>NC_000013.11:48408106-49658106 GCF_000001405.40 Homo sapiens
ATATTTCTCAATTTAGTGACTAATTTCTTTAAATACCAATATCTATAATTAAGATTTCTATTTCCAATTTACTTTTCAGCATTTTGAATGTAGAATATTAAGGTTCATTGATAGCTCCTTAAGTAGTGTCTTCAGTTTAATTTTCTGTGAATATAATATATATAATACATATATTTTTATGCTTTTTAAAATAAACTAGGTACTTGATATTTTCTCAGTAAAGATGATTTCTAAGTTCAGAAATTATTAGGATGCTGGAAAGCCATTTTTCCACACCTGAAAAATTTTCTCAGCTTACTGTGTTCCTTTGAAGGGAGTTAATGTGGGAAGGAAGATTAGTCAAATCATCTACCGTTTTATGAAAATGTTAATAACAGTGGGCACAGTTTTTATAGGGGGGCTTAGTGCTATCATTTTCAGGTAATCAAAAGTAAAATCATCAGAGTTCTAATATTAATATAGGTTTTTCTGAATAAAGGGGGAAGGGAAGAGAAAACCCTCAGAATATATGACTTACCACAAAGTACAACACTAGCAAAGGAAAATAAATTTTGTTCTGGTACACTTTTTTTCCATAGTTCTAGATGAGAAAACCATGTTTGTTATCTGTTATGTATTGCTTTATGAAGAATCTTACAAAACTTTTGATTCATTTATCTTCCTGTTGACAAGAGACACCAAAAAGTTTCTTTATGAACATAGTAATAACAACTATTTAATGACTGTTTTATTTGCATTTTAAAGTTATATTCATGTTTTATGATCTTGCCTTAAGTTGAGATCTTTAAGCTGAGGAGAGTTCTGAGAAATCTCAAAGTTATACAATTCTCCACCCCTTTCCCCCAGATCAGTAGATTGGTAGTTGCTTCTCAACTCAGTATGTTTAAGAAAGAGTGTATTTTTATTTACTGAAGTGTAATATCAAATAAAGGAATTTCAGGTCAATGGAAGAAAACACATTTATATTATGTATATATTTCTCTTGGGATATAAAGGACCATGGTTAGTATCTTCACTAGTTTTTTGGGTTTTTTTTCTTTTCTCTTTTTTTTTTTTTTTTGAGATAGGATCTTGCTCTGTTGTCCATGCTGGAGTACAGTGGTGTGATCATATCTCACTCTAACTTGGAACTCCTGGGCTGAAGGCATTAAAGATGTATTTTGCTTTAGGTTTATCTAAAGGAAACCATGGATCCCTAAAGAAAACCCCCCACTGTTATTTTATTGAAAATGGGTTTACCTGTCTAGCAAATGATTGTGATTTTTCTGAAATCATTACACCTCAAACCCAGAGAACAGCAAAAATCAAATTTATGTCTTAAAAGAGTTTTTTGTCCAAGTTGTATTGAGGACTTGAAAGATTAAGACAGTAGAAATCAGATAGGTTGGATGCTGAATTTAATTACATGTCCTTTTCCTTAAATAGAAGGCATTCTTTTTTAGTTAACTTTGGAGAACTGCTTGATTTTTTTTTTTTTTTTTTTTTTTTTTTTTGAGATGGAGTCTCGCTCTGTCGCCCGGCTGGAGTGCAGTGGCGAGATCTTGGCTCACTGCAACCTCTGACTCCTGGGTTCAAGCGATTCTCCTGCCTCTGCCTCCCGAGTAGCTGGGACTACAGGCATGTGCCACCACACCCAGCTAATTTTTGTATTTTTAGTAGAGACGGGGTTTCACCATGTTGGCCAGGAGGGTCTTGATCTCTTGACCTTATGATCCACCCGCCTCAGCCACCCAAAGTGCTAGGATTACAGGTGTGAACCACCGTGCCCGGCCTGAATTTTTTTAAAAAAGGAATATGTTGGATAATAAAAAAGTTTTAGTGTACTTGGTACTTTTTTTCTAAAGTATACCTCAGAGCCAGACCTATTTTATGTTTAGTGAAATGAAAATATAGTTTTGTTTAGTTATTTGGCCTTGTAGTTTTGTTACTTTATAATGTAAGGAACTGTGTCCTTAATTAATCATTTTGACGTACAATAACATCTTGCCTACTTGAAATAATGTTTTGAACTTCCCAATATTTGGCTTAAAATGGCCAGAAGAGTGAAGGAAAAGAAAATATTTACAGTCATGCATCACGTAATAGCATTTTGGTCAATGACCGCATAAACGATGGTGGTCTCATAAGATTATCATACTATATTTTTACTGTACCTTTTCTGTGTTGAGATGTATTTAGATACACAAGTACCATTATTTTACAGTTGCCTACAGTATTCTTTGCAGTAGCATGCTGTATAGGTTTGTAGCCTAGAAGCAGTAGGGTGTACCATATAAGCCTAGGTGTGTAATAGTGTATACCTTCTAGAGTTGTGTAAGTACACACTGTGATGTTTGCACGACATAATTACCTAAGCAAGCATCATAAGCAACACGTGACAGTATATTACTTTCTAAATGCCAAGTACTATATTTCACTATCTCTGATGTTTCTCCGACCTAACATACTTAAAACATAAGTTCTTGACTGTGATGTAAGTGCACCTTTAAAATGTACCTCTGGTAGTATTTTATTTTTTTGCTAAGTAAAAACTTAGCAAAATGACATTTTATTAGTTTTCTCCCTCTCAATTTTTGTGGCATATATCATTTTGAAATTGGGTGCATTATATACAGAAAATCAAAATAGTAACTTCAAAGCATACCATATAGATAGCATCTGCTTTCTACAAATTGCCTACACAGACCAAACTCCCAAAATGTTATCAATGTGTTACTGCTCAAGATCTTCCAACAATGTTAATATGTCATCATTTCTACAGAAGACTACGTTTTTAGTTATACATATATTTTAAAATACTCCCAAAACATTTATTTCAAATTACTCTTCTTTCTCATTTGTTAATCATAGTTTAAGAAATATGATTAGTAGTTTTAATTCAAAATAAAAATGGTATGTTGAATAAAATATTACATAAACATAAATTAGTATAAAATAATTTAGTAAATTAAATCATTTAATATAAAAAGGAATTCAAAGACATTACAGATTGGCACCACATAATTTAAGTCAGTCACTTTTAGACACTAAATAACTTTAAGAGATTTTTTTTAATGAAGGAACAAATCAAAATGGCTCAGAAAAATCAGATGGAGTGGATACACAAATAAAATACATGTTAATGCTTAACACATTGAATACAAATTTTCTTTATACTAAAGACTTTAAAATGTCCATGTGTTAATTTCTTTTGGAGGTGGAAAAATAGTTTGTCCAAAAAGACACTTTTCACAGTTGAAGGAACTTGAAAGTTCTGTCCCAGTGAGTCCTAATGGTTTTATTTCAGGCAGCAGATTCATTGTCAAATATCTTACTTTTTAAGGTCTGTAGGTTATGCTGAATAAAATTCTCTGCACCATGAACTTCAGAGAATCTGAAGTCACTTCTCCTGACAGACCAGTTTTTCATTTTTATTGAATTCTGAATTGTGTCCGATGTAAAGTAGTAAACTATAGGGTCAAAACAACAGTTGGAAACAGCAATACAGAGAGTGATTGGGTACATTGTCCTTACTGCTGCCACTACTGAGCAATTAACAAATGTTTGTGTTCTCACAAGAGAATATAAAATAAGATTGATATTGTAAGGAACAAAACAGAAACAGAATATGATCAAATGTACAAAAATCATTTTTAAAACCTTAGTTTTGTTTATTTTGCTTCTACTTAATGTAACAGGTTTGGTTAAAGTTTTTAGCACCATACTAGAACAAGTTACATTTAAAATTAGAGGAATAAAAAATCCCACTATTTCGATGAAAATTACAATCCTTGAGAGATATGTTTTCCATGTGGCTTCTGGAAAATTTTCAAAGCAGGCTTCTGAGGCATTGTTACCCTGAGAGTGGGTAGACTGAACAAAAACGGCGGGTGCACTTCCTCCGATCACAGTTAACCACACGCCAGTGCAAACAATCTTTGCATTTCTTTTGGTTCTTAGAGTCTTTGACTTAAATGGGTAGACAATTGCCAGAAATCGATCTACACTAATACAGGTTAAGAACAGAATGCTTCCGTACATGTTGGTATAAAACAGCATCACAGAAATCTTACAAAGTAAATCTCCAAATGGCCAATTCCGTGTTGTGAAGTAAAAAATCCTGAAGGGTAAAGTAAAAACAAAAAGCAAGTCTGACATTGCCAAGTTAATCATGTAAGTTGTAGTTTCATTTCGGACTTTGAGGACGCAGATGAAAATGTATATGGCAACACAATTGGATATTAACCCAAGCACAAACACCATGCTGAACATGCACCCATACAAAGTGTACTTAAAGGAGTCATTATAGAAGCAGTGGGAGCTGTTAACGCTTACCATCGTAAAGGCACGTCCAATTTTCAGTTTGGAAGCACTTTCATCAGCTGCAGTCTCCTTTGGGATTCAGATTATAACCTCTATAACCTCCAATTTATTTGCAAATTATCTGGATCTTTGGATGGTTTTATAAATATTTCCTTTTTCTCAGAAATACCCAAAAGAAACATGAAATTTGTTGCTGTAAAATTTCCGCTGGGTTCTTCAACAGGAAAATATTTTCATTTGTTAGTCTTTAGAAAATCCATGAATTCCAAGGCTCAGTTAACTGACGAGCAACCTTTAAAAAATACAGTCAACGAGTCCAACCCATAGGATTATAAATTTAAAGAAAAGCTGTGATCTGTGACCAGAATGAAACCACTTGTCTTCTAAACTTGTATTTCAGTAGTCAAGATGAATACTCCAAAGTTAATGTTTCTTTATGCCTCAGAATGTTAAGCTTAAGTTATCAATCTTATTTTCTTTTCAGTGCAGAGTTTCAGAGACTTAAACATTCCCAATTTGTCCCATTTTACTTCTTGCTTCTTTTAAATGAAGTTTTCCTTTTTTGTTTTCCTGCAGTGGATCCCAGATTGTGGGTAAGCAGAAGAGTCTTTTAAAGATTCCGAAATAAACTCCCAAGCTTGTTAGCTCTTGTTGAATTGAGGCCTTTTCCTCAGTTGCCAGTTGTATCTTGAGGTCGCTTTCTCTGAAGTGAAAAAGAAAGGCTTCCTAGATTTGTAATATGACATCACAGGAAGAAGAGGCTGGGTTTGGACAAAGAAACTTTCAGCCCAGTTTGTTTGCACTTCCTTTAATCTGATAATGTGTCTGCTGGGAATATACCTAGGAGGCTTGCAAATGGTCACTGGCTGTTGAACTGCGTGGTCTGCTCATTAACTCTTTTTATGTGGAAATGCCTTCTGCGGTGCTGGCAACCTCTCAGAGTTGTTTTGATTTGTTTCAGTAGTAATAATTGAAAGAAAAAAATCACTATTCAGCCTGTTCTCTTATTCGATTGTTTTCGTGTTTGGGATATGACAATTTAGAAAAGAAAATGTGTATGGGTGTGTATTTATAAATTGAAATTGTTAGTGATATCTTAACATAGCATTTCAAAGAACTGTTTAATGACTATGAAACAGGGGCCTTTAACCTTTAAGGTATAACAAGCATTTGACTCTTGGTTTCTGAAAAATACTCAATATTTAATTGTTATCATTATGAGTAGCTCTTATCCTGGGTCTCATTAGTTTTTGATAAGCAATTTTCTAACATTCTTTCCTCTTTCCTATGCAGTTGTATTAATATTTTAGAGCTGTTTAAATTTTTAAATTACTCATTTCTCCAAAAGAACAAACTCAAGAATGTTTATCTTTGGTGTGGTGTTAATTTTACTTTCTAAGCACAAAATGAAATTGCATCTTTTTAAGCAAAATTTTTTTAACCTTAAATTGATTGAAATAAGGTTTAGAGAATAAAAATCCTACTACTTGGCAAAATTTTAGGTTCATAGTCTTATCTTCCTTCTTCCTCCCAGCTCTTCCCTTAACCCCTTAATATGACATTAACTATATATTGAAATATATTTCAGATTTTGTCTCCATCTAAAAGTTTCTATGAATGGTTTATATGTTTATATTTAAAGTATACTCATATTTTGGGCCAGGTGCAGTGGCTCACGCCTATAATCCCAGCACTTTGGAAGGCCGAGGCAGGTGGATCACCTGAGATCAGGAGTTTGAGAGCAGCCTGGCCAAAATGGCGAAACCCCATCTCTACCAAAAATACAAAACTAGCCTAGGGCAATAGTGCGTGCCTGTAGTCCCAGCTACCCAGGAGACTGAGGCAGGAGAATCGCTTGAACCTGGGAGGCAGATGTTGCAGTGAACCAAGATCAAGCCACTGCACTCCAGCCTGGGCGACAGCGAGACTATCTCAAAAAAAAAAAAAAAAAGTATACTTATATTTTAAAGACTCCAAAATCAGAAGAAGAAAGTGTGTGTAAGGTGAGGGTACTTAAATGTAGGTGTTATTTCCTCAAAGATTGAGGATATCACAACCTCTATGGCACATGTTTTTCTTGTTTTAAATATCATTTTCTTCAGAAAAGGCTAGATCTAGTTATGCCTTACTGTTATTATTTTTTTAATTTGGTCTAGTTTAAGCTGAAACTCTTCCTCTTGGGTATTAAGTAATTTAAGAACAATTTATTTTTTTCTCATAAATTACTTAGCTAGCTTAAAAATAACTTATTACAGTAAAATGTTTTGTGTTGTTTTGCACCATTCTTTCACACTCAGCAATTTTTGTCATTTGTTGATGAACTATAATCTATTTCTACTGTCTGGACTAGAAAATTCATCTATTATCAAATGACAAAAAAAGATGAGTATTACTTATAACCAATACTTAAAATTTTGAAGGGTTGAATATCTTTTATATCACATTTGGTATAGAAAAGATGTATGTGTGTGTTCTTATTAGAAGGCTGGTAGAAGCTGAGTGAGCATTAATGAAAAAAGGAGTGGTTAATAAGCTTGTATTCTCATTGGAAAAAATTTTCTGTTAGTAGTTATGTCTTACTGTTATTTTTTTTTTATTTGGTTCAGTATGTTTTAAAAAAACAAAATCTTAGTAATCTTCTTTCAAATTGATAGTCTCCTCTTTAGTCATCTTTAATTAATGAAATATATGCAGTTGTATATGCTGATCTCATCCTACTTTTACTTTCATTTTGAATATGGCGGCATTTTCTCATTCAAATAATTAAAATTTATTAATTCTACTTGGAATATTTTTCTACATATTGTCATTACTCACTTGACTTGTTATTCACTTAAGTCATTCATCTATAGTTTTTTCTTTTCTTTTCTTTTTCTTTTTCTTTCTTTCTTTTTTTTTTCTCACTCTGCCGCCCAGGCTGGAGTGCAGTGGTGCGATCTTGTCTTACTGCAACCTCTGCCTCCCAGGTTCCAGCAATTTTCCCACCTCAGCCTCCCGAGTAGCTGGGATTATGGGCACCCGCCACCACACCCAGCTAATTTTTGTATTTTTAGTAGAGATAGGGTTTTACCATGTGGCCAGGCTGGTCTTGAACTCCTGACCTCAAGTCATCCACCCACTTCAGCCTCCCCAAGTGCTGGGATTCCATGTGTGAGCCACCGTGCCCGGCCTGTTCATTTATAGTTTTTTAATGTTTGAGTTACTGGGGCTTAAAAATGGATAGATCACTATTTGTTGAATTAGGCTTTTCATTATTATCAGTATCATAGTAAATGTTTGTATAATTCTTACCACAATTCTTGGTTCTTTGTAGATGATTCTCACATGTTTGCTGATGAATGAATCATAAACTTGAATTTTGTTGCCAGTTGTTTCTACTGAGGAAGAGCCATAGCAGAGGGACTGTTTGAACAGGAAGAAGATAATTGAATACTGCATTTTTTCCAGATATTAAATTTGGCCTCTAATTAAGGAACCAAAGGGGAATTTAGAAACTTTGAAAAATTCTTAGGTTAGAATTGGAAAAATACAGAGTAACTACTTGCAAAGGGAGGTAATGAATCCATATAATCAATTATATTTAATAGATACTTTTGTATTTGATAAACTCAGGCAAACTGTTATTTTAATGTGAGATCTCTACACTTCTGGAACTTAACTCTGAGAATCAACTTATTTCTTATATGGATTTTTTGGGGGGAGCGAAAATTAAACAGAGCCAGATAGATGTTAAAATGGTGAACACAGGAACAGCTGGAGTCTGCAGCTCCCAGCGAAATCAACGCAGAAGGTGGGTGATTTCTCTATTTCCAACTGAGGTACCCAGCTCATCTCATTGAGACTGGTCAGACAGGGGGTGCAGCCCATGGAAGGCGAGCCAAAGCAGGGTGGGGCATCGCCTTACACGGGAAGTGCAAGGGGCCAGGGAACTTCCTCCCCTAGCTAAGGGAAGCCATGAGGGAATGTGCCACGAGGAACGATGCATTCCGGCCCAGACTCTATGCCTTTTCCGTGATCTTCACAACCCTTAGACCAGGCAATTCCCTCGGGTGCCTACACCACCCAGGCCCTGGGTTTCAAGCACAAAACTGGGCAGCCGTTTGGGCAGACACCGAGCTAGCTGCAGGATTTTTTCTTTTTCGTACTCCAGTGGCACCTGAAACACCAGTGAGACAGAACTGTTAACTCCCCTGGAACAGGGGCTGAAGCCAGGGAGCCAAGTGGTCTAGCTCAGTGGATCCCACCCCCACAGAGCCCAGCAAGCTAAGATCCACTGGCTTGAAACTCTTACTGCCAGCACAGGAGTCTGAAGTCGACCTGGGATGCTGGAGCTTGGTGGGAGGAGGGGCTTCTGCCATTACTGAGGCTTGAGTAGGTGGTTTTCACCTCACAGTGTAAGCAAAGCCACCGGGAAGTTTGAACTGGGTGGAGCCCACTGTAGCCCAACTGCTTCTCTAGAGTCCTCCTCTCTGGGCAGGGCATCTCTGAAAAAAAGGCAGCAGCCCCAGTCAGGGGCTTATAGATAAAACTGCCATCTCCCTGGGACAGAGCACCTGGGGGAAGGGTGCTATGGGTGGCTATTGGTGCAGCTTCAGCAGACTTAAACGTTCCTGCCTGCTGGCTCTGAAGAGAGCAGCAGATCTCCCAGGACATTGCTCGAGCTCTGCTAAGGGACAGACTGCCTCCTCAAGTGGGTCTCTGACCCCCATGTCTCCTGACTGGGAAACACCTCCCAGCAGGAATCGACAGACAACTCACACAGGAGAGCTCCAGCTGCCGTCTGGTGGGTGCCCCTCTGGGACAAAGCTTCCAGAGGAAGGAACAGGCAGCAATCTTTGTTGTTCTGCAACCTCTGCTGGTGATATCCAGACAAACAGGGTCTGGAGTGGACCTCCAGCAAATTCCAGCAGACCTGCAGCAGAGGGGCCTGACTGTTAGAAGGAGAACTAACAAACAGAAATGAATAGCATCAATATCAACAAAAAGGACTTCCACACAGAAACCCCATTTGAAGGTCACCAACATCGAAGACCAAAGGTAGATAAATCCATGAAGATGAGGAAAAACCAGCGCAAAAAGGCTGACAATTCCAAAAACCAGAATGCCTTTTCTCTTCCAAAGAATCACAACTCCTCGCCAGCAAGGGAACAAAACTGGACAGAGAATAATAAACTCCTCCAAGCCAAAGGACCATGTTCTAACCCAATGCAAGGAAGCTAAAAACCTTGAAAAAAGGTTAGAGGAATTGCTACCTAAAATAAGCAGTTTAGAGAAGAACATAAATGACCTGATGGAGCTGAAAAACACAGCACAAGAACTTCGTGAAGCATACACAAGTATCAACAGCCAAAGCAGAAGAAAGGATATCAGAGATTGAAGATCACCTTTATGAAATAAAGTGTGAAGACAAGATTAGAGGAAAAAGAATGAAAAGAAACGAACAAAGCCTCCAAGAAATAGGGGACTATGTGAAAAGACCAAACCTATGTTTGATTGTCCCTGTACCTGAAAGTGACAGGGAGAATTGAACCAAGTTGGAAAACACTCTTCAGGATATTATCCAGGAGAATTTCCCCAACCTAGCACGACAGGCCAACATTCCAATTCAGGAAATACAGAGAACACCACAAAGATACTCCTCAAGAAGAGCAACCCCAAGACACATAATCGTCAGATTCACCAAGGTTGAAATGAAGGAAAAAATGTTAAAAGCAGCCAGAGAGAAAGGTCGGGTTACCTACAAAGGGAAGCCCATCAGACTAATAGTGGATCTCTCTGCAGAAACCCTACAGGCCAGAAAAGAGTGGGGGCCAATATTCAACATTCTTAAAGAAAGGAATTTTCAACCCAGAATTTTGTATCCAGCCAAACTAAGCTTCATAAGTGAATGAGAAATAAAATCCTTCACAGATAAGCAAATGTTGAGAGATTTTGTCACCACCAGGCCTGCATTACAAGAGCTCCTGAAGGAAGCACTAAATATGGAAAGGAAAAATTGGTCCCAGCCACTGCAAAAACATACCAAATTGTAAAGACCATTGACACTATGAAGAAACTAATGGGCATCAACTAATGGGCAAACTAACTGGCTAGCATCATAATGACAGGATCAGATTCACATATAACAATATTAACCTTAAAAGTAAACGGGCTAAGTGCCACAATTAAAAGACACAGACTGGCAAGTTGGATAAAGAGTCAAGACCCATCAGTGTGCTGTATTCAGGAGACTCATCTCACATGCAAAGACACGTGCTCTAAATAAGGGAATGGAGGAAGATTTACCAAGCAAATGGAAAGCAAAAAAAAAAAAAAGCAGGGGTTGCAATCCTAGTCTCTGATAAAACAGACTTTAAACCAACGAAGATCAAAAAAGACAAGAAGGGCATTACATAATGGTAAAGGGATCAATGCAACAAGAAGAGCTAACTATCCTAAGTATGTATGCACCCAATACAGGAGCACCCAGATTCATAAAGCAAGTCCTTGGAGACCTACAAAGAGACTTAGACTCCCACACAATAATAGTGGGAGACTTTAACACCCCACTGTCAATATTTGACAGATCAATGAGACAGAAAATTAACAAGGATATTCAGGACTTGAACTCAGCTCTGCACCAAGCAGACCTAATAGACATCTACAGAACTCTCCACCCCAAATCAACAGAATAGACATTCTTCTTAGCACCACATCACACTTATTCTAAAACTAACCACATGATTGGGAGTAAAACACTCCTCAACAAATGCAAAACAATGGAAATCATAACACAGTCTCTGAGACCTCAGTGCAATCAAATTAGAACTCAGGATTAAGAAACTCACTCAAACCTGCACAACTGCATGGAAACTGAACAACCTGTTCCTGAATGAATACTGGGAAAATAATGAAATTAAGGCAGAAACAAAGAAGTTCTTTGAAACCAATGAGAACCAAGACACAACATACCCAAATCTCTGGGACACAGCTAAAGCAATGTTTAGAGGGAAGTTTATAGCACTAAATGCCCACAGGAGAAAGCAGAAAAGATGTAAAATTGACACCCTAACATCACAATTAAAAGAACTAGAGAAGCAAGAGCAAACTAATTCAAAAGCTAGCAGAAGATAAGAAATAACCAAGGTCAGAGAAGAACTGAAGGAGAGAGAAACACGAAAAACCCTTCAAAAAATCAATGAATCCAGGAGCTGGTTTTTTGAAAAGATTAACAAAATAGATAGACCACTAGCCAGGCTAATAAAGAAGAAAAGAGAGAAGAATCAAATAGACACAATAAAAAAATGCTAAAGGGGATATCACCACTGATCCCACAGAAATACAAACTACCATCAGAGAATACTGTAAACATCTCTATGCAAATAATCTAGAAAATCTAGAAGAAATGGATAAATTCCTGGACACATACACCCTCCCAAGAGTAAACCAGGAAGAAGTCGAATCCCTGAATAGACCAATAACAAGTTCTGAAATTGAGGCAGTAATTAATAGCGTACCAACCAAAAAAATCCCAGGAGCAGATGGATTCACAGCTGAATTCTGCCAGAGGTACAAGGAGGAGCTGGTACTATTCCTTCTGAAACTATTCCAAGCAATAGAAGAAAAGAGAGTCCTCCTTAACTCATTTTATAAGCCAAGAATCATCCTGATACCATAACCTGCCAGAGACACAACAAAAAAAGAAAATTTCGGCCAATATCCTTGATGAATATCGACGTGAAAACCCTCAATAAAATACTGGCAAACTGAATCCATAGCACATCAAAAAGCTTATCCACCACAAACAAGTCGGCTTCATCCCTGGGATGCAAGGCTGGTTCAACATATGCAAATCAATAAACGTAATCCATCACATAAACAGAACCAAAGATAAAAACCACATGATTATGTCAATAGATGCAGAAAAGGCCATTGATGAAATTCAACACTGCTTCATGCTAAAAACTCTCAATAAACTTCATATTGATGGAATGTATCTCAAAATAATAAGAGCTATTTATGGCAGACCCACAGCCAATATCATACTGAATCAGCAAAAGCTGGAAGCATTCCCTTTGAAAACTGGCACAAGACAAGGATGCCCTCTCTCACCACTCCTATTCAACATAGTATTGGAAGTTCTGTTCAGGGCAGTTAGAAAAGAGGAAGAAATAAAGCGTATTCAAGTAGGAAGAGAGGAAATTAAATTGTCTCTGTTTGCAGAGACAATGATTGTCTATTTAGAAAACCCCATTATCTCAGCCCAAAATCTCCTTAAGCTGATAAGCAACTTCAGCAAAGTCTCAGGATACAAAATTAATGTGCAGAAATCACAAGTATTCCTATACAACAATAATAGACAAACAGAGAGCCAAATCATGAGTGAACTCCCATTCACAAATGCTACAAAGAGAATAAAATACCTAGGCATACAACACACAAGGGATGTGAAGGACATCTTCAAGAACTACAAACTTCACTGCTCAAGGAAATAAAGAGGACACAAACAAATGGAAGAACATTCCATGTTCATGGATAGGAAGAATCAATCTTGTGAAAATGGCCATACCACTCAAAGTAATTTATAGATTCAATGCTATCCCTATCGAGCTACCATTGACTTCCTTTATAAAATTAGAAAAAACTACTTTAAATTTCATATGGAACCAAAAAAGCCCATATAGCCAAGACAATCCTAAGCAAAAAGAAGAAAGCTGGAGGCATCATGCTACCTGACTTCAAACTATACTACAAGGCTACAATAACCAAAACAGCATGGTATTGGTACCAAAACAGATATATTGACCAATGGAACAGAAGAGAGGCCTCAGAAATAATGCCACACATCTACAACCATCTCATCTTTGACAAAGATGAGACAAAGGATTCCGTTTAATAAATGGTGTTGGGAAAACTGGCTAGCCATGTGCAGAAAACTGAAACTGGACCCCTTTCTTACACCTTATACAAAAATTAACTCAAGATGGATTAAAGAGTTAAATGTAAGACCTAAAGCCATGAAAACCCTAGAAGAAAACCTAGGCAATACCATTCAGGACATAGGCATGGGCAAAGACTTCCTGACCAAAACACCAAAAGCAATGGTAACAAAAGCCAAAATTGACAAATGGGATCTAATTAAACTAAAGAGCTTCTGCACAGCAAAAGAAACTATCATCAGAGTGAACAGGCAACCTACAGAATGGGAGAAAATTTTTGCGATCTATCCATCTGACAAAGGGCTAAAGTCCAGAATCTACAAGGAACTTAAACAAATTTACAGGAAAAAAGCAAACAACTCCATCAAAAAGTGGGTGAAGGATATGAACTGACACTTCTCAAAAGAAGACATTTATGTGGCCAACAAGCATATGAACAAAAGCTCATCATCAGCGGTCATTAATGAAATGCAAATCAAAACCACAATGAGATACCATCTCATGGCCGTTAGAATGGCGATTATTAAAACGTCAGGAAACAACAGATGCTGGAGAGGATGTGGAGAATAGGAATGCTTTTACACTGTTGGTGGGAGTGTAAATTAGTTCAACCATTGTGGAAGACAGTGTGGCGATTCCTCAAGGATCTAGAACCAGAAATACCATTTGACCCAGCAAGCCCATTACTGGGTATATACCCAAAGGATTATAAATAATTCTAATATAAAGACACATGCACACATATGCTTATTGCAGCAGTATTTACAATAGCAAAGACTTGGAACCCACCCAAATGCGCATCAATGATAGACAGGATAAAGAAAATGTGGCACATATATACCATCGAATACTATGCAGCCATGAACAAGGATGAGTTCATGTCCTTTGCAGGGACATGGATGAAGCTGGAAACCATCACTTTCAGCAAACTAACACAGGAACAGAAAACCAAACACCGCATGTTCTCACTCATAAGTGGGAACTGAACAATGAGAACACATGGACACAGGGAGGGGAACATCACACATCGGGGCCTGTCGGGGTTGGGGGTTAGAGGAGGGATAGCATTAAGAGAAATACTTAACATAGATGATGGGTTGATGGGTGCAGCAAACCACCATGGCACGTGTATACCTATGTAACAAACCTGCACGTTCTGCACATGTATCCCAATACTTAAAGTATAATACTTTTAAAAAATGGTGAAGACAAGCCTTTTTTTAGGACTGTTGCCATAATGACCTTGTAGACTGATTTGAAATATAGTGTATCAGCTTTGGCAACATAGGGAAACCCTGTCTCCATAAAAAATTTAAAAATTACCTGGGTGTGGTGATGTCAACCTGTGGTCCCAGCTGGTTGGGAGGCTGAAGTGGGAGGATTGTTTGAGCCTAGGAGGTTGAGACTGCAGTGAGCTTTGATTGTACCACTGCACTTCAGCCTGGTGACAGATCAAGACCTTGTCTAAAAAAAAAACAAAAAGGAAAGAATATAGCCTACATATACAACCAATTCAAAATATAGTGAATCTTGGCCAGGATCTGTGGTTCACACCTATAATCCCAACACTTTGGGAGGCTGAGATGAGAGGATCACTTGAGACCAGGATTTCAAGACCAGCCTAGGCAACATAGTGACACCCTGTTTCCAAAAATTAGCCAAGTGTGGTGGTGGGCACCTGTAGTCCTGGTTACTAGGGAGGCTGAGGTGGGTGGATCACTTGGGCCCGGGAGATTGAGGCTGCATTGAGCTATGATTGTACCATTTTACTCCATCCTGAGTGACAGAGAGAGGCCTGTTCTCAAATAAATAAGTAAATAAATAAAAAGAATGAAATATAGTGAATTTCATTATGTAATGCATCGGTTTTTAAAATTTAATGACATCTGATTCTGATTCTTTGAATACTTTCACTGCTTAAGCTGCTGGGTTGGGTTTTTGTTTTTGTTTTTGTTTTTGTGTTTTTGAGACGGAGTCTTGCTCTGTCATCCAGGCTGGAGTGCAGTGGCGCGATCTCGGCTCACTGCAACCTCCGCAGGTTGGGTTTTTTCACTCTCAGGTATAATAGATCAAGGAGTCACCTTACACTCTTTATGTTTAAGGATTTCTGATTTTTGAAACAGGTTGCACAAGAAACATGTATAAGATTAAATATTCTGTAAAAGGCTTCCCTTTATGTTTCAATAGCATTCTTCTTTAAAAGACCTATTTTTTTCCACAATAAGACACCGTGTTCTTTTACTATAAAATTGATCAAAGAGGAATCGATTAAAACTTTAAAGAATTCTCTCATTAAAAGTTTCGAAGGCCATAATTGAAATTGTACATAACATTGAGAACAGGGGATATGCAAAAAGAAAAAAGAAAAAAATCAAATGAGAGAGTATGTGAGACTTAAAACAGAAATAAATTGATTTAAGTTCAAAAGAAAGTGTGAGCCAGGCATAGTGGTACACTCCTGTAGTCGAAGCTACTCTAGAGGCTGAGACAAGAGGATCACTTAAGGCCATAGGAGTTTGGGGCTTCATTGCTCTTTGATGACACCTATGAATAGCCACAGCACTCCAGCCTGGGCAACATAACGAGACACTGTCTCTTGAAGAAAGAAAGAAAAAAGTATGGGACATTGATATTTTAAAATTTAAAAAGAATTATTCTAAACTTACTTCAGTCATTTTGCATGCAGCAAATGTTTGCCATGGTGAAATGTGACTTCCATCTCTTAATTTACACTTATGCAAAAAGCAGTTTTCTCATTTGGGATTCTTTTGATGCTCATTATGATAAAATTTTCTATTTAGGTATAGAAACAAATAAACCTTTTTCAATTTGAGAAATGAACATTTGTAATTTATGTTGACAGAATATATTTATTTTCTATAAAAATATCTTTTAGCCTAAGGAGAAAAAATCTTAAATTCTAGACTAGTATTACCATAAGTCTATCGGTATCATTTCGAAGTGATTTACCTTCCTTTCATTATTGTAAACACTTAATACTTTATGTTACTTTTTACCGGAATGTGAGTCATCTACCCAAGTTCAAAGAGTTGAACCAACTTTTATAGAGTTGGATGGGAGTAGAAGAGGAAAGATTTAAAGGGTGATGAATGATGATTAGAGCAAAGTAAAAGTTGATGGGAATGATGGTTGAAGCAGGTTCAAACAAGTAGGGAAAGGAAATCAAGAGGAGTGAAAATGTTATTGTGGTAAGATTTAAAACTTGAATAAGCATATTTATCTGTGCATACACTTGAGTTGTCCCTTCTTCCTTATCTTTTTTTCCGAACTCTCTTGTTGCTTCTTCATCTCCAACTCTTAGAATCATATCACGTCTTTTCTATGGAGTCTCCTTAATCTCATCAGTTCCTTTTCTGTACTTCCACAGTACTTAGTTTGCCTTTTAAGACATATACGTGCAATTCAATTAAGAATGAAAAACAAGGCCATGTGTGGTGGCTCATGCATGTAATCCTAGCACTTTGGGAGGCCAAGGCGGGCAGACCTCTTGAGGTCAGGAGTTTGAAACCAGCCTGGCCAACATGGTGAAACTCTGTCTCTACTAAAAATACAAAATGTTATCCAGGTGTGGTGGCTCACACCTGTAATCCCAGCTACTCAGAAGGCTAAGGCAGGAGAATCACTTGAACCTGGGAAGCAGAGGTTGCAGTGACGGAGATCATGCCACTGCACTCCAGCCTGGGTGACAGAGCAAGACTCTGTCTCAAAAAAAAAGAAAAATAAAAGAATACAAAACAAAGAAATAATTGCAATACAAGATATAACAACAGCTATTAGTAACACATAGACATGAGAATCTACGAATTTAGTAAAGAGCTTCTTGAGGAGATGATGTGTAATGAAGGCTAGCCTTTACAGTTGAATACAAATTTTAAATTTCAGGTCTTGAAGGCTAGAGCCATTCCTGGTAATAATGTCCCATTAATATAGTCATGCTGCCTTTCTCATCCAAAAACACAGAAAACTATTTGAGTGACTATTTTCTCCATTCTCTCAAGGATGCTATGTAACCTAGTCCTACTCTGAATTCCTGGAAGATGTTAATTCTTCACATACAATATATGCCTTGTGGCATAAAGGCTGAATTTGGTCATAAAACCTTAGTTGGGTAAGGCTAGGTGGGTTGTAGCTTTCAAAAATTTTTCACCTAGTTTAGACGCTGCAAAGTGTAATGAAAGGACCAATTTCACTAGGTGTTAAGTGACTTGGATTCTAATCCAAGTTACTAAAAATTAATGTGCGTCTCCTGAGCCCCACCTACTCAGGAGGCAGAGGTAGGAGGATCTCTTGAGCCCAGGAATTCCAGTTTAGCCTGGGCAATATAGAGAGTCCTCAACTCTTAAAGGAAAAAAAAAATGACATGACCTTGAGCAAATAATTTAGCTTCTCTATTGTATATTTGTAAAAGGAGAGTATTAAATTAGACCTATAGAATTCTTTTCAGCTCTTAGCTTTCTATCTAATTCAGTCTCCCCACTAATTTTCAATGACAAGAAAGAACATATATTATTGTTTCAATTTTACAGACCAAGAAACTAAAATTCAGAGAAGTTGTGACTTGCTTAGGATTACAAAGTGATTATTGGTGGAGAATGACGAAGTCAAAACTAAAAACTGGGTCCTCACAAGAAGTACCCAACCCAGTTCCTTATACATGTTTGTATAATGAAAGAATACAACTTAGTGAGTGCATGCATAAAGGATAATAGAAAGCACTGTGACCTAGAGATCCAGAATCCTTGATTTCTAAATTTTGACCTTACCTTGGGCAAACTCTGCCCTGAACTTTAAGATGGATATGACATGCCCTTTTGACCTTATGAAGAGTTTTCAGAATAAAATGAAATGAAAACATATTCTGAATGTAAACCTCTAAAAAGATACTATTATAGATGACATCACCTATAATATCTTAACTTTATAGAAATAAAGGTTATGTTGTGGGAAATCATGGAACAATAAGATTTGTTTTGTTTTCTTGACCAGATAGGATGCCTGTGCTCTGTCAGATAAAGAAGTGATCATGTGATGCATTTGGTATGCCTTTTTTAGCACTGCTAATGTACAGCCAATTTAAATCAAATAGACATAGGCTTTGCTTATAAAAACCACATATATTTCTAAGTTAGTTTGCTTGGTGGTTAACACATTGCATATTGCATTAGTCTTAATATCCTCTAATGTTGGAGCTAGCACTGGATCCTAGAAATTCAGAATAAAAGTCCACCTTACCCCTGTTACAACTAGCCATTCATCTTCTTTGGTATATAGTTTAGCTCTCCTTCCAGTCACTCAAGTACAACTTAGGAAACTAAAACCATAGCTGATTATTGCTGGAGCAGGAACTCGAATCCTAGTTTCTTGACTTCTAGTCAAATGTTCTCGTAGTAACAGGTAGCTTTCACCCTTTTTTTCTTACTGATGTTGTGCTAGTTCGTTCTTGCATTGCTGTAAAGAAATACCTGAGACTGGGTAATTTGTAAAGAAAAGAGTAGGGTTTAGTTGGCTCACGGTTCTTCAGGCTGTACAGGAAGCATGGCATCAGCTTCTCCTCAGCTTCTGGTGAGTCCTGAGGAAGTTTATATTAATGGCAGAAGTCGGAGGGGAAACAGGCATGTCACGTGGTGACAATAGGAGCAAGAGGAAGGAGGAGGTCCCATGCCCTTTTTAAACAAGCAGATCTCTTGTGAACTAACTGAGCGAGAGCTCGGTTATCACCAAGGGGGTGGTGCTAAACCATTCATGAGGGATCCACCCCCCTGATGTAGTCATCTTCTACCAAACCTCACCTCCAGCATTGGGGAGCACACTTCAACACGAGTCATCTACCAAACCTCACCTCCAGCATTGGGGAGCACACTTCAACACGAGTCATCTTCTACCAAACCTCACCTCCAGCATTGGGGAGCACACTTCAACACGAGTCATCTTCTACCAAACCTCACCTCCAGCATTGGGGAGCACACTTCAACACGAGTCATCTTCTACCAAACCTCACCTCCAGCATTGGGGAGCACACTTCAACACGAGTCATCTTCTACCAAACCTCACCTCCAGCATTGGGGAGCACACTTCAACACGAGTCATCTTCTACCAAACCTCACCTCCAGCATTGGGGAGCACACTTCAACACGAGTCATCTTCTACCAAACCTCACCTCCAGCATTGGGGAGCACACTTCAACACGAGTCATCTTCTACCAAACCTCACCTCCAGCATTGGGGAGCACACTTCAACACGAGTCATCTTCTACCAAACCTCTCCTCCAGCACTGGGGAGCACACTTCAACACGAGTCATCTTCTACCAAACCTCACCTCCAGCATTGGGGAGCACACTTCAACACGAGTCATCTTCTACCAAACCTCACCTCCAGCATTGGGGAGCACACTTCAACACGAGTCATCTTCTACCAAACCTCACCTCCAGCACTGGGGAGCACACTTCAACACGAGTCATCTTCTACCAAACCTCACCTCCAGCACTGGGGAGCACACTTCAACACGAGTCATCTTCTACCAAACCTCACCTCCAGCACTGGGGAGCACACTTCAACACGAGTCATCTTCTACCAAACCTCACCTCCAGCACTGGGGAGCACACTTCAACACGAGTCATCTTCTACCAAACCTCACCTCCAGCACTGGGGAGCACATTTCAACACGAGTCATCTTCTACCAAACCTCACCTCCAGCATTGGGGAGCACATTTCAACACGAGTCATCTTCTACCAAACCTCACCTCCAGCATTGGGGAGCACATTTCAACACGAGTCATCTTCTACCAAACCTCACCTCCAGCATTGGGGAGCACATTTCAACACGAGTCATCTTCTACCAAACCTCACCTCCAGCATTGGGGAGCACATTTCAACACGAGTCATCTTCTACCAAACCTCACCTCCAGCATTGGGGAGCACATTTCAACACGAGTCATCTTCTACCAAACCTCACCTCCAGCATTGGGGAGCACATTTCAACACGAGTCATCTTCTACCAAACCTCACCTCCAGCATTGGGGAGCACATTTCAACACGAGTCATCTTCTACCAAACCTCACCTCCAGCATTGGGGAGCACATTTCAACACGAGTCATCTTCTACCAAACCTCACCTCCAGCATTGGGGATCACATTTCAACACGAGATTTGGAAGGGACAAACATTGAAACCATATCAGACATAAAATAGGAAACTTGGTCCATAGCTTAGGTAAATATTAAGCAAAGAACTTTGTCTTTAAATGAGTAAGCTCTGCAGACTTTTTAAAACACTAAATTCTAACATTATGATAGAAATTTAAGATTAAGAGATTTTAGACATTTTCATCCTTCTGTAGATTAAAATCGTATGATGACCATCCTTCATTTTTAGCTTCATCTTTATTTATTTAAAAAGTTTGCATTTGTACATAGTAATGTGCCAAGTTTTATACAAAAGCAGGAAATATCTCTGCTGCTTTCAAATAATTAGAACAAGGGTTTTCTGTGAATAGTAAATTTAACACCTTCCAGCATAGATTATTATCAGAAATCCAAGTACTCTTCAGTTAAAGTAAACACTTATTGACTTGTATCTTTTACCTATTACTGAGGGGTAGAAGTTAAAAAGGATTGGTCTCTCAGGATGCTCCTGGAAGCTGCATGCTTGTGGCTATAAAGCTATTCTCTGATATACCTGAATTCTTTTGCTCCCAGTAGTGAAATTGTGTGTGTATTAAAAGTTTAAGCATTGTTTACTCCCTGATTTATATTTGCTGATTTTTCATATTATTGTAATGTTATAAAATGGAAGTGCAAAAAAGGGTTGTTTTAGTCAAACCAAGTTCGGTGCTTTGAAATGACTCAGAGGCAAGTTGCAGAAAATATTGTAGACTTAGATGTAGAAAAGATATGAGGGGGCAACGTAAGAAACTAGAAAGGATTGCTAGGTGCAGTGACACATGCCTGTAGTCCCAGCTACTCTGTAGGCTGAGGTGGGAAGATCACTGGAGCCCAGGAGTTCTGGGCTGTGCGCTATGCTGATTAGGTGTCCACACTAAGTTCTGCATCAATATGGTGACCTCCTGGGAGCAGGGGACTACCAGGTTGCCCAAGGAGGGGCGAACCCACCCAGGTCGGAAAGTAGAAGGATTGTGTCTCTAGGCCTCAGACTCCTTTGCATTTTTCTGTCCTCACCCTGCACATAGTGAAAATCATAAACCCACATTATTGGTGTGGTTTATAGAAGAAAAACAACTTAGAACTAAAAAAAAAACAAAAAACCTTGACCTTACGTAAAGAGATTTTCAAATGAATACACTTTTTGTGTTTTTAAAATTAAAATGTTATATGGAATTATATATATTATTTTAAAATGATTTCCTGCTTAGCTTTTTAAATTAACTGGTGCCAATCTCTCAAATAAGACAATTTATGTACCAGCAGTAATCAACTGGAAAATGTAATGAAAAATATTCAATTTACAGCAATAACAAATAGTACAAAATACCTTAGGAATAAGCTTAATAGGCAAAGTGCAGGATGTAGATGAAAACAAAGCAAAAGACTACAAAACTTTAATAAAGGCCATAAGAGAATACTTGAACATGTGCCAGGCAGTTTTTCTGGGACAAATCTATACATTTAATGCCAATCCAGTAAAAATCTCAGTATGTTTTCAGTGCATGTTTTTACAAGTTTGTTCACCTGTAGATACTGTGGGTTATATCACCTAGCAGTTTCATTTCTAAGAAAAAAATCCCCTCCTAATTTGCATTCTCCACACCTTCACCCAAACCAGATTATTATTAGACTTTTAACAGGTCAAAGTAGTATCTTGTTTAGTTTGCATTTCTTTAGTTATAAGGAGTCCAGAAATAATCCCATACCCAGGGGAATTTAATGTATGATAATTTATCCACTTCAAATCAGTGGAGAAAATTCAGGATAATTCAGTAAATGCTCATGAGTTATCAGGATAGCAATTTGAAAAAAAGAGGTAGACTTTGATTTATTCTTTATACCAAAATAAATTCTAGCTAGATCAATAATCTCAATAAAAAATGACTCCATTTAAAAAATGACTCCATATAAGTTCTGGAAAAAAATGAGCACGTTAGAAAAATAACAGTAGAGGCCAGGCACTGTGGCTCATGCCTATAATCCCAGCACTTTGGGAGGCGAGACAGGTGGGTCATCTGAGGTCAGGAGTTTGACACCAGCCTAGCTAACGTGGTGAAACCCCGTCTCTACTAAAAATACAAAAATTAGCTGGGCATGGTGGCACGTGCCTGTAGTCCCAGATACTCGGAAGGCTGAGGCAGGAGAATGGCTTGAACCCAGGGGGCGGAGGTTGCAGTGAGCCGAGATTGTGCCACTGCACTCTAGCCTGGGTGACAGAGTGAGTCTCCATCTCAAAAACAAAAAAACAAACAAACAAACAAAAAAAAAAAACAGTAGAGGCCTGCTGTGGCTCACACCTGTAATCCCAGCAAAGAGGCTGAAGCAGAAGGATTGATTTCTGGAGCCCAGGAGTTTGGGGCTGCAGTAGGCCATGCCACTGTACTTCAGCCTGGGTGACAGCCCAACTCTAACAATTAAAATAAAATAATATATTTAAAAATAGCAGTAGAGGCTTTCTAAGTATTATATAAAATCTAGTGTTTAAAAAAAGATAGGTTTGACTAAATAATTTTGTTGCAAGAACAACATAAAGTGGAATGAAAACATCAGTCCATCATATGAATCATATGAGTTATAACATTTACAGAATAGTTAAATGACAAATTATGGAAACAAGTCTGTTAGAACAAACTAACAAAAAATAACAACCCATTCAAAAAGGTGGGAGATGCATCTAAACAAGCATATCATTTTGTCCTTAACTTAAAAGTGGTTCTCAGTTTTAGGTACCCAAATTTAATATTTGTATTTTTTTTAAGTTTTGGCCTTCAAAATAAAAATGACTATACATTTGATTAGACTTCTTTCTTTTCTTTTTATTATAGATGATTGATTTTTAAGGACTAGTGCTATGAACATTAAAGCAAGTATGCTTAAAACCAAAAACATATTTTGACTTTAGGCATTTATGCAGATAAATGTTTCGCTCTTAACCCACTTGGAATTCAAAGAGACTAGCTCTTTAACAGATACTGATACTCAAAGGTAAGGAAGAATTATTGGTATGATTCTAAGCCACTAGTCATCTATTCCCAGAGCAAAATTTCTGTGGTTACTTTTTTTTATTGGTTTTCTAGTGTGCTTGCTTTAATCAACTGTTTTCACATGTTTGGAAAATTTGAGGGTTTCCTGTCTATACTAGAAGATACGAGCACTACTCCAGAAAGGTTAGAAACAAAAGACCAAAGGACGGCTTCTACAAAAGGCCCCCTGTTAAAGCCCAGCCGTTTGTTGTTGTTTTAGTTAAACAGAAGTGGACTATTTCAACCTAACCGAAAAAGATTGCTGGATTTTTGCCCTGGCCATATAAATAGGAAATTAAGACAGGCATATTAAAATTTTTTCCTGCTTATGTTGTCTTCATCTCTGGGTCAACTGATACTTATTTTTTTTTCCAGTAGCAAAATATTTATTGAGTGTAACTGTGTACCAGGTGCTTTTCTAGGTGCTGGGAATATAGCAGTGAATAAAACAAAATCCCTGAGCTTATATTTTATTTGGAGAAGACAATCAATAAATAAACAATTATACAACTGGTCATATGGTGATAAGTTCTCTGAAGAAAAATAATTTAGGAGGAAAAAGGGGGTGGGCTTTTACTGTTCTACATAGGGAGGTCAAAGAAGGCCTTGCTAATAAGGGGACATTTGAACAGAGACTTGAAAGAAGTGAAGGAATGAATCATGTGGTTGTCTCAGGGAATTAACCTTTAACTGATCAACATCTTTAAAAGGCCTTCTCCAATCTGTATTTCCAGCTCACCTCCCAGAAATTCACTCACCATGTTCATGTCCCCAAGATCTTTGGGGCAAATAGAAATTTCTAAACAGTATTTCAACTTGGTAAGATTCTACATTTCTGCTTCTGATTCTTATTTTTCATGGCACCTCATAAAATAGGAATGCATGTTTTGTTTTTTTGTTTTTTTTTTTGGGCTACTTGCCAGTGTTCTGAAACTAAATACTTCTCGGAGAGTAGCTGTCTCTCATTAAAGAGCCCCAGATCAACAGTTCCATTTCAGTCACATTCCACCCTGACTTGTCTCTTCTCACCATTCGGTGATTAGGTTCATGTCTTTTACTCTTTAATGCTTTGGTTAGCATCCTGTTTACCTCAAGAGACTGAACTTTCTTCTCCTGAATTTAATTTCCCTGATAGCAGGGACATCTGACAGCCTATGTCAACTGTCTTCCTTGACTTCTGTCAATTATTTGTCCTAACTATGCTTGAGTAAGCGTACAGGAATATAAAATTTTATTTCCTTGGAATAAAATTTTAATTTATAATATAGGAGAGATATTACTATTAAGGCTCTTGAAAAGCAATTATAAGAGACAGAATAAAATTAAAAGGAAAAAAGATAGCATAACCCTACAACTCTAATAAATCTGCTGTTTATGATTTTCCAGATTTAATTTCAGTCTTTGCTATTATGCTTATATAGTTGAAATCAGAGAATAATATCTTTAAGATTTGGAATGGGATACTGCTCTTTCTTTTTATGTGCTCTTAGATAAGAACTCTTTCTACTGTGTCTTATAAACTCTGTCATACCATAAGTTTCTCAAAGTGATTTTAACCACTGTACATTTTAAACAATATGAGAAATAAATTAATTTCTGATATGAACATACATGTAAGCTACTAAACCTCAGTATTATGAAATATCTAAAACGTGACTTATTAGAAATAGATTCTTTTAGACGTTAATTTTTTTTTCAAAAAGATACATATGTACTTTTCTATTTATGAGTATACCTGGGTAAATATAGAACATAGGAAAATGTACTTTGATGTTTTAAAACATTTAAAATTATTTAAATATACCACTAACTCTAAATTTTAAAATTATCTTTGATTAGAAGCATTAAAATTCTTATTTAAGATGTATACTATTTGAAGAAGAGAATTGGGATTCTGTTGCCTTGCTTTGTAACTTAAAAGAGCTTTTTCAGGGACTCCCTCAGAGTACCTGCTGGAGATGAATCTGTAAAAAATTTTTGTTCAGAGAATTTCTGCCACTAAATAAGTCTTAAATAAGTATGCCACATAGGATAGACTGTATTTAAATGAAACCATTTTTTATAACTTACACCAAATATTATGACAAAAGCATAATTGTTTCTTGATAAAACTGTTCCACTGTTTTATTTGTTTTACTGTTAACAAAAATGCATTTTTTTTTTTTTACCTTTAGTAGGTATGCATTGTATTACAAAACAATGATATCTTTTGGAAAACTTTCAGTTAAACTAGACAAATAAGGACTTTGGCTTATTCAGATTTATTCCATTCATCATCTTTGAATTAGTTTCTTCTTGAGAAGAAGCATATCTTACAACTTTTGTCTTTATTACCTCAATATGTTTTATTTATATGTATATACATATATACTTTTTTTCAGATAGGGTCTTGCTATGTTGCCCAGGCTGGTCTTGAACTCCTGGACTCAAGTTATTCTCCTGCCTTAGCCTCCCAAAGTGCTGGGATTATAGGCATGAGCCACTGTGCCTGGCCTCAATATTTATTTAAAGGTTACAAGAATATATGTTCTTAAAATGTTGAGAATTAAAATAAATAATTTCTCCAATCATAATAGCTTTGTATTTTATTATATTATAAATTGAAACATTGAAGTTTTAAAATTCTTCTTCAATGAGCCAGGCCTGGTGGCTCATGCCTGTAATCCTTACACTTTGGGAGGCTGAGGCAGGAGGATCAGTTGAGGCCAGTAGTTTGAGAACGGCCTGGACAACATAGTGAGAATCTCTCTCCATTTAATAAATAAATAAATAAAATTATTCTTCAGTGAATCTGTTTTTGGATTCAGTCTTGATAATAAAAACGGAGAAAAAAAATTTTAACAGATAGATTATTTCAATATTGCTCTGTCAGCAATATCTGGAAATAGCATTAGTCATTTTTCTTCAGGTGCTTTTATCCAACAAGCCTAAGACTCCTAAGATTCCCTTCCCCATTAGGAAGCTCCAGGCAAGCAAGTGAAACCAGCAGAAGGCACCCAGCCACAAAAAACACCCTGGCCCAGGAAGTCTCTTTAACCCTACAGCCGAGACTCTTTCTCAGCCCAGGAACACCAGGCCTGTAGAGAGACACTATTCAGGGGTTTCCACTATACACCATTCCACCAGGCAGCTTGACCTGGTGAAAATGTGTAGGTCCATGTATCCACCACCACAAGCAATTGCACCCATATCCCTCCAGCCTCTCTACCCCTGTCCCTAACACCTGGCCACTGCTAATCTGCCCTTCAATTCTCAAATTTTGTCATTTCAAAAATGTTATGTAAGTGGAATCAAACAGGATTAGTTTTTTTTCTCATTCAGTATAATTTTCTGGAGATCCATTCACGATATTGCATGTATCAATAGTTCATACCTTTTTATTGCTGACTAGTATTTTGTAGCATGAATGTACTACAGTTTCTTTGGCCAGACACATGTTGAAGAATATCAGGACAGGTTCTAGTTTTTGGCTATCACAAATAAAGCTGCTATGAACATTTATGTTTAGTATCAGTATGGGTTTTCTTTTCTCTGGGATAAATGCCTAATGAGTAAAATTGAAGAGTTGTATGGTTATTTTGCATTTTCTTTGATAAAAGACTGCAAAAGTATTTTCCAGAGTGGTTGAATCATTTTAAATTTCCGCCAGCAATATACGAGTGAGTGATCCAGTTTCTCTGCATTCTTTCCATCATTTGGTGATGTCTTTATTTTTTATTTTAGTCATTCTGATAGTGTAAGGATATCTCAGTGAGGTTATAATTTGCATTTCCCATCAGGATGATAGCTAATGATATTGATTAACCTTTCCCTGTTTATTTGTGACCTGTATTTCCTCTCTGGTGAAATTTCTCTTCATGTCTTTGCTCATTTTCTGATTGGATTGTTTGTTTTTTACCATTGAGTTTTGAGGGTTCTTTATATGTTCTCAATACTAGTCTTTTTTGTTAGATATGTGGTTAGCAAATATTTTCTCTTGGCCTGTAGCTTCTTTCTTCATCTTCTTCACATCATGTTTCTCATCCAAAAGTTTTTAATTTTCATAAAGTCCAGTTTATCACTTTTTCCTTTTATGGATTATGCTTTTGGTGTCAAATCTAAGAACTCCAGATCCTGAAGATTTTCCCTTATACTTAAAAAATTATAGTTTCACATTTTAAGTCCATGATCCATTTTAAGTTTATTTTTGTACAAAGTTTGAGATTTGGGTTGAGGTTTTTTTAGGGGGTGCTGAGTTGGGCACCATGGATGTTCAGTTGTTTCAGCACCATTTATTTTAAAGGCTATCCTTTTTCTATTGATTTGCTTTTGTATCTTTGTCAAAAAGGGAACAAAGAAAAGATGAGACAAATAGATGTAGAATTTAAACTAATTATATTAATAATTGCATTAAATGTCAGTGCTCTAAGCAGCCCAATTAAAAGGCAGAGATTATCAGAGTGGATGAAAAACAAAACCCAACTCTATGCTATCTAAAAGAAATCTATTGTAAATATAAAGACACGAATATGTTAAAAGGATGAATGAAAAGATTAGGTCCTGGATGGAACTGAGGTTAACTGAGGATAATTTTAAGATTTGTACTATGGGTGATTAGGTGGTTGATAACACAATTAACCAAAGTAGGTATTGAAAGACCATCTCATAGCTGGTTGGTGATGAAGGAAATGAGTTCATGTTAATGTTTGAACCTATTATATTTGAGATGTTTGCCACATATTCATGTGGATATCTTTGGTGTCCAGTTGGAAATATGGATCTAGAACTTGAAAGCATAGTTTTAGTCAGAAATGTAGACTTAGGAATAATATAGATATAGTTAAAATCATGAGGCCAATTGCTGTGGCTCATGCTTGTAATCTCAGCACTTTGAGAGGCCAAGGCAGGCGGATCACCTGCGGTCAGAAGTTCGAGACCAGCCTGGCCAACATGGTGAAACCTCATCTCTACTAAAAATACAAAAATTAGCTGAGTATGGTGGCACATGCCTGTAATCCCAGCTACTCGGGAGGCTGAGGCAGGAGAATCGCTTGAACCCGGGAGACGGAGGTTGCAGTGAGCCAAGATTGCACCACTGCACTCCAGCCTGGGTGACAAGAGCAAGACTCTCTCTTAAAAAAAAAAATCATGATAGTGGCTCAGCCAGCATATGTATTGGCAAGCAGATCTGCAGAAATATTAGTATTAAAGGACCAGCAAGGTAAAATGGAAAAGATCTTCAGAAAGGCCAAGGTCTGCCAAAATTCTTCTATTTTCTATTCTAGTTTCCTCTTGCGAGGCAAAACAGTCTTAGAATTTAGCTTAGGGTGGCACAAAAACATTTCCTGTAATGTAGTTCTAATAATATTCCTTAAAATACCCAGAAAACAATAGCAATTTCTGCCTTCCACTTCCTCTATTGTTAATTTTTCTACTAGCACTACTGACTTGTACTTACTTTGATAATCAGAATCTCTTTTAGGAGCACCTTGACTTAATAGCCTTGGAGTCCTTTACTTTCTAGACAAGTTCATGCTTGCCTTAGAAATGTATGTTAGTTATGAAAAGTCATGTAGAACAGACTTATAGCTTCTACTTTTTCTATCAATATTATTTACCCAGTGAAATTTATACTAATCTTGCTGACAGTGAGAGCCTGGTTTCCTTCACAAGACTAAGTAGCAAAACAGAGTGAAGCGTTGTTCAGAGAGCAATTAGGCTGACAGTTAATTTGAGTAGATAAGTAATAACATGAGTTGAGTACAAGAGAAAACTACTGCCCAAGTCCTGGATAGAAACAATGCTTTAGAAAGAAATATACATATTTTACTTTCAAAAGTTAAGTATTCCATGAAATATTTTCTTTATAGTTAAAAAAGATCAATTGCTATATTAATTATCTGTTAGAACAACTAACATTTATTATCTCACACAAATTCTGAAAGTCGGGAAACTGGGAGTGGCTTTACTGTGTGATTTTGACTCATGTTTCCTCATGAGAGATTCTTAAATTGTCAACCAAGGCTGCAGCTAGTTTAAGGCTTCACTGGGATTGGAGAGTCTACTTCCAAGTTCACTCGTGTGGTTGTTGGCAGGCCTCAGTTCTTTGCTGGCTGATGGCCAGGGGCTTCATTTTTTTTGCCATGTGAGCCTCTCCGTAGGGCTACTCCATAGCAGCTCCCTGCCTCAACCCCAGTGGAAGAGATCCTAGAGAGGGAGAGAACCTAAGATGGAAACTGCAGATTTTTATAAATTCATCTCAGAAGTGACATGCCATCACTTCTGCCCTATGTCATTGGCCCACAGACTAACCCTGGTACAGTTTAGGAACTGTCTGCACAAGGATATAAATACCCAGTGTCAGAGATTATTGGGGTGATCTTGGAGGCTGGCTGCCATAGTTATGACTTAGTGTCAATTAGAAAACAAATCCTATTATCAGTTTTCTTGTTTGTGCTTTGCTGTAGTTAATTTGACTCATGATATGGCTGCATCATATGTCAATATTCTAGAAATATTTACCAAGTGTCCATTATATGCTTGGCACTGGAATTTTATTTTAAGAACTCCCTGAAAGTCCCATCTGAACCCTGGTAGTCACCTGTCTAAAATCCTTCAGCGAGTTTATATTTTGCTATTTCCTTGCTATGAAATCTGTATTTTAGCATTATGGAAAGAAAAATTTCTGTCTCAAAGGCTTGTGTGCCAGGTGCCCTTCTAAGCACTTTACATTTATTATCTAACTTAGTTGTCAAAACAGCCCTATAGTAAGCATTATTTTTCTTATCTTATAGATTAGCTGCATGAAGTTTCCCCAGGGCCATATTATTTTTTCTTCTCTTGCTTCTGAGCACACTATTCTTCTGCTTTTTACTTAAAATAATTTGTTCTTTCTTTAGGATTCAACTCAAGCATAATCTCTTCCAAGAAGTTTTCTCTAATGCTCCTAATCTGAGTTAGTTGTCTCTTCTGATTTTCATGGCACCCTGTGTATTCTTTTATTCTGGTACTTAGCACTTTGTATTGCTATTTTTTATTTACTTATCTGTTTTTTTTTTCATTAGACTGTAAACTATAGCATAAAAGTTCAAAACAAAGGCTCTGAAATCAAACAGTTTGGAACTGTGTCCTGGATCCACCACTTATTCATGTGACTGGACAATTTACTCCTTGTCTACCTTTCTTCACTTATAAAATGGCATTTAAAAAATAATTACCTTCTTTCTAGAGTTTGTTGTGAGAATTAAATAATATAAGTAATGTGGTTGGTGCTATGTCTGGCATTCAATAAATGTTATCTGTTAAGCTCTTTGAGGGTAGAATTATTGATTGCTTATCATGTGCCATGTATCATACCAAACTTTTTATATAGGTTATTTTATTTTCACAACAACTCTATGTAGTGGGTACTACTATGAATGTGCTATTTCTCTTAGCATCTCTAGATGAATGGATCAGTGAATGAATGATAGATGGAATTGTGGCCAGTGGAACTAATTGTAGGGGTAAACAGCAACCTAGAAACATGGTTAAAAGCATGACAATGGGCAAAGAAAGAGTGAAAGAGGCAGTAAGCAAAGGAACGTGACTCCCATACTAGTATAGCAGCTAACGGCACAAGTTTTAGAAACAGGTAGACTTGGGTTTGAATCACTGCTCCATCACTTATCAGCCATATAATATGGGGCAAAATTTATAATTTCTATAAAATACACATATCTACTTTATGGACGTATTTTGAAGATTAAATGAGATAATATATGTAAAATATTTAGCATAGAACCTAGCATATAGTAGATATTCAATAAATATTAACTAGTACTATTATTAAATTAAGATAATCATGAAGACAGAATTTTGGTAGTGAGGTAGTGAGAGAAATAAAATAGAATCATGAAGTATAAGGTAATGACTTTGAATCATTAATCATAGTTATCGAAATCAGGCATGATAGAAAGATTACGGTTGTTAATCTTCCTTATAGTGCAATATCCTCACCAGTCCACACAACATTTTTGCCCACTGAGTCTGGGATAAAGTTAAAAATTAATCCTCATAAACTAAAGTTAATGAAATGTTCAGAATATTCTGCCTTCTTACCGTATCATCACTTTAGCCCAAATGCTGGGAAAAAGAGAAACAAAAGTCTTCTGTCAGCTATTGAATGTGTTATGATTTAGAGAATTTCTGAGATTCACAGTAGAGTCTGTACTTTTTACATTTGATAGACCTCAAATTTGCCTGAGTTTTTAGTGTTCCAGAAAATAGGCTTTGGGGAAGGTTTGAAAGAAGGCCTTTTTGAACCTAAGAAGACAAGAAATTGAACTGTTATCACAATATTGCTATTTAAGAAAGAATATTAAGTCACTTTTCAGAAATTTATATCAGAATTAGAAAAATGCAGAAATATAGTTTATACTTCTTAAGGAGGTGGTGGAGGAGATTAGATAGATACATGCATACATATATACATAAGTCTAAATATTTTTATATGTATATGAGAGAAGTATCAGGAATAGGGTAGGAAGGAGATAGAATAGTAGGATTACATTAGAATCTGCTTAGGAGCTTTTCTTACATGTAGATATTCTCTCTTTTTGGGTATATCAAAATCTTGGGAGTAAAAGGGAAACCTGGCATGCATGTTTAATAAAGCTTCCTTGGGGACTCTGATATATGCTGCCTCCCAAATAAATTACAAGCCATATCAGGAAATAGGAGTTTACAGTATAAAATATAACCGAAAACTAAAGTCAGATGTTCTACAAAATATTAACTATTTTTCCTGAGATAGAAGTGGTTGAAATTTGGGAGATAACTTTTGCTATGTTCTGTGAGGCAAAGAGGAGGGAGGCTAGAGTTGATGAAGACATCTTTCTTTTATGTATGATATTGTCTATGTTGGGCCCTGTTAATTTTCATTTACTTATGTACAAATAGCTAATGCATATTTTTTAACTTTAATGTTTGTTATTTACATGCATAGCCTGATGGGCACATGATCCAAAGTTTAATTTTTTGGTTGAAATTTAGTATTTGGCTTCATATATATAAAGATTGGGGTAAGGCGATCTGCCTTGCCTTTCTTCTACTGTGTCAAAGAATTTATGATCAAGGGCTAGAGTCAGTATTAATTATATGATTTTGTTTTAACCAAGAAGAACTTAGTTAAATTTAAAATTGTAGTTGCACTCATAGATAAAGGGTTTTCTTTGTTAAAAGGTAAAAAAGAGACATCTCTTATACTTGCTTAACTTTTCATTTAAAAAATTAATGTATTCATAATAAATAGAAAATGAAAGGAGCTTAAAAAGCAAATTGAACACATAGTTATCAGAGAAAACAATTTTAAAATTATGATTTTAAACTCTCATCTGTATTGCTAAGAATGCCCTATATTGTAATATTCAAGGTTTGCTTATAATTAAAATGTAGGGAAGAAAAAAAGAATCCTGCAGACATTCTAAGGATGACCTAGGCCATTGATAGTCTAAGCTTGAAATTAATCATTAGATTTTCTGAACTCTTATTACACTGGATCTGTTCAGTCTGCTTTAACAAAATACCATAGATTTGGTGGCTTATAAACAACAGAAATGTATTTCTCACAGTTCTGAAAGCTGGGAAGTCCAAGATCAAGTTTCCAGCAGATCTGATATCTGGCGGAGGCCTGTTTCCTGGTTCATAGATGGCACCTTCTTACCATGTCCTCAGATGGTGGAAGGGACAAGGCAGCTCTCTGGGGTCCCTTTTATAAGGGTACTAATCATCCTTTTCATGAGGGATGTGTTGAAACTAAATTGTGCCTGAAGACCCTTATGTTACCTTTACATATCAAATTTCTATTGTATCTGGCCAACCTTTGATTTTAAGGCACTAGGGCAAGAATGACCAACGGGTTTCCAAACATATAGAAGTAGTAACATGTGCATATCAACAAAAATCACTTGGTAGGAACCCAATACTAGCTAATAAGCCTACTCCTACTGTCTTAGATCTAGTTCTGTTTCAGAATTGGAAGCTTTAAGGATTATGAAATTCTGGGAACTTGGAGTAGGTCCACCTAGAAGTAGAAGCAGCAAAACCCAAAAAACCAATACAATTTTTAATAGTGTTGTTTAATTTTTAAGTGTTATTTACTAGAAAATAAAACTATACTGTGTTTAATCATCAAGCAATTTTTAACAAAAAAGTTTAGCACTAGGAATAGGTTAAACTTGACACAATTTGCTATCATAGAATTATATATATGGGTAAAGGGTACCAGTTAGATTCCCATTGGCAAAAACCTGGTGATTTTCATTCTGTGGTATAGAGATCCTAGTTAAGAGGCAGGAATTATTTAAAAATGACTTTAATTTTGATCATTTAATTATAGGACCTATTTATTCACTTGTTTTTAACTTATTCACAAATCTTAGTCATGAGCATTATTAATAGATAATTTGATGCCTTGTCACTTAGCAGTACAAGCATGTTTATTTCTGACTTTTAAACTCGAATTCACCCTTCTTGTGTTTTTCTATTCAGTCGTAACCCACTCCTTCTACATCTACAAAATTTGGTGAGGCATCTTTGACTTTCATCATATTCAGACATGCTAGCTTCAAGAACTTTCCTATTCCTCTTTTAATGTCTGTTTCTCACATTGTATTAGTTCCTTTTATAGTATTAATTCTTCCTACAGTATGAATTTTATTTTTTTTTTTTGAAATGGAGTCTTGCTCTGTTGCCCAGGCTGGAGTGCAGTGGCACCATCTCCACTCACTGCAAGCTCTGCCTCCTGGGTTCACGCCATTCTCCTTCCTCAGCCTCCCGAGTAGCTGGGACTACAGGCGCATGCAACCATGCCCGGCTAATTTTTTGTATTTTTTGTAGAGATGGGGTTTCACCGTGTTAGCCAGGATGGATATAGTATGAGTTTTTATTCATTTTGCAAATATTCATCATAGATATTTTTGTCTTATTTCAGTTAGAACAGGATTTTTTTCTTTGGATTCAGAAGGTAACTTTCCTACTGTACTTAGGATAAATTCCACAAAAACTCTTTAACAAGGTTTTTTTCCTGGCTATTAGAAAGGAGGAAGACCCTCACTGAATTGAAGATAGTAATGATGGGTGAGGACTTTGACTTCTGTTAACACCTCATTCAGATAAGTGACTATTTTAGTTTAATTACATGAATTTTGTCATCTCCCTTGGAGCTGCCTCCCAGAGCTGGTATATCAGACATCCTCAAGTAAACCTGGACCCAATTTTAGAAATCTTGGCTAATTTTGAGTTAGGAAGTCCTTTCTTTAAACAATATTTTAAAATTAACAGAACAATCACAAAATATATTTTACATATTGCACTTTTCAAAATACTTTAAATATTTAAAAAAATACCCAACACCACAAAGTAACTTAGTTTAAAATAAAATAAAAATTTTTGAAATCAGACCTAATCAAATTGATATATCTCTCATTTTCTTTGAAAATTTTGACCAAGATATCAATTAATAAATCCACTTTGAAAGACATTTTAAGACATTTAATTAATAAATCCATTTGAAACACATTTTAAAATGTGTTTGTTCATGTGTATAAAATTATGTCATTGATATAACATTACTATTCCTTTAAACATTGTTATGTTCTTAAAAATATCTCCTCTTAGTCTATAATTTAGCGAAAGGATTACTGTTTTGAAAGACTTAAAAAAAATGCTTAGCTATTTTTTAGCTAAGAAAAAAGATTCCTTTTTCAGTAAATGGATAAAGCTGAAAAATAAGAAATTAATAAAATGTTTTAAAGAAAGAGTCATAAATATCTTAATATTTAATTCTAGGAAGCTTCTCTATTCATTTGCTTTTTTATTTTTAAAAAGAAGTTTAAAAGAGTTTTAGTTTTAATATCTATAAACTTCAAATGTTATTCCACACTCAAAAAATATTTCTAATGTATTAAGTCACAGTTTACTAAAATAGCTAAGTTTTCTGATTCATAAAATGAATAATAACACTTAATTTTAAGACTTATTTTGAAGATTAAATGAGGTAATACATTCAAATAAAACCTTTTAAACTGAAAGTACTTTCATTCTTGTGTAAGGAAACCATGAAAGTAAAAGACACATCATTCTATTTTGCCAGTGTATCTTAAATTAACTAGCTTTTATTGTCAGTTTAGTGTTCAGGGCACCAAGGGTACATTTCATACTAAGATTGTGCAAGTGAGAGTAAATGCCTCCTTAAATTTTCCATCTTAGGCACCTCCGTTGCTTTTAGACCTGGCTATGTTTTATATTGCTTATATACATTTTTTTTTCTTTTGGAAAAAAGATAAGCTGAAAAACATTTTTGTTGATGACATGCTATTGCTGAAATAAAAACCCAGAACATAGTGATGTGTAGGAAAAAACTCTCTCAAACCATGTTTTTCTTCTGCTCTCATACCACCACAACAGTTGTCAACACAAAAGACTTCTGTGACAAAATGTGTGGGTTTTTTTCCCCACACACTAAGCAGCAGATACCAGCTGGGCATCCTCCAACTCAGTTCTGATACTGTCTACTTGGAGATAGTGTCAGATCCCACTGGTTGGGGTCTCAGTGCCCATACCTCATACCCCCAGACACCATCCTAGGCCTCCAGAACTTCTGACCTACTGGCTTCAAATTGGGGTTCTCACACCACACTCTTCAGGTTCAATTAATTTGCTGGAGCTGCTCACAAAACTCAAGGATACTGGGCACGGTGGCTCAAGCCTGTAATCCCAGCACTTTGGGAGGTCGAGGTGGGCAGATCACTTGAGGCCAGGAGTTCAAGAACAGCCTGGCCAACATGGCAAAACCCCGTCTCTACTAAAAATACAAAAATTATCTGGGTGTGGTGGCATGCCCCTGTAGTCCCAGCTACTCCAGAGGCTGAGGCACGAGAATCACCTAAACCCAGGAGGCAGAGGTTGCAGTGAACTGAGATTGTGCCACTGCACTCCTGCCTGGGCCGCAGAGCAAGACTGTCTGAAAAAACAAAAAGAAAAAATCAAAGGAAACACACTTACCGGTTTATTACAAAGGATATTGCAAAGGATACAGATGAGGAGATGCGTAGGGTGAGGTATGGGAGCAGGGGTGCAGAGCTTCCATGCCCTCTGGGGGCCACACCCTCCAGAAACCTCCATGTGTTCAGCTATCCAGAAGCTCTCCTAATCCAGTTTTTATGATGTCAGCATTGGGATTTTTATGATGTCAGCATTCCTCCCCTACACTATAGGGCAAAAACCATCTCTGGGGAGGGTCTTAAAGACACACAATTTACAATGATGGGGGAAAAATTAGAGTCCTGCCTTGGAACAGGTTAAAGGAGGGCAAGAGAAGGTCCGAGGCCTGCCCCTGAGGCCTACCACACCAAACGTTATAACAACACAACAGTTTTTATATATTTTCAGTTTTGCATAATATGAAGTTAAAGACTTAAGTAAATTGAGTAAATAGTAGTTTTTTTTTTTTTAATTTCACAGATCAATAGAGTTAACTCCTGAGTTATATGCATACAACCCCAAAGTTGTTTGCTGTCTGGAGCTGTGCCTACACCCGCCTGGCATATTCTTGAGACATTGGAGCTAGGAAGTTGGAAATTGATAGAAAATTTTGTCACTTGTAACAGAGCTAAAGCAATATGGATTATGGTGGACCCTATCACTTGGAATACTTTCCTGAAAGCAACACAGGTCATCATTGCCAAATATTTTTAGGACCCCAATTCTGTACTAAGTGCTAGTGATGTGATAGGAAGCCAGACACAATTGAACTAGCTATCTCTATATTAGTGACTTATCCTAAAACAGAGTTTCTGTTGTAATTGGTTTACTGTTTCTCTTAGAATATTTAAACGTTTTACCATGGTCTTTCAGATTCTGCGTGATCATACAGCAACCTCTTCTTTAGCAACCTCTCCACTATCCCACCCGGGTACTTTAGTTCTGGTGGCCTCTTTCATTTTCTGAAAGAACATCAGTTTCTTAGCATATGATCTTTCATCTTTTGGAAGATCTCTGCCCCTTCTCCTTTCAAAGCACAGCCTCCTTCTCACATTTCAAGACTCAGCGTCCATGTTACCTTCCCAGATCAGCCTTCCTTGAACCCACCCCATCCACCTGGATCTCCCTGTTTATTCTTCATGAGAGAACCCTGTTCTTTCATAGGATTTTTCTGAATTTGTCATCACATACTTATTTCCTTGTTTGTGTGCCTCTTCTCACCAGACCCTGAGCACCGTGTAAGTAGGAACAAAGTATTATTTCAAAGACCCAAGTCTGAAACGGTTTATCTGTTTATACTTAATGGCTAAGGTATACATGTACACGTATTCTATTTGACTAACATTTGAGGTAAAAAACATGGGGGAAAGGAGCAGATAACACATATTTTTAGAGGATTTAGAGTATATATAACTAAGAAGGTTCCCTTTATTTGTTATTTTTTGGGAGGGAATCCTGCTCTGTCACCCAGACTAGAGTACAGTGGCACGATCTCAGCTCACTGCAACCTCTGCCCTCTGGGTTCAAGCGATTCTCCTGCCTCAGCCTCCTGAGTAGCTGGGATTATAGGTGCGTGCCACCATGCCCGGCTAATTTTTATATTTTTAGTGGAGATGGGGTTTCACCATGTTGGCCAGGCTGGTCTTGAACTCCTGATCTCAGGTGATCCACCTGCCTCAGCCTTCCAAGGTGCTGGGATTACAGGCCTGAGCCACCATGCCTGGCCCCATTTTAAATCTTATTCTCACTTTGAGGTGGAGTTAATCTCAGAAAACTTTGAGATTAAGTTATCTTAATATCAACCTTCTCACTTTATTCATTTATTCAACAAATGTTTATTGAGCCCTTACTGTGTGCCAGGTAGTTTTAAACATTGGGGATACTATTGAATAAGATAGACAAAGCCCAAGCCTTCCTGCATCTTGCTTGCTAGTAGCGAGATAATAAATAAGAAAATAAATGAATTTATAACATAACCTCAAGTGGTGATCAATACTATGAAGGAAATAGAGCAGAGGTAGGAGTAGCAAATAAATGGGAATTATGGCTGTCTTAGGCAAGATGTTTAGACAAGGCTTTGCTTAGGAGGTGCTATTTGAGGAGATATGTGAATAATGGAGTGGGGTGAGTCATAGGAAGCATGGTCAAAGAGTATTTTGGGCAGAGGAAACAGCAAGTACAAAAACCCAGAGAAAGGAAGAATTATGCCACAGTCATGGAATAGAAAGATGACCAGGATGGCTGGAGTAAGAAGAGTGTTAGAGCATGAGGTCTGAGAGGTATCAAGGGGCCAGAACTCATGTAGTGTTTTGTAAACCAAGATAAGGCATTTGAATTTATTCTACGTGTGACAGGAAGCTCTTGCAGGGTTTTGAGTGTGGAGGTGGGTTAGGGAGTAACATATTAGCTCTATGAGGACATCTAGGAGGCAGCAAGAGTAGAAGTATGGAAACCAGTTTGTAGGATGCTTTTGCAGTGGGACAGAAAAGAGATAAGAATTGCTTTGACTCTAGCAATGGTACAGGTAATGAAAAGAAGTCAAACTTGGAATATATTTTGAATTTAGAGCCAATATGACTTGCCTGGTGTCTTGGATAAGTATGAGAGAAAGAATAATAATGATGACTCCTTGTCTTTTTTGCTTTGGGCAACTGGATACAAGGAGTGATTTAATGATATGGTAAAGACTAGGGAGAAGCAGTCGTTTTTGGGGGGTGGTAGAGGATGATTAAAGTTTATTTTATACATAGACATCAAGTGAAGATGTTGAGTAAGGTCAAATAGGGCAGATGCTTCTGAAATACTCCTTCAAGGCTATTTAGTATCTGACAAATGGAGCATTGTTACATTTATGGCTCTACTTCCTAGCATAGACATACAACATATACTGGGTGGATGGATGGATAACTAGGCATACAGTCATACGTTTGAGGAAATAGAGTGTTCTTTGTATAATGGCACTCATAGATGTAAATAATCACAACCATAATAATATCAAATATTATATATTACTCTGTGTCAAGCACTGTTCCCAATTCTTAACATTATTAATTCACTTCTCATATACTATGATTTAAGTTACTACTATTATCATTAGTATCTCTGCTCTACAGTTGAGAAGCTTATTGAGGGTCATGTAGCTACAGGTGGCCAGGATTTGAACCCATGTACTGTGGCTCCAGAGTTTGTGCTCCTACCTACTGCACTATAGTTTTCCCGTGATCATGACATACTCATCATCATAAACCAATATCTATATATCTGTGTGACCATTTGGTTTGGGGTGATGGAGTGATAAAAGTGATATTTGAATGAAATATGAAGACTATTGGTGAAAAATGCCACCTTAATCCTTGGAAGAGAAATTTACTTTTAGTATAATCCTATTGGGTGAATCTGAAGCACAACTAGATTTTATCTCATATCTGAAAGGTATCTAAAATATCTAATTAGTGTACTTAAGTCCTATTAATCACACATCTTTGCAAGGTCTCAAGAGTCTCCTAAAATTTCATTGTTTGAAAGAAAAATTGGTAGTAGGCCACTCTTGAATATATGTGGGTTTATACTCATACCATTTTAGTTAAAGATTTTCAATTCATCCATGGCTAGGAAGTATAAAATATTTAGTATAACAGTATGTGTATTAGCTGGAATGAATTTCCTAAGTGTTAATTGTTAGCATTACTTTGCTCAGATGAAAGCCATTATTTACACTGCAGTGCCCCTAATGAATATAGGAAAAGATGACTTGTCAACAAAAATTATATGATTGGAGTTGTAGAGTCTGCTTCTTTTTCCAAAGCATACATGCCACCTTCTCTTTTTTCTCCCCGCCATAAAATCCAGCTCCTGTAGGACACCTTTTCTTCTGATGCCTCCATAGGAGACAACTCATGCTCACCATCTCCACCTTTAAGAATTATTTCTGTAGTGAGTCACTATTACAGATAATAACCCATCTCCTGTTGGTCTGCTGAAACTGAAAAAGGGCTGAAAATTGTTAAACTTTTGCAGTGATATGTGTAATGACTATATGATTATCATGCCTCTTTTTATTCACAGCTTATCAAGTACCTACTTGACATGTAGAAAGGAAAAGAGTAAAGTTAAGAAAAGACAGTTTGTTTCTCCTGAAAGTTTAGAGTTGAAAGCGCATCTTTAACACATTCATACATACATCCAAGAAATTCAAATAAAATAATCAAGCCAAATCACTGAAAGCTGAGAAAAGAGTTGAATGTTCAAGTGGCTACTTGAAGTCACTTCATGTGATGTATCATGTAATCCTGCAAAATGAGTGCTGTATTCCTGTTTTTCAAGTAATGAAACTGAGGTTCAGAGAGCAAAACGTTTCATTGCTAGTAAACTTCAAACTAGTAAACAAGAATTTGAGCTTATATATCTCTAATTCCAGGACCTGTGCTTTTATTGCTAATGGCTTTTTTAAAACTTGTTCTTCATGCTTTTTTTTATTGAGTGAATTAAGAGCAGGATAAATAAGAAAAATAGTATTTAGTAATGTATTGCTTAGGCATGAGTAACTTCCTATTTGAAAGAACTGTTGCGTAATCGCCGTTTTTTTTTCTTTCTTTTTAAATTTCTTCTCCCTGCATAGTTTCTGCATCTCCCAGATCGCCTTTTTGTTATTTTGTTTTGGCATATTTATATTAGGGACTTTCTGGAAATATTTGATTGCCACTCATATAAAAGAGTAAATCACTAAAAATTAGTTAGAAACTCTGAGCACCTGGATGAGGTTTGGGAACTTCATTGTATAGTTATTTGGTAGAGCAATTTCTTAAGAAACCCCCATTGCGTATCTTTAGGTTTTTTATCCTGTTACTCAGTACCTCACTGCCCAAAGTACCTGGTATCGCCACTGCCACATCCTTTTGGTGGGTTAAAAGTTTATCTGGTTTGCCTGTTGGCTTTCCTTAATGCTGAGTTCCAATTCAGTTTTTTCTCACCTACTGAGTAGGTTACCATTTGTGTATCTGCCTTCCAAGCTTTCAAAATTTTGTATCTCCAGCCTGGACAACATAGGGAGACCCTGTCTCTACAAAAAAAATTTCAGAAAATTAGCTGGGCACCATGGCGCATTCCTATAGTCCCAGCTACTCAGGAGGCTGCAGTGAGCCATGATTGTGCCACTGTGCTCCAGCACGGGTGACAGAGCAAGACCCTGTCTCTTAAAAAAAAAGTGTTGTATCTGAAAGGTTTATGTCTTTTAAAATAAGTCAGTTTATTGCCGTTTTAGTGGGGTTTTATGAGAGAGAGTTAATGTCTGCATTCATTTGGCATCTTTAACCAATGTTGTTTATCTTCTGCAGATTCCATTTAATTTAGTTTGTTGTAGTTTTAGTCATCCAGAAGTTTCCAATTTATATGAATTCAGATCTGTTCATATCCTTTGCCCACTTTTGAATGGAGTTGTTTGTTTTTTTCTTGTAAATTTAAGTTCCTTGTAGACTCTGGATGTTAGAACTTTGTCAGATGGATAGATTGCAAAAATTTTCTCCCATTCTGTAGGTTGTCTGTGCACTCTGATGATATATATATATTTTTTTTTTTTTGCTGTGCAGAAGCTGTTGAATTTAATTAGATCCCACTGTCAATTTCTGCTTTTGTTGTGATTGCTTTTGGTGTTTTCATCATGAAATCTTTCCCCATGCCTATGTCCCGAATGGTATTGCCTAGATTTTCTTCTAGGATTTTTAGAGTTTTCGGTTTTACATTTAAGTCTTTAATTCATCTTGAGTTAATTTTTGTATAAGGTTTACAGAAGGGGTCTAGTTTCAATTTTCTGCATATGACTAGCCAATTCTCCGAGGACCATTTATTTATTTAATAGGGAATTTATTTAGGACCATTTATTTAATAGGGAATGCTTTCTCCATTGCTTGTTTTTGTCAGGTTTGTCAAAGATCAGATGGTTGTAGGTGTGTGGTCTTATTTCTGAGTCCTCTACTCTGTTCCATTCGTCTGTGTGTCTGCTTTTGTACTAATACCATGCTGTTTTGGTTACTGTAGCCTTGTAGTATAGTTTGAAGTCAGGTAGTGTGATGTCTCCAGCTTTGTTCTTTTTGCTTAGGATTGTCTTGGATATTTGCGCTCTTTTTTGATTCCATATGAATTTTATGAATTTTGGTTCCATGTGAATTAGTTTTTTCTAATTCTGTGAAGAAAGTCAATGGTAGTTTAATGGGAATAGCATTGAATCTATAAATAACTTTGGGCTGTATGGTCAGTCTTACAATATTGATTCTTTCTATCCATAAGCATGGAATGTTTTTCCATTTGTTTGTGTCCTCTTTGATTTCTTTGAGCAGTGGTTTGTGGTTGTTGAAGAGGCCCGTCACTTCCCTTGTTAGCTGTATTCCTAGGTATTTTATTCATTTTGTAGCAATTGTGAATTGGAGTTCATTCATGATTTGGCTCTTTGCTTGCTTATTGTTGGTGTATAGGAATGCTAGCGATTATTGCACATTGATTTTGTATCTGAGAGTTTGCTGAAGTTGCTTATCAGCTTAAGAATGTTTTGGGTTAAGATGATAATTTGACCTCCTCTCTTCCTATATGAATATCTTTGTTTCTTTCTCTTGCCTGATTGCCCTGGCCAGATCTTCCAATACTATGTTGAATAGGATTGGTGAGAGAGAGTATCCTTGTCTTGTGCTGGTTTTCAAGGGGAATGCTTCCAGCTTTTCCCCATTCAGTATTATGTTGGCTGTGGATTTGTCATAGATGGCTCTTTGAGATACATTCCTTGAATACCTAGTTTGTTCAGAGTTTTTAACATTATGTTGAATTTTATCAAAGGCCTCTTCTGCAACCACAGATAATCATGTGGTTTTTGTCTTTAATTCTGTTTATGTGATGAATCACATTTATTGGTTTGCATATGTTGAACCAGCCTTGCATTCTGGGGATGAAGCCAGCTTGATCATGGTAGATAAGCTTTTTGGTGTGTGCTGGATTTGGTTTGCCAGTATTTTATTGTGGATTTTTGCATTGCTGTTCATCAGAGATATTGGCCTGAAGTTTTCTTTTTTTGTTGTATCTCTGTTAGGTTTTGCTATCAGGATGATGCTGGCCTCATAAAATAAGTTAGGGAGGAGTCCCTTCCTTTCAATTTTTTAGAATAGTTTCAGTAGAAATTTGTACCTCTGGTAGAATTCAGTTGTGAATGCATCTGATCCTGGGATTTTTTTTTTTTTTTTGGTTGGTAGGCTATTTATTACTGCCTCAATTTCAGAACATGTTATTGGTCTACTTAGGGATTTGATTTCTTCCTAGTTCAGTCTTGGGAGGGTGTATGTGTTCAGGAATGTATTCATTTCTTCTAGATTTTTTAGTTTATGTGCATAGAGGTGTTTATAGTATTTTCTGATGGTTGTTTGTATTTCTTTGGGGTAAGGGTGGTATCTCCCTTGTCATTTCTGATTGCGTTTATTCCATTCTTCTTTCTTTCCTTCTATATTAGTCTAGCTAGTGGTCTATTTTATTAATTTTTTCAAAAAATAAGCTCCTGGATTCATTGATTTTTTAAGGGTTTTTTGTGTCTCTGTCTCCTTCAGTTCTGCTCTGATCTTGGTTATTTTTTGTCTTCTGCTAGCTTTGGGGTTTGTTTGCTCTTTGAACTGGTTTTAGTATCAATATTGTACTAGCTTCATAAAATGAGATGAGGAATGTTTCTAGTTTTTCCATTCCAGGAAGAAAATCTGAGTAAAAGTGGAATTATCTGTCCCTTGAATGTTTGGTAGAATTTACTGGTAAAACCAAATGAGCTTGATGTTTTATTTATGGGAAGATTTTAAATTATTGATTCAAATTATTTAATAGTTGCAGGACTATGTAAGTTATTTTATTTCTTTTTTATTGAGTTTTGGTAATTTGTATTTTTGTAGTAATTTTCCACTTGGTCTACGTTTTCCAATTTATTGATATAAAATTATTCATAATAATTCCCTATTATCTTTTTAATCTTTGTGATTTTGTCCCATTTTTCATACCTAATACTGCCTATCTATCTCTTTTCTTTATCTTGATCAATCTGACTGGAGATTTGTTAGTTATTTCAAAGAATCCATTTTTGGCTTTGTTGACCAAACTGTGTTTTATCTTTGTTTTCAGTTTCATTAAGTTCTGCTCATGTCTTCATTTCTTTCTCTCCACTTTCTTCGTTTTTTTTCTGTCTTTCCTCCTAACTTCTAACTTATTTTCTAATATAAGCGTTGAAGGTTATACATTTTTCTACTTTTTTGTGTGTGGGAAGTACAAAAATTGTCAATTGGGAATTTCGAAGTAGAGAAAAATATTTCATTCTGACTTTTAAATTGCCACTGTCAATTGTGCCTAAAATTCATAGTACTTACCATGTCAAACAATATGATTTTGATATGTACCTGGGAAAATTATGCTTACTAATGTGGTTTTAATTTCATCATGTTTCATATAGGATTCACCTTTATTTGATCTTATTAAACAATCAAAGGACCGAGAAGGACCAACTGATCACCTTGAATCTGCTTGTCCTCTTAATCTTCCTCTCCAGAATAATCACACTGCAGCAGATATGTAAGCAAAATATATGTTATGTTGACCATTCAAACTGCAAATAGATTTTAAGCATAAGTGCAATGTAACATTCTATAAAGAAACTGTAGGGAATAGAATTTTGAATAAGAATAGTTTCTGTTTTTAAGAAATTAGTAATAAAAGGTACATGACCCAAATAAAGTCATATAAAAGAGTACAGAGTGCTACTGAATCACCTAGGATTTGCATAATGAGAGCAGTTTTCATGGCAGAGTTGGCAGTTTAGGTGGAATAGGATTTCAATGTGGAAACTGGAGAGAATAGAGGAGACAGAGGAGTGTGTTCCAAGAGTCAGAATGGCATTAACTCAAAAATGTCAAAGGAAGCAGAAAACATTTTTCAGAGTGTGCAGGTCAGTCCATTTGGAGTGAAGCATAGGATAAGTGTAGGGAGAAGTATGGGATGTGGACTAACACACAGTTGATTAGTGTGTGCTGGTGATGACGATGGGAAAAGAAAATGTAAACCCAAATGTATCTGAAACAGGTCTCAATCAATGTAGTAGTTTATTTTGCCAAAGTTAAGGACGTGCCCAGGAGAGAGATCTGTGCCTTTCTCCAGTGATGATTTTGAGGGCTCCAATATTTAAATGGGAAAGTCAGTCTGGAGGGGAAAGAAAAAGGGTATGGTAATCCACATGTTGCAAGAGAAAAAGAGCAGGTAGAGGAATCGTCAATTATCTATCCATCTCATGCTGAGTGAATCGACATTTTACATAAGATAAGGTGAACATAGAGTCACTGTCTGTGGAGGTATTTAACCTTTTATCTGTATTTATTTGTGTGGGAACAAAAGGAAAGGCAGTTTCTTGCATGACTCAGATTTCAGCTTAATTTTTTCCTTTTGGCATAGTGAATTGGGGTCCCAAGTGTTTATTTTCCTTTCACAAAAGCAATCACTAACTGTGTGCTGGGCAATGGCCTAAGTACTTAAGATTTATTTTTTCATTTAATCTTCATAACAGCCCATAAGGTAACAGATACTGCTGTCAGCCTGTTAACTATAAAATAGGAATTAGAGAAATAAGATAACTTGCCTAAGGTCAATAGAATTCAAACCCAAGCTATCTAATCCCAAAGTCCAGGCTCTTAATCACTCTAACTACATTGCCTTTCACAGAAATGTGCCTAATATTTTGTTTCTGTTTAATTCTGTGTAGGAACTGACATTACAGTATTCTGTATTAGTGCAGGGGCCATTTTCCAGAGATGTCATTTTCATGCTAACTTGTACCCAAAGTGTTTCTGGCATATGGAGACCCTGCCTTCATGTATACATTTGTTTCCTAAGTAATGCATTGTATAAATAAGTTAAGCCTTGTTTTTTTAAAATTCAAGAAGCAGTCATCTGTAAACTGCCAGGAAGTGGTGTAGGCACTGGGAATACAGAAGTAAGATGGCCTGGGTCCTTCCCCTCATAGAGCTTACATTCTGGAGGAGGAACACAGGCAATGAACAAGTAAACCAAGATGTAAGATGATTTTAGAGTATAATAAGTGCTACAAAGGAAATAAACAGAGTGGTGTGAAAGAGAGAAACGGAGAGGCTGATAGAATGCTTAGTGGCACTTTCCTTTCTCTGATAAAGTGATATTTTGACGTCACACCTGAAGGGCAAGCTGATGCTAGCTAGGCAAAAACCTGCATGATGTGCATTCCAGGCAGAACAAACAGCAAGTGCAGTGGCTGTAGGGCAGATCAAACTTAGCTGGATTTAGGAACAGAAAGAAAGAAATCCTAGTGTGGCTGGGGTATTGGAAGAGGAGAATGGTGCAAGATGAGACTGAAGAGCTAAGCTGGGGTAGATCTTGTAGAGATCTCCACTCTCTAGCTGCTATCTGAAGTACAGGTGGGTTTGGAGGAAAGGGACAGGGCAAGGCAAAAAGCGAGGAAACCAATTTGGAGACTATTTCTGTAGTTCAGATGAGGGATGTAGGTGACTTGGTCTAAGGTATGGTATTAGAAATAGAAATGGAGAGATCTGGGGTGTATTTAGAGATAAATTAATAGGTTTTACATTGGTTTTATGTTGGATTTCAGGAATTTGGAAAATGGAGAAATTAAAAATAACCCTAGGTTTTTGACTTAAGACACTAGATGTAATGTGGAGCTATTCTTTGAGATGGGAAAATAAATCCAGAGCTCTGCTTTGTTCTTATTAAGTCTGAGATTCGAGTAGTTATATCCGGTAGGTAATTGGAGATTTACACCTAGAACTTCAGAGACTAACTTTGCCCAAGTTAGGCCAGTTTACGATACTGTCAGTGAACTGAATGAAAATCCAAAGTGGATACTAGACCAGACACTGGTCCTTCTAAAATCATTGTGATAATGGGTCGCTTTTCTTAGTGTACTGGTTAATATACTACGTGTTGTAGAAACATCCATAGTAAGGTACAAATTCTACTTCCTGTTCTCTTTGTTCTTAAAGTTTGTCTTTAAAAATAAGTTCATTTGCCAGCTACCAAAAGAAAATCAGAAAGTAGATCTAGATTATTCTGTTAAATAGGGGCAGCACAGAACGATAATATTTGTAATATCTCTGCCTTGAGTTATGCCTGACATATTTAGTATGGTGTAAATCTGTCTGAATAATGTTATTTGAAGTATTAATTCATAGAATTCTGTACTGTGTAATTTAGGTGTGTGTAAATCTGTGTGTATAACTGAAATCTTAGATATGAACCATAGTTATCGCTAAAAAAATTTTTAGAAGGAGAATCACAAAAACAAGATAACAGTATTTAATATCAATAAATTGTTTTTTAAGCTGGAATCACCTTATGGTCTCAATACCACTATAATTATTAAAATTGTACATTATACATATATAGCTATTTTTTTCTAATAAGGCAGTAATCCCCAGGAAAAGCCATTTATTAAAATAGAATTAGATATGATGATGACAAGCAGTTTTCCTATTAATATATCTTTCCCAGCTTGCATTTAAATAGTCTGCTATAATACCAATTAAATAGACAAGATGTATCTGGGTGTACAACCTTGAAGTGTATGTATAATCTGTGATTCTTAGCCAACTTGAAATGAAGACTTTTCCTTTAAATATATCTAGGTATCTTTCTCCTGTAAGATCTCCAAAGAAAAAAGGTTCAACTACGCGTGTAAATTCTACTGCAAATGCAGAGACACAAGCAACCTCAGCCTTCCAGACCCAGAAGCCATTGAAATCTACCTCTCTTTCACTGTTTTATAAAAAAGGTTAGTAGATGATTATTTTCAAGAGCATGGACTCTGAAACTAGGCTGACTGGGTTCAAATCATGTTTCTTCTACTTTCTAGGTACATTACTGGGCAAGTCACTTAATATCTCTGTGTCTCAGTTTCCTCATCTATAAAATGGAAATGATAATGTTGCGAGATCTTTCTTGACTATTCAGAGTCGTTTTTCTGGCCGGAAACCTCTGTGACCGGTGGCGCCCTTGATCAATTTTTGCTCAGGCCCACCGGGCTCATTTCAGCCCCTTGGTCTGACAGGCTGCACTCGGCTCACACTACCGGCCTGGGTCCATGCCAGCCAGGAGCAAGTCAGACATGGAACGGAGAGGGGTGTGTGGGCAAGCATGAGATCTGGCCATTGCCCACAGTCAGAAATGCTGGCTGCTGCAGCGGGGCGGGCAGCTCCAGGTGCTGGCACAGGTGCCAACTCTCTGTGAGGCTGCACCTGGACCAGACACACCACAAGCGGTTTCCACAGCTGGCACTGGGGAACAATAAAATGGCTCCCAGAAGCTTGGAGACGCCAGAAACCACAGGGCCCCAAAGAGGGAGTCACAGCCCTGGCTCAAGGAGCTCCCAATTCTGGGCTCCCCGAAGGGCCGCAGCTCTTCTCTCTTCTTTACCCACAACATGGCGAGCAAGGGGCATGTTTCAGCCCTGTTTGTGTTACAGCCCTTTCAGCCTCGCCATTTGGTGGGTCCTGAGTTCTTGTCCTGCAGCCAGGAAGAATGAGGTACACAGACAAGTGGAGGGTGAGCAAGATGAAGAGGAGATTTATTGAGCAATAGAACAGCTTAGAGAAGACCCATAGTGGGCAGCTCCTCTCTGTAACCACAAAGTCCCGATGAGTGTTCAGCTCCTAGCAGAGAAGGTAGCTCCTCTCTGCAGGCAGGTCGTCCCAACAAGTGTTCAGTTCTCAGCAGAAAGGGTAGCTCCTCTCTGCAGCTGCTCGTCCTGACAAGTGTTCAGCTATCAGTAGAGAGGGTAGTTCCTCTCTGCAGCTAGTTGTCTCTCCATCCTCTGCTCTGCTCTGGCTGAGACTCGGGCTTCTGTGGGCCTCAGCGGGAAGAAAGTGTGCACCGATTGGTACATGGGCGGCCACTAGTGGGCCCAGAAAAGGTACCACAAGTCCTCACTCCTGTCCGTGGGACTGGCAGCGCCCACCCCCAGCCTTCAGGCGCTCCCTGGCCTGAAGGTGGGGCCTCAACAGGGACTCATCCTCTACTGCTCAGGAGCCCATCTGCCTCCTGCCGCCATCCATGCGTCAAGGGGCACCTGTAGGCCAGTGCCAAGCTGCCCTCAGCCCCCGCCTCGGCTTCCCCCCCGTGCTCGTCAGCGCCCAAAGTCTGGAGAGGGCTGAGGCGGCAGGGGGCTGGCGTGTCAGCGCTGCCTTGAGCGTGCGCACATCTGGCTGGGCTGCAGCAGCACCCAGGCTCAGCCCTGACTTTGCTCCGAGATTGGAGTGGGCGCTGGCAGCAGGGAGAAACCAGGCAGTGGGAGCAGGCACTTCTGAGCCTGCGAGGGCGGTGGCAGTTGGGGGGTGCCTTCCCCGGCCCCCAAGTATACAGAGATGCCTGGGTCCACAGCCACGGTTTGGGTAGCTGCAGCTGCACTGGGGAGGGTGGGACTCCTACCTGCTCCCCAGCCCAGAGAGCACAGGGATGCCTGGGTCCGCAGCGGTGGCTTGGGCGGCTGCAGAAGCACTGGGGAGCTCCTGTCCCAACTCGGAAGGGGCGGGGTTCCTGCTTGTCCCCGGCTCCTCCGGGCTTCCTGGAGCGTGCCGCCCCATCCACGCCTCTCTGCTGCAGCAGGTGTGATGTACATACAAAAGTAGTGTGTTGTTGCCTACTGCAGACACATTTCCTGGATATTTTCAGGACATTTAAGAAGGCCAGTAACCAGGTCATGTAGCATTCTCTGAGTGTGTATATATGGTGGGGTGGGGAGGTTGATTTGAGTGTCTGTGCATGCGTATATACTTCCTAGTGCATATCCACTTGGAGCTCTTTGAAAGACAGTAAAAGGTCATGTTCCTCCATGATAATCTTTTTCCTGATTTTATTCAAGTAAGAATTATGCTGAGCTTTACAGGCATATTGTCAGATATTATCCTTAGGTTAGAGCAGTGGTTTTCAAAGTGTCGTTCCCAACCAGCAGAATCCACATCACCTGGAAATTGTAGAAATGAGAATTCTGGGGCTCCAGCCTAGACCTGCTCAATCAGAAACTCTTAAGATAGGGCCCTCAAAACCTTGTTTTAACAACCCTCCAGCTAAGTCTGATGTATGCTAAAGTTTAAGACCACTGAGATAAATTGTTAGCTTTAAAAATTTCAAATTACCTCATGCAAGTCGTTGAAAGAGATATATAAAAGGTCTTTATATGATATTTAAAGTAGATGAAGGAAAATTCAATTTTATGGATTCCTTTTTGCCAAATTTGCATTTTCAGTAGTATTTTTTATAAACTAAATAAATTACATATTGCAGTCATTTTACATATAGGTAATCTACAAGTTTACCATTTTTCAACAGAGTATGTTCCATTGGTATTTTATAGAGAAATGTGTGGTTTAATTTTTTTAGGATTGGAAAAATTCATAGACACTGGCAATTATATAATTTAAAAAAATGATTATTCCTCTTTAATATTGATAGTGGGAATGACCAGTGGTGAGTGATTATTAATAGAATTGAAACAAACCCTATTGGGTTTGTCTAATTTTACAGTGTCTTATGACCTTTCCTCCACTACTTCCCACCTCTGCCCCAATTTCATGCCATAATAGTTAATTCAGCAAGTATCATTCTGCCTTATATGTACCTAGAAATGTGCTAACACAAGGAATCAATTATTTTTAAGGAAAATAGTGGTAGAAAAATCTTAAACATCACCACTAAAGAACTTATTCATGTAACCAAACACCACCTGTTCCCCCAAACACCTATTTTTTAAAAAAACTCATGCCTACATAATGAAGCCTCCATAAAAACTCAAAAGGACCTGGTTCTGGGAGCTTCTGGATATTTGCCCAACTGGAGGTTCCTGGAGAATAGCATGCCTGGGGAGGGCAAGGAAAATCCATGCCCCTTCTCACATGCCTTGCCCTCTGCATTTCTTCATCTGTATCCCTTGTAATATGCCTCATAATAAACCAGTAAACATGTTTCTCTGGGGGAAAGAAAAGAGTGGTAGAAAAGAGGTTTCTGTTAAAATGCTACTTAACAGCATTATAATTAGAGCGATTTCATGATTTGAAAAAAATCTACTTGTAATTCAAAATGAACAGTAAAAATGACTAATTTTTCTTATTCCCACAGTGTATCGGCTAGCCTATCTCCGGCTAAATACACTTTGTGAACGCCTTCTGTCTGAGCACCCAGAATTAGAACATATCATCTGGACCCTTTTCCAGCACACCCTGCAGAATGAGTATGAACTCATGAGAGACAGGCATTTGGACCAAGTAAGAAAATCAAGCACTTCACCTTCTCTCCTCCCTACTTACTTGTTAACTGATTCTTTCTTTCTTTCTTTCTTTCTTTCTTTCTTTCTTTCTTTCTTTCTTTCTTTCTTTCTTTCTTTTTCTTTCTTTCTTTCTCTCTTTCTTTCTTTTTTTTGAGATAGAGTCTCACTCTGTTACCCAGGCTAGAGTGCAGTGGCGCAATCTCGGCTCACTGCAACCTCCGCCTCCCAGGTTCAAGTGATTCTCCTGCCTCAGCCTCCCAGGTAGCTAGGATTACAGGCGTGTACCACCACACCTTGTTAATTTTTGTATTTTAGTAGAGACAGGTTTTCACCATGTTGGCCAGGCTGGTCTCAAACTCCTGACCTCAGGTGATCCGTCTACCTAAGGCCTCCCAAAGTGTTGGGATTACAGGCATGAGCCACCGCACCCAGCCTTGTTAAGTGATTTCTAAAGAAAATATTAGATTCAAATGAGAAACTAGATCAATTTATTAGACTTAATATATGTTCACTTTTTGGCTACCATTTACATTTTTGTTGTAATTCTTACAAATTAGAGCTTTAACACTCAAGAGTATATTTTAGTAACTGCTTATTTAATGACACAAAAGATCTTACCTGTAAAAAAAATAGCTGAAGAACCTTCTTATCACTGGCTTTTTCTATGTAGTAGTGAGCTAGATATCATTTTAGTGTGAAAAAAGCATGAGACTTAAGAATCAGTTGATTTAAAACAATACCTATTGAATGAATGAATGAAGTCAATTAGTTTACAATGAGAGAATCATTTTTCATCTCCTCCTTTTTCTCTATAAAATAGGTTAATAAGAACAATATACTTTTGGCTGGGTGCAGTGGCTCACGCCTGTAATCCTAGCACTTTGGGAGGCTGAGGTGGGCAGATCGCTTGAGCTCAGGAGTTTGAGACCAGCCTGGGCAACCTGGCAAAACTCTGTCTCTACAAAAAATTTAAAAATTAGCCAGGTGTGGTGACTTGCACCTGTGGTCCCAGCTACTTCGGAGACTGAACTGGGAGGATTTCTTGAGCCCAGGAGGTGGAGGTTGCAAGTGAGCTGAGATCACACCACTGTGCTCCAACCTGGGTAACAGAGCAAGACCTTGTCTCAAAAAAATTTTGTTAATTAAAAAAATATATACATATATAGTTAATAGCTTTACTGAAATAATTCACACACCATAAAAACCACCCATTTAAAATGTACAATTCAGTGGTTTTTAGTATATTCACAGTTATACAAACATCACCATAATCAATTTTAGAATTTGTATCACACCAGAAAGAAACTCCATACCCTCAAGCAGTCACCCCCTATTCCCCTACCCCCTCAGCCCAAGGCAATACTAATCTATTTTCTCTCTATGGATTTGCCTCTTCTAGACATTTCATATACATGGAATTATATAATATGTGGTCTTTTGTGTATGGCTTCTTTCATTTAGCATAATGTTTTCAAGGTTCATCTGTATTGTAGCTTGTATCAGTACTTCATTCCTTTTCATTGCCAGACAATATTCCATTGTATGGATATACACCACATTATGCTTATCATTCATAAAGTGATAAACATTTGGGTTGTTTCCACTTTTTGGCTATTATGAATAATGTTACCGTGAACATTCATGAACATGTTTCATTTCTCCTAGGTACATACCTAGGAGTAGAATTGCTAGGTCATATGATAATTCTATGTTAACTTTTTGAGGAATGCCCAGATCATTTTCCAAAGTGGCTATACCATTTTACATGCCTACCAATAATGTATGAGGTTCTAATTTCTCTATATCCTCACCAACTTTTTTATCTTTTTTTTTTAATAATAGCCATCCTAGTGGGTATAAAATGGCATCTCAGTGTGGTTTGATTTGCATTTCTCTGATGGCTAGTGATGGTGAGCACCTTTTCATGTGTTTACTGGCCATGTGTATATCTTCTTTAGAGAAATGTCTATCAGACCGTTTGCCCATTTTATTTTTTATTTATTTTTTTTATTTTTGACACGGAGTCTTGCTCTGTCGCCCAGGCTAGAGTGCAGTGGCACGATCTCGGCTCACGGCAATCTTCGCCTTCTGGGTTCAAGCAATTCTTCTGCCTCAGCCTCCTGAGTAGCTGGGATTACAGGTGTGTGCCACCACACCTGGCTAATTTCTGTATTTTTAGTAGAGACGGGGTTTCATTATGTTGGTCAGGCTGGTCTCGAACTCCTGACCTTGTGTTCCACCCGCCTTGGCCTCCCAAAGTGCTGGGATTACAGGCATGAGCCACCATGCCCAGCCCATTTTGTTTTGAGACATGGTCTTACTCTGTCACCCAGGCTGGAGTGCAGTGACATGATCACAGCTCACTGCAGCCTCGAATTCCCGGGCTCAAGTGTTCCTCCCACTTCTGCCTCCTGAGTAGCTGGGACTATAGGCACACACCACCACGCCGAGCTAATTTTTGTATTTTTTTGTACAGATAGGGTTTTGCCGTGTTGCTCAGGCTGGTCTTGAATGGTTGAGCTCAAGTAAGCCACCCACCTTGGCCTCCCAAAGTGCTAGGATTACAGGCATGAGCCACCATGCCCAGACTGCTCATTTTTTAATAGAGTTATTTGTCTTGTTATTATTGAACTGTAAGGGGTCATTATGTAGTCTACATACAAGTCACTTATCACATATATAATTTGAAAATATTTTCTCCCATTCTGTGAGTTGTTTCACTTTCTTGTTAGTGTCCTTTGAAACACAAGTTTTTTATTTTGATGATGTCCAATTTATGTAGTTGTTTTCTTGTTATTGATGCTTTAGTGTCATATCTAAGAAACCAGTGCCAAATCTGAAGTTGTTAAGATTTATCCCTGTTTTCCTCCAAAATGTTTATAATTGTAGTTCTTACATTTAGGTTTTGCTCCATTTTGAGCTAATTTTTTAATATAGTTGAGGTAGGGGTCCAGCTTCATTCTTTTGTTTGTGGATAACTAGTTGTTCCAGCACCATTTTTTGAAGAGTTTTTTTCTCTCTTCATTGACAGTTGTCAAAAAATCAGTTGACTGTAAATATATAAGTATTTATTTCTGGACTCTCAATTCTGTTTCATATGAGATCTACATAAGCTATTCTTATGTCAGGACTACACTGTACACTTGGCTGTAGGATGCCAAGCAAAAATGATTATTTGGCATTCTTGGCAATAGTAGGTAAGAGCAAGAATGTTGCAGAAGCAATGAGTACTTAAATTAGGCTATAAAGTTCATACAAATAAAGAAAATCTGACATTTTAAAGTCACAGGGAATCATTTTCAGATCTTATTTTTGCATTTAAAATATCTTTTATTGAAATGTAATACACATATGTAAAAACCTGTGTATCAAAAGTATACATTCTAACAAAAATTCATCAACTGAGCTTAGTTATATAACCAGCATCCAGATCAAGAAACAAAACATTGTCAGCAACACATAAGACTCTCTTACATGCTCTTCCAGTCACCATAGCCTCCTTACCACCACCACCAAGTGTGTTCAATATTATTTTATCTAATAGTTTGAAACATTTTCACACCTGGCTTTTTAAAGTGCTAGTTATACAAAATTAACTGATTCTACTTTCAACTTTTCTGGGAAACATTTAAGGGACAAGAGCCAAAGTTAGGGTAATTTACAAACCAGGTGATCAGTCCTGAATAATTGAGCCTTGGTGATTTGCATTTTGTTCTTTAAACACACTTTGGGTTAAACACTTCATGTAGACTTTCAAACTGAGCTCAGTATGGAAAGAAATAACTCTGTAGATTAAACCTTTCTTTTTTGAGGCTAAAAGAAAGAAAATGGTATTTTTTAAGAACAAAACCATGTAATAAAATTCTGACTACTTTTACATCAATTTATTTACTAGATTATGATGTGTTCCATGTATGGCATATGCAAAGTGAAGAATATAGACCTTAAATTCAAAATCATTGTAACAGCATACAAGGATCTTCCTCATGCTGTTCAGGAGGTAGGTAATTTTCCATAGTAAGTTTTTTTGATAAATCCATATCCATAACATAACATAGGTAATTCATTTGATCTCATTTATTCATTAATGAGATCATATATTCTGTCTGACCTTATTATGTAAATTCACAAATAAAAACTTTTATATTATTTATTTGTAACTTAAATAGAATTGGAAAGATAAGGGTAATTATGAAATTACCCATATTCATAGTTTTTTATAAAGTTAATAAATAATATTTTATCCCTGTAATAAGCAGGTATTTGTAATAAACTTGACATGAGTCATAGAACATTAGATATTCTTTGAAGTTATTTTTATTACTTTATAGGAAAAGCCAGTATAAATGCAGCCTTGCAAATCAATAATACAAATGTTCAGTATAAACACATTTTGTGTTTCCGGTTTACCTTCCCTTTAGAGAAATAGTAGTAGTAAAATATACTTGGTATGACACATTTCATATTGTTCTGTGGAAAGTGAGTTGAGGGGTATTTTTCCCATTTATTATTGGAGTTTTCAAAAGTAATACAAACCAAGTCATTTTTGTTTGTATGTTTGAAGTTATTTTCTAAATTCAATCATTTTAATTGTATATATCAGAGGCATCTGATATAACCTCTGTGTTTTTCCCTAAAATTTGAGTGAAATCTAACTATCACTAAAATATAGTGCTTTTACTAAATGTCTACTTCTTGCAATTGCGTAATGTATACTGAAACCCTTATAGATTGGGGGGGATACCGGGAGGTACAGGCCAGAGAATGTAGTCCAAATATTGGTGGATAATATTATTGGCTTTCGCTCAGCTCTGGCCCTTTGATTCCCATCATGCTTTCCATTCTACCAGTCTATCTACTCCTCTCTTCCCAGTCTATATACTCTTCTCTTCTTGGATGGCCAGCTCTTCCATCTGCTGCTGCCTGGCTATTTCTCTCAATCATTCTGTGACATTTCACTTCTAGAAGAGCAGCTATAATCCAAGCCTAAGAAGTAATTTTATTTATTTATTATTTTTTCCTTTATAATATGTGCTTCTTACCAGTCAAAAAGTATTATAAACTATTAGAAAAGAAAATCTAAAGGTAGAAATTTTAAAATTCATTTAACAAGTAAATTTTACTTTTTTTTTTTTTTTTTTTTTTTTACTGTTCTTCCTCAGACATTCAAACGTGTTTTGATCAAAGAAGAGGAGTATGATTCTATTATAGTATTCTATAACTCGGTCTTCATGCAGAGACTGAAAACAAATATTTTGCAGTATGCTTCCACCAGGGTAGGTCAAAAGTATCCTTTGATTGGAAAAATCTAATGTAATGGGTCCACCAAAACATTAAATAAATAATCTACTTTTTTGTTTTTGCTCTAGCCCCCTACCTTGTCACCAATACCTCACATTCCTCGAAGCCCTTACAAGTTTCCTAGTTCACCCTTACGGATTCCTGGAGGGAACATCTATATTTCACCCCTGAAGAGTCCATATAAAATTTCAGAAGGTCTGCCAACACCAACAAAAATGACTCCAAGATCAAGGTGTGTGTTTTCTCTTTAGGGAAGTAGTAAAGAATGAGAGGGGGATTATTTTGATCCAAGAATAAAAAATATAAAGCATTCTTCATTTCAAATAAGCTAGACTCTTGAAACTCTATTTGCTTATTTAAGTAACATAATAAGAATATGGGGGCGGGGTGAAGAAAATCTATTTACGACTTAAGCAACGCAAGATGGCCGAATAGGAACAGCTCCGGTCTACAGCTCCCAGCGTGAGCGACGCAGAAGACGGGTGATTTCTGCATTTCCATCTGAGGTACCGGGTTCATCTCACTAGGGAGTGCCAGACAGTGGGCGCAGGCCAGTGTGTGTGCGCACCGTGTGCGAGCCGAAGCAGGGCGAGGCATTGCCTCACCTGGGAAGCGCAAGGGGTCAGGGAGTTCCCTTTCCGAGTCAAAGAAAGGGGTGACGGACGCACCTGGAAAATCGGGTCACTCCCACCCGAATATTGCACTTTTCAGACCGGCTTAAGAAACGGCGCACCACGAGACTATATCCCACACCTGGCTCAGAGGGTCCTACGCCCACGGAATCTCGCTGATTGCTAGCACAGCAGTCTGTGATCAAACTGCAAGGCGGCAGCGAGGCTGGGGGAGGGGCGCCTGCCATTGCCCAGGCTTGCTTAGGTAAACAAAGCAGCCGGGAAGCTCGAACTGGGTGGAGCCCACCACAGGTCAAGGAGGCCTGCCTGCCTTTGTAGGCTCCACCTCTGGGGGCAGGGCACAGACAAACAAAAAGACAGCAGTAACCTCTGCAGACTTAAGTGTCCCTGTCTGACAGCTTTGAAGAGAGCAGTGGTTCTCCCAGCACGCAGCTGGAGATCTGAGAACGGGCAGACTGCCTCCTCAAGTGGGTCCCTGACCCCTGACCCCCGAGCAGCCTAACTGGGAGGCACCCCCCAGCAGGGGCACACTGACACCTCACAAGGCAGGGTATTCCAACAGACCTGCAGCTGAGGGTCCTGTCTGTTAGAAGGAAAACTAACAACCAGAAAGGACATCTACACCGAAAACCCATCTGTACATCACCATCATCAAAGACCAAAAGTAGATAAAACCACAAAGATGGGGAAAAAACAGAACAGAAAAACTGGAAACTCTAAAACGCAGAGCGCCTCTCCTCCTCCAAAGGAACACAGTTCCTCACCAGCAACGGAACAAAGTTGGACGGAGAATGACTTTGACGAGCTGAGAGAAGAAGGTTTCAGACGATCAAATTACTCTGAGCTACGGGAGGACATTCAAACCAAAGGCAAAGAAGTTGAAAACTTTGAAAAAAATTTAGAAGAATATATAACTAGAATAACCAATACAGAGAAGTGCTTAAAGGAGCTGATGGAGCTGAAAACCAAGGCTCGAGAACTACGTGAAGAATGCAGAAGCCTCAGGAGCCAATGCGATCAACTGGAAGAAAGGGTATCAGCAATGGAAGATGAAATGAATGAAATGAAGTGAGAAGGGAAGTTTAGAGAAAAAAGAATAAAAAGAAATGAGCAAAGCCTCCAAGAAATATGGGACTATGTGAAAAGACCAAATCTACGTCTGATTGGTGTACCTGAAAGTGATGTGGAGAATGGAACCAAGTTGGAAAACACTCTGCAGGATATTATCCAGGAGAACTTCCCCAATCTAGCAAGGCAGGCCAACGTTCAGATTCAGGAAATACAGAGAACGCCACAAAGATACTCCTCGAGAAGAGCAACTCCAAGACACATAATTGTCAGATTCACCAAAGTTGAAATGAAGGAAAAAATGTTAAGGGCAGCCAGAGAGAAAGGTCGGGTTACCCTCAAAGGAAAGCCCATCAGACTAACAGCGGATCTCTCGGCAGAAACCTTACAAGCCAGAAGAGAGTGGGGGCCAATATTCAACATTCTTAAAGAAAAGAATTTTCAACCCAGAATTTCATATCCAGCCAAACTAAGCTTCATAAGTGAAGGAGAAATAAAATCCTTTACAGACAAGCAAATGCTGAGAGATTTTGTCACCACCAGGCCTGCCCTAAAAGAGCTCCTGAAGGAAGCGCTAAACATGGAAAGGAACAACCGGTACCAGCCGCTGCAAAATCATGCCAAAATGTAAAGACCATCGAGACTAGGAAGAAACTGCATCAACTAATGAGCAAAATCACCAGCTAACATCATAATGACAGGATCAAATTCACACATAACAATATTAACTTTAAATATAAATGGACTAAATTCTGCAATTAAAAGACACAGACTGGCAAGTTGGATAAAGAGTCAAGACCCATCAGTGTGCTGTATTCAGGAAACCCATCTCACGTGCAGAGACACACATAGGCTCAAAATAAAAGGATGGAGGAAGATCTACCAAGCCAATGGAAAACAAAAAAAGGCAGGGGTTGCAATCCTAGTCTCGGATAAAACAGACTTTAAACCAACAAAGATCAAAAGAGACAAAGAAGGCCATTACATAATGGTAAAGGGATCAATTCAACAAGAGGAGCTAACTATCCTAAATGTTTATGCACCCAATACAGGAGCACCCAGATTCATAAAGCAAGTCCTGAGTGACCTACAAAGAGACTTAGACTCCCACACATTAATAATGGGAGACTTTAACACCCCACTGTCAACATTAGACAGATCAACGAGACAGAAAGTCAACAAGGATACCCAGGAATTGAACTCAGCTCTGCACCAAGCAGACCTAATAGACATCTACAGAACTCTCCACCCCAAATCAACAGAATATACCTTTTTTTCAGCACCACACCACACCTATTCCAAAATTGACCACATAGTTGGAAGTAAAGCTCTCCTCAGCAAATGTAAAAGAACAGAAATTATAACAAACTATCTCTCAGACCACAGTGCAATCAAACTAGAACTCAGGATTAAGAATCTCACTCAAAGCCGCTCAACTACATGGAAACTGAACAACCTGCTCCTGAATGACTACTGGGTACATAACGAAATGAAGGCAGAAATAAAGATGTTCTTTGAAACCAACGAGAACAAAGACACCACATACCAGAATCTCTGGGACACATTCAAAGCAGTGTGTAGAGGGAAATTTATAGCACTAAATGCCTACAAGAGAAAGCAGGAAAGATCCAAAATTGACACCCTAACATCACAATTAAAAGAACTAGAAAAGCAAGAGCAAACACATTCAAAAGCTAGCAGAAGGCAAGAAATAACTAAAATCAGAGCAGAACTGAAGGAAATAGAGACACAAAAAACCCTTCAAAAAAATCAATGAATCCAGGAGCTGGTTTTTTGAAAGGATCAACAAAATTGATAGACCGCTAGCAAGACTAATAAAGAAAAAAAGAGAGAAGAATCAAATAGACACAATAAAAAATGATAAAGGGGATATCACCACCGATCCCACAGAAATACAAACTACCATCAGAGAATACTACAAACACCTCTACGCAAATAAACTAGAAAATCTAGAGGAAATGGATACATTCCTCGACACATACACTCTCCCAAGACTAAACCAGGAAGAAGTTGAATCTCTGAATAGACCAATAACAGGCTCTGAAATTGTGGCAATAATCAATAGTTTACCAACCAAAAAGAGTCCAGGACCAGATGGATTCACAGCCGAATTCTACCAGAGGTACAAGGAGGAACTGGTACCATTCCTTCTGAAACTATTCCAATCAATAGAAAAAGAGGGAATCCTCCCTAACTCATTTTATGAGGCCAGCATCATTCTGATACCAAAGCCGGGCAGAGACACAGCCAAAAAAGAGAATTTTAGACCAATATCCTTGATGAACATTGATGCAAAAATCCTCAATAAAATACTGGCAAACCGAATCCAGCAGCACATCAAAAAGCTTATCCACCATGATCAAGTGGGCTTCATCCCTGGGATGCAAGGCTGGTTCAATATACGCAAATCAATAAATGTAATCCAGCATATAAACAGAGCCAAAGACAAAAACCACATGATTATCTCAATAGATGCAGAAAAAGCCTTTGACAAAATTCAACAACCCTTCATGCTAAAAACTCTCAATAAATTAGGTATTGATGGGACATATTTCAAAATAATAAGAGCTATCTATGACAAACCCACAGCCAATATCATACTGAATGGGCAAAAACTGGAAGCATTCCCTTTGAAAACTGGCACAAGACAGGGATGCCCTCTCTCACCGCTCCTATTCAACATAGTGTTGGAAGTTCTGGCCAGGGCAATCAGGCAGGAGAAGGAAATAAAGGGTATTCAATTAGGAAAAGAGGAAGTCAAATTGTCCCTGTTTGCAGATGACATGATTGTTTATCTAGAAAACCCCATCGTCTCAGCCCAAAATCTCCTTAAGCTGATAAGCAACTTCAGCAAAGTCTCAGGATACAAAATCAATGTACAAAAATCACAAGCATTCTTATACACCAACAACAGACAAACAGAGAGCCAAATCATGAGTGAACTCCCATTCACAATTGCTTCAAAGAGAATAAAATACCTAGGAATCCAACTTACAAGAGATGTGAAGGACCTCTTCAAGGAGAACTACAAACCACTGCTCAAGGAAATAAAAGAGGACACAAACAAATGGAAGAACATTCCATGCTCATGGGTAGGAAGAATCAATATCGTGAAAATGGCCATACTGCCCAAGGTAATTTACAGATTCGATGCCATCCCCATCAAGCTACCAATGACTTTCTTCACAGAATTGGAAAAAACTACTTTAAAGTTCATATGGAACCAAAAAAGAGCCCGCATCGCCAAGTCAATCCTAAGCCAAAAGAACAAAGCTGGAGGCATCACACTACCTGACTTCAAACTATACTACAAGGCTACAGTAACCAAAACAGCATGGTACTGGTACCAAAACAGAGATATAGATCAATGGAACAGAACAGAGCCCTCAGAAATAATGCCGCATATCTACAACTATCTGATCTTTGACAAACCTGAGAAAAACAAGCAATGGGGAAAGGATTCCCTATTTAATAAATGGTGCTGGGAAAACTGGCTAGCCATATGTAGAAAGCTGAAACTGGATCCCTTCCTTACACCTTATACAAAAATCAATTCAAGATGGATTAAAGATTTAAACGTTAGACCTAAAACCATAAAAACCCTAGAAGAAAACCTAGGCATTACCATTCAGGACATAGGCGTGGGCAAGGACTTCATGTCCAAAACACCAAAAGCAATGGCAACAAAAGCCAAAATTGACAAATGGGATCTAATTAAACTCAAGAGCTTCTGCGCAGCAAAAGAAACTACCATCAGAGTGAACAGGCAACCTACAACATGGGAGAAAATTTTCGCAACCTACTCATCTGACAAAGGGCTAATATCCAGAATCTACAATGAACTCAAACAAATTTACAAGAAAAAAACAACCCTATCAAAAAGTGGGCGAAGGACATGAACAGACACTTCTCAAAAGAAGACATTTATGCAGCCAAAAAACACATGAAGAAATGCTCATCATCACTGGCCATCAGAGAAATGCAAATCAAAACCACTATGAGATATCATCTCACACCAGTTAGAATGGCAATCATTAAAAAGTCAGGAAACAACAGGTGCTGGAGAGGATGTGGAGAAATAGGAACACTTTTACACTGTTGGTGGGACTGTAAACTAGTTCAACCATTGTGGAAGTCAGTGTAGCGATTCCTCAGGGATCTAGAACTAGAAATACCATTTGACCCAGCCATCCCATTACTGGGTATATACCCAAAGGACTATAAATCATGCTGCTATAAAGACACATGCACACGTATGTTTATTGTGGCACTATTCACAATAGCAAAGACTTGGAACCAACCCAAATGTCCAACAATGATAGACTGGATTAAGAAAATGTGGCACATATACACCATGGAATACTATGCAGCCATAAAAAATGATGAGTTCATGTCCTTTGTAGGGACATGGATGAAATTGGAAACCATCATTCTCAGTAAACTATCGCAAGAACAAAAAACCAAACACCGCATATTCTCACTCATAGGTGGGAATTGAACAATGAGATCACATGGACACAGGAAGGGGAATATCACACTCTGGGGACTGTGGTGGGGTCGGGGGAGGGGGGAGGGATAGCATTGGGAGATATACCTAATGCTAGATGACACGTTAGTGGGTGCAGCACACCAGCATGGCACATGTATACATATGTAACTAACCTGCACAATGTGCACATGTACCCTAAAACTTAGAGTATAATAAAAAATATAAATAAAAAAAAAAAAAAGAAAATCTATTTACTTGGATGGGTTTACAGATTTAGTTATCAGCTTTCCTGACTGTTAGGTATCTTCTTTTGAGAACAATTTGAGAACCAGTTTGGTTATATGTTTCAAAACACTTTTATATTTTTTAAATAGCCAATCTGCTAAACAAAGCAGGTTACTTTAGGTTGAGTACTTTTAGTTTGCAGTTTATTGGATGTCCTGTAAGTTTTGCTTCCTGTGGATTTTTTTCCTTTTGCTTGTTATATTAAATGTAGATTACTGTCAATTAAGTCTTTAGAGGTCCATCCCTAATCCTGCTGGCGGCCTCTTTACCACCTCACCTTGGGCAGGTCTCTATCTGTACTTCACAAGGGTGCTGTGGATCAGGGAAATGATGAGTATGAAGCTGTTTTAAATTCTCAGATGAAAGGTTGTATGCAACTACAAATCATTATATTATCTTCCACATCCAACCACAAGTGCTCTCTAGCTTTGAAGTGCTTCAGTTGACTAATTATATGTTATCATGGGCTATTTGAAACTGACTTTATTTGTGTGAAGTAGGAGGCAGATTAGCTAGTATAGTTAATGTAGTCTCATCTCAGAAATTATCAGCCCATATGGTTGTACCTAATGGGCAAGAAAAGGGGGCATATGTTGGCCTTTCAGAAAATATTTGCATGGTATATTTAATTATTTAAGTAGTACGTACTCATTATAAAAATTTCAAACTCTACAGAAAAATATGAAGTAAGAAATAATTGGCAATATGATACAAATGCTCTCATGTGTCTCTGTATCATCCTTTATTTATTTGGTGTTCTTGTAGTTGGATATCTGTGTACTGATATCTACTACTTGTTCTAAGCTGCTAAGATGCCACGTCATGTCTATTTAAGAAAATTTACATTGTTCCATGCCACTATATGAAAATGTATACTTAGGTAGTTTTTTTTAATAGTGATAATTAGTCCATATTATGGTGATAATGATGGCTACTTGCTGATCCTTAGTGAAATAAATTCTGTGTTGGTATTCTTCAGCAAAAACGTCACATTCTGAACATCCTAACTAATAAATCATTGACCAGGCATTAGGAGAGCATCTTAACACTCTACCCAGTACATTTAGGTACTCTGGTTAATCAAATATTATATGTAGAGTGATGGCCACTTATCAAGGAATTGGAGGGCAAAAAAATCTCTATATTCACTAGTTCCATGTTCATGTTTTCAAATCTTTGTCGAGTCATGTCAGGCTAATGATGTTCTTCAGCTTTATTATAAAGAACATAAATTATATGGTTCAAATAAAGACAGACTAATAAAGATTTCTGACTCTATGATATATGATAAATAGCCTTTACTATATCAATATAGATGCTAATTAGAATTCTGATTATTACTTAATATTCTAAGTTTTTTCCAAATATAACTTGAATTTTAAATGAGAAAATATGAAAGAAATTTGATAACTTACCCATTGATTTATGAAGAACTAAGTAGGGGTAACCTTGAAACTTGCCTTTGCCCTCCCTAAATATGGGCAATGGCAGAATATGTTCTTGCAGACCTATAACTTTTGCTTTAAAACTAAGAGACTAGGTGAGTATATGATTAGACGGGCACTGTTAGAATAATTCCCAAATGAATATAGTTTGTCAGTGGTTCTAGGGTAGAGGTAACCTTTAATTTGGTATTCCTAATAGTTCAGAATGATGTATTTATGCTCATCTCTGCAAAATTGTATATGGTTTTTTATTACTAATTGGTATTTCATCTTAACTTGACAGAATCTTAGTATCAATTGGTGAATCATTCGGGGTGAGTATTTTCTTTCTATGAAATATAATAGTATGCATTGTAAGTATAAAAGAAATTAAAGCTTTCTATAATTTGAATTTCCAAATGCAGTTATTCAAACACCTCATCCAGGCATATTGCATAGAATTTTATGAGATATATATATCTCAGATTTACTTTCAAATCAAGTTTAATCTCAAATCATACTCCTAATTGGTGAACTTCAAAACTTTTCTAAATATCCACTTGAGATTATATAATACATATATACATTTGTGTATATACATACATATATACGTGAGCTGTTTTTGCTCACAACATTTCTATCACCAAATGTGTGAGATTTTTTTCTCACCCAAATCTATTCTTCAACTCTCTGGTGTTCTACAATTCAATTCAATTCTGACACTAATTACCCAGAGTCAGCATCAGACTCCACAGGTTCAAGGGCTCAGTCCCACAAAAATGGTCTCACTGCAGACACCAGTCACAAGTGTCAGGTCCCCAGGCTACACCACACTTCCGTCTGACTTGAATACGAAGTTGGGGGGTTCCGATAGTGCCTCTTCCTTACAGTTTGATCCACTGCCAGAACTACTCACAAAACTCTGGAAAATATTCTACTTACTATTATCAGTTCATCATAAAAGATACAAATGAACAGCCAGATGAAGAAATATTATATAGGGTGAGGTCCAGAAGAGTCCCTAGCACAGGGGCTTCTGTCCCTGGGGAGTTGGGGTGCACCACCTTCCTAGCACTTAGACATGTTTACCAACTCCAAAGATCTCCCAACCTTATTGTTGAGGGGTTTTTATGGGGGTTTCATTATATAGGCATAATTGATTAACTCAATTTCCAACCCCCTCCCCTCCCTGGATAGAGGGTGGGGCTGAAAGTTCCAAGCTTCTACTCAAGACTTGGTCTTTCTGGCAACCAGCTTCCATCCTAAATTAGCTAGGTACCCACCAAGTATCACCTCATTAGAACAAAAGATGGTCCCATCACCCTTATCACACATGAAATTCGAAGGGTTTTAGGAGCTCTGTCCCAGGAACCAGGGACAAAGACCAAATATCTTTCAATGATACCATGTATGTATGTACATAACCTCACAGGAATCTTTATAAAACAATTTTGAAATTCACTCATTATGAGTGTGATTTGAAATGAGATACTCCAAAATGTAAGCCCGATATCCAAATGTCACCAGCCTGTCCCTGCCTACTGGTCTCCTTCCATACATATGCACTTTTTGCTTGTCCTTCCTCTCAGACTTCTAGGATATTCTTTTTCTGGTACACTGATTAGGAATTGTTTGCATGAGATCCTGCCTCAGTGAAAGTGGCAGAGCTTCATTCTAGGAGATCCAAGGGAAAGCTTTGCTTTGAAACATTTATTCTAGGCTGCAAATCCACAACCCTAGTTGGCCTTCCATTAAAGTCACTAATTCAGCAGTCCCATATTCAATATGCATTACTGTTAATATGTTGCACCATCTCCATTCCCCTGAGAGCTTATATTTTTAATTTTTAAATTTTTATTTTTAGAGACAGTGTCTCACTCTGTCACCTACTTATTATAACCTCAAACTCCTCGGCCCAAGCAGTCCTCTCACCTTAGCCTCCCAAGTTGCCAGGACTACAGGCATGCACCACCATGTCCAGCTAATTTTTAAATTTTTTGTAGAGACAGGGTTTTCTATGTTGGCCAGATTGGTATTGAACTCCTGGCTTCCACGATACCCCGTCTCAGCCTCCCAAAGAACTGGGATTACAGATGTGAGCCACTGCACCTGGCCAGAGAGCTTATATTCTTATAGGAATGGGAAGACTGCCTATGTTATGTGTTGCTACATAATACATTACCCCCAAACTTAGTGACTTAAAACAAACGCTTATTATCTCCATTTCTGTGGGTCAATAATCTAGGCATGACTTAGCTGGGCCAGAGTTTCTCCAAAGTCTGTGATCAAGGTGTCAGTTGGGCTGGGCCTGCAGTCATCTCAAGGCTCCACTAGAGGAGCATTCACTGGCAGACTTATTCAAATGGCTGTTGGCTGATCCTCGATGGCTATTGGCCCCTCTATTGGTTTCTTGCCCTTGGGCCCCTCCATAGTACTGCTTGCTATTCACAACATGGCAGCTTGCTTTGCCCAGAGCAGGGACTCTGAGGGAGGCAGGGAAATAAAGAGCAAGAGAGAGGTCACAGTCTTATTGTAATCTAATTCTGGAAATGACAGCCCATTACTTTTGGCATATTATTTTGGTTAGAAGCAAGACAACAGTAGATCTAGCCCACACACGAGGGGAGGAGGATCACACAAGGAGGTGAATACCAGGAGGTGGGGTCATTGGGAGCCATCTGAGAGGCTGCCCACCACACTGCCTCAAGTAACTAGGGAGAGGTAAAAGTTTATATGCCAGATGACCAAATATTAAAATGTGTGTTACAAATAGTTCACGATGGGCTCAGCTGTCAGACTTTACAAAGGAGCTATGGGACCTTATAAGGACAGTTGGAACTGGCTAGGTATCACATAGTGGTCTTCAAACATTTTTGCTTGCCATAACCTCTAAAATAATTGGGAAAAAGTTGAATGTACTTCCATATCTTAAAGCTGATAATTTAAAATATTATACATTTAATAGCAGCACGGGATTTAGTTTTTGTTAAATTGTATATGTGCTCCAAATAGATTTACCATCAAAACCTGTTTTGAATTTAATATTGGGAGAATTCGCTAGTTTAATTTTTGGAAAATAAAGTATAATTGGCAAAGCTAATCCTCACTGTTGAATCTATCCGTCAAATCAGATATAATTTCTATCAGAAAGTCTATATGACTTGTCAACATAATACCCATAAAGTGAATCAAAAATTATTATTCATTGAACACATCATCTCTTATCAAATTCTTGTGACCTTCCTTCTGGTTGTATAATAGCCTAAAAAACAAAAAAAGGACAAAAGCAAGTTTCCAGAAAGCTGTTCTGACTTGCCTACTTCTGAAAAGTAGTCCTGTATGGTGGGTTCTGAAAATGAGGAACCAGGACTTGCAGAGTAGGCAGTTGCTGGAGGAAGAATGTGAGCTGCATGGGAAAAGACAGGAGGATTTACAAAGAGTGGGTGTTTAATTGGGGATGGAATTAGGTAGTTATTCTGATTTTTAGATTTTTCATATCTTTTATTTGGTCCAATGAAGCAGAAAATTTAAATGAAGTTATTACCTTTGCCTGATTTTTGACACACCTCAAACTATAACTTGAGGTTGCTAACTATGAAACACTGGCATTTAATGATTTAAAGTAAAGAATTCTGTAATTTGTAGACTTCTGAGAAGTTCCAGAAAATAAATCAGATGGTATGTAACAGCGACCGTGTGCTCAAAAGAAGTGCTGAAGGAAGCAACCCTCCTAAACCACTGAAAAAACTACGCTTTGATATTGAAGGATCAGATGAAGCAGATGGAAGGTAGGAACCAGTTTTGAATGTTTTCCAGTAGCCGAGATGGTCATCTGGGGAATCCAGAGTCTCAGCACTGCTCCTGGCTTATACCAATTTCTTTCATGCCAAGTTTATTTGGAAGTTGTGAGAATGGCTCAAAATAATAGATATGAGTGTAGTGCAAAGTTAAAAACATCTTACAAATTGCATACCAACATTCAGTGAAGATATCTAATAAACCCTGATCTTTTTTACAAAGCTATTGATAAAATTTTGTTATTCTTAACATTAAATTTAAAAATGTTTACTCTTGAAAAATATTAACCACTGTATTTTGTGAGAACCACTGAAAAAATACATAGCATCATAAATTTGTGACATTTATGTTTTAGATGGTTAGTTTTTAAATTTTAAAATTAAAAGCTACTCACTAAAATAATAGCATAAAGTAAGTCATCGAAAGCATCATAGTTACTGGAAATTTGAGTTTTCCATTTATAAATACACATGAAATGTTTTGCATTTTTTTAATCTGCAGTAAACATCTCCCAGGAGAGTCCAAATTTCAGCAGAAACTGGCAGAAATGAGTAAGTACTTTTTTCACCTTGTGTAAATGAAATAAACAATTGTTTACACTGCAAGAAGTCTTTTCGTTATATAAAAGAATGTATAATTTCTTCAGTTGGCAGGTTTGTTTATGCATTTAAAATATAATTCAATCAAGGTTATTTATCTACAAACATTTGTGGATTAAATGTATGATGTAAAATGAAGGTCATTTTTACCCTTTCTATGATCTTTCATGCAGGAAGACTAAGAAGTGAAACATTGCTTGACCACATTCAACACAAATGGCTACAGTTAGAAAATACTTTAGCAGAACTACAAAGAGGAGCTATTTGGGAGTGTTAGATATAGGGAAAAGTTTTATAAACCTAGCATATGTAAACATCATCACCCTTATTTAAGGAATAACCTTTGATTCTACCATTTTTAAACTTTCCTTATTTGCAAATCTTAAAACAATTTCAAACAAAAGTTTCCATTACTGGAAATCAGAATTTTAATAAAGAACACTTATGTCATTTTCCAAGTTATACAGAGTGATATCATGTTAGGGTAAGTGGAATTCTATTCAAAACTACTCTGAGACTAGACAAAAAAAATAATCCAAGGATAGTAGATGGAAAGCACATTAGGAAAGAGATAAATGTTCACTAACTACTATTGGGTTGTCTTAGGTAGTTATGGTAGTGAGTGTAACATTTCCCAGTATCTGCTGCCAGATCCATTGATAGGAAAAGGAACTGGGATTTTGAAAGAAGACAAATATTCAGGAGATAGGTGTTAAAACAATCATTCCTAGGTCACAGGACACACTAATGAGAACAATACCAATTAAAATGAGAGGCTTTCTTTTAATACATCTTTGTAGATACTAACTTTGAAAATAAGATATTTAAAAGGATGCTTTTTTTCTATGTATTTTTTTAAAGTGTAATTAAAACTAAATAACTAAAACAAAATTTTCTAGTTATAAATGAATCTCTTTTTGGATTTTATGTCAACTTACATATTCCTATTTTAACTCTTAAATAGTTGCATCTTTTCCCCTCAGTACATGAAAATAGACAAGAGGCTCATAACCAAAATCAGGCCTTGAAGACATATGGAAACATTTTGGAACCCACAAATATGCACTTAAAAAGGAGCTGAAAGCTGTAAAAACATGTATATTTTCTTAGAGAAGTGTTCAGTTGCTATAGTTAGTACATTTCCCAGTGACACACTTAGCTATGATGGCGAGCTTCCTCTGCCAGGCCAAAGTTCAGGACCTTTGTGCATCTACAAAATTGTGACAAAGCAGGCAGAATTTTAACCCCTGAGGCTAAGGCATTTCTTTAGGATGCTCTTCAGCTTTTCTTAAAGAATTACATTTAGAAAAGATCATCATACAATGCTGGATTGCCCAGAATGGAAGGGCATTCCATTTTTCCAAATGTGCTTCTTTATAAAGAACTCATGCCTACCTCTAAAATCAAGTTAAGAATTTTTAAGAAATTTAATAAGTATCCCGGCTTTGTCTATATTGTAATTCATAATATGCTTTTAACATGGCCATGCCCCGGGTAGGCATGATGGCTTATGTCTGTAATACCAGCACTATGGGAGGGCAAGGTGAGAGGATTGCTTGAGGCCAGGAGTTCAAGACCAGCCTGGGCAACATAGCAAGACCCCATCTTTACAAAAAAATCCAAAAATTAGCCAGGCCTGGTGGCATGTGCCTGTAGTCTTGGCTACTGGAGAGGCTGAGGTGAGAGAATTGCTTGAGCCCAGAAGGTCAAAGCTGTAGTGAGCCATGATCATGCCACTGCACTCCAGCTTGGGCAACAGAGCAAGACCTTGTCTCAAAAAAAAAAAATCCATGCCCAGTTTAAATGAGCTATGATTTGATGTATTTGCAGTACCTGCAAGGCATCTGCAAACATAAGGGAACCTATAGCTTTGTAAAGAATACCACCACTCACTCTGGCAGATTCAGTCTGGGCCAGCCGAGTATTCTAGTCTGCTGAAGTATATGCCAAGCATCAACCACCTCATCTCTAGAATAGTGGCCTACAAAATGGGGCATACCTGAAGTATGCAAAGTCATCTTTTGGGGTACATAAAGTAGAAGTTCTATTTATCTCATTTTAATGTTTGCTTGGGGTATGTGTTTTATAATTTGTACATACATACGTATTTTTGTGGTACAGGCTTGGAAAAAAATTTACTCACAGGGATATATGATTTTTAAAGATTTGGAGACCACTGTTTTTTTGGGGGGTGGGGAGGGAATTTTTTTTTTAATTGATATATCATAGTTATACATATTTTAGGGGTACATGTGATGTTTTGATACGTGTACACAATGTGTAATGATCAAATCAGGGTTATTGGGATATATATCACCTCAAACATTTTTCTTTGCATTGGGAACATTACAATTCTAGCTATTTTGAAATATGCAGTAAATTAACTGTAACTCCCTACGGTACTGTCAAATACTAGAATGAAGACCACTGCTTTTGCAAGGTCCTGAGCGCCATCAGTTTGACATGAGCATAATATATATGGCAGCCACTTGCCAACTTACCCAGTACCATCAATGCTGTTAACAGTTCTTCATCCTTTTTCCAGCTTCTACTCGAACACGAATGCAAAAGCAGAAAATGAATGATAGCATGGATACCTCAAACAAGGAAGAGAAATGAGGATCTCAGGACCTTGGTGGACACTGTGTACACCTCTGGATTCATTGTCTCTCACAGATGTGACTGTATAACTTTCCCAGGTTCTGTTTATGGCCACATTTAATATCTTCAGCTCTTTTTGTGGATATAAAATGTGCAGATGCAATTGTTTGGGTGATTCCTAAGCCACTTGAAATGTTAGTCATTGTTATTTATACAAGATTGAAAATCTTGTGTAAATCCTGCCATTTAAAAAGTTGTAGCAGATTGTTTCCTCTTCCAAAGTAAAATTGCTGTGCTTTATGGATAGTAAGAATGGCCCTAGAGTGGGAGTCCTGATAACCCAGGCCTGTCTGACTACTTTGCCTTCTTTTGTAGCATATAGGTGATGTTTGCTCTTGTTTTTATTAATTTATATGTATATTTTTTTAATTTAACATGAACACCCTTAGAAAATGTGTCCTATCTATCTTCCAAATGCAATTTGATTGACTGCCCATTCACCAAAATTATCCTGAACTCTTCTGCAAAAATGGATATTATTAGAAATTAGAAAAAAATTACTAATTTTACACATTAGATTTTATTTTACTATTGGAATCTGATATACTGTGTGCTTGTTTTATAAAATTTTGCTTTTAATTAAATAAAAGCTGGAAGCAAAGTATAACCATATGATACTATCATACTACTGAAACAGATTTCATACCTCAGAATGTAAAAGAACTTACTGATTATTTTCTTCATCCAACTTATGTTTTTAAATGAGGATTATTGATAGTACTCTTGGTTTTTATACCATTCAGATCACTGAATTTATAAAGTACCCATCTAGTACTTGAAAAAGTAAAGTGTTCTGCCAGATCTTAGGTATAGAGGACCCTAACACAGTATATCCCAAGTGCACTTTCTAATGTTTCTGGGTCCTGAAGAATTAAGATACAAATTAATTTTACTCCATAAACAGACTGTTAATTATAGGAGCCTTAATTTTTTTTTCATAGAGATTTGTCTAATTGCATCTCAAAATTATTCTGCCCTCCTTAATTTGGGAAGGTTTGTGTTTTCTCTGGAATGGTACATGTCTTCCATGTATCTTTTGAACTGGCAATTGTCTATTTATCTTTTATTTTTTTAAGTCAGTATGGTCTAACACTGGCATGTTCAAAGCCACATTATTTCTAGTCCAAAATTACAAGTAATCAAGGGTCATTATGGGTTAGGCATTAATGTTTCTATCTGATTTTGTGCAAAAGCTTCAAATTAAAACAGCTGCATTAGAAAAAGAGGCGCTTCTCCCCTCCCCTACACCTAAAGGTGTATTTAAACTATCTTGTGTGATTAACTTATTTAGAGATGCTGTAACTTAAAATAGGGGATATTTAAGGTAGCTTCAGCTAGCTTTTAGGAAAATCACTTTGTCTAACTCAGAATTATTTTTAAAAAGAAATCTGGTCTTGTTAGAAAACAAAATTTTATTTTGTGCTCATTTAAGTTTCAAACTTACTATTTTGACAGTTATTTTGATAACAATGACACTAGAAAACTTGACTCCATTTCATCATTGTTTCTGCATGAATATCATACAAATCAGTTAGTTTTTAGGTCAAGGGCTTACTATTTCTGGGTCTTTTGCTACTAAGTTCACATTAGAATTAGTGCCAGAATTTTAGGAACTTCAGAGATCGTGTATTGAGATTTCTTAAATAATGCTTCAGATATTATTGCTTTATTGCTTTTTTGTATTGGTTAAAACTGTACATTTAAAATTGCTATGTTACTATTTTCTACAATTAATAGTTTGTCTATTTTAAAATAAATTAGTTGTTAAGAGTCTTAATGGTCTGATGTTGTGTTCTTTGTATTAAGTACACTAATGTTCTCTTTTCTGTCTAGGAGAAGATAGATAGAAGATAACTCTCCTAGTATCTCATCCATTCCTAGCCTTTAAGGGGCTCTATATGCTAGAGATTTCCAAATTTATTTCTTCAGCCCTGATCTTTTCACAGAGGTCAAGGCTTTTATAGCCAACAGAACTCTTGATTCCTACTCCCCTCTACCCAATGTCTCCAAATATAAACTAAAATCAAATAAATAAAAATCTTTTTTTTCTACCCTGGTCTTTCTCCATTTTATTAAACATTTATCAAGTCAAAAACTTAGGAGCTATCTATTAATTCTTGTCTGGACCACTGCTAAAGACTTCTAACCAGTCTCCCTGTTCCCTTTCTTTCTTTACTGTCAAACTCCACAAAGAACAAAAATGATTGTTTAAAAATATAAATTGATTCACATTGCTCTCTACTTGAAGTACTTAACAGGAATTATAAAGCCCCTACTGACTTCCCATCCTCATCTTGTAGAATTTTCTCCTTGTCACTGTGCTTTAGCCACACTGAACCTTTTTCTTTAAAATGCCAAGCCTATTCTTACCTTAGGCTTTTATATTTCTTCTTCCTTCTGCCTGGAATACTCTTTTCCCACAGTTTTGCATAGCCAGTGCCTTTCTGTCTTTCAGAACTCAGCTCAGAGGGCTTCCTTGACCACCAAGCTAAAATCATCACTGTGTATTGTATCATTCTCCTTCAAAAGTGTAACAGCATCCATCTATGACTATTTCCCACCATCTGAAATTGCCTTTCTTGTTACCTGTCTCCCCATCCCTAGCCACTCCCCACCCCAGATTGTAACCATCAGCCTATCTATTCTTATTTACCACTTTAGGTCTAGCACCTAGAAAGTCCATCTGTAGAGTAAGAAACAGAATATATGTTTTCCATATTTTTCCAAGTATGTGACAACAAACAACACTCTCTTCCTCTTTTAAAATGCCATGTACTAGTATCTACCATATTCCAGGCACAGTTCTAAATGCTAGAGCTATAACAATGAATAAATAAAACCAAAATCCCCATCCTTGCAGAACTGACTTTCTAGTTTCAGGCAAAGAGAGCAAATGAATGAATAAATGAGGAATACATAGTATGTGAGATTGTATTAAAGACTGCAGAGAAAAACAAAGCAAAGAGGAGGGCAAGGAAGGCTGGTAGGGAAAGGAGTTTTAAAATTTAAAAGAGAGTGATCAGGGAAAGACTTGAGTGATATTTGGGCAAAGATCTGAAGGAGACAAGAGAGTGAGCCAGACACAAACAGGAGTCAAACATTCCACAGAGAGAGGTAGGAGTATGTCTGGTGTGTTTGAAGAACGATTAGGAGGTCATAGCAAAATGGGCAGCAAGTATCTCTCTTCGTCTAATGCAAAGTATAAAAGGCCTTTATGTATATTACAAGTCTATAATCCTTTATCTGTAGTTCCAAAATTGAGAAAGCTTTAAAATCCAGTGATTCTGTGTGTTTTGTGCCAAAAGTCATATGGCATCAAAACCATATGTAAACTGGCACAGAGCTATTTATAATCTTTATCATAATTGGAATATTCTCATTTCACTGCAGAAATATTAATATGTTTGATTGGGAGCTAACCCAGACCCACCTTAGGTGTTAGGTATTATTTGGCATACGTACCATATTATCATTCTAATCATTCTAAACTCCCCCAAAATTATGAAACCCATCTGGCACCAAGGGTTTCAGACAAGGGATTATCTTAAATTTATATGATTTCTCAAAAACATGGCAGATGAAATTCTTTCCTTCTGGGACAGTGACATGTTTGTTCCTGAAAGAAGAAAGGCAAAGTGCGCAGAGCAGGAAAAGCAGCAAGCATATCTCAGTAGGCTGTATTTATATTGGGCGGGGATCTTAAATGAAATGCAGTCTCTTAGGTCACGTCAAAATCAAGCAGCCTAAATGACACTAAAAAATTTTGTCTGCATGGCAGAGAATTGTTCACTTCTAGAGATGAATTTAGTATTCCAATGAATAAATACTCACTATAATAAAAGGGGCAAATTCAAATTCATATATTTACTTTTTTTTTTTTTTGAGATGGAGTCTCACTCTTGTTGCCCAGGCTGGAATGCAATGGCACGATCTTGGCTCACTGCAACCTCTACCTCCCGGGCTCAGGCGATTCTCCTGCCTCAGCCTCCCCAGTAGCTGGGATTGCAGGAGCACACCACCACGCCGGCTACTTTTTGTATTTTCAGTAGAGATGGGGTTTTGTCATGTTGACCAGGCTGGTCTCGAACTCCTGACCTCAGGTGATCCGCCCACTTTGGCCTCCCAAAGTGTTGGGATTACAGGTGTGAACCACTGCACCTGGCCTATTTACTTTTTCATTACAGCTTTCTAAAGGTACAAATGGCCAGGAACAAACTAGTTATACTAGTTCTATTATCATCTGGATGGTTTCATAGAAACTTGCTTTTAGAAGTACATTTTTGTTCCTCATTTTAGGGCCAATATAGTATACATAGCATAAGTAAAGTTTCAGTAGAATTTTCCTTTGGACTAAATAGATATTTTACAGGACGACTCAAACCTTACCTCCAGAAATATTAAATTTCCACCATAGGTGTAGCTTCTTAAATAGAAATATGGTAGCACTGTATAATATCTACGTGAGATTCAAACAAGCTCTTTTAATACACAGTAAGCATAGTCATCCATTCTCAATACTTTTTTTGTGTGTCCATTATCTTGGGACTATATATAGTAGTATTGACATATGACAATTGTCATATTAAACAATGACAATACGAAAGGTTAAATTTACTACACAGACCAACCTCAGTTACTTCCTAAATGCAAAATGTTATTTTTAACTGAATTTACTGAGAAAATTGGTAAGCTTTGTATTTCTATGTGTTTTGACAAAGATTGAATTAAAAATAACAGTAAGATTTGATTTTTTCCTTTCTCTTCACAATTCTCCCAACTCTGTTGATGTAATAAAGGGGGGTTGCATAATAAGATAGTTAAGATTATATAGTTTGTAGTTGCATCTTTTCATTATTCTTGGTTAAGAATCCAGCCTCTAAATAAAACTCTCCATGTTAAGGTCCAGAATGACTGGCAATTTACATGAACTATAACCTGAAGAACATACTTAACATTCTTAACCTTTGTTTTTTAAAATGAATTCAATGGCATCTTCACAAACCTCTATCAGCAGATGAGGGCACTTCTTCATTCCTATAAAATCTTAACCTTTCTCTGTGTAAATTAGTGGACAATTATTTTAGAAGCACTAAAACATTGACTTCCTTGTGTGAGCAAGAGAGGAAACAAAACTTTTGGGAAAATCTAAGATAAACTTGTGCAAAAAAAAGGATCCATTAATTTCTAATGTAGTGTCCTTATGAAAATGTACCTTTTCTCTCATATCACTAAGGTTCTTCAAACACTCATCTGTTAGAAGGAAATTTTAAAAAGGAAATCTTTCTCCTTCCCATAGGAGTGTCAATGGCAAGCCTATCCTCAAAGACCAGAAAGAAAGCATGTTTTTTCAGATAGATGTACCCACACCCAGGACTCATCTGTCATCTCTCAGATCTAAAACTAGCTCTTCTTTATTGTTTGGCGTCAGAAGTTTTAAGGGCTAAACCACTAATTCTCATCCTTGGCTGAACATCAAATTACTTGTGGAGCTTTTAAAATGTACTGAATTTGGGCAGGGCGTGGTGGCTCATGACTGTAATCCCAGCACTTTGAGATGCCAGGGTGGGTGGATCACCTGAGGTCAGGAGTTTGAGACCAGCCTGACCAGTATGATGAAACCCTGTCACTACTAAAGATACAAAAATTATCTGGGCATGGTGGTGTGCACCTGTGGTCTCAGCTACTTAGGAGGCTGAGACAGGAGAATCGCTTGAACCCGGGAGGCAGAGGTTGCAGTGAGCTGAGATCGCGCCTCCAGCCTGCTGGGCAAACAGAGCAAGACTCTGTCTTAAAAAAAAAAAAAAAAAAAGGCCAGGCGCAGTAGCTCACGCCTGTAATCCCAGCACTTTGGGAGGCCAAGGCAGGCAAATTGGCAAATCATGAGGTCAGGAGATCGAGACCATACTGGCTAACACTGTGAAACCCCGTCTCTACTAAAAATACAAAAAATTAGCTGGGCGTGGTGGCGGGCACCTGTAGTCCCAGCTACTCGGGAGGCTGACGCAGGAGAATGGCGTGAACCCGGGAGGCAGAGCTTGCAGTGAGCCGAGATCGCACCACTGCACTCCAGCCTGGGCGACAGAGCGAGACTCCGTCTCAAAAAAAAAAAAAAAAAAAAAAAAAAATCCATAGATTATTCTGTTGTGTGCAGAGATAAGAAGCATGTAAACCTACACAAAACAAAGCTTAGGGAGCAAAACGGGGTAAGAGTCCAGAGTAACAATCTGTACTCTGGCAGTATGCCTACTGACCCATGGTGGAGTGTGTAAAAGTAGTCCATTTTTCATCCCCCAGTAAACTTATCTGTTCCCCTTTGAGTGTTCCAATTTTTATATGAAGTGAGTTCACAAAAGAAAAAGGCACTGAGGAGCTTCAGAAGACCCTGTCAGAAATAAGCAAGAAAAAGGAAGACACTGTGAAGCTATAAAAGCTTGGTCAGCTATAGCTAGCACAGGAAGGTGGGGGAGAGAGACCAAAGAAACAAAGACTGTGGTTGTCTAATGGCCAGAACAGATGCTATAGGTGCTTGCCATGTTTGAATGTTTTTTTGTTGGATAAAATAGCAAACTTATCAAAAAATGAAAACAAATGGTATAATGCTACTTTTAAAATAACAACAGAATAAAACTATATAGTTTTAAAAACAGGATTCAGATTTAGATCTAGAGACACTCAGACTCTGCCTCTACCAGATAAAGTCTGAAGAAAAATGGTTAAGCAATTTGTTAAAGAGAAACTCTGTCCATTTAGTGTTGCTGTAACAGAATAACTGAGGCTGAGTTAATTCATAAATTAGAGGGGTGTATTTGGCTCATGGTTCTGGTGGCTGGAAGCTTCAAGATTGGGCAGATGCATCTGCTGGGGACCTGGGGCTGCTTCAAGTCATGGTGGAAAGCCAAAGTGGGGCAGACGTGCACAAAGAGATCATGTGGTGAGAAACCAAGGTCGCTGAAATCCCTTTGATTTTTTAGACAGAGTCTCACTCTGTCACCAGGCTAGAGTGCAGTGGTGCCAATCTCAGCTCACTGCAACCTCCGCCTGCCAGGTTCAAGTGATTCTCTTGCCTCAGCCTCCCGAGTAGCTGGGATTACAGGTGCCCGCCACTTCACCTGGCTAATTTTTTGTATTTTTAATAGAGATGGGGTTTCACCATGTTGGCCAGGCTAGTCTTGAACTCCTGACCTTATGATTCGCCCGCCTTGGCTTCCCAAAGTGCTGCGATTGCAGGTGTGAGCCACCACACCCGGCCTGAAACCCCTTTTATAACAACTCAGTCTTGGGAACTAATTCAGTCCCAAGAGAACCAGAACCCACTCTTGCTGGAGGGCATTAATCTATTCACAATGGATCTGCCCCCAGGACCCATACACTTCCCACCAGTCCCTAAGGCCTCCCAACACCACCACAGTGGGGATCAAATTTCAATATGAGTTTTGGCAAAGGACAAACCACATCCAAATCATAGCAGAAATAATGGATTCAAAATGTGACCCAACGAAGAGAATGAAAAGACAAGCCACAAACTGGGAGAAAATATTTGCAAAAGACATATCAGATAAAGGACTGTTACCCAAAATATACAATGAACTCAAAACAATTTTAAAAAAAGATTTAAAAATTGGCTACCAATCTGAACAGATGCCTCATCAAAGAAGATATGCAGATAGCAAATAAGCACATGAAAAAATACTCCACATCCTATGTTATCAGGGAAATGCAAATTAAAACAAAAATGAGATGGCACTATACACCTATTAGAATGGCCCAAATCTGGAACACTGACAACACCTAATGCTGGTGAGGATGTGGAGCAACTAGAACTCTCATTCACTGCTCATGGACATGAAAAACGGTACAGCCACTTTGAACTACAGTTTGACAGTTTCTTAAAAAAAAAAAAATACTCTTAACATATAATCCAGTAATCATGCTCCTTGGTATTTACCCAAAGGAGTTGAAAACTTATGTCCACACAAAAACCTGTACACAGATGTTTATAGTAGCTTTATTTGTAATTGCCAAAACTTGGAAGAAACCAAGATGTCCTTCAGGAGGTGAATGGATAAACTGTGGTACATCCAGGCAATGGAGTATTATTCAGCACTAAAAAGAAATGAGCTATCAAGCCACGAAAAGACTTGTGGAAACTTAATTGCATATTATTAAGTGAAAAACCAATCCAAAAAGGCTATATACTGTATGATTCCAACGATAGGACATTCTGGAAAAGGCAAAACTATGGATACAGTAAAAAGATCCATGGCTGCCAGGAGTTAGGGGCAAAGGAGGAAGGGATGAATTCCGCAGAGCTCAGAGGATTTTTAGGGCAATGAAACCACTCTCTATGATACAATAATGATGGACACAGGTCATTATACATTTGTCCAAACTCACAGAATGTGCACCACCAACAATGGACCCTAATGTAAACTATGGACCGTGGGTGATAATGATGTGTCCAAGCAGGTTCATCAGGTATAACAAATGCACCACTCTGGTGGGGGGTGTTGACAGCAGGGAAGGCTGCGCATGTGTAGGGCATGAGGCATAAGGGAAAACTGTGTTTTCTTCACAGTTTTGCTGTGAACCTAAAACTGCTCTACAAAAATAGTCTTCAAAAAAGTCACCTCACCAATAAAGAGCAGACCAAGACAATAATATGAATGATAATTAGGTTGTTTATAAGCTATTTGTGGTCTAGGGTGGGCTTTCCTATGAGACTTTATCCGAGTAACTGCTTGATAAGAGCATAATATATCCAATTTATTTATGTACATCTAAGAGACATGAGGTTGACATTTTATAATTTTGCTGCTGTTTTGGGATTAAAAAAAACCCCAACACATTTGTTCTGTTATCTGCAAATAAGCACTTTATTACCAAATAGTTCAGCATCAGAACAAGAATTCTAATTCCAAAAGGGTTTCCTTTACATTACATGACATTGTGAGATACACATTAGAAGAATCTGAGACTATGTTCCATTTCAGTTTCTCTTTTGCAATTAGGTAATTTGTTTTGATCTAAAAAGTACAAATTTATCTCATTCTTGTTAATGCTGTCCATGAAATGTAAGTATCAGTTCCTTCTCAGCTAGTGCTTTATAGTTATACTGGTGCCAGGTTAAGAGACCTATTTTATAGTGAGTGACATGAAAGTCAACTACAAGAAAAGCACATTGTCATTTTCATTTACAGAGGCAAGTCCCTCTTAACACAAAGAAAAGCAAAGGACCTTATGTGATTATGTAAGGCAGATCAGCCCAGGAATTTCATTCAAAGATAATACTTCATACTCCATAATCCCATGTGAGAAATTAATGAATGACTCCAAGTAAAAAGAAAATTAAAATTAGCCCTTGGGCCTTGACAATTTAATTGCCAGGGCCTTTTGTCAATTCTAAACAATGTTCTAAATTAGCCACAATTTCTCAGAATGATATACCAGAAGAATATGAACCTCAATAATTACAGGCTGTTTTAAGTTTATTTTGTGAAAGTTATTCCTTCTCCCAGTATTCCATGACTAAAGCTGTTCTCAGGACATACTGAAGATTTATAATAAATTGAGTGCCTATTATACACAAGGCACTGTGCTGAGTGCTGAAAATGTGGTAAGGACAGACAGCACTCCTTGTCAAGCTATCTATGTGGTATCAGCCAGCTGAATAATGGAACATTTGGGCCAGAATAGCATATACTGAGACCAGGGTACCAAAGGTGTCCAATTTAAGTGACTCAAAAAGAGGAAATGGTAAATAAGATATTTCAATTTTTTTTCCTTGACCTTAGTCACATCTGATCAGAACATTCAATGCTTTCTACATAAACTCTGGGTTTAGGCAGACAAAGACCACTCACCACCATCCTTCTTCTGACAGTTACAAGTACTCAGCCAAACATAGCTCATCATACATACTATTAATTAAAGAGAAGTGATTCATCTCTGGCTTTTGCAGGGGAAATGGAAAGGCTCAAAAACTTTCCTGCAGATGGGATCAATTTTTAAAGGCTCCAACTCTGCTTGCTTTGCTGATAAAGTTCTTCAGGAGATCATGGTCCATTTCTGCAAAACCTGATGTTTGTGTTACTACAGTCAGATGGTTTATGCAAAACCTGAAGCAGAATTCTTCTAAATCCTAGGAACAACAACAAAGATGGTTTAATAAATTCATATTTACTAATTCAATGCAACATAGCATGAAAATCGCTAAAACAAGTTAGGCAAAGAAAAAGGATTTAATAGGCAAGTGGAGGAAATGATGGCATGGTAATACCTAAAGAATAGTCATAAAAAGTATAACAAGTATGAATCATCTATGCTTGTAAAAATTTAAGTAGCACAGAGTAACATTCAAGTTCCTCCGCACTAACCTAGGTAAAGAATCTAACTTTTTCTTCCCAGAGATAGGCATGTGAGTGTGTGAATTCCTTGGTACCTTTGTCTAGTGACAGTATTTGTAACTGTTGATTTCACTTTCAATAATTGTTAAAAGCCCTATACTCCTCTTTTATATTTATATCAGCGTCTTTAAGTATGTCTGCCTATAAAGAGTTGATGGAAGAAAAAGGTAAGCCATAAAAAGCAGTAATGCCAAGAAATTGCTGCTCTGAAGTCATTAACAGGCCACCGCTTTTTCTCTTTATGAGACGACACAGGATGGGATGGATGGATTTGATCACACTACATATGCCTTCAATAATCTCAACTGGGAAAATGCTTTAAAGAAATCATGACTTCCAAGTCTCTGGTAAGAGAGACCCAACAGATTGGTGTTTTCTGGCTTACTGTAATGCACTCTGGGCCAAAGAATAATGCTGTAATAATTCTCTTGATTAGAACTATAACTTGAAAATCAGAATGAGGCTGACCAGATGCTTTTTGGCCCTGGAGAAGTGAGGGCAGGGTGCTGAGACCTCCAATATGCCTCAAACCCTAGGCTACTTGGCCTAGGACAAGATGCTGCTAGGTGGTGGTCAATTTTTAAAAGTTTCCTCTCCAAGCTACTGTAGGTAATTTATAAAAAATAAAAGCCCCAAATACTTTCTAAGCAATTACATATGAACATTACACACGATAGTCTTTTCTTCTTTAGACATAAATTATAGCAAATGCTGAAGATGGAAAAAATAAAAAAAATAGCAATGCTGATAGCCTTGCCAATGTACATATAAACCTACGGTACATTTTCTTTTAAGAAAAGAAAGAAACTATACTAGGAAAATGTTTATTTCATGCCTGAAGATAACTGGGCAGGCTGTTGGTACCACACCAGCAATATGATGTGTCTCTGTCCCAGGTAAGCCCTCAGTGATAAACAGGGAAAATTCACACACCCACTTGTCATCACAGCATACTATACATAAAAATGTGCTTCAATGATACATGCTGAATATCTCAGAGTCCATTTAAAATTATGTGCTGTTGCTTAAATTTTTAGAAATGACATTTTTGCCTACAGCACACAAAAGTGAAACCAGATAGAGATGCATCATCTCTTTGGCTGAAGTCTACAGAGAGGAATGGAGGAATTCATACCTACACCACACACATTAGAGTGTGTCTGGAGTTAGGTGGCTGGGCAGTTTGATGCCTCACAGATCTGGACAGCATCAGGAAAATTGCTAATTAATGGGAGAATGAAAGGACCCTAAAAAGTTATCACTTGGATCCATGCTCCTTTACTTTATTCTAGAGTGGGATCTTCCCCTAAATACTAAATTAAGGACAGGACTTGGAAAGAGTTCCTGTGATTCTAAGAATTCAATAAATTGGCATAGGGTGGTGGTACTGGTTATAGGGGAATTCTGTCCATAGAAAACAAGGCCCCCATTATTTTTCAGTTAAAGAATTGTAGTCTATTTTGAATGCTACCACTCTGTATGGCTTCATGTTCAAAATGGGGCCCTCTGTTCTGTCCTGCAGTCCTACCACATTCTCCTAGTTTGCTCATTCTCCTACAGGACTCTCATACTTCTCCCCATAAGCCTGACATCTCCCCTCTCATCCTCATCCTCAGCTGACATGACTTCCTATTTCACTGAGAACCAGAATCACTTGAAAAGAACCTCCACAAGCTCTCCCCACCACGTCTCCTTGCCTATTACAGAGAGGCCTGTGGATGCAATCTTCTCTGGATCAAAGGTCCAAGACCCTATAGAAAGCAGAGCCCTTGCTCTGTCACTAGATCCCACTGCTCCACCTACTAAGGGGCCCTGCTCTACCAACTGTCCCCTGCATCACTGGCTTGTTCCCCTTCACTGAGTCATTTGCATCATTAGACAAGCTTCCATTTCCCACATCTTAAAAAAGTAAAGATGTTTTACCTCAAATGCCCCAAAGCTCTTCCTTTTTATCTTTATAATAAAATTACCATGAAAAGCTGCCTCTATTCCCCATCTTCAGTTCCTCTACTTCCACGCTCCGATCAGACTTCCCGCCTCACTGCGCTAAAACTGCTTGCCAAGGCCCCTCCGGCGTTCTCATCGCCAAACCCACTCGTCAGTTCTCAGTCCTCGTGCAGACGTGCCAGCAGCATCTGGTGTGGTTCGGACTTCTTCCTTCCTGTTTCGCTTTCTTTCCCAGCCTGCAGGAAACGGTCTGCTGGTTTCTCTCTTCCGTTACTGCTCACTCCTCTTCAGTCTCCTTTGCTGGTGTCTCCTTATCTCCTTAACCTCTAAGCACAGAGTGCTCAGGACTTAATCTTCAAACCTGTCTCACGTCACTGCCTCATAGCTTTGACTTCAGCACATTTCTCTCTGACTTCCAGGCTTGCTTATCCAATTTGCTTATTAGACATTTCCATTTGGATGTCTAATAGACATCACATACTTCTCATATTCAAAACCAAATTTCTGATATTTCCCCCAAAATGTTGCTCCTATCTTCTATATCTCAATAGATGCCACTTTCATCCTTACAGCTGCTGAGGGACAGAACCTCCTCAGTCGTCTTTTTTTTCCTCACATCTAATCCATCCGCACATCCTGTTGGCTCTACTTTCAAAATGTATTCAAAATCTTAACCACTTTTTACCATCCCCACAGGTGATAACTTGGACCAATCCACCATCATCACTTACTGGATTATACAGCCTCCTAAGTACCCTCCTTCACACACACACACACACACACACACACACACACACTCTTCTCTCTCTCACCCTCTCTCTCTCTCCACACACACACACACACACACACACACTCTCTCTCTCTCTCTCTCTCTCTCTTCTCTTCTCTCTCTCACCCTCTCTCTCTCTCCCTACCTCCCTCCCTCCCTCCTCAACACAGCAGCCAGGAGGCAGGAGGATTACTTCAAATGCCCATCATATCTGCTCCTCTCCAAACCCTCTGATGGCCACTCACCTTGGAACTCTGATTCCTGAAACTTGCCTATGGACTCTGCAGGCCCTGCCTCCTCCCACACACGCCACTGTGCACCTCCACCGCACCATCTCCCTGCCTCATCAGCTACTTCCCTCCCCACTGTGCTCCCTCCACACCGGGCTTGCTTTTCCCAGAACACACCACCCACACCTCCTTCAGGTCTCTGCTTGAGTCACCTGCTCACTGATGTCTTGCCTCCCTGACCATTCTATTTAAAATTTCAACTTTCATCTCAGGATGGCATTCCCTAGGCTGTCTTCCCTGTCTTACTTCTTTCCATATCACTTGTCACCATCTGACATACTATATATCCTATTCATTTATTGATCACCTATCTCCCCTCACCAGAAATTCCCATGAGAGCAGAGATTTTGGATTGTTTTGTTCATTTGCAGTACCCCAGTGCGTAGGGCAGTGCCAGGCATGTAGCAGGCACTCAGTGAATATTTGTTGAATCCATGCATAAATACTCCTGATTTCAAAATACTGAGGACAATGGAGAATTGTAGTTAAACATGCGGTTTTAAAATGTGCCCAATCTTGGACTGTATCCCAGTTTTGCAGTTTACTAGTTTACTCAGATTACTTAATCTTTCCAAGCTTCAGTTTTCTCATTTATAAACTGGATCTAATATAATAATGCCTATGTCATATAAGGTTGTTTTGAGGAGTAAATGAAACATGAACTGTGCTTAGAATAATCCCTGGCTCATATTAATTATGTACTAAGTGACAGTCCAGCATGAGGGATAATAATTTGCTGAAAGAGCCCATTTCTTGCTTATTTGAGCCAGGCAAATCAAATACAGCACTGTTCTTTATTTACGAAAGCTTGTATTTTACATTAAGTACATATACAGTCTATTTTACTTATAGTCTATTATACTAATTTAGGGTACAGCAATTAGCTGGACAGGCTGTAGTACAACAGTGCATCTCTATAGGCAAAACTGAACATCCATGAAAGGGGTATTTAGTAGGTACCTACTCTGTGTCAGACACCGTCCTAGGCGCTGGGGATATGGTTGTGAGCAAAACAAAGTCCCTGCCATGCCTCAAAGAGCTTACTTTCTAGAAAACAGAGAGCTGGAAGGTAGCCAGACAAATAATTCACATAAATAGAGAATATAAAAAAGTATTAAAAATGAAGCCTGATTCAGATGCAAACACCACGTGCCACCATCTTGACATCTGAGATGGCCCTCCATCACCGTGGCTCATCACTGTGATGCTCAAGAATGGACTAGGAAAAGTGCATGGATTTTGTCTGACCATGAAACATTCTGTGTTGTAAGTGCCCAATATGTTATTGCCTTGATATAAAACATTCACTGTGCTGTTAAATGTCATTGTTTTGAGGTAGTACTTTTTTTTTAATGTTAAGTGAAAAAAAATCTAGGTTTCAAGTATTTACAAATATATAATGTGACATAAAACAAAAACTCAGAAGCTGTTATATGAAAGTGCTAATGTTCTCTGGTTGATGAGTCATTACCTTCCTCACTTTTTGTCTTTTACAAATTTTCTTTAATAAGCATAGTATTATTTATGTAAACAGAAAAAAAGTTATAACCTTTCATCTACTAAAATGTCTCTGTTTTCTTTGACCAAAGGAGAGGATATCCTTATACCAAAAGGAAACTGACTCGAAGATGTTACAGCCTGTTTCCTAAAGATTTGGTTCTAAGATTGGTTTTCTTTCCTTTCTTTATTATCATAACAATACATGGTCACTGTAAAAGTTAAAAAAAAATAAGCAAAGAGAAGAAAATAAAAATCACCCACAATCCCACCATTCAATGATAACCACTAAGCATAGTTTTCAGTCTTTTTTTCTATGTAGATAATGAATTTTAGTTTTTTATTCAGCTATTTATACTTTTTCAAAAAATAAAAATAGGATAAGTTTTTCACTTAGTGATATATCTTGAATAGCTGCATAATTTCTTGATATTAACATTTTATAAACAAGCCTCCACTATTCACACTAACCTTTTTCTGATTTTTCAAAATTATAAACTGCTGAAGTAAACACCTTTGAAGCTAAGTCTTTGTGCAAATCCATGATTAATTCCTCAAGATAAATACTTGTGAGTGAATTCCTTGAAGAATTATGTCTTTAATTTAAGGTGCTTAATACATATTATACCAAATTGTTCTCCATACCAATTTGTACTCTCATCAGCAGTTTAGGAGAACACCATTATTCTGATCCTATACATTATCTCTAAAAATATATTCCTGCTTTGACAGGTGAAAAGTTATACCTTGTTTTCATTTATGTTTTTTGTCTATTTATAGAGCCATTTGTTCTTTGGTCCATTTCTTTCAACCAAACTGTTCCTATTGTCTTTTTGTTTTTCACTCTGGTAAACAGACTTCATTATATGTTGCAAGTATTTTTCCCAGTGTCTCATTACTTTGTAAGTTTCTCTATGGTATTTTTAAGTGGATAAAAGTTTCTTATCTTTTTAAATCAGAGCTATAAATCCTTTATGGCTTCTGCCTTTGATGTCCATCCCAACATTATATAAATACTTGCTTATACGTTGTCTAGTACTCTTGTTACTTCATTTTTTAAAAAATATTAAATATTTCCTCTACCCAGACTTTCTTTTAGTTTAAGGTACGAGGCAGACACCTGGGTTCCATTTCTCCAGGAGGCCGGCAGCTGGAAGCAAGCTTTCCTTACCTGTGCATCATACTTCACCGCAGCCGAGAGCAGAGCGATGGCATTCTCCTCGCAGATGCCTTGCTTGATAGTTTGTTGGCAGAGCTTTTTCAAACGATTTTCTCTATAAAATGTAGCCAAGTCTAGCAGTCCTGGCGGAAAGAGGTGTTTATTAGGGGGAGTGATTTCAAGCATCCTGATTTACAGTTGCTCACTCAGCCACTCAGAGATGATTTTGACACTATTTTAGATATAATCCTCAGTGAAGCACTGCATAGACTGATGCTGACTGACACTTACACTTCAGTGTGGGGCTCTACCCAGGATGGCAGCCAAGCTGAGCAAACATGATACACAAATCATTAGCTGTTGAAAAACAGGAGCACAGGGAAAATAGCTTTAATATTTTTTTCCTAGGAAAAAAGCATGTGCGCCTTGAATGACCCCTTCCCCTGCAATCTCAATGTCAGCTTCTCCTGGGCCACTCCCAGGAGCACACACACATGCTGTAAGAGTGCCCGCCGTGAAAAGAAAGAAAAGAAAAGAAGAAAAGAAAACAAAAGAGAAGAAAAGAAGAGAGGACAGGAGAGGGAGGGGAGGGGAAGGGAGGGGAGAAGAGAAGAGGGGAGGGGAGAGGAGGGGAGGGGAGAGGAGGGGAGGGGAGAGGAGGAGAGGGGAGAGGAGGGGAGGGGAGACCCTTTCATGGACACGTGTCTTCCTCCTGTTACCCTATCCCACTGCTCCTCTCTACAGCAAAACTCCTAGACAGAGCTATCTGTATCTGCTGTCTCCATTTTCCCACCTCCCATTCTGACCTCAAGCCATTACAAGCAGAACCCCATCCCCACCACTACTGCAGTCACACCCTTGGTGGTCACACCTGTGGCAGTCACAGTGGCTTTGAGGGTGCAATATTCTCTGGTTTCCTCTTACTCGACATTTACACAGAATTTGATATGGTTGATAATGCTCTCCTTAGGACACTTTGTCACTTGCTTGCATTTTTCTTCTCTTTAATTAGTTGCTCCTCAGTTCTCTAGGCTGGATCATTTTTCCTGACTTCCAAATGTTTGAGTGCCCCAGGGTTAAATCCTCAGACACTTTCCTCACTTACTTCCCAAAACCCCAGCCCCAGGGTTTTAAATATCATCTATATATGCAGGTGAGTCCTGTTATATTACCTGTCACCTATTTTCAAGTAATTCAACGTAGACTGGGTGAGGTGACATATGTAAATTAATTTTAATCTACCCCAAGGAATGATAGGAAGTACTCTAATTGAAGCAGTCAATCAGCATCTGAAAGATCCTATTTGTTTTTCTGAATCTTCATTACAGGATTTGTAATTAGCATAAAGAATGTCAGAATTAGTTTGTCATTGCTGAAATGAGTGGTAGCCAGGATCAAAAGGCTAGCTGAATCCGGCTACTAGAACACTGTCATGTCCACCTCAAGCTAACTTTTCATGCAAGGTACTTAATAGAGTGTACGAAGTATAAAGAGCAGGGATTTCATCAATTTTACCATATTAATTGTTTTTGTGTCTATCTGCTAATAAATCTTATACATGTGGTAGACTTTGGTTGGAAACTTGCTTTTTTAATAACAAATATTATCAAAGTTATAGAGGAAAGACAGATAGCCCACTGGAGGACACTGAAATCTTGAGTTGTGAATGGCTTCATTGTTTTTGGCCCCAAGCTTCAGACACACATGCAAGCTGCACTGCCCTAAGAGAGGACTCTGCCCCAAGCCCCAGCTCTGCGCCTCCTCCACGCACACCTTCAGCACAGGGTGGCTAAGGAGCCACATGCCCACTTCTAGACCACACTTTGGGTACCTGGGAACCTGGGACTGCCTGCATAATTGGCCTTGAGGCCACATGTGTGGGTATTTCCTCCCTTAGACCCCACCACCAATGTGCAGACCCCCTGGCCCAAAAGGGTAACCTGGGTTGGGGGTGGATAGAGCTTGGAATGCAAGCTAGGGTGCCCACACACCCTTCTGCTGGAGGAGGGGTCTGTCCTGCCTGTGCCATTGGGTTCTGGCACAAGAAGTCCTGCAACTCTAAATGTCAACTAAAATTGAAACCTGTCCTTTCAGTTCTTAATGAAATTACATTTTTCAAGGTGGGAGGATTGGACATATTTTTATCTGAAGTTCACTAGCTTGACATATAACTTTAAGTTTTTAGACATATGGAACATAGGTCTCCATTTGGAGTCTTGGCTACAGCCCCACAAATGTTAGTGGTGGGCCGATAAAAAACTGCCACTCGCGGCCGGGCGCAGTGGCTCACGCCTGTAATCCCAGCACTTTGGGAGGCCAAGATGGGCGGATCACCTGAGGTCGGGAGTTCAAGACCAGCCTGACCAACACGGAGAAACCTCGTTTCTACTAAAAATACAAAATTAGCCAGGCGTGGTGGTGCATGCCTGTAATCCCAGCTACTCGAGAGGCTGAGGCAGGAGAATCGCTTGAAACCGGGAGGCGGAGGTTGTGGTGAGCGGAGATCGTGCCATTGCACTCCAGCCTGGGCAACAAGAGTGAAACTCTGTCTCAAAAAAAAAAAAATTATCACTTGGGTATCTAATGGGAAGCTCAAACTCCTTTGACTTTCAAAGTCCAGAGCAAGCCTGTTGTTCTCTATCTTCCTCACCTCAGTGCCATTAAGGCAGCTACCCAGGCCAAGTACCTCAGTGCAGCCATCCTTCTCTCTCAACTCACACCTCTCATCCCATCTATCAACAAATCCCATCAGCAACCTCTTTAAAATATATCTAGAATCTGATCTCTTTTCAATACTTCCACTGCTATACAACCCCAACCCAGGAGACCATCATCTCACACCTGAACCAATATAATAACTGATGTTTTAAACACAGATCACATCTCTCCTGTGGCAGAAGCTGCTAGTTGCCTCTCTCCCGACCCCCACCCCAACACACACACACACACACACACACACACACACTCTCTCTCTCTCTCTCTCTCTCTCTCACACACACACACACATCCATTCTTCCTTTCTACTGAAACCACAGAATTTTTAGCCAAGCTACGGCCCTCTGGAAATGCCCATTTTCCCAGCCTCCTAAGCCACTGGGCACAGACTTGACTGACTCAGGCCCACAGTCTGAAATAAGTGGAATTCCTGGGCCCTGCTGGTGGAGACACGGGGATCTGCTGCATGGCCCTCAGTCTCTGTCCCTTCCTCCATGCTGCTGCCTGCAATGCTCCACGGTGGTGATGATTTGATTCTTCTCTCTCTTATCTGTCCAGTCAACCTTTGTAATAAAGTAGTAACAAGGGAAACGTGTTTGGATTCAACACACACAAAAAGAAATACTTCTGTAATTACCCTCACAGTGACTTTCTTTTAGGTTCTATAGAAACCACCTTGTCAGTTCCTCAACATTTTGCCAAGTTTTTGGAAGTCTTTGGCAATTACCTACTGCCTCCTCAGGAGAAAGGCTGATGCTGTCTGTGTATAGGTATTCCAGGAAGGCCCGGTAAACAGGATATGAAAATTCACTCATTTCTACAATATCATCCTCGTTATCTTCCAATGACGAACGAAAATGCTCACATCTGAAGGAAAAAAGCAGTATGTCAGGTCCTAGCTTCCCAGCCAGGACAGATGGCCTCTGTGAGGACCACGTTCTTCTCTCGAAGGTGCACGCTGGCACGTCCCTGCTGTGGCTCCTCACTTTCTTTGCTGGCCAGGGTTTTCAAACAATCATCTATTCAGCAAGGCTGTATATACAAACCTGCTGCCAGGGGTGGCCTGGGAAGCAGCCCCAATGGCCGTGCTAATGGGGACAGAGCTGGGCTCCCTGGCATCTCTCTCACACCACAACCACTGTCAGCATTTAGAGAAATCAGTGGGTTTATTTTTATAAAATCTAAGTAATTCTGTTTCCTCACTCCATTACGGGTTGAATGATGTCCTCTAAAAATTCCTGTGTTGAAGTCCTAATGGCCAATACCTCAAAATGTGACCTTACTAGGAAAGAGAGCCTTTAAAGAGGTAATCAAGTTATAAGAAGGTCACTAGGGTGGGCCCTAATCCAATATGACTGGCATCTTTATAAAAAGGGGAAATTTGGACAGGGCGCGGTGGCTCACGCCTGTAATCCCAGCACTTTGGAAGGCCGAGGCGGGTGGATCACGAGGTCAGGAGTTTGAGACCAGCCTGGCCAATATGGTGAAACCCCATCTCTACTAAAAATACAAAAATTAGCCAGGCATGGTGGTGTGCGCCTGTAATCCCAGCTACTCAGGAGGCTGAGGCAGGAGAATCACTTGAACCTGGGAGGAGGAGGTTGCAGTGAGCCGAGATCAGGCCACTGCACTCCAGCCTGGGCAATAGAGAAAGACTCTGCCATCTAAAAAAAATAAGGTGGGGGGAAATTTGGACACAGACATGCACAAAGGGAGAATGCCACATGCTGACTGGAGTTAAGCAGCCACATGCCAAGGAAGGCCAAAGACTGTCTGCAAATCCCCAGCAGCTAGGAAAGAGGCAGGAACAGATTCTCACTCACAGCCTCACAAGAAACCCATCCAGGTGACACTTTTGATCTGGGATTTCCAGCCTCCAGAACTTTATGTTGCTTAAGCCACCCGGGCCATAGTACTGTGTTACAGCAAACAAATCCACCCCCCTTCTTTCATGCAGGTTGATGTGATATAGAGAGAGTGAGCAAACGCTGCACAGCTTGATCTTACTAAAGAGGAACTTGAGACTAAAATGCTGTGTTGAGTGTGTGACTCACTGCAGTAGGATTTAAATATCTGTTACACAACAACATAATGAATTTCAAAATCATCATGTAAAAGAAAGAAGCCAAGCACAAATGAATGCATCCTGTATCATCCCATCTAAATACACTCTAGAAAATGCTAACTCAGCTACAGTGACAGAAGGAGCTGCGGTCACCCAGGGCTAGGACATGAGGGGTCTTTGAAGGGTGATGGGAATGTTCTCTGTCTGGATGTGGGGCAGTGGTTTCACAGGCGTAGACATGTGTCAGCACTCATCAAACTGCACATTTGAAATGCACACAGCTCATTGCTCAAAAACATTCACAAATGTGATTTTTTAAAATCTCTGTGCTAGCCTCACTATAGACCTTTTTGGTCTGGAAAGGCCTTGATCTTCTCTTTCTTAAACCATCTAAAAGTACGCCACAAGTGATTATAAGAAGGTGATTATTAAGAGCTGAGCTTGATTCCCAGGCAGAAACGGTAACTGATGGACGTCCAAGTATCAATACAGTGTTCAGAGCACAGGACACACTTGGAGCGTGCGCTGGCTGCTCCCTGCTGCCAAGGTGACCACGCCACTTTTCAAGCCTAAGGAACGCCTATGGTACTGGTTCCCGGAACCACACAACCTGTGTTATTTCTTGTTTCATGTATATTTCTCCCCGCTCCACTGTATGCTTGTAAGAGCAAAAACAGCCTTACAATTTTTCTTGATTACTGAGGTGCCTAATATAGTTGGACACTTAGAATATAATTGTTGAACGAATTACTTTTCTCAATTCTCAAATAAATGATTCCTTACCGAATCTTGAGAAGGACTTTATGTGCATAAATGTACTTTCCATCAACTAGAAACTTCAGGTCTGCAGTGTCCGGGTTGTCAAATTCCCTCTTCAGTGACTCAGCCACTGTGAGGTGGTCATCAGGTTCTAGGAGAATAATGCAAATGCTTCCAGAGTTAGCTACAGACATAATGAACACACAGGACAGGATATGGCACTACTCTACTGGTACTCATGAAAGTACCAATTCCTCAAAATAACTGAGCAACTGAGCAATGGATTTTTTCCCCTGAAGACAGATTTGCATCTCTGTAATCATTAAGAATAAGAATCTCACAAATATCTGCTTATAAATCTGGCAAAATAACAAGAAAAAGTCCCAAGCCACATCACTAATTTTGCATGAAATTTTAAACATTTGAGTAAATACGCTAGTTAAAAGTAAAAAACAGTTTCTCAGTAAAATTAAAAAGCACTCAAATAAGGATAGGGCACAATGGCTCACACCTGTGATCCCAACACTTTGGCAGGGGCAGAGACAGAAAGATGGTCTGAGGCCCACGGTTTAAGACCAGCCTGGGCAACACAGAGAGACCCCACCTCCAAAGAAAGTTTCTTTAAATTAGCCAGGCATGGTAATGGGTATGTATAGTCCCAGCTACTCAATAGGCTAAGGCAAAAGGATCGCTTGAACCCAGGGGCTGAAGGGTACAGCGAGTTATGATTGCACCACCGCACTCCAGCCTGGGCAACAGAGCAAGACCTCATCTTTCTCTCTTAAAGAAAAAAAAAAAAGTAGTCAAATAAAATTACTTTTAGTTTAGTACTGGTGTTGATTTCTGATGCTCTGAAGAAAATAAAATTAGTTCCCTTTTGTAGAAGCCCATCAGAGAGAAATAAATTATGATAGTGCACCTAACAAAATCCTCATTATCAAAGTAAAGCCCTGAGCTCTTTCCCAGATTTTCAGGCCATCCCCCAAATGGACAGTGACCAGCTTACCCACGGAGAGGAGGCGCCACGTGACGGCGGGCGTGGCAAAGCAGGCAAACACGTCGTCAGTGCAGGAGAAGTGGGTGAGGTGCGGGAGGATCACGGACTGACCCCGGCACTGGCCCCACATGTACACGTGCCCACCCTGCGTCTTGGCCGCAGACGTGTGTGTGGAGTGACAGGCTGCAATCTCGATAATCCTAAATTCACAAACACACACCACATAAGCACAGTGACCGGGGCAGAAACAAGTTGGGTCCTCCTCCCGCCAGGTTTAACTGATGTGGGACATCATAAAATTACAAAAAGGGTCAGGAAAAGGAAAAAACAAAACAAAACAAACCACCACATGACTCATACACCTCATCTCCTAAATTATCAGGCACCAAACCGTTATTTACATTTAAGCCACACTTCAATGGCACTTATAACTCATGAAGATCTGTTTGTACCACTTCTAGCCAGTAGGCCTATAAAAATATGCACCATCCTGTTTTGAAATTCAAGTATAACCCAAGAGAGTAGTGGTCCCCCCTACCAAAAAAGGGTGGTTTAAAATTTTTCCCCCTAAAACATCACTTACTGAAGAAAATAATAAAGATTTGGGTCATCTGGACTGAGGGCCAATAAATAAATATTTTAATGAAGACTTCACCAATTTTTAGAATGCTATGGGTCATTCCAACTCCTATTGCACAGAGTAAATTCAGTAGTTCTACCACACTGGGCTGTATGACCTGGAGCCCAGGAGAGCAGTTTCCTAGGATCACTATGTGATATGCCCTACTGCTCTAAGTTCACGATTGATGAGGAGGTAATTCTCAGAACAATTTTTTTTTTTTAAGACAGAGGAGTCTTGCCTTGTCACCCAGGCTAGAGTGCAGTGGCACAATCTTGGATCTTGGCTCACTGCAACCTCTGCTTCCCAGGCTCAAGCGATCCTCCTACCTCAGCCTCTGTAGTAGCTGGGACTACAGGTGCAAGCCACCACACCTGACTAACTTTTGTATTTTTTGTAGAGACAAGGTTTTGCCATGTTGCCCAGGTTGGTCTTGAACTCCAGAGCTCAAATGATCCGCCCACCTTGGCCTCCCAGAGTGCTGGGATTACAGGTGTGAGACACTGCACCCGGCCTCAGAACACTTCTTAATGGAAAACATTGTCTTGTTGATCTGGAAGTAATTTCTTTTCCATCAGAATAAGCCACCATACAGATTGAAGGAAAATGGTAAACTCTTTTAACCCAGGGGAAGTCCCCATCTTGATTTTGCTACAGCAGACAATGGTACCAGCATCCTCAGAGACTTAGGCTCAGAACTTCAGGGTCATCTTTGACTTCTCCCTCCTCATTTACCACTTTCTTTAGAATATCCAGTTAAATAACAAAGATGCTTTCTTTGTAATGTCTCCCCTCAGCCACCACTGGGGGGTCAGGTACACCCCACATCTGGCCCCTGTAACAGCCTCCCAGGTCTCCCTTGCCTTAGACTCTCTCTTCTGCCCCAACTCACACAGTGCTGGCAGGTTAATCATCCTCTTGGAACACCGTTCTCATCAGAACTTTCACACGGGCAGTGGCTTCTCTCAGATAAAATCCTGACACAAGACATAACTCCATCCATGATTTGGCGTCACCTCTGTACAGACATCTCACAAGTCAATTTTGTCCACACACCCTGTTTCAACAAACAGGCTTTCTCATTGACCTTCAATGACTTCATACATGGTTGTTCAGGAATGTTCTTTCTCTCTGCCTTACAAACCCTACCCATCTTGTAAGGCCCAGTTCAAACTGCCCCAAGTTTGAGGTCTCCCGCTCACCTGAGCTCCTGCAGCACTTCCTGTCCACACCATTCCAGCCTGGCCCTGTTACTTTATGCATCCGTTTCACCTGTTCAGCGAGATGACCAGTTTCTGGCAGGCCTAATCACTGGCTTAATTCTCTCTAAGCACATAACGTGGTGTCTTACTGAATATAATCTATGGGTCACTTTACTGACTGAGGAAGACTCAACAACACAGAGCAAAGGTTGTGTAAGACCCCACTGACACGGGCTAGCACCTGAAGGGTGAGGATGATCCTCCACTGCCTCCTTTAGGCAGTTGCTCTCAAACCAGGAGGGAGGTGTTATCACAGAACCTGGAGCTTGTACCGGCTCGCCTCAGAGGCTGAGACATGCTGTTCTCATGTGCGGTAATCTCACTGACTTATTATGAGGATCGTTCTTAGCCCTTGAAAACCACCCAAAAATACTAGAGGAAAAAAAGGCTACGATGGCCCACAGTGGAGAGCTCAGGATTTGGAGTCAAACCTAGGTTTGTTTTTTATTTCTTTCTTTTTTTTTTTTTTTCTTGCAGCTCCAGCTCAAAGGAAAACAAAAACTGGGTTTGAATCCTCGCTCTACCACTAGGCTGCGTGACTAGCACTAGGCTGCGTGACTAGGGGAATGTCACTTAGCACCTAGGAGCCTTGGTTTCATCACATTGCAAGGGTGGTGTGAGAATCAAGTGATAAAATGTTAAGTGCCAACCAGGCACAATGTCTGGGTGCAAATGGTTGCATGACAATAGAGGTTTCTTTACATTATGATGACTACTCAGCCTTTTAAGTGACAAAGCATCTTTTAGGTGGAGACCATGTATTTCTAGTGATCAATTCAAATTAGTACGACTTTCCCTAGAAGAGTCCTTTCCTGATATTTGCAGGGTTAGGCCAGTCCCCTGGCCTAATCCAGTGCTGTGCAAAAGAACCGTGCCAGACGGGGAAAATGGTTAACAATATTTGGCTTCTCAATCAGCATCATTCTTTTCAACAAATAAAGAAAATGGGAGAAGGAAATAGAATAAACTTATTCAAAGAGAAGTACGTCCACTGTTAGTATCGATTTTACTGGCAAGCCTCCTAAGTTACAAGCAAATGTGAGGATAGCGACATGGTCTGTCTTCGTGGCCTGGTGCTGTGGGCAGGACACGCGGATCAGAGTCAGAGTGTAGTTCTAGGGCCACGTTATTTAAATTCTTATAATCAGCTTTACCATCTTTTCAAAGAAAAAAAAAGATGAGGGGGAACAGGATACAGGCAGCAATCCTCTCACGGTTTGTGGTTTTGTGTACGTGAAATAAGTTCCTTGGCAGAGCTGAGAACCGAAAAAGGCTTCCTTCCGTGACTAAAAGTGTTTACCAGCTGCTGCAGAACTGTGGGCCCGTGATTTAGCTGAGGAACTCATGATTTAGCTGGAGAGAGAAGTCCAGATCTGTGACTTTGCAAATAATTCCCAAATGACATCAGTGTGGCCCTGACTACAAGTCTCCAGTGAGTAAGGAAAAATACCTGGGGGCTCCTCAGGGAATATTTCAAGTAAAAGGGAACTAACTGGGCCATGTATGCTTTGGACTGGCCAGAGCCGTGGAATAAGAGTCTGTGAGGTGGAGAGCAATGCAGGACCAACATGCAGGCAGAGCTGGAGACGGCAGGATGGCAGAGAGCAGCATCGTACAAGACCTGACAGGGACGGAGGCCAACGCCGGGATCGGAGGGCAATGAGGCTTGCCAGGAACAGTGGCGTCGGCTTCAATCCAGAGCCGAAGAGTTCTGATTTGATCTGATGTGATAGGCAAATGGGAAACTGCTTTGTAAACAGGGCCATGATGTGAGGAAATGGTATTCTCAGAAAGACTGACCTGGCCACAGTGGTGTGCAAGACAGGCTGCAAGGGAGAGAAAGAATAGTCTGGAAGGCTGGCTGGGGAGGCCAACCCAAGCTAGGTTGCCAAGGAGTAATGAGGGTGGCCTGGATGTTAATGCAGAGGGAGGGAGAGGAGCGGAAGGTGGCCCAGGGGATGAGTCTAAGAAAACCCCCGGCTGGCAGTGCTGAGGGAGGCAGAAGCCGCGCTGGTCAGGTGGCAGGTGTGGGGGCCAATGTACACATAGCTGAGCAATTAATAAAAGGAAAAAGGGCCTTCTGTGTTTGAACCACCTCAATTGTAAAGCCATCTGGCATTCTCTGGGAGCAGGGGAGGTTAGGGCAGCCCAATGAACAATGTGAAGATAAGCATTTATGAACTGCTCTTCCTTTCTTCAGATTTTAGCACTTTGCAGTGACCTACTAGGCAAAGACTTCTACATTTTTTGGAATCATTTCTGTGTCCTTTGGGGTAATGTTCTATGAAAAATGTCAGTGACTGGAGCACAACAGCATCCTTCACTGATCTGCCCAACATCAGAAAAGCCAAATAATGCGGTTCTTATGTTCCCTTCTGAGATGTTTGTTCTTTGTTATTAGCATCCATGAAAGAGGGTAGCCTCTGCCCCTAGAGCAGCTGGTGACCTGAAGTGGGACACTACTCTCTAGAGAAGGGCTGGGACAGACAGAGCCAAAGGGTGGGTCAGGGAAGGCCATGTGATGCTGCCCGTCCCGGGGCATGGCCTTGTGACATATACCTGGCACACCCGGCTCCACATGGGAAGTCAGGGGTGGGGCGCGGATTTGGTTGGCTGCAGTAGCTGCTACAGGAATGAGAATGCAGAAAGTTTAGAGGGTACTTTCAGGTCTAGGCTTGTGACCCAAGCAACCGCTAAGGAATCCTGCCATTGCCTAAGGTCATCGTTGGTTTTTAAACTGGACTCACACCAAGCAGCAAACACCGACGTTCCAATTTTCCAGCCAGACATGCGACAGACAATGACTATCAACTGAGCTAACCTTTACTGTCAGGATGTCTGGCGTATTTCACACTTTTATTTTGTAGCCAATCTTAATGGGAAAAAAAATCACTACATGTTGATAATAAACAGGTTTTGTGTCACCTTGAGGGAATGATCAACAACAACTGCTGAGCTTATTGGCTATGAAGTACTAGAAATGAAAAAGCAGAGAGTGAGAAAGAATAGAAACTGGAAAACCTTGAGGGGGGTGAAAGGTCATCTGTGAGGGAGAAGAATATTGGAGAAGAAACAGCAAAGATGACAGATCCACAGCAGGGATTCCCAATCCTGGTTTTGTAAGAGCCCAAGTATTATACCAACTACCTCAGAAGTCAAAGAATTCTCAGAAATTCAAGGAAAAGTTAGCTTCACATCAGTTTAGTTTAAAATATGCCGTTAGGGAACGTTAAGAACAAAGATACAAATGTTGGTCAATCTGTCCCCAAGGTACTGAAACTTCAGAAAGATTGGATGACTGGATTAGGAGAAGACAATCATTTTAATCATTAAACTTATTTTTATGTAAACATAAATTGCTGACAAATATCAGTATTCTCCATCATAAATAAAATCTTTTTCTGGGAAAGATTTTAAAAGGTTTCCCTTGGATGGTTGCTCCAGCAAAGAAAACAATGTAGACAGATTTCTCCTTCCCACTTCTGTGAACAGGTAACTAAGAACTGAAACCCACCCCACCCCACATTCAATCCAGTTCCTAATTAGTCAGGCTTTCCTGCAATGGGCCGCAGAAGAGTCAGAAGTAAGGCTCCGGGGTTCCCCAGGGATAAGTTATGACATATACTTGACTTTCCCATCCCTGGAAAGGGTGGAGAAGTGCAGAACAAGTCCCAGCACAGACCTATAAACCCCTCCCTCGGAATACGCCCGTGATTGAGTGCCTGGTTGAAACTGTGCAAGTTCAGAAACCACCACTTGAAATTCAAGTACGGAAAACAGAAAATCAGGAACATCTCATTTAAAACATTCATCCATGTTTTTTTTTTTTTTGAGACAGAGTCTCACTCTACTGCCCAGGCTAGAGTGCAGTGTCGCGATCTCACTGCAACCTCCACTTCCTGGGGTCAAGGGATTCTCGTGCCTCAGCCTCCCAAGTAACTGGGATTACAGGCATGTGCCACTGTGCCCAGCTAATTTTTATATTTTTAGTAGAGACAGGGTTTCACCATGTTGGCCAGGCTGGTCTCAAACTCCTGACCTCAGGTGATCCGCCCGCCTTGGCCTCCCAAAGTGCTGGGATTACAGGCGTGAGTGCCTGGCCCATCCATGATTTTTATAACCAAATTATAATTCAAAAATAACTGCAGTTTAAGAAGACAGAAATGCAATAGATAACTCCCAATGTCCAGTTAAGCAACTTGGCACTCACACAGCTTCCATTCCCATTACCTGCTTCTCTGCTACTTTTTCTTTCTCCCACCTTGACGCCCCACAATCCATCTGCCCCAGTGAGAACCTGAATCAGAAGCCTTGGGTGATCATTCTGGATCAGGGACCAGCAGTGCAATGCAGCAAGTCACTGGTGGGCAATGACGGCAGATTCTGTGAGACCAGGGATGGATGTGCTAAAGTTCTGGGTAAGTGTAGGAGCACCATAAAAAGTAATGGGCCAGGCCAGGCGCAGTGGCTCATACCTGTAATCCCAGCACTTTGGGAGACCGAGATAAGAGGATCACTTGAGCCCAGGAGCTACCAGCCTGGGCAATGTGGCAAAACCCTGGCCCTGCAAAAAACACAAAAATTAGCTAGGTATGGTGGCATGCTCCTGTAGTCCCAGCTACTCCAGAGGCTAAGGTGGGAGGATCGCCTGAGCTTGGGAAGTCAAGACTACAGTGAGCCGTGATTGCACCACTGCACCCCAACCTGGAAGACAGGGAGACTGTGTCTCAAAAAATAAAAATAAAAAAATAACAGGCCATACAAATCCATCGTTTTTATTTCCATGCCATCTTTATTTGATCCTTTAACTCTGTTTTTCAGTTTAAATGTTAAGTGTCCCTACCAACTGAGGCACTTTTGTGGTTATTCAAAGCCTCAGGACTGTCCCTTCTCTTCTGAGGAGCTCTAAGCTACAAGATGTGTGAATGAACAGCTGCAGGCATCTACCTGCACCACCTCCTGCCTCCATTATTGTCCCTCCTCCCAATTCTGAAGGGGCCAGGGGTCTTAAATTTTAAGGTTTTTGGAGAAAAAAGTTTTATTTAACCTATAAAATTAACCTATGTTAAATTGGTTAAATAAAACTTTTAAAACATAGGTTAAAGAAAGTCAGCCAAGTTCACAATACCCAAATGAAAACTGAGGCAGTTGAAAAATGACAATTTGGTTCTTCATTTTCATTGTTAAGTATTCCAGCAGAAAATTAGAAAAGAACTGCATATAAATGTGAGCTAATCTGTTTGTCTACATATTTCTTTTAAAATTAAATATAATAAAGATATATGCAGTAAAAACAGCAGCATTCATTTCTACAATGACTGCAACCCTGGTTTAAAAGAAAAGATAGTGAAACGTTTTTGCTCTACACTACTATCAGGAAATGAAAAGTGGAAAGGCAGTGATCTGACCATGCTTGAGAAATTCCAAAGGCTTTCAAAAATATCAGAATAACGTGGAAACTAATTCTGGATGTGCTAATTACATAACACAACCTTGCAAACAAGTGCACAAAAGTAAATCTTAATTTCCTAACCATTTTACTCTTCCTCGTAGTGACAGCTTGGGAGTTAAAGTAATGAAATAACCCTATCCTTCTCAACTGGCAAATTTCCATGTAGCTGAGTGACCAGCTTTATACCCCATGCAAGGTACCTTTTCCTAAGCCAGGGAAGAGCGACCTTGAATGTTATTGACACCCCCTTAAGAATGTAAAACAGGAAAAGGAGGAGGGCAAAAGGGTGATTTGTAAGGCAGAAGAGTAACAGAATAGCTGTTGCAAGTTTAGTCACTGCAGTTTGCTTAGAATAGCTGTTGGAGGTATAGATGAAACATGGGTAAGTGAAAATAGCATATTTAACATACAATCAACCTCCCCAACAATTCCAAAGCCAATTTTTCTAAAGGAATAAATACTCTTGTTAAATAATATTCTAACACTAGCAGTACATTCCCCACCATTCTCTATATATCTAAGTCCTGTTTAATCACAATCACCAAAGACCAGTGTGGGGACTGTGAAAATGCCCGTGTTACCTGTCCTTTTCCACAGTGACAGGAGTAGGATAGGACTGGTTGCTTTTATTGCCAGTGCCCAACTGCCCATAAGAATTGGCGCCCCAAGCATACACTTGGCCTTCATCTGTTAATACTAATGTGTGTGCGTAGCCACAGGCGACCTGGAAGGAAAAAAATCCACTCAGGACTGCAAATATAAGTAATTATTTCACTGCTTCCACAAAGTAGGTTAAGAATCAAAAATGAAAAAAAAAGGAAGAGGCAGCCTACCCGTAGGAGAGGCAAGCATTAAGTTAACCAACATCCTTCCAGAACATGTGGGCCAGAATTGCAGTAAGATTGCCATGAGTACCCTGGCGTGAGCACCTGCCCCAGTTCACTAGAGCTTTAATACTCACAGAAATCAAGGGGTATGAGGGGAATGTAAGAAACAGACACTTGTATTTTTTAAATAATTATTTTCTTTTTTGATTATAAAAGTAAAACATGTTCAATTTGAAAAATATAGAAAAATATAAATATAAAAGTACTCTGAATATCAGAGGCATTTTTTTTCTATTTCTATATAGACATAGAGATATGTACCTATAGCATTTTTTTACTGACCATGTTGTATAAGCAGTTCTGTATCTTGCTTCATTTTACCATTACACATAGCAGTTTTCCATGTCATTAAAAATTCTTTGTATACAATACATCATCTCCAGCATATATACTTGGCATAATTTATCTAATCATTAACTTACGATTTGATTAGTAAATTCTGTTACACCTATTTTTTTTATTAAAGTTATCCTCTTTTTATATGTATATGTATCTTCTTAACTAATTCTGTAAGACAGTTACAGGAATTGTTGGTTCCTCAGGGAAATTCCCTAGGAGTAGAACTACAGGTCAAAGGGTATAAAAGCTTTTAAGCTTCCTCAGGAAAGCTTGTAACAATTTATATTCCAAAAGGTATGTGACAGTGCCCTGGAAGAGAAATTTTCTGAACAGCTGCAATTTAATTCAAGGAAAAAGAGACTTAACCTTTACTTTAATGAAGACATCCAAGCAGCTAAACTTTTCATCCTGCCAACAAATCTATGTTTTTAATACATTGATATCTTTGCCAGCGAAGACTTAAAAATACACGCACACAAACTGACAGTGGACGTACCCTCTGGACACGGATGCCTTGCAAAGCTGCCACTCTGCAAGGGGTTGGCTGGTTGCCACTGTTGCCGAGTCCAAGCTGCCCGTTTCCGTTGTAACCCCAGACATAGACCTGAGAGAAAATGAGACCCTCAATCCTCTCAAGAGACAAATGGCCAGCAAGCTGTCTGTTATGTGGGACATACCATACTGGCATGAGACTGATGTGGCAAACACGGTTTTTAAACAAGATGTAAAATAACTTCCTTACCTCCCCCGTGTCTACTACTGCCATGCAGCACATCTGCCCACATGCTATGGTCACAACTACTTTATTTTGTAGGCAGCCAGTGACTCTTCGAGGGATTGGCTGATTAACTGTTGATCCAGATCCTACCTGCCCAGAGTTATTATAACCCCAGGCAAATACCTGTTTAAAGGAAAGATCAGTAAATGAAACAGATTAATTTATAAACTGTCTCAACTGGACACTGACATGTACTTGTGGCACCGAGTCTTTCCTCTCAAAGTGCTTCACATTCATAAATCCTCACAACACAGGCAGAGAAGTGTTTATAAAATGCATTCTTATACAATGTACATGATTTTATACAATTAGGTTATTGGTGTTATCTATACAAACAGTAATAATTACTATTAAATAAAATGTAACACAAAAGTATCTACTTTGCCCCAGCCATCTTTTCCAGCATTTGGGGATTTTTCTTATTGCAAATAACCTCTTTACTACAGCAACAGAGAAGGAACAATACCTCCTTTTAAATTTTGCAATTATGGAAGACCTTACTACGTACAGGTAAATGTCACAACATCAACACCCTGACTGTGAATTGCTACCAAAAATAAGGCTGAATTTGAGGGAGGTGGTTATTTTAATCAAATGATTGTATTTCCAGGACTACTATAGAAGTCTACATAATCTTATTGAAAAAAATCAATGAGCTTTATGCTGACTGTTCTCACCTCTCCATCAGATGTTAGCACCAAAGAATGGTAAGACCCACAGGCAACTTCAATGACTTGTTTGTTTGACAGATTAGTAGAGATATGACAGGGCACTAAACCATGATTAGTTGTCCCATTGCCCAGCTGGCTATAAGCATTATGACCCCAGGTAAAGACTTCTCCTTCTGAAAATAAAAAGAAAGACAATCAGTTTTTTACAACATCTACTTCATTATACGAAAATATATGTAGCACAGCTTCCACAAATGAAATCTAAAAATTCAGGTGCAAAAAGCTAATCAACTTCCCCATTCCACCAAAGTCATTCTACAAAAGAATCTATTTGGAAAGTATAAACTGCATTCTACCTCAAAGCAACAAGGTGAAATTTAAATGCATGCAGTTATAATAACTGGAAAATAAGTTTTTAATAAAGAGCAGAGAAAAGGCTGCTGGGAGTAATAGCAAAAACATTAGAATGAAGTCAAATATTAGAAGGCCACTTAACTCCCCTAGGTCTTAATTTCCTTATCTTTAAAATAATCACCAAGTTGATTTTTAAAAATCTTTGTTATTATTTATTGGGTAGCATAATATACAGAAAAGTTAATAAAACATATATGTACAGTTTTACAAATTAGAAAGCACACACCCATGTACTACTACTTAAGTCAAGAAATATAACCTTATAATCACCCCCCAAAAGGCCCTCACATATGCATCTTGCATACAAATGTTTAGTTTTTCCTGTTTTTGAAATTTAAATAAATGGAATCATACAGTTTGTACTCATTTCATCTGTATTTTCCAGCATGTTGTCTCTTAGTGTTATATTCTGAATAGTGACTTCTCATTTATCTTCTGGTTTACTAATTTTACTAATTTGCTGTGTTCAAACTGCTACAAAATTTGTCCACTGAATTTTCATATTGATAATCATATTGTTCATTTGGATCTTTTCAAATCTTCTATAATCCCTGCAGATTATTTTCAAGCTCATTTTAATTTCTTCAAATAATAAATACAGCTGTCTTATAATTGGTGTCTGATAATTTTAATGCCTGATATTTAGTAATCCGTTCTTGCTGTCTGTTGTTTCTTCTGGTTCCCATTCATGGTACCTTGTTTCCTTGCATAGCAAGCCCCCCTTATCTGCAGGAGATACATTCTAAGACTCTCGTACTGAACCTGTATATACTGTTTTTCCCTATACGTATATACTTATGATAAAGTTTAATTTGTAAGTTAGGCATAGTAAGAGATTAACAACAATAACTAATAATCAAAGAGAACAATTACAAAATGTACTGTTCACAATGTCACAGATAGAAGATTTGTTCTTACCATAAATCTTAACAACCTCAGCATGGAAACTCTCCATTTTTCATTTAAAGCAAGAACCGTATGGTTTCTCTTTGGCATATCCAAATTGCAAGCATCACTACTCTTGCACTTTGGGGCCATTATTAAGTAAAATAAGGGTGACTTGAACACAAGCACTATGAAACCAAGAGAGTCAATCTAATAACTGAGACAGCTACTAAGTAACTAACGGGTGGGAGTGTCTATGGCAGAGATGCTGGACAAAGGGATGGTTCATGTCCCAGCTGGGATGGAGCAAGATGGTGAAATATCACCCTACTCAGAATGGCACACAATTTAAAACTTATGAATTGTTTATTTTGGAAATTTTACATTTATACTTTCAGACCACAGTCAACTGCAGGTAACTGAAACTTGAGAAAGTAAAACCAAGGATAACGGGAGACTACTGTATATCTGGTTATCTCTGACTATGTGCTGCCTATTGCCACTGAACAATTATTTTGGTTAATTCTCTCAGGCCTAGGATAAAGGTGCCTTCCCCTAGAAAGGATCTGCATTAACTTCTATCATGCCCTTAAGGCACTTGCCATCCAGTACCTTGAATAAATTCAAGGGTTGAGATTTCTTGGACCGTTCAGTCTTGATGTGAATTAAACTACAAATCCATGGTTACAACCTTTTGGGGAGAAGTTTTATTTATTTTCTTCCTTTTTTCCTCCTTGCTTCACTCAGAGCAAGGAATTTTTCTAGTCAATCCCTTATGAAGTGGCTAATCCCTACTACTAATGCCAACTACAGCCATCAGTCACTCTTTAGTGTAAGAATCACAGAATGCTAAGAGTTGGCGGGGGGATGTTGGACACAAGGTTTAGTCTTTCAATTCATAGATCAAGAATCCAAAGTTCAGACAGACTTGCCAAAGTCCACAATCAGTTCGTCAGTGTTTACTGGGCTTACAGCGTTGTCATTCATACATCTAAAATGCCAATGATTCCTAGATTCCATCTGCCACATCACCTTATGCTGGCATTCAGATACATTCATGTTTTATGGTATCCAAAACATAGTCAATTTCACAGGAAGAGCTAGCAACTCTCAACCAATTAAACAATGTTCTCAAGGGCAGCTGCGAATAAAGCTGAAATTCTACATGGGGTTCCTAGGTTACCTGTTGTTGCAAGGACAATATGTGGACCACTCCCATAGCTGAGGCAGGCTATTTTTTTGCCATTTAAAGAATCCAGTCTCCGAGGTTCAATGGTGCTCTGGACGTCACCTAACCCCAAACAGCCACAGCAGTTTGTGCCAAGCACAAAAATCTATGGGAAAAACCACTGTTAGTTCAAGCAGTTCTATTTCTAACAAATCTATAAATTACATCCAAACAGGAATCATCTTCCTTAAGCAAACTGCTTCTTTATATAATAAATAAAACCTAATTTCCATGCTTTTTTTTTTAACCTTTTATTCCTTAGTTCCCCCAAGATCTTCAATTTGGCAAATCCATTTCTAAAAATGTGAGTAGCTGATTTATTTTCTTCAAAATTACCTCATCATTTACTGTAGTGTATAAAACTTCATTGCCAGCACTGCCAAAGACACAAGCCTGACGAATTAACTGTAGTTCTTCTTCAGAACAAAGGGAAAAAATTGGCCACTTTCCCACATCTAACATCTTCAAAGATGACAGAGTAGCCTGTACTGGCTGAAAAGGAAAAAATATATGTTGAAATGACAAATTAAAAAGTGAATTTTCTCTGCCCCTTCAGTTCTGTAGAAGAGGGCGAACACTGGTTTTGGGAGGAACACACTGCATCCATTTTTGAGAGGCCTCTCGCAGCTGCAGGGATTGCCTCTGCCAGCTGCTTTTGGGCGGCTCACAGCCATCGAGCAGCGGAGGCCCGGATGGAACCAGGTCTCCCCTACTCATTGTCCTCAAGGACACAGGAGTCATCCAAAGCTGGGCTTCTGGGAACTGAATGTTCAGCAGATACTTTAAATATTGGCTATGTCTTAAAAGTAGCTGTGGAAACTAGGCTGGTTGTAAAAGCAAGAGAGACAGAGAGAGAGAGAGAGAGAGAGAGCTGCCATGTCATCTGCTCTCTAAGTCAAGAACAATGCTTGGTAAAGAACAACGCTGAAAGTGACACCAAGGAAATGGTCCGAAGTTTTAGTTCATGGGCAAGCTTTACTTGGCCTTCAGTTTAAGGAATTGGTGGGTTTCCTCATCCCTCAAGGAAGTTTGGGGGTTGACAGGAATTAACACCCAGAAAACACGTGTACTTGTTTGTTAAGGCAGCCGTAACAAAGTAGTGACAAACGAGGTGGCTTAACCAACAGAAATTTACTGTCTTATGGTTCTGGAAACTGGAAGTCCAAACTCAAGGTATCAGCTAGCTAGCTCCTTCTGAGGGCTGTGAGGGAAGGATCTCTTCCAGGCTGTGCTTCTCAGCTTGTGGATGGCTGTCTTCTCCCTATGTCTGTTCACATCATCTCCCCCCATGCCCTGCATATCTCTGCATCTAAATTTCCCCTTTTTATAAGGACACCAATTATATTGGATTAAGGTCCACCCTAATGACCTCATCTTAACTAACCACATCTGCATTGACCCCATTTCCAAATAAGTTGCACTGTGAGGTACTGGCTGTACTTCAACACATAAATGTTGCAGGGTCACAATTAACCCCCTAACAGCATACATTAAGATCACGAGCACCCACACTCCTATAAGAGGAAGTTATAAATTTGTTTGAAAGAGTTTTACCTATTTGCTACTTAGGAGGCATTTTTATTGATATACTTTTCAACTTGCCAACATTTTGTAGGTTATAATAAGATACATAAACAGCCAATATGTCTATCAAATGGCATGTCTGCTATTTCCCACAGCATCAACAAACTTACACATTATTTAAAGCAACAAAGATTTTCTAAGGCCTCTCTTTCCCATCAGTTATTAAATCAACCTTACCGGGAATGTGGTCTGGTGTATAACTGAGTGGACTATCCACTTACCTTCTACAGATCTGAACACCTACTTGTCCCTTCCACCTTAGGAGAGCACAAGTCAGCAACTCTGCTCTTCTCAAGTCCACACTATTAACTTAGTAAGCCTCCCCTGTCCTCATTACCATGAATTTCTCTGGGGCCACCTTCACAGACTCCTGAGTACACTTCAGGAGGACAGAGACCGAGTCTTTCACCACCATGTCATCCATCCCTTGAAAGGAGCTAACAATGCAATACCTACCTTTGTGTTGGTTAATGAACAAGTAAATGAATGGCTGTGACTCATTTCCAGATTCACAGCCCTCCTTTCCATCTCATCCTCTGTAACTCCTTCACACGGAAGCCATTCCGAAAACTGGGCCCCAAATCCCTGCTCTCGGCTCCAAGCTCTCCATTTCTACTTCACCTGAGCCATATCATCAAACACAACTTTGTTACTAAGTCCTCAAACTTTTAAGTTTCCTTCTGATCACGGCCAACAGTATTAACTTGTATCCAAAGTAAAGTTTGCAGTCAGTAAAGGGAAGCTAGGATGCACGGAGCAGCTGTCCCAATGGCCACTGGACCTAAAGCAAAAACAAGCAGAGCCACCAGCTTTTTTCTTGTAAATAAAGCTTTGTTTTCAGGTTTCTATCTTTTCTGAATAATCTTCATGGCACTATTGAATGCTGTAGCTAAAAAGAGCTCAAAAGATAGTTTTCTGAGAAACCCGAAGAAACCCCAGAGAGGAGCTGCAGTGGGTTGAATGGCTTCCCCCCAAAGTCCAAATCCACCTAGAACCTCAGAAGGTGATTTTGTTTGGAAATAGGGTCTTTGCAGATGTAATGAGTTAAGATGGAGTCATACTGGATTAGAGTGGACCCTACGTCCAATGACTAGTCTCCTTAAAAGAAGACGAGAGGGCACACAGTGATGCACAGGGAAGAAGGCCAGATGACAACAGACACAGGGACTGCAGTAATGCATCTGGAAGTCAAGGAGCAGCAAGGATTGCTGGGGGCCACCACCAGAAGCTGAGAAGATTCTTCCTGAGAGATATCAAGGGAGCATTGCCCTGATGATGCCTTGATTTCAGACTTCTAGCCTCCAGAACTGTGAGAAAAGAAATTTCTGTTGTTTGAATTGTAGTCATTTGTTACAGCAGCACAAAGAAACTAACAGAGAAGACAAGCAGCTTGTCCCTGCTATCAGCATCACCCTGTGAGTTAATGGCAGAGCCTGTACCAGGGCTAAGCTCTCCTGATGCCAAATCTAGTCATGTTCCCTCACGTGCCACTTGGATCATAAGACCTTGCCCTAAAAAGGACACCTTCTGTTATCTTTTGGGCAACACCAACAGTTGGTTCTCCCATTCACTTTTGAAACAGTGCTTACTGTTTCTGCATTTACTTTAATTACAGAGTACTTTGCAAAAAAAAAAAAAAATATATATATATATATATATATATTTACCTCTTAGAGGTAGGAAAATCCACAGGCATTTCCTACAGGACAACCTTAATTTGGAATTTGGAATTCAAAAAAAAATCTCACATATGTAAGAAGTTCCAGTTATATGCAAGTGTAAAACTATGTCCCCAATTTTATTATATATATAATTTTAGGAACACAGTGTTCTATGGTGATGTTACATTAATTGAGGAATCCAAGAATCTTTATTTAAAATTTGTATTTCTTCTCTATGACACTTGGTTTACTGAAAAAAGAGCAACTTGCCCAAGGCCACAATAGAGCTAAGGATGGAATTTTGTTACGTTAGCTTTTAGTTAAGCTTCTACTTTAAATTACCCCACCACCCAATATCATGAAGAAATCTTATTTTCTATGAGGCCTTCGTTTTTAATTTTTTTCCTATTTTAAGTCTGTAAATTTCCAAAAGAACAAGGTTTAGGAAGTGGAACAAGTATTTAATGTAGATGTTAATAATCTAATAATGTCTATATCTTATATCTTATTTCTGATCTTCACAACAATTGTAGGACATAGATATTATTATCCTCATGTTACCTATGAGGAAACTGGGGCACAGGGAGACTAAGTAATCTTTCAAGATCACTAGCTTCTCAGTGGATGAGCCAGATTAAAGCCCAGAGTTCTTTCCACATATCATCTGATTGTTGAGTAAAAAGTTTACATAAACTGTGATACTGCTGGTAGACCTAGTGTTTGCTTGCATCTGCAGGGCTTTGGCTATTCTCAGACTCCTTAAGGAACAGGCAATAATACCTACTGTGGGTTGTCTTCCACAAACAGCACACATGGAAAGATACAATGACTGACGGCTATTTCATTTTTCCCTTGCAAGCAGAGTTTTATATTTCGTCCTGCTCTGCTATAAAATCAAGTGGTTTTCTGGATGTCTAGAATCAGGCTGTAAATTCCAGCCAGCTCTTACATACCTGTCTACAAATGATTAGTTCTAGGCTTTCTTCCTGGCCCACCTGTATAAAAACCTATGGTACCCAGCCCGTAACTCTACTGGCTACTGGGATTCCAATGCGTGTGTTTTCTTTAATGAAACCTCCAGTCTGTAAGTTTTATGAAATGATGCTACAAGTCAAGAGAATGTGGGATCTGATAGTATCATTGACTAAGGTACAAAAATAAGACATGATCATTCTCTTCAAGGAGGTCACAATTTAATAGAAAACAAATAATTACAATATAACCTAAGTACAACAGAGATGTGAATACATTGCTTTTAATTTCTGGCAGAAGGCTGGCTGTTGGAAGTTAGTCATCAAAGACTCAATTTTTAAGTTTGTTAGGGCAACTATTACATAGGGAACTGATGACTAAATTTATAAAATGCATGTATTTGCATTTTTTGAAGTACATATTTAATACAGGCTGAGCATCCCTAATTCAAAAATCTGAATCCAAAACCCAAAACTTTTTGAGCACCAATTATGATGTTCAAAGGTCCTGCTCAAAGGAAATGTTCATTAGAGCATTTCAGATTTCAGGTTTTCAGATTAAAGATACTCAACTGGTAAGTATAATGCAAATATTCAAAAATTAAAAAAAAAATCTGAAATCCAAACACTTCTGGTCCCAAGCATTTCGGATAAGGGATACTCTACCTGTGTCAGTCTCAAGGAATTACAGCATCTTTGTTCACAGAAGCAATATACATTCTTCTGTCCAGCACACTCATGAAACAATGTAGGATTCACACAATAGTCCCCCATAGGAGCCTCAATCTATCTGCAGCCATTCTGCATGACAGCAGCTGTCTCTGCAGAATGACCCAATCAACTCCGTGCCCAACTGTCAAGTAAGAAACTGGCTGAGCAAGAGCCAAGTATGGTCAAGAGAAAAATCTGTATGGGGAAAAAAGCACTACTAAGGAATGAGAGCATGGCAATATGGTGTCCCTAGAATTCAGTCCTGGTTTGGCACAGGTAACCTTCCTTACTGCAAATAACACTACTGCAGGTGATAATTAACCCAGACTGGCTTTCTTTTACTACTTTTCTCACATCTAGTCCACCTCCCCTTCCTTCAAGACCTGGCATCTGTTTGAGAAATGTCAAGTAGTGAAATTTTAATATTAGCTCAAGGAAAACATAATTAAGGAAATACATCTGCCACAAAATTAGAGACCAAATTGCACTTTATTATTCCTTTGAGTGTGTGATACCTGTATAACTATGCTTCTCCAGCAATATGAAGAATCGAGTGTATAACCAAACTTCACTTAATTACAGACAGCTATCAAGTTGTTGCAATTCAATTTAAAATACAGTATATTTAAAGAGAATCAAAATTACGTTAGGCATACCTAGCAAAAAAGAGTTAAGAAAAAATGCCAACACCTCAACTTTTGAGTACTTCCTAGCATTATAACACTTCATATATATTCATTATATTCATTATATCTTATAAATATATTCACTATGTAGTATTCATTATATCATATTCATTCATTATAACACTTTGTATATATATTTGTATATGTTCAATCACTATGTAGTAATAATATAGTAATTTCATTGCTGATTCTGTGAAACTATTCTTTATTTTATGAAAGCTGTTCCTAGGAAAAATTAGGAATTTTTCTGTTAACATTTTTGTAGGACTCTCGAGTTCTATACATTACTTTTGTAAACTACTTTTGGACTTTCCTACAAGGGCTCACAAATGAACACTTAAGTCTGCACACGGTAATGCTACAGTTTAGTTTCAAAAGCTTTGCCATCTTTGTATACAATGCTGGCTTTGCATAATTATTTACAGTTTTATTGAATTTTGACCTGATTTTATTAAATAATAGTGAGTTAATATTAAGCTGTTAATAGCAATAAGCAGATATTATGTAAATTTAACAAAATAACACAAGATGGAAATCAATATGCGTGCAGGAAGATGTGAGGCTTTTAACAACAACTGGACACTGAGTAGACATAAGTTGGTTGACTGTCATGTTCAGATGTGATGAAGAAAGAAATTAAAGAATGTCTATGATGAATTGAGAACATATCATCTAAGATCAGACAGTTTATAATTTTAAAAATCTCTGGGAATGGGATAAACATTGATCAACTCATAGCCTCTTGCAGGCCAGCACTGTCTGAATGCAGGGGATGGCCTTTGCGCCTCATCTGTCACTGTCACCATCGCTGGGAGCCCTTTCTCTTAACCTGAGGTATATCAGTTTCCTGCTGGCCCCTTCAGCATTCTCCATACCCACAACGATTATCTGTTGGCATCTCAGTGATTACACTGTGAGCCCCTCAAAGATAGATAGTATCTCATTGATTTTCCTATCGGTGACCAATAGGTGCTTCATGAAGTATGTTTCATGCAACAGAACACACATGCTCCAAGGGCATGATTTTTTTCTAACCTTGCCACTGTCTCCAGAGAAAAGAGGAAGTTCTTCTTCCATATGGACTCAGTCCTGGGCAGTCCCTGAGGAAAAAGTATGTGGTAAAATCAGGATCCCTTATGTTCGATGGAACCAGGCAGGTTAAAATTACTTTACTTCTAATTAGCAGGGAAAATAAGCTAAGCTCAAATGTTGTGAAAGGAAGATAAAGGAATTAAGCTTTAGGCATGGGAATGAACAGCTATAAAACTCCAAAAATGTTTTAACTGTTCTGGAACTACTGGATGGCCTCTTACGGGAATCTTCCTGCTGAGGTCTGAAAAAGTAGTCTCAAAATTCACATGGGTCCTTAACTCTATAAAGGAAATCAGTAGAAAATTTTCATTTCAGAGTTGACTTCCTGTGATAAGGAAAAATAAATTTTAGACCTTTGTCAACTTTTCTCTGGGATTGGAAAGTTCCAAATCACGGGGAAGAGCGGACATCAATTCTCAGCTCCACAGAAGAATATATGATTTGCTAAGCTGGAAAAAAAAAAGGAGAAATGAATGAAAATGATGAAAAAAATGAATGAATGAATGTGGCTTTGTTATTCTGGACTTAATGAAAAATCTGAAACAACAGCCATCAAATATGTAGCAATGCACTAAATGTTCTTGCCTTAATAACCATGCCCACATCACCTACTTTCTACCAGGTAAAAGTAACAGCAGGAGCAGCTCTAGCAGAAGCTATGCAATATGTCTGGACTGTGGTTTAATCATTATGTAGTTAACGATTTCATCATTAAAAATAAATAAAAATAAAATATTCTCTCTCCTCCAAAAAGCAATTTAATAAGGCTGTATTTAATGATGTTGCTTTTTCTAATTGACGAGGTAGGGTCTATTTACTTAAATACAATCTATTATTTCAGGTACTAACATCAGAACATTTTATCTGGTATTTTCTACAGTAGAGTGAGAGCCTCATAATAGACAGATAAAAACAATAATCAAAATACAGCCAAGTCTAAACAGTGTTCCTTATCAATGTTTTCTATGCCCTTGAGGATATTAGTAATTTTTTTCCTCAGCTATAAAAAGATCTCTCAGAATACGAGAAATCATAATTTATTCAGAATTATTATAACTTAAAATTATGAAAATTAATAGCAAAGTATTACTTTCTAACATTTGGAAACAAGTAAAAAAGATATGCTTGCTTTTTAGAAGATTACTTAGAAGTTTCTCACTTAAAAATTTATAAACCGATCTGATTGACAATATGGAAAGATATTCTGTCATTTTAATTAATACTTACTACATATTATCTATGGCATCTTAGCAGATCTGTTAAAATCCTAATTTTCTCTAAGACCCAGCATGACTGCCACTGAGATTTACATCAATGTGGATCCTGATTACCCAAATGGGCTGGGACCTCTTCTCTGTATTTCCACAGCACTTTTTGTTTTGTTTTTAACTACATTGAAGGCATTTTTCAAATTCTGCCTCATATGACAGTTATTCTTGTATGATGTACCTTCTCTATTAATTGGTAAGTTCTTCAAAAGGGCAGACGATTCCTTCATTGCTATAACCCACAGCCCATGGCTCAGAGTAAAACGCAACGTATTCATACAAAGCATCCTTAGAACCCAGCTTTTTGTATACTGGAACTGGCCTGTAACCAAAGTTCCCTCTCCTTCTGCCTCACCCTATCAGGAAACACTTTTTCCATATTTGCCCCAAGTTTACTGGAATAAAAAATAAAAGGAGAGGAGAAGAAAGAGGGAGAGAAGAGAAAAAAGAAGGGACCAAGTAGAGATGTGACTGCCCCTCACTGCACTACCCTAGGCCCCCTTTCGTTCCTAGCAGAAGGGAAATCTTCCTAATGTGCTAAAATCATGAAAAACCGATCCTGGGCTTTTGAGTAGGAAATAACCTCTTTTCAGTGTCTTTTATCAATTTCAAGTAAAATTAAACTCTTTAAAATTAGAATGGTAGGAAAACAGGCCATTCTGTTTATCTGACATCAGGTTAAGACATAATTGTATGTATGTCATGGAAATTACCACATTCAAAGAAATGACATGCAGGATTCAAATTGAATGAAATGTAAGATTAACATAATTTCATATTTGTCAATCAGAAAGTCCTTCAAGATTTAAAAATAAATCAAGATTAATTACTATTGTATAATACTATTAAAAAGTGTTTTGAATTTTTTAGCATTGTGGGAGATGGTTGGCTTTTTTTTTTACATTATTTCAATGTGATGCATACATAATAAAGAAAACTATCATCCCCAATTTGCATGTATAGTTTGTGCACTACACGTGGAGATTACCTTACCCTGTTATCCATGTGATTTCACCAGGCTATTAACAATATGTTGATATATATACTTAAAATAACAATTCACAATATACATACAGAAAGCCATATCCATGATGTGATAAAATGTATTCTAAATAACAACAGCAATAACAACAGTAAAAATAAAGTTATTCTGTGCCAGGCACTAAGTGCCTCACCTTATTTAATCTTTATAATATCCAAATGAAACAGGTTAATCATTGCCTCCATTTTATTCACACATTTCAGTAACGTGACCAATAGTCACCAACCAATCAGTGTCAGAGCCAGTATTTGAACCAGGACTATTCCAAAGCCCTTGTTTTGGGACCCTCCACTGTATTTCAGGGCTAGATACTTTAAGTTTTTCTTGTGTACATTCTCAACAGTTCTATTTTATACTGACTGGCTGGGAGCATTCCCTCCAAAAACTTTTGTACCTGATTGTTTTAAATTTCTGGAACCCAGTATTCAGTCATCTTTAATCCTGTTCCTTTTAGATCCTTGTAAAGTTGTCTTCTAGAGCAAAGTTAATGTGACTGGAAATATAAATACACAAATAAATTCTATTAGAGAAAAACAGAAGGAAAAGAATATACTGTCTTGCACATTTAACAATCCATTCTTTATCTGAGAAAAATACAGCTTAAAAATTGTATCTGTGCTATCTACTATTAAAAAGTCAGCAGCAGAGATGCTCTATTATAAAAATACTAAAGTTATAAAATGTAACTTTAGAATATCATACTTTATAAGCTTCAGGAGAGGGTTTCAACAATTTGGACACTGAAACACATGAAAAAATGCACACTAAGGAGAATTTAATCTATAGTATTTCCATATGGAAAATAAAAGAGAATCCATGTGGAAATGTAAAAAAAAGCAAAACTTTCAAACTTTTAGAAGTATAGAAATATATTTATGACCTCAGAGCAGTTAAAGATTTCATACATAAGACAGGAAAGCATAAAACACAAAGAAAAGAGCAGTAAACTTGAACAAAAGGAAAAATATGCCACAGAATGGGGGAAGATATTTGTAACATGCATAATGGACAGCTTGGAAAGGATCCATACACAAAATATATAAAGAATGCCTGCAAATCAGTAAGAATAAAACAAACGACACAATTCAAAAGTGAGCAAAGGATTCATGATATATATATATATATATATATATATATATATATATATATATATATTCAGTTATATATGTATATATAACTGAAATTTCACAAAATAATTCTTACTCCTCCTACATGAGATGCTTGATATCTTTTCCATTTTTCTACTTTATGCTATTTTATTCTACCCTACTCTATCCTATTTTATCTTGTTCAATTTCATTTTAAAAGAAAATGCTGATCTCAGCCCACTAATTTCCAGATCACTAACAAGTCCTGCAATTTTAGCAACACTGCCCTAGATAAACTCTAGAGCATACACACAAATATTCCCAATAGCAAAAAGCAAGAAAGAACAAATTGATCAACAAAACCAATAAACTGTGGCATATGCATACTATATAGCTATTAAAATAAATTATCTAGAATCAAAACAGGTATATCTACAAAACAATGTTCACCAAAATCACTAAGTCACAAAATGATACATATGGTATCATTTGATAACATTTGATATTTGATAACATTTTAAAACATGCAGAAGACAGTACTATTTTAATGTGTTATGGATACCAACATATGCATGGCTAGACTTTGATGGGAATTTTTTCGTGGGGAAGTTTTGGTGGAGGGAATACCAAAGATAAAAGGTCCCATGTAACTCTGTCAATGAATTGGTATGCTACAGCTTTTCCATCTGACAAGATGGTTTTCAAGATTTTAAGCTTAAATTAATCATCTCAGGATGGAGAGATTAAGGTTACCCAATGTTAAAGAAAATAAACTCTTAAAATGAGAATGCTATCATTCTAATTTTGCCTTTACCAAGGACATGGAAATTCAATAAACGTTTGGTAATGAAAACTCATAAACTATAATTTCTTTAGCCATCTGTAAAATAAAATTGAATCAATACCCTAGGAAGGCCAGGCATGGTGGCTCACACCTGTAATCCCAGCACTTTGAGGATCGCTTGAGGCCCCCAAAAGTTTGAGACTAGCCTGGGCAACATAGGAAGACACCGTCTCTACAGAAAACTTAAAAATTAGCTACACGTGGTAGTACACGCCTGTAGTCCCAGCTACTTGGGAGGCTAAGATAGGTGGATCGCTTGAACCCAGGATGTGGAGGCTGCGGTGAACCATGATCACACCACTGCACTCAGCCCGGGTGACAAAGATCTTATCTCAAAAAATAAAAAATAAATAATTTTTTTAATGAGCTATGATCGCACCACTGCACATTAGCCTAAGCAACAGAGCAAGACTCTGTCTCTAAGAAAATAAAAATAGCCTGGGCGCGGTGGCTCATGCCTGTAATCTCAACATTTTGGGAGGCAGAGATGGGAGGATTAATTGAGGTCAGAAGTTTGGAGACCAGCCTGGCCAACATGGTGAAACCCCATCCCTACTAAAAATACAAAAATTAGCCAGGCGTAAGAGTGTGTACCTGTAGTCCCAGCTACTTGGGAGGCTGAGGCAAGAGAATCACTTGAACTTGGGAGGCAGAGGTTACAGTGATCCAAGATCACACCACTGCACTCCAGCCTGGGTGACAGAGTGAGACTCCATCTCAAAAAATAATAATAATAAATAGATTTTTTTTAAATAGGAGGATTAAATAACATATCCAATGAGTAGCATTTATACTATTGTACCTGTAAGAAAAATCCAAAATAGTTAAAAAAATGTTTAATATCAGTGTATTAAAATGGCAAAAATGTGCTTTCTACTTATGGTCTAAATCTGCTTACAAATGTCCCCCCTTTTCTGCATAGGAGGGCAATGTTTCTTGTAGAGCCAAGGCAGAAGCTGGCAACAGTATTGGGAAGATTTTCTTCATAGTGACAGTGTTACAGCATAAGATCATCTCATATCATCTTACTATAGGATGACAGTAATATTATCTTACTATCTTACTATGTGTTACTTTATTAGTTTTTCCCTTATATGTTTGTTTTGGGATATATGACTTGGCTCATATATATATATATATGATATATATATATATGATATATATTTATATATGATATATATATATGATATATATTTATATTAAAAGGTGCTTTGTTCTTTGCAAAACAGTCTCCTATGTTATTTCCTCATTTTATTAAAATGTAACCTAAAACTGTTTTTACAGAATCTTATTATACTAATGTTTGCCTTGCAATATAAATAGAAAATGGAATGATAAGTAACCTCTCCACGCAGAAGTTCCTGCCACTGATCTCTGTCTTTAAAGGTTCCAAATGGGACACTCGGTGGCCAGTAGTTCAAGTCTGTACAAAAGTAATGTTTCAAAGCCAAATATATATCAAGTAAGGTAATCTGTCACATGACATTTCCTATTTCAGCTGTTTTCCTAATTGTACGGTTCACTAATTTATTTTTAAAGTATCCCTGTTTGGGGCAGATAACTCCTTATTTCTATATATTCTATGTTGAGAGTTTTCTCTACACTTTTAAAAACTACACAGTTGAAGACTACTGAACAAGGGGACACTCTTTTGATAATGTGATAAACACATTCATTCTTAATCCTCACATAAAGTCAAATAATTCATTTGCCTGTACAAAAGATATAACAGGCAGTCTGTACATATTATTTGTGGCAAAGTAATCAGTATTAATCAGTGTATCTGCTACACAATGTGTTATATTACTCGGTAATACCTCTGACCTAAAAAATGAGTTAAGCTGATTATGGGACATAGGTTCATTTGCCTAATTCATTCAACAAATATTAATTCAGTGCCTGCAGTAGGCACTGAATTGAAAGCAAATACATGAGAGCAAACAGAATAACGTAGAGCAAAACAATATCCAGCTCTCTTAGGGACTTCTGTCCACATTACCCCAACCCAATGGTAGGTTTTAAATGCTGACATTTTGCAGTTAATCAGGGGCTTCTAAATGCTAATAATTCTTCTTTAGAAGTGATTACAGAAGAAGGGGTGAAAAAAAATAGCAATTCCTGCAGAGAAGTCCCAGTATTACATATTTTAAAATTCAACTTAATGAGATCAACTCTAAAGCTATGCTTGAGAAACACACTGATATTTTTAGAATTCTCTCAATATAGAACTCTATGCTTAAAATTATCCCATCTGGGTGGGTAACACATTTGATGATGCTTTTATAATCAAAAGAAACAGGAAATTAAATAATATCGATATCTTTTAGGGTACCAGCATGCAGTTTACAGCATCGGTGTGTTAATGAGCTGCAGACCACATAAATTTCAATAGGATAATGATGGTTCCCAAATATATCCTTAGGTGAGTCATTAGATAGTATCTTTAATAGCTTTTTAAGGGTCATCTTCAAGTTATAAATAATATAAATACGTATACAATAAAACATGATCCCAGTTTTCACTTGCAAAAAGGGATAGTGTTAGCTGTAATATTAGCTCCACTTAAATGAGATGTCTAAAATCAATGACAAGTAACAGTAAAATACCTACATGGCTAATTAAAATGGAACAATTATAAACAGGACGGACAAAACTAAAACACTAAAAGCATAACTAAAACTAGCACACAACCTCAAAGGAAATGGTATTGTCATATGTTCATGAAAAACAGAAAACTGTTGTGTAGAATACAGAAACCCTGTTGCTATTTTAATTATTTGTTTTTTTAAAAAGTTTTCCAAATTTCAACAAGAGTGATGAGTCAGATCTTCAGTACAAAGCAAAGCGGTATTTAATTGAAAAGATTACTGAGCTTGACAACTTCAGTCTTTTCAGCCACACACGGCAAAAGTGTCATTTTCAAATATGAAAAATAACCAACATAAATGATAAAAATATTTTTAAGTTGTTATATGCACTAATGTGAGTTGAGATTTGAGATCTCATTTGTAAATCCATTTTAAATCTCGGTCCTTATAGATTTAATCCAATTTTTCAAAAAAAAATCTTAACACGCCTGCTACAGAGATCCTAATTGTTAAAGATCTTTGACCCACAGCATATATATTCCTTCAACATGGCAGGCCCTCTTGGCCTTGGCTCATTTCCACTTGAGATTGGTTTTGTTCAGTATTATATACATACATACACGCAGCATAATACAGGACATATTATAATGCAGTCAAAATTTATGTTTTATTCACATACTATCTCCTACTGGTACTTGTTAGCTCAAAACATCTTCCATAGGGAGATATACATAAGAGATATTAGCTCAGGCCAATTAGCAAGGCTGAAGACGTAAAAGAAACCCACTCTAATGTCAAATTAATGCTGAAAAATTATTATGGTTTAAGTTTCCTGGAAACTTTCACGTTGTTAGAATGTGATCACCATGTGAACTAGATACATGTTCCTTCCAGACAATGAAAGCTGGAAGTATCATCTCAGCCTTCCATTGATGGACATTATCAATATCCCTTACCAGGAGGCAAGCCATCCACTCCTTTGAAGTAAAATCTCCAAGTAGAACTCTCTTTTAGTCTTTAACAAGAGTCCTTAATGTCACTCTGTAACCCCAATAATTCCTGGTCTCCAATCTACCTTTTCCTGGACAATTTTAATCTGTAGCAATATTTATTTATTTATTTATGAGATGGGGTCTTACACTATTGCCCAGACTGGAGTGCAATGGTGTGATCATGACTCACTGCAGCCTCAACCTTCCCGGCTCCAGTGATCCTCACACTACAGCCTCCCAAGTATCTGAAACTACAGGTGTGTGCCACCATGCCTGGCTCATTTTTTTTTTGTTCGTTTTTCTGTAGAGACAGAGTTTTGCCATGTTGTCCCGGCTGGTCTCTAACTCCTGGGCTCAAGAACATTTGACTGCCTTGGTCTCCCCCAAAGCGCTGGGATTACAGGTGAGCCACCGCGCCCGGCCTGATTTGTAGTAATTTAAATCCAAGTAAACCTCAACAGTAGCAGTATCTTGGGGCATTTAAATTTTACTTTAACCAACTGATAAAACCAAACTTGAATATGACAATTTCATAGGGCATAAGCAAATTCCATGGACTCCTTACATTTATGGTCCTAGATTAATAATATTTTGGTGTTTGAACAGAGTATTTGTAATCTATGTAAGTAAAGGACATGAGGGGAAACACACTTTACTTTCTAAAATTATTCCTCTCCATCACCCTCTTTCTCTAAGCCTTCTTTAATTATGGATTGAAATTTAGTTAGGTCTATCTGGTTCATTCAGATACCTGTAAGAGAGGTCATTTATAGCATAACATCACACCAGGTGATTTAAGCTCCTCTCCTACACAGTTTCAAATACAGAAAAGCAATGACCATTCTTAGAAAAGATCTTCACTAGTCATCCACAGTCAGAGGGACATTTAGAAGCAATTGCAAAAACTGTGGAGACAACGTACAGTTTTTCTCAGCACAATTTACATAGATGTCTGGCTAGCTCTTCCTTGTAAAAGTCCAGTGTCTTCATTTGATGTGCTAAGTTAAACTGTAAACTCCTGAATAATTTGAACTCTTATTTAGGAAAAAAATGTTTTTTCACCTATATACTATAAAAAATGGTGACGTTTATCACAAGGGTCATGCCGTGGGCTCCCATAAAAGACATTGTAGAGCACGATAAAGAACGTTTTCTCCCAGAAGAACATTTATTTCTAAAACCCAGTTCCCCATGTTAAACATCACCTTTGGTTTATCCTTCAGACTCACCGTACCCATGATGTTTAAAATTGCAACCCACACCTGCACTCCCAATTCCCTTTCTCTGTTCTCCTTTTTCATTTTTTCATAGCATTTGTACTTTTCTAACCTAATATACAAATATGTTTTTTATCATTCTTTGCTAGAATGTAAGCTCCAGAGGGAAGGGATCTTTGTCTCTTTTGTTCATTGATGCATCCCAAGCATCAAGGACAGGACGTGATAGAAAATCAATTTTTGTTGAATAAATGAATGAATCTAGGTTGAGTTCAGTAAAAAAATATCTCTGGAGTAAGTTAGTTTCCAATTTTATTTCTACAATTAACAAATACCTTCTGAGCTTCAATTATGGTGGAGATAGATTGATCATACCCTTACAAATATATAATATCAGATGGTGATTAAGTGCTACAAAGCCGAACCAGCAGTACAAGAGTTTGGAGAGCCAGACATTTTAGGTGAGGTAGTCACCTCTCTGAAATGATGGCAATTGTTTCAAGACTTAAATAAAGTTCTGTGCCATGCAGATTTGCGAAGAGTGGGAAAGTGAGCATTGAGCATACTGGAAATACCAAACGCAGACGCCCTGGGATGAGGGTCCGCTTGGCGAGCCCAGCAAGAGCAATAAGGCCTGAGTGGTGGAAGTGGGGTATGCAAGAACGTATCATTCTTGTTGCTTTTACCTGCTGCTTAATAACACGCATGTACTGTCTAGCAGGAAATAAAGAGATTACGTTTCACCTAGAATACTCATTCTCTGAGCCTAAGTGGCTCTTCTATTCCAGCCCCCAAATATCTGTATCAGCACATCATATAAGATTACAAAGCACAGAGTAATGACATTGTTAGAAACTCTTCACAGTAGCCCCAGGAGTCACGAAACTGACTTAACTAAGACCCACTGTCTAGTAAGGTGTAAAACCCAGCAGGAACGCAATACTAGGAAGGTGCAAAGCCAGGAGGCTCAATAAACGTTAAACAGTGTCTGGGGGAAAGAGCAACGATCCAGAGCACTGTTTGTGAACTCAACCACTTTTATTCAGCTCTGACAAGGTAAGTCGCCAAGCGCGGTACAAAGTAGCTCCATGAAATGCGTTTTGTTATAGTCCTGGTCTCGAACTGTTGCAACATTTTATGTAATTTTTGCAAAGAACAAAAGCAAAAAGTTCATTCTAAATTAGCCTTCCAACTCAGTTCTTTCTCCGCCAAGACGGAGCACTTGGAAAGTTTTCAATGTCTGAAAACCTCTATTTCCAGGGCTGAGCAGAGCACTATGTTGCGGCTTAAGACGCTCGGCGATTTCTTCCCATCCCTCCGCAGTTCCAAAACGGCTTCGCCTAACAAAGTCAAACTTTTCGCGCTATTCCTGGACATCAGGACCAAATGTCGAAAGCATATACTGCCACTGAGTTAGTGAGCCGGGCCGGTGCCCGGGACCTGGGGTACTAGATTTATGGGACGGGAGCCTAGGGGTCGAGGCCACAGAAATGAAAACATCGGCAACATATGCAGTGCAGCGAGTGGGTTAGGAGGGAGAAACTTCAGGCAGGACGCTCCCTCGGGACCTGTGACGCCCCCCCAGCCACACCAGACGTGGGAGCTTAGGATGAGAGCGGCCTCCGAGCAGATGATCACCCTGGAACGACGCCAAACGCGACCCCTACCAGAGGACTCGCGCATGCGCAGCGCAGCCTGGGCCGGCGGCCTGGGCAGGATGTAGTCGCGAGCAGCGCACCGGGCCCACGCCAGCGGAATTGCGCATGCGCAGGGCCGCCTCTGCCTGCGGCCTGGGCTGGGTGTAGCCCCGGAACCTAGCTCTTAACTCCCGCCAGCAGTTTTACGCATGCGCGACGACGCCTAGGCCTGTGGCACGGTCGCGGCTCTAGTCCCCTGGGCCCCTCAGCTGTCTCTGGCGGGGAGGTCGGGCCGCAGGGGCGGGGAGGGGTGGCCTGCCCCAGTGGTACCTGACAGCATCCCACGTCACGGCCGCGATCCCCCTCGGCCTCCCACACCACTCCTCCACCCTCTTACCTCCTCGCAGGCCGGAGCCTTGTCCGCTCCGCCTCCTGGGTAGCGGTTACTGCACGGTCAGGGGCCCGGCGCCGCGATGAGTTGGCGCCTCCCCCTGAAACGGCCCGGCCTCGGCGGGATGCGCTCGGGTGCCCGGCCGAGACGGAAACGAAGGGAGCGCAGACAAGAGGAGGGGGCTGGCGACGGCGTCTCGCCCCTCCTCTCCTCCCTAGGCTGCCCACCGCCGCCCCTCCCCTTTCTCGCAGACGCCCCCTCCCCTCGGAGTTGACCCCCGGGAGTCTCCCATTGGGGCCGCCTCCGCTTTTCCAGGGAGTTCCTCCGTGGGTCACCCCCACCTTCTCCAGGGTTATGTTCTCGCAAATTTTGGGAATTTGTGGATACCCGACCTAGAAGGATAAGGCGTGTATGATGCTGAGAGCAACCTTTTCCACAGCCCCTCTCCTCCAGCCTGCCCCAGCTTTTCTTCTATTGCTGGCCCCTCTATCTGGGGGCTCCGATCACTTCACGTTTTCACCCCATTGCTGTGGGGCGGAAGTCTTGTAGCCCCCTGTAGTACAAATGCTGAAATAATGAGGATGTGTGCTGGGGGGTTCAGGGGGATGACCTCAGTTACCTTGGGGCCAAGGGCTTCGAAAACAGCCACCTTCTCCCCTTATGATTATATTTTGCAGTAATTTATTATATTACACTGCACTTCTGTTGGCCTTTGTAGATTTAAGTAAAATGCACCACAACTTTGCAGTGTGCAATAATTTCTTCCACTGCACTACACTTAAATTGACCTGAGTGGGTTTTGGTTAAATGCTCAACAATTAAATGTTATTAGCTATTCCTGTGAAGTAAGCTACTTGCTTTTATACTGGCTGTTTCATGAGGACACTGGTTCCTCTACAGTGTAGAGCCAAAAGTAGTAAAGCCAAAGAGAAAAACTAACATTCCAAACCACAGTGACCGTGTCAGTCTGTTTCGTCTGGCTTTTGTCATTTCTTCGGAAAAACATCATTCTAAAATGTATAACTGCCTTTCTGCTACATAGGGCAGACATTTATCTCTATTCTCTGAGCATAGCCCACTGAGCCTCAGAAGGAGGCACGCAAAATGGTACACAGGTATTTCTTGTAGAGCTCTAAATGGAAGAAAAAGTAAGTATACATTAACAGGAAGTTGCAGCGATAGTGCAGAGAGGCATCGTGTGCCTGCCCCAAGTTTCTCCACTGGTTACATCTTATCAATGAAAGAAATTTATGAGTTAAACAGGTTTGCTCTCAGAAAAAGCTCACTTCAGTGATGATAGCTGGCATTTTTTTTTTAAGCACCTATTGTGTGCCAAGAGGTTTATCTTATTTGGAGCTCACAATAATCCTGTAAGGCAAGGATTATCCTTACTTTACAGATAAGGCAACTCAGGCCCCAAGAGATTAAGTTTCTTTCATCAGCAACCATGGCAAGATCTGTTTGCCTTGCGCACTTGGTCTTTTACGCATTATGGACAGCTGAAGTTCATGCAGGCCTTACGGTGTGCTTCAGCTGAAGCCTGACAATTAGCTAACAATAAAAACATGTCTTAGTGTTTTGAAAACTGTGATATTATCTCAGAAGTTAAAACTTTAAAATATACCTATAAAAGAATGTGTTTCACTAAAGATTTTAATTTTATATGGGTCCAACAGTTTTTCCCAGGGCGGTCAAAATTAAAAGTAAGAAGTAAAAATGTCTCCATCACATATAAGTTTCCTTCAACACTTTTGGATAATTTGGTCTACTAAACTTCACTGTATTGCTGAATTCAGTAGACTAAAAATTTAGACTCTGAGAGAGTATAGGTTAGTATTTCAGGAGTTAAAGTTCCCATCACCACATCTCCCAAGTTTACCTACATCTGTACCTGTGCACTCTATTCCTTCCCATTACTGGGAATGAGCTGTGCATGCTCTTATTTAAGTTCAACTCTTCCACCTTTGTATTAGATCCTGTCTTCCTTACAGTCTCAAGGTTTTCACTCAGGTAGTTGTCACCTCTCAATCCTACATTATTAATTTTTGTATCATTAATTTTTGGATCATTCCCATAAGCATATTAACATTGCGCAACATTTGCCTATCTTTTAAAAAGTTCCTTGATTATATGTCCCCTATCAGCTACCAATGTGTTCTCTGGTCTCTTCCAAAATGTCTTAAAAGAGTCACTTATACTAACTGTATCCTCATCCCCTCCTCCTATTCATCCTCTTTTTTTTTTTTTTTTTTGAGATAGAATCTTGCTCTGTTGCCCAGGTTGGAGTGCAGTGGCGCAATCTCAGCTCACTGCAACCTCCACCTCCCGGGTTCAGGTGATTCTCATGCCTAAGCCTCCCAAGTAGTTGGAACGGCAGGTGTGTGCCACCATGCCCAGCTAATTTTTGAATTTTTAATAGAGATGGGGTTTCGCCATGTTGGCCAGAATGGTCTAGAGCTCCTGACCTCAGGTGATCTATCCACCTCAGCCTCCTAAAGTGCCGAGATTATAGATGTGAGCTATCATGCTTGGCCCTCCTATTCATTCTTGAATCTATTTCAGCCAGGCTTTTGCCCCTACCCCTCCATTGAAACTCCTCTTGGCAAAGTCACCAATGACCTCAGAATTGCTAAATCAGTGGTTACTTTTCCATTATCTCACCTGAACTATCAGCAGCATTAGAAGCATTTGCTTACAGCTGCCATCTTGAAGCATTCATCTTCTTCTGTTGGCCTTCAGGTGGCCCCTGTCTCTTGGTTCGTCCATCTCACTGGCAGCTCCATTGGCTCATCCACCACTTCTCCAGCCATTGGCATACCCAGAGTTTGGTTCTTGGACTTCTCTATCTTCTCGTTCCCTTAGTAATTTTATTTCAAGACATGGTTTTAGTCCTGCCACTTCTTATGTCCTAACAAGTTCATGACACTACTCTTGTGAAACTAGGAGCCCTTGTCCTTTTCCAGCCCACAATGGGGATCTAGCTGCAATAAAAGTCTTCCCTTTCTTCCCTTTTTAAACCCCCTAATTACTTCTGCTTTTGGGGTATCTTTAAGCCTCCTTTAGTTATCCAAAAGCAGAGGAATTCATCTTGCTTTTTTCTTTTCAGGTATCCAGGCACCAAGGCCCTAATCACAAGAAAAGGTGGATGGGGCCGTCTTTTGACTTTTTCTTGGAAATTCAGAAAGTCTAATTACGCTTCAGGGAAGAGGAAAATGTTCTTTTTTTCCTCTTTGCGTCTCCAGAACAAAAATTTAGCACCAGTAAATTTCTACATCAGTCTGCTTGTTACAGATTGAATGCATGAATGAATGACTGCAAGCAGCCTGCACTTTGGTGCCCTAAGTGCCATTGATTAGGTGAATGACCTTGGGTAGCACCTTAGTTTTCTAGAACTTAAATTCCTTCAGACTCCATTAAATTGGTGCACTGCCCAGCTCTGTGTTTTGTAGAGGTATCAGTCACACTGCACCTTTACTGATGCATGCTATTACCATGCTGTATAGAATTGTGCATGTCAGCATGGTATTATAATTGGTGTTAGAATATAAAAGTGATAAAGATGATAATAGGCACATATACACTTACTGTGGCAATAGTGAAAGAATGACAAAATACCAAGAGGTGATCAGAGAAGGCTTTCCAAAACAGATTACTTTAGCATTAAGTTTTCAGTGTGGGCTGGGTGCCATGGCTCATGCCTGTAATTCCAGCACTTTGGGAGGCGGAGATGGGCGGATCACTTGAGGTCAGGAGTTCTTGATCAGCGTGGCCAACATGGTGAAACCCCGTCTCTGCTAAAAATACAAAAATTAGCCAGGCATGGTGGTGGGTGCCTGTAATCCCAGCCACTTGGGAGGCTGAGTCAGTGTGAGTTAGCTAAGAGAACAAAGGTTAGGGATGGAAGTGTTAGGGAAGGGAAGTAGTCTAAGTAGAATAAGAAATATGATGTGTTTGAGAATTATAAATTGCTCAGTAAGGCTGAAACAAAGGCTATATGGAGGGAATAGGGCAATGGTAGGAAATTAAAGTAACCATTCATTCATGAATGGACACTAAGGATGATTCTTTATCTCAACAATTGTGAATAGTGCTGCAGTGAACATGGGAGCACAGATATCTCTTCAACATACTGATTCATTTTTGTTGGACATATACTCAGTAGTGAGATTGCTAAAAATAGTCCTATTTTTAATTTTTTGAGGACCTCTGTACTGGTTTTCGTAATGCCTGTACTAATTTACATTCCCATCAACAAAGGTTCCTTTTTCTCCACATCATTGCCAACACTTGTTATTTTTCATCTTTTTTATAATAGCCATCTTTACAGGTGTGGGGTGATATCTCATCGTGGTTTTAACTTGCATTTCCCTGATGATTAATGATGTTGAACTTTTTTTCATCTACTTGGCCATTTGTAGCTCTTCTTTGATAAATGTTTATTCAGGTCCTCTGCCCATTTTTAAATTGGGTTGTTTTATTGCTACTGAATTGTTTGAATTCCTTATATATTTTGGATATTAACGCCCTAACAGATGCATGGTTTGCATATATTTTCTCCAACTTGCTAGCTTTTCTCTTCACTCTGTTGATTGTTTTCTTTGCTGTACAGAAGATTTACAGTTTGATGTAATTCTGTTTGTCTATTTTTGCTTTAGTTGCCTGTGCTTTTGGGGTCATCTTCAAAAAAATCATTGCCCAGACCAATGTCATGGAGTTTTCCCCTACGTTATAGTAGTTTTATAGTTTCAGGTCTTAAGTTTTAAGTCTTTAATCCATTTTTAGTTGATTTTTGTATTTGGTGTGAGAAAAAGGTTTCATTTCATTCTTCTGCATATGGCTATCCAATTTTCTTACACCATTTTTTTGAAGAGACTGTTCTTTTCCCATTGTGTTCACAGCCTTGTCAAAAATCAATCAGCCTTAAAAAAAAAAAAGACAATTCTGTCATTTGTGACAACATGGATGAACATGGAGGTCATTAAGTAAAATATCACATGATCTCATTCATATGTGGAACCTTAAAAAGTTGAACTCCTAGAAGTTAAGAGCAGAATGGTGGTTACTAGGGGCTGGGGCTGGGAAGGATCAAGGAGATATTGGTCAAAGAATAAAAAAATTCAGTTAGGTAGGAAGAATAAGTTCAAGATACCTATAGTACAATAGGGTGATTGTAGTTAATAACAATGTTTTGTATATTTACAAATTGCCAAGAAAGCAGATGTTAAATGTGCTCAGCAGGCACACACAATGATAAGTATATGAGGTAATGCATATATTACTTAGCTTGATTCAGCCATTTCATAATGTATCCATATACGACAAGATCATGTTATACACCGTAAATATAAAGAATTTTGTTAATTAAAAAATAAATCTGTAAAAATTAATTGTTTAAAATAGCAATAATTTTTTTTTTTTTTTTTTTTGAGATAGAGTCTCCCTCTGTCACCCAGTCTGGAGTGCAGTTTCACGATCTCAGCTCACTGCAACCTCTGCCTTTCAGGTTCAAGTGCTTCTCCTGACTCAGCCTCCCAAGTAGCTGGGACTTCTGGCATGTGCCACCATACCCAGCTAATGTTTGTATTTTTAGTGGAGACCGAGTTTCACCATGTTGGGGCCTGGGGAGTCACGCCCTCCAAACCATAGTCTCATCAGACGGGTTTTACTTAGTGCTATATAACGTGGTCTACTTTCCAATCTGACTCTGGCATAATATCACATGATAGATAAGTAAGCAAATCAAAATATTTTAAGCCCAAATTTATTTTCTTTGCCATATCTTGAAATAGTCTTGCAAAGCTGACTTGTGGGGAAAATCTGTATTTTAAAGAGAATCTTCCTTCTCCCTCCTTTTTCCTGTTCCAGGAGAGAATCACCTCTGATAAGAAACTTTTATAATCTATTCTCTCTGATGCCTGCTACCTGGAGACTTCCTCTGCATAATGAGAACCTTGGTCTCCACAACCCCTTATCTTAACCCAGACATCCCCTTCTGTTGGTTCTATCTGCATAATGGAAACCCTGGTCTCCATAACCCCTTATCTTAACCCAGACATTCCTATCTATTGATTCTAGGTCTTTAGACAATAATTTAACTCTTTCGACCAATTGCCAATCAGAAAAACTTTGAATCTACCTATAACCTGGAAGCCGCTCCTTCCAGTTGTCCCATCTTTCTAGACTAAACCAATATACCCCTTATATGTATTGATTGATGTTTTATGTCTCCCTAAAATGTATAAAACCAAGCTTTATCCTGACCACCTTAGGCACATATTCTCACAATCTTCTAAGGGCTGTGTCATGGGCCATCTGTCACTCATATTTGGATCAGAATAAACCCCTTCAGATATTTTACAGAGTTTGACTCTTTTTGTCAACATTACAGTTACTGGCAACTTAAGTCATTTTTGCCCCATCCTACAGGTGAGATAGTGGAGACCTAGGTAACTTGCCTAAGGTCACATAAGTAGTAAGAGGTGGAACTAGGACTCAAATCCATCTTTGATTCCCATCTGGAGCTCTTTCCACTGGACCATGAGGCCTCTTTCCAAATGAGATGTAAAGGTAAATGGGCCAAATAATAGAAGGCCTTGGCAATGTAACAGCAAGATGTATCATAGGATCTAACAAAATATTTTAAGCAGGAGGACAACATGATGGCTCACCATCATGCCAGTGGGGAGAAGGGTGAGCCTGGAGCCAGGGAAACCACTTGAAGACACTATTGCATCAACCCTGGCAGGACACCAGCTGTCCTTGAATTCAGTGTTAACAGTGGCATGGGCTTAAAGAGAGAGGAGAACATGGATTTGAGAAAATTTTAGAAGTTGAAATTAGCAAGACTGGATATAAAGAGTAGAAAATGGCCAGGTGTGGTGGCTCACACTTGTAATCCCAGCACTTTGTGGGGCTGAGACAGGAGGATGGCTTGAGGCCAGGATTTCAAGACCAGGCTGGGCAACACAGTGAGATCCTGTCTCTACACACACACACACACACACACACACACACACACACACACACACACACACACAAGAACTTAGTGGGATGTGGTGGCTCATTTCTGCAGTCTCAGCTACTAGAGAGGCTGAGGTGGGAGGATCACTTGAGCCCCAGGAGTTCAAGGCCACAAAGCCTTAATTGTGCCACTGTATTCCAGCCAGGGTGATAGAGTTTTCCAGACCCCACAACTCAAAAAAAAAAAAAAAAAAAAAGAGTAGATGTGCAACACTTGCAGGGAATAAAAAAAAATAAAATAATGTGAACTTAGTAAGTCACTTAATATTCTAGGGGCCTCAAAAATCTTTACCTTTAAAAATGGAGGATTAGACTTAGTGTTTCCTTAATATTTTAAGATTTTTGCAAAGCCAACCGATAACAAAATGTGATAAAGATGGCACGTTGTTTGCATATTAAGTAGGAAAAATATACTAAATAAAATGTAACAAATAGAAACTAGCAATACTTTTAAAAATATATTGTACAATTACCAAGATTGGGTTCCTTTCAGTGATGTAAATATGATTCAGTGTTAAGAAATTGATTAATATATTCTTCCATAATAATAGGTCAAAGGAATAGAAATGTTTTAATTCATGATGAGAAAAATGTTTGATAAAATTTAATAGTCTGTAATCATTTTTGATCAAAGAAATCTTTAGTAAGTGGCTACATACGATGAAAGCTAGGTTCATGCTTAATAGTTGTAAATCAAAAATAAAATTCTAAGCCCCTCAACCATCTGAACGGACCCCTCCTCTTGGCCACGTGCACTCCAAGTTAACCTGAAAACCTAGTTCAGGCCATGATGGGAAGGAGGGGTCAGACGTGCCTCATTATACCCTCCTCCCTTTTGGAATTCAGGAAAAGCCAGCCAGCATTAACATTAACTCAGACCTTCAATCTGATAAGAAACATTTATAATTGTTAAATCAAGTTTAGCTTAAAGCTGCCTCCTTACATATTTTAAGTTTGGCCTAAAGGTTTTTCTGTACATCATAAATTATAACAAGTAGAGGTGTACATGGAACACTATGCAGCCATAAAAAAGGATGAGTTCATGTCCTTTACAGGGACATGGATGAAACTGGAAACCATCATTCTCAGCAAAGTAACACAAGAAAAGAAAACCAAACACCTCATGTTCTCACTCATAAGTGGAAGCTGAACAACGAGAACACATGGACACAGGGAGGGGAACATCACACACTGGGGCCTGTTTGGGGGTGGGGGTCTGGGAGAGGGATAGCATTAGGAGAACTACCTAATGTAAATGACGAGTTTATGGGTGCAGAAAACCAATGTGGCACATGTATACCTATGTAACAAACCTGCATGTTGTGCACATGTACCCCAAAACTTAAAGTATAATAATAAAAAATAAATTAAAAAAAGAAAAAAAAACAAGTAGAGGTGTAAACAAACTGTAGCCTACAATTGTGCCAATCACTGAGTTTTCCAAAATCTGATTTCCTTGAATGTACCCTTCATATTTCCCTCAAATTGGTGTGATTGGATCTAGAGTCTCGGTTAGATTGAGGTTCTATATTTTTGGCAAGATGACTTCCTAGATGGTATTGTGTCCTTCCACCAGGAGGCATTTAATGTTGGGTTGTTTCTTTCTGTGATATTGGTAGTTGTTAGTGCTCAATACCTAGATCCATTAACTCAACAGATACTGGAAATGGTGATATCCTAACCCTATCATTTCATCTTCATTTATTAGCTGACATGCTTTTATAAAGGGAAACTTTCTTCCTCAATGATTTGATTTCCCAATGACATAGGAAAAGCATGATAAGCATTTGATTCTGTCTCTTAATTTGCCAGTTTTTATAATAATTTTATAATAATGGGTTGGTCATTAGCAGTCTGCAATGGCCACTAATTGAGTTTCTTTGTTGGTATTGTCGTGAATTCATGAATTTAAGCTTATTTTATTGCCCACAGGACTCTGGTTTTTGTGATGATCACAGAGGAGCAAGCCTGGCTTGTCCGAGACAGTCATATCAATTCATTCTCACTTGATAGTGTCTGGGGTGGCCATGTGACTGGTCCTAGCCATAGACATTTTGATGGGGATGGGAACAGAGAAATTCTAGGCGAAGAAGGGCAGGTCCCTGGTGAAGCCCCATCTCAAGCTGAAAAGCCTGAGACTGCGGCCCAAAGTTAGAACTTACACCGCTGTTTCCCTGCTCGAATCTTGCCTTTTCCAAAGCACCCATGGCCCCACCCTGCCCCCCATCCTGTGCCTATAAAAACATCAGCCTCAGCTGGCAGAGAGAGGAGAAGCAGCTGAATGTCAGGGACTATAGCTGGACATCAGAGAGAAGCAGCCTGACTTCAGAAGGACAGCTTGGTGGCGTAACTTTGGAGAAGAATCTGGCTGGAGACTGCCAGACTTCAGGGGAAGATTACCTTCCCATCTTGTCCCCTTTTCAGCTGCCTCTCTTGGTGATTATCACTTTCATTGGCAATAAAATCCATGCATTTACCATCCTTCAATTCATTCATGAGACCTCATTTCTCCTGGATGCTGGGCAAGAGCTCGGGAGCCATGAGTGAGGATACAAAAAAGCTGTCACACTTGCCCTTTGCCCTCTCTGGCAGAAGGCAGCCGCCTCATATGAAAAGGCAGAGGGCCTGCTGAGCTGTTAGCACTCAAGTTGTCTGTGTACAGCAGGCAAAGCTAAAAGGGCACTGTAGCACTCCCTCTGGGGTTTCAGGGGTTGCAGGCACACCCCCCTGCAAATGCTGCCGCAGGGCCTGCACAGAGTTCACTCCTGCCAGTACCCAAAAGCACTCGCCCTGGCTCCTGCACCTGCTCACCTATGTGCTCCCTCCCGTGAGGAGTGGAGCACAGCAGATCCAAGTGAGTGGAGTTCACTCCTGCTGGCACTGAAGCAGCTGGCTAGTTCCAGCACCCGTGCACTCCAGTTCCTGCCTCATTTGCTCACGGGCTCCCTCCCTCAAGGAATTGAGAGCTGCGGGCTCAGTAAACAAGACAGCTCCTTTGTGAGTCCCACGAAGGGGTCAGGGAAATATCGTGCTTCAATTTCATACAAGGAAGTCCACTAGGAGGCTTCTGAAAAAACACGCCCACCCACCCACTCGGCTGCCCCCTCCTTCCCTTCCTGCTTTTTTTAGGTTGTCACATGAGGACTTGTTTGGAGAGGTGCTGCTGAAGCTTGGAACATCTCAATGGATACATGTGACACAAATGCACAATTGTGAACACTAATACTGCAGATCCAGACTTTTTGACAGGGAAAGCTGTCCAGGATGTGTTGCTGATATAAATACAAGTCATAAAAACTATATATGTAAAATTGAACACAAGTGTGTCTATTTACACTGAGACCTGCTTGGAAATACTTAAATATTGAGTGGTCATTTCTGAGAGTTGACATATTGACTAATTTATTTCTCTCTTGTATTTTTATATTGCTTAAGGTTTAAATTTTTATGTGAATAATAATCTTTTTTAAAAGTATGATTCCTATTTATCTCATGTTACTTATAATGGGGTTTTTTTTCTAAATATATAAGATCTCATAACTGGCATTACATGATTTTCTCCATGGCATGATCATCAACAGGAAATGTTTTAATTCTAGAATAACATTTACTGATAAACATTTTTGGAAATATTTAAGCATTTCCTGATCTGAAAATTTTTGTGATTTTTTTCTTTGTATAGTTTATTGTTATACTTAATAATGCTTTCCAGCCCAGTGGAGCACAGTCATCTTGTCAGAGAAAAAACACTTTCAGAAAAACATGAGTTTTATAGACATTTTCTACTCACTAGAAAAATGAAATTAGTACATTTTTCACTTAGTGGTAAAAATGATAAGCAGTCTCCCTTTAGCCTACCTTTAAGAAATTTCAATTTCTTGGGTCCATTTAATTCTCCTAAGACACTGCATATTCTTAAAACAGAAAGGATATTTTTAAAAAATTTCTAGGCTTCCGGAGAAAAATTGAAAAAGGGTCTTCTTTCTTTTGTTAATGACCTTTTAAATGGCTGGTCCTGCACAGGGAGTTAAGGCCAGGCTATCACAGTAGACAAAGGAAATAGGCTCAGTGCTGCATGCTCCACATTATGAAAGTTGTGACAAATTCAACGTAAGCTATAAGCTTACTCTCTGGATCTCATAAAGTAAAGTCAGAAATGCCAGAAAGAAACGTGTGGAGCCGACGCTGAAGATGAATCTAGAAAGGCAGTTCCTCAAGGGCATTGATAAATATTAAACAAAGAGCAGATATGGTCTGGAGGATGACATGAGGGGGACAGGTTGGATGTAGGGAAACAAATAGACGTGGTTGAAGGAATCCAGAGGAATTTGAGCAGTGGTTTTGAGATGGAGAGGAGAAGAGAAAGCAAGAATTAGGCAAATACTTACATTGTATAGTCTCTTTGGTCATTTCTCGCTTGTTTTCTCTTAGCATCATTGGAGTCTTCAGAAGGGTTAAACTGAAAACAAGATTTTTCTGTCCATCCTTGGGTCAGAGCTCTAAAGGAGGAACAGTTGGCTCCTGGAAGCCAGCATGGAACTCGTAAAACTAAGCCAAGACATCTGCAGATTTGTGTTTTGGTTGGACAAATCCACATCTTCACTTGATGACTGACAGTAGGAATCACCTCCCCATACATACAGATAAAGATGTGATCCTGACCCCAGTTCAAAAACAGTAGGCCATCAATCCCAGGGCCATATTGGAGCCTTGATATCCAATCTCTGTTCTCCTTTTAGGGTATTCAGTGGGGTGGTGTTCCTCACACCCTCAGCTTGGAGTGTTCTTATAACTTCTGGAATGGGCCTGATCATTTGCAGCCTTCCTACAAAACTGGCTCTTCACTCAAATTTCACTTTAGGGAACAGACTGCTCTGAAATCTAGTTAGAGGTCAGATGAGGCCTTCCTAAGTTTTCTCTGGAACAGCAGGAACTCAAACCTGATCCTGCCATTCCAGTCTGAGCCAACTTGGGTCTGGAGATACTGTAGCAAATCTGCAACCTGGAAGGAAGGATGGGGCTGTCTCCCCACCAAGATGTTCAAAATCCGGAATCTCACATCAGCTTCGGCTCAAGAATGCCATCCCAGCTGTGAAATCACAATGCATGGGTCAGTGAGAAAGTTTAAGAGCCTCACCTAGAAGAAACGGTATTGAGTCTGTATTATTTAGAACCAGTGTCCGTTTAATCCTCTCTCCTGAGATTCCTATCTGGTGTGCTAGTTCCTAGCTAGAGTCTGGGGCCTGAGACACAAGTCGCTAGAGAAACCTTGGAAACCAATATATCGTCTCATTTTGCAAGACCTGGTATAATGTTTCTAAAGCTCAATAGTATAGTCTAAACTGATGGTCTCATATACATGACAGTGGAATAAGAAACAACATGAACATTTTAATTTTTTCTGTACTTTGAGATAATTACCCTTGTGATGGGTTTGAGGTAAACTCAGCTTCAGGGTTTCCAAAATTAAAATTAAGAGAGAGGTCTATAGAAAATTTCTGGCCCTATCCCCTGGAGTTATGCAGCCTGGGGTATGGCCCGTGGGACTGAAACCCTGTCCCAACATCACCACCAAAATGGCTGTTGATTCTGTTCCCAGGGGACTTCTCAAGTAATTTATAGAAGGAGAAATGAAGCTTAAGACAGGCAAATTTGGAGGCGATTATCAGTCAATGGTTTACAACAGGGCTGCCAAGTAGGCAGGACCCACACTATTGAGAAACCGGGAAGATGCAATGCAATGCTCCAGGCTCTGTGGCTATGCCCCATGCTCTCTTCTATTTACTTTTCACCTCAGTTCACTTCTATTTCTGATCTCTTTCCACAAGATTGACAGGGCTTTCTTTTGGACTTCTCTTTGATTAGGATTTAGCTTTTCCTTGGCTCACTCGGGGTTTCAACATCCTGGAATGCTTTCCCAGCACATCTGTGTATCTCAACATTTTCCATAGCACTCTGTCTTTCCTGATCACCTATGACCCAGCACTGCCACTTCATTCATGGGAATGTCCAGGCCCTCATTTAACCAGTCTTCCTAGTTCCCTGTTCCCTTTCCTACCCCATAGGACCACTTGAACCAGCTCATGGATCAGATACGTCTTCCACATCTTCCAAAAAGCTCAGAGGATTTTCTACCCCAAAGAGATAATCCTCAGGGAACCTGCTGGTCCCCTCCCTTTTTCTTTCAGTGTTTGAGACTTGAAGAGGATTATTCTGATGCTTTCTAGGCTCATCAGAGGATACAGGCCTATGGATCACTATGAAAGCATCCACTGTGAAACGGAAAATTGTGTTTTGAAGATAATGCTAGAAAGCTGACACCGCTAAGTCATACAATTCTCGTCTGTTCACAGAATATGATCAAAACTATTTTTTAGAACAAAGTTGATGTTTTTAGCATTGTCCCTGAAACTCCTGTCTCAGTGTAACTCCTTTACCCTGAACTGATTTGGCTTTAGAATATAAATTAGTGGTAAGACATGTATATGGCAAATGATTTGAAATGCAGAACCATGGCAACAAGAGCTTCTGTTAGAGAGAAAAGGAACTAACACTTATTGAGTGCTGTGTACTAGGTACCATGTGCCATTAATCATAGTGATAATGACAATATTGGAGCATGCATATTATGTTTAGGCATTGCTCTAAGTCCTTACATATGACCTATTTTAAGCCTCACAATAACTCCATGAGATGAGCACTGTGTCACTGTCCTCATTTTAGAAAAGAGAGGCTTAAAGAGGCTGAGTAACTTGTTTAAGATGAACTGAGTACCAAGCCCAGGTCTGTCTGAATCCAGCATCTTCTTACAGCATATTTTAAAAATGGATGAAACTTCCTACGGATTTAAAACTTTAAAGTTTTAGAAAATGAAGAGCTGAGTCACATGGCATAACTTGGACCTGATATAGTTAAATAATGATGAGATAAATGAGTTTTGACTGAGATTATCCATATTATCTCAATTTACTACATTTAGGCTATGAACACAGATTTCAATGGAACTCAAGTGACCATTTCATGAGAATGTATACATTGCGTCCTTTCATTTCATCTGTGTTTGTTGCTACAATATCAGAAGGCTTACATGGTTAATTCTATCTTAATATATAACTAGTCTTAATCATATACAGAAAATTTCTATTTAAATCTAGTAGGTAAAATATGTATACAACCTCTTATTTAAAAAATTAAGGCCAGCCTGGGCATGGTGCTCATGCTTATAATCACAGCACTTTGGGAGGCCGAGGCAAGTAGATTTCTTGAGGCCAGGAGTTCGTGACCACCCTGGCCAAAACAGAGAAAACCCGTCTCTATTAAAATACAAAAATTAGCCGGGCATAGTAGTGTGCACCTGTAATCTCAGCTACTCTGTAGGCTGAGGCAGGAGAATCACTTGAACCTGGAAGGTGGAGGTTGCAGTGAGCCGAGATTATGCCACTGCACTGCAGCCTGGGTGACAGAGCAAGACTCTGTCTCAAAAAAAAAAAAAAAAAATTAAGGCTAAGCACAGTGGCTCATGCCTGTAATCCCAGCACTTTAGGAGGATCCACTGAGGCCAGGAGCTCGAGACCATCTAGGCAACATAGTGAGACCCCCATCTCTAGCACCTTGGAGTGTTCTTATAATTTCTGGAATGGGCCTGGTCATAACTGGGTGTGGTGGCGCACATCTGTAGTCCTAGCTACTGGGGAGGTAGAGGTCGGGGGATCACTTGAGCCCAAGAGTTCAAGGCTGCAGTGAGCTATGATCCTCCCACTGCACTCCAGCCTGGGTGACAAAGTAAACCCTATCTCAAATAAATAAATAAATATCTGCTTTTGACATTTTGGAAAAAGAATAAACGAAAACCTACCCATATTTGCTTTTGTGTTTCAGACCTTTTTTAGCCAGGCATTTAAGACTGGCTGAGTGTAACCTTTGCCCTTGGCATTTGGGGGCAAAACCACAGGTATAGGCCAGCCCTGGTATTCGTGGGAGGATTGCACCATTCAGCAGTGTCAGGTCATGAAGCACAGATTCTCTCCAACAGTGCTTCATAAATACAGCAAGTGAATTTGGGAATGTGGTCTGTTTAATTTAAAATTAGCTTCTTTCTCCAGAAGATTTTCTCTTCCCTATGAAAACTGTTTTATCTCTCAGGCCTTTTAATCTTTTATATTTTTTAATAGTTTCTCTCAGTCTGTTCACTTAAACTCCTGAAATGAAATCACATTCTACATTGATGGAATTGGTCTAAAAAACACACATATGTTCTCTATATTGAGTAAATGCACATTACTATCTCCATTTTAAAACATTCTTTCATTTTAAAAAAGGAAATAAAATGGACTTATTATAGGCATAGATCATTACATACACAAAAGAAAGAATCCATCCTCAGCTAAGAAATCTGTGGAAAAAATCGTGTATTTTCTCTCATGATTAATTGCGGGCTACCCTGCCTTGCAAAGCCATCATATAAACTATTCAGAGGGAAGAGGTTAAATAGTTCTATAATATAAAGTCTTGCTGAGGGTGTGGGAAACAGGCATTGCTGGTGGGAGTGTACACTGAAACCCCTTCTTTGTAGTGCAATTTGGTAAAATCTGTCAATATTTAATATGAACATACTTTGACATCTTAATCTTATTTCTAGGAATCCATTCTGTCATGAACTTAGCATCCCTGCAAAAGCTGCCAAGCCAAACCCAGTTTTTTCCGTAATTTTCCTCTGACTCAAAAATGGTATTCTCAGTCCTTGTTAGGCCCATTTTTATTTCTCCACACCATCCATTCAACACTTTCACAGTGGTAGGAGAATATGAATTGCTCAGTTCTGGGGTGGAGATTTAATCTTAGTTTAAAGATAGAAAACATAACATAGTATAGTGGACTGGGGAAACTGTTGGGTTATTTGGTCTTGTTATTATTGTTGTTGTTGCCTGCCCAGCACATTTGGTCCCAGTACGCCATTTGCCTTGGGGAACATTTTCCTAACTCCATATGGTCTGGATGGGGTTGTGCTATGGTCTGAATCTGTCCTCCCAAATGCATGTGGGGTTGTGCTATGGTCTGAATCTGTCCTCCCAAATGCATGTGTTGGAGACTTAATCCCCAACGCAAGTGTTGGGAGATGGTGACTTTTGGGAGGTGTTTAGGTCATATAGGCTCTGCCCTCATGAATGGATTCATGCCATTATAAAAGGGTTTGATGGAAGGAGTTTGAGCCCTTTTGTCCTTCTATCTTCTGCCATAGGAGGACACAGCAAGAAGGCCTTCACCAGATTGCAGATGCTTGTGCCCTGATTTTGGATTTGCCAGCCTCTAGGGTTGTAAGAAGTGAATATCTGTATTTCCAAAATACCCAGTCTCAGGTATTTTGTTATAGCACCACAAATGGACTGACAGGGTGTCAATTACTTTTTGGCCATGGGATGGTCATGTGATCCAGACTGGGTCACTCATGGTTCATTATATGCTTGATAAACTGATTGGTTTAAGAATGGCCACGTGATTCCACAGGAACAGCTTTCTTTTGAATTGATATACAAATGTGGTGAGTGAATTGCTTTTCTGCTGGGATGGCTGGGCTGGGAGAATGTGAATCTGGGGCTACCAGTGGGTGCCTTCCCTGGTTGCATGGAGGAAGCCTGTCTTCAGTGGAAAGGAAAAGAGTGAGGCCAATAGAAAGAGGAAAACAGAGCAGCCATGGAAAGAAAGAGAGAGAGAGAAGGAGAGAGAGAGAGAGATTGAAGGGCAGGGAGAGAGAAGGGAAATGAGAGAGAAAACAATGTTATTTACTATGCGTAAATCTAAATTCATCCCCAGACTTCCCTGTTTTATAAGCCAACTTACTTTCCTTTTCTCTTCCTTAAGTTAGTTTGTCTTGAGTTTCTGAACTTGCAAGTGGTAGAATCCAGATTGTCACCTGTCTCCTCCTCCTCTTTGAATTCCATCAAGAATCTACTCATATAATGCCTTAGTGAACAATGAACACTTTACTGAATATTTCACTGATAAGAAAAAAGAGAAGGTTGGCAAGGTATTTGCCCAGAACACAGCCTGCAGATCCCCACTGTCATTTCTCATCTCTCCTTGCCCCATCCTACTATAGGTGGTTTTCCTTCTGATCCTTCCACCTCACAGCCTCCAGCCTCTTTGGTTCCTTCTATATGTAAAACAATGTAGCTACCATCTTTTATTACTTGAGCAGTCCCTTGAGATTTTGACTTTGATTCCAAGTACTTTTTCTTTAAAACTAAAACCAATATATCCATTTTATTTTGCATATTAGCTGGTCTCAAGCCCATAACCCTTAAGACATGACTTTTGGGTAAAGTAGAAGGAAGCATGTGATTCACATCCCATGCATGCCCAAAGCAAGCCACTAGCAAACTGCTGCCCTGAGAACAACCAGACAATTATAAATCAAGAAAAAGAGACCAGAAACAAAGATGCTTAGATTATCCCTCAGACAAAGCCTTGATCAGTTTACCAGTTCAGCTTCATGGAGGGAAGAAATGGAGCAGAGCATCCAAGAAGGGTTACATCAATGCATCTATGCATGAGACCTTTTATTGTGCAGTGGCTCTGTTCAGGAGTAAATATCGATGGCGGCAGCAGTCATGATTGCCAACTGCAGTGGGAAAGGTGCAGCAGGGGCTGCAGGATCCATGGAGTTGACAGGAGCAGGGAACAGGTGGGGGCTTCTGAGTTGGAGGAGTAGAGCCCTGCCCTCCTGGGCACAGCTGCAGCCACCCTGCCGAGGCTGAGGACCCAGGCATCCCTGTGCTCTTGGGGACCCAGGAAGCCCCCCGTCCCTGCAGGCTTGAAAGTGCCTGCATCCACTGCTTGGCCTCTCCCTGCTCCCAGTGCCTGCTCCAATTTAGGAGTAAAGTTGAGGCCAAGTCCAAGCATTGTTGCAACATGGCCAGGTGTGCACATGCCTGGAGCAGCACTGACATGCCAGCCCCCTGCCACCTCAGCTCCCTCCAGACTTTGGGCTCCAACATGAGCTCCAGAGGGAGGATGAGGGGGTGCTGAGGACAGCTCTGCAGGGGCCTGCAGGCACCCCTGAGCACAAACAGCTTGGGCACCATGGGTGCCATAGAGGGCAGGTTGATGGTGTCAGGAGGCAGACAGGCTTCTGGGTGGAAAGGGACAGATCCCCAGTGAAGCCCTACCTTCAAGCCAGGGATGGCATGAAGCCGGGGGGCCAGGCTGCCAGTTCTGCAAATGGGGTGAGAATTTATGGTGCTTTTTCCTGGCCCATCCATGGCCACTCACAGATGAATCAGCATGCACTCCCTCCCCTCTGAAGCCCATAAAAACTCTGCACTCAGCCAGACTCAGGCTGATGATGGAACAACCTGCCTTTTTCAGATAGGAGTTACCCACTCTGGGTCTCCTCTCCACTGAGGGCTGGACACTCATTGGTCAACCTGCCTGCAGAAAGGAGCTACCCACTTAGGGTCTCCTGAGAACTGTTCTGCTGCTCAGCCTCTCTGCCTTGCTCACCATCCACTTGTCTGTGTACCTCATTCTTCCTGGACATGGGACAACAACTCGGGACCTGCCAAATAGCAGGACTAAAAGAGCTGTAACACAAACAAGGCTGAAATGCATCCCCCAGCTTCCCTCTCACCATGTTGTGGGTGACAAGGAGAGAAGAGCTATGGCCCTTTGGGCATCCCAGACTTAGGGGCTCCCTGAACCAAGGCTGTGACAACCTCTTTGGGGTTCTGCAGTTTCTGGCATCTCCAAACTTCCAGGTGCCACCACGTTCCCCTTGTCCAGATGCAGGTGCCCATAGTGGAAGCTGCGTGCAGTACATCTAGTCCAGCTGCAGTCTTGCATGGAGCTGGTACCTATGCCCATGCCTGGAGCTGCCTGCCCCACCAGTGTGACTGGCTGTGTGCAGTGTCTGGACCCTGTGCTCACTCACCCACACACCTCTAATTGCTCTGTGACTGGCTGGCACTTGGCAGGTGTGGGATCTGGGCCAGTAGTGTGAGCTGAGTGCAGCCTGCTGGGCCAGGTGGGTGGAATGAGCCCAATGAGTGTGAGCAATACTCAGGCAGAAGGCACCCCGGCCACAGAGGTTTCTGGCTGGAGAAGTGATACCCCAAGGATTCTGTGACAACATGACCCAGTCAATATTCTGGAATCAAATTAGTATTCTCCCTTTTGGAGAAGGAGAAAAGAAAGGGAGAAGGATGGTGTGTCAGAAACTATTGATTATTCTCACAATATCAGTTCTTCTTTTCTTTCCCTATAATAGAAGCCCGAAAATTTAGCTGTGTACTAGCCACTTGGAATAAAAACTACATTTCCAGCTGTGCTTGTAGGTAGGTATGGCATATAGCTAAGTTCCAGACAATGGGATATAAGCATAAGGTGATGTGTACAACATCCTGAAAAAGTCCTTAGAGATAGGGGATATTTGTTCTTTTTCACTTTTTCCATCTGCTTGGTCAGAATGTGGATGTGATGGCTGGACCTAAAGTAGCTTCTTGGATCACAGGATGGAAACCATATGTTGAAGATGATAGAGCAACAATTGAGAAAGAGCCTGGGTCTCTGATGACTGTAGAGTTGCCATACCATACTTTTGTCTTCTATAAGTCACCGTTCGTGTGTTCTCTGCACACTGTAAGTGAACCTATCTTTTTTGTTTTTTTTCTTTGAGACAGAGTCTCACTCTGTCACCCAGGCTGGAGTGCAGTGGTGTGATCTCGGCTCACTGCAAGCTCCGCCTCCCAGGTTCATGCCATTCTCTGGCCTCAGCCTCCTGAGTAGCTGGGACTACAGGCACCTGCCACCATGCCCGGCTAATTTTTTGTATTTTTAATAGAGACGGGGTTTCACTGTGGTCTTGATCTCCTGACCTCGTAATCTGCCCGCCTCGGCCTCCCAATGTGCTGGGATTACAGGAGTGAGCCACTGCGCCCGGCTGACTGAACCTATCTTAACTGATGCCAGTGGGGATACTATCTACTTTATGTGGCAATAATCAAGAAAGCTTTGGACTCTGTGCTACAAAATTTAGATATTTTTGGTGTATATGGTGCATGGGAGCAAATAATAAATTTTTAGATATGAAGAGAAATGTCAGAGGAATAAAATTCATTCACATTTGTGATAATGTTGCATTTTCCCTTTACATCACTAAGAATTAAGAGCACAATTTTTTAAAGTTCATTTCACCACCAAGTGTGACATTTGTAGTAAGTTTTTAATAAGTGTTCTTGATGGTTTAAGAAAGTTTCCTTCTGTTCCTCAATTAAATATTCTTTTTGTTTATTTTAAAATCATGAATAAATGTTGAATTTTATTAAATGCTTTTATTGGGCATATATTGTGATGATCATATATTTAAAAAATTTTTTAATATGGCAAATTATATTAATATATTTTTATGCCTTAAACTATCCTTACATTCCTGTGATAAACTGGTTAGTCATAATAATTTTTTAAATTATTATTTTTAATTGACTCATAATTTTACATATTTATGGGGTACACGGTGATATTTTGATACATGCATACAATGTGTAATGATCAAATCAAGGTAATTACCATCTCCATCACCTCAAACATTTATTATTTCTTCATGTTGGGAACATTCAAAATCTTCTTTTCTAGCTGTTTGAAAATATACAATAAATTATTGTTGACTATAGTCATCCTATAGTGCTATAGAATGCTAGAACTTATTTCTCCTATTTAACTGTACTTTTGATTCCTTAACCAACCTCTGGCATCCCTTCTTCCCACTATCCTTCCCAGGATCTAGTACCATCATTCTACTCTCTGCTTCTAAGTCATGATAACATTTTTGCATACATTGCTGAATTCAGTTTGCTAAAATTTTATTTATAGGATTTGCATCTATATTTATACATAAGCTTACATTCAATTTTTCCTTCTTATATTTTCTTGCCTGGTTCTAAGTGGGGAAATGAGTCTTCTTTTCCATTAGAAATATTTATTTCTTTTTTCTTTTTTGAGATGGAGGCTCACTCTGTTGCCCAGGCTGGAGTGCAGTGGCATGATCTCAGCTAACTGCAAACTCTGCCTCCTGGGTTCAAGCGGTTCTCCTGCCTCAGCCTCCCGAGTAGCTGGGACTACAGGTGTGCACCACCATACCCAGCTAATTTTTGTATTTTTAGTAGAGATGAGATTTCACCATGTTGGCGAGGCTGGTCTCAAACTCCTGACCTCAGGTGATCTGCCTGTTTTGGCCTACCAAAGTGTTAGGATTACAGGCATGAGCCACTGCACCTGGCCTCTATTAGAAACATTTCTAATATTAAAAAGAGTTACCTGCCCCTTAAAATTTTGGTAAAACTTGTTTGTAAACTCTTCTGGGCATAGTGTTTCTTGGTATGTTTATTTTGTAAACCTTTGAATTAATTTTTTCAAAAGTTATGAGTGGGTTGAAAGTAATCTAGTACCCATGATAAGTCAATACCAGTTTTTTTCAGCAATTGTCTGTTTGGATTTGTTAGTTGTCCTTTGGTTTCGTCATTGTCTATCCTGTATCAGTTGAATATTTTAAAATATTACTCTTGGATATAGACCTATTCAAGTTTTTTATTTCTTCTTGAGTCAATTTACATAACTTACATTAAACCAAAAATGCCCTTTTTATCATGAAGTTGTTCATAGTATTTAGTTAAGTTTTAATGATCTTTATGTTAAACTCTTATTTTTCATATGGTTTATTTGTGCCTTCTTTTCTTGATCAATCTTGTCAGAGAATTACTTAGACTTTCTTATATAATTATAATTTTGGGGTGTTTACTCCATTCTTTTTTTCTAACTTTTAATTGAACATTTAACTCATCTATTTTCTATCTTAAAAATGTAGACATTTAAAACTATAATTTTTCCTCTTAGTATCACTATCTGTAATTAATAAGTTTTAAAATGCAATACTCATAGAATGTCATTCAGGTTTAAACACATCTCAAATTTAATTGTAATTGTTTCTTTCAGACTACTTTGAAATTTCAGTTTCTAATTTTATTGCCTTGTGACCGGTTTATTATGTATGCTATTGATAATTTGTATTTTAAGACTTCTTTTGTGGCCTAGAAGAGTGCTCAGTTTTTATAAATTCTCTATAGGTGCTCCAAACTTTAATTGTTGGTAAGAGTTCCTCATGTATTCTTATATTAAGCTTGTTAATATCATTTTATTCAATTTTTCTATATATTGACTTATTTTTTCTGTCTTCTGTCTTCTCTTTCACCCATCCTAATGAGATTTTCACAATTTCTCCTATTTTTTTTGCTTTATATGCATATAAGACTATATTGTTCATTGCATATGGGTTCAAGATTATTTGTTACTGATCAATTGTTTTTTTCTGTCACTAAGTCTTAATCCTTTTTATCACTAAAACCAAAGTTTTTCTTAAAGTATCTATTATCTGATATTACTTTAACTACATCATCTTCATTTTGTATAGTATTTGCCTAGTATATTTTTCTTTTTTTTTCTTTTTTCTTTCAATTTTTCTGGGTCATTATAATTTGAATGTTTTCTTATAAAAAGCTAATTTTTAAATAGTTTATAAAAAGTTTTCTTTTAAAAAGCTAATTTAACCCATTTATATTTATTGTAAGTTCTGACATGTTTGGTTTCATGTCTGCTATCTTTTTTTGTGTTTTGCATTTACTATGCTTTGTTTTTACTTTTCCCTATTACCATCACTTTTCTCTAGTGTATTTGATTTATTAAGTTTTCTTGGGCCCTCAACACTTTATTTTAATTATTTTACTAGTTACCTTAAATTTTTAGCATGCATAACTGATATGACAAACTCTAAAGTTAATTGTAATATTCTGTTACACTGAACTGTGTCTCTCAGTATTCAGGCCCTTGTGTAGTCTGCTCCTCTTGAATCTGGGCTTGTCTTTAACCAATAGTATGTGGCAGACGTGACATCAGATCTGAATATAACATTTTAAAAGGCCTAATGGCTTCTGCTTTTGCACTCTTAGGCGCCATGGGCTAACTTGCTGGAGAGCCACATGGAGAGACTGTATGGAAAAACCACAGGGAGAGGGAGAAGCCTTGAGATCACATGGAAGAGAACTGAGGAATTGAGCTGACAATGAGAATTGAGGTCCCAGCCTATGGTCCCAGTTGTGTGTTCCAGCCAGCATCCAGTTGTTTGAACTGCCTCTATACTAGTAAACAAGTAATTAATTAATACAAGTAAATGAAAACAAGTAATAAAGTAATTAATACAAGTATTAAGTGAGTGAAAAAAAACATTTACCCACAGAATTGTGAGCAAATAAAGTGGTGTTGTTTTAAGCCTCTGATACTTGGGATCTATTTCTACATGATGACAGATAACTGAAATGTTAATGAAATCTTGTCCCTCATACTAAATTACATACCATTCTTATGCTTTAATTCCAGTTTCTCCCATGCTTGCCAATATTCCATGCTGTAGTCTTTTTATGGTTCTATATTCCCTTTAAACATCTCAAAATTAATCATTTAAATCAGTTTATAGTTAATAATTCGTTGGATATACCCACATGTTACCCAGTTTTTTTTTTGCTTAATGTTGCTTCTTATATCCACATACTCATTTTGTGTCCTGTTTCTTGTTTTCTTAATTATATTCCTTTGTTGATTACTCAGCAACAACTGAGTGATAAAAAATGGTAAGCTCAGTTTTTATTAGCTGAAAAGTCTTCATTTTGTCCTTACATTTAAATCGTAGTTTAGCTTGATATAAAATTTTAGATTGGCATTTATTTTCTCTTAGCAATTTGAAGATAACAGACTATTACCATCCGGTTTTTGTTGTTGCTATTGAGTCATGTGCTGTTTGAGTCTAAATTTCATTTCTTCTTAATATATGTGTTTTCCTCAGGTTGCTTTAACGTTTTTTCTCATTACTCTTCTTATTATGCAGATTCACCATGAAATAGCTAAAATAAATTTCCTTTTTTTTTTTTTTTTTTTGCTACTAACTCATACTTCCACAATCTGAAGATTCTTTCATCAGCTTAGGCCTTTTAACTCTAAGGCCATATTCTTTTCACTTGACTAGCTTTTTATTATACAGCAGTCACACTTCATGGAAGGCATGTAGTTGTGGAGATTTTGCATTACTCAAAATTCATGTAAGTCAAGACAAATCCTTACCACACACAGAGAAATCTTAGAAATAATAGAAAACAACAGCATGGATTACTTTACAATGTGAATTTAGGTACAGTAAAATGTTTGATCATCAGATATGAAACTGGTGCAAATTTAGCAAAATATGAATGGTCTCTTTAAGATTTAATGAGGAAAGAAGACTTGTTTAGGTTGGAAAAACACCGTCTAGGTTTTGAGTCATTCACTTTTATATTTCTTTGAAATTAAACAGGTGGAGATTATTTCAGTAATCATTAATGTTTATTTTTCATAAAATGCTAAATATTTTTCTTAACGTTCTGTGCATATTGAATTAGTAAACTAATATGTGAAAGAAAGTAAACAACTAGCCTAGGTTTTCTGTTCAAAATGTTTTTCTACCCTCTCTTAGAACTGACAGACTAAGAAGCAGCAAGGATTGAGAGGATCTAAACAACACAGTCAAACAACAAGTTCTAACTGACATGTATGGAATACCCCCACCAAATGAGAATAGAAGACACAGTTTTTTTTCAGGCTACATAGAACCTTCCCAGTAGATCATATCATAGGCCATTAAAGAAAAATCCCTCAACAGAAGAACTGAAATCATACAGAGTATGTTCTCTGACCATAATGAAATTAAACTAGACATTAATAACAGAAAAATGATAGAAAAATCTCTAAACATGTGGAAATTAAATAACATACTTTTAACTAACCAATGGTCAGTGGGGAACTCTCAAAGGAAAGAAAATACATAGAACTGAGTGAAATGAAATACAACATATCAATACATGTGGGATGCAACTAATGCAGTCCTGAGAAGGAAATTTATAGCAGTAAATGCTTAATTAGCAATGAGGAAAGGCCTCGAATCAATACTTTAAGTTCACACCTTGAGAAACTTTTAAAAAAAGATCAAAATAAATCCAAGGTAAGCAGAAGAAGGGAAACAAAGTAAAAACAGAAGTCAATGCAATAGAAACAGGAAAACAACAGAGAGAAATCAATGAAACCAAAAGCTAGTTCTTTGAAAAAAACTAATAACATTGATAAACCTCTAGCAAGACTGACCAAAATAAAAAAGAAGACATAAATCATCAAAATCAAAAATAAAATAAGAGATATCACTACAGATCTTATAGCTATTAAAAAGTTAATAAAAGAATGCTACAAACAACTTTATGCTTATATATTTGATAACTTAAAGAAGTGGATCAATTTTTTAAAAACCAAAAATTACCCACTCTCAACTAAGATGAAATAGACAATCTGAGTAGCTATAACCATTAGAGAAATTAAATTCATAATTTAAAAGCTCATGAAAAATAAATCTTCAGTCACAGATGTTTTCATGGGTGAATTTATCCAAACATCTAAAAAAATTAGCACTAGTTTTACATAAACTCTTCCAGAAAATAGAAACAGCAGAAATACTTCGCAACTCATTTTATGAGCCCAGTATTACCTTGACACTAAAATATGACAAAGACAGTATTAAAAAATAAAGAAGAAAGGAAAAGAAATCCACAAACCAATATCTCTCATGAATTTAAACATAAAAATCCTTAACAAAATATTAGCAAACTAAATCCAATAGTGTGTAAAAGAATTCTACGCCATGACCAATTTGGACTTATTCTAGGAATGTAAGATTGGTTCAACATTCAAAATTAAACATTGGTATATCGGCCTAAGGAAAAGATAATATGATAGTGTCAATTCACACAAAAATCATTTGACAATACATCCACAAAAGCAATTGAATGGAGGAAGTTAAATCTTTTCAACAAATGGTGCTGGAGCAATTGAACACCCATAGGCAAAAAACAAAACAATACAAATCAAAAACAAAAGAACTCAACCTAAATATCATACGTTATACAAACCAACCGAAAGATGAACTTAACTGTAAAACACAAAACTACAAAATATTAAAAACAAGGCCGGGCGCGGTGACTCACGCCTGTAAACCCAGCACTTTGGGAGGCCGAGGCGGGCGGATTACGAGGTCAGGAGATGGAGACCATTCTGGCCAACATGGTGAAACCCTGTCTCTACTAAAAATACAAAAAAATTAGGTGGGCATGGTGGCGCACGCCTGTAGTCCCAGCTCCTCTGAAGGCTGAGGCAGAAGAATTGCTTGAATCCAGGAGCCAGAGGTTGCAATGAGTCGAGATTGTGCTACTGCACTCCAGCCTGGTGACAGAGCAAGACTCTGTCTCAGAAAAAAAACAAAAACAAAAACAAACAAACCAACCAAAAACAAAACAGGAAGAAGACCTTCAAGATCTAGGGCTAGGCAAAAAGTTTTTAGACTATATCAGCTGGGTTTCCTCAAAGTTAAAAACTTTGCTCTGCAAAAGTCTATGGGAGGAGGATGAAAAGATCAACTACAGACTAGGAGAAAATAGTTACAAACAACATAGTCAACAAGGGACTGGTTTCCAGAAAATATAAAGAATTCTCAAAATGTAACTTTCAAAAAACCAATCCAATTAGAAAATGGACAAAGGCCATGAAAAGACATTTTACTGAAGAGGTCATACGGTTGTCAAGTAAGCATATGAAAAAATGTTCAACATCTCTTGCCATTAGGAAAATCCAGCTTAGGACCATGATGAGCTATCACTGCACACACATCAGAATGACTAACATAAAAAAACAGTGACCACACCAGGTGCTGTCAGGGATATGGAAAAACAGGATCACTCCTACATTGTTGGTGGGGATGCAAAATGATACAGTCATTTTGAAAACAGTTTGGTAATTTCTTATAAGGCTAAATATGTAATTACGATATGACCAGCAATTGTACTCTTGATCAAATGAAATAAAAAGCTGTATAAGAATGTTCATAGCATCTTTCTGTAAGAGTTGAAAACTGGAGTCAGCCCAGATGTCTTTCAAGACATGAATGATTAAACAAACTGTGATACACGCATTCCTTGGACTATTACTCAGGAATTAAAAGGAACAAACTATTGACGTAGGCCATAATTTGGGTGATTCTTCAGGGAATTACGGTGAATGAAAAAAGGCCAATCTTGGAAGGTTACATCCTTTATGATCCTATTTATGTAACAGTTTAAAGGTGATAGACTTTTAGAAATGGAGATTAGTGGTTGCCAGGGGTTAAGGATGGGGGAGGGGAGAGGTGGGTGTTGTTATAAACGGGCAGCAGGAGGACCCTCGTGGTGATGAAATATTCTGTATGTTAACTGTGGTGATGGATTCATGAACCTATATACATGATAAAATTGGATAGAACTAAATACACAAATATTTACATGTTAAACTGGGGAAATATGAATAAGATAGGTGGCTTGTATCACTCTCAATATCCTGATTGTTATATTATACTACAGTTTTGCAAAATGAGGGAAACTGGTAGAAAGTATTCTCTGGATTATTTCTTACAACTGCATGTGAATCTACAATTATCTCAATAAAAAATTTCTATAAAAATGCTCTATTAAATAATCTATACATCTTAATTTTTATCTAAAATTCTATTTTATACCCTTTACCTGATTTCTTACACAGGGTTACAAGGTAAACTTATTTTGCAGGTTATTTCTGAAAGAGGAAAGAAAATAGTAAGATGGATAAATGTGCTACTAACTAACAAGTAGTAAAACGACCCTTCTCGGTTCTGGTGTTTTTTCAGCTGAGTCAGTTATATTAAGAATCATCTTCTCTGCCGGACTCACTCCTATAATCACAACACTTTGGGAGGCCAAGGTGAGAGACTGCTTGAGCTCAGGAGTTCAAGGTCAGCCTATGCAACATAGCAAGACCTGCAACAACAACAAAAACTAGCCAGGTGGGGTGGGGCTTACTTGTAGTCCCAGCTACTCGGGAGGCTGAGATAGGAGGATCGCTTGAGCCCAGGAGGTAGAGGCTGCGGTGAGCCATGATTGTGCCACAGCAGACAGAGTGAGACCCGAACGAAAAAAAAAAATTATCTTCTATAATTAAAAGAGTATGGTTGTAAAGAAGACACTTCCCTCGAATGTGGTCAGGCAGCATTTTCTTGGTAATTAAATGGTTAGGATCTTTTTTTCTTAGAATTCATATTGTACATGGCATCATGTGACTGAAGGGACATTTCTCTTGAAGTCTATCTGTACTATCTTTCTACAGCTGCAAAATTGTTCTCTCCACTGCACTTGTAGTAATGATGATTACTATTATTAATACTAATAGCCCCAACAACATTATGCAGTATAATGGCTCCAGTGATTATACTGAGAAGTTTGATGGAATTATTTTCCTGAGCTCATTCTAAAATTTCTTCTTGCTCAATATTATCTTGTTATTTCTGTTCATTTGTCCCTTACAATCTCCTACCTATTATTTCCCTGTAATTAGAAGCTCATGGGGGTGAGGCTTTTTCATTTTGGTTTCCTCTTCACTGCCTGGAGCACTGTGGGCACGGTTTCACTTTTGATGTTGACATCTTCAAATGGAGACTAGTGGCTTCACAAGTTAGGACAGTCACTGCATCAACCAGGACTAATTTGATAATATTCCTCAAGCTCATTATAATATTGGCTCTTTCCCAAACACCTTGATTTTTTGAGAGATTAGTACTAAGAAACCAGACTTACTCATTCCATTAAGACTTTGAAAATCCAACCCAAAATGCTCAGTCATTTTTTGTGACTCTATTTGCAGTAATATTTAATTTTTAAAATATTTAAGGTCATGATAAATTTGTCATTTACCAAGTAAACATTGATAAATATTGATATTACTATTTTTAGGTTTATTGTTATGTAGCATCTGAATCAGTGAATTTACACACTCTTAATCAGGGGAATAAAGTACACAAAAAAATTCAGCAGCAATTGCACCATTTACTGCTCTGATGTTTTTGAAAAAGGAAGTAAGTGACTGAGATACACAAAACAACCCATGCAACTTGAAGCAAATGTATCTAAACTACAGTAAAGTGACAGGAAAAATAAACTAGATGTTGCTCCTGAAAGGACCATTTTCTCTACTGGACCTGTCAAAACAGTGAACCCAATGACAGTGTTTAGAAAATGTTCACTGAAATGGACTCACAGACCAAAAGTATACAGAAACCTGCTGTTGAAAGCTATTCTTTCAGGATGACGATGATAAATCAAAAAACAAGTCTACTGCAAATAGAAATTATGTGGACCAGTGTCTTCTTCACTGAATATCACCTTCATAGAAAATGTGATACACCCTGATTTGAGATGTTTAGTCGCTTATCTGCAGGAAGCAACACTCACCTCAGAGAAGGAAACCTCAAACCACTCGCATGAGAGTTAGCTCCCATAGAGGTAGTGAGAGCTGCCTCTGAACCACAGAAGTACTTACTCATGCAAAGTGTGGCTTCATATTTGAACCAGGGAGATTCAGGTGTGGGTTTCTGTTCTGCCATGGAGTAAACCTCTCTGCCCAAAATTGCAGACTCAAACTTGGTACAATTTCCTCAGACCAACTAAATAATACGCCTAAGCTTGGACAAAGTCTATGGGAACACCAAAAAATTTTTTAATGATTTCTTACCTGAAGGGAGAAGGAACCTAATTATAGTAGTGTCATACAGGGTAAAGGTGGACAAGGTTAATATAATACAGCAGATGTGGCTTGAAACTGGGCAGTGGAGGCTGCAGAACAAGGGCTCCTGACCATTGCAGCTGTCTAGATTAACTTAGATGTTAGGCAATGCCATTTCCCATCTCTGTCTAGAATGATAGGCCTCTTCAACCACAATGGTCTCTTTGCCTTGAATTCTTCCTATCAGATTTCTTTTTCAATGATATCTCTACTCAAGATTGCTGAAACCAAAAGCAACTGGCAGAAAACATTTTATTTCCAGCAATACTTGACTATCTCCTCTATTGGTCAAAATGGTTTCAAATGCAATCAGTTCTTCATTTAAATCAGGCCGGGCACGGTGGCTTACACCTGTAATCCCAGCACTTTGGGAGGCCGAGGCGGGTGGATCACCTGAGGTCAGGAGTTCAAGACCAGCCTGGCTAACATGGCAAAACCCTGTCTCTACTAAAATACAAAAATTAGCCGGGTGTGGTGGTGCATGCCTGTAGTCCCAGCTACTCGGGAGTCTGAGGCAAGAGAATCACTTGAATCTGGGAGGTGGAGATTGCAGTGAGCCTAGACTGCGCCACTGCACTCCAGCCTGGGCAACAGAGCAAGACTCTGTCTCAAAAAAAAAAAAAAAAAAAAATCACAAAATGATGAACTTGATTTTCTTTCTTCTTCACTGAACTTAAATGTACCCAATATCTAAATGTTCCTAGAAATCTGTATTGAAGCCATAAATAATATACTTTTCTCTATGCCCAGATCTCTGTACTACAAACCTCTTTCTAAGAGATACATATAATGTCTAGCACTACTGGTGCTACTGGTGTAAAAATCTTCCTTTATTTGCCATGGTCCCTTATTATCATCATGGCCCCTTACTGTTATCATGTCTAGCTATAAAAAGTCTCAATTTAATTAGCAAATAGATTTCTTTATTGTCCAAATGTCCAAAAATAATATAAATCCATGGTCTAATGGAAAAACATGGGAAAATTTCTGTCTTTTCTTTTGTTTTTTTTGGTCAACAGCTGTCTGCTGACCTTAGATAAATCACCAGATCACCCTGACTCCCAGCTTCCTCATCTGTAATATAAAAGGACTGGTCTAGGTAAACCCCAAAGTCTCTCCCTGCTCTAAAAATTCCCAGTTCTACAGAGGACCAAGAGAAAGTAATTTCTTCCCTAATTATTCTATAAAGTTTCCAATTATCAATCCCATTCTTCTGGTTGCTTTGTATTCAAGGCTGGATTGCTATAATTATTTAAGGGTAATTATCATATTTAAATATAAGTGTTTAAACTATAAGGGACCATGGCCGTAGGAACCTTAGCATTAATTAGGCCATGTGAGACTTCCTTAAATTAAAAAATAAAAAAACTTTTCTGTTTCATCAACTATCAAGTCATCTGAGCTTGCTCTGGCCTTGATAAGCTTTTAATAAGCTGTGTGACTCACCCGGAAGACAGAGCAATAGATTCTGCTAGTGTTTTAGACGGTTTGTTGGTAAAAGTGCCCAAGGGAAGATAGGATATACAGTTGCCCATCAGCATCTTGGAGAGAGATTGAAAATGAAATTGCTACTTCAAAGGCAGAAAAACACAATGTCCTCAAGTTTCTTATGTAGAAATAATGATAAATAAATGCTATCTTATCTCTGGAGAAATTGGCAATAATGTCCCAGCTAAGGAAAAGTGATGATAATAAGGGGCCATGGCAAATAAAGAAGGATGTTTACACCAGTTTAAAAAGATCATCTTTCCCTGTTTCCTTTCCTCTTTTGACTGCTGACCTGCTGTATTATAACAGTGATAAGAGACACTTTGAGAGGTTTTACAAATACTGACTCTGCAACTTGGAGTTATCAGTAACTTTGTCCTGTGTCCTTTCTTTAGGCAAGAGAAAATAAAAACAAATGCGCACTGCAGTTTATCTTAGAATTGAGTATTGTGAGGGGAAAAAGGGGCCTAAAAAAGTCACAGATATATTTGACTAGAGGAAGTAGGAATACAGTTTAAGACCAAGACTATGATAGCTCAAACTGTTATGACCACTCAATATTTTCTGCTTTTTAAAATGTAGTTGATACCTGCCTTATGATAATGTAGGTAATTGCTAAGCATGAAATGGTAAGACGATTGTACAGATTTCAGGTGATTGTAACCCAAGATGGTTAGCCAATTTGAACAATATTATTTGTGTATATCAGTGTATCTATTCATGGATGAGTTTGTCTCTCAGGAGACATTTGGCAATTCCTGGAGACATTTTTGGTTGTCACAACTTTGGAAGGTCTGCTGGCATTCAGTGAGTAGAGGTCAGAGGTGCTGCTAATCATCTTTCAATGCACAGGAAAGCCCCCAACGACAGTCACCCAGTCCGACATGTCAATAGTGCTGAAGCTGAGAAACCCTGATGAGCATTATAAGGATAAAATCAATAAACATTTGGTGTGGACAGATGATTTCTGTGGTATGCCTTTTTAGGGGAGGAACAGCTCTGTTCCTAGAGAGTTGGAAGGTTGACCAGATAAATAAGGCCTCCCATACGCCAAGCCTGGGGTCAGGAAACTCCCTGACTGAGATGGAGCTGCTAGGCCATGATTTAAGGTACCCAATCCAATGTGCATGGCCAGAGGCCACCAAACTGCACCTGAGTCGGGTAATTCTTGGATTATTTCACCGATCTTAGGTAGAGTGTAAGAAACTCCTGTAGTCACTAATTCAACCAGAAGGAAGAATTCAGGCTTTTTCTCATATCTGCACACAGAAAAAAGTGGCTCTCCTCAAGTTAGCCAAGGTACAGACCAGAAAACAAGTAGTAGTTGCAATGATGAAACAGTCTGCACACAAGCAACTCGATCAGCCAGAGCAGGGAGTGGGAAACATAGGTATGTGTGAGTGTGTTAGCATGAGTGTGAGTGTGCATGTGCGTGTGCCCCAGATGAGGCATGCTGGTGAGGTCAGTCTTCTGAGGACCACAGATTTAGCCCAGGGACAACATGAGGCATCAGCCTTTAATTTCTGTAGGCTTCAGGTAACATTCCATCTATTAGGCTATATTTCACAGGTATGCTTGCAACTGGGAACGTGAGAAATGTATTCTTGAAATTTCATGTGGCTCATCTGACTTTGCCACATCAAATCAAAATGTCCTTCATCTCAGAGGTACTGCAGGTGGATTCTCCAGATTTCGGAGGAGGTACTAGAGAGTGATAATCTCATCAAAGATATTCCTGCCTTTTGTGTCCTAGGGTCTGTGACACACAGGCCCTTAGTTATTATGAGGCCTGTAAGTCTTCTGTGGGGAGTGCGTTAGGGGATGATGGAGAGAAACTTTATATGTTTAATTCAATTGTACTCGTTATTAAAGCTTATTCAATATATTTACAATACAATATAAAACTTTAGGTGATGTCTGAATCAAACATCTATTAAACAAATTGCAATATGTTTGGAACTTCATTCTAATTTTCCCATTAATTACCTAAATTCATTTATAAACTTCATACACCACCACTTATAGTTTTTAGTTCTGTAATATACACGTACATATATGAGTACAGTGTATATTCTTTGCTTTTAGGAAATCCAGTATAGGAAAATCTAAAGTTGGAAAACAGATAACCCTCAAGGTGATTATTTATATGATCAAATAATTGGTTACTTTCCAAAAGTCCCTTTCAATGAAAAAAAAAAAAAACAATAAAAAACTAAATCAAATCCATAAATATAAACTAAGTACCTAATCTTATGAGCAAGAAAGAGGAGAATGAATATACAAAGAAGACCAAGATTAATTTGGGGTATTTAAGACTTTATAGGCTGGGCACGGTGGCTCAGCCTGTAATCCCAGCACTTTGGGAGGCCAAGGTGGGCGGATCACCTGAGGTTGGGAGATCGAGACCATCCTGGCTAACATGGCAAAACCCCATCTCTACTAAAAATGCAAAAAATTAGCCAGGTGTGGTGGCGGCACATGCCTGTAATCCCAACTACTCAGGAGGCCGAGGCAGGAGAATCGCTTGAACCCGGCAGGCAGAGGTTGCCGTGAGCCGAGATCACGCCATTGCACTCCAACCTTGGCAACAAGAGCAAAACTCTTAAAAAAAAAAAAAAAAGAAAAGAAAACTTTGTATGGTTTAAGTGGCTTCAAAAGCATCATTTACATAACATTAACCACATGACTGGTGGGTAGAGTTGTTTCTGTCCATTAGATTCCTTCCTCAGGGAGCCACTTATCCCTGTTTGGGCCTGCAAGATCTTATGTCTTTTTTTTACGTAAACCTATAGGTCTTTGAATGTTTTTCTACTTTCTGGTACAGAACAGGCTTACCTTGTACTTTCTCTCTCCTAGCCCTGAACCTATTCAGTTTCTCCAAGATGCCCAGTGCAATGATATTTAGAAACCAAAATCTGGGTATCAGATGTGTCCATTGCTACTGAGATATTACTGCTTCTTGGCCCCTTTAGTAGAGATAGTTAGAATACATATTTATTTAAATTGTGACTGAATCTTACTGAATCCCCTGTTCCCAATTCAAAACCAAAGAGTTTTTCCTTTAATGGAAAGGCGTTCTACATTCTTTAACTCAAATCAGTGATCCCTAGTCAGGAGTGGTTCTTGACTCATGTTCAAGTTTGTAATCATTTATTTCTTATTTTGCTCCTAAAGTGACCCAGTAAGGGAAAGCTGATGTGAAGCCTGATTAGCTTTTACCGTGATCCCTTTTCCTAAGGAGCTTTCAACAGTTTCCATTCATTTTGCCTGACTCAGAAGGTACAATCTCTTATTTCTTTTAGTACCTTAAAAAACAAACAAACAAAAACACCACTTTCCAAAATCCTGTGTATTTCACATATGTCTAAGGTTTTGAGGACAACCCAACCTATACAGCTTTCTCCAAGGATTGTAGAGGAGAGGGAACAGAGCAGAGAGGGGATGACTGCCTCGTGATCTTGTACAGTCCACTGCTTACTGTTTGAAGTCTTGAGACTAGGAGACTCATATTTCTGCTACCAGATAATTAAGATACAGCATCTTAATTATCCTTCTATCATCATGCAGATCAATGGTGTGCCATGTAAAATTTTTCTGAACTTAGCATTTTCACTGCTTCCAAAGGGCTGCACTATTTCATAAAAAGAAAACTGTGTTTCATAACAAAACGTTGCATAATTAAAGTGACTGTAACAATGACAAAAATGTGAATTTCCTCCTTCTCTTTCCTTTCTTTGAAGTCAAATGGGGAACCAAAATGGAATGTAAACGGAAGCTTTTTTGTCTTCCTTCTATCAAGCTTTGTTTGAGGTTCCAAATTCAATACACAGCTAGCACTGAGGAGGGTGTAGCAAATTTTCCAGCAGTTGCAGCCAGGATTAACTGTACTGCCTTCTTTGCCAAATCCATTCGTAAGACAAAACTGAAACAGGTCCTGAAGCTTTGTCATCTTTGAAATTGAGGCCCAACACACGGTGCAGAAAGTGCTGGACTTGAGAAAATCTGGGTTTGGGGCCAGTTTTTCCGCTTTAGTGCCAAGTGTCCTTGGGCAAAGCATTGGTTCCCTTTGAGGCTGTTTCCTTCCCTGTAAAACAAAAATAAAAGTCATGTTCTTGCTTACCTCATAAGGGCGTTTGAGGCTCAAATTAAATGTGATAATGTCAAAGAGCTTTGCAAACTCTAAAGAACTATGAATATAAAGTGTTATTAGAAGCTGTTGAAAGTAAATAATGGGGCAGCTTAATTCAAGTAATTTCAAATGCCTCAGGGTACAAAGAGCTGTGTGAGAGTCTTAGATATTTGCACTGCCCTGTGGTAATAAGAGAAGAGAGGGCGGGCTGAGGTGGGGAAGGTAGCATGACTCCTCTTTCCCGGTAAAGGTGGGCTGGGGTTGGAGAGAGAGATATTGAAGTTGGGGAAGGCAGGAGACGTCACAGCAGTTTGTAGAATGCAATTATGATGATGAGATGGGATTTAGCTAACAGGAGAGAGAAGGATGGTAGGAACGGCCAAATGTGCTTCAGAAATAGCAGAAGTAGGGCAAAAGATGTGGCTCAGAAATAGCAATAAATACATAAATAAATAAATCAGAAATGAAGGCCAATAAATGTCGGAGGAGGAGGTTACACATATAGGGAGATCCTGGGGGGAAAGGAGTTTCCAGGCTTAGTGACAAAGGAGCCTGAAATGAGGATCCCAGGGTGTCAGCAGTTGATGTCCTGAGCCAGCAGTCTCCAGACACTCATTTGCATTTATGAGTGCCTACTATGTGCCAGGCACTAGAAAGAAGGCTCTGTTTTCAAACAAAATCTTACAAGAACCCCAATATGTAAAACAGAAAAATTTGACGCTGCTCTGTTGAAGCAAGGCCTGGGGGACTCAGAGACATTCAGCTTTCCTCCGGATCCATTGGTAGCTCACAAAACATCTCTGCAGGGAGTGAGGCCTCTACTGAGAGACAGAGATAGTACCACTCAACCATGTTAACTCCAGCGCCTAGGACATGATAAGCGTTCAATATTTCCTGCATGAATGAGTGCATGTACGCATGAATGAATGCACAAAATAGAGTGGGTGGTCTGTAGGAAAGAATTCAGATAAATGGGTGCAGTGGATTCCATAACTGCATAGTGAGGCTATAACTTAGCAACCATGAATAGTTAATACATAAAGGTTTCTCAATCTTCAGACATGGAATGGTGGGTGGGTCACCAAGACTGGCTTGCCAGAGGCCGAGGGAGACACATTCGTGTGTGTCCAGCCACAGCAGCCAAAGTTAGAGAGCGTAAGACAAGACAGAACAAGAGAAAGCTTCTACTGACAATGTCTTGGTCACTTCATTGCAAAAACAAAGCTAGTCCAGTGCTCTGCTCCTGTGTGGTGGGGCAGGCTGTCTTCAGAATCACAGAACACAAGAAAAACAGCTGACATTTATCATGTGCTACTTGCCAGGCACAGAAGCAGTCCTTTTATGTGTGGTGGGTAGAACAATGGCCCCCTAGAGACCTCTATACCCCAATCCCTGTAGTCTATAAATATTCTATGTTACGAGGCAATGGAGAAACTAAGATTGCTAACCAGCTGACTGTGAGGTGGGAAGAGTGTCCTGGATTATCCAGGTGGGCCCCATGTCATCACAGCATCCTTGCAGGTAACAGTGGCAGGCAGGCAAGTCACAGAAGGAGCTGAAAGGACAGGAGCACATGTTGGAGTGATGTGATGTGATGTGATTTGAGAACTTGACTGGTCACTGCAGTTTTTGAGATGGAAGAGGGCCACAGGCCAAAGCAATGCAGGCAGCCTCCAGGAGCTAGAAAAGCAAGGAAATAGATTCTCCCCTAGACCCTCCTGGCCCTGCTGATACCTTGATCTTAGCCCAGCAAAACCCAGTTCAGACTTCTGACCTCCAGAACTGGAAGATTAAAAAATTTGTGTTGTTTTTAGCTACTACATTTATAGTAATTTTTTTTACAGCAGCCATTGGAAATGAATACAGATGTTCTCACTCCACCTTCATGTGACAGCCCTAACAGTTGGGTACTTACTGTTGGTATCTTGCAGATGAGTAGAATGAGGCATAGAGAGTTTGGGTCACTTGACCTAGTGGTGCAACAGGCGGCCAGACTCCACAGCCTGCTCTGTTTATCACACTGTCCCCTGGAGTGGCTTTACTTCCTCCTCCCCACAAATGAGAAAATGAGGCCCGAGAGATGTGTTCTGACCTGTCCCAGGTCACATGCAAGTTTGAGGAGACAAAGCTCAAACTATGCCCCAGGAGAATGATATAGACCAGTGCTTCACATACTTAAAGTCTCATCAGAATGCAGGTTCCAATTTAGCAGGTCTGTCTGAGATGGGCTCTAGGACCCTGTGTTTGTAAACAGCTCACAAGTGAGGTCTGGCCTCTGGGTCTGGAGCGGCTGTAGAAGCAGCTTCTGTTCTCTGCTTCGGGGCTCTGAGAATGTAGGGTCACTAGAAGAGGCTTGGGCTTCTAGTGGGATGAAGATGACGGGGCACTGGGAGGGAGAGAGGAGGCTTGGAGACGGGGAGACACAGGCACCGACGGCCATGCGACAGTCCTGTGTGGAATGAAATTTAGGGAAAGGTCAGGGCTAACCAGAAGGATATAACTCTTTGTGCTGCCCAAGAGAAAGATGTCACTCATAAGTGATGATTATTTTTGTCATTTAAAAAGTCATTAAAAACACTCACATGTAATTCCAGCGCTTTGGGAGGCCAAGGCAGCAGGATCGCTTGAGCTCAGAAGTACAAGACCAGCCTGGGCAACATAGGGATACCTCATCTCTATTAAAAATTTAAAAAATTAGCTAGGCATGCGCGTGCATGCCTATAATCCCACCTACTCTAGACGCTGAGGCAGGAGGATCATCTGAGCCTGGGGAGATGAGGGCTGCAGTGAGCTATGATTGTGCTACTGCACTCCAGCCTGAGTGACAGAGTGAGACCATAATTCAGAAAAAAAAAAAAAAAAAAGAAAAGAAAAGTTATCCGAAGCTTGAAGCTTGAAGGCATGGGTCGGGCATGGTGAATAGCACAGACAGATGGAGGACATTCTGTCTGCCACAGAGCCTAAAATATCTACACGAGATTGTGGGAGAAAACCCAACAGCCTTCATTTCCTGCCATGTGTTTTATGTAATTCTTTTATTTTATTTTTTATTTTTGAGAGAGACAGAAAGAGATAGTGTGCTTGTTCTTCGAGAAATGTCTCTAAAGTTTTGGCAGAATCAAAAGGCTAGTACCCCAGGCCCCTTCCTCTCCTGAGGCCCCACACCGCCCACTCCACAGACAGCAAACAGCCCCAGGAGGGTTGCTACTCTGTAACTGCGGTCATGGACCCCTGAGTCTTCATTTTAAAAGAATCCATGCACCCCTCTGTTTGTGTGTGGGGTGCTGGGAGAGTCTCTAACCTATTTCACTGAAACTGAATAATTTCCAGTTGTCTGTGGCTACCGCAGCTGCCTGCAGACTAGGAATGTTCTGGTTTCATTTTGAAACAACTCCCAGGCATGCAGGCAAGAAGTATCAACTTTCCTCTCAGATATGTGAACTCAGAGAGGAAGCCAAAGTTTGGCTGACTGGTTTCTAGGAGTACAGAGTGAAAACGTTGCTTGTATTTATTTAAAATGGCTAAAAAATGAGAACTTTTTTTTAAAAAAATAATCATATGTGGCACTATTCTTTTAAATCCAACAGCAGTTTTTATAGGGAATAATATGTAGATGGATAAATAAGTAGACAAATACTCTTTTTCATTATTTCATTAGGTCAATATGGAAAATGCTCAATAGGCCTTTTGAACACTTTAAAGGACTCCAAAGATGTTGGAGAAAATGGAACATTCATTCGTACTTTTTTAGATAGATAATAATGTAGATGCATAGAGAAATATCCAGAAGGATATTCATCAAAATGTTAACAGTATTTGTCTCTGGATGACAGAATTTAGAGGAGGTTTTTTTTTTTTCTTTTTCTTTTTTATACTTCTCTCTCTCTCTCTCTCTTTTTTTTTTTTTTTTTTTTTGTGAGACAGTCTTGCTCTGTCACCCAGGCTGGGAGTACAGTGGCGTGATCTCGGCTCACTGCAATGTCTGCCTCCTGGGTTCAAGCAATTCTCTCTGCTTCATCCTCCCAAGTAGCTGGGATTACAGGTGCCCGCCACCACACACAGCTAATTTTTGTATTTTTAGTAGAGACAGGGTTTCACCATGTTGGCCAGGCTGGTCTTGAACTCCTGACCTCAGGTGATCTGCCCACCTTGGCCTCCCAAAGTGCTGGGATTACAGGCATCAGCCACCACGTCTGGCCTATATTTCTTTTTTGGTTTTTTTTTTTAATATTTTTTTCCTGTACTCCCAGCACTTCAGGGGGCCGAGGCAGGAGGATTGCTTGAGCCCAGGAATTGGAGGCTAGGCTGGGCAACATGGCAGAGCCCTGTCTCTACACAAAGAATACAAAAATTTGCCAGGCATGGTGGCATGTGCCTGTAGTCTCAGCCACTCAGGAGGCTGAGGTGGGAAGATCACTTGAGCCTGGGAGGTCAAGGGTGCAGTGAGCTGTGATTGTGGCACTTCACTCCAGCCTGGGTGATAGAATGAGACCCTGGGTCCAAAAAAAAAAAAGTGTGTGTGTATTATATTATATACACATATTTCAGTAGCTTTTGGGGCACAAGTGGTTTTTGGTTATATGGATGAATTATATAGGGATGAATTCTGAGATTTAGTGCACCCCATACTTGGCACAATTGACCTTCCATGCTCCTTAATGTAGAGTTTGCAAAATGGAGCTTTAAGGTACTTCTAAAATAAGTTTTCTACTAACCATCCCAGCTTAGGGGTTCACCTCAAAGGGTAGTGGTAATTCTTCAGGAAAATAATGAAATATGTTGATCAGTTGCCTGGCTCAGTCAGCAAACACTGAGGTGCCTATAAAGTCCAAGGAAGGTGTTTTGCTGGGTTCTGAAGAATAGCTTCTCTTTGCTTCCAGTCAGGTCCCAGGTGCGCAGTGTGACAGTTCTGCCTGCTGAGCACTTAGGTGAGGAGGACTCCGGCCATCAGGGGAACTTGAGGCTATGGGGTTTTCAGTTGTCAATCTAGAGTAGCGAAAAAACAAGCTTGAGGGTTACACGACCCTTGTTATCTGTGTCGTCTCGTTCAGGCCCAACACTTCCTGCTATTCTTTTCCACTATGGTCTTGTGTCATCATCTGCAAAATATGAATAAAAATACTTCCTCCCAGGAGTATTGTGAGGATTAAAGGAGACAATATGAATGGCACAAAGTAGGCCTCTAAAAATGTTTCTTCCTCCAAGAGCCCGAAGCAAACAGGGGATTTTCAAGAATAATTTCTGTTTGGCTATGGGATATGTTATGTTACCTTTCTGCCTTAAACTGATCCACCAGTTGATTTATATTTTACTTGGTCTACCAGTAATATTAACTTTTATTTCTTTTGAACATACAACTGATGATGGGAGAGGCAGATCCAAAGTGCTATTTGTGGTAGTCTGTTGTGGTTACAATTCACAGAATGCATACATACATGCACATAAAGGAGAAATGGCTGTGTTTAGAAAAAATGGTCATACATAAATAAGTTGATTACTTTGGTGATGGGAAACTAAGATTCAATGTCAGAAGAGACCTTTGGTGACTACTAGTAGCTTTTGAGGATCAGAAAAGTTAGATGGCTTTTCCTTTCTTTCTTGCCCTCTCCCATCACACACACACACATACACACTCACACTACATCCTTTGCCAGCAGGCAGGGAAAGCACTCCCAGGGTGATACTGATATGAATGTTCTTTCCTTGCCCCCAACTCACCCTGCTCAAGTCACATAGCTAAGGTCAGCTTTGGGGAGCCAGATGCCAGCCCTGTCCCTTCACTGTCCTCAAGCTCCTGGGATCCTCAGGGCAGAGGTGTACAATGGTTCCCATCATCGTGGAGGGACTGGCACATTTGCCTGTTTCCTGCCTGAGTACCAACTAGAGGAAATGAAACTTACATGGCAGGGCCCTCACTTGCGCCAGCCCTTCTAAGGCCCTAGAACTAGGTTCTTATGGTTGTATGATTTCTGTAAAATTTGTAAGAAATATTTGAACAACCATCAGTTAAGACCCTGTTCTCTTCCACCCATTTCTGATGTCCCCCCATCATTCTTCCTCATTTGTCAGTGGCATTGTGTGTCCGTGCATTTCTAGGGAGTTGCGCGGGGGATTCATTTAGTTTGGGTTTAGTGGGATGTGTATATGTGTGTTGTAGCCTCTTCCAGGTAGAGTTAAGCTGTTGCTGGGAATACTCCTATTGCTCACTGTGTTGACTCAGTGGGAGCTGTGACAGGAAGGTGAAGGAGACAGAGGCCATGTCATGACATGACCTTAAGTATAAGGAGAGTGGAGGATAAACAAGGTTTGAAATGTTTGAAGCTGGAAGATAGTCTATGGAGCATTCTTGCAATTGTCAGTAAGTAGAAAATTCAGTTGTCAAAGAAGACTAGTGAAAATACAAGTTCTTTCCTGTCAGGAATATACTGGAAAATGCAGCATAGATGACTTTAATATACCATATGTATTTTTCTTTCCTATATTGATGAGAATCACATGCCACAACATCTATCTCTGAGTTTATAGGCAAGTCTGAAGCAGTACTACAAAAGCAAGGTGTCTCTAGCAGTTTATGAATGAAAAAAGCAAAAGCTTGATAGACCTTATTGTCGTATGATTTCTGTAAAATCTGTAAGAAATATTTGAACAACCATCAATTAAGACCCTGTTCTTTTCCACCCATTTCTGATTCCTCCCATCATTCTTCCTCATTTGTCAGTGGCATCATGTGTCCGTGCATTTCTAGGGAGTTGCGTGGGAGACTCATTTAGTTTGGGTTTAGTGGGATGTGTATATGTGTGTTGTAGCCTCTTCCAGGTAGAGTTAAGCTATTGCTGGGAATACTCCTATTGCTCGCTGTGCTGACGGACATTGCAGTGAGCTGAGATTGTGTCACTGCACTCCACAAATAAGTCATTTAATCCTCAAACAAGGAAGTAGTTTCTTTCTTTTTTTTTTTTTGAGGTGGAGTCTTTCTCTGTCACCCAGGCTGGAGTGCAGTGGGGTGATCTTGGCTCACTGCAACCTCTGTCTCCCGGGTTCAAGCTATTCTCCTGCCTCAGCCTCCTGAGTAGCTGGGACTACAGGCACGTGCCACCATGCCTGGCTAATTTTTTGTATTTTTAGTAGAGATGGGGTTTCACCATGTTAGCCAGGATGATCTCAATCTCCTGACCTTGTGATCCACCTGCCTTGGCCTCCCAAAGTACTGGGATTACAGGCGTGAGCCACCATGCCAGGTTGAGATTTTTTTTGGAAAGTTTTCTTAAAAGCGTCTCCTTACCTCTGCTTCTAATACAGCTCTTTTATATTCTGGATTTGAAGTATGGTTGAAAGGTCTAGGCTTGATTGCCAAAAGAAATGCACAGTCAAGTTAGAGTGTACAAAACATAGGTCTCTCAGACATTATGGCTGGCTCTCAGTTCCTGACAGTGAGGTCTCAAAAAAGGGGAAAGTGAGTTAGTCCTTCTAAAAAGCATAGAGGAGGAGGTTGAAAGGGTTAGAAAGGTCAAGTTTCTTGGAAGCTTTGTGTGGGAATTCCATCACTTTTATCTTCAGAACCCAAGGCAATGATAGCAATGATGATGAAGATGATGATGATGGTGATAATAATGATGATGATGGTGCCCTGTACTTACAAAAAGGCTTTCATCTGTAGACTCAAAATGCAACACAACCACTAATTAATTCCAAAGGCAAGGTAGGCAAATATCATTATCTTCAATTTACAGGCCAGGAATTTAACAAGGAAGAAATTAAGCCCTTTACCCAAGGTAATTTCAGAGTGAATATCACAAATGAAGAGTTCCTGCCTCTTCTCTGTCCACATGTCACCTACAGGTAGCTACAGAAGGGCTTTCTTTTATTCCTTCAGAAGTTGTTTTGGAGCCAATATTTGTGGATGACATTGTGGGACTACAAAAGATGACAGCAAAAAGCAGCACATGATTAAATATCAAAATGGAAGGTAAAGGGAAAAAGAATTCTGGACAAAAGAGAGAGAGAGCTGTGGAGCTTGAAGGGGGATTCAGAATTTGAATTTCTGGAGAACTATTATGAGAGGCCCTGAGCATCCTTGTACTCGAGCTCGGAATGTTCTTGCTGGTTTTTCCAAGAATGCAAGGGCTTGACTGCTTTTCACTTGGGCCCTTTCTCAGGTTATTTGCTGTGAATAACCTTGAGGGACGAGATAATATCTCCCCCCAACAAAGAGCAGGTTTCCTTACCACCAGCTGTGAAAGAGGTGGATTCCCCAAGCCTAGGTTCTTCTCCTGTAATACAACCTGTTGCATGGCAGCATTTATCTGAGCCCTATGTTGCCCTCTGGGACTTGGAAGCAAGGAAAACAGCTGAAACATAATGCTTATGCTGCTTGGTGACTGTAAATAATAAGGCCCCTTGTCTCTGACTCAGGAGTCTCATGTCGTCTGACAACATCCATGATACAGTAACAGGCTAACTAATTAGCTTACAAGTAGGATGAAATCAAATCCCACAGCTGACAGAAACAGCCTGAATAACGTTAGGTGCACCTGATCTGTGACACTTGTACCCCTCCTGTTATGACACTGAGCACCCTTTATTGTAATTGCTTATTTAATTCCTTTATTCCCCACCAGGCTGGAAGCTATGGGAAGAAAGGGCTATTGCATTTCCTTTGCCTAGAAAAGTGCTTGGCATATAGTAGGTTTTTCTCAAATATTTATAGAAGGAGTGAATACATGGATATAGTCTGTTTAGGAGTACAGAATAAACCAGTTCCCCAGGAGGAAAGAGTTTTAAAAGGTAGGCAGAGTAACTGCTTTCATGTGTCCTCGAACATTCCACTCTCTCCTCTGGGGCAGAGCGAGCTCCTTGCTGCACTGACCCCTCCCTTCACAGACTTCACTGAGTGCAGGGAGGACACATAGTAAAATGGTGCCACCTCTACTACACAATGATCTGGGTGGCTGCAGCATCTCTGCCTCACCATGATGTGATGGAGTTTCCCTGCCCCAACCTGCTTGTTTGAGTGTATGGTTCTGGTGTGGATGTTCGCTCAATTTCCACATCTCATGGGCATTGGTGGAAAGGAAGTCAAGGCCATGCCAACAGAGGTCACCTTTGGTTTCCTGAGGTCCACAGGTGTGGATGAGAAGCATCTGGCCAGGAAACCAGCCTGCCAGAATCCCCAGAGTGAAGACACTCAAGCAGAAGACAGGATGGCTCCTCAGCGTTACTCTGGCCAGTGATCAAATTTTCAGGGTTTGTGGAGCAATTAATTGCTTCATACACATGCTGGGCCACGTTCTTCAGAATGAGGCAGGTCACATCTCCGAATTCTTAACCCTTTTGGAATCCAGGCGCTCACCACTACTGGTGGGAATAACACATCTTCTTCTGAAGGAAGGAACCAGTTGTTCTTAGTGGGAGAAGAGAGCCGTGGGACCGATTTGACTTTTCTCCCAGAGAGCAGGTTCTCCATTTGCCTATTGGGAAAGAGAGGTGGACGCAGGTCAAAGATATCACATCCTCTCCTCTCACCTTTCCTTCTCCCTTCCCTTCCTCCTTCTGAGACACAAACGGAAATAGTATATTAGCTATGACCATGAATATCGTATTTACTAGTGATTTTTACTTACAAGACTGATCCAAGAGGATGTAATATCCTTCTATTTCTTTCAAAGCTCTTCATGGGAGTTAACCTAAAGGAAGAAGCTGAGGCACAAAATACAATTTTAAGGAGTTAACTTGAGTCACAGTGAGGACAGCGGCCCGGGAAACACTTCCAAGTTGTCTTGGGAAGTGCTCCCTTATGTATTTGCACAGGCAGGGTCTTTTTTTTTTTTTTTTTGGTTTGTTTTTTGAGACAGGGTCTCACGCCATCACCCAGGCTGGAGTGCAGTGGCACAATCATGGCTCACTGCAGCCTTGGCCTGCTGGCCTCGAGCAACCCTCCCATCTCAGCCTCCCAAGTAGCTGGGATTACAGGTACATGCCACCATGCCTGGCTAATTTTTAAATTTTTCATAGAGACAAGGTCTCCCTATATTGCCCAGGCTGGTCTTGAACTTCCGGGCTCAAGTGATCCTCTTGCCTCAGCCTCTCAAAATACTGGAATTACAGGCATGAGCCCTGACACCCAACCACAAGCAGGTTTCTAAAGGCAAAAGGGAACAAGGAATAGGCTGATACAAAGTTGTTTGGCAGGAATTCTCACTGGCTTAAAGAAGTAATATTGATTCATGATTGGCTATACCTTGTTGAGCTATAGGGTAAGAGCTATGGTATCTAGCATATGGCATTGTTAGGTTAATGTATGGCCACTTGGTGTCAGTCAGTCTTGAGCCCACATAGCAAGTGGCTTCAAGAGGTGATTACTTAGCTCAAGGCAGGGAATGAGACATAATTGCTGTCACATTTCAATGCCTCTTTGGGCCTGATAATTTAAAATGGCTCACATTCTTCAGATAAAGTTTCTTTTCTTTCTCAATGAGATTTTGTTTTTTTTTGTTTTTAACTCAACAATCATGTATTGAGCCTGTCCGGGGCCAGTCTGGGCCAGTCCAGAGAGTGAGAATAGCAGTCAGTAGGTTAAGAACACAGGTTTCTAGTTCAACAGACCTTGACTCAGTCCCATCCTATCTTATTAGCGGTGGGACCTTTGCAGCTCCATGGGAGGATACTGGGGGAAGCCACTGTATTCCTCCCCTGCCTGTCTCCAGGCTTAGCAGCAGCCAGAGAGCCTGTTCTCTGAAAACGCTGCCTGGCACACTTGTTCCTGATGCTGGGATCCCTTTACAGGAAGCATAACCCTTTATTTTAGTTCAAATTAAACAAATACTCAAATGCCCTGGTGGAAGCAGTTAACACCCACAAGTTAAAACTTGCCTGAAGACAATTTCTGCAGCCAGAAATAACGTGCAGACACTTAGCTGGGGGTAGGAGCTGAACACCACAGGGAGGAGACACGAAGTTGGAAAAGAGGAACTGAGAGCCTCAGAGTCAAAATTCATTACTTCATGCTTTTTCTTTCGACCTGATCTCCCTTCCCTTTCTTATTTTTGAGAGAAAGTTTCAATTCCTGTTACAGCTGAATTCACCGGGAAGTATGGGTAATTTGTCTCCATACTTAACCTGCGCTTTAAGTGTAAAATTTTGGCCATTTATTTAAGGCCTGGAAAGAATTTACCAACTATAAGAAAATCATGTGACTTTCTTGGTGAAATGGCATCAGAAGATTTCCGGGGACCAAAGAGCACCATAACCAGGTGTAGCTGGAGTCAGGCCATTTTGTGTCAGCCAGTGCCAAAGTCCTTCCAGGTGGTGGCTGCTCTTTCTAAGGACTATTTGAACTTACAGCAATCTGATCAAGGCAGGTTTTAGAGTTTCAGGAATGCTGGTGAGCCATGTCTTGCATGTTTAACCCAAAGCTTCCCTGGAGTTGGAGACTGCACTACTTTTCATCCATCATACACTTTTTGGGCACTCGCTTGTTGGTGCTGGGCACTGTGTTAGACTCCAGAAAGACAGATAATTGTTTAGTAAAGGAAAAAAAAATGCTGTTTCTGCCCTGGAAAAATGTGCCTGACACAGAGGCCTTTTGTATTTCTGTTCTGGTCAAATAGCAACTCTCTCCTCGAGGCCATAAATGCTGAAGCTTAGACCTAGTATTTGATAGCACAACAGGGTAACTATAGTCAATAATAATTTAATTGTACATTTAAAAATAACTAAAAGAGTATAGTTGGATGGTTTGTAACACAAAGGATAAATGCTTGAGGGGATGGATACCCTACTTTCCATGATGTGATTATTATGCATTGCATGCCTGTACCCAAATATCTCATGTATCCCACAAATATATAGACCTACTATGTGCCCACAAAAATTAAAAATTAAGAATTAAAAAAAAAATGCCACAAGACAGGAGAGGTAAGTTAGCCTAGAAAGAGCTTGTTAAAAAAAAAAAAAAAATCCTTTCTTTACAGTCGAATAATATTTTAGCAATGCTGCCCTCTGCAGAGCAAAACTAGGATCGCAACTCTAGGTGGTTAAACGAACTTCCCAACACTGGTTAATTTGAAGAGAACTGGAAGATTCAATGGTCTTCCAGAGTTTTCTCACATACCCCCCTAAAATAATTGTGAATAATCATGTGCCTCCTTGCGTGTTTTTAAGTTGACATCTAAATTTGCCTTATCACCTTAATAGTTGCAAAGGATGTTCTTTCCCACACATTTTCTGAGCTTTAAATAGTTGCAGATTGAGCGTATCCAGTTTAGTTTATGAAAAACACCATCTGTATCACCTGGTGGGCAAAGCCAGCCCTCATTGTCAGACCAATCAGCTAACTTTGAATTGCTTTCTGACAGAAAAATAGTTTACTCGACTGTATTAATCACGCTGCTGATAAAGACTTATCCGAGACTGGGTAATTCTTAAAAAAAAGGAGGTTTAATGGACTCACAGTTCCATGTGGCTGGAGACGCCTCATAATCATGGTGGAAGATGAAGGAAGAGCAATGGGACGTCTTACATGGCAGCAGGCAAGAGAGAAAGAGAGCCAAACGAAAGGGGAAACCCCTATAAAAGCATCAAATGTTTGATGAAAAGACTTTGAAATTCATTGTTGAAAAGACTTATTCTGTTCAACATTGTTGAAAAGTTGTTTGAAAAGACTTATTCATTACCATGAGAACAGTATGTGGGAAACTGCCCCCATGACTCAATGATTTCCCACTGGCACCCTCCCACAACACGTGGGAATTATGGAAGCTGCAATTCAAGATGAGATTTGGGTGGAGACACAGCCAAACCATATCATTGACTGACTTAAATTCAACAGAACTGTGCTTTGGAGGACATCGTTGCGCTGCTGACTTCTAACACTGAGGTAGGTGACTAGATAGAGCTGGCGCAGGTGACCCAGGCATTGCTCCTTTAGGGGTGCCTTCTGAGAAAGCAAAAGGAGTTTTACTTTCATGGGACTCTCCTGTCTTAGCTCTAAATTTTCTTATTGTCCCATTGTTTGGTGCAAGTTCTTTTTTTTTTTTTGAGATGGAGTTTCGCTTTTGTTGCCCAGGCTGGAGTGCAATGACATGATGTTGGCTCACCGCAACCTCCGCCTCCCAGGTTCAAGTGATTCTCCTGCCTCAGCCTCCCGAGTAGCTGGGATTACGGGTATGTGCCACCATGCCTGGCTAATTTTGTGTTTTTAGTAGAGACTGGGTTTCTCCGTGTTGGTCAGGCTGGTCTCGAACTCCCGACCTCAGGTGATCTGCCCACCTTGGCCTCCCAAAGTGCTGGGATTACCAGGACGGTGTATTATAAGTTTCAGGATGGTAAAAGGTGTATGTCTTCTCTTGTAAACAGAGAGAAGGGAGATTGTGAAAGGTACAAGAGGCAGGGGAGCAGCCCACTGAGCTACCCCAGGAATTTCCCTGACAATCAGTTTTAAGGAGGACATGCAGAAGTTGAAGATGTGGAACACACATCCCATCTAAGGGGTGACATCCTTCAGTTTGTGGACAGCTGGTCTAATTCACTGGAGGAGGAACACAGCTCCCCTGGGGCCATGCTCTGGCCACAGAACAGTGTGCAAGAGGTCATTTATGTTCAGGTAGCTTTTCTTATCTCTCCACTCTTGCTCTGGTCTTTAACAGCTTTCCTTCAGGGGCACGTAGAGGGCATGGCTGTGATATGCCTGTGTCATGCTTTTTAAAGAGTAGTCCTCCTGGAAAATAACTCATCCTTCTCTAGGTCTGGAAGATGACTTTGGCCTCCAGGAGCTGTCTAGCAAAAGCTGAATGCCAGTTTACAGCAGCTGTCTGTTCATACAGACAGGTCAAGAGGTTTCCTGCCTGGTGGGTGGCTGGACAAAGTGCCCAGGGTGGACGAAGATAGTTACACCATAGGGCCTGAGTGAGCGGGAGACACTAAGATGATTCACTGTCTGCTGAGGAGCACCTTGAAAGTCAGACCAGGATATTTCAGGTCCTACACCACCTGACCACTGCCCGTTGATAGAACCTGCTTCCCCCTTTGAACCATATCTGACTTGCCTTGACTTTCACCTTTGTAAAAATGGGAATCTTTTTAAAGCTATAATACTATTTCCTGATTACTGCTTTCTCTTCACTCCTCTAACATTCTGTACCTTTTTTTTTTTTTTTTTTTTGAAACCGAGTCTCCCTCTGTTGCCCAGGCTGGAGTGCAGTGGCATGATCTCAGCTCATTGCAACCTCTGCCTCCTGGATTCAAGCTATTCTCCTGCCTCAGCCTCCCAAGTAACTTGCATTACAGGCTCATGCCACCACCTCGGCTGATTTTTTTGTATTTTTAGTAGAGATGGGGTTTCACCATGTTGGCTAGGCTCGACTTGAACTCCCGACCTCAAGCGATCCACTCACCTTAGCCTCCCAAAGTGCTGGGATTACAGCTGAGAGCCACCTCACCTAGCCAACATTCTGTACTTTTTAAGGGCATGTCTTGTGTTTTGCCTTGTGTTATAATTCTTTAACTACATGTCTCAAGGCCCTTTGAAGAGAGAGAGTCAATTCCATCTCTATACTTCCCAGCTGTCTAGCTCAATATCTGGTACAGGGCAGGTACTCAGAAATTGCTACCCTATTTCTTCAGATCAAAGCAGGCACTTCTTCTCTCCACACGTCTAAAGAACAACAGGTTGGGTTCTAAAACCTGATAGCTTCTTCTGGAGCTCCAGCAACAGGCATCCGTGAGCGTGAGGGAATTGTGATTGTGATCAGGGAATTTGTCATGGATTGATGACCAAGTGTGGAAAAACTCAAACTGTTTGTCCTCTGCTCTCATACCCGAAAAATTAGCACAGAAGACACCTGTGACCACATGTGTGGGATGTCTCCCCACCAGCAAGCAAGCAATCAATAAGTTCTGGAGGGGACACCAGCTGGGTATCCTCTGGCCCAGTTTGATTCCAATCTGTCTACGTGGAGATAATGTCAGATCCCACAGGCTGAGGGCTCAGTCCCCAAGATTGCCCCCATCTCTAACTTCTGATGCCAATTGCAAGCTCCAGGTTATTTTGCCAGTGTTTCTGACCTACTGGCTACAAATTGGGGTTCTCACAACGCTTTCCTTGGCTTCAATCAGTTTGCTAGAGCAGTTCAGAGAAATACAATTACTGGTTTATGATAAAGGACATTACAAAGGATACAGATGAAGAGACGCATAGGGCAAGATATGGGGGAAGAGTGTGAAACTTCCATGACCTCCCAGGAGCCTTCAGGAACCTCCATGAGTTTAGCTATCTGGAAGCTCTCATAACACTGTCCTTTTGAGTTTTTATAGAGGCTTTATCATGTGGGCATGATTGATAAAACCACTGGCTATTGGTGATCAACTTAAACTTTGGCCCCTCTCCCCTCTCTGGAGGTAGGGTTTGGGGCTGAAAGTCCCCATCTTTTAGTCCTGCCTTGGTCTTTCTGGTGACCAGCCCCCATACTGAAGCTATCTAGGGGCTGCTGGCCACCAGTCCAGTGGGTGGCACACAGAAGGACACATATCACTGAAGATTCCAAGAATTTTTGGAGTTGTATTTCAGGAAATGGGTAGGAAGATCAAACATACATTTTACAATATCACAATGGCATACCTTCAGATAGCATTTCGAAGGTGCTGCCTGGTGCTTAAAGGTCAGTAGACCCGAGTTCAGTGACGACCTTGGTGTGCTAGGCATCCAGGGGAAAACAGGAAGCCCAACCTTGTTCATGGATTTTTTTTCCCTTTCATAGGAGAGACTGTGCTCAAGATCCAGATTCATTTGTTGATTCTCATAGCTTTAAAAACATGCCAAGTGCCCACAGGTCTTTGGGAATCTTTCCAAATTTTATCAAAGACACAGATGCATAATAAAATAAACAGAAATTAAACTTTATCCTAACCTCCAAAGTATACAACTCCCAACTAAATGTGTAGCTTTGATTTAAATGATGGGTTATGTACCGTCACTTAATGGGGACAGGATAAGTGAGAAGTATTTTGGTGCAAAAGTAATTGCGGTTCTTGCCATTACTTTTAATGGAAAAAAACTGCAATTACTTTTCCATCAACCTAACAGGACAAGGGATGAAAAAGTTCTACCTAAAGTGTATCTAAATTGATAGGGACTAAGTTCATTTGGATAATCATAAATCTGCAAATAAATAGGAGGGTAGTTGGAGGGATTCTGCAGTGTGAGGGTTTTCCAAAGCAAACCAGCTGAGCTGGACCAAAGAACTGAGAAAACAGGGACTGTGTAAATTGTTTTATTACTCAATGCATAAAGAATTATGCCTCTGGAAAAGTGTGGTTTCATTCTGTACTATAAAGATGAAAGTCTTGGCTATCACGTGGGAAGGCAAGTTCTTGAATGGAAATATGTGCTAAGGTAGATGGCCCAACATGATGGTTTCTTGCCTGGGAGCTTCTTGTTCCTAGTGCTGCTGTTGCATAACTGAGTGACTTTGGCTGAAGATCTGTTCCTTTTCTTCTTTTTCCAGAGATAGGGTCTTGCTCTGTTGCCCAGGCTGGAGTGCAGTGGTACAGTCTTGGTTCACTGCAGCCTCTACCTCCTTGGCACAAGCAACTCTCCCAACTCAGTGTCCTGAGAAGTTGGGACTATAGGCGCTTGCCTCCACACAGGATAATTGTTTTTTTTTTTTTTGTGACCAAGTCTCACTCCATCATTCAGGCTGGAATGCAGTGATGCGATCTTGGCTCACTGCAACCTCCGTCTCCTGGGTTCCAGCAATTCTCATGCCTTAGCCTTCCAAGTAGCTGGGATTATAGGTCTGTGCCACCACGCCCAGCTAATTTTTGTAATTTTGAGTAGAGACAGAATTTCACCATGATGGCCAAGCTGGTCTCAAACTCCTAGCCTCAAGTGACCCACCCACGTTGGCCTCCCAAAGTGCTGGGATTACAGGCGTGAGCCACTGCGCCTGGCCAATCTGTTCATTTTTATACTTAAAAATTGAACATGGCCAAATGAGTCCAGATAGGAACACTTTGGATTGCTAATTCATTTTTTGAAATAGTTGCTCATTCTTTAGATGCTAAAATTTAGAGAATTCCTCCACTGCCTCTCACTCAACCTGCCATTTTCCATTGAGCACTTTCTCTGGGCTCTGCACACCTGGCACTTGAAAAAGCCTCTGGGTATTTGGCAGCCAGCATGTTCTCATGGAGACCAGTTCTACTCTGAGAGAGTTTTCCAATCTGGCTGTAAATTGGGGTTAGCGAGGGCAGCCTCTATCCTGCTAAGAAACAAAGCCAGCCTTTTATAGAGCCAAGAAGCTGGCTCTTTACCGCATGTTTTTTTCAACATCCTCTATAAAAAACCCTTTGTGGTGTTTATTGGATGACCTCTCACTGACCTTTCTCTTGTGTTCTAAATGCCATTCTCATGCCAAACTCCATAAGAGTTATTGTTTTCCATCTTTTTTTCTGCATTATTAGGGTTATCAGACTTAGCAAATAAAAATATAAGATGCTGAGTTAAATTTGAATTTCATATAAATAATGAATAATCTTTAATATATAAGACTTGGAACATACTTGGATTTAAAAATTATTAATTATTTATCTGAAATTGAAATATGACTGGGTGTCCTGTGTTTCACCTGGCAACTCTATACAGGGATTCAAATGTCCTAATTTTCATACCTTACTGAAATGTTTGTTTCATCTGTTTATCCCTCATCTCAGGAAATACTGCTACACAACCTTGAACTACTTCACACATCGAAAAAGAACACGTACTCTTTCTCTACCAAAAGTGAATTTATCAGTTACACATACAAGGTACACTTTTCCTTAATGACTGAGGTTTGTCTATTTTCTCTCTCTTTTTTTTTCTTTTGATGTTTGTAACTATTGCCTTTCAGCTTTCACCTTTTTATTTCCATCTCTGTCAGCACTTGCCTCACTTTCTTAAATTTAAAAAAACCAAAAATCCCTTTATTTCAACCATGGAACATGCAGGAAGACCAGCAGTTCTCAAATCCTTTGGTTATATGGGTTAGGGAATCCCATGAGTTCTGAATCTAGTGATAGAACAATCACATTGTACCTACTCTTTCAGTTACTAAGTAGTGCTTTTATGAATTAAAGATGATACTTAAATTTTGGGTTAAACTTTTGGAGGAAACCCCTTATTTTACTTTTGAAAATTAACATAGTTATCTGGGGGCGTGAAGGGGAGCACAGCAGCAACAACGGAAGCCTTCAGTGTTCACTTCTGGAGCCTCACGTCTTGACTGCTGCCACAACCAAGTTTTCCTGCCAAGTGCTTACACCCACAGAAAGGCTGTGGCCCCTCCTCGGAGTTGGGCTAACGTCCAGCCTCTGTCTACAGCAGTCTGTGTTGGAGCCTGCTGATGGGCTCCAGGTTATCTGGTCTAACAGGAGCTGATGCTATGCTCAGGGAAGCAACAGGGAATGAATGATAAAGAGGAAACAGAGCTGCCAGGATGAGTGATTGTCAAAGGTGGATGCTTTCCTGATTAGCTGCAGGGGAGACACGACAGGAAGGTCTAATCACAGGAGATCATTTGTACCATCAGAGGTTAGCATATTTGGGGTGAGGAAGGTAAGCATGTTTTGACTTTTTAGATGAAATGAGGTGCTAACAACTTGGCCACAAGGTTTAGAAACAATCACAGGAAACCAACTAGGAAGTGAAAATTGGTAGGTATTTTGAGCACTAACATAAAGGATGGAAGAAGCAGAGATACCCAGAAGTCCTGGAAGCAGGCTAGGCAGGATGAACATTTTAGAAACGCTTAAGAACAGGCTAATCTGAGGCCAGGCACAGTGGCTCACACCAGTAATCCCAGCACTTTGAGAGGCTGACGTGGGAGGATCTCTTGAGTCCAAACGTTCAAGACCAGCCTGGACAACATAGTGAGACCCCCATCCCTAAAAAACTAAAAAGTGAAAAATTAGCCAGGCATGGTGGTATGTGCCTGTAGTCCCAGCTACTTGGGAGGCTAAGGTGGGAGGATTGCTTGAGCCCGGAAGGCTGAGACTGCAGTGAGCCATAATTGTGCCACTCACTTGCCCTGAGTGACAAAACAAGACTTTTTCTTAAAAAAAAGAGAAAAAAGGCTGGGTGTGGTGGGATTACACCTGTAATCCCAGCACTTCAGGAGGCCAAGGCAGGTGGATCTCCTGAGGTCAGGAGTTCAAGACTAGCCTGGCCAACATGGTGAGACCCTGTCTCTACTAAAAATACAAAAAATTAGCCTGGCGCAGTGGTGGATGCCTGTAATCCCAGCTACACGGGAGGCTGAGGCAGGAGAATTGCTTGAACCCGGGAGGTGGAGGTTGCAGTGAACTGAGATCATGCCATTGCACTCCAGCCTAGGCAACAAGAGCAAAACTCCATCTCAAAAATAAAATAAAATAAAATAAAACTAAGAAAAAGAACAGGATATCTGTTACACAAATTACCCCAGATTGCTGAAACCACCTTTGCAAAAATTATAGCAGTGAGAAAATTATGACAGTCAAAGAGACCTTCTCTAACCAATTCCATCTTGCCTTTAACCTTCAAATTAACCTTGGTCATTCTGGAGCACGGGCCAAGCTAACTTTTGGATAAATTTAGTTTCTGGTTTAACCTTAAGGCAAGGATTATAATAGGCCTTCCCAAAACTAAACTACTTTTGTAAAACTAATGAAAGGTCACAAGGTTAGGAAGGTTAGGATTATTAGAGGGGCCTGAATTCTGCTAAGATGCAGGCATAGTTAAATGATTACCAGTCATTGTTCTGGAAGTTACAAGATTTGTAATTTCCTCCATTACTCCTGTAAGTAACATCACTATTGTAGAACCTAAAATTGGCCTTTCGAGATGTCTTTTCAGATTTTCATTTCTGACAACCAGATGACTCCACCTGGACCCATGTCCCTTACCCAGATGCTGACTCAGCGCATGAGGACTATTTTCTATGACCCTATGATTGCATCCCCAACAAATCAGCAGCACCCCTTCCCTAGCCCCCTGCCCACCAAACTATTGTTAAAAAACTGTAGCCTCTGGATTTTCAGGGAGGCTGGTTTGAGTAGTAATAAAACTCTGGTCTTCCATTTAGCTAACTCCTCTTTCTCTATTGCAATTCCCCTGTCTTGATAAATCAGCTGTATCTGGGCAGTGGGCAAGATGAGCCCATTGGGTGGTTACATTGCTTAGACACAAGAGAGAGGATGCCCCTGGCAGGATCAAGTCTGAACTACCCACTCCGACATTTGAAGTGCCCATCATCAGGCCCAAGCCACATCTCCCCAGTCTGTCCCTTAGCCTCTCTTACTTGCTGAGGGGTAGTGTCAGTCAGGAGAGGCAGGGGCATAGAATCTGACTTTTTGCTGGTGCCTCTTCTGTGACACCAGCCACCTTCTGTAGAACACACCCAGCCAGGCAGCCTGGCTTCTTTGTGTCACTAGGCCACTTGTGATGCTTTCCTTCCATCCCTCTATTTGGAAAGGCCCCTCCTTTCCAGTTCTCTCTGCGTAACCCCCACTTCACCCCATCTGGTCTGCTGGCACCCAAGCCTCTATTCTTGTCAGCTCCAGTGGGCAGATGGGTAAGTATGGAGGGGCACTTCCCCAATGAGCTTTGTAGTCATTTAACTTTAATAGGCTCATTGACCGATGCACACAGCAAGTCATTACACTGAGACACTGGGTTGCAGCTGAGAAAGAGGTTTAATCATAGGGTCACCGAAAGAGGAGATGGGAGGGAAACTCAAATTCATCTCCTGGCCAGGTGCAGTGGCTCACACCTGTAATCCCAGCACTTTGGGAGGCCTAGGTGGGCAGATCATGAGGTCAGGAGATCAAGACCATCCTGGCCAACATGGTGAAACCCCACCTACTAAAAATACAAAAATTAGCTAGGCATGGTGGTGCATGCCGGTAATCTCAGCTACTCAGGAGGCTGAGGCAGGAGAATTGCTTGAACCAAGGAGTCGGAGGTTGCAGTGAGCCGAGATTGCACCACTGCACTCCAGCCTGGCGACAGTGGGAGACTCCATCTCAAAACAAAACAAAAAAAAGTATGTCCCTGAGGAATTTGGGGTTAGAGTTTTTAAGGGTTTTGGAGGGGGTCAAAGGGTGGAGAGTGTTGATTGGTTGAAGAGTGCAGGGTGTAGTCACAGGACAGGGAGATGAAAGCAGTTGTGCTCTCATGCTCATCCTGTTTCTCTGTGGGGGCTTTCAAACTGGTTGCTGGAATTTAGGGGCTGAAAAACATCTTAAGCAATCCTTAAATAAAAGTCTAATGATTCTAATGTCAGGGATCCTATTTATAGTAACAATGTGGATGCAAATCCATTTTTAAATAGTCTTTTGACCTAACATCAGAAATCCTATCTCTATGAACAATGGGGATGCAAATAGTAAGGATCTAGTGACTTTTAGCAAAAAGGAATTGGGCCAAAGTGCGGCCTGATTAATGATTAATTATAACTATACTTCTGTCTGGAACCCAGCATGCCATTCTTGTCAACCCTGTGCAGATATTTTTTTCTGCACTTTTTCCCACTAGCATATCATTTAATCTTCCTGGGGTGACCATTGTGGGTAAGTTATACTTTAGACTAGGGATGGTGCATATTATTTCTCTGCAGTTGGTTTCTGCTTCCTGCAGTGTTCTGGGTCCAAATCTGGAGAGTGTCCTGTTATGAACTCCGTGTTTGTGTCCCAATCCCCGCCCTGCAAATTTATATATTGAAACCCAGGAGTTAATTAGTTCTTGAGGGTGGAGAGCTAATGATGGGATTTGTCCCCTTATAAGAAGAGACAGGAGAGAGCTTGCTTCCTCTCTCTGCCAGGTGAAGACACAAGAAAGCAGAAAGAATGCCCTCACCAAGAACCTGGCCATGCTGGTACCCTGATCTTGGACTTCCAGCTCCAGAAGTGAGAAAGAAATATTTGTTGTTTAACCCACCCAGGCTATGGTATTTTTATCACAGCAGCCTGAGCTAAGACACGCCCACACCCCACCCTACTTGTATTAGTCTGTTCTTAGACGCTATAAATATACTACTCAAGACTGGGTAATTTATAAAGGAAAGAGGTTTAATTGACTCACAGTTCTGCATGGCTAGGGAGTCCTCAGGAAACTTACAATCATGGCAGAAGGCAAAGGGTAAGCAAGCTTGGACCTTCCCACATGGCAGCAGGAGAGAGTGAGCATGTGTGAAGGAAGCAAAAGGGGAAGAGCCCCTTGTAAAACCATCAGATCTCGTGAGAACTCACTATCATGAGAACAGCATGGGAAAAACTGCCCCCATGATCCAATCACCTCCCACTGGGCCCTCCCTTGACACGTGGGGATTATGGGGATTACAAATCAAGATGTGATTTCAGTGGGGACACAGCCAAACCATATTGCCACTGTAGAGGTTCTCTGTCTCACCTCTTGCCCTCAGCTGGCGAGGTGGCCAGTGTGTGTGGTGATTCTTAGTCTGTGGGGGATGAGGGGCTGCTGAGGAATGAGTAAAGAAAGAAGAAGCAAAATCAGACTTTAGTGGCAGCTTGACTTGACCCTGGAATTCAGAGTACCATTCATTCCTCAGTGGGATGTTGCTTTGGGCAGCTGAATTTTGCTTAGGGACAAATGCCCTTTCCCTCCAGCCTGAGAGTCATGTCCCCTCAGTGCCTGGCCCGTGACACCTGTTTTGGCCTCTCTGTTGCCTCATGTTGGTAAATGTTGTTTCTATGTTTGCCTTTACCTATGAGTGTGTGTGCACACCTGTTTAGGTGACATGTCTGTGAGTCTGATGGCTTTGTCCTGGCCACCTGGCTGAGAGGTCACCATGTCTCCTTGGGCAGCTCCTCAGGGCTGGTGGCCCTCAAACTGCCTAAGACACACCCGAAGGAAAGTCCCTTGGAAAACTTTGTTTGGGAGTGTCAATGAAAAGGCCAAACTCCATAAAATATTTAAAGAGGTTTACTCTGAGCCAAAAAATGAGCAACCATAGCCTGAGGCACAGTCTCAAAGGTTTTGAAAACATGTGCCCAACGTGGTCAGGCTATAGCTTTGTAGCAGGACGAGCCGCAGACAAAACCTCTCAGACAGCGAGTTGTAGAAGGAAGGGCTTTATTCAGCTGGGAGCATCAGCAAGCTACTGCCTTAAAATCCGAGCTCCCCGAATGCACAATTTCTGTCCCTTTTAAGGGCTCACAACACTGAAGATTTCACATGAAAGGGTCATGATTGATTTGAGCAAGCAGGCTGTACGTGACAGGGGCTGCATGCACTGGTGGTCAGAGAGAAACAGAACAGGGCAGGGAGTTTCACAATGTTCTTCTATACAATGTCTGGAATCTGTGAATAACATCGGATTCTAAGTTATGAGTTGATTTTTAACTAGTGGGTTTAGGCCAGGCAGGCCTAGGCCTGGTTTCGGGCCTGGCACCGGGCTGCCTGCCTTTGGTTTTACTTCCTTGTTGTTTTTTCTTAAAACAGGTACGAGTATAAAACAATATAAAACAATGTGAGAGGGTCTCTCTCTTCCCTCAGCTTGGTGTCATACCTTTTAGGGAGACATAAAACATTAATCGATACATGTGTGGTATGCATTGGTTTGGTCTGGAAAGGCAGGACAACTTGGTGGGGAGAGTTTACAGGTCATAGGTGGATTCAAAGATTTTCTGACTGGCAGTTGGTTGAAAGAGTTAAGTTATTATCTAAAGACCTGAAATCAATAGAAAGGAGTGTCCGGGTTAAGATAAGAGGTTGTGGAGACCAAGGTTCTTATTATATAGGTGAAGTCTCATAGTTGAGACTTCTTAGAGACAATAGTTGGCAAATGTTTCTTATTTAGGCCTTTGAAAGGTGCTAGACTCTTAATCTTTTCAGGATCAGGAGGCCCTGGAAGGGGAAAGACTCTATGTTAACAGAGATTCTTTACAGATGCAAATTTACCCCCATAAAAGATGGCTATGCAGGACCATTTCAAAATATGGCAAAGAAACATATTTTGGAGTAAAATATTTTGATTTCCTTCTTTATCTGTCATGTGATGTTATACTAGAGTCAGGTTGGAATTTGATGTCTTATTGCTACAAGGTAGCAATAAGATCTCTCTTTTAATGTTAATGCGGGTCAATTGTGCCTGAATTCCAGAAAGGAATTCCAGAAAGGAGAAAGTATAAGGAGACACATCTGACACCCTGTCTTCCCCTCATAGCCTAAACTAGTTTTTCTGGTTTTCTTTCGGTCCCCCTGAATCCAGAGGGGTCCATTCAGTCTGTTGGGGAGCTTAGAATTTTATTTTTGGTTTACAGGGGCCATAGCATTTAAACTTCATTACTGTGTAAAGTTAAAGGACCAAGTGAAAAATAAGCTGCACTTTTTTCCACCTATTATCTCATTTAATCGTCCTGGGGTGACCACAGTGGGCAAGTATTACAATTTCCTCAGTTTTTTGCATAAAGAATCTGAGGCTCAGAAAGCTGAATAAGGAACTTAGGTCCTTTAATTCTAGCTTCTCTGCCCTTATCATTTCCCCCTTGGGGTTTTCCTGTGGCTGTAATTTAATTTCTTTTATGCAGTAGCTGAAAATAATTTATTTTTTATAATGCTTTTTTTGGTGGTAAAAGCAATCCATGCTCTTTGTTTAACAGAAATAGTACAGTTGACCCTTGAACAACACAGAGGTTAGGGGCACTAACCGCCACCCCCCCCTCACCATGCAGTTGAAAATCCATGTATCATTTTTGACTCCCCCAAAACTTAACTACTAATAGGCTACTGCTGACCAGAGTCCTTACTAATAACATAAACAGTTGATTAATGCATATATAGGGTGTTATATGCATTATAAACTGTAAGCTAGAGAAGAGAAAATGGTGTTAAGAAAATCATGAGGAAGAGAAAGTATATTCACTCTTCATTAAGTGAAGCTGGATCTTCATCTTTTTCTTCACGTTGAACAGGCTGAGGAAGAGGAGGGGGAGAAGGAGGGATTGGTCTTGCTGTCTCAAGGGTGGCAAAAGTGGAAGAGGTGGAGGAGGTGGAAGGAGAGGCAGGAGAGGCAGCACACTCAGTGTAACTTTTATTGAAAAAACCTGCATAAAAGTGCAATTCAAACCATGTTATTCAAGGGCCAGCCGTACAAACCTCCAGAAGAATATAAAGTGAAGAATGCCTGCACCTCCTTCTCCATCCTATTCCCCTAAGGTAATTACTCCAGGGACAGTTTGGGTCCCACCCCAATATTCATTGCATATGTTAATGTCCTGGTGAATTCTATCTTTTATCGAATTTCTGCATCAGGTCTGCCTGTTCTTCCCTCGATGGTTTCCTCACAGCCTCCCACAGTGTGTCGTAAGGAACCCAAAGGGTGTGATTGCTAGTGTCATGCTTGCTTGGTGTGTGTCCACTGCCTGGGGCCTGGCACTCTGCCTCAACCCACCTGAGGGCAGGCGTGCAACCCAGCCCTTCATGGATTGTTTTACTTTTCTTATTTACTTCAGGAAACATCTCTGTTCCTCTTGAGCATATTTTCTCTCTTTAATTATGGAGTGTTTTTGCCTGGGGAGTGGGTACAGAGGTGAGATAGGAAAAGTGGAAAGGAAGATCATCTTGTCGGGATAAGTGAATGAAGTCCTCCTGCAGAAAGATTTTCCGCAGGTGGTAGGTCGCGAGCTTCAGGGGGCCTGTTGTGAGATTTTGCCGCAGCCTGAATCATTATTTCAAACAAGGTGCAGCAGGGTTTAGCTTTCTGCTTTCCCTGAAGGATTTGTCAGGGTAGCTTAGTGTTTTGATTAATTAACTTAAAGCTGGGATTCTATATAAATGCAAATTGTCACCTTCCCCCACCCATTCAGTCCCTTTCAGGCACAGAAATGAGTAAGAGCTGGGGAAAATGAGGTGGAGTTGAAATTGCCAGCTGTCTGTGGCCTCATTTGAATTTTCAGGGGAAAGGGGACCCTGACTGTGCAAATGCAATACTCACAGTACAGCATTTGCAAAATGGACCAGCTGGAGCAGAGGCTTAGCCTTTGCCACCCAGGTCAGCAGCACAACACTAACAGGACAGGAACACAGGGATGCCACTAAGGAATATTTCAGATTTGAACATGCGATGGACTAAATGTGTCCCCCCAAAATTCATATGTTTAAATCCTAACCCCCAAGGTGATGGTATTTGGAGGTAGGGCCTTTGGGAGGTGATTAGGTGATGAGGGTGGAGTCCTCACAGATGGGATTAGCACCCTTATAAAAGAGACTCCAGAGAGCTCCCTCCCCGCTTCCTCCATGTGAGGGCACAGTGAGAAAACAGTCGTCTACGAACCGGGAAATGGTCTCTCAGCAGACACTGAATCAGCTGGCACCCTGATCTTAGACTTCCCAGCTCCAGAACCGTGGGAAATAAACTTCTGTTGTTTATAAACAAGCCAGTTTATGATATTTTTGTAATGAACTAAACAGAATGCACAGCCTGAAAGAACTAAAACAGAAGGGGGAAAATGTCACAAAAAGTCTGATCTTTGTAGAGGCAAAGGAAAGCACATTTATGGAATTGTTAAAGTGTCAGGCCTCTGAGCCCAAGCTAAGCCATCACATCCCCTGTGACCTGCACGTATATGCCCGGATGGCCTGAAGTAACTGAAGAATCACAAAAGAAGTGAAAATGGCCTGTTCCTGACTTAACTGATGACATTCCACCGCAAAAGAAATGAAAATGGCCGGTCCTTGCCTTAACTGATGACATTACCTTGTGAAATTCCTTCTCCTGGCTCATCCTGGCTCAAAAAGCTCCCTCACTGAGCACCTTGTGACCCCCACTCCTGCCCGCCAGAGAACAACCCTTCTTTGACTGTAATTTTCCTTTACCTACCCAAATCTTATAAAACGGCCCCACCCTTATCTCCCCTTCGCTGACTCTCTTTTCAGACTCAGACCGCCTGCACCCAGGTGAAATAAACAGCCTTGTTTCTCACACAAAGCCTGTTTGGTGGTCTCTTCACACGGATGCGAGTGAAAAAAAGCACATTAGATTTTGACTTCAAATTTATTAGTCACTGATGTTTAATTTCCATGCAAGGCAGAGTGTGGGTGTGGAAGGGAGGACTCGGAGGGTGACAGGGAGCAGGTGTACCACCCACCCCACACCCTACGGCCTCACCTCCTTGACAGGCAGGGAAGAGCCAGACTGAGTGGTTACACATTCCTGGGCTGCCATGAATGGCGTGGGTGAACTGAGACATGAAACCTAACCTCTGGGGCCACTGGATATCTGTGGACGTGAGAGTCACCTCACAGGAAAGCTGTGGACATTTGACAAGATGTTTTTGCAAGTTGCACCTGACAACTCCCTAACAAATACCAGCTGATGTAAGGATGACTTTGCCCCAGTAGGGTTTTATTATTTCTTTGCTTTTGATACTTTTCTACCAGGACCTGCAGAGGGTGGCAGAGTGCTTTGCTGATCTGTCCCTTCTTCCTGCCTCAGGTTCTCAGGGCCAATTTCCCCATTAGGTGGAGCAGGCACTGTGCCTAGAGCCCATGAGACTTTTAGGGACCCATGAAAGTGTTTTAATTACTTTCAAAATCAGAAGAAAAAATAGAATATTAATGAATACCTAATAATGAATCTAGACTATGTCAATTTTTAAACCAATACAGTTGTTTCAAATACAATTTTTAATTTTTTTTTTTTTAATGAAGAGGGAGCCACGGAGGCAAAAGTGCTGTCAGCCCAAGAATGTGATAATGCCACCCTGTAGGTTCTGGAACTCACCTCAGAGAGTGAGTTGGCAGCATGGGTTGCTGCTTGCTGTTGTTTGCTCAGGTAATGGAACAGGTGGAGCCTGAAAGGAGATTTGTGTAGTGAGTATGGTAAGCCATGCTGACTTCAGTGTGGGAGTGAAGAGGACCACGTCAGAGCATTTTTCAGAGAGCTGAAGGTTGCATCTTAAATCTAAAGTGGTTGCTTGTCGACACTAGCTATTTTTGATGAAAATTTCCTTATCATGCATTGCATACCCTAGCCTTCTTTGTTCATTTTTAACTTTTATCAAGAAAAGGTATGGATATATGTGTATACAAACATATACACATATATGTAAGCACAAATACACACGTATGTGTGTGTATACACTTGTGTGTGTGTTAGAAGCATTCGAACCAGAGTAACTCCATCTTGAATAGGAGTGGGTAAAATAAGGCTGAGATCTATTGGGCTGAATTCCCAGGAGGTTAGGCATTCTAAGTCACAGGATGAGGTAGGAGGTCGGCACAAGATACAGGTCATAAAGACCTAGCTGATAAAACAGGTTGCAGTAAAGAAGCCGGCCAAAACCCACCAAAACCAAGATGGTGATGAGAGTGACCCCTGGTCGTCCTCACTGCTAACCTCCCACCAGTGCCATGACAGTTACTAATGCCATGGCAACATCAGGCAGTTACCCTATATAGTCTAAAAAGAGGAGGCATGAATAATCCACCCCTTGTTTAACATGTCATCAGGAAATAACCATAAAAATGGGCAACCAGTAGCTGTCAGGGCTGCTCTGCCTACGGAGTAGCCTTTCCTTATTTCTTTATTTTCTTAATACACTTGCTTTCACTTTACTCTGTGGACTTGCCCCAAATTCTTTCTTGCTCAGGATCCAAGAACCCTCTATTGGGGTCTGGATCTGGATGCCTTTCCGTTAACATGTATATATATATTTGCCATATATATGTCAAATAGTAGTAAAAGACTTAAGACAAATGATGGGATTCAGGACATGTCCTGAATTCTCCTATGACTTTAGGAGACCAGAAACATGCCACCCCCAAATATGCCTCTTTAGCATGAGGATTATTTTGAGCTGATTATTTTGAGAAACTGCAGCAGAGGAGAATCTCTGAAAACAACAGTAGAAGTTACCCTTTTGTAAGGAAAGTTTATGTCTATAAAGGAGATCTCCATACATAAGGGTGTCTTCCTGTCTGCAACAGGAAGAGAAGAATGACTCTAAATCACTAGAAACTCTTATCAATGAAAAAGGCATGGATTTAAATCTGCATCGCAAACCTCACCCTGGTTTCAGGTGCTTTCCTGGCTGTCTCCTCGTAACTGGCCTTCTCCATACCCTTCCCTCTCTGTTTTAGCAAAGGATGGTTTTTAAGCTTGAAGTCAAAGCTACCTATTTGAGATCTGCTCTCAAGAATTATTCATTCCCTGGCTATCTCCCTTGTATACATGAGATATACATATTAATAAACTTGTTTTTTTTCTCTTATTAATTTCGGTACAGGGGTCTGTCCTAACAAAAAACTCAGAAAAGGTAGAGAAAAAATTATTTTCTCCTCCCCTACACACAAATAATGGTGGTTTCTTGCTTCACATTTCTGTCTTTCTGTCTCCTTATTCCTGTTCCTTGAAGGCAACCTCTTTTAACCTTCTAAACCCTTTCTATTTTTTTCTGGTATTTAACTCCATATTTCTAAGGAATATACACATATTGCTATTTCCCAACTTGTCAGTTCCAGACAGTAGCTATTGTTGTTCTATTATGGCAGATGAAGATTTAGCTGTCTTAACATTCTCCACCTTATTTCTCCTCCCTCCCCCAGCTACTAATATAGTTATATCACAATTTTTAAATTAAATTTGTATTTGTAACCACCCCATGAGTTCTTCTTGCCCACTACCCAGTTAGAGCCAATTTATTATGACAGGGGAATTGCAATAGGAAAAGTGTGTAGAGTGTTAATAAACTCTAAGGCATTATGCACATGTTAATTGGAATTTGCAGTGAATGGGTAGACCTGAGAGCTAGTGGCTCAGGAGGGCCCCACATTTTGGAGATGGAGTGCAAGGATAAAGGATACAGACAGCAAACAGGGAAATACTAGGTAGAAGAGGGTGGCTCCCTGGCAAAAGCCCCACCCTCAATCTTGGAAACCTTCAGTCCTACGTGGGAACAGGTATTCCTGTTTTCACACCCAAAAGTTGCCTTTTGGCCCACCACACCCACCTATCCTGTACCCTTATAAACCCTAACCCCAGGCTCCACAAGCAGACAAACAGAAGAGCAGAGAAGGAGAGAAGAGAAGGAGCTTCTTAATGTCAAGAGGAGCTAGGCTGGGGACAGTAGGAGAGGAGATTGGCCACTGCATGGCCAAACTCCAGGTGACGATCATCTTCCCATTCCATCCCCCTTCCAGCTCCCCATCCATCCCACTGAGAGCCACCTCCACCACTCAGTAAAACTCCCACGTTTGCCATCCTTTAAGTCCAGGCGTGACCTTATTTTTCCTGGACACTGGACAAGAGCTCGGAATACAGAAAACTGTCACACTGGCCCTCTGCCCTTGCAAAAAGGCAGAGGGTCCACTGAGCTGTTTAACACTTAAGCCATCCATGGACAGCAAGGGTGAAAGAGCGCACTGTAACACATGCCCACTTGGGCTTCGGGAGTCACAGGCACCCACCCCTAGATGCAACCATGGGGCCGGAGGCCAAAAGTGCTTGCCCCAGCTCCTACACCTGCCTGTCTGCATGTTCCTGCTCCCATAAGGGGTTTGAGAGCAAGATGGCCAAATGGATGAGCCACACCCATCACACGTCCTGCAAGGGGGGTCAGGGAACTCCCCCGTTTCATTTGTACTTCCAATTGCCTGCTCTTTCCACAACTCCCTCTGAATGTTTGTGTTGGGAATCAGAACATGAGAACCTCAAGTATAGCACTTTGGTATGCTGAATACTTTGCACTGAGGGAGATTGGAAGGGCCTCAGAAGCAAGATGTTCTTTCTGAGCTTCTCCCACTCTCCTTTCTCTTTCTTTCATTTCTTTCCCACAGCAGGTCATAGAAACTAGAACCCCTCTTTCCCAAAGCAAACCATAAACCTAAAAATGTCAGTCTCTGACCTTTCTTCTCCCCTTAAAACTCTCATTTGACAGGTGATCCTGCCTTATCCTGGAGAAAGAAATGTTATGCAAGAGGCCAAGAAGAAGCTAAACAAACAAGCCATGATGGATTCCCATCTCAGCTTATTACCATTGGGACATGTCCTTTTTGTCCAATCACATTTCTACATGGCAGTACAGTCTTCATCAAACCTAAGCATTAAAAAAAAAGTTTTCTCTGGGTCTTTGGGTCTTTTGTTTCGGAAGGCTCCTGTATTACATAAAACTTTGTTAAATAAATTTGTTATACTTTTTTCTTGTGAATCTGTCTTTCATCATAGGGGTGTTAGCTGGGGACCTTGCAATGAGTGAGGACAGGCATTACCGTTTCACCCCTACACTTGCTACAGACTATGGTTAGGCTACCAGGACACTCAGTTGCCCTTTGTGGAGGAAGCAAGGATGAATCAACATGTGTAGAATAGGACTCCCTCCAAGAAGTACAGATGTGCAGCTGGCAAGTCTTCAGCTCACCCCTTTCAAGCAGGGTGACCAGGATGCCAAGGTGTAGTCATGGGGAGGAGTGATCAGAAGGTAAGTACAACTGAGAAAATTACAACTGGCTAGCACTTTGTCTCAAGAAAGAATGTGCCAACCAGCAGATCTCCAGAGTGAAAGGGAGGTCAAAGAGCAAAATGTCAGTGTTTTCAATACCACCCAATGAAGAAGATGCCAGTCAGGAGTCGGGGGCATGGCCTTAACATCTGCTTGGCAGCTGCATTCTCTTAACAGAGTTGGTTGTATCACTTCATATAAGCTTTTCAATAGCAACAGGGCAATAAAACAAAATTTATTTGTCCTAACTTTGTGCTGATTAAAGAACTCTTCAAGTATTCATTCTTTCAACAAACACCCATTGAGAACCTAGTATGTGGCAGGCACTCTTTTAGGAGCCTGGGATATAGCAGTGAACAAGACAGGCAACGCCTGCCCTCATGGAGCCTATCTTCTACGAAAAAATAACTCTCTGTGTGATTATTCACTGTGCTAGGGGTTGGAGTGACATAATAAGGGCCCTATATGGACTCACAGTTAAAGGAGGTGGCTTCCCAAATTATATTATTTTTCCTTAGGGAGAGAATGGTTGAATTAGCCAGTTCAAATACTCAGTCCCTTTGGCATATTGTGAATTAATTAATAGCATGCTGGTATTTTGTGAATTTAGTTAGCTTGAGGCAGTTTCCAACACTCAACTATGAATGCACTGTAAAGATTGGGTTTCTAGACCCAAACAACTAGACTAGACCCTGGAAAGTGCTGACATCATGAAATTAATTTTCCTGAGACACACTACACCTGCATATCCTTCCAGAACTTCTCTATTGCATCCTTCTCTCTTTCTAACCTCAACAGAGATGTCATCAACAATCATACTACCTCTTGCAAAGTATTTGTGGGAATAGACAAGAGCGAGCCATTCACAAACTCATTCCTGAACTATTTCTTGAGACCTATTAAGGTGCCAGACACCATGTTCATGAGAATGCAGCAGCTGTCTCCCCACAGGAGCTCATAGTCTTCAGATGGGGGGTGGGGGTGGTAGAAAGCTCTGTTGTGGGATGGAGTTGAATTTCAGTCCTGGATGTGCTACTTAATGACATCATCTGTAATCAAGAAACGAGCCTAGCTGAACTCTTGGCTTCCTGGTTTAATATTTCTGTGTCAGGAAGGTATGTGGTGGGCCTCTTGGAAGAGTGACAAAGAGGGAAAACAATACATAGTTTAGCAGAGAAGGGGAGAGGAGGAAGGATGATGTGTGGTTTTGCTTTTTCTGTATTTTTCCACCAGCAGAAACCTTAATATTTTCCAGCAGCACAGGCGAGTCACTGTGCAGGGAATTCGCCACAGAGCACTGCCCCCTTTGCCAGCAACACTGAGCTCACGGAATGGCAGATAAACCTAGATAAGCTGAGCCAGTCTTTCAAGCCCAGGCAGCACTTCTCCAAGGAGCATCATGAGCTCAGCTGGAGGTCCCTGGGTAGAAATAACCTGGAATTTGTATGAGTGCTGAGCTCTGTGGGGCCTTTCTGCCCCTTTCTTCAGGATTTTTTTTTTTTTTTTTTTGAGACAGGGGGTTGCTCTGCCACCTAGGCTGGAGTGCAGTGGTACAATCATAGCTCACTGTAACCTTGAACTCCTGGGCTCAAGCAATCCTCCCACCTCAGCCTTCAGAGTATCTGCATATGTTGCCATGGCTGGTCTCAAACTCCTGTCCTCAAGTGATTCTCCCACCTCCGCCTCCTAAAGTGTTGGCATTAGAGGCATGAACCACTTTGTCTGGCCTGAAATTGCATTCTTAGCATCTAGACGGAGATGGAGAACAGCCTCTTCAAAAACAGCATTTTCTTTTCTCTCATTTACTGCTCCCCTTAAATTCCATTTTCTCAAAGGACATGTAGAGTGGGAAGGGTCCTTTTGCTTGAAGAGTAACCTCCCAGCAATCAGCCCCCTTCCTGTACTCTGGCCTCCTCCAAGCATTATAGCAAAATAAATGTTTTATTTGGTTTATTCATTTATTCATTAATAATTATTTATTAAGATCATACTAAGGGCCAGGTTCCAGATTTTGGGATTCTGTGGTGAACAAAAGATAACAAGCCCTGTCATCACGGAGCTTATTTTTTTGTGGGAGAAAGATCATAAACAAAAAAACATATAATATCTGGTTGCAATATGTGCTATGAAATGATATAAAGTGGGCAGGAGATTGAGGGAGTGATATTGTAGGAGGCCACCTGATTAGGTAATCAGGGAAGGCCCTAGGCCTCCTCTGGTGATGTGGGGGCTGGGTCTTTATGAATAAATTTTTCCAATTTTCAAACCTTAACTCTTTAAATGCCAAAAAGTTTATTCTTACTTATTTTGACCCGAATTACTTTAAATTCATTGTACATAGGAATCCAGAATAATCTAATCTTGTTTTAAAGATTCAGGATCATTATTGGGAACACCAATATATGCCAGGGGTTCTCAAAGTGTGGACTCTGGACCAGCAGCATCAGCAACCCCTCAACCTGGAGACTTGTTAGAAACGCAGATTCTCAGAAATGTAAGTGCAGACTTCACCCTGGACATGCTGCATCTGAAACCCTGGGGGTGGAGCCCAGCACTCTGTGATTTAACACGCCCTCCAGGTGCTTCTCATGCATGCTCAAGTTTGAGAAGGGCCACTCTGCTCTGAGGTGTGCCCTTGAGGGCGGTGGAGGCAGGTAGCCTCTCTGCCCATCCTCGGCAGACTGCTTTGCTCCCTGAGTTTCTGCCTACTTCCTGTGGGTTCTGCCTCACTGTGGGTTGTCAATGTTTATCCCTCACTGCTGACATTAGTATGTCTCTGTCTAATTTGTGTCTCCTTCTAATTTGCTGCTTCTAATCACCTCTGAGAAACCAGATCCCCAGCCATAAATTCATTATGTAGAAAGTAGGAATAAATTCCAGTGCTGCTGGCACCCATGTTAATACTTTGGTCTTTCGCCCTCAAGACATTCAGCATAATGGAAAGAACAGACTTGAATTTCAGTCTAGAATTCCACCAATGTGGGGATTCTGCAGGCTGCTGAGTAAGTCTATTCCAATTATGCATTCTAGAAATGGGGAAATAACCACAGGATGGGTTCAGGGACCCGCTGGGTCTACTATGAGGTGGACGTAGTCAAACTCCATTGTCGGGGATTTGCAGAGAAAAAGACTGAGAGAGAGAGAGACAGAGTGAGAGAGAGACAGAGAGAGAGAGAGAGACAGAGAGAGAGAGGAATGAGGAATTTATTATTAGGAATTGGCTCACACAATAATGGAGGCTGAGAAGTCCCACAGTCTGTCATCTATAAGCTGGAGACCCAGGAAAGCTGGTATTGTACTTCAGTCTACGTTTGAAGGCATGAGAATCAGAGGTACCGATGGTGTAAATCCCAGTTCAAGAGCAGAAGATGAGATGAGATGTCCCAGTGAGGCAGAAAAAAAAGGGGCAAATTCCTCCTTGCTCCACATTTTGCTTTATTCAGGCCCTCAATACATTGGAGAATGCCCACCTGCATTGGAGAGGGCCATCTATATTGAGTTCACCGATTCAAATGCTAATCTCATCCAGGAACAATCTCATAGACACACGCAGAAATAATGTTTATCTGGGCACCCTGCAGCCCAGTGGTTAGCATGTAAAATTAACCATCCCCTCACCTAACAGCCATAATCCCCTACTGTGACTGGCAGACCACAGTAATATTTTGGGTCTCCTGAAATTAGTATCAGTTCAAAGCCAGTGTCCAGTCATCCTTGAAACAATCTGATTATTTCTTTTTCCCCAGTGCACAGTTCCTCTGATAAAAGGCTGCAGGTCCCTTTGGGGATGACTGGGAGAAAGATAAACGGTATACATTTTTGGCAATGTAGCAGAGTCCTTCCTCAGGGGACCTGGTGTCCCCTTTTATTGCTTGTATGACCTTGGCAGAGTTGGAACCAGAATTGCCTGGCACCAACGAAGTGCTCAACAAGTGCTAGTTCTTTTCTTCTGGGGTGGGAGAATGATAGGGGAAGGAGACAATTAACCTACATGATTTTTTGCATGAATAATTGCTTTTTAGAAAAATCTCTAAATATTTACCTTTATTTATTAAAAAACAGTTTTAAATATATTTGAGATATAATCACATATCATACAATTCATTCATTTAAAGACTACAATTTAATGACCATCACCACAATCAATTTTAGAACATTTTTATTATCCTAAAAAGTAACTTCACATCCCTTAGGCATCATCCCCCCTCCATAATCCTCCTTTTCCCCCCTTGTCCTAGGCAACCACTAATCTATGTTTTTACTCTACAGATTTGACTATTCTGGACATTTCATATAAATGGAATTATCCAATATGTGATCCTTTGTGATAGACTTTTTCCACTTACCATAATGTCTTCAAGGTTCATTCATGTTATACAGCATCAGTATTTCATTTCTTTTCAAAAATTTTAATTTTTAATTTTTGTGGGTATATAATAGGTATATATATATTTATGGGTCACATATGATATTATGATACAAGCATGCAATGCATAATAATCACATCAGGGTGGATAGGTATCCATTACCTCAAGCATTTATCCTTTGTGTTACAAACAAAGCCAATTATACTCTTAGTTATTTTAAAATGTAAAATTAAATTATTTTTTACTATAGTCATCCTGTTATGCTAGCAAATACTAGGTCTTATTCATTCTTTCTATTTTTTGTACCCATTAACCTTCCCCACTTCTCCCCTACAGTCCCCAACCCCCCAACCCCAAGTACTCTTCCCAGCCTCTGGTAACCATTTTTCTACTCTATATTGCCATAAGTTCAATTGTTTTACTTTTTATCTCCCACAAAAAGTGAGAACGTGTGAAGTTTGTCTCGCTGTGCCTGGCTTATTTCACTTAACTTAATGAAATTCCAACCTCCAGTTCCAACCATGTTGTGCAGATGACAAGATCTCATTCTTTATTGTGGCTGAATAGTACTCCATTGTGTATATGTACCATATTTTCTTTATCTGTTCATCTGTTGATGGACACTTAGGTTGCTTCCAAATCTTAGCTATTGTAAACAATGCTGCAACAAACATAGAAGTGCAGATATCCAGGCTGGGCGTGGTGGCTAACACCTATAATCCCAGCACTTTGGGAGGCCAAGGTGGGCGGATCACTTGAGGTCAGGAGTTTGATACCAGCCTGACCAACATGGTGAAACCCCATCCCTATTAAAAATACAAAAATCAGCCGGGTGTGGTGGTGGGCACCTGTAGTCTCAGCTACTCAGGCTGAGGCAGGAGAATCACTTGAACCCAGGAGGCAGAGGTTATAGTGAGCCGAGACTGCGCCACTGTACTCCAGCCTGGGCAACAAGAGCAAAACTCCATCTCAAAAAAAAGAAAAAAGTGCAGATATCTCTTTGATATACTGATTTCCTTTCGGGTATATACCTAGGAGTGTGATTGCTGGATGGTGGGATAGCTCTATTTTTAGTTTTTCAAGAAATCTCCAAACTGTTCTTCATAGTGGTTGCACTAATTTACATTCCCAAGAGTGCACGAGGGTTCCCATTTCTCCACATCCTCTCCAGCATTTATTATTGCCTGACTTTTGAATAAAAGCCATTTTAACTGGAGTGAGACATCTCATTGTAGTTTTGATTTGCATTTCTTTGATGATCAATGATGTTGAGCACCTTTTCATATACCTGTTTGCAATATGTATATCTTTTTTTGAGAAATGTCTATTCAGATCTTTTGTCCATTTTAAAACAAATTAGTAGATTTTTCCTACAGAGTCGTTTGAGTTCCTAATACATTCTGGCTATTAATCCTTTGTCAGGTGGGTAGTTTGCAAATATTTCCTCCTATTCTTGTCTCTTCACTTTATTGATTGTTTTCTTTGCTGTGTGAAAGCTTTTTAATTTGATGTGATCTCATTTGTTCAGTTTTTTCTTTGGTTGTCATAGTTTGAGGTCTTAGATTTAAGTCTTTAATCCATTTTGATTTGATTTTTGTATATAGTGAGAGATAGGGGTCTAGTTTCATTCTTCTTCCTATGGATGTCTGTTTTTTCCAGTATCATTTATTGAAGAGACTGTCTTTTCCCCACTGTATGTTCTTGGCACCTTTGTCAAAAATGAGTTCACTGTAGATGTATGGATTTATTTCTGGGTTCTCTATTCTGTTCCTCTGGTCATTGCGTCTGTTTTTGTGCCAGTACCATACCATTTTGATTACTGTAGCTCTGTAGTATAATTTAAAGTCAGGTAATGTGATTCCTCCAGTTTCATACTTTTTGCTTAGGATAGCTTTGCCTATTCTAGGTCTTTTGTGGTTCCATATAAATTTTAGGATTGTTTTTACTATTTGTGTGAAGAATGTTATTGGTATTTTGATAGAAATTGTATGAAATCTATAGATTGCTTTGGGTAGTATGGACATTTTAGCAATATTAATTCTTCCAATCCTATGACATGGAATATTTTTCCATTTTTTGTGTGTCCTCTTCAATTTCTTGCATCAATGTTTTATAGTTTTCAATGTAGATATTTTTTACTTCTTTGTTTAAGTTAATTGCTAGGTGTTTTATTTTATTTGTGGCTATTGTAAATGGGATTACTTTCTTGGTTCTTTTTCAGATTGTTTGCTGTTGATATATAGAAATGCTACTGATTTTTATATATTCATTTTGTATCTTGCAAATTTACTGAATTTGCTTATCAGTTTTAGTGGTTTTTTGGTGGCGTCTTTAGGTTTTTCCAAATATAAGATCATGTCATCTTAAAACAAGGAAAATTTGACTTCTTCCTTTCTAATTTGGATGCCCTTTCTTTCTTTCGTTTTTGAGATAGAGTTTCGCTCTGTCACCCAGGCTGGAGTGCAGTGGTGAGGTATAGGCTCACTGGAAACTCTGCCTCCCGGGTACAAGCAATTCTCCTGCCTCAGCCTCCCAAGTAGCTGACATTATAGGCACCTGCCATCACACCTGGCTAATTTTTGTATTTTAAGTAGAGATGAGGTTTCACCATGTTGGCTGGGCTGGTCTCAAACTCCTGACCTCAAGTGATCTGCCTGACTCAACCTCCCAAAGTGCTGGGATTACAGGCATGAGCCACCATGCCTGGCTGGATGCCCTTTATTTTTTTCTCTTGTCTAGTTCCTCTAGCTGGGACTTCCAGTACCGTGTTGAATAACATTGGTGACAGTGGGCATTCTTGTCATGTTCCCAATCTTAGAGGAAAGGGTCTCAGTTTTTCCCCATTCAATATGATACTAGCTGTGGGTCTGTCAAATATAGCTTTTATTATTTTGAGGTATGTTCTTTCTATATCCAGTTTTTTGACGGTTTTTTTTTAATCATGTCAGGATGTTGAATTGTGTCAAATACTTTTTCAGCATCAATTGAAACAATCATATTGTTTTTGTCCTTCATTCTGTTGATATGATGTATCACATTAATTGATTTGCATATGTTGAACCATCCTTGCATCCCTGAGATAAAGCCCACTTGGTCATGATGAATGACCTTTTTTTTATTGTGTTGTTGAATTCGGTTTGCTAGTATTTTGTTGAAAGTTTTTGCCTCAATATTCATCAGTGATATTGGCCTATAGTTTTCTTTTTTAAAATTTGACTTCCTTGCGTTTTGGTATCAGAGTAATACTGGCATTGTAGAATGAGTTTGGAAATATTCCTCTCTCCTTTGTTTTTTAGAACAACTTGAGTAGGATTGGTATTTGTTCTTCTCTAAATGTTTGGTAGACTCCAGCAGCAACACCATTGGGTCCTGGGCTTTTCTTAACTAGAAGACTTTTTATTATGGCCTTGATCTAATTACTTACTATTAGTCTGTTCAGGTTTTGGATTTCTTCATGGTTCAATCTTGGTAGGTTGTGTGTCTCTAGGAATTTATCAATTTCTTCTAGATTTTCCAATTTATTAGCATATGGTTGCTCATAGTAGCCACTAATGATCATTTGAATTTCTGCAGTATCAGTTGTTATGTCTCCTTGTCCTCTCTGATTTTATTTTTTGGGGTCTTCTTTCATTTTTCTTTAGTTGGTCTGGCTAAAGATTTATCAGTCTTTTGTTTTTTAAAGTTTTTATTTGATTGATCTTTTGTATTGTTTATTTATTTTCAAATTCATTTATTTCTGCTCTGATCTTTATTATTTTTTTCTTCTACTAATTTTGGGTTTGGTTTGCTCTTGATTTTCTGGTTCTTTAAGATGCATCATTGGATTGTTTATTTGAAGTTTTTCCTTTTTTTTGATGTAAGCACTTATAGCTGTAAACTTCCCTCTTAGTCTTTCCTTTGCTGTATCCCCTAGGTTTTGGTATATTGTGTTTCCATATCATTTGTTTCAAGAAATTTTTCAATTTCCTTATTAGTTTATTCATTGACCCACTGGTCATTCAGGAACATACTGTTTATTTTCTATATGTTTGTATAGTTTCCAAAATTCCTCTTGTTACTTATTTCTACTGTTATTCCATTGTTATTAGAGAAGATGTTTGATATTGTTTCAATTTTTTTGAATGTTTTAAGACTTGTTTTGTGACCCAACATATGGTCTATCTTCGAGAATGATCCATGCACTGAGGAAAATAATATGTATTCTGCAGCCATTGGATAAATGTTCTGTAAGTATCTCTTAGGTCCATTTGGTCTGTACTGCAGATTAAGTCTCATATTTCTTTGTTGATTTTCTGTATGGACTATCTGTCTAATGCTGAAAGTGGGGGTGTGAAGTCTCCAGCTATTATTGTCTAGGTGTCTCTCTCTCTCTCTCTTTAGCTCTAGTAATATTTGCTTTATATGTCTGGGTGTTCCAGGATTGGGTGCATGTATATTTGCAATTGTTATATCCTCTTGCTGAATTAACTCCTTGTGATTGTATAGTTACCTTGTTTGTCTCTTTTTATAGTATTTGTCTGGAAATCTATTTTGTTTGATATAAAAGTATAGCTACTCCTGCTCTCTTTCGGTTTCCATTGGAATGGAATACCTTTTTTCATCCCTCTATTTTCAGTCTATGTGTATCTTCATAGGTGAAGTATGTTTCTTGTAGGCAACAGATCATTGTGTCTTTTTTTAAAATCATTCAGACATGCTATGTCTTTTTATTGGAGAGTTTAGTCCATTTAATTCAATGTCATTATTAATAAGTGAGAATGTATTCCTGCCATTTTGTTATTTGTTTTCTGGTTGTTTTGTGGTATTCTTCTTTTTCTTTCTTTCTCTCCTGTCTTTGTGGAAGTTAAGTTGATTTTCTCTGGTGGTATGATTTAATTTCTTGCTTTTTATTTTTTGTGTATCTGTTGTATGTTTTTTAATTTGAGGTGACTATGAGGATTCCAAATACTATCTTATAACCCATTATTTTAAGTTAATAACAACTTAACACTTTTTGCATAAACAAACAATTAAAAAGAAAGCTAAAAAAAATTCTATACCTTAATTTCATCCCCCTCCCCCAACTGTTTAATTTTTTGTTTTTTTTCTACTTATATCTTATTTTACTGTCTATGTCTTGAAAAGTTGTTGAAGTTATTGTTTTTGATTGTTTCATCATTTAGTCTTTCTACTTAAGAGGAGTTTATATACTACAGTTATAGTGTTATAATATTGTTTTTCTGTTTACTTACTATTAGTAGTGAGTTTTGTACCTTCAGATGATTTCTTATTGCTCACTAATGTCTTTTTCTTTCCAATTGAAGTACTCCCTTTGGCATTTCTTGTAGGACAGCTCTGGTGTTGATAATAAAATCCCTCAGCTTTTGTTTGTCTGGGAAAGTCTTTATTTCTTCTTCATGGCTGAAGGATAATTTCACTGGATATACTATTCCAGGGTAAAAGTTATTTTCCTTCAGCACTTTAAATATGTCATGCCTCTCTCCTGGCCTGTAAAATTTCCACTGTAAAGTCTGCTGCCCAACATGTTGGAGCTCCATTGTATGTAATTTCTTTCTTTTCTCTTGCTGCTTTTAGGATCCTTTGTTTATCCCTGATCTTTGGGAATTTGATTAAATGCTTTAAGGTAGACTTCTTTGGGTTAAATCTGCTTGGTGTTCTATAACCTTCTTGTACTTGGCTACTGATATCTTTCTATCATCAGTAGAGGTTTGGGAAGTTCTCTGTTATTATCCTTTTGAATAAACTTTCTACTCCTCTCTGTTTCTCTTCTTCCTCTTTAAGGCCAATAACTCAGACTTTCTTTTTTGCCACTATTTTCTAGATCCTGTAGCCATGCTTCATTGTTTTTTGTTCTTTTTTTTTGTCTCCTCTGTCTTCAAGTTAACTAATTTTTTCTTCCACTTGATCAATTCTGCTATTAAAATACTGATGCATTCTTCAGTATGCCAACTGCATTTTTCCAGCTCCAGAATTTCTGCTTGATTCTTTGTAATTATTTCCATTTTTTTGTTAAATTTATCTAATAGAATTCTGAATTCTTTCTCTGCATTATCTTGAACTTCTTTGAGTTCCCTCAAAACAACTATTTTGAATTCTCTGTCTGAAAGGTCACATATCTCTCTTTCTCCAGGATTGGTCCCTGGTGCCTTATTTAATTTATTTGGTAAAGTTATGTTTTCCTGGATGGTCTTGATGCTTGTTGATAGTCTGTGTCTAGGTATTGAAGAGTTAGGTATTTATTGTAGTCTTCATGTCTGGGCTTATTTGTACCCATCCTGCTTGGGAAGGCTTTCTAGGTATTTGAAAGGACTTCGGTGTTGTGCTTTAAGCTGTATCTGCATTAGGGGGCAACCCAAACCCAGCAGCGCTGTGGTTCTTGCAGATTCATACAGGTACTGCCTTGTTGGTCTTGGATAAGATCTGGGAGAATTATCTTGATTACCAGGCATAGACTCTTGTTCTCTTCCCTTACTTTCTCCCAGACAAACAGAATCTTTCTCTATCTCTGTTCTGAGCTATCTGGAACTAGTAGTGGGGTATCACTGGGGGTGGTGGCCACTGGAACTGTGCTGGGTCAGACCTGAAGCCAGCACAGCACTGGATCTCATCCAAGGCCCACTGTAATTACAACCTGGCTACATCTATGTTCACTCAAGGCCCAGGGACTCTACGATCAGCAGGTGGCAAGGCCAGCAAGGTATGTGTTCTTCCCTTCAGGGTAGTGAGTTCCCCTAGGCCCTGGATGGGTTCACAGGTGCCATCCAGGAACCAGGGACTAGAGTCAAAAACCTTAGAAGTTTACCTGGTGTTCTATTGTACTGCAGCTAAGTGGGCACTTAAACCATGAGATGTAATCCCTCCCACTCTTCCTTTCCTCTTCCAGAGGCAGAGAAGCCTCACCTTGTGGCCACCAACTCCACAGGCAAACTATGAGTACTTCCAAGCTACTGCTAATAATCCCTTAATGCCCAAGGGCTCTTCAGTCAGTTTGTGATGAATGTTCCCTGGCCTGGGATTCACCTTTCAGGGCAGTGAGCTTCCCTCTGGCTCAAGGTAGGCCCAGAAATGCCATCTAAGAACCAAGGCCTGGAATCGGGAACCCTAAGAGCCCACTTGGTGCTCTACTCTTCTGTGGCCTAGCTGATACTTAAGGTGCAAAACAAAGTCCCCTTTACTTTTCCCTCCATGTTTCTCAAGCAGAAGGAGTCTCTCCTCTTAGCCACTACAGCTGGGAATGTGCTGAGTCTCATCCAAAGCCAGCAAGTCACAGAGTTTCACCCAAGGCCCATGGTGTACTACCTAGGTATTGCTGCTTGTTATTGAGGGCCCAAAGGCTCTTTGGTAAGCAGCTGATGGGTCCGACTAGGACTGGGTCCTTCCCTTCAAAACAGCGGTTCTTTTCTGGCCCAGGGTGTGTCTAGAAATGTTGTCCAGGAGCTAGGGCCTGGAAAGGGGGCTTCATAACTCTGACTGGTGCCCTATCCTGATGTAGTTGAGCTGGTATCTGAGATGCAAGATAAAGTCTTCTTTACTCTTCCTTCATCTCCTCAAGCAGAAGGCAGGAGTCTCTTTTGGAGCCACGAGCTGTGCAGCCTGGGGTTAAGGGAGGTATGGCACAAATATTCCCTTAGCTGCCTCAGCCTGCTGAGACACCAGCTGGGGCAGCTACTTAGGGCCCTAGAGCAGTTTAGTCCATGGTGGTGAGGCTTGATGGAACTGAAGTTCTTACTGCCAGGATGGGCAATTCTCCTCTAGCTAGGGCTGGTTTAAATACTCCCTCCATGGGTAGGTGTCAGCTGAGTTCAGTCTGGTTTTGCTTTCCATTAAAATGTGGCAACACCAAGTTCAATGCAATGTGCCACAGTTGTGGTGCTCACCCTCTCCCAAGCACTCAGATTCCTTCTCGGCACCACATAGCCACTACTGTGGGATAGGGGAAGGGGTGGCACTGGCAATTCAGGACTCTTTCCTACCCTCTTCAATGCCTCTTTCAATGGTAGATGTTAAAACCAGGTACTGTACTCACTTGATTTTTTATTCTTATGAAGGCCCTTTTTTGTGTAGATAGTTGTTAAATTGGTGTCCTTGCAGTGGGGGACTGTTGGTAGAGCCTTCGATTTGGCTATCTTGCTCTACCCCCTCCTCCACTTCATTTATTTTTATTGCCACATAATATTCCATTGTATGGATATACCACATTTTATTTATTCATTCATCAGTTCATGGACATTTGGGTTGTTTCCACTGCAGAAGCCAAAAGAAATCTCCCTTTTGCTCACTGAAAGTTTGCTGAAAATGACGGAGGAAAGAAAAAAAAAAGCAGATCAGGGTGTAGCTGCACCATTTTATATTTCCATCAGGGGTATGTGATGGTTTTAATTTCTCCATAGACCTGCCAGCACTTACTATTTGACTTTCTGATTCTAGCCATCCTGGTGGTTGTGAAGTATTTCATTATGGCTTTGATTTGCATTTCCCTTATGGCTAGTAATGTTGAGCATGTTTTTATGTGTTTATTGGCCAAGTCCCAGCTACTTGGGAGGCTGAGGTGAGAAGATTGCTTGCCAGGAATTCAAGTCCAGCCTTGGCAACATAGCAAGACCCCGTTCTTAAGAAATAAAATAAAATAAAATAAAATAAAATACAGATTAACAGGAGAAAAGGTATACAAATTTATTAAAGCATGATTTCATGAGACATGGGATCCTGTAGAATGAAGACCCAAAGATGCAAGGGAAACTGTTTTATTTTTATTTTTATGCTTAGGTTCAACAAAGTATGGAAAGCCATGTAGAAATATGATTGGACAAAAAGGGTATAATCTAATGCTAACAGACCAAATGTGGAAATCCAGCAAGGCCTGTCTGTGCAGATTCTTCTTGGTATCTATGAGCATGCATTTTTCTCTATTGGGTATGGGGCAAGATCCTCTCTTGTGGTGTTATGACCTACAATCAAAGTAGATCAGATCATTTCTTTATGATCAGGTTTTATGCAGAAATGTGGAGATGGGGGTAAAGTTACAGTAATATTTTTAGGTTTTATGGCTGGCTTTTAGCTTTTTATAGGGGAAAGGGATTTCTGGTTTCTATGACCTGTCTTGGGGAAGAGGAATTCCAGTTTCTATGGCTAACCTCAGGTGAGAAGGAAGAGTCAGAAACAGGAGGGCAGGAGGTCAGAGAGAGCTGCTTCTGATACCATTCATTTTGGGGTATTGTTTTCTGACAGCCCACATCACTTTTTGGCCATGATGAATAATGGCATTGTAAACATTTGTATAAAGGTTTTTGCATGAAAATATGTTTTAATTTCTCTTAGGTATATACTAGAAAGAAACTCTTAGGTATATGCTGGGTCATATAGTAAATGTACATTAAACCATTTGAAGGAACAACCAGCTTTTTTTCCAAAGTGGCTGCATCATTTTACATTCCCATCAGGAGTATATGAAGATTTCAGTTTCTCCATATACCTGCCAGCACTTACTGTTTGACTTTTTGATTCTAACCATCCTAGTGGTTGTGATGTATTTCATTACGGCTTTGATTTACATTTTCCTTATGGCTTATAATGTTGAGCATTTTTTATGTGTTTATTGGTCATTTGTATATCTTTGCAGAAATATCTGTTCAGGTTCTCTGCCCATTTAAAAATGTTACATTTTTATTATTGAATGTTAACATATAAGTCCCTTAGCAGATACATGGTTTGCAAATACCTTCTTCCATTCTGTGAGTTGTCTTTTCACTTTCTTTAATGGTGTTCTTTGTTACAAAAGTTTGAAATGTTCATGATGTCTTTTTTAAAGAATCTATTCTTTTTTTTTTTTTTTTTTTGGAGATGGAGTTTTGCTCTTGTTGCCCAGGCTGGAGTGCAATGGCACGATCTCGGCTCACCACAACCTCTGCCTCCTGGGTTCAAGTGATTGTCCTGTCTCAGCCTCCCGAGTAGCTGGGATTACAAGCATGGGCCGCCACGCCTTGCTAATTTTGTATTTTTATTAGAGATGGGGTTTCTCCATGTTGGTCAGGCTGGTTTCAAACTCTCAGCCTCAGGTGATCTAACTGCCTCAGCCTCCCAAAGTGCTGAGATTACAGGTGTGAGCCACCATGCCCGGCAAAATAAAAAAAAAAAAAACTATTCTTTCTGTTGTTTTTGGTGTTACATTTAACAAATATTGCCTAATCCAGGGTCATGAAGATAAACACTTTTTCTACTAAGTATTCTATAGTTTTAAGTCTTATATTTAGGTCTTTGATTCTTTGAGTTAGTTTTTGTTAGTGATGGTGTGAGGTAGGGGTCCAAATTTACTCTTTTGTTTGCAGATATCCAGTGTCCCAGAACCATTTGTTGAAAAGACTGCCCTTGCTCCTGTGTAATTGTCTTGGTACTCTTGTTGAAAATCAACTAACCTACCCATTTTGTTTTGTTTTTTACTGAAACAACTTTGCTGGGGGAGATATTGATATGAGGGGAAAAAAACAGAGAAACAAAAAAAAAAGGAAGCAGTGTAAAAAATCCAACTATTTCTGAATGGCAACAGAATATAGCTCCACTTTGTTCAATGCTTACATTCTCTATTTTAGTGTACACTGGCCAATTAGTCTCTTAGATTATTACTTGGCATCATGTACTTTAAATATCTAATTCTGTCTTAAAGCAAACAAAATAGAGACCCCTGAGAAGTATGCTAGCTCTGGACAATTGGAAAGATCCTAATATTTGCCATAATTCAACAATTCATCAGCTTTATTTCTTCAAAGACTAAGACTTTTACCAAACTTGAGAAGTCTATTAAAATTGTAGTTATAAAATAAATAACCTGTTGAGGACATTGCTTTTTTTCTTGCAGAGCCATGGCATCTGTTTCAGGGCTGCAACTTAGGAAGTTGCTCAGCCCCCAGTATAGCCTTTCACTAAACCTCTCAATTGAGCAAGATTGTCCACTTACAATGGTATAGCATCACGACATGTGTCAGAAATTGCAGAAGCTGTAACTCAAAGACTCTCCTTTGCAAATAGCCAGAGATCTCTTGTCAATAAGAAAGAAAAGAGGAAATGCATGTTCCCTGACAACACAGGATTAATTCAGACACACCAGCCTTGGCCAGATTGGTTTTCATTGTGTGACTGATATAAAGCCAAGGCTGAATCCTGTTCACAAGAAGATTTACAGCAATGCTTACCAATGACTGGGAGAAAGGGCAAGTCGACTCTGATTATAGAAGCTACTTCTTCAGTACAGTCTCCAAGTTCAATTTTATTTCCATTTGGTTCCCATTGAATATCAGTATATGCAAAGCTTTGTTATGTGTATTGTGGGGAGGAGAGAGATATAAAGATGAATATAGTAAAGGCACAATCCTCACTGTAATGAAGTTTGTAATTCTGGGCTTTGCCAGAACTGAATGTTGAAGGAACTGAAAAAAATTATGGACTTTTATTATCCCATGTTTGGGGTCTGCAAGACAATGGTTGGATTCAGTGATTCACTGGAAGGACTCATAAAACTCAGCAAAACTTTTATAACCTTGATTATGATTTATTACAGTGAAAGGATACAGATTAAAATCAATAACACAAAAAGGTACATAGGATAAAATACAGGAGAGAACAGGCATGAGTTTTCACTTGTTCTTTCCCAGTGGAGACAGATGGAAAATGCTTAATTCTCCCAGCAGCAATGTGTGATAACATGTTCACACAGTATTGCCAACAAAGGAAGCTCACCTGAGCCTTGGTGCCCAGGGTATATTTGAGAAGGAGTTGTCATCTTGGCATGACAGACTGCCAATATGGTTGACCTTACTCTAGCCTCTCCAGAGATCAAGTTGATAGGATGGGGGCCTAAGGCCCCAGGTCTACTGCCATTTGCCAGGTATCCTCTTGTTCATGTACAGGTCAGAGGGGCTGTGAAACAGGCCTGTGAAACAGGCCTAAGGCCCCCCATCATAAGTCACATTGTTAGCATGAAGCATCTTGTGTGGCCCAAGGCTCCCAGGTGACACTCTTATCAGGCAGGATATTCCAAAGGCTTAGAGGTTATGCTCCAGGAGCCAAGCAGGGGCCAAATCTTTCTTTGAAGTGTATAGGGTTTGAACGACTTAGACTTACTGAGACAATCCTTTACTATACACTGCCCAAAAGCATTCTTATTTTTAAAAAAGAAAAAAAAAGACACTATAGATAGGTCTAAAGCACCACTTTCCATGTCAGTAGCATCTTTATAAAGGCAATGTTCATTTGGGTGCTATTCCTGGAAGCTCTGTTGTAGAGTGCATTGTGGCTGTCTCTCCAAACAGCTCTCTCAACTTGCTATGTAAAGGACACTTTCTGGAGGGTGGGCATAGGGATCCACCATCTCCCATCCACCCAAGACATGGCTTCTGTTCCTAAGTCCTTACTAAATGTTTCTTTCTGAGAAACTGGATTTGCCAAAGAAATGGTCTCTCAGTTCTCTTGGCCTTTGAGGGTAGGTTTGCATAGACCCAGTTACTCACTGCCAAACAGTAAATTGGAGCAAGGGCCAGTTACCCAGGATCTCCTTTAAGAGATATGTGAGCCTGCCAGTAGCTGAGAGATCAAGAAATGGGTAAAGGGAATGAGGCAACTGTGGGGGAAATCCCAGGGTGGCCAGTCACTTGTATTTGGAATGGTGTGGCTCACCGTTTAGATGCTTGTAGACTACTGTGTGGGTCCACAAACATCTGAAGGGTGAGTGTACTCTGAAAATGCCAAAAAGTTTAGAATGATTGTTAACCAAACTGAGAGCCATACATCACACTGTGGTTGGGAAGGGATGCTAGCAGCCACTGCAGTGGGTTGGCTAGTTCTTTGGGCCACTCGTTTGGCAACAGAGGCCCAGTTAGCATTGGAAGTGAAAATTAAATGGCTAGAGGAGAACATGAGCCTTTCCACTTCTCTCCTTGCCTCAAATCTGGTGGACAAAATCAAGGAGCAAGAAACAAAGCTTGAAATATTAGCATGTAGATTTGTCTATTTAGGGGAAGAGCTGGAAATGACAAAAAATCAGGGCTATCATAACTAAGCCTGATTGGAATATAAAAATATGGAATCTTTGGAAATATTACAAATAGGAAAATCTTGATGATATAGAGGTCATTGATAATGATGAGGGGATGAAGAGCATTGGCAAGCTTGCCCTCTCATGCAAAGGAAAGCTAAAGCTCAATACCTGCAGCAAAATGGGATCAACTAATACAGGAGACACTCACTATCAGGGAATATACTGCTGCAGAACTCTTAGAGATTGCAAAGACCTTTAAACAACTACCTAGGGAACACTTCAACACTTGGATGGTCCAATAGTGGGACATAGTGGTTGACGGTATTTTCTTAGCCAAGAATAAAGTAGAAAAAATGAGAAATATCACCACCCACCCAGCCCTGCAGCAACACCTTGCTAATGCAAGGCAAACACAAGGGAATCATAGCTTCATGGACTGGATCATTCTAGCTATAAGAGAGGTTTGGCTTAATGAAGGACATTTACCAAGAGGGATGAGCTCTTCGCAGTCAATCAAAGAGACCCCAGGGGCTTCTCTGATAATTGGGACTGAGGCAAACCATCTATGCTCAGGTTTCCGTGGGACCAGATAAGGCAGATTTTACTGCCGGGATGAAAAATAGATTGCCATGGGGTACATGAAGAGAATGGCATGGCCCTTTGCTGTGTTTTTTGAGTTCTTTAGTGGGACAAGACATATATAATGTGGGAGAAGCCATCACAGTTTTGGAAGAAAACAAGAAAGCCAGGGACAGGGTATGCTTGGTAATCTGACAAGGACTAACAAAGGGGAAAAAGAAAGCCCCACTAAGAGAAGGAGAATGAAGGGGGAAGGAGACTGACAAGTCAAGCATAAGCAAATGCAGCATGATTTATTGGGAGCTGGAACACCCTAAGAAAAAAATAGACAAACAAACTAATGCTGTATTAGTAGCCTTATAGAGGGAATTAAAGCCTGAACTGCAGTTTTGTCTCTTCCCTTCTTCCCCTCCATCAGACGAGGAAGATGACTCAACCCCTTATTCTAATGCCTTGGCTTATTAGGGGTGGATTTTGCCCTGGCCCCAAGATTAGGAGTGGGGCCAAGGTTGACCCCATGTTCCAGCAGTAGGACAGAATGTACTTTAATCCATGGAAATCCAGAAAGACACGCTGTCAGCGGACCACCACTGATGGTTATGAGGGCCTTAGTATCCCAATAAAAAGAACTTTATACATCTAGGTATTGGAAAAGCTCCCCCTGCCCCATATATGGCGTTTATTTCCTCTATTCCAGAAAACATTTTGAGCATGGATATTCTGTTAGGAAGGACTTTGCAAACTTCAGTGGGATAATTCAAATGAAGGTATGTGTAGTAAAAGCATTCTCAGGAGAGAGGCAAAACGGGAACCCATACTATTCCCTGCCCCTAGTCAAGCTGTCAACATTAAACAATACAAACTGCTTGGGAATCATGCTGAAATAAGTGCAACTGTTGAGGAACTGGCAAAGGTGCATATTATCTGTCCAGCTCAAAGCCTATTTCACAGCCCCATCTGACCGGTACATGAACCAGAGGATACCTGGCAAATGGCAGTAGACCTGGGAATTGAATAATGTTACAGTTCTTTGTTTTTTTGCTTTTTTTTTTTTTTTGGCTGGAGTGCAATGGTGTGATCTTGACTCACTGCAACCTCCGCATCTTGGGCACAAATGATCATCCTGCTTCAGCCTCCCAAGCAGCTGGGACTACAGGCATGTGCCAGCATGTCTGGTTAATTTTTGTATTTTTTGTATAGACTGGATTTCACCATGTTGCCCAGGGTGGTCTTGAACTCCTGGACTCAAGTAATCTGCTCACCTCTGAGAGAGGAGAAAGGAAGAAACAGGTCAGGCAGGCAGTTATGGTGGGTCCTCGGTTGAATTCTTTCAAGTAAAAGAACAGCCTGCAGGCACAGGTAAGGGAACTCGCACAGGGGGGCTTGCCTAAGACATGCCCACAGCCACACAGATAAGAAAGGTTACACAGGTGACTTGCCCAGACAGGCCCACAATGGAAAATTCTGTCCCCCGACACATGTGCAGTATGGGGAACAAAGCAATATAGAGTAACTCAAGCTAAGGGCCCACATGTGCATCAGGAGGATGGGGTGGAGCTACCAGAAATTTGCACCATATGCAAATAAGATGCCCAGCCCTCATTGGTTTCTTATAAAAGCCTTTGTATTCAACTGTAAAAATGGCAACCCTCTTCTGGGCCCTCTCTCTGTGGCAGAAAGCTTTCTTCTTTGGCTTATTAAGCTTTCGCTCCGACCTCACCCTTTGTGTCCACGCTCCTTAATTCTCTTGGTGGTGAGACAAAGAACTCCGGGTAATACCTCACAAAGAGAGACTGCTACATTGTGGTGCATTTGTGAAACCTTAACACCCGGCCTTCCAAAGTGCTGGGATTACAGGTGTGAACTGCTGTTCCTGGCCTGCAGTTCTTTTTTTTTTTTTTTTTTTTTTTTTTTGAGACGGAGTCTTGCTCTGTCACCCAGGCTAGAGTGCAGTGACATGATCTCGGCTCACTGCAAACTCCACCTCCTGGGTTCAAGTGATTCTCCTGTCTCAGCCTCCTGAGTAGCTGGGATTTCAGGCATGCGCCACCATGCCTGGCTAATTTTTGTATTTTTAGTAGAGACAGGGTTTCATCATGTTGGCTATGCTGGTCTCGAACTCCTGACCTCAGGTGATTTGCCCACCTCAGCCTTAAAAAGTGCTGGGATTACAGGTATGAGCCACCACACCCAGCCCCGGCCTGTGGTTCTTAATATTAGTTAAACAGTTGATGACATAGTATCTGTGCTGGGGACACATCACACTGTCTCAGATTTGGCTAACGCCTTTTTCAGCACTCCTCCATTGAACAATCACAAGACCAATTTGCTTTTCCCTGGCAAGGCTGCTAGTGGACTTTTCACCTGTTGCCCCAGGGATGTCTTCAAAGTCCTACCATTTGTCAAGGAATGGTGGCTAGAGACTTGTCTTTTTTCTCACTCCTATCCTTTCTTTCTTCGTTTCATTATATTGATGACATTTTGTTAGCCTCTGAAGATTTTAATGTGTTACAGGTGTAAAAGAAAATGAAACCTTGGGACCCCAAACTCAGTATGCCAAGGAGAAAGTTAAGCCTGGAAAATAAGTCGTGCAACACTGCCTTCCTTTTTTCCCTTAACCAGAGAGGTGTAACTTCACAACACTCTGTCACAGCATTATACCTAAGCCAAGTTCCAACAATGGAAAAAGGTCATGTACCTGCCCAGATAGCCTGCCTCACAAATTGCTTACAAGAAAATTCCTTGTTAGCCCTGAAATCATTCAAGATACATGTCCCCCTACAAAATCAGCCATGCCAATTGTAACCGTGGGTCTGCAACCAAAGTTTTAACTCCTAAAACTGATTTCTGTTAAATCTCACACTGACAATATTGATGACAAACTTATCTAGCTTGTCTTCGCAGGCACAGACCAAGGGCAAGACAATAAATCACTCCTCTGCCTATGTTGAGATGGATGCATAATTAACTTCTTTTTCCTCTACTCCCTCTTTTCTTTCATTCTTTCCTTTTTTAATTTTATTTATTTATTTTTTTAATGGTTCACTCCAACACCCAGGCTGGAGTGCAGTGGCATGATCACAGCTCACTGCAGCCTCAACTTCCTGGGCTCAGGTGATTTTTCCCACCTCAGCCTCCTGAGTAACTGAGACCACAGGCACATATCACCACGCCTGGCTAATTTTCGTGTTTTCAGTAGAGATGGAGTTTTGTTATGTTGCCCAGGCTGGTCTCGAACACTTGGGCTCAAGCAATCTGCCCACTTTGCCATCTTAAAGTGCTGGGATTACAGGCATGAGCCACTGCACCTGGGCTACTCCTTCTTTTCAAATGTTTACCTTATCTTATCTAAAATGTAGATTTACTGAGTGTTAATTAGAGCTTCACAAGAATGTAAACATTTGCCTCACTGCCTACCCTCCCTTTCTTTTTCCCTCCTTCTTGCTCTTTCACCCTTAAACACTGAGTTCCCAAGCCCTCTTTGAAAAGCACAGGACACAGACGTTCCTGTGGCTTGTGTTTTTCCCAGTGCATCCTCAAACGTTGGCTCAATAAACATCTACTGATAGAGACATCTGCCTAACTTTTTTGGTTAACACAGGAAAGCCTTATAGCATTGTGTGTTCATCTATGGGAACAAGGATGGGTAATCAATCCTCAGAATATCCAGGGCCCAGGATCTGCAGTGAAGTTCTCAGGAGAAGACTGGTTTCATACCGGGTACAGTAATTGACAAAGTCTATATTAGTTTGTTCTCATGCTGCTAATAAAGACATACCCGAGACCTGGTAGTTTATAAAGGAAGGAGGTTTAATTGACTCACAGTTCAGCATGGCTGGGAGGCCTCAGGAAACTTATAATCATGGCAGAAGGGGAAGCAAACATGTCCTTCTTCACATGGCAGCAGGAAGGAGAAGTGCCAAATGAAGCAGGAAGTCCCTTATAAAACCATCAGATCTCGTGAGAACTCACTCACTATCATGAGAACAGCATGGTAGAAACTGCCCCCATGATTCAATTATCTCCACCTGGTCCCTCCCATGACACATGGGGATTATGGAAACTACAATTCAAGATGAGATTTGGGTGGGGATACAGGCAAACCATATCAAAATCCAACAACTTCAAACTCAGAAAATAGTAAAAGAAGTCCAAACATGTGTGGGTCTTTTGGGCTGTTGGAAAGAACTTATTCCACACTTAGCCCAATGTTTAAGACAACTTATTCGAAATGGGACTATAGAATTATTAGAAATGGGACACATTGGGATTGGGACACGCCTCAGCAGGAAGTTTGTGAACAGGCTAAAGTGCTAGTACAGCATGCACAAGCCTTAGGCACCCCTTTAGAGGGTTCAGCTAGGACTTTGGATGTTACTGCTCCTCCTGAGGGTATGAATTGGACCTAGGATTTTGGTCACAATTGTGGAAAGGGGCTGAAACCAGATACACTCCCATTGAACAAGTGCCAGCAGTATTTAATGCTTTACTGAAGGTGGAACCATTAACAAAGACCCTTCTTGCGTATGTGAGAACAGGCCTACCAATCAAGGGATGGATAGAAGGATTGTTTAAAAGACCCATCTCTGCTGGAACCCAGACACCTACCTTGAATAAATGACATGCCTATTTGCAGTGATGAAGGGTTCTGGTAACAAGTTCATTGAGCCCAGAATTGCATGCTATGTTAGGCCCTGTTACATATGAGCAACTACTACTCAGTTGCTTCTCCAGTGCCTGACAGCATAAGAGAAGGAGTGTTACTCATCCGGATGATGCTTGGTATACAGACAGCTCCAGCAGGGGATATCCCTGTATTTGAACTGCTGTGGCAATACAACCACAAACTGACACTATCTGGCTTGATACGGGTACAATCAGAGTAATCAATGGGCTGAATTGCAGACTGCTTGGTTAGTAACGACACGTGAGCCTTGGCCCCTTACCACCTGTACTGATCATCGGGCTGTCTTTTAAGGTTTAACTATGTGGCTAGCCTAAAGGGAATGAGAAAAATGGATAATTATGCACAGACTCATATGGGGCATGAACATGTGGCAAGACACATGGGAGAAGCTGCAACACCCTATGGCCTATTTAATTGTATTTAAAGTGGCCCCAAACACAAAAGTCTCAGTTCTGGGAAATATAGAAGCAACACCCTAACATCGTGTTGGCCCAGGCCACTGAACAAGCAACCTAGGTATATAACAAGTGGTCACAGAAGTACAAGAGTAGCCTGGGAGATAGCCAAGGGGGCAGACTACCCTTAAAATATAGTGACTTCCCAACAGTTGTAACAAACGGTTTACCATGTTTGCGATTGTGTCTACATATGTGTCCTGCTTGATAGACCCCATCAAGCAGGACACATTTATAAGGCTGTCCACCCTGTCAAAGACTGGCAAGTGGATAGACAGGATCTCTCCATGTAAGTCAAGGTAAAAAGTATGTATTGACCTGTGTAGATGCTGCTACTGGACTGCCGCAAAGTTTTCCTTGTAAGCAAGCAAATCAAACCAGTACTATTAAAGGATTAGGGGCTCTTGGTACTATGTATGGATATCCATGGCACATTGACAGTGACTCAGGGATCCATTTTGCTGGACGTGACCCTCAGGATTGGGCCAGGGAGCATGATATAGCAGGGCATTTCCACCTCCCACATAAACCCCAAGCAGTAGGGTCAATTGAGAGAAAACAATGGCCTATTAAAAGCACGACTTCAAACTTTACTGGGGAATCCTGTCTTGCACAGGTAGATGAATGTGTTATCTGCAGCCTTTATCTCTTTAAATTCAGCCAGAGGGAGGACATGTGCCCCATAGACAGGTTGGTACAACTGCCCCCAAAACCTACCACTGTGCATATATGGATGACTGAGATAACAGCTTTGCTCCCAGACCTCATTGATAATCAGCCTGCTTTGCACATGAAGATGCCAATGGATATAGTACCGGGGAGGGGATACTCTACTGGGGCTTAGAATAGCAAATATCCCCAGGCTGATTAGACTATTTCCTGCCAGAGAGTAGGGAGTATCTTGGACAGTTAGAGTGGTCACCACTGAACTCACTGAACACCAGATCTATGGTCATGTGCTGTAAGTGTTCAGGAGAAATGCTCACACCCTATGGCATGGTGGTGGGTTCCTTGGTATGGTGAACTCCCAACTAAATTACTCCAACTACAGTTGCTAACATTTCGTCCTCTGAGCAACATGTATGGTATACTGCTCCTTTGAAAAACACAAGAGCTGCATCTTTGTTAATGACCCTCAATAAAGCAACTAGTGTAATCCTAACAGATGGAGACCTTCCCTGCCAGTACCCGCTGTTTCTTTCTTTTCATCTTTAGTTGTTATGTTCTGTCACCATTATTACCAGCTGTCACCTATGAAGCAAACCTTTTCCTACAATGGGCCAAGACTATGCTGGTGGCTCACAGAAAAACACCCGTTGGGTATGCAGCCTCATGCCACTCTCCGGTGTTTCTGGCCTACAGTGATGGGTAGTTCCCTTCCAAGGATGACAGATAGAATATCAGGAATATATTATTGCTTTTCACATTTACATGATGGTATTGAATACAATGTGACTAGAGATAAAATAACCTCATGCCCCATTAATATTATTCTTTCTGAGAAGGGACATGGGAGGAGTTTTTCTGTCAATGAAAATAACTCAGTCTCAGCCTGAAACACTTCAGTTAAAGAACGAAGTGATCTGATACTGCAATGAAAATAACCCAAATATAGAATGAATTTATTTGGTTAACTATCTTTTGGCCAGCCTAGTCAACTTGTCCCCCTATGTTGGAAACAAAAGAATAATTCTAAAGCTATCTGTCCAAATAGAACAAGGGATATAAGATGGACACCAAGAGACAGATGTTTATATATTATAATATTAAAAGTATGGATTCGCATGCTACAGAATGGGTAATATATCCAGGCATCTCTTGGTTGGCCCACATGGAACTTCCTGGATGCATGGCACAAATTAATATGTTCTTTCGGTTACACACGGGTGCAAGGTCAGATAGTTCACACTCTTTCAAAGCCTGGGAATTTCCTTCATTTGGAATCCCATTGGGCCCAATCTGTTTTCTATCGGTACAACAACTTAGCTTCTATTTTCCTTCCTCAACGGGACATCAAAGATGTTATTTAGCATGTGGAAGCTGTAACAAATTATACAAAGAAAGCTTTTAATAATAGCCACAAGAGAATCTCTCTCTGAAACACAGAAGTCACTCTCATGAGAAAGTCTGTCCTCCAAAAGCACATGGCTTTAGACGTGCTCACTGTTACACAAGGGGGGCTTGTGCAATCATAAAAACTGAATGCTATGTTTATATTCCTGATGAATCAGATAACATCACTAAATTAATGACTGATATGAAAACCCAAATAACCACTCTTTCAGACCAAACCCCTCTTTTGAATGACTGGTTTTGGGCAGGTTTGGATGAAGCTAGTTCTTGGTTTAGGTATTAAATGCATATGTTGTTTACTGCCCTGCTTTGCCTTTACTGTTGTCATGGCAGCTCCAATGGAGCCAATGCACTATTGCTAAAGCTATACAATATCAAGCATCCTCCATCTAGGTGCAGGGACTATCCCAGAAGAGGAGGGCACATGAGATTGTAAGGACCAGTTTTATAGGGTGGAGTATAAGAGAATATCCTGTTGTATGGCAAGAGTGATACCACCTTGAAGTGAAACTATCATAATGACCAATGTTTGACTCCTGTAGACCAAGGCATTCTGCAGCAAGGTCAAGAAACAAGGACTGCAGCATAGATAACCCCTCATAAAGATGCTTACCTAGCTTTTCCACTAGTCATGAGTTTTGCCGAGGGTCGGAGACATGACCAGTGACACGTTTCACCAAAACAAATTGCTATGTAAAAAATACTTTCTGGAGGGTGGGTACAGGGATCTACCATCTCTCAGCTTCCCAAGACATGGCTTCTTTTCATAAGTCCCTATTAAATGTTTCTTTCTGAGAAATTGGATTTGTGAGTCTTTTTCTTTGGCTTCTCAGCAAACTCAGCCTTTGGGGATAGGTTTGCACAGAGCTGCTCATTGTGGAACAGTGAACTGGAGCAAGTGTCAGTCACCCAGGCTCTCCTTGGAGAGATAGGTGCCTCCTTATGGAACAGGAATTAAAAGAAATTAAGGAGTGTGTAAGCAAAAACTCAGTTGTATGTAAGAAAACCCAATTCCGCCTGAGAAAAAGGAAGAGTTGGAGTCCTTTAAAAATTAACTGCCTGTTTTTCTGTGGCTAGTGAACCTTATCTCTCCTCCTTTCCCAGGCATTGTGAAAATCCTGTTTCCCTAGCTGTGCAGCTGCAAGGTCACTAGACAGATAAACTCAAGTTGCAAAACATGTTTTTCTTTGAAAAGTAAGAAATGATGTAATGCATATCTCAACTGATTGAATAACTGCGTTTTTTTCTCACTTCTGTAGTATGCCTCCCCCTGCACAGATCTCTCCCTGCCCCATGAAATGCTTAAAATGTAACTTAACTCTTTGTTCAGGGCTCAATCCTTTGGATGTTAATCTGACTGGGCTGGTGCACCTAAATAATTGATAAATATCCTCCTGAACTCCATCGATCTCTCTAATTCCTTAAAAATCCTGCAACACTTACACTAAAAAGAGCCATTGCTAAGTGATTTTACTGCCGCTTAGAAATTTCAATCTCAAGGGCTGGGGTTCCCAGAGCGGGAGATTATGTCAAACTGCAACTCATGGTGCCAGCACCCCTTGACGAACACAAACCACTGTTTTGTACTTCAGATCATTCTGATATTGATACTATGCTTTGAAACAAAATGTCAGAAGGCTTGGGAATGATAGTAAGAGGAGTTTAAACATAAATAAATAAACAATTTTTTAAATAAGCAAAATGCCAGGGGACACTAAGGAGCAAGGGCAAGGCCATCAACAGTAAAAATTGTGCCCAAATGCAGAGAGCAGGCTTGTGGTAGTCTCCTTGTTCAGGAGCCCAGAAATTCTATAGCTTACTTCTATGGAGATGCCTTTCCATGCTGTCAGTGTTTTGATGTGTCATTGCTATCCACAAGTCTGGAAGAGCAATCTCTGCTGTTGTCCCAGATCATTTGTCCCTCTTACCGGAAGGACTCCTATTAAACAAGCCTCCATCCCACTCCTTCAGGATAATAAAATTCCATACTTATCAGAAAGGGGAGAAGAAACAATTTATAAGGTACCTATACTGTGCCAGGAACTGTGTTAGGTGCATTCACCAACATTTTTTTAAAAATTTAATCCTGATTTTATTGACTTGGAAAAATCCCAGCTTAAACTGGGTATGAGGAATGTGGCCTGGAGATAAATTAACCAAGGAATTCAGTCTTCACAAACCATTGGGAGGATGGCTGTCTGCCCTTTAAAAAATGCTTTTTGTTAAGAAATGACACTTTTGTCCCAGCAGAAGCATTCATTTCATTCATTCATTCATTCATTCACTCAGCAAACATTGACTGAATGCCTTCTGTGTGTCAGCTTTAGTGGGCAAAACAGAAGTCCCTACCCTGTGGAGCTCATATCTTGGCACGGTGAAAAGGCATAACAGATTGACAAGTCATATGACATATGAGGAGGTGCTAAGTGAGATGCAAAAAATAGAAATGAGTAGAGTTTTGGGAGTGAGGGGTGGGTTGGGTGCAATTTGACATACAGTAATCGAGATATCCCTCACTGAGAAAGTGACACCTGAGGAAAGACTTGAGGCAGGTGAGGGAGAAGCCAGGTGGACAGCTGGGGAAGAGCCTTGCAGGCAGAGGCAAAGGCCCTACTGTCAGGGAGTGCTTGATTTGTTCAAGGAACAACACAGAGGCATGGAGTGAACAAGGGGGAGAGTGACCAGGGGAAGGTGAGAGAGGTAAGGATAGGAAGGAGGTATCAGAGAGGGCCTTAGCCACAGCCATAAGACCTTGACATGGAGGGCACTGGAGGCTGTAGACTGGAGGAGTGACATGATCAAAATCACCTTTAACAAGATCACTCTTGGGTCTTGTATTAGTCTGTTCTCATGTTGTAAAGACATACTTGAGACTGGGTAATTTATTTATTTATTTTGAGACCAAGTCTCACTCTATCACCCAGGGTGGAGTGCAGTGGCGCCATCTCGGCTTACTGCAACCTCTGTCATCTGGGTTCAAGTGATTCTAGTGCCTCAGCCTCCTGAGTAGCTGGGACTACAGGTGCATGCCACCATGCCTGGCTAATTTTTGTATTTTTTTAGTAGAGATGGGGTTTCACCATTTTGACCAGGCTGGTCTCAAACTTCTGACCTCAAGTGATACACCTGTCTTGGCCTCCCAATGTGCTGGGATTATAGGCATGAGCCACCACACCCAGCCCAAGACTGGGTATTTATAAAGGAAAGAGGTTTAATGGACTCACAGTTCCACATGGCTGGGGAGGGCTTACAATCATGATAGAAGAAGGAAGAGCAAAGGGATGTCCTACATGGCAGCAGGCAGGAGAGAGAGCATGTGCAGGGGAACTCCCCTTTATAAAACCATCAGATCTCATGAGACTTATTCAGTATCATGAGAACAGCATGGGAAAGACCCACCCTCATGATTCAATTACCTCCCACCAGGTGTCTCCCATGACACATGAGAATTATGGGAGCTAGAATTCAAGATTTGGATGGGGACACAGCCAAACCATATCAAGTTTGGTTTTTGAAACAGGCTTCAAAAAAAAAAGAAGCAGCAGCCATCCAGCTGGAGTGCAGTGGCTCAATCACAGCTCACCGCAGCCTCAACCTCTTGGGCTCAAGCTATCCTCTCATCTTGGCCTCCCGAAGTGCTGGGATTACAGGTGTGAGTCACCTTGCCTGGCCATGAGCATTTTCAACACAGTGTTCTCACATGTATTAGAACTGTTTGTGCCTGGGTGTGGTGGCTCATGCCTGTAATCCCAGCACTTTGGGAGGCCAAGGTGGGCAGATCACGAGGTCAAGAGATTGAGACCCTCCTGGCCAACATGGTGAAACCCTGTCTCTACTAAAAATATAAAAATTAGCTGGGTGTGGTGGCACACCCCTGTGGTCCCAGCTACCTAGGAGGCTGAGGCAGGAGAATTGCTTGAACCTGGGAGGCGGAGGTTGCAGTGAACCGAGATCCTGCCACTGCACTCCAGCCTGGTGACAAAGCAAGACTCCGTCTCAAAAAAAAAAAAAAAAAAAAAAAAGAACTGTTTGCATATAGAGGACTTCCCAGTACATAATCTACTGGAGAACTTTAGCCATTCATTCATTCAACCCAGACTTACTAGCTTCGGCTATGTGCCCAGCATTCTGAAAAGAACTAGGGACACAAACAGAAAGAACAAGGCAGACGTGCCCAGCCTTTATGAACTTACATTCTGTAAAGATGTCAAAGAAACAGATGAAACAATGACTAAAATGGCTGCATACTGGAATGAGCCTCTGAAGGGCATGAACAAGGGCTGAAGTTAAGAATGTGTGTGGGGTGGGTGGTGTATTAGTCAGGGTTCTACTGAAAAACAGAATCAATAGGATGTGTATAGATACAGAAAGACATTTATTTTAAAGAATTGGGTCATGTGATTGTGGAGGTTTGGTGAGTTCAAAGTCTCATGGGAGAGGCCGGCAGGCTGGAGAATCAGGAAGGCGTTGCAGTTTGAGTACCGTCAACAAAAGGAGTCAGACTCTGTAAAACATTTGAAAAGTTTTATTCTGAGCCAAATATGCGTAACTATGGGCCTGTGACACAGCCCTCAGGAGGTCCTGAGAACATGTGCCCAAGGTGCTCAGGGTGCAGCTTGGTTATATACATTTTAGGGAGGCATGAAACGTCAATCAAATACATTGAAGAAATACATTGCTATGTTCCAGAAAGGTGGGACATCTCGAAGCAGTGGGGGCTGGTGGGAGGTGGGGGTGGGCTTCCAGCTTATAGGTAAATTTAAAATGTTTCTGGTTGACAATTGGTTGAGTTTACCTAAAGACCTGGAATCAATAGACAGGAATGTCTGGGTTAAGATAAAGGACAGTGGAGACCCAAGTTCTTATTTGTAGAGGAAGCCTTCAGGTAGTAGGCTTCAGAGAGAACAGGTTGTAAAATGTTTCATATCAGACTTACAGTCTTGTGTTGATGTTAATGCCAGAGAGGTATGAGGAGGCATGTCTGACCCCCACTTCCCATCATGGCCTGAAACAGTCTGTCATGCTAAATTTTAAAAGAGCCCTGGTTGAGGAGGAAGTCCTTTCAGATGGTTGGGAGACCTTAAAAATTTATTTTTGGTTTACAGTCCAAAGACAGTCTGCAGTAGAACCAGGAAGAGCCCACATTTTGTATGAAGTTGAAGGCCGTCTGCTGGGGAACTCCTCTTTGCTCAGGGGAGGTTGGCCTTTTGTTTTGTTCAGGCCTTCAACTGATTGGATGAGGCCAAGCCACACTAGGGAAGGCAAGCTACTTTACTTAAAGACAAGTGATTTAAATATAAATCTCACCCAACAACAGTCTTTCAAAGACATCCAGAATAAAGTGACCAAATATCTTGGCACACTGTGGCCCAGCCAACTGGACACATAAAATTAATCACTGTGGGGGTTTGTCCAGTAGAGCGGGTGACTAGGAAGGCTACTCTGTGCAGGTGATAGGTACACTCAGATCTAATGGGTGAGCAGAAATTAGGCATGCAAATTGAAGGGAGAACATTCCTGGCAGAGCACATTGGCCTGTGTCACACCTTCTCTCAAGCTAGATTTCCCTTCCTTCTATCACCTGTCATCAAGGTCAGCAAAAAGCAAAAGGTAATGACAGCAGCTCTTTGGTGGAATCAAGTTTGTGGCCTCAAGTGGCAGGGGGTCACTTCCTTTTCTATTCAGAATATAGGCTTTTGCCAAGTTGGACAGCAAGGCAGGTTTCTAAGGAAAGCAATGGGAAAATGGCAAATCTCACAAATTCCACAGAAGATGATTACGACCTTGAGAATTCACCTAATTATTTCCTTGGAAGTCTAAAATTATAGACTATACTTGACAGGGATCCAAACTATTTCTAGAAGAGCAGAGCCTGTTGTCACGTGAGGAGTCCCCAGATGCAGACCCATTTGCACTGAGAGTGAGCGGGATGATTCCTCACCCTGGCTTTTGGTTCATCCTCTACAGTTCCTGAAGCCTCTGGCTCAGACACACTGGATCACAGATTTGCCTTACTCTGTTCCATTAAGGTTTCCGAGCTCAAGGGAAACAGAACAAAACAAAATCCTACCAAACACACTTCCCTCTTCCATGTACCCCTGGGTTTGAATATGCACAGTTCTTTCCCTGTCTGGTAGTGACCAGGGACCAGGGCATACTGGCTGTCCTCAGTTGACTCTTTAAGCTCCAGCTAGGCCATGCTGGCTTCTCTTTGATTGATTTTGTGTTTTGTAATGTTCAAGTTTCCTTCTCCCTCAGGTGAAGAGCTAACTGACAGCTTTGGAGTTAACCAAAACAGGGTAATGATTTGCCTTTCTGGTACGTGTATATAGTGAAAATGTGTGTAGTTTTCCTTTGACTCCCTGCTCTAAGAATTTTCCTTTCTTCTCTCTCCCTGTCTAGGGAGATACAAAACATCTCTGTGAAAGAAGTATAAAATGCTCTGTATTGTTTTCCCCCAATCTGACTGGGTTTCTTTAGTGTTCTCCCCTTTAGAAGAAGTATGTCTCTGTCTTCAGCTCTTTCCTCAGGCTAGGGGTTGACTATTAGATTCCAGTAACTCAACTTTCACATGTAAATCTATTTGCCAGCCAGATTATATTTAATAACAGAGCCAGAAACTGGCCCTAAAGCCAGAGGAGCTTGTATGGTTTGAAAATATTTGCATGAATAGTTTAAATTCTGGCAAACAGTTCAGGCATCCAGATGGATCACGGGGAATATGTTCTCTGGTTGGATGTTGACTCCTAGGGTATAATAAAACTAAAAAAGAGGTCACAGTACCACTTTTGCCTTTTCTGAAGTAAATATAATCATAGTAATAGCTCATATCTGTAGCACTTACTATGTGCCAGGCATTATTCTGAGACTACAAGGATTACCCCCATTGAATCCTGACAGCCTTATGAGATAGGGGCTATTATCCCTATTGTCAGATGAGAAAACTGAGCTACGAGGAGCTTAAGAACCTTGCCTAAGGAAATGGTAGAAACTCAGAGAGTGGCCCACAGTCTACTACAAACATTTAAAAATAAATATCAAAATGTTATAAAGGTTACCCTCTCAAACCAGGAAACAAACTAGAGACCCTCTCAAACCAGGAAACAGTCTCTGTCATGCTCTTGTCATGGTGGCCTTGAATGAAGTCTTTCTGGGCCCGCTCCTGCTAGTGGCCAGGTCTTCAGGCAGGGAGCCCATTGGAATAGCTTTTGGGATTAGGTCTCTTTTCTGCATCAGGATTCAGGCAGAACCCCAGAGGCATGTGAACCCACACACTCTTATCTGCAGGAAGCAAATCTTTTTACTTAAAGAAGTGCCTGGAGCAGAGCTTCTCCAACAGTGAGGTGCAGAAGCATCACCTGGGATGCAGGCAAAGTGCCAGTTCTGACTGAGTGGGGCTGCGGTGGAGCCTGAGGTTCTGCTTGTCTGACGGACTCCCAGGTGACACTACTGCTGCTGGCCCACCAGAATGAGAGGCAATGACCTAGAACAATTGCATCTTGAGTATATTTGTTGGCTTCAATGTTTCAGCTACAAGGAACTTTTCTACCAAGTTAGGTATTCTATATTTAAGCACATATTGGACCTAGTTCCCACTTACTGTCTCACTTTTAGTTACTGGAGTAGAAGATATTTTCCATTTGGGAGAATGTTCTGGGTGAAGCGTGTCCCTTCATAATTTGTGTGTTGAAGCCTTAGCTTTCAGTACCTCAGAATCTGACTATGTGTGGATATAAGGCCTTTAAATTAAGTTACAATGGGGTTGTTGGAGTGGAACCTAATACAGTCTGACTGCAGTCCTTAAAAGAAGAGGAAATTTGGACTCCCATCTAGACACCAGGAATGTACATGCACAGAGAGATGGCCATGTGAGGACACAGGGAGAAGACAGCCATCTACAAGTTGAGGAGAGAGGACTCAGGAGGAAACAACCCTGCTGACACCATGATCTCAGCCTTTCAACCTCCAGAGCTGTGAGAAATAAATTTCTATTATTTAAGCCACCCAGTCTTTGGAATTTAGTTATGGCAGCCTGAGCAGACTAAGGCAGAGGGTACCTATGATCTAAACCTCCCTCCCATGTCTGAGGAACCTGGTGCTGTGTAAGTGTGGCCGTAAAGCAGGGCTCTACCTTCTACCAGGAAAGCTGAAAAGACCATGATTGCTTTTTTTGCCCCTTAGCAGCTACAGAGGGACCATGTGGTCAAAGCTTGACCCATTGTGGGCTCTTCCAGGGACTGTGAATTTAGAGTGAGGTGCGCAAACAAGCCAGGGCAGCTCAGATATGTTCCAGTGGCAGTATGGTTCCCTTTGTTCAGGGGCCCATGGCGATGTAGCAGTGAGGGAAACCAGTGTCCAGTGGTGGTAAGGCCACTGCTGAGTGCCAGGGCAATGTGGAATGTTCAGGGGCAACCATGTGCCAACAAGCCTGTGCTGAGGCATGACCCAGAAGGGGTTACTGCCTTGATTCCCTTTGTTCCTTGCCTCTTCCAAGCCTGGTTCTCCAGCCTTCCTAACAATTCTCTCTGCTCCCAAGGGCTTTCCAATAAATTTCTCATCTGCTAAGCTAGCTGGAGTTGATTTCTATTTTTTTGAAACCAAGAACTCTGGCTTGTATGGTCTCAAAGATTTGGAATAATTGACCTTGTTTTCCTGCTTAAACATTCTTCATCTGAAATTCTTTTTACTCATCTGTGTTCAATTGTTGCCCCATAAAAAGCAGAGTAATATTGTTTTCTCTGTTTTCCATCTTTACTGTATTCAAAGAGAGACTGACACTGTGGCTGCTTTGTCTCTCACATCCTGCCTAGGGTAATCATGTTCATCTTTTTATCTGGGTTGTACCGAGGTATGCTTAGATGGTAAGTCTTGAAAGACAAAGTAGTAAATGTAAGAAGTTATATTCGCTCATTTCTCTTTGAACTCGTGACTCTGATGACATGCAGCTTTACAGGAAAATGTCTTGAAGACAAAACAGAATACAGCACATGGCCCCCACATCTCTTGTCTAAGTCACTATATTCATTAAAAAATAAAGGATCCTAGTCCTTGCCTTTTCCTACACAAAAGGTAACATCTGGGCTGGGCTCAGTGGCTACGCCTGTAATTCCAACACTTTGGGAGGCGGAGGCAGGTGGATCACTTGAGGTCAGGAGTTCAAGACCAGCCTGGCCAACATGGTGAAACCCTGCCTCTACTAAAAATCCAAAAATTAGCTGGGTGTGGTGGTGCAAGCCTGTAATCCCAGCTACTCAGGGAGCTGAGGCAGCAGAATTGCATAACCCCAGGGGGCGGAGGTTGCAGTGAGCCAAGATCATGCCACTGCACTCCAGCCTGAGTGAGAGAGCGCAAGACTCCATCTCAAAAAAAAAAAAAAACATCTGACAGGGTTAGTGATTATTCCTCTGTAGTCTATAACTAGATGTACTCTTTTACCCAAACTTTGACGTGATTTTGCCGGTACTTAATCTTCACCACCCATATATAAACCATTAACTGAAATACAATGGAGAAGTCTGACAGAACATCTCTGAAAGACTTCTCCTGAGCTTTAGGCCTTGGTCTATAGTTCTCAGTCAGACTTCTGAATAAAACTTTTCATTTCTTAAGAAAGAAAATTCTTTTAGTTGAAAGATAAAAGAAGGAGTGGCTTAATGTATAACACATAATGAGCCTATGCTTGCAAACATCTCCCTTGATGGGAGAGGTTTACTAAAAGAAATTCAATATTGAAATGGTCAAAAATGGAATTCTGAAACATTAAGGCATGCCAGGTTTTCCAGGACTCCAGATGGCTACATATTATGGCCTGTTCTTGTGCATTTTTTAAACCAAAGGACAAATTACATCAAGGAAAGTTTGGAACTCAAATGATCATTATTCAAAAATCCATTTTAACTGTAAAGTCAAAATGCAGAGTCTTCTAAGTCTTCTGTCTATCTCAGTATTTTTTCCTGCCTTCTTTGAATCTGATGACTTTTCTACTGATGCTCAGATAAAAACACACTCTTTAAGACAGTACTAATTCAAGGCTACTTGGAGATTTTGCTTTTCTTATACAATTCAGCCACTTTAAGCTAAAATGTAAACATTGAAGATTTAACCATAAACTCATTTGAAACTGAAAGGAAAAAGGTGGTAAAGAGGTTTTTAAACCAAACTGCCATGAAACTGCTTTGCCCACAATTTTGGCTGGCAGCCTTCATTAGATTACCCATCAGGACAAATAAAGTTAGCCATGTGAACAGGTCCCTATTTTGTCAGAAATGTAATTTGAATCCAGACATCTTTCATAAACCAGTGAGTCTGTATTACTATCTCATGATCAAAATTCTAGGAAGGAATGCTATAAGATCTTCATTTCTATGTGTGTATATGTGTTTATGTATATGTACACATATTATGTTATAGGTTGTGTCTACATGGTATCAAATTGACTTATAAATTAATTAGCTCATAAACTAGCAAGCCCAAATATTTTCCAAGTTCATATGACTTAAGTAAATATTTAATAAATAAGCTGGTTAAAATTATTGGTAAAATAATAATAGAAATGTCTTCAAAATTGTCAACATATATTTTCTTTCCTAGATTTACTGGTCAGACAGTTTTATACATGTCTCTGCTAAATGTTTTAAGATGTCAGGGTTTGACATGAAATGGGGTAAACATAAATAAACTTTTCATGTAATTTGAAATCTTAAAGTTATGTTAAATAATAAATACTTATTAAATGCCTGGATCATTTTAATTTAAAAAATTATGTTACATGTTTCTAAAAATGTTTCTCATCTATAAAATATGAGTATGTGACAGACAATTCAAGATTTCTTGCCTCCAAAGTTTTCACTAAAATTTAAGCTTACTAAGAGTTAAAAATCCTAATTAATATGTATAGTACTATATATAGTATATATATACTATATATATTTATATGTTATAATATATATATATATATATATATAGTATAGTAGGTATGGAGGAGACGAGGTCAGGGAGCGGGCAAGAAGCCAGGTCACAAAGGGCCTTCAAAGCCTTGATAAGAACTTAGGGTTTTGTTCTAAGCATGTTGGGTAGTTGTGCTATTGTTGCTGCTGCAACAAACACTTACTAAGCTCTTATTAGGTGCCAGACAACTATGCTAAATGCTTTACATGTATTATCTTCTCAGCTACTTTGTAAATTCCCACAGCTCTACTGACTTTTGGAATCAGACAGATCTGGCTTTAAAACCCATCTCTTCCACTTTCCATCTGTGTGATGTTGGCCAAGTTGCTGAATCTCTCAGTGGTTCAGTTTTCTTATTTGTAAAATGGGAGTAAAAATATCTCATAGGGTTATTGTGAGGATAAAGCAAGAGAGTGTTTGTTAAGCAACTAGCAAAATGCCTCAGTAGTTTTAGTTCTCTTCCCCTTCCCCTCTGCTTTGTTGTCCCTTCCTTTAGGTCAGTGACCAGGTCTTAAGTCATTTTTGTAGCTGTTTATTATCTTGCTTGGTTCCCTGTATATAGCAGTGACTGGGTAGTTCATTTGCATAAATAAAGAAGTGAATGAGTTTCCTTTTTGCACAATTGTAACCAGGGTCATTTATTGCCAGGAGATGAGGTATTGCTGGCTTATGTTGGCCTCCAGGCTGTGGGGCTGGGGTAGGAAGAAAAGGGAGTCTAGGAGGTTGGAATACCTCCAAACAGAGGCACAGATGCAGGGAAGGATGAGGCATGTTCTAGGAGCAGTAAGTAGGCCAGTTTTGTTGGGTTATAAGGGAGCTCTATCATGCTGACCTTGCATACCAAGAGAGTCTGTATGTTCTTCAGCAGGAAGAATTGGAACCCACAAGAATTTTTTTAGTAGAAAAAAAAAGCCCCACAGTGCAACCTCTAGCTTGATTGTTCTTGCTGGTATGTAGCTTAGTAATGTTCCTTAGCCATTTCATGTCCAGTGCCTCTATTAGAGAATAAAGTTTCTTATCCAGAACAGGGGTTAGGCTGGGTGTGGTGGCTCATGCCTGTAATCCCAGTGCTTTGAGAGCCTGATGCAGGAGGATAACTTGAGGACAGGAGTTTGAGACCAGCTTGGGCAATAAAATGAGACCCTGCCTCTACCAAAAAAAAAAAAAAAAAAAATCCCAATGTGGTGATGCACTGCCTTTGATCTCAGCTACTTGGGAGGCTGAGGTGGGAGAATCCATAGCAGTGAGCTATGATTGTGCCACTGCACTCCATCCTGGGTGACAGAGCAAGAGCTCATCTCTTAAAAAAAAATAACAGGGGTTAAACATTCTTCAGTGAATTCATTCAACAAATATTTATTAAGCCCTATTGTGTCCCAGGCACTCTCTAGAGATACAGTGGTGAATAAAACAAAATCTCTACTCTGTTGAAGTTTGCATAACAATGAAGGAAGACAGATTCTACTCATATAAACAAATAAATACAATAACATAATTTAAGATAAAGTCATGAGAGACTACCTGTGTGTTGCTACTTTAGCTAGAGTGGTCAGGGAAAGCTTCTCTGAGGAGGAGAAACCTGAGTGATGAGAAAGAGATGAGACAGCCACGTGAAATCCAGGGAAATGATTCCAGGTGAGGAAGCCCTGTGATGAGAATGAGCTTGAAGTATCCAGGGGCCAGAAATCATCCAGTGGGACTGGAGGCTGGGGAAACAAGGGGAGGGTTAAAGGAGACAGACCTGGGACGGCAAACACAGGTTGGATTATGTAGAGTCTTAAAGGACTTTGGACTTCATGCTAATCATAATGTAATTCCAATCATAATGTGTGGGGGGGTGGGTTATGTAAGGAAGTGCACCAGACTTACCCAATAAAAAGATCACTCTTGCTGCCAAGTGGAGAATGGATTATAGGGAGCAAGAGCTGCAGCCAGGGACAGGTCCAGATGTAGTTGCAGTTACTCAGCTGCTATGGTTTGAATGTGTGAGTTTCTCCAAAATTCCTGTTGAAACTTAATTATCTCCTAAAGCCCCACCTCTTAATCCTGTTGCATTGGAGTTTCAACCCACAAGAGGTGGGGCTTTAGGAGATGATTATGTCTTGAGGATTCTGTCCTCATGAATGAGATTAGTGCCCTTCTGAAGGGGCTTGAGGGAGCGTATTTGGCCTTCTTTTGCCCTCCTGCCATGTGAGAACACAACGTTCATCCTTTTCACTATGTGAGGAGGCAGCAACAAGGCGTCTTCTATGAAGCAGAGAGCAGCCCTTGCCAGTCACTCAATCTGCCAGCACCTTGATCTTGGACTTTCCAGCCTCCAGAACTGTGAGAAACAAATTTATAAATCACTCGATCTAAGGTATTTTGTTAGAGCAGCAGGAATGTACTGACACTGTCTTGGTTCATTTCATGTTGCTGTAGAGAAACACCTAAGGCCAGGTAATTTATAAAGAGGTTTATTTAGCTCACATTTCTATAGGCTGTACCATCTGCTGGGCTTCTGATGAGGGCTTTTCTGCTGCATCAAAACATGGCATAAAAGGTCAAAGGAGAAGTGGACACATGTGAAGAGGAACCAAACCTGAAGAGTGTCCTGGTTTTATAACAATCTACTCTTGTGGGAACTAATCCATTCCCCTAAGACCCAATCCAGTCTCATGAGAACAAGAACAGCACCAAGCCATCCATGAGGAATCCACCCCCATGACCCAAACACCTCCCAGTAGGCCCCACCTCCCAATACCACCACACTGGGATCTGATTTCAACATGAGATTTGGTGGGATAAACAAACCATACCCACACCACAGCAGACACCTACTGAGAGACAGTGGTATCTCAAACCACTGTTGGAGCAGTAATGAAGGTGGGAAGGCATCAGATATGGTTTTTATTTTAGAGGTAGAGGCAACAAAATGGCTGATAAATTGTACATTTAGTTTAGCTTAGTTAAAATTGTATTTGCCTATACCCAAAAGAATAAGATAGAAGTTAATTTCTCTCTTAAATCAGCATCTATGTAGGAGGTCTGGGGCTAGTAGGGCACACTGTACTATTATCAATTTTCTCTTTCTTCTTTCCAACTTCTTCATTTTGGAAAGGGAATGTCTATCCTATGCCTTTCCCACCATTGTGCTTTGGGAGCACATAACCTACCATGTGAGTTAGAAGTGAAATCAACGAATCAAGGATAATTGCCAGATTTTTGCATAAGCAAAAAGTAAATGATGGTGCCATTTACTATGATGAGTAAAATTGGGATTTGAGCAGGTTTTGGAATAGGGGTGGATGGAGAAAAATCAGGGGGGGTTGTTTTGCCATATTGAAATTGATGTTCTCATTAGAAATTTGAGCTAAGCCATCAATCATAGAAAACTGGATCTCAGGGGAGTCATCAGCATACATGTTGCATTTAAAGTGCTATGATTGGATAAGATCAACTACAGAAAGGGTATAAAAACAGAAAAAGGCCGGGCGCGGTGGTTCACGCCTGTAATCCCAGTACTTTGGGAGGCCGAGGCAGGCGGTTCACAAGGTGAGGAGATCAAGACCATCCTGGCTAACACGGCGAAACCCCGTCTCTACTAAGAAATAGAAAAATTAGCCGGGTGTGGTGGCAAGTGCCTGTAGTCCCAGCTACTCGGGAGGCTGAGGCAGGAGAATGGCGTGAACCTGGGAGGTGGAGATTGCAATGAGCCAAGATCACGCCACTGCACTCCAGCCTGGGCGACAGAGCGAGACTCTGTCTCAAACAAAACAAACAAACAAACAAAAAAACAGAGGACACAGCCTGAGGCTCCAAAATTTAGAAGGCAGATAGAAGAGAGAGCCAGCAAAAAGGCTAAGAGGAAGTAGCCATTGGTATTTGATGATGATATTAAAGATTATTTTTTCAGATGTTATAATGATAGTGTGCTTACATCTCTTATAAAAGAATCCTTATTTAGAGATACATACTGAAATATTTATAGATGAAATATGTTTGGGACTTATAAATAATTTGGGAGGGAAAGTAGGTAAGGAATAGAGAAAACAAAATGGGTCATGAGCTGAAGTTAGGTCAAAGTATAATAGCTTCAGCTATTATACTTTTCTGAATGCTTTTATATACATTAAAAATGTTCCATGATATAAAAGTAAAATAGAAAAAGAAATGTGTAACCACTCAAGTAGGATGACCTCCAGGATATTGTGCTGTCATGAAACCTAGTGAAGAATGTGTTTCCCAGAGGAGACAGTGGTCAATGTCTAGTGCTGCTGAGGGCAAGCAGGATTTGGACAGAGAATTGACCATTGGATTTGACAAAGCAGCTGTCATTGATGATCTTGCTAAGAGTCATTCAGTGGACTGATGAGGACAAAGCCTGGTGGGAGGGTGTTGTATAAAGAATGGACAATGAGGGAGTAGAAAGGGAAAGATAGATGATTTTTCTGCTCTAGAGGAGAACAGAGAAATTGAGAGACAGCTAGAGAGGGGCATGGAGTCAAGGAATTTATTTAAATAGGTCCCATTAAGGCATAGAGGTATGTTGATTGGAATGAGGCAGCAAGGAAGAAACTGATGCTGTGGCAGCAAGATCTTGAGTAGAGAGAGCTCATTGGATGGACAGCACTAGGACAGGGGCTGGCCTTGCAGAGGATCAGGGTCTTTCTTCCTCTGTATCAGGTGAGAGGACAAAATATGTGGGTCTGGACACAGGTTTCTGGAGTTTGGTAGTGGGATGAAGTAGTTCTCATCTGATTGTAAGTATTTTCTCAGTGAAGTGTGAAATGTGGTCACAAGCTAAAAGCAAAGAAAGAAGGTTTTCAGGGGTTTGAGAAGGGAGGAGAAGGTGCCAAATAGTCTCCTCAAAGAGAGGGGACTGGATCTACCAGGGAAATGTAGCGTCCATTAGGAACTGTCATGAATTCAAAGAGAAAAACAAGCAGTAAGATTGTTTGATTGACATCATCCGGTTTCCTCCCCTGAAGTGGTGGCGTGAAGGAGGCAGACAGTTGCATTTAATCGGGGGTAGAGTTTTACCAGGTGAATCTAGTGGAGGAAGAGAAGAGGCAGATTGTAGGAAAGGGGCTAAAGGACCACGGGCTCTAAGCAAGGGAAGAGAGAAGTCAGTGAGTGGTTTTTTGTATGACGCGGTGTGTGTACAGGGGAGTAGAGGACATTGTGAGTTTGTTTGCAGTGTAGCTGGGTGGGGGAATTGAGTGAGTGAATCAGGAGGTGAGGAGATGGTGGCCAAGAATGAGAAGGACTGGCTAGGTAGAGTGGCTCACGCCTATAATCCCAGCACTTTAGGGGACCAAGGCAGGAGGATTGCTTGAGCTCAGGAGATCGAGACCAGCCTGAGCAACATAGGAAGACCCTGTCTCAAAAAAAAAAAAAAAAGAATAAGCAGGATGTTTGAAATAGAGACTTTAGAGATGCTGTGGTTTATTAGTGAAGACAGTCCAGGCAGGCTGTGTCCATGGGGACAGATGGCTGAAGTGGGTGGAGAAAGTGACCACTACACTAAGAGGCCAAGAAACCAAGAAGCTGCAGTCTGTTCCTTTTTTCCCCCACCAGGTATCAAGCGCAGGGCTCTACCTCCAATTGGTTCTTGAGAATTGCTGACTAAATTTTGGGCATGAGGCCAGGCACAGAGAGAAGAACAGGGAGCAGAAATGAGATTTAGAAATGTGTGTGGAGGGGAGGGAGAAGAGAAGTAAGAGATAAGAGCTATCTCTAAATGCTCTCCCATCCCCTTGGGTCTGCCTAGAATGCTCCCATTTGTGGAGGTTGACATACTGTAATGGAGCAATCTGAGAACGACATGTTTGACTCAATTCAATTTGACCATTTATTGAGCATTACGTTTAGAATGTCAGGCTAGGTGCTAAGAGTCCCTAGTGAAGGTATAGTCTAGTTGGATAGAGGGCGTAAAGCATGCATAAAAATGTCAGGTAGCTTCTGCTACAAGCCAAATAGTAAATAATTCGCTTTGCCTCCTCTGGGTCAGTGAATCGAATTCCTTGAGAGGTTTGTTTGAAATTGTGGACTCTCAGGAAGGCCTGTTTTAATATAATGTGGAACTGAGACTGAGGAAGCCACAAATTAGAAACTTGCAAAGTGAGAGAGTTGGATATTTAGTTGGTAATTATCCTTTGTGCCCCTCTCCCTGCCAAAGTTTTCCTGAAATGTTTCCCAAACCATACAGTATTAGTCAGCGTTTTCTGGAGAAACCAAACCAAAAGGACACACGCGCACGCATACACACACACGCACACACACACATGCACATGGGGCCTGATCTGTTTAATTTAATAAATTGCTCATGTGGTGGGTGCTGGCAAGTTAAAAAACCATAGGGCAGGCTGGTAAGCTGGAAATCCCAGGAAGAGTTTGTGAAAGGAAATTAAATTTGGGGACCGCAAACTCATTTAGCCAAAGGGAAAAGTCAAGCTGGGAACTGGGTCATGCAAACCTGCCTCCACCTATTGGATACCAAATAAGATGTCTACAAGATGAAGAGCTACCCGCCTGCCCCATATTTTACCCACAAGGAAATTGCTAGTGAGCTGTTAAAACTTCACCATGGCAATGCAAATTGATAGCTTACAGGTGTAGTCACCCAGCCTGCCAGACACAGATACATATCTGATTGCTCCCCTACCCCATTTTGTCTGTGTTATCTTATGTAAAATGCAGATTTCCCCCCATTTTTCCTCTGCCCCTTTTGTTTATGTGAAAACTGTGTGCTTCTCAATATCCCCACCCTTTGCCATTTCCCCTTTAAATTTGGAGCCCTCAAAATCATCTTCAGAGAAAGGCATAGACCTGTCTCCCAGGCAATGTCCTTAACTTTGGCAAATAAATCTCCAAAAATGATTGAGACTTGTCTCATCATTTTCTTCGATTGACAAGTTGATGTTGTAGTCTTGAGTCCAAATTTTGCAGGCAACAGATTTGAAACTCAGGAAGGGTTTCCATGTTGAAGTCTTGAGAATTTTTTCTACTTTTGGGGAACCTCAGTCTTTGCTCTTAATCAAGGATTACGAAGTCTAATCTGCTTTACTCAATGTTCTTAAATATTAATCTCATCTTAAAAATACCTTCATAGCAACATCTACACTGGTGATTGACCAAACAGTTGGGCCTAGACAAAGTGACACATACAATTAACCATCACACCTGCCTATAAGATAATCAACATTATAGGAGTCTAAACTCATCAGCTTCCTCTGTGAAATTTTCATCTATCTAGAGTCCAAATTTTGTGTTCATGCCTTTTCTGAAGTACTAGACTTTAGGCTCCTTTCTGGTAGGCTCCATTTCTTTAAAGCAGTTTACATTGCCTTTATATCCATTGCAGTGCCTTACACCAGTCCCCAGGTGCCAGTAAGTGACAAGGGGATGAGGATAAAAATAAGAGCACAGGCTCCGGAGTCAGATATTCTTGAAATCAAAGTAATTTTAAGCAGTTTATTAAGTGTTCCAACTCTGTGTCCTCAAATATAAAATGAGAACAATCATATATATATTTTTTTAGGATTATAGATTTGTTGGAAGGAGAGGCTCTATTTATAATTCATTTTTTATCCTCCCCCAAAACAGCAGAATTTGCTGTGTGTTAGCAGGTTCTGTGCTAAGCACTTCATGCGCAGGAACTCACTCAGCCTTCAGAACAACCCCGCTGTGCACTCCACCACCATTTCATGGGGAGCAAAGGGGCTCAGAGCGTCTCTTAGTCCACTTGGGCTGCTGTAACAAAATACCATAGACTGGGTGGAACAGAAACAACAGAAATTTATTTCTCACAAATGTAGAGGCTAGAAGTCTGAAATCCTATGGGAGTTCTCTGGGGTCATTTTTATTAGAGCACTAATCCCATTCACGAGTGCTCTGCTCTCATAACCTGACCACCTCCCAAAGCCCCACCTCCTAATACTATCACCTTGTGGGTGAGGATTTCAACAGATGAATTATTGGGGGACACAAACATTCAGTGTACAGCAGAGAGGGTAAGTCATGTACCTGTGGACACAGAGCTGGAAATGATGACATAAATTAGAGCTCAGATTGGCCTGTGGCTCATGCCCATGTGGCCCTCTGCAGAATGCCTTGGCATTTTTTCCGTGGTTCCCTCTGCCACAAAGGCCCTCCCTTCACCTGGGGCACCTGCTTCTCTTCCAGAGTCAGTTCCTGCCCCACTGCCCCACAGAAGTGTTTTCTGATGTGCTCTTCCTTGGGAAGACCTGACCAGGGCAAGGCAAGACAGCGGTGCTAGTTGTGCTCTGGACCGAGAAAGGGGTAGGATGGAAATTCAGCTACTGTTCCTGGCAACTGGTGAGTCTTTGCCCCAGGCTATGGCTAACAATGAAAGGAAAACCTTATGGTAATCCTAACACCCAGAAGGGTCAGCCTTCACACAGAGACACTTGTAGGCAGTAGCTGGGCCCTGGGACTGGCCATTCCCTCCTCCACGCCCTGCAAGCACAAGTGCTCAGGAACGTTCACCTCCTGCCTCTCTCTACCACTAGTGATCCTCTGAAGTGCAGGAGCCACGTCTTAGGTGTTGTTGCTTACTTCTTGTCCAGGACAGGGACTGGCACACTTCTGCTTAGTGTTTGTTAGCAAATGGATAGAGGGAAGACTGAAGGAAAGAGGAAAATCAGGTGTATTTCTTAAAGTTGGCAAGGTGATTCAATTCCTTTCTTCACACAACAAATATTTATTGAGCACTTGCTATGTGGCAGTCACAGTTTAGACAATGGGGTTACTGATACTTAAGGTGTTCTGGTTCTGGCACACGAGAAGCTGATTTATTATTTTCCTACCATGTCATACATAGAGGAAAGCAACAGTCTTGTATCAAGCTGGTTCTTTAAAATACCCTACTAGGTTTCCTGAGGTTTCATGCTTCTAGGCCCCTGATTACTTAACACATTCAAAACAGAAGAATCTTTTTATGTGCACCAGGAGAAGAAATGGAAAAACACTGACATCCCTGGAAAGTGGGAAATCCAAATTTCAGAATTTCTTCTCCACTGCCACATGTTTCCCATTTGTTTGTTTTTCCAAAACACCCATTGCACCTCACCAGCATGGAGCTCAGGCTGGCCTCCAGGCAGGGCTCTTTTCCACAGCATCTGCCCCTCCCCACCAGAGCAGAAGGCAATGCTAACTGCACCTGGGACCATCATCCAGAGGAGCATCTCTGAGAAGCAAAGTGAATTGTCTGGTCTGAGCAGTTCCTAAGTGGATTAATGACTAATAACCCTTGGTTCCTAATGACCTGGATGAAATAATACAATTTCCTGGGCTCTGTGGAATTCTGGAGTCTCCAGCTATTAAAACCACTACAAAGCACTCTTAGATACTAAATGCATGGTACATTTCACGATGTTGTTTTCTCGGTTCATGAGCTTGTGCATATTTGATTGCACATGCTCACTTTAAGAGGCACTTACCGCCCCTATCTTCAGCTCTGTTAAATGGAGAAAAGCCAGATAAACTAAGGCATTAGTGGCGCCAAATTAACGTGAGCATCACGTAAATGCTCATCAATGCCAAGAGGAGCCCATAGTTTCTGCTAGTAAGTAGAAAGTCCCTAATATGAGGAAGATATATTTATAATGTCAAAGGGATCTATTGTTAGTATCCCTAGTATTGGCTAATGGTAGAAAGGGCGCATAGTTATTTAGCATCTTGGAAATGCAAGTTTCTCATCATTTAGGTATTTTCAAAATGGGACAATAACAAATGCAAAGGGTCATTGCAATGGCTACATGAGATCTGTGTGAGATGCCTAGCACAGAACTGGCACCTGGATGAATCCCAGGACCTGGCTGTTGGAGTATTTGGACATAGTGAACATGTGCTCCTCATAGAGCTAGAAGCTCACTAGAGTAACCCACCCTTCAGGTCACAGGGACCTGGGAATTCATTCTGAATATTTAAAGCAGGGAAGGTTTACTCAGGTGATGGAAGGGCTGAGAGACAAGCAGGGAACTGAGATAACACAGAGTTTAACACAGCAAGAAGCCATCACCATGCCTGGGCTGCAGAGATACAGGGAGGAGACAGGTTTCCCCAAGCCTGGGAGTCACACAACAGAAGCTGGGGCCCCACAGAACACACAGTTGCCATCAGAAATGCCACCTGCAGAACAGATGGGGAGTGATATCGTTAGGCTTTTTGTCCGCACTCAAATCTCATCTTGAATTATAATCATCATAATCCCCACGTCAAGGGAGAGACCAGGTGGAGGTAATTGAATCATGGGGATGGTTCCCCCATGCTGTTCTCATGATAATGAGTGAGTTTTCATGAGATCTGATGGTTTTATAAGGGGCTCTTTCCCTCACTTCTCTCTCCTGCAGCCTTGTGAAGAAGGTGTCTGCTTACCCTTCGCCTTCCACCATGATTGTAAGTTTCCTGAAACTTCCCCAATCATACGGAACTATAAGTTAGTTAAGCCTCTTTCCTTTATAAATTACCCAGTCTCAGGAAGTTCTTTATAGCAGTGTGAGAATGGACTAATACAGGGAGAAATGCTCTGGCTTTTTTCTCCTTTTTTTCCACCTTCCCACCTCCCACCAGTGCCAAATCCAGCCAGAAGCTGGGCTGATATGGGAGTCTGAGCTTTAGGGGTGAGCCCTCACCGCACCCTATAGAGAGTAGAGCAGGGTAGAGGTGAGGAAGGGAACTGAGCCCACCCAGTGGGCCCGCAAGCCTGGGCAGTAAAGGTACCAAATGAAATTATCTGGCTTGGAGGTCTTCATTTGGGGTGACATTTTGTTTCCAACCTATCTCCTCTCCTGCTGTCCTTGACCCCAACCTTCCTCATGCCTATTTTCCAAATTCTCTTGAGTCTTCTGCTCCAGCTGGGTCATCTCCTATCCACAGGTGGGAAAGGAGGAAAGACACCAGCCCCACTGCAGCTACCACCCGCACTGCTAGATGTCCGAGCATGTGCCTGCACTGAGCCACGCCTAGAGGGCAGCCAGGTGATGATGCTGCTCCTGCCTTGCATGTGCTCTGCCCAGTGCTCAGCAGACCTCCCTGGTAGGTGCTGTAGCTGTGCCACAGTGCTCTGGCCCTGAGCCTGGCCACCACATGTGTTATCAGGGAGGACCCTCCCCTTGAGTCACCTACATTAGTGCTTAAAGCTCTAGCTTCAAACTCAGTCTCAACCCAGGGTAGGTGGAAAATAGAACTTTCTTTAGTATTTTTATAGCTCAGTTGCCATTTTTTTCAAGAAGTCCTTCTTCCCTGACCTGCCATGTGAAACTTACTGTTTGCAAACTCCCTCTTACATTCTATTAGTGAAACTAACCTAGATCCTAGATTAGGGAAAAGCTGCATGCATAAGGGGAAAAAATAACAAGAAGTGTAGTTTATTCTCCCCACTACGGCGCATCCTGTTGATGGAATATAGGAATATAATTCAATAATTAAAACATTCATGCCGATGTGGTAAAACGTTGTGTTGCAGTGTAAATGGGAAAAATGCAGGATGCAAATTTTTGTCAAATGAAGCAACAAATGAGCAAGCAACAGCTTAGAAAACTGTCTGGCAGAGAATGCACCAAAAATTTGTCTTTTGGGAGATGGTACTATGAATGATTTTCATGTGAAGAAATTAAGTTTACTCCAGAGATCCCTTGAGTTCTAGAACTGGTCTTATTTATCTTTGTATCTTTCTTCCTTCCTCATCCCCAGAGCCTTGTATACACTCAATATGCAAGAAGCCCTGGAAGTTCCCAAGGTGTGTTTCCAAGACCCTACACCAGCCTGGCTGAAACAGGACCAGATCATCTCTCAAATCTCCATCTCATGGTCTTGGTGGCCACCTGCTGCCTGAAGCTAGGGCTACAGAGGCGGGAGTGAAGAAGGACTCACCTGCCCAGACTGAAGCCACAGAATCCAGGGAGCCAGCCTCAAGGTCCAGTCAAGCAGTGCTCAGACTTACTGCTAGGATTTAGAAGAAAACAAAAGGGGATGATGAGGAATTGCAGATTTGAAACTAAGCTGGCGGGTTTAGGGTCTCTTCTGTACCATGGGTTTTGTGGAGGCTCTAATTCTGTGGTCTTTTTCCAGAATGCTATGTTCTTAGTCACTAATTTGCCTTATGTGACTTGACTAATTAGTACCCTCAGGATGGGAAAGGCCTTACATGAGCAGCAGGAAATTTTTGGGGTCTGAGAAAAGGTGGCTGAAAGAAAGGGAAGGATCTGATAGGGGAGTGAAGAGTGTTAACGTAACTTTGGCTCCCTTCTCCATGTTTATGCTGTCAGCAGAAAAACCAAACTCTGCACAACATTTCAAAGAGGTTTATTCTAGGCCAATATGAGTGACCACGGCCCAGGGAAAACACAAACCCAAGAGGCCATGAGAAAGGAGTCCCAAGGCAGTCGGACTGTAACTCTGTTTTAAGCATTTCAGGGCAGCAGAAACTACAGGCAAAGTTGTAAATTGATACATGGAGGTTTATACATTGGTTCAGCCCCAAGAGGTGGGATATCATGAATTGGGGGACTTACAGGTCATAGGTGGGATCAAAGATTCTTTAATTTGTAATTGGTTAAAGGAACAAAGCTCTGTGTAAAGTCAGCTTAAAGAAATGTTTACATGAAAGGAAGGAAGTTTGCTAGTCATCATGTGATGCTATGCCAGAGTCGGGTTATGAGAGCAAGATACAATATATTGGGTCAAAATGACATGTTTAGCCAGATTGATGGTCTGTAGGTATGACTCTCTCCAGGCCTTTTTGGAGAGAATTTTTAGCAAAGAGAAAGAGGTCAGAGTTCAGTCCTCAATGATCTCCACAAAGACTGCTCTGCCTGAAACTTGTGATATAAATCATGCCGTGGGACATGGGCCTGCTCCTCTCCAAGGGCCGTTGGCTGGGCCTCTTAGGGTTCAAACCAGAATCTCCTGATTCTCACTCTCATACGATATTATGCAAAGAAAAACTCCCTTTTGGAAAAACCCCCTTCTGGAATCCTTAATTTGGCAATCTTCCAATTTGCTCAACATACTAAAAAAAAATTAAAGAGGTAAGTGTGTATGTATGTGTATGTGGGGGGACGCCAGGGATGAGTGGGGAGAGGGTGTCATGTGGCCCACGCACTGCACAGTTCTCCGGCTACTTTCTCTCCCAACTCTGATTGGACTGGAGCGGACATTAATGCTCACTCCAGCCTCATCACCTCTCCAGAGAGCTGACACTGCTTGGGAAGCTAAATTGTTCTTTTTGAAGGGAGAATTACATATGAGAGACTGAAAATCGAAACAAACTAAAAAGGATGCAAGCTCACTATGAATTAGTTAAGTCTATTGCGTTATCTTATGGCAAGTTTATAACTTTCTCCCTGAATTTTGGGTTCCCTTGGTTGGAGAAGGGAAATGTAGATGTGTTCCCTAGGACTACCATAACAAAGTACTGCAAACTTGATGGCTTAAATTAAAGCAACAGAAATTCATTCTCTCACAGTTCTGGAGGGCAGAAGTCAGAAATCAAGATGCCAGCAGGGCTGCACTCCCTCTTCTGAAGGCTCTAGGGGGAGTCTTTCATTGATTTACCAGTTCTAGTGGCTCCAGGTGTTCCTTGGCTTATAGCTGCATCACTTTAATCATTTTACATGGCCTTCTCCCCTGTGTGAGCTTGTTGACACTCCTTTGTCGTCTCTCTTACAAGGATACATGTAATTGTATTTTGGGCTCACCTGGATAATGAAAAATAAACTCGTTGCCTCAAGATCCTTAATTAACCACCATTTGTGCCACATAAGGTCACATTTACAGAATCCAGGATTTGAATATGGGCATGTCTTTGGTGCCAATGTGTAGCCCACTACACTACGTAATTCTTTTCTCTGTCTTATCACAGAACAGGCTCTCTTACACATAAAGTTGGTTGCTTTCTAAATTCCATGAGGTTTCAAGTTTGTTTCCATTGTTCCCCTTTCTTTCTTTTTTTTTTTTTTGAGATGGAGTTTCGCTCTTGTTGCCCAGGCTGAGGAGCTCAACGGTATAATCTCAGCTCGCCGCAACTTTCACCTCCCAGGTTCAAACGATTCTCCTGCCTCAGCATCCCAAGTAGCTGGGATTACAGGCACCTGCCACCATGCCCAGCTAATTTTTGTATTTTTAGTAGAGATAGGGTTTCACCATGTTGGCCAGGCTGGTCTTGAACTCCTGACCTCGTCATCTGCCCACTTCGGCCTCCCAAAGTGCTGGGATTACAGGCGTGAGCCACTGCGCCCAGCCTGTTCTTCCACTTTCTTAATGACCTAAATAGAAACATGATTCACGCTGACTTCTTCCTTTGTATTTAACCTTGCACTATGAAAACAAACTACTGTCTCTGATGCCTTAGTAACTTAATAGTGCTTCTGATCTTTTGAAAATCACAGGTTTGTGCTTATAGGAATATATCCTCTAGACTCAAGCTTATGTCTCTAAAAGTCTAACTAAAGGCCTTGTGGCTGGTACATTACTGTAATCAGCAAGAAACTGGCCCTGATTCTCTTAAACTCACTTTGTTCAACTGAGAACAAACTTGGAAGTCTCCTACAAAACTGGAGTTGATTCTCATCTCTTGATTACTTCTGCAGGCCTTTGAAAGTTCCGGAGAAGTTCTCTGTGTGCCATATACATTAAACACGCTTCCATGTTTTCCTTTAAATCATCAAGAGCAGCACATAGGATAATGTGTTTATTCCTTTCTCTGCTCCCTAGGATTATCTTCTTTTTAAAGTCATCGACCCTTTCCCTATCTACTCTAAATGAATGATTTCTTGCTCCATCCTGACAAATCCGGTTAAAATGACATTGCATCTCTTTATATCATCTGTCCAAATTGTACAAAGAAAGAGTGTCTAATGGGCACTCTCCAGCAAATTTACTGCCTATGGAGTGCTTAGAGATCCCAGGCTGTCCTAAAAATAAAAGAAAGTCTTGAATAGGTTTCTCCTTTCTCTGAGGTTTACAGATTCAGAAGCAGGGAGTAGGGAGAAAGCATTTCCCTCATTATCTTTCTAATACTCTTGAAACATATTCTGCTCCTTGAAAACCTAATATTCAAAAGTTAGCTCTCGGAGTGTAGGATCGATTTTTTTTCACTGTTTATTTTATTTTAAAGTTTTTAATTTTTTTTATTTTTATTTTTATTTTTTATTTTTTGGAGACAGAGTCTCACTCTGTCACCCAGGCTGGAGTGCAGTGGCACGATCTCAGTTCACTGCAACCTGCGCCTCCCGGGTTCAAGCAATTCCCTGCCTTAGCCTCCCAAGTAGCTGGGATTACAGGTGCCTGTCACCACGCCAGGCTAATTTTTGTGTTTTTAGTAGAGACGGGGTTTCACCATCTTGGCCAGGCTGGTCTCGAACTCCTGACCTCGTGATCCACCCGCCTCAGCCCACCAAAGTGCTGGGATTAGGCATGAGCCTTTTTTTTTTTTTTCTGAGGCAGTCTTGCTCTGTCACCCAGGCTGGAGTGCAGTGGTGTGATCCCAGCTCACTGCAGCCACAACATCCCCAGCTCAAGCAATCCTTCCACTTTAGCTTCCTGAGTAGCTGAGACTATAGGCACATGCCACCATGTCCAGCTAATTTTTGTATTTTTTTTTTTAGAGATGGGGTCTCCCTGTGTCACTCAGACTGCTTTCAGTCTGTTCTGGACTCGAGATCTTCCTGCCTCAGCCTCCCAAAGTGCTAGGGTTATAGGGGTGAGCCACTCCATCCAGCCCACTTTATTCATTTTAATGAGATGAACATTAGTCAATTAATTGGGCTTTTTGGCTCACTGCAACCTCCACCTTCCGGGTTCAAATGATTTTCCTGCCTCAGCCTCCCAAGTAGCTGGGACTACTGGCGCGTGCCACCATGCCTGGCTAATTTTTGTATTTTTAGTAGAGACAGGGTTTCACCATATTGGCTAGGCTGGTCTCCAACTCCCGACCTCGTGATCTGCCCACTTTGGCCTCCCAAAGTGCTGGGATTACAGGCGTGAGGTCACTGCGCCTGGCCAATTGGGCTTTTATTGGAGAAGAATGAATATCTATAGTGACTGCTTGTAGAATGAAATGTTGTTTCAAGCTTTTTGCCCCCTAAAGATGAGAATGGTAATATAACATTTGTGTACTGTGAGTTCTAATTGGGATAAATAAAATACTAGAAATAGAATCCCAGACCCAGGAAGAACCTTGTCTTCAGAGGAGCAACCTTGGTCCCAGCCCCTTCTCCACAGCTGCATGAAGAAGCTGCACAGAAAACCACTCACCCTCACCCCTAGAAAGTACTCTTCCCAGCCCCTAGTAACCACTATTCTACTCTCCACTTCTATAGGATCAAATTTTTTAGCTTCCACATGTGAGTGAGAACATGCAGTATTTATCTTTCTATGCCTGGCTTAGTTCACTTAACATAATGTCTCCCAAGCTCATCCATGTTGCCACAAATGACAAATTTTGTTCTTTTTAAATCAGTAAATAGTATTCAATTGTGAATATATACCACATTTTTCATCCATCTTTCTGTTGATGAACATTTCGGGTGATCCATATTTTGGCTATTGTGAATAGTGCTACAGTAAACATGAGAGTGCAGAGATCTCAACAAGATTCAGTAACCTTACTACTGAGTATATATCCAAAGTATTTTATTCATTTTGATGCTATTATAAATGGAATAGTTTCCTTAGTTTCCATTTTTGGATTGTTTATTGTTAGTGTATATAAATGCAACTGATTTTTGTGTATTGATTTCCTGTCCTGCAACTTTGCTCAATTTGCTTGCTTATTAGTTCTATTGGGGTTTTGTGTGTGTGTGTGTGCATGGTATCTTCAGGTTTTTCTACATATAAGATTTTATCATTTGCAAACAGACAAAATTTTACTTATTTATTTCCAATTTGGATCCCTTTTACTTATTTTTCTTGCTTAATGTTACTGCAGCTTTCTATGCAGGAAACGAGGATTTGAACAGTGATGGAGAGATGAGTAATGGTTCGATTTGGAACATATTTTATGGGCAGAACAAATGGAACTTGTTGGCTCAGAAGTGGGTGGTGGAAGAAAGAGGGAAGTTAAAAGTGACTTCTAGGTTTATGGATGGATGAACTGGCTAAATTATTGTGGTGCCATTTGCTTAGACAGGGTAGATGGGGGGATGCAGGACTAAGAGAGGAAGAGAAAAGCTCCACCTGGGCCACATTAAATTTGGCCATGATTGTGGATCAGATAGGTAAAAGCAAGAGAAGGAGGGAAGAAGTCAGAACACAGACCTCTGGGGAAAGCTCACACGTAGAAAAGGGGTGGAAGAAGAGGCATCAGAAAGAGAGGCAAAGAAGAGCAATCTGAGGGGTAGAAAAAGAACCAGGAAAGTCAGAGAAAAAAGGGAAAAGTTTCAGGAAAGTGGCAATGGTCAACTATGCAAACAAGAGGGGAAGGAAGGTGAGGACTGAGAAAGGATTTTTTATGTAAGCAACAAGGAGGTTTTTGGTGACCTCTGACAGAACATTTTCAGCAGACTGGATAAGGTCTCTGCCTGAGTGCAAGTGAGCTGAAAATGCAAGTGAGTGAGGGAAGTGCTTTAAAAAAGTCTAAAGTGCTATGTGTGTAAGGCAATGTTGCTATTTCTGTTGCCATGGAAACAGAAACCATTTAGGAGAACTAAAAGCCACTTAAAATTCCTGACTCTAACCCATCATATCCGCTTGATCTCTTGAGAAAGATAATGACAAAAAACCAGTCATTAGAGGGGCAGGGCAATTTTAGGTTTCTTCTTTTTAGACATAGCCCCTAACTGGAAATTTTCACCCTTCTTGAGAAGGGAGCTTGCACTAACATCTACAATGGCTTCTAAAAAGCACAGATGACCTGCTACACTTCCTGACTTGCTTGCTATTGGTTGGCACTGTTCATAAATATAATTTGCTCTTTCACTTTTCTTTGAAATGAGCAACCTGAATTACTCGGAGGAGAAAGGCAGGAGAGATAGAGGCAGCAGAAGCCAGGGCAGCTGAAAGACAGAGACCTTCAGGTGGGCATTTTAATCTTTGTTTTGTTAATTCAGTGTTGAGCATCATGACTTGATGATCACATAATAGTCAGAGGAGTAATTTTTTAAAAGTAAATTTGTTTTGTTCTACTATAAATGTTATTTTCCTATCATGTACATGGTAGTTTAAAAAATACTGTGGAAGTATAAAAATGTTGAAAGAAGCCAAATTCTCCACCAAAATAGCCTCTATTGATATTTTGGGGATCGTCCCTTTGTGTGTGTGTGTGTGTGTGTGTGTGTGTGTGTGTGTGTGTGTGTGTGTGTGTGAGTGTGTGTGTGTGTGTGTGTATGCACATATAACTTTAGTTTTCATAGTTGCGTCCCTACACTATGGACAAGTTTGTATTCATTTCCTCCATATCAGTCTATGGTTTTTCCATGTTGCTGTGAATTCTTTGTAATCATAAATTAAAGCTGCTGCATATTATTGCATTGAGGAACTTTACTATACTTCCTCCATTTTTGGCTGTTATCCTCTTTTTCATAGTTTGGGTCCTTCTATTATATAAGATATATTTTTTCCATTCAGTGTCTTGTTTTAGGGGTAGAAGAAGTTAAATCTGAGCACATATATTTCAATGGTTTTGCTCAGAGGCACAATGAGAATGAAAGAGTATGTGAGATCATGAGCATATAATCTGTTCCTTACCCCACTGGGACCCTAATCAGTGTTTCTCAACCCTGGCTGCACATCTGGCCAGAATCACCCGACTCTGAGGAGATTAGAAAATTACCCCTAGAATAACTGAAGCTTAACTTTTGGAGATCAGTGAGTCATCTGCAGTATTTTATCTTGTTTTCCAGAAACTTCTCAGGTGGTTCTAATGGGTGGTCAGCATAAAAACAGATGACCTAGGTCATTCAAAATATTTTTCTGTCTCTGAAATATACCTGAGAGTAATATGTATTAGGAGAAAGGGAGGTATAATTTAAGGCAAGCCAACCAAATCTCCCTTTCAACACTACATAAATAATGCAAATTATAAAATAATTTGTGGGAAACATAAGACTTCTAGAAATTTCTATCATCTACTCAGCCACATAAACTCTTGAGATAAGAATCTACTTGTGTTTCGATTTACTAATGTTTTAAAGAGATGGATTTGTTTCCAGTGCTTCGGTGGTTAAAAGTTAGAGAAGTTGAGGCTCAAGTGTGTTCTAAATGTATCTGAATCACGCCCATATCTGCTAGAATCTACCAAGGCAGCCAGGCTTCCTTTTAAAACTCTTCAAGATTAAACACAAGGTGGGCATTTAATAGCTGGCCAGTTCACTAACACACTGTGGGCACAGCGAAGATCGATGGGATTGGATTTGGAGGCAGAAGGTGGCTCACTCTGGCTTTCAGGAGCCACATAGACATGGCATTTACCTTCTCTGGACCTCATATCCTCAGGAGGAAAGTGGATAGAGTTTATGCCAGGGCTGCGTTCTGGTTTCTCCCATCAGGGACTGAAAACAGAGCCACAGCGCCTAAACCACACTGAAGCATTTGCTGTTGCACTCAGCCTGCTACAGGCTAGGAATCATCCCAATGAGACCAACAGCATGTTAATCTAATTTCTTCTTGTTTTGACTCAGTGGAGAACACCTGTTTAGTACCTTCTTTAATGAATGTAAACATTCACATAGTACTTTACTATTTACAAAACATGTTTACAGGCATCAGTTCATTTGATCCACATACTAGCCTTAAGAACTGGAGGATGTAATTCTTATTTTAAAGATGGTAAAGATGAGACCAAGAGAACATAGGATCTTTCCCAGGTGGAACCAGAACTGGTCCAATCTGGTTGAGCCCAGGGCACATGGTCCTTTCTTACAACTTAAATAATAGCTATTGTGGGAAATTGGTTAAACAAATTTCATAATGTTTATATAATTGGCTATTCTGTATCCAGTTAAATGATGACATTGATGTTGTTAGTTGGCAAAGAAAGGTGATCATGACACGAAATAAGAAAAAAGCAAGATACAAACAGCATTATAAGTGTGCTCATTTTTGTTCAAAAATATTTGTATATATTTCAAGAAAGATAAAAAAACCATATATGCAAAATTTTAGCTATGTCTGGTTGGTGGTAAAGTTCATTATTTAAGTTTATTTCAGCTTGTATTACATTGTAATTTTTTTTTACCATGAATGTGTACTACTTGTGTAATAAAAATAAATAGAATTGTTCATGTGTTTCTGGTTGGCTCTTCTCCAGATGAAATGGCCCCATCTTCTTTCACTTGACCATAAAGAAGGCTCCTGTTTAATTATCTGAGTTTTGTACATTATTGTCACAAATCTTATTGTGATTGTTAGCTAGTACTGACTGAACTCTTCACATGTGTTGGGCACCAAGTTAATCACTTAACATCCATTTTTTTTTCATCAATACTCACTCCAGTGCTCCTTTGGCAGATGAGAGTTTGAAGCTCAGACGGCTGCAGTAATAAAAGAGACTAAAAGGCAGAGTTGAAACTTAAACCCAGGTCCCTTTTAACTCAAAAGCACATGCTTTCATTCATTATATCACTCTGCCTCCTATCCACCTGGGATCACATGAGCAGCCTCCATTTTGGAGGAAAGATGATATATTTTTTCAGTGTACTCATTGCTGTGTACATGAGTACATGATGGTTACCTTGGGCATCGTTAGCATTTCCTGTGTACTCCAGAATCAAAGATCCTTTCTGCTTTTCTATAGTTTGCTCTGTGCACCAGATATCTGAGGCACTCTAGTTCCCCAAGGGTAAGCCTTTAAGATAAAAGCCTCACAAGGGATTGTGCAATTACCCAATGAACTCTGGCTAATGCGGCAGCCAAATTGGATAATACAAAGAAAGGCAAGCATTTTGCTGTGGGTGCTCAGCGTTGCTAGAGAGCTTTTTGAAATCCATGTCAGAAACCCCTAGCACTGTATTTCTTTATTTCTCAGGGTATTGGCCACTGCCTCCTTTGTACTGCAGTTACTTATGTACAGTATGTTCTATTGGACCAAGACTCTGACATTGGAGTCATTGCATAGAACCTAGCACATAAACTCCATTGAGAATAAAGGCATTGTGTAAATAAATCAATTCACCCAATGAATGCAGACTTTATTAGTTACAGCTAATGTTTATCTCTGTTGAACTTTATTAACCTCTTTATATTAATTGACCCATGGAGAAAATATAATCTTGACAGAATTTAAAGGAAAACCTCTTCCAATGGATTGATGACTTTGTGGCAGTACAGTCAGTCTTTTGACAAAGAAATCTAGTTATTATTCGAGAGGCCCAGGATAAGGGTCTAAGCAGTGAGTTGGAGTCAAGAAATTCCAAAGTCGGAAGGGTCCTTAGGAAGAGCTGGGACCAGAGGCAGAGTTTTTTTTGCCTCTTTAGTGTAAAGTCCTTAACGGAGAGGTTTCAAAAAAGTACAGGAAGCAGACTATAGAAAGAACAGAAGAAAGGAGAGAAAGGAGGGAAGTAGAGGAGAGGGGAGAGGAGGGAAAGAGATGGAAAAGGAGAGAGGAAAAGAGGGGAAGGGAGCTGGTTTACTCTGGAAGTTTAAATATTAATTAAGCTGGGAGAAATTAAAATAATTTAGTCCACCATTATTACCTACATTGTACATTATATAAATAAGAATTTATTATAAAAAAGATAATTTCCCACGTAAGTCTCCTGCCATGAGGCTGTAGAAACAGCATCGTACCTTGTTTGTACCTCTAGTACAGAAAAACAATCATCTAAAGAGTATTTGAAGGCATCCTAGATTCTTTTTTCTCTTTTGTCAAATTATTATTTTTAAAGTATTTTAAATTTGTATAAATTTATGGATTACACATGCAATTTTATTAGACGTATAGATTGCATAAATTGTGTAGTGGTCAAGTCAAGGCTTTTAGGGTAACCATCACCTGAATAACATTGTATCCCAGATTCTTTTAAGTAAGCTGGTTTCTCTTTATTTTGAGTCTTACCTTAAAAATAAGGTAAATTCGCTGAGAGATATGTAAATCTCTTGTAAATTCACTGTTCCTTTGTAAATTCACTGAGAGATATGAAGGTGACTCCCTTTTAGTTGTAAGAGGCACAAATCCCTATTGGGAACTTGTTGGCACAGAGTCAGAGAAACAGTCTGCTACCCTCCAAGATATAAAGGGTGCTGCTTCCTACAGTGTTTAGAACAGAGCACCATCTGGGTACCCTCTGTGGCTGCCTTCTGCTCCCATGCCATGCCATTGACCATTTACCCTATATTCCTCTTCCCAGACTTTAGATTTGAATTTCAGGAAAAGAAAATTTTCAAGGAAAAACACATTAACATCATTTCATTATAAAAACCATGTGAGTTCTTTCCCGCCCCCCAAAAAGATATTAATTGTAAGGCATAAAATGAGGGTGTTGGATAACAGCTTCATTAGCTCATTTATTGATCTGAGCACATTCATGTGCTTCACGCTGTGCTAGGGCCTGGGGTACAGCAGTAGACACGTGCTTGCCTTCCATGGGCAAACAGTCTGGTGGGTAGGGATAGACAGGAGACAACTGCTGCCCCTGGAGTAAATGCTGGATGGGAAACCCAAGGGTCTGCAAACAGCCAAGACATGGAGGGATCAGAGAAGACTTTTTCTGAAGAAAGTGATGTTTAGAAAGAAACCTGAGACTGGGTAAGCAATAGCCAGGAAATGAGCTGGAGCTCAGAAGAAATGGGCAAGAGAGAGCCTGCAGTGTTGGGGGTTTTGAAATAAGCTTCATGAGACTGAGTGTCCTTTACTGAGGGGATGGTGGGGAGAGAATATGCTGGACAACAAGATCAATACTATGAAAAGCCTGGAGATGAACTTGACTCTGAGATGATAATGGGTTTTAAGTGGAAGAGTAATGTGGTCAGATATGCATTTTGGAAAGGTCACTCTGGCCACTGTGTGAAAAATGAATTGAGAACAGCCAGAGTGGAGATAGGGAGCCATTGAGGAGGCTGTGCCCATTGTGCAGGTGAAAGATGACAGCCTGTACTAGGCCGGTCTTGAGCTGACCACTGAGATGAAAGGAGGAAGTTGATGGAGGCTGCTGGGTAAACAGGCCAGGTCTGCCACAGAGGAGACACTGGGCAGCAGGACAAGCAGGAGAGGAGGAGAGCCCATGGTTTACTTTTGCTCCTGGCCCTCTCTCCTTTAGATTTCAGATACCCACTGCCCCCATGCCACTGGCAGCAGGTGGGGTGGCAACAGGAATGACAATGCATGGTGCCAGGCAAAGTGTAGCTGCATCCCTGGCTGTCACCTGTGCTGCCTCCTGGGGTCCTCTCAATAACTCTGAGATGTTGAGTACTTTCTGATGGTCACACAGTTTGCACAAGGAAGAGCTAGGATTTGGGTTCAGTTGGGATTTATTCCAGAGGTTTTCCATGATATCGCAATGTCTCTATGTCATTTTAGGAAATACACATGATGTTTAACAAACTACCTTTGTAAATAATTTCTTTTCTCTAAGAATTGAATTTAATAATGGAATATGAAATGCTGTCTAGGGGAAATGAGAATGAGAGGGAGTTTTAATTTGAATAAATGGGCTTGTGAGGAGCTCCTGAGTCATGTCATTTAGTTACCTTGATTATGGACAGGGAGGACCCTAATGTTGATCAATCCGTAGGGATTTATTGGAATAAACAGGACAATGTTTCTATGATAACACTTGCTGTTCTTCTGTCTTGGAAATCAGAGACTCAGATAAAAAACAATTCTGTGATTCTGTGGTCTTCCTTAGATCAGACATTTGGTGAATAATAGATACCGCCAACCTTTCTAAATACAAGGATGAAGTGCATTAGAAAATGAAAAACATATTGTTGAGATTTTTACGAAAATTAAATTCATAATCAGCATCATAGACTCATGTGTTATATTAACCAAGGAGAGCTGAGGAAAGTTTTGAGAGCCAGAGAGAGGGCAACATTTAGTCAAAATAATGTTTTTAAACAAAATGAAGCCATATCTCTAAGCAGCTCAGGGCTCTTCATATATGATGTTTTTGTTGAGTTGAATTTTTGTTTGTTTATTTGGTGGCTGAATGTTAGTGGTAGGATGAATGTGCAAGAGAAGCTAGCTTTTGGAGTCTATTAAAGAAGGAAACAAGGAGAATTAGTAAAGACAGAGGTGGGAAGAAGGAGGTCTGAGGTAATGCTGTACATCTTGTTCTTGAGGGCAGAGGTGTCCCCTGGCATGTTTGGATGCCAAACTTCTGCTAGGTTTCAATCCCTGCTACATCCCTGGGGATAAGTTGTTCTCTGGGAGATAACAGTAGATCTGCCAGAAAACTCTTCACCAATGGCCCAAAGTGCTGACTTCATGGTTAAGTGGCATGTGGAAATAAATGGCATTCAGAAAGCAAAGGGTCACCAGCCTGGTGGCCAATGAAGTGACTCATACTTTGGGGGCTCCTTGAGGCACTTTGTGGGTGACCGGGTAGAGGAAAAATCAGTGCAGCAAAATTCTCCAAGGCACTGAGTCCATGAAAACAAGGCCCTGTGAGATTCATTCCCCTCCATCCCACTTCCTCTGGAAGCTCAGAGACCAGCTCCGTTTCACATTCAAAATATGTCACAATTTCAGTTCCTTTTATCTGTGTTTCTGTTTTGATCTCCAAGAACTTAATTCACCTTGACTTTTTGAAAAAAAAATTCTGAAAGCACAAGACCGTTCTTGGAAGGCCAGGAAGGTCTAGAAAGCTTGGCATTTCTGACATGACATTTGGAGCCTGTTACAAATAAACTCTGAGTTGTCAGCTTGGGTCTCAAGAGTAAACTCTCAGTGATACTTCCCTGTTCTGGAGGGCCGTGTTAATTCAGCACTCTGAGGCCTCTGGGATTTTGAGGAACAAATGTGTTGCAGAATCCTCTCTGCACAACTTCAGAGAGCTTATTCTGTCAGCCTTTGCAATAACAACAGCTAACACTTAATATGGCACTTTCTCTGGTCCAGGCCCTGACCTAAGTGCCATTCATGTATTATCTCACTTCATCCTTACAACCCTATGAAGTAAGAACTATTATTAGCATTACCCCTTTCTTTTATTTATTTATTTAAATTAATCTTTTTTTTTAATTTTTCTTTTTTATTGAGACAGTGTCTTGCTCTATTGCCCAGGCTGCTCTTGAATTCCTGGGCTCAAGCGATCTTCCTGCCTCAGCCTCCCAAAGTGCTAGGATTACAGACATGAGCCACTTTGCCTGGCCGCATTACCCCCTTTTACTGATAAGGAGCTGACGCCGAGGGAGATAAAGTCATTTTCCCATGGTCATAGAGGTAGTCCGTGAACAAATCAGGATTTAAATCCTGAGGTTGCTGCTCTGTTACTGCTTCCCTGCAGCTGAGAGCAACACCTGTCATGCTTCTCACCATTTTTTATCATTAAATCATTTCTCAGCCTTGTTTTTATATATTTACTAGTGCCCTGCAAAAATTTTGCCTCCTTAATGCTTGTTCTAGGTCCCAATTCTGAGGTTTAATAATAATAGTTAACATCACTGAGCGCTCACCCTGTATGAGACAACTCACATTTATTATGCCATTTATAGATGGCATAACTGAGGCTCAGAGAAGATAGGTCACTTCTGCAAAATCTCACAGCCAGTAAGTGGCAGATGTGGCCTGCTACCTTACACCAACTGTCTCCTGTGAACACTTCTATTTATTTTAATTTATTTGTCAAATTGACAAATAATAATTGCATATTCATGGGGTATATATTGATGTTTCTATACATGTAATGTATATTGATCAGATCAGGGTAATTAGCATATCCATCATCTCAAATATTTATCATTTCCTTTTGTTGGGATCGTTCAATATCCTCCTTTGAACTAGTTGAAACTATTTAATACATTATTGTTAATTAGAGCCATCTTACAGTGGTATAGAACATTAGAACTTATTCCTCTCATCTAGTGGTAATTTTGTATCCTTTACCAAATCTCTCCCTTTCCCCCACTCTTCCAGGCCTCTGGTTTCCTCTGTTCTACTTTTTACTTCTATGAGATCAACTTTTTTTACTATTCCACATATGAGTGAGAACATATGGTGTTTGACTTTCTGTTTCTGGTTTAGGAAATACAATGGACTTAACATAATGTCCTCCATTTCCACCCTTGTTGCCACAGATGACAAGATTTCATTCCATTTTATGGCTGAATAGTATTCCATTATGTATATATACCACATTTTCTTTATCCATTCATCTGTTGTTGAACACTTAGGTTGATTCCATAACTTGGCTATTGTGAATAGTGCTGCAGTAAACATGTCAGTGCAGACATCTCTTAGGCAAACTGGTTTCAAAGCTTTTGGGCAAGTACCCACAAGTGAGACTGATGGATCATATGGTAATTCTACTTTTAGTTTCTTGAGGAACCTCCATATAGTTCTCCATGGTGGCTATACTACTTTACAGTCCCACCAACAACACATGAGTTCCCTTTACTCCACATCCTTGCCAACATTTGTTTTTTCATCTTTTTGATAATAGCCATCCTAACTGGGGTGAGATGATACCTCATCGTGGTTTTGAGTTGCAAAATCATCACTGATGATTAGTGATGTTGAACATTTTTTCATATACCTGTTGACCATTTGAATGTCTTCTTTGTGAAATGTCTGTTTAAATCATTTACCCATTTTAAAATTGAATATTTTGCTGTTGAGATGTTTGAGTACCTTGTATATTCTGAATATTAGTCACCTGTCAGATTAGTAGCTTGCAAATATTTTCTCAAATTCTGTAGGTTATCTTTTCACTCTGTTGATTGCTTCCTTTGCTGTGCAGAAACTTTCTAGTTTGATAATCCCATTTGTTTATTTTTGCTTTTGTTGCCTGTGCTTTTGAGGTTTTATTCACAAAATCATTTCCCAGACCAGTGTTCTGAAATGTGTGTCCCATGTTTCCTTCTAGTAGTTTTTATCATTTTGGGTCTTATATTTAAGTCTTTGATCCATTTTGAGTTAAATTTTGTAGAGTGAGAGGTTTGGGCCTAGTTTCATTCTTCTATAGACATCCAGTTTGCCCAGAACCATTTATTCAGGAGACTGTCTTTTCCCCAATGAGTATTCTTGGCACCTTTGTCAAAAATCAGTTTGCTGTAGATATTTGGATTAATTTCTGGATTCTCTATTCTGTTCCATTGGCCTATGTGTCTGCTTTTGTTAGTAACATGCTATTTTGGTTACTATAACTCTGTAGTGTATTTTGAGGTTTGGTGGTGTGATACTTCCAGCTTTGTTCTTTTTGCTCAGGTTTGCTTTAGCTATTTGGGTTCTTTTGTGGCTCCATACAAAGTTTAGAACTTTTTTCTATTTATGTGAAGAATGTCATGGGTATTTTGATAGGAATTGCATTGAATCTGTAGGTTGCTTTGAATAGTGTTGTCATTTTGACAATATTAGTTCTCCTCCATGAGCATGGGTTGTCTTTCCATTTGTTTGTATCCTCTTCCATTTATTTCATCAGTGTCTTGTAGTTTTCCTTGTAGAGGTCTTTCACCTCCTTGGTTACATTTCTTCCTAAGGTTGTTTTTTGTTTGTTTGTAGCTGTTGTAATGGGATTGCCCTCTTGATATTTTTTTTCCAGCTAGTTCATTGTTTGTGTAGAAAACACTACTGATGTTTGTATATTAATTTTGTTTCCTGCAACTTTATTGAATGATTTATTAGTTCTAAGAGTTTTTGGTAGAGTCTTTCTATATATGAGATTATCATCTGTAAACAGGAACAATTTGACTTCTTTCTCTTGAATATGAATGCCATTTATTTATTTCTCTTGCCTAATGACTCTGACTAGGATTTCCAGTGCTATATTGAATAAGAGTGGTGAGAGTAAGCATCATTGTCTGTCCCTGTTCTTGGAAGAAAAACTTCCAACTTTTTCTAATTTAGTAAGATGTTTGCTGTGAGTTTGTCACATGTGGCCTTTGTTATATTGAAGTACTTTCCTTCTATACCTAATTGTAAGAAGTTTCTATCATGAAGTGAGCTTAAATTTTATCAAAAGATTTTTCTGCATCTATTGAGGATCATATGGCTTTTGTCTTTCACTCTATTGATGTGATGTATGATGTTTATTTATTTGCATATGTCGAACCATCCTTGCATCCTGAGATAAATCCCACTTGATCATGGTGTATTGTGTTTTTGATATGTTGTTTGATTTGGTTTGCTAGTATTTTGTTTGGCATTTTTGCTTCTATACGTATCAGGGATATTAGCCTGTAGTTTTTTTTGTTGTTGTTGTTATGTCCCTATTCAGTTTTGGTATCAGGGTTATGCTGGCTTCATAGAATGAATTAGGAAGAATTAATTCCTTCTGCTTCAATTTTTTGGAATAGTTTTAGATGAACCGATATGAATTCTTCTTTAAAGATTCAGTAAAATTCATCAGTGAAGCCATCTGGTGTTTCTTTTTGGGAGACTCTTTATTACTGATTCAATCTTATTATATGTTTTTGGCTTATCCAGGTTCTGTTTTCTTCATGGTTCAATCTTGGTAGGTTGTATGTGTCTAGGAATTTACCCATTTCCTGTAGGTTTCAAATATATTGGCATATAATTGTTCATGGTAGTATGGTAGTCTCTAATGATCCTTTGTATTTCTGTGGGATCTGATGTGATGTTTCCTTTTTCATTTCTGATTTTATTTATTTGGTTCTTCTCTCTTTTTTTCTTAGTTTAGCTAGTGGTTTGTCCATTTTGTTTACCTTTTCAAAAAACCAGCTGTTCACCTTTTGTATTTTTTTAAGTATCAATTTTATATTTCTATTCTGCTCTTTATTACTTCTTCTACTAATTTTGGGCTTAGTTTGCTCTTGCTTTTCTAGTTCCTTGAGGGGCATTTTTAGGTTGCTTATTTGAAATCTTTTTAATTTCTAATGTAGGCATTTATTGCTATAAGCTTGCCTCTTAACACTGCTTTTGCTGTGCCCCATAGTTTTTGGTATATTGTGTTTCTATTTTAGTTTGTTTCAAGGAATTTTAAAATTATATTCTTAATTTCTTTCTTTACCCATTGGTTATTCAGAAGCATGTTGCTTAATTTCCATGTATTTGTATAGTTTTGAATGTTCCCCTTGTTATTGCTATCTATTTTTGTTCCCTTGTGGTCAAATAAGTTACTCGGTATGATTTTGATTCTTAAAAAAATTTTTTTGAGACTTGTTTTGTGTCCTAATATATTGTAAATCATGGAGAATGTTTCACACGCTGATGAAAAATAAATATGTATTCTGCAGCTGTTGGGTGAAATGTTCTGTAAATGTCTGTTAGGTCCATCTGGTGTATGGGGCCATTTAAATCTGATGTTTCTTTGTTGATTTCCTGATTAGATGATCTGTCCAGTGCCAAGAATTGGCTGCTGAGTCCCCAGATATTGTTGTATTGGGATCTATCTCTTCCTTTAGATTTAATATTTGCTTTATATATTTGGGTGGTCTAGTGTTGGGTGCATATATACTTACAACTGTTATTTTTTGGTGAATTCATCTTTCTATTATTATATAATGTCCTTCTTTTCTCTTTTTACAGCTTAACCCAAAGTCTGTTTTGTCTGATATAAGCATAGCTATTCCTGCTCACTTTTGATTTCCATTTGCATGGAATATCTTTTTTCGTCCCTTCACATTTAGTCTATGTATATCTTTACAGGTTAGGTGATTTTCTTATAGGCAGCATATAGTTAGGTCTTGTGTTTTTAAAATCTATTAGGCCAGTCTATATCTTTTAAATGGGGAATTTAATCCATTTACATTCAAGGTTATTATTTCTTGGGAGGTGAGGACTTACTTCTATCATTGTATTGATTCTTTTCTGCTTGTTTTGTGTATCTTTTGTTCCTTACTTCTTTTCTTATTGTTTATCTTTGCAATTGAATGGTTTCCTGTGGTGATAAGGCTTGATTCCTTTCTGATTCTCCTTTGTGTATCAGCTCTACTAGTAAGTTTTATAGTTTCGCATGTTTTCATGAAAATGGTTATCATCTTTTCACTTCCAGATATGACTCCTTTGAGCATTTCTTTTAAGGCTGGTCTAGTGGTGATACATTCTCTTAATTTTTGCTTGTCTGGGAAAGATTTTATCTCCTCTTCATTTCGGAAGGATAGCTTTGCTTGGTATAATATTCTTCATGGACAGGTTTTTTCTTTTGGTATGTTGAATTTATCATCCCAATTCTCTCTTGACCTCTAAGGTTTCTGCTGGGAAATCCACCCTTAGGCCAATGAAGATTCCCTTATATGTGGCTTGATGCTCTTCTCTTGCTGCTTTTAAAATTTTTTCTTGTCTTTGACTTTTGACAGTGTAAGTGTAATGTGACTTGGGGAGGATCTTTTTGCATTGAATCTATTTGGAAATTTTTTAGCTTCTTGGACCTGGATGCCCATCTCTCTCTCAAGACTTGGGAAGTTCTCTGCTATCATTTTATTAAATATATTTTCCTACACTTTTCTCCTCTCTTTGCCTTCTGAAACACCCATAATATGAGCATTTCTTTCCTGAACTGTGTCCGATAAATCCTGTAAGCTTTTTTCGTTCTCTTTTATGCCTTTTTTGTTTGTCTGCCTGTGTTATTTCAAAAGACCTGTCTTCGTGCTTAGAAATTCTTTCTTCTTGGCCAGTCTGTTGTTGAAGCTCTCTATTATATTTTTATTTCATTCAATGAATTCTTCATCTCTAGGATTTCTTTTTGGTTCTTTTTTATGATAACTATCTTTTTTTGTTGAATTTCTCATTCAAATTATGAATCATTTTCCTGATTTCATTGAATTGTCTATCTGTATTCTCTTATATCTCACTGAGTCACCTTCAGATTATTATTTTGAGTTCCTTTATTTGCATTTCATGTATTTCCCTATGATTTGGGTCTGTTACTAGAATTATTATTTTCCTTATGGGGTGTCATGTTTCCATGCTTTTAAATATTTGATGTGTTCCTATGTTGATTTCTACACATCTGGTGGAAAAGTTGTCTCTTTCAATTTTATGGAGTAGGTTTCACAGGGCAAAGCTTATTCATATAAATGTGTCCTGGAGTATCAGTTCAGTGAGGTGAGCAGACCTTGGTTCTACGTAGACATTTTAGTGTAGTCTTCATGTGGTTTCTTTGGCTGTAATCCACATTAGTGGCATTTGCAAGTCTCTCAGTGGCCTAGGCTGTAAGAATTTGTAGTGATAGCCAGATGTGGGCTTCCTGGGCTGTTTCTCAGGTAAAGGGAATGTGTGTACACATGATGGGTCAACGAACTATGGGTTAAGTTTGCTAGGGTTAAGGCCATGGGGCTGTTACCCTGGCTGGGAGTATGTCAATGCGGTTGCTCAGTCAGCCTGGGGGGTGGAGGGCATGCCTGCCAGGAGTGGCTTGCAGGGATATTTCTCAGTCTCAGGATGCAGGTACATAGCTGCTTGGATGGCCTGAGGGAACATCTGCTGGGGCAACCCATTAGGCTGTTTCTCTGGCTCAGAACGTCTGCTTGGCTTGCCTGGGGACATGCCTTCCAGGGGTGCCCCACAGGGCTGTTTTTCAGGACTGTTATATGGGTGCACAATTGCAAAGCTAGCCTAAGACTGGTTTGCTGGGCATGACCTATGGGGATGTTTCTCAGGGCCAAGACTCAACTGCACAGCTGCTCACTTGGCCTGGGAGCATGTTTCCTGTGAACATTTCTATGATTTATAAAAAGCATCCTATTTGCCCTTGCACAGTATGTGCTAGCTCTTGGAGCTAACATTCAAGACAATCTCTAAAGTTATTAGATAAACATACAGTACTATTGTGGGAAGAGCTGCAGATTGCAGGGTGGGGTATTAAAGTAGGAGCCTCTTAGTGTGGAGAATTAAAAACCGCAACAGAGTGGTTAGATGAAAGTGAGGAGAAGAGGAAGCCTAATGTGGCTGCAAATTTGCCTAGACCATCAAATCCTATGGTTCCATGTCTAATACTTGTGCTTTAAGAGCACATTGCAGTAACACTTGTTTGCCTAGTGATGATGTTTACCAAGTTCCCTCAAATATGTGCTTGTCAGAATAGGGTATGCAAAATCAGTAGAAGACTGTCCATTCCCCATGAAAATCTGATTATCTGGAGAGGCAGACATGATGTGTCTGCCTGACATATATCCCCCAAAGAGCAAGGAGAACTAATTTTAGGCTGCAGTAGTTTTTATACAAGTGCCATAGGGATAAAAAAAAAAAAGAGAGACCCACGGGAAATGTCAGTTGCTAAGGTGATCTGCAGAAGGCAATGTAGATGTTGAAGAAGGTTATTTGGATTGGCAAGAGTTAGGCACATTGCAGGTTGAGGAAGAGGGGGGAATAGGAAGAGGGGCAGGTTAGAGATCAGAGAGAGTGGCGTGAAAGGCACAGGAATAGGCATAAAGAAGTGCAAACCCAGGTCTTGGCTACCTGGTCTTGAAGAACAGTAAAATAATAACAATAATACCAGTTTCATAGTTTCAAAGTGTCTTTACATGCATTACTATATTTGCTTCTCTTGGAGCCCTCATCAGATATGGGGTTGGGGGGCATCATTATCCTCATTTTATTTTATTTTTATTTACTTATTTTTTTATTATACTTTAAGTTCTGGGATACATGTGCAGAATGTACAGGTTTGATACATAGGTATATATGTGCCATGGTGGTTTGCTGCACCCATCAACCTGTCATCTACATTAGGAATTTCTCCTAATGCTATCCCTCCCCTTGTCCCCCAACCCCCGACAGGCTCTGATGTGTGATGTTCCCACTCCCCTGTGTCCATGTGTTCCCATTGTTCAACTCCCACTTCTGAGTGAGAACATGCGGTGTTTGGTTTTCTGTTCCTGTATTAGTTTGCTGAGAATGATAGTTTCCAGCTTCATCTATCTCCCTGCAAAGGACATGAACTCATTCTTTTTTATGGCTGCGTAGTATTCCATAGTGTACATGTGTCACATTTTCTTTATCCAGTCTATCATTGATGGGCATTTGGGTTTGTTCCAAGTCTTTCCTATTGTGAAAAATGCTGCAATAAACATGTGTGTGAATGTGTCTTTATAGTAGAATAATTTATAATCCCTTGGGTATATACCCCGTAATGGGATTACTGGGTCAAATTGTATTTCTGGTTCTATATACTTGAGGAATCGCCACACTGTCTTCCACAATGGTTAAACTAATTTTCACTCCCACCAACAGTGTAAGAGCATTCCTATTTCTCCACATCCTCTCCAGCATCTGTTGTTTCCTGACTTTTTTTTTTTTAATTTAAGTTCAGGGATACATGTGCAGAACGTGCAGATTTTTTACAAAGGCATACACATGCCATGATTGTTTGCTGCACTCATCAACCCATCCTCTACATTAGGTATTTCTCCTAATGCTATCCCTCCCCTAGCCTCCCACCCCCTGAAAGGCCCCAGTGTGTGATGTTCCCCTCCCTGTGTCCATGTGTTCTCATTGTTCAACTCCCACTTATGAGTGAGAACATAATGGTGTTTGATTTTCTGTTCCTGTGTTAGTCTGCTGAGAATGATGGTTTCCAGCTTCATCCATGTCCCTGCAAAGGACATGAACTCATTATTTTTTATGGCTGCATAGTATTCCATGGTGTATATGTACCACGTTTTCTTTATCCAGTCTATCATTGATGGGCTTTTGGGTTGGTTCCAAGTCTTTGCTATTGTGAATAAGCTGCAATAAACATACATGTGTATGTGTCTTTATAGTACAATGATTTATAATCCTTTGGGTATATACCCAGTAATGGGATTGCTGGATTGAATGGTATTTCTGGTTCTAGATCCTTGAGGAGTTGCCACAGTGTCTTCCACAATGGTTGAACTAATTTACACTCCCACCAACAGTGTAAAAGCATTCCTATTTCTCCATATCCTCTCCAGCATCTGTTGCTTCCTGACTTTTCAATGATCGCCATTCTAACTGGCGTGAGATAGTATCTCATTGTGGTTTTGATTTGCATTTCTCTAATGACCAGTGATGATGAGCTTTTCTTCATATGTTTGTTGGCCGCATAAATATCTTCTTTTGAGAAGTGTCTGTTCATATGCTTTGCCCACTTTTTGATGGGGTTTTTTGTTTTTTCTTGTAAACTTGTTTAAGTTCCTTGTAGATTCTGGATATTAGCCCTTTGTCAGATGGATAAATTGCAAAAATTTTCTCCCATTCTGTAGGTTGCCTGTTCACTCTGAAGATAGTTTCTTTTGCTGTGCAGAAGCTCTTTAGTTTAATTAGATCCCATTTGTCAATTTTGGCTTTTGTTGCCATTGCTTTTGGTGTTTTAGTCATGAAGTCTTTGTCCATGCCTATGTCCTGAATGATATAGCCTAGGTTTTCCTTTAGGGTTTTTATGGTTTTAGGTCTTATGTTTAAGTTTTTAATCTATCTTGAGTTAATTTTTGTATAAGGTGTAAGGGAGGGGCTCAGTTTCAGTTTTCTGCATATGGCTAACCAGTTTTCTCAACACTATTTATTAAATAGGAAATCCCTTCCCCATTGCTTGTTTTTGTCAGTTTTGTCAAAGATCAGATGGGAGCAGATGTGTGGTGTTATTTCTGAGGCCTATGTTCTGTTCCATTGGTCTATACATCTGTCTTGGTACCCATACCATGCTGTTTTGGTTACTGTAGCCTTGTAGTATAGTTTGAAGTCAGATAGTGTTATGCCTCCAGCTTTGTTCTTTTTGCTTAGGATTCTCTTGGCTACATAGGCTCTTTTATGGCTCCATCTGAAATTTAAAGTAGTTTTTTCTAATTATTTGAAAAAAGTCAGTGGTAGCTTGATGGGGATAGCATTGAATCTATAAATTACTTTGCGCAGTATGGCCATTCTCATGATATTGATTCTTCCTATCCATGAGCATGGAATGTTCTTCCATTTGTTTGTGTCCTCTCTTATTTCCTTGAGCAGTGGTTTGTAGTTCTCCTTGAGGAGGTCTTTCACATCTCTTGTAAGTTGTATTCCTAGGTATCTTATTCTCTTTGTAGCAATTGTGAATAGGAGTTCACTCATGATTTGGCTCTCTGTTTGTCTATTATTTGGGTGTAGGAATGCTTGTGATTTTTGCACATTGATTTGTTTCCTGAGACTTTGCTGAAGGTGCTTATCAGCTTAAAGAGTTTTTGGCTGAGATTATAGGGTTTTGTAAATATACAATCATGTCATCTGCGAACAGAAACAATTGGACTTCCTCTCTTCCTATTTGAATACACTTTGTTTCTTTCTCTTGCCTGATTGCCCTGGCCAGAATTTCCAATACTATGTTGAATAGGAGTGGTGAGAGAGGGCATCCTTGTCTTGTGTGTATTTTCAAAGGGAATGCTTCCAGCTTTTGCCCATTCAGTATGGTATTGGCTGTGGGTTTGTCATAAATAGCTCTTATTATTTTGACATATGTTCCTTCAACATCTAGTTTATTGAGTGCTTTTAGCATGAAAGGGTGTTGAATTTTATCAAAGGCCTTTTCTGCATCTATTGAGATATTCATGTGGTTTTTGTCATTGGTTCTGTTTATGTGATGAATTATGTTTATTGATTTGCGTATGTTGAACCAGCCTTGCATTCCAGGAATGAAGCCAACTTGATCGTGGTGGATAAGCTTTTTAATGTGCTGCTGAAGTTGGTTTGCCAGTGTTTTATTGAGGATTTTCACACCAATGTTCACCAGGGATATTGGCCTGAAATTTTCTTTTTTTTGTTGTGTCTCTGCCAGGTTTTAGCATCAGGATGATGCTGGACTCATAAAATGAGTTAGGGAGAGTCCTTCTTTTTCTATTTTTTGGAACAGTTTCAGAAGGTATGGTACCAGCTCCTCTTTGTACCTCTGGTAGAATTTGGCTTAGAATCCATCTGGTCCTGGATTTTTTTTTTTTGGTTCGTAGGCTATTAATTATACTGACTCAATTTCAGAACTTGTTATTGGTCTATTCAGGGATTCCACTTCTTCCTGGTTTAGTCTTGGGAGGGTGTATGTGTCCAGGAATTTATCCATTTCTTCTAGATTTTCTAGTTTATTTGCATAGAGGTGTTTTAGCATTCTCTGACGGTAGTTTGTATTTCTATGGGATCAGTGGTGATATCCTCTTTATCATTTTTTATTGTGTCTATTTGATTCTTCTGTCTTTTCTTCTTTATTTGTCTGGCTAGCAGTCTATCTATTTTGTTAATCTTTTCAAAAACGCAGCTTTTGAATTCATTTTTTAAAGGGTTTTTTGTGTCTCTATCTCTTTCAGTTCTGCTCTGATCTTAGTTATTTCTTGTCTTCTGCTGGCTTTTGAATTTGTTTGCTCTTGCTTCTCTAGTTCTTATAATTGTGATGTTAGGATTTCTATATTAGACCTGTCCTGCTTTCTCCTGTGGGCATTTAGTGCTATAAATTTCCTTCTAAACAGTGCTTTAACTGTGTCCCAGAGGTTCTGATACATTGTGTCTTTGTTCTCATTGGTTTCAAAGAATTTATTTATTTCTGCCTTAATTTCATTATTTACCCAGTAGTCATTCAGGAGCAGGTTGTTCAGTTTCCATGTAGTTGTGTGGTTTTGAGTGAGTTTCTTTTCTTTTCTTTTCTTTTTTTTTTTTTTTTTTTGAGACAGAATCTTGCTCTGTCATTCAGGTTGGACTGCAGTGGCACAATTTCAGCTCACTGCAACCTCCGCCTCCTGGGTTCATGTCATTCTCCTGCCTCAGCCTCCTAAGTAGTTGGGACTACAGACGCCTGCCACCACGCCCGGCTAATTTTATTATTTTTAGTAGAGGCGGGGTTTCACTGTGTTAGCCAGGATGGTCTTGATCTCCTGACCTTGTGATCTGCCTGCCTTGGCCTCCCAAAGTACTGGGATTACAGGCATGAGCCACTGCACCTGGCCTGGAGTGAGTTTCTCAATCCTGAGTTCTAGTAGATTGCAATGTGGTCTGAGACACAGTTTGTTATGATTTCTGTTCTTTTGCATTTGCTGAGGAGTGTTTTACTTCCAATTATGTGGTCAATTTTAGAATAAGTGCAATGTGGTGCTGAGAAGAATGTCTATTCTGTTGATTTGGGGTGGAGAGTTCTGTAGATGTCTATTAGGTCCACTTGGTCCAGAGCTGAGTTCAAGTCCTGAATATCCTTGTTAATTTTCTGTCTCATTTATCTTTCTAATATTGACAGTGGGGTGTTAAAGTCTCCCACTATTATTGTGTGGGAGTCTAAGTCTCTTTGTAGGCCTCTAAGAACTTGCTTTATGAATCCGGGTGCTCCTGTATTGGGTGCATATATATTTAGCATAGTTAGCTATTCTTGTTGCATTGATCGCTTTATCATTATGTGATTCCCTTCTTTGCCTTTTTTGATCTTTGTTGGTTTAAAGTCTGTCTTATCAGAGACTAGGATTGTAACCCCGGCTTTTTTTTTTTTTTTTTTTTTTTTTGCTTTCCATTTGCTTGGTAAATATTCCTTCATCCCTTTAGTTTGAGCCTATGTGTGTCTTTGCATATGGGACTGGTTTCCTGAATACAGCACCCCAATGGGTCTTGACTCTTTATCCAATTTGCCAGTCTTTGTCTTTTAATTGGGGCATTTAGCCCATTTACATTTAAGGTTAATATTGTTATGTGTGAATTTGATCCTGTTATTATGATGCCAGCTGGTTATTTTGCACATTAGTTGATGCAGTTTCTTTATAGTGTCGACGGTCTTTACATTTTGGTATGTTTTTGCACTAGCTGGTACCGGTTTTTCTTTTCCATATTTAGTGCTTCCTTTGGAGCTCTTGTAAGGCAGGCCTGGTGGTGACAAAATCCCTCACCATTTGCTTGTCTGTAAACGATTTTATTTCTCCTTCACCTGTGAAGCTTATTTTAGCAGGACGTGAAATTCCGGGTTGAAAATTCTTTTCTTTAAGAATGTTGAATATTGGCCCCCACTCTTTTCTGGCTTGTAGAGTTTCTGCGGAGAGATCTGCGGTTAGTCTGATGGGCTTCCCTTTGTGGGTAACCCAACCTTTCTGTCTGACTGTCCTTAACATTTTTTCCTTCACTTCAGCCCTGGTGAATCTGATGATTATGTGTCTTGGGGTTGCTCTTATTGAGGAGTATCTTAGTGGTGTTCTCTGTATTTCCTGAATTTGAATGTTGGCCTGTCTTGCTAGGGTAGGGAAGTTCTCTTGGATAATATCTGGAAGTGTGTTTCCCAACTTAGATCCATTCTCCCCGTCACTTTCAGGTACACCAATCAGATGTAGGTTTGGTCTTTTCATATAGTCACATATTTTGAGGCTTTGTTTGTTCCTTTTCATTATTTTTTCTTTAATCTTGTCTTCATGCTTTATTTCATTAAGTAGATCTTCAATCTCTGATATCCTTTCTTCCATTTGATCGATTCTGCTATTGATACTTGTATATGCTTCATAAAGTTCTCGTGCTGTGTTCTTCAGCTCCATCAGGTCTTTTATGTTCTGCTCTAAACTGGTTATTCTAGTTAGCAGTTTCTTTAACCTGTTATCAATGTTCTTAGATTTCTTGCATTGGGCTAGAACATGATCCTTTAGCTAGGAGGAGTTTGTTGTTACCCACCTTCTGAAGCCTACTTCTGTCAATTCGTCAAACCCATTCACCATTCAGTTTTGTTCCCTTGCTGGTGAGGAGCTGTGATCCTTTGGAGGTGAAGAGTCATTCTGGTTTTTGGAATTTGGGGCATTTTTGCACTGGTTTTTCCTCATCTTCATGGATTTATGTACCTTTGGTCTTTGATGCTGGTGACCTTTGGATGGGATTTTTGCACGGGCATCCTTTTTGTTAATGTTGATGTTATTACTTTCTGTTTGTTAGTTTTCCTTCTAACAGTCAGGCCTGTCTTCTGCAGGTGTGCTGGAGTTTGCTGGAGGTCTATTCCATACCCCGTTTGCCTGGGTATCACCAGCAGAGGCTGCAGAACAGCAAAGATTGCTGCCTGCTCCTTCCTCTGGAAGCTTTGTCCCAGAGGGACACCTGCCAGATGCCAGCCAGAGCTCTCCTGTATGAGGTGTCTGTTGACCCCTGCTGGGAGTGTCTCCCAGTCAGGGGGCATGGGGTTTAAGGACCCATGGGGTTCAGGGATCCACTTGAGGAGGCAGTCTGTCCCTTAGCAGAGGTCAAGTGCTGTGCTGAAAGATCCGCTGCTCTCTTCAGAGCTGGCAGGCAGGAACGTTTAAGTCTGCTGAAGTTGTGCCCACAGCCACCCCTTCCCCCAGGTGCTCTGTCCCAGAGAGATGGGAGCTTTATCTATAAGCCCCTAACAGGGGCTTCTGCCTTTCTTTCAGAGATGCCCTGCCCAGAGATGAGGAATCTAGACAGGCAGTCTGGCTATAGCAACTTTGCTGTGCTATGGTGGGCTCTGCCAGTTCGAACTTCCTGTCAGCTTTGTTTACACTGTGAGGGGAAAACTGCCTACCCAAGCCTCAGTAATGGTGGACACCCCTCCCCCATCAAGCTCACACATCTCAGGTTGACTTCAGACTGCTGCTGTGCTGGCAGCAAGAATTTCAAGCCAGTGGATCTTAGCTTGCTGGGCTTTGTGGGGGTGCATCTGCAAGTGACCTGCAAGATCACTTGGCTCCCTGGCTTCAGCCCCCTTTCCAGAAAAGTGAATGGTTCTGTCTTGCTGGCATTCCAGGCTCCACCGAGGCATAGCAAAAAACTCCTGCAGCTAGCTCAGTGTCTGCCCAAACAGCAGCCAAGTTTTGTGGTTGAAACCCAGGGCCCTGGTGGTATAGGCACCCGAGGGATTCTCCTAGTCCGCAGGTTGCAAAAACCATGGAAAAAGCATAGTATCTGGGCCAAATAGCATCATCCCCCATGGCACAGTCCCTCAAGGCTTCCCTTGGCTAGGGGAGGGAGTTCCTCAACCCCTTGCACTTCCCAGGTGAGGCGATACCCCACTCTGCTTCTGCTCACCCCCCATGGGCTGTGCCCACTGTCTAACCAGTCCCAATGAGATGAGCTGGGTACCTCAGTTGGAAATGCAGAAATCACCCACTTTCTGCATTGGTCTTACTGGGAGCTGCAAACCGGAGCTGTTCCTGTTCAGCCATCTTGCCAGTCACCCTATCCTCATTTTATAGATAAGCTTCCCTCAAAGAAGCTAAGTAATTTGTCTATCCAAGGTCACCTACTTAGAAAAGGCAGACCAGAACCCAGGTCTCTGTGCTCTTTCTGCCATCTGTTCCCTGATTGTACAGCTCCACTAGTTGGTGCTGACTCTCATATATGAGAATACAGATACGATTGGGACCAAGTGGTGGAAAGTCATATTTGTGGTTGAGGAATTTCCATTTGGTCTGATAGGCAATTACACTCTCTGAGTGAAATGAAAATTGCATTTTAATTGGTTACATCTAGCAATGATGTATAGATTTTACTGGTTAAATCTCTAAAAACAGATGATGCTATGGTTTCTAGGCATCAGCTAACAAAGTCTGAGGTTAGGAAAGTGATATTGTACATATAGAGTAGGGACAAAGTATAAGAAATATGATATAAAAACAATGGAGATAACTCAGCCAATTGATTGAATGTGAAGTATAGAAGAGAAAAGAATTAAAGAAAACTTCCCAATAGTGGTTACCAACTGAGTGAGATCAGTTTGAGGAGATGGATAAATTCAGACAGAGTTTGAGGTAGAGGCAGAATCTCCAAATAAGACTATCCTGTAGGCAACTAAAAATGTTGGAACTATAGCTCAGGTTAGAATTTAGGAAAAGCCATTTGAGCTCTCCTAGTCCCAGATTTGTTTCTTTATTTGTAAAATAGAGATAACAATGCCAATTTAGCCTGTCTCAAGGATAGCTAGTGGAGCAAATGAGATATCTGAAAAGAAAATTCTTTGCAAACTATAAGACGAAAATATGGGCTGTCAAAAGGCATATCTGGGAGGCAGAGGCAAAGAAACAGTGCAAAGTTTCCATGGTGGGTAAAGCCTTTGAGGAAATATAGGCAGAGGTGAGCCGAGGACAAAGATGGGGCTCCAGTGGGTGTCCACAATAGGGTAAAGGTGAAGTGACTGGGGGTCAGAAGGGTGAGCAGTCAGGAAATGGAAAACCATGAGGCCTCAGGGCTACAGAAGTCAGATGAGTGGAGGTTTCAAAGACATGAGAATTGAAGTCTACAGAGTGACTGAAAAGGAAGTTTGAGAAGAGAACAGTAGAACAGGCTGCTGAGCAGGAATGAATGATCTTAATCTTAGTCATGTAAAATTCTAAGGAGGGTCTCCTCTGAGGTGGAGGGCATGGGGCAGGGAAGGCATATTGCTGTAGATTAGGAAGAAGATAATGACCAAAAAACGACACCAGAGTCCTCTGGTTCAGGGTGTCTAGGTGCAAAAGAACAAGAAGAAATGGTACAGAATTTCAGTTGGTCACAGAGTTTGGTAGGAGGAATCACTAGCATTTGATGCTCAGAGAGCAAAGGTTACACAGCTACAGAGTGGGAAGGTTGAGAGTCAAGCCCGTTCTCCTGGATTTCTGGTAGACTGTACATTCTACCATACTATGGCTCAAGTGTATGATGTTCAGAGAGGAGGAGAGATGAACCGAGGAAGAAACTAAAGTTACATGAGAAAGATGCACTGAGAGTAAGAGTCAAGGTGACCCAGAGAGAAGTACACATCCTCTCTCCCTGACTCAAATTCTTTCTCCAGCAACAAACCTTTTGCAGTAGCTGCAGAACTCAAAAGCATCCTCTCTCCTTCCTGAGGTCACTGTCTCAACTGCTGCTTTTCTTTTTTTATTATTAGCTTCCTGCCTTCAGCTTTCTACACCACCCCTCTACTGATAACTTTCCTGTTACTGAATCGCCTGGTACTATTTTTTTTTTTTTTTTTTGGGACAGAGTCTCACTTCATCACCCAGGCTGGAGTGCAGTGGCGCAATCTTGGCTCACTGCTGCAACCTCCGCCTTCAGGGTTCAAGCTCTTCTCGTGCCTCAGCCTCCTGAGTATCTGGGATTACAGGCAAGCACCACCACATTTCTCCATACCAAGGAATTGGGGTTTCATCCTGAGGGCAGTGAGAGCCTCTGAAATGTGGAGAGGAGATCTGCATTTTAGAGAGGTGACACTGGCAGTAGATGAGGACAGTTTGGTGGAGGCAAGCCCAAGTACAGAGAGGCTAATTTTTGTATTTTTAGTAGAGATGAGGTTTCACCATGTTGGCAAGGCTGGTCTCAAACTCCTGGCCTCAAGTGATCTGCCCACCTCAGCCTCCCAAAGTGCTGGAATTACAGGCATGACCACCGGACTGGGTCCACCTGTTACTTTTTATTCCCATTGAACACTCACTTCTCCTTAAAGCAATCTTTTTCTCCTTAAAGCAAGTCTTGGCATTGTGTTCTTTACTCTCCTTGTATCATTTGGCCAGTCTTTCTCAATCATCATTCCAGCCTCTTCTCTCTGCCTGTCCCTTAATTGTTGGTGTTCCCCAGGGTTCTATCCTCCTTTGTTCTCACACCCCCGCTGTGCGAGCCTCTCCACTCCTCTGGCTTCAGTTACTATCACGTGCTGACAGCCTTACATTTATCAGGTTCACCTAGTTCCTCCTCCCCAGCTATACAGAGCAACAGGACAGCTCCATTTGCCTATTTCTTGAATGCCTCAAATCCAAAATGCCCCAAATTAAACTCCCCATTTCTTCAGCCCAATCAGCATCTTCTTCATAGGTTCCTTTTATTAATGAAAGGCACCACTTCCTTCCCCTAATACCTGAGAGGAACCTTGACTTCCCTTTTCCCTGACCCTCTATATTTAGTCCATCCACAGTCTGGTCAGTTCTCACTCCTTTATAGCTCTCAGTCCCATCCAGGTCTGTGCAGCCTCTCTGTTCTGCACAATCACAAGAGCACCCCTACTCACCTCTCTGTACTTGGGCTTGCCTCCACCAAACTGTCCTCATCTGCTGCCAGTGTCACCTCTCTAAAATGCAGATCTGCTCTCCACATTTCAGAGGCTCTCACTGCCCTCAGGATGAAATCCCAATTCCTTGGTATGGAGAAAGGCCCCTCTGGAAGCACTCTCTGCCCACCCATCCTCCTTGCATGCTTCACCTAGGCTCTACTATATTACTTACACTTCCCCAAACTTGCCATGTGCTCTCAACTTGGGGCCTTTGTAAATCGTTTTCCACTGCCCAGAGTCCCTGTCCCTCTCTCCTTAGTCAATCTCTCTCCCCCAGAACCTTAAAAAAACTCCCCTCATTCCCCAAGGCTGGTGTGGCCCCTCCCCTGCATTCTCATAGCACTCTTGAGGTTTCTTTCTGTGGGCCCTTCTTCCTCATAGAGCTTTGTCCTGTTGACTTGCTTGACCCATTCATCACCCCAGAGGTTCTTTTTGGTCTAAGATTATGTTTTCTTCACTGTCATATACACAGGGCTGAGTATATGTGGCACAGAGAAGCAGGGCAGTGTTTTGATTGAGCAGACAACTGGGTTCAAGCCACATCCTACCACTAACTTGCAAGGGAATTTGGGCACACAAGCTATTCCATGCCTGTGCACTTTGGTCTTCTTATCTATAAAATGATCAAATCAGAGTACCTAGAGCTGTTATCAAGTAAGAGTAGCAAGGATTGTTTGAGGACTAATTGAGTTAATAGCATAAGGAGCATAGCAGAGTGCCCGGCACAGAGTAACTGCAGTACAACTCACTGTTGCTGCCCCTTGTTGGATGAAGGAGCATCTGTGGCTTGAGGTTGGGGGAGCTGATAAAGGAAATGCCTTTCCCCGGAGCCCTTGGGCAGGTTTGGCCAAGACAGATGGCTTGAAGTGAGGAGCCATGAGAGTAGCAATCAGAAAGTCAAGAACCCCGATGCCAATTTACCAGAAGGGTTTCCAATGTGGGAGTTACAGGTGGCAGAGACAGTGGGCAAATAGTATACTCAGAAGGTCACTGAGTAGCAACTAGGGAGGCTTCCGCATGGCAGGTCTACCAGTTTTCCCCCTCTGTCTCAGGACTGCTCTACACAGAAGCCTACCATTATTTCCTTGTAAAGATGATGCAAAGTGCACCAACCTCTGTTCTCCAGGTTATTTGCACTGTAGCAATTTGCCACAAGGTCAGGGCAGCTCATTGTCTAATTGCACACTGCTTGCGGCTATTCTGGATTTGTTTGAGTCAATGTGTCTTCAGACTCTGCGGGCAGGACACAGATTCAAATCTGGGAACCAAAGGTGGGCAAACCCATCTGACCATAGTCAGTGTTGACGGAGAGGGGTTAGTGGGGGAGGAGTCTGTGCCAATGTCTAATGATCCCGTGAGAATCTATCAAAAGATGTATTTTTCTAAGTATAAATAAAAATAGCATCTGTGAAATCAGGAACAGTTGCAGCTTTGCTATCACTGTGACAACATTCTAAGCATCGACGTAAGCTATTCACCCTCATCAGACTTTAACTGGTCACGCAGCATGTTTCGTTTTCTTCCTAACTCAAATATGGAATCTCCATCTGCTGCTGCTGCTCCCTGTCCCTTCTTTGTTGTTTAATTACCAGCAAAGCTGCAGGAGATGAAGTCTTCATTCTGTATTTGTTCTGAATCCCCTTTCAGTACAGTAAGCTGTGCACATGCTCACTCCTCTCCCATTAAGGCCGTGGAAATTATGCTGCCAAATAATTTCCCAGTTTCCCTTGAATTTGCGTCTTCATATATTTCTCAGCTTCCTGTCGCATACTTCATTGGTCTGGCTAATTTTTATAGTCACATCTAGCAGACGATTTTCTTTTCTTTCTTTCTTTTCTTTTCTTTTCTTTTTTTTTTTTTTTTTTTTGCAGTCTAGTGAAATGTTGCAGTGTGGTGTAGTCAAATGTATTTTATATTGGCAGGAATGCACAATCAAAATATTTTAAAGGTTTCTCAAGAGAAAGTGTCGAACTAAATGGAATTTTGAATGTGGGCTGGCCCTGCTTTTTGCTGGTAGCCTTTAGCTATATGAGGTTTCTAGGAAGGATGTTTGTATATATATTTTTTTCCTTTAGCTTTCTGGGGAATAAGATGCTCTCAGTATCAATGCCTCTGGCTTCTGTGATTATACTCTCCCTACAACTGTGGCTGCTTGACAACCATCTATCACTCCCATTTCCCATTCCCATGTAGCCCCCTGTGGGGCCTAAAACCAACCCCAACCTAAAACCAACCCCAACCTCAAGCAGAGGAACTGAAACAATTCTAGAACTCAGTGTTGCCCTTGGCGTTGCTCTGATCTTGATCTTGTGCCTCAATTCTAACATTAAACTTCTCTTTTGTTCCTGAGATGTTGTTCCCAGTTCATTAGGGGAAACGGACCCTTGTCTTGGCGTTCTTGGTCTGAGTCTCTGCGCTCAAGGCTTTGTCTAATTCAGAATTCGGGACTCACAGCCCACCTGCACTAGTCATACCTCCTCCTAAGTCTAAAGTTTTCTCCTTGCACTGTGGCCTGGTAGTAAGTGCCTTGCTTCTTACAGATGGACTTCCCCAATGAGGTCTGCCTTCCTCCCCAGTTGCTTAAGAGGTCCTTATTGCTGGGGTCTGTTTTTGGTCTACCTGCTCCCCTCAAATCCATGGTGGACCACCTATTACTATTGTTTTTGGTGATCTCTTGTCTGTGGTCATGCCTGCCGGATTTCATGCCCTACCTTTGACAAGGAACTTACCCCAGCATCTGTAACTGACAGTGTCCCTGAGGGCCTGCTACATCCCAGCAAGGGAGGAGTCCAGGGCTTGGTCCTGCCTCTCTCGAGCTGCCCTCTCCCTGCAATTCACAGCCCTGTTGATCTTGAGATGGAACAAGCGGTGGTCTTCATGGTCAAAAAGTTAAGGACTTGATTGCTTTCAAATCTATTTCTACTTTTTCGGCCCCTTCTCTAACTTCTTAAACTGTAAGCTTTCCCTAAGATTCTAACAGAATCTTGGCTTTAAAGTTAGGTTCTTTAAGACTAAAGTAGGTTCTATATGGCCATGTGAAAAGGGCAAGACTGTCCTTTTCAATAAAAGGCCATTTGTAATGAAACCTTTATGTAAAAATTCCTCTGACTGATTCCATATCAGCCTTAGTTCTCATGCCTTGTCTCCTTGTGCCCTAGGCTCTGTGTGTTAACGCTGGTTCTAGTGCCCTGCCCATCCAGAGCTGACACATAATTGTGACATTAATCCCTCTCCACATTTGCTTTATTGACCTGGCTTGTGCAAGCTGCCTGTACCACCTCTAGTATTCCATTGGAGTACCTTCTGATTGTGCATTTAGTCCTGCTGTCCTGGCCCTGCCAACTGATAGAAAGTATAATTCACTGTAAGATTGAGTTAAGACACTCTCTCCAAGCTTCTAATTTTGTTGTATTCGCTTTCCTGAGTCAGGCTCACAGAGTTCCAGCCTCTATATGACTATTTCCCTGAATTATATCTGCCACCCTGACCTGTCTCCTTAGTTCTAAAGTATGTGCTCCCCATTCCAGCTAATGGCCTCACAATTCACCTTACAATCTAAGCTAGGAACCTCAGATTTGCTGTTGAGATCCATCAAAACGAGAGAGCCATTATCCATGTAATCAGAACTAAGGCCCCAGCAGTCAACTCAGAAATAGGTTTGGATGCTTAGCTCTGCACATGAGAAATTTCATCATATCAGTTCTTAAGAAATCAACTTACACCCATAGAACTCATAGGGAACTACACCCACAGAACTAATAGGGAACTAATTTTTTTTACCTTTTATTGTAGATTCAGGGGTACATGTGCAGGTTTGTTATATAGGTAAATTCGTGTCACAGGGATTTCTTGTATAGAGTATTTTGTCAGTCAAGTACTAAGCTTAGTACCCAATAACTATTTTTTCTGATTCTCTCCCTTCTCCCACCATCCACCCTCAAGTAGATGCCAGTGTCTGTTGTTCTTCTCTTTGTGTCCATCTGTTCTCATAATTTAGCTCCCACTTATAAGTGAGAACTTGTGGTATTTGGTTTTCTCTTCCTATGTAAGTTTGCTAAGGATAATGGCCCCCAGCTCCATCCGTGTTCCTGCAAAGGACACGATCTCATTCTTTTTTATGGTTACATAGTATTCCATGGTGTATATGTACCATATTTTCTTTATCCAGTCTACCATTGATGGGCATTTAGGTTGATTCCATGTCTTTGCTATTGTGAATAGTGCTGCAATGAACATATGGGTGCATGTGTCTTTATGATAAAATGATTTATATTCCTTTGGGTATATACCCAGTAGTGGAATTGCTGGGTCAAATGGTAGTTCTGTTTTTAGCTCTCTGAAGAATCCTCAGACAGCTTTCCACAATGTCTGAACAAATTTACACTCTCACAAACAGTGTATAAGCATTTTCTTTTCTCTGCAACCTTGCCAGCATCTGTTTTTCTTTGACTTTTTAATAATAGCCATTCTGACTGGTGTGAAATGTTATCTCATTTGTGTTTTTGATTTGCATTTATCTAATGATCAGTGATATTGAGCTTTTTTTTCATATGTTTATTGGCCACATGAATAATATGTCTTCTTTTGAAAAGTTTCTGTTCGTGTCCTTTGTCTACTTTTTAACGGAGTTTTTTTTTCTTATAGGTTGGTTTAAGTTCTTTATAGATGCTGGATATTAGACCTTTGTCAGATGCATAGCTTGCAAAAATTTTCTCCTATTCTGTAGGTTGTCTGTTTACTCTGTTGATAGTTTCTTTTGCTGTGCAGAAGCTTTTAAGTTTAATTACATCCTATTTATCAATTTTTGCTTTTGTTGCAATTGCTTTTGGCATTTTCATCATGAAATCTTTGCCAGACAGGGAACTAATTTTTAACCCAGAATTCTGTTTTGTAAATTTAGAGGATTATAATGGGGTATTCAACTTTCCTTTTATTGCATTCTTCCAGTTCATAATCCATAGTCACTTTTTAAAAAAATTATTTTACAGACAGTCTCACTCTGTCATCCAGACTGAAGTATAGTGGCATGAGCATACCTCATTGCCACCTCAAACTCCTGGGCTCAAGCAATCCTCTTGCCTCAGCCTCCTGAGTAGCCAGGACTATAGGTGCACACCACCATACCTGGCTAATTTTTTTAAATTACTTTTTGTAGAGATCGGGGGGGGTCTCACTATGTTGGCCAGGCTGATCTTGAACTCTGAGCCTCAAGTGATCCTCCCACCTTGGCCTCCCAAAATGCTGGGATGACAGGTCCATAGTCCCTCTTCCAGAGAAACTTCACTGACTGGATGAGTTATCAGGGGTTCCATGGAAGAAATAGGCTTTGAGTAAAGGAGTGGGGTAATCTTGAGAGATTCTCATTATGAACATGTCAGAGTAATCAGAGTAATCCATGTTTCTATAGAGAGATGGCATCAACTCTCACATTCCCATAAGGTATAAAAAGTAAACTCCTCTTGATGTCTTTCTAGCAAGCATCAAGAGGAGTTTACTTTTTATACCTTATGTGAATGTGAGAGTTTATGTCATCAGCTCATCCTTGGTAGCTAATGGGATGACAGGTGTTGAAGTTAGATCATCCCTACATTCATTCACAAAGCTGGAACAATGAGGGAGCACTTAGTGCCAAGTACCCTGTGAAGCACACACAGTGTCTCAACCTCTCATATAATACAACAACTCTATGAAATAGATGTTACGTATCCTTGTTGTGGTTGAGTTATGTACCCCCAAACAATATGTCCAAGTCCTAACCCCAGGTACCTGTGAAAGTGGCCTTATTTGGAAATAAGTTCTTTGCAGATGTAATGTTAAGAAGAAGTCATACTGGATATGGTGGACCCTAAGCCCAATATGACTAGTGTCCTTATAAGAAAAGGAGAAGACACAGAAACACAGAGAAAAGACAATGTGAAGAGACAGAAGGAAAATGCCAATAATGACAGAGTCAAGAGATTGGAGTCACATTCTGTAAGGCAAGAAGTGCCAAGGATTGCTGGTAAATACCTGAAGCTAGAAGAGACAAGGAGGGATTCTTCCCCAGAGCCTTCGAAGGAAGCACAGCCCTGCTGTATTAGTCCATTCTCACACTGCTATAAAGAAATACCTGAGACTGGGTAATTTATAAATAAAAGAGGTTTAATTGGCTCATGGTTCCATAGGCTGTACAGGAAGCATGGCGGCATCTGCTTCTGGGGAGGCCTCGGGGAGCTTTTACTCATGGTGGAAGGTGAAGCAGGAGCAGTTGTCTTACATGGCAGGAGCAGGAGGAAGAGAGAAGGGGGAGGTGCTATACACTTTTAAACACTCACGAGAACTCACTCACGAGAACTCACTCACTATCATGAGAACAGCACCGAGGGGACGGTGCTAAACCAATCACGTGAAATTGTTCCCATGATTCAATCACCTCCCACCAGGCCCCACCTCCAACACTGGAGATTACAATTGAACATAAGATTTGGGTGAACACAGATCCAAACCATATCCCCTGCTGACACCTTGATTACAGACTTCTGGCCTCCAGAACTGTCAGAGAATAAATTTCTGTTGTTTTAAGCTACCCTGTTTGTGATACTTTGTTAAGATAGCCCTAGGAAACTAGTACAACCTCCATTTTCCAAATGAAGTAAGGTATGCTTGGAAATGCTGATGTACCCAGTTGCAATTTCTTAGAGCTCCCTGACTGCAAACTCTTGAACTCATGTTCCTTTACTCCCTTGCTGGTTGATCTAGCCTATTAGGTGATAGTTCCCTTTCTCTTCTGTTAACATTATATTCTAGATAAATGACATCTTCTAGATAAATTACATAACAACATCATCATTCCCCCAAGTCTGATTATGCAGAACATTAGTTCTGTGAGATGTTAGACTGTGTTAGCATGCAAAAAAAGTTTTCAAGGTTAAAAAAAGAGAGGGAAATTCTGTGTATATCAGGCTTTTTGTTTGTTTGTTTTCTGTAGGACCTCATAGAAACTTCAAAATGTACTGTGACTCTCCAAGAGGGGCGTATTAGAGCTTGCCATGTTTCTCAGGTTAATTTGACCAAGAAAACTTTTCTTTTACAGAACATCTCATGGATTCGTGTTTAGTGGAAGATACTGTGGGAAGTGCTAACTTGAAGGATTAATAACTCTTTTCTTTTTTTTGACATCATTTACATGCCAACCATGTTTTTTGAGTATTATCTTCACATAGATTTCTAAAGAAGAATTGAAAAATATTCTTGCTGCATCAGAAATATGTTGACAAACCACCTTTTGGGGTAGGTTAAATTAACTACTGCTTTACCATACCTCTTTTATTCTTTAGATCATTATATGGATTCTCAGGGTCAAAGTCTTCTAGTCAAAGGCCATTAGAGACATGGCTGTAGTTAACAGAATTGGATTCATGGACTTCTTGCACACCATTGGAAATTGCAGTGTCTCAGGAAAGGGTGTTAGTCAGGAATTACATATATTATAAGATTTGTGCTCATGTTAGGTAATTTGAGGATAAGATTCCAGGAAGCAGGACTTTGCAGAAGCAAAAGTGGTTTTTAGTTCTTCTAATAGACTCTGAAAACAGGGACCCAGATTATCATACCCAAGCAATGAAAATATGTCCCGCAAAATCTGTGTGTTCTTTTCTAGATGTCCAATGGGCTTTCCTCCCACAGTCATGGGCTGCTCCGTAGTATTTATACAGGTGCAGCAAGAAGTGGTTAGCACAAATTTCTCTTTGGCTAGCTAAGAAGAGATTTAAGGCTATGTTATTATCCGTGACAACTTTGCCTTACAAATTTAAGTGTAAACCTAGGCTTCCAGAACAGAAGTAGTATAATTTATGACTTTTTTCAGGCTCAGAGACAAGTTTTAGATGATACTTTCCAGCTGTAATAGTCATTGCTTGCATAGTCAAGTCAACTTGACTGGATTAAGGAATACCTGGAGAACTTGTAAAGCATGACTTCTGCGTATGTCTGTGAGGGTGTTTCCAGAGGAGATTATTGTGTAAATCAGTGGACTGTGTGGGGAACTTCTGCTCTCAATGGATGGGCACTGTCTAATTGGCTTGGGGCCAGAATAGAGCAAAAAATAAGAAAAAGGGATTTGCTCTCTTGCTCCTGGAGCTGGGACATTCTTCTCCTTCTGCCCTTTGACATTAGAACTCCAGGCTCTCTGGCCTTAGGACTCTAGGGCTTTCACCAGTGGGCCCCCGGGTTCTCAGGCCTTCAAACTCAGCCTGAGAATTACACCTGGTTCTGAGGCCATCAAACAGGGACTGAGCCACACTGTTAGCATTCCAGGGTCTCTATCTTGCCGACGGCCTGTTGTGGGACTTCTCAGCCTCCATAACTGTGTGAGCCAATTCCCCTAATAAATCTCCTCTCATCTATCTATCTATCTATCTATTATCATCTATCTACTTATTATGTAGATGATTGATAGATGATAATTGGTAGATTATCATCTATCAATCATCTATGTATTATCTATCGATTATCATCTATCAATTATCCATCATCTATCAAATATTTATCATCTATCAATTATCTATAATCTATCATCTATCAATCATCTATTATCTATCAATTATCTATCATCTATCAATTATCTATCATCTATCTATCATCTATAATTCTATAATATCCTATTGGTTCTGTCTGTCTGGAGAACCCTAACTAAAACACATAGTATGCAACACAAGAATGCAGCCCTCCATCTGAAGAGTTCTCTCAAGTAGCCTGTGCTTGACTTTTTTGGAGATTTCTTTGCATTCTTTTTAGGGAAACATGATCCACTGGAGGGGTGGTAGTTTTAAACAACTGAAATTCTCTAACAATTTTCCTGAATATACAGTAAAGTTAGTGTGTGGCAGGTGGCCGTAAGCCTTATGTCCACATAAGAAGGACTGTCCTGATGAAGCAGAAACTGTATTAATATTGGCAATTTAAAAATTGTTAATTACAACAGGAATTTGCCTTTTTCTTTATTTGGTCGTGGTTGTGGGGGTGTGTCACTAGAGGTGGGAAAATCCCTTCAGTGAAGTCAAACAAGTCCTGCTAAGCAGGCTGGAGTGTCTCTGAAGTAACTGTTCTTACCCAGGATAGGCCCAATCTTTGTTCTCACTCCTCAAGGATCAGAGTTTGCTGATAGGCTTGTGAGGACCTCAGCAGATGTATTTTTCTGGAGTGCAATGGTGCAATCATGGCTAACAGTAGCCTCAACTTCCTGGGTTCAAGCAATCCTCCTGCCTCAGCTTCCCAAGTATCTGAGATTTCGTCTTTTTTATAGGGGTTCTTGTAGTGTCAAGATACCTCTTCTTCTTTTTTTTTAATTATACTTTTAAGTTATGGGCTACATGTGCAGGTTTGTTACATAGGTATGCAAAGGCCATGGTGGTTTGCTGCACCCATCAACCTGTCATCTACATTAGGTATTTCTCCTAAGGCTATCCGTCCTCTAGCCACCCACTGGCCAATAGGCCCTGATGTGTGATGTTCCCCTCCCTGTGTCCGTGTGTTCTCATTATTCAACTCCCACTTATGAGTGAGAAGATGTGGTGTTTGCTTTTCTGTTCCTGTGTTAGTTTGCTGAGAATGATGGTTTCCAGCTTCATCCACATCCCTGCAAATGTCGTGAACTCATCCTTTCTTATGGCTGCATAGTATTCCATGGCGTATATGTGCCACATTTTCTTTATCTAGTCTATCATTGATGGACATTTGGGTTGGTTCCAAGTCTTTGCTATTTTGAGTAGTGCTTCAATAAACATACTTGTGAATGTGTCTTTATAGTACAATGACTTATAATCCTTTGGGTGTATACCCAGTAATGGGATGGCTGGGTCAAAAGGTATTTCTGGTTCTAAATCCTTGAGGAATCGCCGCACTGCCTTCCACAATGGCTAAACTAATTTACACTCCCACCAACAGTGTAAAAGCATTCCTATTTCTCCACATCCTCTCCAGCATCTGTTGCTTCCTGACTTTTTAATGATCACCATTCTAACTGGCATGAGATGGTACCTCAATGTGGTTTTGATTTGCATGTTTCTAATGACCAGTGATGATGAGCTTTTCTTCATATGTTTGTTGGCCGCATAAATGTCTTCTTTTGAGAAGTGTCTGTTCATATCCTTTGCCCACTTTTGATGGGGTTGTTTGTTTATTCTCGTAAATTTGTTTAAGTTCCTTGTAGATTCTGGATATTAGCCCTTTGTCAGATGGATAAATTGCAAAAATTTTCTCCCATTCTGTAGGTTGCCTGTTCACTCTGATGATAGTTGCTTTTGCTGTGCAGAAGCTCTTTAGTTTAATTAGATCCCATTTGTCATTTTGGCTTTCGTTGCTCTTGCTTTGGTGTTTCAGTCATGAAGTCTTTGTCCATGCCTGTGTCCTGAATGTATTGCCTAGGTTTTCTTCTAGGGTTTTTATGATTTTAGATTTTACATTTAAGTCTTTAATCCATCTTGAGTTAATTTTTGTTTAATGTGTAAGGAAGGAGTCCAGGTTCAGTTTTCTGTATATGGCTAGCCAGTTTTTCCAACACCATTTATTAAGTAGGGAATTCTTTCCCCATTGCTTGTTTTTGTCAAGTTGTCAAAGATCAGATGGTTGTAGATGTGTGGTGTTATTTCTGAGGCCTCTGTTCTGTTCCATTGGTCTATATATCTGTTTTTGTGCCAGTACCACTCTGTTTTGGTTACTGTAGCTTTGTAGTATAGTTTGAAGTTAGGTAGCATGATGCCTCCAGCTTTGTTCTTTTTGCTTAGGATTGTCTTGGCTATATGGGCTCTTTTTTGGTTCCATATGAAATTTAAAGTAGTTTTTTTTCTAATTCTGCAAAGAAACTCAATAGTAGCTTGATGGGCATAGCACTGAATGTGTAAATTACTTTGGGCAGTATGGCCATTTTCATGATACTGATTCTTCCTATCCATGAGCATGGAATGTTTTTCCATTTGTTTGTGTCCTCTCTTATTTCCTTGAGCAGTGGTTTGTAGTTCTCCTTGAGGAGGTCCTTCACATCCCTTATAAGTTTTATTCCTAGGTATTTTATTCTCTTTGTAGCAATTGTGACTGGGAGTTCACTCATGATTTAGCTCTCTGCTTGTTTATTATTGGTGTATAGGAATGCTTGTAATTTTTGCACATTGATTTTGTATCCTGAGACTTTGCTGAATTTGCTTTGCTGAAGGAGTTTTTGGGCTGAGATGATGGGGTTTTGTAAATATACAGTCATGTCATCTGCAAACACAGACAATTTGACTTCCTCTCTTCCTATTTGGATACCCTTTATTTCTTTCTCTTGCCTGATTGTCCTGGCCAGAACGTCCAATACTATGTTGAATAGGAGTGGTGAGAGAGGGCATCCTTGTCTTATGTGTATTTTCAAAGGGAGTGCTCCCAGCTTTTGCCCATTCAGTATGATATTGGCTGTGGGTTTGTCATAAATAGCTCTTATTATTTTGAGATTATGTTTCATCAATATCTAGTTTATTGAGAGTTTTTAGCATAAAGGGGTGTTGAATTATATCAAAGGCCTTTTCTGCATCTATTAAGATATTCATGTGGTTTTTGTTATTGGTTCTGTTTCTGTGATGGATTACGTTTATTGATTTGCATATGTTGAACCAGTCTTGCATGCCAGGGCTGAAGCCAACTGGATCGTAATGTATAAGCTTTTTGATGTGCTGCTGGATTCAGTTTGCCACTATTTTATTGAGGATTTTTACATTGATGTTCATCAGGGAAATTGGCCTGAAATTTTCTTTTTTTGTTGTGTCTCTGTCAGGTTTTGGTATCAGGATGATACTGGCCTCATAAAATGAGTTAGGGAGGAGTCCCTCTTTTTCTATTGTTTGGAATAGATTCAGAAGGAATGGTACCAGCTCTTCTTTGTACCTCTGGTAGATATCGGCTGTGAATCCATCTGCTCCTGGGCTTTTTTTGGTTGGTAGGCTATTAATTACTGCCTCAATTTAAGAACTTGTTATTGGAGACCTCCTCTTTTGCAATGCATTTGGAATTCAGGACTAATCCCAAATCAAATGCCTATATCAGTGTATAAGTATTCTTTTTTTCTTTTGTCAGCTTGCAGGTCTGGATGAGGGCAATTTATTTTGCCATCTGAACTTATTTTATATCTAGGTAAAGCTTATATTACTTTTGAAATATAAGCTTTACCTAGACTTGCTATCACAAAGTCAGTGATAGCATATCCTACTAGGCAAATTTTACTTTTTGTTCGTTTGTTTGTTTTTTCAGTCTGAACCAACAACAAGCAAAGTTAAATTATGGATATCCAAGGGAGTCTATAGAAGGTCCATGCAAGGTATGGAGAGTTCCTCAACAGAGGTAATCAATCATCAGCTTCTTTTTCTACAGATGAAGGAAAGAGGGTCACTGGGTTTAGGGTGTTACAGTGATGAATGGTGATATTTGAAGGGAAACCAACAATATTTCCTAGGAGATTAAGTGACTAGCTGAAAAATTTTGAGTTACGTCTATCAATAAAACATCAGGGGAATTATTAGGTTTAGTGTAGACCCCAGAACTAGTTTGACAAAGTCACTCCAGCTTCCACAAGCTTTGCTGCAGCTTCTAGAACTCTTAGACAAGACAACTATGCTGTGACTACTAGAGCTAATGAAAGACTGAAATAAACAATAGATTTTTTGATGAGTCCCATGTCATTGAGTCAAAGCCCCTAGTGTTTGTTCAGACTTCTCATGACAAAAAAGAAAAGTGGGGTTGCTAATCGAGAATCTTGGAAAAAGATATTTTGATACACAGTTATTACAGTAATCTTTGTGCTTAAACATGAGCATTCTTTTTTTAACTCAAAAAAGGGTTTAATCCTTGAAAGATATTTATATTAGCATATTTTACTTAAATATAATTAACAGAAAAATAAAAATATTTTTATCAGCTTTTTATTAGTAAGTTTGGTAAATAAAAGAGCTCTCATAATAATTTTAAATTAATTTAAATTCAAAGGATATTGGAAAATCTAATTATTCCCATTGTCTTTCCTTTCATAGATGACAAAACAAATCTTGTGTTACCTAATAGCCATTACAGTAAACCCAAAGATAGTTTAGACACAAAAGACATATTAATAGCTTGATTATTCTGAATTTGGGTCCTGAATTTTGGAAAGAATCAAGAATAGTTGTTCCAGGAGACAAGATGTAAGTCATAAGTATCTAGGGTCCAGAAATAATTATAGATGACATTGTAAAAAAATTGCTATGTGTTAGCAATTAACAATAGTCACTAGAAACAACATTTTATTAAAGCAAGGAGTCTTTTAAAAATGATGTAAAAGTGTCAAAAGCACTGAAAGTTAACAGAATATTTTATTGACAAAAGAAATATTCACTAATATGGGCATAGCATAACTTAATTTTTGTATATTAAAAAGACTCCAATTCTAATTTTACTCTTTTTGTACATCATTCATGTAACATTCTACAGTACAGAATTTATTAATATGGCTTTACATGTATGCATTTAGGCATACACAGATATGTAAATATACAAATAGAAAATACATTTCAAATTTTACATTTTAACTGTAGCTTTAAAATTAAATCTATTAGATAAAATAATATGTATGTCAAAATAAAATTTACCCTCTGAATAAATGGTTTCAACTTTCCTAATAAACAGGAAATCAACAGGATATTTATTCTGTATACATATTTGTGTTTCTCTGTATTAAACATTTATATTAATTATCATCTTTAATCAAAGTAATCAACCTTCCTTTTCTTTAGGCAAGAAAGAAAAAGGAGAGAAAACATGATTTACTTAGATATTTTTTGGTCTACTAGCATTTATTTCATACAATTTAAACAGTTTCAATATATAAATATATGATGTCATTCAAAGGAATTTGCATGTTTTGTTAATCTATTGTCATTTTAAGAAATAAACATAATTGTATTTAATGATCAGTGTTTTTATGTTTATTTAGAAATTGTGTAGGCATCCAAAGGATTATTATCAATTAACCATTGTCTAAGTCCTTAAAGTTAGTTAAGGATCAGGAAATTACAATTTTAGTTAACAAATGAAACTTATAATTTGTAGCATTGTAAGAATTTTATAAAAATTATAAAGGCATTTATTATTATCATTCACTTTAGTTTAATACAATTTTATATATATTAAAATAAAATTCTAAATTTAGACAAGTTATAGAACTAGTGGAATCTTGTTGAACTCATACAACTAATGTAGAAAATTCAGTTTAACAAAAAAAAATTTAACTTTGGCCTTATAGAAACCAAAAGATTGGGCTGTCACTAGTTTTTGTATTAAAGTAATTTTTTGAAGACTCTGAATCATGCCAAACATGTAATCTTTTAACTTATATATAATGCCTTTTCTTTTCTCTTAATTATAATAAAGGCTACTATGTAAATATACTGTTTGTGCCCACAGAAAGAAACACAGTTTAATAACATTTTTTCCCCTTTTTTTCAGACATTTTGACTACTTGTCTGAACTAGATATCCCTTGAATGTGCACACAAAAAGTGAATGGGTCATTTGATAAGGTAACGATTAATTTCTGAAGACAGGGGAAAAGAGAGAAAGAGAGGAGGGGGAATAGAGGGAAAAAAAGAAAGAAAAGGGAGCCCGCTGCAGGTGAATAATAAATCAACACCAAAAAAAAAAAGGCTAATGATGTTCCCTCTGAAAAGAGAGGGAGGAAGGTTTATATGTAAAAGAATAGATTTTGGAATATAAAAAGAGTGACATTAAAATTGGTTTAAGCCCCTGGCGATTTTATCAATTAACTAGCACTTACTAATTCCTAAAGTATGGAAATAAAAGGAGGGGCTATCACCAACTTTAAACAAAAGAATCACTGTTAGACAAACAGAACAATCTCCTCTTGAAGGTTTCTTCACTTTTATAAAGTGCCTCTAAAGTAAACCATCGTGTTTATATTAAAAGTTCCTCAAGGTGGCCATTGCAATTCCAGATTGTCCTTGGTGAAACTGTGCCCACTGTAGAGATAAACATGCACGTTTGTGTTACATTGCAGAAATCTCAAAGAAACAGGTATCTGGCCTGGAAGAAGTGCAGTTTTAGGTTGAGTGGAGCCCATCAGAGATGCAATGGTCTGTAAGGGTGGCACTTGTCTGACCTTGATTCTCCGATCTTGAGTCTCCAGAATTTGGGCAAAGGTCAATTGTCTACAATGAGGGCTGAGAAACGAAAAAAACAGTAGTTCTCAAGCTCACAAAGATAAGACAGAGGAAGTCCTTACAAGTATTGAAATGGTGACCTGACGCAAAGTTTATCCAAAGGCCAAAGTTTGTCTAAAGCATGTCAGTCCTGAATTCTCAGTCCCTGGAGCCAGAGGACAGACTTATGGGGACTTGGCTTGTCCTTTCCTTATGGACTTTTCCTTGTATAGACAAACAACACTTAGGACAATAGACAGATCATAGAACAGATGTTAGAGGCTAGAAAACAATATTTCCAACTGACTAGATTTGCAATAAGTTTTACAGACTAGAAAGACTCCAAGGATCTATTCCTAGGAAAACAAAATAAACACATTGCTGACAGTTCTCAACAAAATATCAGAGCCTAGCCATGAACAGGGTCCCACATGTATGCATCATTACTGAGTCAAGGGTACTTGCTTAAGGCAGCAAGGACTTTTGAAGAATCTTGTGAAACTCCATTTTTGTCAATCCTTCAGAGCCCAAGACCACCAGAAACCCTCCTGTAATGGAACAAGTTGGCTTTATTACTAATTGCAACAAGGCTTTTGAAAGCCTTCTGTCATCTTCCTGGGGATCACCTCTTCAGGTGTACAGAGACAGCATAGGTAGGTTGTGGGGGAATGGAGAGGAAGGGGAGCTTCCCTAAGTGAAAACCTAAGTGTTTTCCTAAACACAAGCACCACTGAGCAGTTTGTAGATGGAATTTTGCAATCAAAATTGCAGGGTATTCTGTTCAAGCCACACCTTTTTTTCCCCTCCATTTGGAGATAATTAAAAATTCCCATGCACATGTAAAAAAAAAATAGAAAAATCTCTTGTACCCCTTCCCGCAATGGTAACATCTTGCAAGACCATGGTATATCAGAACCTGGCATTTTTTTTTTTTTTTTTTTTTTTTTTGTCAGAGTCTCACTCCATCACCCAGGCTGGAGTGCAACTGTGTGATCACAGTTCACTTCAGCCTTGATCTCCTGGGTTCAAATGATCCTCTCATCTCAGCCTCCTGAGGAGCTGGGACTACAGGCATGCGCCACCACGCCCAGCTAATCTTTTTCATTTTCTTTTTTTTTCCTTTTCTTTTTTTCCTTCTTTCCTTCTTCTCTTTCTTCTTTCTTTCTCTCTCTTTTTCTTTTCTTTCTCTTTTTTCTCTTTCTTTCCCTTTCTTTTTCCTTTCTCTTTATTCTTTCTTTCTTTCTTTCTCTCTCTCTCTCTTTCTCTCTCTCTCTCTCATAGAGATAGGGTCTCAGGTCTCACTATGTTGCCTAGGCTCATCTCAAACTCCTGCACAGCCCAAATATTGACATTAATACAGTTATGATGTAGAACATTTTTGTCACCATAAGGATGCCTCAAACTCCACTCTTTAGCTACCTCTACTTCCCTCCAACCCCCACCACATTCTTAATCCCCGGCAATTACAAATCTGTGTTCTCCATTTCTATAATTTTGTCATTCAAGGATGTTATATAAATGGGATCACTCTGTATGATTAGTTTTTATTTTCACATAGCATAGCTCCCTAGAGATTTATTCAAGTTACCAAATGTATTAATGGTTCACTCCTTTCATTGCTGAGCAGAATTCCATGGTATGCATGTACCACTGTTTAACTATTGAAGGCTATCTGAGTTATTTCCAGTTTGGGGCTATTACAAATAAAACTGCAGTAATCACTGACTTATAGGTTTTTATGTAACCATATGTTTTCATTTCCCTGGGATAAATGCCCAGGAGTATAATTACTGGAATGCATGGTAGTTGCATGTATAGTTTTTTAGGAAACAGCCAAATTGTTTTCCAGAATGACCGTATCATTTTACACTCTCACCAGCAATGTCTGAGTGATCCAGTTTCTCTGTATTTGATGTAGTCGCTATGTTTTATTTAGCCATTCTAATAAGTATGTAGTAATACCTCACTGTGGTTTTAATTTGCATTTCCCTAATGACCAACAATGTTGAACAATTTTTTATGTGCTTATATGCTATCTGTATATCCCCTGAAATGTTTGTTTCTATCTTTTGCACATTTTCTAATTGGAGTTTTTCATTTGTTTGCTTGTTTTACTGTTGATATTCAAGAGTTCTTTATATATTCTAAATAACCCTGTTTTGATAAGTGATTTGCAAATATTCTCTCCCAGTCTGTAGCTTGTATTTTCATCCTCTTAGCAGAGTATTTTGTGGAGCAAAAATTTATCATCTTGACAAGCTCCAATTTATCAATTTTTTCTTTTATGGATCATGTTTTTGGTGTCAATTCTAAGAACTCTTTGTCAGTCCTAGATCCCAAAAATTTTTTTCCTAAAAATTTTATAATTTTACATTCTAGGGAAAACTAGGTTCCAAGATGGCTGAATAGGAAGAGCTCCAATCTGCAGATCCCAGTGTGAGCAACGTGGAAGACGGGTGATTTCTGCATTTCCAACTGAGGTACTGGGTTCATCTCACTGGGGCTTGTCAGACAGTGGGTGCAGCCCATGGAGCAGGGCGGAGCATCGCGTCACCCAGGAAGCACAAGGGGTCAGGGAATTCCCTTTCCTAGCAAAGGGAAGCCATGACAGATGGTACCTGGAAAATTGGGACACTCCCACCCTAATACTGTGCTTTTCCAACTGCCTTAGCAAACGGCACACCAGGAGATTATATCCCGCACATGGCTCGGAGGGTCCCACGCCCGGCTCGGAGGGTCCCACGCCCACGGAGCCTCGCTCACTGCTAGCATAACAGTCTGAGATTGAACTGCAAGGTGGCAGCCAGGCTTGGGGAGGGGCATCCACCATTGCTGAGGCTTGAGTAGGTAAACAAAGCAGTTGGGAAGCTCTAACTGGGTGGAGCCCACCACAGCTCAAGGAGGCCTGTCTGCCTTTGTAGACTCCACCTCTGGGGGCAGGGCATAGCTGAACAAAAGGCAGCAGAAACTTCTGCAGACTTAAACGTCCCTGTCTGACAGCTTTGAAGAGAGTAGTACTTCTCCCAGCACGGAGTTTGAGATCTGAGAATGGACAGACTGCCTCCTCAAGTGGGTCCCTGACCCCCGAGTAGCCTAACTGGGAAAAACCTCCCAGTAGGGGCCGACTGACACCTCATACAGCTGGGTGACCCTCTGAGATGAAGCTTCCAGAGGAAGGATCAGGCAGCAACATTTGCCGTTCTTCTATATTTGCTGTTCTGCCGCTTCCACTGGTGATACTCAGGCAAACAGGGTCTGGAGTGGACCTCCAGCAAATTCCAACAGACCTGCAGCTGAGGGTCCTGACTGTTAGAAGGAAAACTAACAAACAGAAAGGACATCCACACCAATACCCCATCTGTACGTCACCATCATAAAAGACCAAAGGTAGATAAAACCACAAAGATGGGGAGAAACCAGAGCAGAAAAGCTGAAAATTCTAAAAATCAGAGCGCCTCTTCTCCTCCAAAGGAATGCAGCTCCTTGCCAGCAACGGAACAAAGCTGGACGGAGAATGACTTTGAAGAGTTGAGAGAAGAAGGCTTTAGACCATTGGTAATAACAAACTTCTCCAAGTTAAAGGAGGATGTTCTAACCCATCACAAAGAAGCTAAAAACCTTGAAAAAAGATTAGACAAATAGCTAACTAGAATAAACTGTGTAGAGAAGTCCTTAAATGACCTGATGGAGCTGAAAACCACAGCACAAGAACTATGTGACGCATGCACAAGCTTCAGTAGCTGATTTGATCAAGTGGAAGAAAGGTTATCAGTGATTTAAGATCAAATGAGTGAAATGAAGCAAGAAGAGAAGCATAGAGAGAAAAAAGTAAAAAGAAATGAAAAAAGCCTCCAAGAAATATGGGAGGACTATGTGAAAAGACCAAAACTACGTCTGATTGGTGTACCTGCAAGTGACGGGGAGAATGGAACCAAGTTGGAAAACACTCTTCAGGATATTATCCAGGAGAACTTCCCCAACCTAGCGAGGCAGGCCAACATTGAAATTCAGGAAATACAGAGAACACCACTAAGATACTCCTCGAGAAGAGCAACTCCAAGACACATAATTGTCAGATTCACCAAAGTTGAAATGAAGGAAAAAATGTTAAAGGCACCCAGAGAGAAAGGTAGGGTTACCCACAAAGGGAAGCCCATCAGACTAACAGCAGATCCCTTGGCAGAAACTCTACAAGCCAGAAGAGAGTGGGGGCCAATTTTCAACATTCTTAAAGAAAAGAATTTTCAACCCAGAATTTCATATCCAGCCAAACTAAGCTTCATAAGTGAAGGAGAAATAAAATCCTTTACAGACAAGCAAATGCTGAGAGATTTTGTCACCACCAAGCCTGCCTTACAAGAGCTCCTGAAGGAAGCACTAAACATGGAAAGGAACAACCAGTTCCAGCCACTGCAAAAACATGCCAAATTGTAAAGACCATCAATGCTAGGAAGAAACTGCATCAACTAACAAGCAAAATAACCAGCTAACATCATAATAACAAGATCAAATTCACACATAACAATATTAACCTCAAATGTAAATGGGCTAAGTGCTCTAATTAAAAGACACAGACTGGCAAATCAGATAAAGAGTCAAGACCCATCAGCGTGCTGTATTCAGGAGACCCACCTCACATGCAGAAACACACATAGGCTCAAAATAAAGGGATGGAGGAAGATCTACCAAGCAAATGGAAAACAAAAAAAAGCAGGGGTTGCAATCCTAGTCTCTGATAAAGCAGACTTTAAACCAACAAAGATCAAAAGAGACAAAGAAGGCTGCTACATAATGGTAAAGGGATCGACTCAACAAGAAGAGCTAACTATCCTAAATATATATGCACCCAATACAGGAGCACCCAGATTCATAAAGCAAGTCCTTAGAGACCTACAAAGAGACTTAGACTCCCACACAATAATAATGGGAGACTTTAACACCCCACTGTCAACATTAGACAGATCAACAAGACAGAAAGTTAACCAGGATATCCAGGAGTTGAACTCAGCTCTGCGCAAAGTGAACCTAATAGACATCTACAGAACTCTCCACCCCAAGTCAACAGAATATACATTCTTCTCAGCACCACATCACACTTATTCCAAAGTTTACCACATAGTTGGAAGTAAAGCACTCCTCAGCAAATATAAAAGAACAGAAATTATAACAAACTGTCTCTCAGACCACAGTGCAATCAAACTAGAATTCAGGGTTAAACTTACTCAAAACTTCGCAACTACGTGGAAACTGAACAATCTGTTCCTGAATGACTACTGGGTACATAACAAAATGAAGGCAGAAATAAAGATGTTCTTTGAAACCAATGAGAGCAAAGACACAACACACCAGAATCTCTGGGACAATTTAAAGCAGTGTGTAGAGGGAAATTTATAGCACTAAATGCACACAAGAGAAGGCAGGAAAGATCTAAAATTTACACCCTAACATCACAATTAAAAGAACTAGAGATGCAAGAGCAAACACATTCAAAAGCTAGCAGAAGGCAAGAAATAACTAAGATCAAAGTAAAACTGAAGGAAATAGAGACACAAAAACCCTTAAAAAAAATCAATGAATCCAGGAGCTGGCTTTTTGAAAAGATCAACAAAATTGATAGACTGCTAGCAAGACTAATAAAGAAGAAAAGAGAGAAGAATCAAATAGATGCAATAAAAAATAATAAAGGGGATATCACCACTGATCCAACAGAAATACAAACTACCATCAGAGAATACTATACACACCTCTAAGCAAATAAACTAGAAAATCTAGAAGAAATGGATAAATTCCTGGACACATATACCCTCCCAAGACTAAATCAGAAAGAAGTTGAATCCCTGAATAGACCAATAACAGGTTCTGAAATTGAGGGAATAATTAATATCCTACCAACCAAAAAAAGTCCAGGACCAGATGGATTCACAGCCGAATTCTACCAGAGGTACAAAGAGGAGCTGGTACCATTCCTTCTGAAACTATTCCAATCAATAGAAAAAGAGGGAATCCTCCCTAATTCATTTTATGAGGCCAACATCATCCTGATACCAAAGCCTGGCAGAGACACAACAACAAAAGAGAATTTTAGACTGATGTCCTTCATGAACATTGATGCAAAAATCCTAAATAAAATACTGGCAAACCAAATCCAGCAGCACATCAAAAAGCTTATCCACCACGATCAAGTTGGCTTCATCCCTGGGATGCAAGGCTGGTTCAACATATGCAAATCAATAAACGTAATCCATCATGTAAACAGAACCAAAGACAAAAACCACATGATTATCTCCATAGATGCAGAAAAGGCCTTCAACAAAATTCAACAACCCTTCATGCTAAAAAGTGTCAATAAACTAGGTATTTGGACGTATCTCAAAATAATAAGAGCTATTTATGACAAACCCACAGCCAATATCATACTGAATGGGCAAAAATTGGAAGCATTCCCTTTGAAAACTGGCACAAGACAGGGATGCCCTCTCTCACCACTCCTATTCAACATAGTGTTGGACGTTCTGGCCAGGGCAATCAGGCAAGAGAAAGAAATAAAGGGTATTAAATTAGGAAAAGAGGAAGTCAAATTGTCACTGTTTGCAGATGACATTTAGAAAACCCCATCGTCTCAGCCCAAAATCTCCTTAAGCTGATAAGCAACTTCAGCAAAGTCTCAGGACACAAAATCAAGTGCAAAAATCACAAGCATTCCTATATGCTAATAACAGACAAACAAAGAGCCAAATCATGAATGAACTCCCATTCACAATTGCTTCAAAGAGAATAAAATACCTAGGAATCCAACTTACAAGGGATGTGAAGGGCCTCTTCAAGGAGAACTACAAACCACTGCTCAATGAAATAAAAGAGGACACAAACAAATGGAAGAACATTCAATATTGTGAAAATGGCCATACTGCCCAAGGTAATTTATAGATCAATGCCATCCCCATCAAGCTACCAATGACTTTCTTCACAGAATTGGAAAAAACTACTTTAAAGTTCAAATGGAACCAAAAAAGAGCCCGCATTGCCAAGACAATCCTAAGCCGAAAGAACAAGGCTGGAGGCATCATGCTACCTGACTTCAAGCTATACTACAAGGCTACAGTAACCAAAACATCACGGTACTGGTACCAAAACAGAGATATAGACCAATGGAACAGAATAGAGCCTCCAGAAGTAATACCATACATCTACAAGCATCTCAACTTTGACAAACCTGACAAAAACAAGCAATGGGGAAAGGATTCCCTATTTAATAAATGGTGCTGGGAAAACTGGCTAGCCATATGTAGAAAGCTGAAACTGGATCTCTTCCTTACACCTTACACAAAAATTAATTCAAGAAAGATCAAAGACTTAAATGTAAAACCTAAAATCTGGCTAATATCCAGAAGCTACAAAGAACTTAAACAAATTTACAAGAAAAATCAAACAACCCCATCAAAAAGTGGGCAAAGGATATGAACAGACACTTCTCAAAAGAAGACATTTATGCAACCAACAGACACATGAAAAAATGCTCATCATCACTGGCCATCAGAGGAATGCAAATCAAAACCACAATGAGATACCATCTCACACCAGTTAGAATGGCAATCATTAAAAAGTCAGGAAACAACAGGTACTGGAGAGGATGTGGAGAAATAGGAACGCTTTTACACTGTTGGTGGGACTGTAAACTAGTTCAACCATTGTGGAAGAGAGTGTGCCAATTCCTCAAGGATCTAGAACTAGAAATACCATTTGACCCAGCCATCCCATTACTGGGCATATACCCAAAGGATTATAAATCATGCTACTATAGAGACACATGCACACGTATGTTTATTGTGGCACTATTCACAATAGCAAAGACTTGGAACCAACCCAAATGTCCATCAATGATAGACTGGATTAAGAAAATGTGACACATATACACCATGGAATACTATGCAGCCATAAAAAAGGATGAGTTCATGTCCTTTGTAGGGACATGAATGACCTGGAAACCATCATTCTGAGCAAACTATCGCAAGGACAGAAAACCAAACACTGCATGTTCTCACTCATAGGTGGGAATTGAACAATGAGAACACTTGGACACAGGGTGGGGAACATCACACACCGGCGTCTGTCATGGGGTGGGGGGAGGGGGAGGGATAGCATTAGGAGATATACCTAATGTAAATGAGTAGTTAATGGGTGCAGCACACCAACATGGCACATGTATACATATGTAACAAAACTGCACGTTGTGCACACGTACCCTAGAACTTAAAGTAAAATAATAATAATAATAAAAACTTTACATTCTACATGAAGTCCATGCTGCATTTTAGTTAATTTTTGTATAAGGTGTGAGATTTAGTTCAAGGTTTGTTTTTTTGCCTATGGCTATCCAATTGCTCCAGTGCCTCTGAAAAGCCTATCTTTCCTCCACTGTATTGTTTTTGCACTTCTGTAAACAATTAAGTTGGGCATAGTTATGTGGGTCTGTTTCTGGGTTTCTATTCTTTTCTGTTGATCTATCTGTTTGTCCTTCAGCCAATACCATACATTCTTAATTACTTTAACTATAAAATAAGTCTTGAAATTAGATGGACTGATTCTTCCCACTTCAATCTTCTTTTTCAAAGTGTTTTTGCTGTTCTAGTTCCTCTGCCTTGTCATTTAAGATTTAGAATAATCCTATCTATATCTACAAAAAAACTTACAAGGATTTTACTGGGAATTTCATAATTTTGTATATAAATCTGGGGAGAATTGACATCTTTATTCCATTGTCTTCTAATCTATGACATGGCATGTTTCTCCATTTCTTTAAAACTTTGATTTCTTTCACCAATAATTTGTAGTTTTCAGCATGCAAGTCCTGTACATGTCTTGTGAGATTTACACCTGTCTTTCATTTTAATTTTTATTGAATATAAATAGTATTGCATTTTAACTCCAGTGTGCTCATATGTGTATTACTAGTTTATAAAATATAATATATTTTCTGTTTATTTTGTATTCTGCCACTTTGTTAAATTCACTTATTAGCTCTATGAGATTTTTGTTTTCTTTGTGTGTGTGCACGTATGTGTATGTTTGTAGGTCTCTTGGGGTTTTCTATGTAACTATGTCATCTACAGATAGGAAGCATTTTATCTCTTCCTTTCTAATCTATATGATATTTATTTCCTTTTTGTGTTTTTGCCTCATTTCACTGGTTAGAACTTATAGCACTATGTTGAATAAGACAGTGAGAATGGGCATCCTTGCATTGCTCCTGATCTTATGGGGGAGACACTCAGTCTTTTACTATGAAGTATAATGTTATCTGTAGGTTTTTTGTATATGCTCTTTATCAAGTTGAGGAAGTTCCTCTTTACTGCTATATTTCTGAGAGTTTTGATTGTGAATGGATATTGAATTTTGTCATGCACTTTTAAAAATATTAATTGATATGATTACTTGGTCATGGTATAATTCTTTTCATATATTGCTAAATTTTATTTGATGGTATTTTGCTAAGAGTATTTTGCACCTACATTCACAGGGGATATTCATCCATAGTCTTTTGTTTTGTTCTGTATTAACTTTGCCTCGTTTTGGTATCAGGGTAATACTTAGCTTCAATAAAATAAATTGGGAAATACCTTTCTCTTCTATTTTCTGGAAGACACTGTATGGAATTGGTGTTAATTCTTATTTAAATAGTTGGCAGAATTCTCCAGTGAAGCCATCTGGATCTGGAGGTTTCTTTTTTGAGAGTTTTTCAATTGAGAATTTAATTTCCTTAATAGTTATGGGGATATTCAAATTATCTATTTAATGTTCGGTGAGTTATTTTTCATTTTATGAGGAATTAGTCTAGTTCCTCTAAGTTGTGAAACTTATGTTTGTAGGGTTATTCAAAGCATTTTCTCATTATCCTTTTGATGCCTCAGGTATCTATCGATAGTGTTATCTCCTGTTTTATTCCTGACAATGGAAATTTATGTCTGTTCTACTTTTTTTTCGTACCTCTTGCTAGAGATTTGTCAATTGTATCAGGAGATGTAACATTTTATTTAATATATGCAAATTTTAATTCATTATTGACTTTGTCTATTCTGCTACTATAAGAAAGTTACCTGGCCAGGCATGGTGGCCCACGCCTATAATCTCACGGTTTGAAGGCCAAGGTGGGAGGATCACTTGAGCTCAGAAGTTCAAGACCAGCCTGTGCAACATGGAGATACAGCATCTCTACAAAAAAGAAAAAATAGCTGGGCATGGTGGCATGCACCTGCAATCGATTGTATTGACTTTTTTCAAATAACCAGTTTTTCATTTCATTTTTTTCTCTATTTTTTTCTGTTTTCAATTTCTTGATTTCTGCTCTTTACTATCTCCTTCCTTTTGCTTGCTTTTTTTTTTTCTTGAGGATGGAGCTTATATTCTTATTTCGTGACTTTTCCTTTTTGTAATGTATGAATTTAGTGTTATACAGTTTTGTCCTAATACTGCATTTGCTACATCTCACAAATTTATATTTTCACTTTTATTCAGTTTAATATATTTTTTGTTTCCCTTGAGATTTCCTTTTTGACCCATGGATTATTCAGAAGTGTGTTGTTTAGTTTTCAAGTGTTTTGAGGGTTTCCTGTTATCTTGCTGCTGTTGATTTCTAGTTTGATTCCCTTGTAGTTAGAGAACACATTCTATATTATTTCAATTATTTGAAATCTATCGAGGTTTGTTTTATGTCCCAGGATGTGGTTTATCTTGGTATAAGTTTTGTGAACACATAAAAGCATAAGTATTCTGCTTTTGTTGGGTGAAGTGTTTTATACATGTCAATTTGATCCTGTTGGTTGATGGTGTTTTTAGTTTTTCTATACCTTTGCTGAGTTTTTGTCTATTTGCTTCATCAATTGCTGAGAGAGGTCCTTGAAGTCACTAAATATCTCTCCTTTCAGTTTTATCAGTTTTGCTTCAGTTTTGCAACTCTGTTGTTTGGCGCATACCCATTTAGAATTGGTACGTCTTCTTAGTGGTTAAACCCTGTTATTTTTATATAGTGTCCCTCACTGTCTCTGGCAATGTCATTTGCTTTGAAGTCCATTTTAGTTAATACTGAAAGAGCCATTCCTTATTTCCTTTGATTTGAATAACATGCATTTTTCCATCCTTTTACTTTCAACCAGCCAATACTGCTATTTGAAGTGTTTGTTATAGGCGGTACATAATTCGGTCATTTAAAAAATATATTCCATTCCTCTATCTTTTAATTGGTATATTTAGACTACTTATATTTAATGTAATTATTGATGAATGAGGGATGTCTGCCATTTTATTTTTTTTCTGTTTTTATTATCTGTTTTCTTTTTCCTGCCTTGTTGTTGGTTATCTGAACACTTTTTAGAATTCCATTTTTATTTATCTGTAATGTTTTTGAGTGTATCCCTTTGTATATCATTTTAGTGGAAGCTCTAGGTATTTCTCTCTATATATATAATATATATGTATATAAAGATATACATATATATATATCTTATGATAGTCTATTAGCATCATCATTCTACCAGTTCAAGTGAAGTATAGAAAACTTCTTATTTCCTCTTATGTCTCTTTGCCTTCCCTCATTTATAATATAACTATCTCAATAATTCCTCTACATCCATTTAAAACCACATCAGGCAGCATTAATGTTTTTGTTTCAAAACATTAAATGTAACTTAGACTCTAAAAGGGAAGGACAGCCTATTGTATTTACACATATTTTGGCTTACCATGTTCTTTCTTATTTTCTAATATTCTAAGTTTCCTTCTTTTATAAATTCCTTTCTGTTTAGAGAACTTCCTTTAGTCATTCTTTGTTTGTTTGTTTTTTGTTTTGTTTTGTTGTTGTTTTTTTTTTTTTTGAGATGGAGTTTCGCTCTTGTTGCCCCAGCTGGAGTGCAATGGCATGATCTCGGCTCATTGCAACTTCTGCCTCCCAGGTTCAGGCAATTCTCCTGCCTCAGCCTCCCGGGTAGCAGAGGTGACAGGTGCCTGCCACTGGGCCCGCTAATTTTTGTATTTTTAGTAGAGACGGAGTTTCACCATGTTGGCCAGACTGGTCTTGAACTCCTGACCTCAGGTGATCTGCCAGCCTCAGCTTCCCAAACTGCTGGGATTACGGGCGTGAGCCACCAAACCCAGCCTAGTCATTCTTTTAAGATAGGTCTGCTGGCAGCAAAGTCTTAGTTTTCCGTCTGAAAAAGTCTTGATTTTTCTCTTTGTACTTGAAGGATATTTTTGCTGGACATAGAATACTAGTTTGGCAGGTCTTTTCTTTCAGCATTTGAGAAATGTGCCATTTCTTTCTGTCCTCCATAGTTTCTGATGAGAAATCTGCTATTCAGTAGTTTTAGGCTGCAATATCATAGTAAGGTATTCATGTCAACAGGGTCAGTAGGTCACAAGTTCTCTAAGTTTGAAGCGTCAGCTTCAACCAAACAAATTAATGGCTATTCTACATTCAAAAATCAGGAAATTTAAATTTATTATGAAATGTAATGCAGCATGTAGTAAAGACTTAACCAGTGTTTTAAAACTCAACTTTCAAAGAAAAGATAGTATTGCTCCCTGTTTCATTAAAACCTAGAGAGATGTAATCAGTAAGCAAGAAGGAAAAAGGGAAATTCACAAAGTAACTTTTTGTGTCTGTTTCTTTTTAACCCAGCATGGAGAGAAAATTTATGTCCTTGCAACCATCCATCTCCGTATCAGAAATGGAACCAAATGGCACCTTCAGCAATAACAACAGCAGGAACTGCACAATTGAAAACTTCAAGAGAGAATTTTTCCCAATTGTATATCTGATAATATTTTTCTGGGGAGTCTTGGGAAATGGGTTGTCCATATATGTTTTCCTGCAGCCTTATAAGAAGTCCACATCTGTGAACGTTTTCATGCTAAATCTGGCCATTTCAGATCTCCTGTTCATAAGCACGCTTCCCTTCAGGGCTGACTATTATCTTAGAGGCTCCAATTGGATATTTGGAGACCTGGCCTGCAGGATTATGTCTTATTCCTTGTATGTCAACATGTACAGCAGTATTTATTTCCTGACCGTGCTGAGTGTTGTGCGTTTCCTGGCAATGGTTCACCCCTTTCGGCTTCTGCATGTCACCAGCATCAGGAGTGCCTGGATCCTCTGTGGGATCATATGGATCCTTATCATGGCTTCCTCAATAATGCTCCTGGACAGTGGCTCTGAGCAGAACGGCAGTGTCACATCATGCTTAGAGCTGAATCTCTATAAAATTGCTAAGCTGCAGACCATGAACTATATTGCCTTGGTGGTGGGCTGCCTGCTGCCATTTTTCACACTCAGCATCTGTTATCTGCTGATCATTCGGGTTCTGTTAAAAGTGGAGGTCCCAGAATCGGGGCTGCGGGTTTCTCACAGGAAGGCACTGACCACCATCATCATCACCTTGATCATCTTCTTCTTGTGTTTCCTGCCCTATCACACACTGAGGACCGTCCACTTGACGACATGGAAAGTGGGTTTATGCAAAGACAGACTGCATAAAGCTTTGGTTATCACACTGGCCTTGGCAGCAGCCAATGCCTGCTTCAATCCTCTGCTCTATTACTTTGCTGGGGAGAATTTTAAGGACAGACTAAAGTCTGCACTCAGAAAAGGCCATCCACAGAAGGCAAAGACAAAGTGTGTTTTCCCTGTTAGTGTGTGGTTGAGAAAGGAAACAAGAGTATAAGGAGCTCTTAGATGAGACCTGTTCTTGTATCCTTGTGTCCATCTTCATTCACTCATAGTCTCCAAATGACTTTGTATTTACATCACTCCCAACAAATGTTGATTCTTAATATTTAGTTGACCATTACTTTTGTTAATAAGACCTACTTCAAAAATTTTATTCAGTGTATTTTCAGTTGTTGAGTCTTAATGAGGGATACAGGAGGAAAAATCCCTACTAGAGTCCTGTGGGCTGAAATATCAGACTGGGAAAAAATGCAAAGCACATTGGATCCTACTTTTCTTCAGATATTGAACCAGATCTCTGGCCCATCAGGCTTTCTAAATTCTTCAAAAGAGCCACAACTTCCCCAGCTTCTCCAGCTCCCCTGTCCTCTTCAATCCCTTGAGATATAGCCAACTAACGACGCTACTGGAAGCCCCAGAGCAGAAAAGAAGCACATCCTAAGATTCAGGGAAAGACTAACTGTGAAAAGGAAGGCTGTCCTATAACAAAGCAGCATCAAGTCCCAAGTAAGGACAGTGAGAGAAAAGGGGGAGAAGGATTGGAGCAAAAGAGAACTGGCAATAAGTAGGGGAAGGAAGAATTTCATTTTGCATTGGGAGAGAGGTTCTAACACACTGAAGGCAACCCTATTTCTACTGTTTCTCTCTTGCCAGGGTATTAGGAAGGACAGGAAAAGTAGGAGGAGGATCTGGGGCATTGCCCTAGGAAATGAAAGAATTGTGTATAGAATGGAAGGGGGATCATCAAGGACATGTATCTCAAATTTTCTTTGAGATGCAGGTTAGTTGACCTTGCTGCAGTTCTCCTTCCCATTAATTCATTGGGATGGAAGCCAAAAATAAAAGAGGTGCCTCTGAGGATTAGGGTTGAGCACTCAAGGGAAAGATGGAGTAGAGGGCAAATAGCAAAAGTTGTTGCACTCCTGAAATTCTATTAACATTTCCGCAGAAGATGAGTAGGGAGATGCTGCCTTCCCTTTTGAGATAGTGTAGAAAAACACTAGATAGTGTGAGAGGTTCCTTTCTGTCCACTGAAACAAGGCTAAGGATACTACCAACTACTATCACCATGACCATTGTACTGACAACAATTGAATGCAGTCTCCCTGCAGGGCAGATTATGCCAGGCACTTTACATTTGTTGATCCCATTTGACATTCACACCAAAGCTCTGAGTTCCATTTTACAGCTGAAGAAATTGAAGCTTAGAGAAATTAAGAAGCTTGTTTAAGTTTACACAGCTAGTAAGAGTTTTAAAAATCTCTGTGCAGAAGTGTTGGCTGGGTGCTCTCCCCACCACTACCCTTGTAAACTTCCAGGAAGATTGGTTGAAAGTCTGAATAAAAGCTGTCCTTTCCTACCAATTTCCTCCCCCTCCTCACTCTCACAAGAAAACCAAAAGTTTCTCTTCAGAGTTGTTGACTCATAGTACAGTAAAGGGTGGAGGTGATATGGCATTCTGAAAGTAGGGAGGGACTAAGTCAGTCATCATACTAAACAAAAATCCCAGTACCCTTTCCTTATTTAGCTACCAGAATGATGACAGACAGACTCAAACCCTGTCAAGACAGGACCCTGGAGGATCCTCCTATGGGGAAACTGCATAATCTGAAAAAAAGGCTGACAGATACAAATAGTTGAGGATCCTTCAACACAAAAGCTGCGTGTCTGCCCTATTACTCACCTGACGATGAAGCCCACAATGCAACAAATCCCTTCCACTCACAGCATTTGGTCAACCTGTCAGAGCCTCATTCTTAATTATGAAAAGTAGTCAATGAACACAATACATTTGAGGGAAAGGCCGTAACATGAAAGGCACCAACAAATAAATGTGAGAGTAGATAGAGACCTTTTGAGTATAAAAGATCCTCCAAAATAAGAGATTAAACCAAGATAGAGGAAAACACAGTAGCTGGGAAACAAGGAATCCAACGCAGGAGAAAGTGAAGAGAATTCCCAGGATGTTGGTGTGTAGCAGGCTTAGAAAGCAAGTCATTCATGTTGGAGCAGGACTCTTAAAGGACTCTAGGAGAGATGTCTCCCAGAAAAAGAAGAAATTAATTGATTCATACACATTGAGAGGGATTTAGATTTCTCTTGCAGAGATTGAGATAAACTAGTCGTAAATACATAGAAAAATAAGCAAGTAAAAACGCAATACAGTTTTTAAGTGCTAGAGGAAAAGAAACTTTTGTATTAGAGAGGAAATATAACCACAGTACACTACATGGCTCAGCTGTGAATAATATTTACATAGAGGATAATGTGAATATAATAGTCTCCCATTATCTGTGGTTTTGCTTTCTGCAGTTCAGTTACAGCCAGCCAGTCTGAAAATATTAAATGGAAAATTCCAGAAATAATTCTTAAGTTTTAAAACATGTGCTGTTTTGAGTAGCATGTTGAAATCTCGCACTATCACCCTCCACCCATGTTCTGGGCAGGGCAAAGTGGGATGGTGTGAGATTTCTCCAGTGGATCCACAATGTATATGCTACCCACCCATGAGTCACTTAGTCATCATCCAGTTGCTCAGATCAACTGTTGTGGTATAACAGTGCTTGTGTTAAAGTCACTCTTATTTTACTTACTAATGTCCCCAAAGCATAAGAGTAGTGATGCTGGCAAATAAGATACACCAAAGAGAAGCTGTAAAGTGCTTCCTCTAACAGAAAATGTGAAAGTTCTTGACTTAATAAGGAAAGAAAAAAAACACATGCTGAAGTTGCTAAGATCTACAGTAAGAACAAATCCATCTGTAAAATTGTGAAGAAGGCAAAAGAAATTTGTGCTAGTTTTGCTGTTGCACCACAAGCTGCAAAAATTATTTATTACACCCCACGGTGTGTGATAAACACTTAGTTAAGATGAAAAGGTATTAAATTTGTGGGTGGAAGACATGAACAGAAATGTGTTCCAATTGACAGCAATCGGGTTTGGTACTATTTGGGTTTGGTGCTATTCGTATTCAGGGTCTTGGAATGCAACTCCCACAGATAAGGGGGTGCTGCTGGAGTGAAATACTGTGATATAACCTTTTTTTCAGGAAATGAAGGGAGAAGATGTGTACGTGTGTGGGAGAGGTATAAGAGACCTAGGTTGCCATATTCTATCACAGAAAATGCATAATAACTAAATCTGGAAAATGATGAATAGCTGTACAACCATATTATTTAGCAATAGGAGGTAAATACAGGTAGAAGCAGAAGAAAGAATGGGCAGGGGTTACCTCTATGGAGAAGCTGGGGTGGGAGGATAGGGTGGGGACTTATTTTACGAACTGTGTAATTGCCTAACTTGTGAATATGTATTTCTGAAGTAAAATAAAAATTAAGTTAAAATTAAATTTTAAAATTCAAACTAATTCTGAGTTGTTTTTTAAAACAAAAACAAAAAAAGACAAGAAAGCCCATCAGAAATGGAAACTGAACATTGACAGAAGAAAGGAAAGCAGGAAAGGACCAGAGTTGTATTTCAGTTCTTGAGAGAAGCCCATCTAGTCCTGCCATGGGAGGCAAGTCCTTTCTTGGGGTGAGGAAAGTCACTTTCTGGGGTTAGAGAGATTTTGATATGTTACTTGGGATATTTTTAGTTGCAAGTAACAGAAAACCCTACCCCAAGTGGCTTACATAATAAAGGGATTTGATTATCTCATATAACTGAAATATACCGAGGGAAGTTGGACTTCAGGCCTTGTTCAACCAGGACATCTGTGGGCTTTCCTCCCCAGATGTTGGCTCTGCCACATGGGTGAATCCTCTCATGGAAACAAGCTGACTGCAAGCAGCCTGAGACTACACACTTCCTTATTTGTTTCTAAAGCAAACTAATGAAGAATGGATTACTCTGAATGAGGATGATGACAGTACACACCTAAAGTAGTTGAGGTGAAACCCGCTGAAATCTCATCTGGGAAAGGGGTGAAATGGGGCTTGCAGAGGCCACATATGTACTGCAAATGAGGTGGAGAGAGAGCTGCCAACCAGCTAAGCATCCATGCTGGGTGTGGCATGTAACTGAGCAGGCAGCCGGGCAGCTTTGGAGGGTGGGGGGAAATGCAGGCTCTAGGAAGAAGGGCAAAAGTTAAATTTTGAATTTCGGTTGTGAAGTCGTAGGGATTTTCAATTGTCAATGAGAAACCTTAACAACTTTCCAAGGGCAAAATGGCCCAAATAAAGCTGGGAGTAACAGAGCAACCAAGGTCCTTAGGATGAGCATAAGAGAGGGGTTGTGAATTATTAATGTCTATGGTGTGTGTATGTGAGAGACAGACAGAGACAGAGATGTAATGGCTTACTTTTCCTTTTTCCAGCCAGAGTGAAGCCTCCTATTTGTTGAAATATGTCCTTGGAGAGGAAACAAAATGGAACTCTTTACTTACCATAGCAAAAGCCAAAAGTGTCCTGGGGTTTTGGACACAGCTCTTTTTGTTAGAGTGGGTATTTCCTCAAGCAAGTACATACCTTGTTCAACTGGGAGAAAGGATTTTTGTTGTGTAAACTTTGGTGGAATTATGAGACTGGAACTGTGCTTTCTCACTGGGGACCTAAGAAGCAAATGCCATTATATTTTGTAACTGTGTTAAATTCTTTATTTTGGATTTGATTAAGCTGATTTTCAGTTTATTCTGAAGTAGAGATTATGTCAAACTGGCCAAAGATGGGTTAGGAGAGGACATGGCTTTCTGTAGAGAATTTATTTTTCTGTTTGGAAAAGAATTTGAAAATAGAAACCCAATCAGGGAAAATGAGAGTGGGGAGTGGGCACAGGGGTAACTCTAGGGATGTGGTGATGGAAGATCCTTACTCTGAAGACATCTCATCCCCAAGCAGATGAAGGCAGCTGCTTGGGGCTAATAAAAGCCACCAAGAAAAATATAATGAGAAAAAAACTTGTTAGAATGTTAATATATATTTTAAAGCTTTAATAAGTTTCCTTAAAGTATAGCATTGGCATAAGAATCTACAGAGAGATTAAATAAATAGCTTGGACACAGATGCTAATTTATCTGGGGAGTTTGAAAAGCCTCAGAAGGGGTAGCTGCATGATGTGCTGAGGAGGCTAAATTCTAAACCCAAGAACCTCCATCCCCAATCCCTGAAGACCCCTACATCCCGAGTGTGGGGTGACAGCAGGGATAACCTGACACTTAGGTCAGTGGAACAGTGGTTGACTATCAGAGGAGTCTCCCTAATGAGCTGGCTCATGTAGGGCTTCAGGATCTTTGCATAACCTTCAAGTTAGGGGAAAACAAACCACCATGTTACTCTCAAATTGGAGAGACATTGTAACAACGAAGACTTAATTTCCCATTAGCTTAATGGGACAGGTGCTTAAAGTTTGATATAAATTAATGTAAACTAATGTTCTTAATATTAAGTATGATGCCTTGGAGCCATCTGGGTGAGAAGTTTCTATTTATTCTGGGCCTATGACCCTGGAGAAGTTTTTCAGAGAGATTCTGTCTGACTGCTCCAGCACAGTGTTTCAGCTCACAGTTTATATATGGACTATGGAGATTTAGTATGTAGAAGATCACATCAAACTTGCTCAGAAGTTATATCAAAGCAGAATCACATGAATGTTTAGGTGTAAGAGCACCTGGTTATAGATTACAGAGTCATAATTATTAACCCTGTGTATTAGTCCATTTTCTTTTATTTTTTTTTATTTTTTGAGATGGAGTTTTGCTGTTGTCACCCAGGCTGGAGTGCAATGGCATGATCTCGGCTCACTGCAACCTCCACCTCACAGGTTCAAGCGATTCTCCTGCCTCAGCCTCCTGAGTAGCTGGGATTACAGGTGCCTGCCACTACACCCAGCTAGTTTTTGTACTTTTAGTAGAGACAGGGTTTCACCACATTGGCCAGGCTGGTCTTAAACTCCTGACCTTAGGTGATCTACCCAGCTCGGGCTTCCAAAGTGCTGGGATTACAGGCATGAGCCACCATGCCTGGCCAGTCCATTTTCATGCTGCTAATAAAGACATACCCAAGACTTGGCAATTTACAAAAGAAAAAGGTTTATGGGACTTACAGTTCCACATGACTGGGGAGGCCTCACAATCATGGTGAAAGGTGAAAGGCACGTCTCACATGGCAGCAGACAAGAGAAGAGAGCTTGTGCAGGGAAACTTCCATTTTTAAAACCATAAGATCTCCTGAGACTTATTCACTATCATGAGAACAGCACTGGAAAGACCCACCCCATGATTCAATTACTTCCCACCAAAGATTCCTCCCACGACATGTGGGAATTGTGCGAGTTTCAAATCAAGATGAGATTTTCATGGGGACACAGCCAAACCATATTACCTTGTTAGACATTATCTTATGTGTAGGAAAAGGCAAGGACTAGGGTCATTTATCTTTTAAAGAATGTAGTGACTCAGGCAGGAGACATGGGAGGCTGTGTCCTCTAAGCTGTTTTGTCTTCAAAGCACCCATCCAGAGACCTGCATGTTGTCACAGAGCCATGGACTTTATGAAATTATGCTAGCAAGCAGAAATGAGCAAACATGGCTTCTTACATTTGCTATTTGATCCCGCAAGTTTCTGCTTTTGTTCATAAATCAACTGTTTGGTTACATTTACAGGACCAACATCAATTGTCCCACATAGCTAGAAAGCCTCTTTCCTGAGAAGGTCACTAATTTCTCAGTTGCAGTTGTAAGGAATGAGCATCAGGCCCAACATGCATACTTGCCTATTTATTGGAAAACACTTTGGGTTGCATCTGTTTTTCTAATGAGTATGATCCTTTTTTTTTTCTGGCATTGCCTTTCCTGTGCCTAACACAGCACCTCAATAGGACTATTACAAGAATACTACAGATTATGCATAGCAGTGTATACTTAATAGCATTAAAGTGAGTTACAGACAGAAAAAAATATGATAACCATTTAACAAAACTGCAACATATATTTGAATTCTTTAAATTAATTGTACTATTTTCTCTCTTTTTGTACCCATATTTATTAAAGCCTTTTTTTCACAAAAACAATTTTGGACTAGAGTTTATCACATTAATAATATATTCATACAAATATAACTTTAGAAAAGATTTAACAAGATAACCAAACTTACTACTGAAAACAGACTTTTATGAATTTATATAATTGTTGGAACATTTATTTCAATAACACACTCATAAATGTAACTGAAAGAAAATCTAGTGTCATCATTTGACAATGCCTCTCATACAATTTACCAAATAATTCTTATCCTTTCATCCAAAAAAGACTTAATTTATGATTTTAATCTTGGGGAACTTGACTCAGATGTCAAAAGATTTAAAACATTTAATCAAAACAGAATCATGAGGCATTATAAAATAAGTTATTCTTTTAACCAGAGTAATAATCAAAAGGTTTCAAAAGTAATACATAAAGTTTCATGGATGTAAAAACCTTAATCCTTTTAAAGCTCTGTTTTCTTATGTAACCAAACACCTAATAAAAACAATGTAGGAATTATCTTGATAGAATATAAAATCTTTGTTTTTTAGGCCAGTTCCCAAAAAGGTAAAGAAAAACCTCTTACAGTGTGATTGCTTCCCCTTATGGGAAGCCCATTTAGAAAACCTGGAAGTCAAATCTGATGAAAAGAGTATTTGAATTTAATCAGACACAGGAAGAGTGTGTCCAGGGTCATGAGTAAACACTATATTTTAGAAGAATGTAAACAAGTAAACTAGTACCTTGAGCAAGGGAATACATGCTCTTAGTAACAGCATGGAAAGTTCCCCGGTTACATGGAACAATTTAGACATACCAAAAAAAGTCAAAAGCCCAAAATCAAGTTATACTGGAGGAAAACCTTGCTTTTCTAGACCTTTAAGATAAACATTTCAGCATTAGGCCACAGCGGCAAAGGTAGAACGGGAGAAAAAAGTGTTACAGGAGTTGATGAGAAGGTTAAAAGAAATGGTTATTATTCCAGCCAAGCAAAAAGACATACCTTCTCAAGGGGGGACAAAAATAGAAGGCAATTATATATGACCTGCAAATCATGTGCAGTGAGGTACAATAAAAGTTAAAATTTCTGAGGTACAAGTTTGAGAAGTTTCAAAAAGAAACAAATTTCAGGATTAAAAACCAAAACCTCTTGTAATTTTACAAAGAGCAAATTAATACTTTAAGAAAACCTTGTTCTAACATACGAGATCAAAATTTTTAGTTTTGTATTAATGTATTTTTAATATTAAAGCTCAATATTTAGAAACACTGTTATTTTTTTAATTATAGCCAACTTAATCACATACAAAATTCATTTTATAAATTCTCTTTTCACAAACTTTATTATGACTTACACAAACCATGTATAACATGCTTGGACTTTCTGCTTTGTCTAATCCTTTCTCTTTCTTAAATAACCAGTCATTTTGTTTAAGAAGAAAAATTTACCATACAAGATCCTTTCTCATAAAATATTATTCTCTTATTTTCTACCTTCCTTACCAAAATTACATCTTCATATCTATAACTTTCTTCCCATATCTCTCCCCTAGTGACTGCTTCCTTTTTATCTTATTTCATAAATAATCTACAAATTAGACAAAATTTTTATTTTTCTCAATAAAGAGCACATTTTTATGCCTTTCTTATAACTTTTCTTCTTAAAAACACATCATATTTTGGGGGTACATTTTATGCATAGAATTATATCTATTAATTAGCATTTTTATTCTTAGTAAACTTAAAGTTTAGTATAAAACTAGAAACCAAGCAATCTTGAATTGTCTGGCACATGTCAGTATTTTATAGATGAGAAACATTTTATAATTTCTTAAAAACACCTTTCCTTATAAGTTTTTCTTAATTGGAAATGACCCAAACATTTAATGAGTATCTATTATTTAATTTAACATAACATTAAGATTTTAAACTACATGAAAAGGTCATTATAAGCATTTATCTCATTTACATTTATTTAATTTACTTAGTTTTTAATAGTTTACCTAGATTACTTATAAAAACTGAAATATTAGACAAAGCTAGTCATCATTACAAGATATTCCCCTGTTAATCATTTTATAGTCCGTGAATATCAGGTGTTTACCTAAATAAGAACCTTAAAGTGAAATATATGGGTATTTTCCTGGTAACTCAGAAGACTTGGCTGTTTTCACTAAGCCAATATTATTATTATTATTAATTTATATACATTTATGGGGTACATGTGCAATTTTGTTACATACTTAGATTGCATAGTGATCAAGTCAGGGCTTTTAGGTTATCCATTACCCAAATAACATGCATTGTACTTATTAAGTAATTTCTAATCATCCATCCCCCTCCACCCTCTCACCCTTCTGAGTCTCCATTGTCTATCTCCACTCTCTTCTGTCCATGTGTACACATTTTTAGCACCTACTTATGACTGAGAACATGCAATATTTGACTTCCTGTGTCTACCTTGTTTCACTTAAGATAGTGAAATCTAGTTCCATCCATGTTGCTGCAAAAGACATGATTTCATTCTTTTTATGACTGAATAGGATTCCATTGTATACATATACCACATCTTCTTTATCCAGTCAACCATTGGTGGACACAGGTTGATTCCATATTTTTGCTATTGTGAATAGCACTGTGATAAACATATGAATGTGGATATGTTTTTTATATACTGATTTATTTTCCTTTTGGTAGATATCCAGTAGTGGGATTGTTAGATTGAATGATAATCCTATTTTAGTTCTTTGCAGAACCTTCATACTGTTTTCCATAGACGTTGTACTAATTTAAATTCCCACCAACAGTGTATAAGAGTTTTCTTTTCTCCACATCCTCGCCAACATTTGTTATTTTTTGCTTTTTTAATAATAGTAATTCTGACTGGGATAAGATGATATCTTTGTTGTGTGTGCTTTTTTTAAGGGGCAGGTAGTAATGAGGGAAGCTCAAATTTCTATTTTTCTTTTTTGTGGCCATGAGGTATTGCTGTGTTGCCCAAGCTGGTCTTGAACTCCTGCGCCCAAGAAATCTTTATCCATCAGCCTCCCAAAGTGCTGGGATTACAGGTGTCAGCCTCCACACTGGCCTAATTGTGGTTTTAATTTGCATTTGATGATGATTAGTGATATTGAGTATTTTTTCATATACTTGGCTATTTCTATGTCTTCTTTGGAAAAATGTCTATTCATGATCTTTGACCACTTTTCAGTAAAATTATTTGATCTTTTGTTGTTGTTGAGTTGAATTCTTGTACAGTTTGGATATTAGTCCCCTGTTGGATGCATTCTACAGGTTGTCTGTTCACTCTGCTGATTATTTCTTTTGCTCTACAGAAGCTTTTCAGTTTAATTAAGTCTCATTTGTCTATTTTTGTTTTTCTTGCCTGTATTTTTGAGGTCTTAGTCATATTTTTGAGGTCTTTTGCCTAGATCAATGTCCAGAAGAGTTTTCCCTAGTTTTTTTTCCTGGTATTTGTATAGTTTGGTGTTTTATGTTTAAGTCTTTACTCCATCTTGAGTTTATTTTTGTATATGATGAGAGATATGAATCCAGTTTCATTCTTCTGTATATGACAATTCAATTATCCCAGAACCATATATTGAAAAAGGTGTCCTTTTCCCAAAGTATGTTCTTGCTGTCTTTGTCAAAGATCCATTGGCTGCAAATATGTGGCTTTATTTCTGGGTTCTCTTTTCTGTTCCATTGATCTATGTGTCTATTTTTATACCAGTACCATGCTGTTTTGATTATTGTAGCCTTATAATTTAAAATCAGGTAATATGATGCCTCCAACTTTGTCCTTTTGCTTAGGGTTGCTTCAGCTTTTCGAACTCTTTTTTGGTTCCACAAAACCAACAATATTATATTAGTTTCTTATTTATAAAAAAATTACACAAACAAATGTCATTCTGGTTTTGGCTGGGTTTATAAACTTCATGCCAAACCATGGCACTTTAAAATATATAGAAGAACAAACATAAAATTGTGTGATCAGGAAACCCAGGCAAAAAAGTATGCTGACAATTTTGAAGACATTTCTATTTTACTTTTCTCAATATTTTTAAAACCAGCTTATTTATTAAAGTTGTACTTAAATCAATGAACTTTGAAAATATTTGGGCTTACTAATTTATTAGCTCATTTATTTACAAATCAATTAGGTACCATGTAGACACAACCTATAAGATAATACATGTATGCATACATAAACACATCTAAACATACACACACACAAATAAAGATCATTGCTTACATTTTAGAATTTGAGCCATGAGGTAGTAATACAAACTCACTGAATTATAAAAGATGGTTGGGTCCAAATTATATTTGGGACCTTTTCATATGGCTAAACTTTATTTGCCCCAATGGGTAATCTGATGAGGGCTGTGGACAAAATTTTGGGTAAAGCAGTTTTCATGGTAGTTTGATTTTTAAAACCTCTCACACCTTTTTTTTTTCAGTGTCAAATGAGTTTATGGTTAAATTTTCAACGTTTACATGGCTGAATTGTATAAGAAAAAATCTCCAAGTAACTTTGAATTAGTAATACCATAAACAGTGTGTTTTATCTCAACATCAGTAGAAAAGTCAGCAGATTCAAAGTAGGCAGGAAAAAAATAGAGAGATAGAGAATTTAGAAGGCTTTACATGTTAACTCTATAGTTGCAGGGATAATTAACATTTGAGTTCTGAATTTTTCTTGATGTAATTTGCCCACCCATTTAAAATGTGCATAAGAATGGGCCATAATATGTAGCTAACTGGAGTCCCAGAAAACCTACTATACTATACCTTTGTGTGTAAAAGTCTCATTTTTTGCCATTTCAATGTTAAGTTCCCTTTAGTAAAGCCTCCCATCTAGGGAGATGCTTGCAAATATAGGCTCCGTATGTATTAGACATGAAGCCTGCTGGATCTTGGGGGCTTAGTTCCCCTGTTCTTTCAGTATGGGATTATTTGTCTCCCATTGTGAGAGCTCAGCAAAGCAGAAACACTAGTGATAAGTGTAATGAGTCAAATGTGCTGCTTCAAGCATTGCCAATGCTGTTACTCGTCTTACGTGTCTTGGTTGTTTCTTCTGGTTGCCTAAAGCAATTATGGGGGCTAGGAGCACTGGGTGACAGACTCTTATGTCTGTGTCCCTGAATGAGCCAATTTTTAATTACTTGTGATGAAGAATTTCCTATGGGACCACTGCATGTCATGAAGACTGTACTCTGACATTTCCAAGAGATCTCCAGTCACTCAGGATGCCAAATCAGAACCCGGCTAGAAGAAGCAAGTGTTCCTTGTCTTTGGAGTTAACTCAGGTCAAACCTTCAAGATTTTTAGTAGTTTCTTCCCTGCTGAGCCTTGTTTATAGAATCAAATTGAAAGGGAAAACACTGGCTTAACCTAGCCAATCAGACAGCCACACATATCCAATTCTTCCTAGTATTTTTTAACTGGAAGAATTCCCCTTCTTGAGAAATAAAAAGTCTCAAGGAAGAATTTGCCCCTTCCTCAAGGGGTAAAAGCAACTTGCTGAATAAAACTTAGAACCACCATCAAATCGAGGTTCTGAGACTCAGAAGAGGCTCACTCAGTTGTTTGCAAACATGGAGGACCTGGAGGGGCTCAGAGGGTTCATGCCGGTACTGAGGTGCCAGGTCCTTTCAATGGACCCGGGAAAATCTACTTTCTGAGTCCCTTCATGGTTGCCATGATAGTTGACTTTAAAAAAATCAAGCTTTTAAGGAATTAAAGTTTGTTTCATTCAGAAATCTTGCTGAGAACTATAGCCTGAGAATTACAGCCTGGAAGAAGTCTTTCAGAAAGGTTCTGACAGAGTGCTCCAGAACAGTGTTTTAGCTCACAGTTTACACATGGATTGTGGAGGTTTAGTGCATGCAAAATCACATCAACTTGCCCAGATGTTACATTAAAGCAGAATCACATCGAAGTTTGAGTGTAAGTGTACATCTAGTTATAGATTACAGTCATAATCACTAACCCTGTCAGATGTTATCTGATGTGTAGGAAAAGGCAAGGATTAGGGTCATTTATCCTTTAAGGAATATAGTGACTAAGGCAAGAGATATGCGGCGGGGCATGTGCTCTATCCTATTTTGTCTTCAAAAGATCCCTCTGGGGAGCTGCATGTCATCACAGAGTCAGGGGCTTCGTGAAATTCTGCTGGCAAGCAGAAATGAGCAAACATGGCTTCTTGTGCTTGTTACTTTGTCTCACATGCCACAATCATTTATGTGTTCTTGATCTTAGAGATAGGTGTTATTCTGAATTTTGTGTTAATTATTCTTTTGTTTTTATTTATAATTTTGCTGCATAAATGTATTTGCAAGCAAAATATTATTCAGCTTTGCCTGCTTTTGCATTTTCCATAAATGGAATAATATAACTATTTCTATTCAGCTTTATCTTTTTGAGATTTCATCATGATACTGCAGCCTGTGTGATAGTAACAGTTTATCCATACGTCTGTTCATGATGACTTAGGTTATTTTCCCTTTTTGCTATTAGGAACAATGCTGCTATGAATATTTTCACACATGTCTCTCAATACTCACATGTAAAAGCTTTTCCATATTATACAGTTAGGAATGTGTTCACGATCAACATTTCTAGGTCTTTCTCAAATTGGTTTCACCAATTCATACTTCTGCCAGCAATGTATGTAAAATCCTAAGGATCTACCTTTTTGGAAACATTTGAGATCGCCAGACATTTAGCTTGTTGAAACCTGTGGGTTTCAAGTGACTTTCACTGTGGTCTTTATATAAATAAAATGTAGGGAATTAAACACAAATAAACCCTCACAAAAGAAAATAACAAAGGTTGTATTTTCAGCAAAAGAAAAATGTTAATAGATTAACAGTCTGAAATGCAAGAAGAAACAGTGAACAAATATATGCATAACTATGTGTGTAAATGTAGGATTCGGGTTGATAGCTAGATTAACCATCTTCTGCTTTTTGTTGTTGCTGATAAGATGTCAGCTATTCAAGTAACATTACTTCCATAATAGTAGCTAGCATTTATTAATGCTAGACACTCTTCCAAAAATATGTGTTCATTTTTCGTTAAGAGAAATTGAAAATATAATTAATCATATTTTGCATATGAGGAAACTGAGTCATATAGAGGTGAAGCAACTTGTCAAGATGTACTTGTAAATAATTGAACCAGTATGGAAACCCAGTCAGTACAGTTCCAGAGCTCACATTCTCACCAACCACACCTAACACTAAACTCCCTTATCCTCCTATCTACTACACTAAACTTTAGTGCGACACTGCCTCATAGATGAGATGCTTCTTGTTCTGATTGGTCTTAAGATTTTCTCTTTGTCTTTTGTGCTCTAAAAGATTTCTGTGACGTGCGGAGGTATAGATTTCTTTTCCATTAACCTGAGTTACACTTAGCTGTGTCTAATCCAATGTTAAACCCATGTTTTGCATTTTAAATTTCAATAATTTTACTTTTCATTTCTAGAAATAAATTTTTTTCCTAATGGCATAGTTGTAATTCATCATTTCTTGTACTTGTTAATCTTTTCATGCCTCATCTTCATTTATTGAAATATGCTTACTTTATGATCATGTCTAATAATTTCATCTTAAAGTCTTTGTCTATCTGATCTGCTGTATATCATTTTTGCTGTCTGTCGCCCATGCTGACTTGGTATATTTTGCCATTTTAAACAATGAATCCCTGTTCTTTGGAACTCTATCAGTGGAATTTTTAAGGCTTATCTTGACTTTCCTCCAGAGATGTTTTGCATTTATTTCTGCCAAGTTTTGGGATACATTAAAATCCTGGGGCTACATTAAATTAAATTCACTGCTTGATTTTTTAATATCACATAGGCCTTGTAAATTCTGACCATAACTTCTCCAATAATCAAATTGTGATTCAAAATTTTCAAGATAGATATTTTTCTCCCCTTACCTAATGAAGGGGTCCAGACAGGCAAGGTGCATTGTTGCTTTCTTCTGTATAATAGGTTTGTTTCTCATATGCCCTTATACTAAGAGTGAAGCCTATAGTATTCTAGCTTTACTTAGGGGGTATAGTAGATCTTGTCCAAAAATGGCTACCATCGATTCCCCCTCTACCTGTAAGTGCATGCTATTTATCACATCAAGAAGTGGAATCTAATTTCTCTCCTCTTGAATGTGGGCTGGGCTTAATGGTATGTTTAGCCAATGGGATACAGCAGAAGTGACATTCTCGGACTTCTATGGCTAGGTCATATCGAGCCTTGTGGTTTCTGCCCGGACCTCTTCAAAGTAACTCTTGAGATGTTTCTTCTTGAAATTCAACAATCATTCTGCAAGAAGATCAAGCTATCTGGATAACTAATGTGAAGATGATTAGGTTGGCAGCCCCTGCTGAGCTCCCAGACAACAGCCACCATCAACCGCTCAACTGTAAATGAGCCCTCCTGGGTAGACAGTCAAGTCTTCAGATGACTCTTGCCTCAGCCTCCACTGGTTGTAACCCCATGATACTCCCCAAGTGAGAACTTACCAGCTGAGCCTAGTGAACCAATAGAATGTAATAATGCATTGTTGATTTAGGTTACTAAGTATTGGGGTGGTTTGTTACACAACAAGAGCTTTTCTGTTAGACTTTCCTTTTTGGGTGGGATCTAAACTTTATCTCCAGTTTCCCTCATCCTATGAGGTCATCAAAAATAACAACACATAAATTCACTAGGGTTTAGAAAGTAATTTCATAGTGAAAGCATTTGTTGGCCCTCCACTATTTCTCAGGGTTCAAACTTTTACTTTGTTTTTCCACCTCTCTATATTTTTTCCTTTATTTTGTACTCTGTAGTGCACTTAAAAATTAAGATTACATAGCTTTTATAAGGTCAGAATTTTAGAGAATATTGTCCTCCATATGATCATAAATTAAAGCTTTTTAGCTCTTTGTAGAAAAGGAAGTAAGGTTTTGAGTTATCTGGGATTTTATTATAAATTTGGTATGAATCTGTGGCATGCTTTCCTAGTGAGAATGCCTAGCCCCATTCACTCTTCAATCCCCTCTAATCCAGATTTTTGTTTCTAACACTGTGCTCAAACTGGCCTTGCTAAAGTCATCAATGATCACCATGTTGTCAAATCTAATGGTTTTTTTCCCTAGTCTCAATTTACACAATCTGTATTGCATTAGACACAGTTGACCACTAATTATTCTTATAACACTTTCTTTTCTTGGGCTTTGTGACACAATCTCTTGGTTTTTCTCCTATATCCTCATCTACTCCTTCAAACAGACTCTGACATATACATCTCTCTCTGTGTGTGTGTGTGTGTGTGTGTGTGTGTGTGTGTGTGTGTGTGTGTTCAGCCCATTTATCAGTGAGGACCATAGGCTGGTTTGGAGTCTATTCTTTGAGATCCCATACCTTGCTTACTTTTTGCTAACTCCCATTTTGGCAGCTCAATTCTGCCTAATTTCACTCATCAAGTTAACCAAGGATCCTAGTGATAGGAACATATTTTCTTAGAATTTCACCACCACTGGTTTGTCCTCTCTGCAAACTTGAATACCTAGGTATCAACTGATCTGTAGTTACGACAAAGATTGTGTCTCCCCTGCTGCCTCTTTCTTTGCCAACCTTAGCAGCTCGGTCAGTTTCCCAAGTCACCCACAGTAGTCTACTTTTCACATTTGCCTGTTTAGACACAGCCTTCTTTTGACTACAAAATAGAGAAATTGAAAAGAATTTTGTCTTCTCCCAAGTCATACTTCTAGGGAAAGCCTTCATAATTTTATTTGAAATGAACTTCCAAAATACAAGAACTACCATTCAATTCAATTCCACAAGTTATTTTACTGTGTGTACCTGCCATTTATGTGTCAGGCACTGTGCTGGCCACCTTAGGGGTATAAGGATGGCTAACATATGGCCTAGAAAAGACTTAAACTATGTACATAAAACACCAAGATGTAACTCAGGAAGTGAAGATGAAGTACCAGCAGAGCACAGAAAAGGAAGAATTCTCATTCAAGTGATGGCTTTGTGAAAAAATGGACTACTTGGCTTAACCCCTAAAGAATAGGTAGAAGTCAGCAGATAGAGATTGAGGAATGAGGAAAAAAAAGAGAGAAAGGTATTTCAGTTGACGGACATACATAAAGACACAAATAAAATCTAGTACTTTTTGGAAGTTGTAAGCACACTGATGTGGACTGGCAGACATGCAGGACCCTAGAAGGACAGTCACAGCACAAAGATGCTGTAAGAGTAGGTTGGGTGGGGTCATGGAGGATGTGAATGCCATGCTAAGGAACACACTGTAATTCAGAGGGCAATGGGGAGCCATGGGAGACTTCCTAGGGGAATAGTATAATGACTAGAGTTGTGTATAAGGAACATGACTCTGGAAGGAACATATGGACCATATTTTCAATAAAAATATACAACCATGCCCTGAAGTTAAACAGAATTTATTCTTGATTATCTTCAATTGCATATAATTCATTCTTTCTTCTCTGTTAGAGGAGATAAGCACACATTAATTTTATAAGGTTTGCCTGCAAGGAAATGGAACATCTTTGAGCACAGAAGACATTCACTTTGAAAATCTATGACTCTCTCAACATGCCTTAGTCTGGCCACATTTGGGTTCATGCTTTTTAGTTTGGGCTGTCAACTTGCTAGTTCTGAAAAAAGCAAACAACACAAAATCATGGAACCAACCCAAATGCCCATCAATCAACAAGTGGATAAAGAAACTGTGGTATATATATACATGGAATACACTCAGCCATAAAAAGGAATGAATTAATAGCATTTGCAGTGACCTGGATGAGATTGGAGACTATTATTCAAAGTGAAGTAACACAGGAATGGAAAATCAAACACCATATGTTCTCACTGATATGTGGGAGCTAAGCTATGAGGATGCAAAGGCATAAGAATGATACAATGAACTTTGAGGACTTGAGGGTAAGGGTGGGGAGCAAGGGATAAAAGGCTACAAATAGGGTGCAATGTCTACTGCCCGGGTGATGGGTGCACCAAAATCTCACAAATCACCACTAAAGAACTCACTCATGTAACTAAATACCACCTGTACCCCAATACCCTATGGAAAAATAAAAAATTAAAACAAATTTTTTTAAAGCAAACAACAAAAGCTACACCTGGAAATTCTTATTGAATATATTTGTAGTCTGGCTTGGCCATCTGTTTTGGGGTTTTTTGTTTTGTTTTGTTTTTCTTACGTGTTATGGTTGATTTTGTGTGTGTCAACTTGACTGGGCCCTGGGCCACAGGATGCCCAGATATCTGGTTAAATATTATTTCTGAGTGTATCTGTGAGGTTGTTTCTGGAAGAGACTAACATTTGTATCAGTGGACTGAGTAAAACCCATGGTCCACTTCAAAGTAATTGGCCTTCATCCAATCTGTTGGCAGCCTGAACAGAACCAAAAGACAGAGGAAGGGAGAATTCCTTCTCTCTTTATCTGACTACTTGAGCTGGAACACTGGTCTTCTCCTGCCCTCAGACTGAAACTTATACCATCATTTCTCCTGGTTCTCAGGCCATCAGACTCACTAAAACTATCCTACTGGCTTTTCTGTATCTCTAGCTTGCAAACAGCATACTGTGGGACTTCTCAGCCCCCACAATTGCATGAACCAATTCCTCATAATAAATCTCTTTATATGCATAGATAAATATAGATATAAATACTGAAACAGATATATATCCTATTGATTCTGCTTTTCTAGAGAATCCTGACTAATACAAAAGACTTCACTGGTGATTCTGATGAAGAATATTTTTATATCCTCTTCTTAGAACATTATAGATCTCCAACTACCCTCTTTGGAAGTCAAATTATTTTTATACACAGTTTTTCATTTCAAATTTGAATATATTCCAAAATAGTTTTTAAATATCTGACTTCTGTTTCAAGCCAAAACATACATTTGAAAAAGAAGTATGAATCTAGAGGAAAGTGTGATTTGACAAAGAGTCAAGGGACTGAAGTCTAGCCTTGCCTCTGACGCTTTCCAGCTGTGTGACCTTGGGCAAAGGACTTGTCTTCGTCACTCAACCATGTCACATGGGAATAACACTACAGGCCCCATCTTGCAAAGTGTCATGAGGACAAAATAAATTATGAAACACATCAACAAAACTCTACACAAATGCAAACTATCATATGCTACTTGACATGTTATACAAATAAGATTTTTATTATTCAAACCATATTTTAAATGCCCTTAGGGAGTTTGCCACACAAATGAAGTAATCAGTAAATCATTATTTTAAGCAAATTATTATTTTGTGTTTAAGGTAGTTCTCTAATTTCTCTGTTCTTTGTGTTTGAATTTTGCTATTTTGAGTGTTCTGAAAATAGGGCATACTCATGTTCCTATTTAAAAGATTTACACTAATTATGCTCAGCATAATGCAGCCCTGGACAGAAGGAAGCTCAGAAGTCAGTCCTGCCCTTGTGATGAGGGAGAAGCGGGCCTCCTGAAACTCCTCCAGATGGCCCCTTGGGGCTCATGCAACAAATGACTTTAATCCTCTCTGCGTAAAAAGTGATGTCATGGAAACCAAACTTGTTATGACTCAAAGCAGGTTAAGGAGACCCAGAGTTGCTTTGACATTTATATGTAGACATTTATAAACAATGCAGACATTTATAAACAACTTCTTCCATAAATATGTCACTTTTAGAAATATGGAAATAATGCCATAATCTCAAAAGAGAATGATTAGACTATCAAAACTGTGTGCTAGAAATAATGAGTAACTCAAACTTGATTGAATTCTGTCCTGACCTCCCACTGTTTATGGATGGTTGAAATCCGCTTACCTTAAATGAAAGGTTTGGAATTTTATTTTATGTTGGTTTGTTTCCATTTTGCCACAAAGATGCAGGAAAGAGAAAGCCACAGAATTGTGAGGACAAGTCTATGGCTTACATAAAGTATGTAAGGCTAAGGGTTCTGGGAAGCAGGTAATATTATTTTTAAAACTCCCCATTTTAAAATGGCACATTCCTAAATGCTTTCACAACTATTTTACACACATACGTTATTACTGAGAAAAACTTATCTTGAGGGATAAATTGTATTGCATCCTTCCCAGTACAATATTTTGTGCATAGATGATGTCAGCAATTATTTATTGAATATAATTGCATATTTAGAACTTTCTTCAAAAGCACTGATATTATCTTTCCTGTATTGCAGATGAAAAGCTCAGGCATAAACAATTTAAGGCATCTTGGATTCCAAACCAACCCCTACCCAGTACTGCTGCAGACCAGACTACCCCTCTTAGAAGTCAGAGGGAATCCCCTCTCCAATTTGATGCTGAGGTAGGCCAAGGCCAGGCTTGCTAGAGGCTCAAGGGTGCAATAAGAAATGGACCTCAGAAGGGACTCACTGGAGCATATGTCACTCTCATCAGGTTGCTACAACATCATAACACAACTAGGTGGCTTAAATAGCAGACATTTATTTTCTCACAGTTTTGGTGGCTAGAAGTCCAAGATCAAGGTGCTGACAGGGTTGGTTTCCAGTGAGGCCTCAGCCTGACTCTTAGATGGCAGCTTCTCACTGTGTCCTTGCATGACCTTTTCTCTGTGGGCACACCTGGCAACAGAGAGCGTTCTCTGGTATCTCTTCCTCTTCTTATAAGGACATCAGTCCTATCACTTTAGGGTCTCACCCCTGTGACTTCATTTCACCTTAATTACCTCCCTAAAGGCTCTATCTCCAAATACAGTCACACTGGGAATTAGGTTTTCAACGTGAATTGGGGGAACACAACTCAGCCCAAAAGAGAGTGCACCAATACCTGAGAGGCTGAGCCCCGGGGGGCAACAGGGCCCTCCTCTGCCTCATGGTTGGGGGCTCCTCTTGATGGCAGATCCCTCACTCCCCATGGGTTACACTGACTCAAACTTGGCTTTGTCTCTGTTCTTGATCTTATGAATAATTTTGGCTCTGCTTGTTGGTTGCAAGTAAACGGAAGTGAACATAAACATCGAGAGTCCAAGCCACCATTTTTGCCCACCTTCAAAACTGGACTCTCTTGTATGATAACCTTTTGAAGAGACAGCATAGTGCAATGAAAAGAGCACTATACGTGGCCTCAGAAGTCCTGGATTCAAACCCTAACTGTTTTCCATGGCGCATACATTCCCATGTGACTAGGACTCTGTTCCCCAACCCCATGATGTCTCTTACTCCCTCCAGCAATGCTGGCTTCCTGCCTCTACTCGAAACCAGCAAGCATGCTCCCATCCCAGGGACTTGGCAAAGGCTATTACCTTTGCCCGGAATGCTTTCCTTTAAATATCCACTAGGACTACTTCCTTATTGCATTTAATATTTTAATTAAATGCCACCCTTCTAGAAAGTTCTTCTCTGACCATGCTATCTACAACAGTGCTCACCCTCCACCTCCATCAGACACCTCAATATCCCAGACAGTACTTTATTTTTCTTTACAGTATTTATCACTATCTGACATTACTGCATACAGATGCTCCTCAATTTATGATGGGGTTACATCCCAATAAACCTATTGTAAGTTGAAAATATTGTAAGTCAAAAATACATTGAATACAGTTAACCCCCTGAACCTCACAGCTCAGCCTGGCCTATCTTAAATGTGATCAGAAACTTACCATACAGTTGGGCACAATCACAATCATCTAACACAAAGCCTATTCTACAGTAACATGTTGAATATCTCATATATATTTGTTCAACACTTTACTGAAAGTGAAAAGCAGAATGGCTGTATGGGTACTTGAAGTATAGTTTCTACTGAACGCTAATTGCTTTCACACCATTGTAAAGTGAAAAAGTCGTAAGCCGAGCTATCTTAACTTGGGGACCATTTATATATTTATTTGTTTATAGTTTGTCTTTCCCAATATATTGCAGGCTTCATTAGGGCAGGTTTATTAGTTTCATTTATTGCTGCATCCCATGCAAATAGTCCCTGAAGCAAAGAAAGCACTCAATAAATATTTTGAATGAACTGAAGGAATGACTATGAATTAATGGGGCACTTGGCCTCAGTTTCCTCTTCTATAACTTGGCTCTCCCTTGCTCAGGTCCATCCCTCAGGGGCCCCTGGCCTGCTCTTGGCCTCACTGGGCCCTGGTATCTCAGGCAGAGCCCCGAGGTGCCACCACCCTGCTGTTTGCACACCCTTGCCAGTTCTCTGCGTTCAGCAGATAGTGAGGGGCGAGGCTGTGTGGGTATATGAGCAATGCCAGAGAGGTCAGCTTCTCTAAAGAGATGTGGCTTCCTCATGTAATAGCATGGAGAGTATAGATGAGGAAAAACAGAGTGGCTCATGGCCAGCTCACTTCTTAAAGGCTGGGAACACAATGGGGAATGGCAGGCAACGTGGCCTTGAAGGGGAACAGGGTAGGAAGGGGTTGCCAAAGACAAAATACTAAGTGAAACTCTGTCCAGGCCATATCTGCCCAAGATGAAACTGTTTCTGGGAAAAAGGCAGATGCCTACAGACAAAGCAGCAGAGCCCAAACTAGCCCAAATATCAATGCAGAAAGGACAAGATGGAAAGCCCCATGAAGTAAGTCTTGCTCACTGCTCTCGCCCAGCACCCAGGGCAGGTGCTCAGGCTATGGGGAGGCACATTGTAGGGGGATGTGGGGTTGAGACCAGCAAAGGAGGCACACTGGAAAGCAAGTGAACTGGGAAGTGACAAGTAAAGAGGGTGCTTAAGGCTACTTAAAAGAGACATCAGGGATGAGGTGGAAAGTCAGGCAACAATGGGGTCACACCTTGGTTGCATCTATCACTGGCTAGGGGAACCTGGGCAAGTAACTTAACTCTTTTGTGCCTTATTTTTCTCACCTGAAAAATGGGTGTAATGGTACTTACTTTATAGATTATATCTTAATTATATACCAATTGAGCATCATGGCCCTGACACATGACAAACCATATGGAGGAGAAAGACGGAAGAAAGAAGGACCTAAGTGGAGAGGTGGGTTTAGACCGGGATTAAGCACTGAATCAGTGGAGAGGAGGATGCAGGGTGAGTGGACAGAGGAAACTAGTGGAGAAAAAAAAGGATTAAAAAGAGGTCTGAGAGAGTTCAAAGAATCAAGGAGAGGAGCTTTGTAAAGAATCAAGGATGGGCAGTATAGGAAGAGGAGGAAGAAGAATCTAGCAACTGACATAATGCAGACCCTTAACAGAGATGCAGGGCTACAACCCATCTTGTGCTGCTGCTGAGGCCCAGGGAGGAGCCACCTGGGTGCCCAGAGCTGTGCTGGGCAGACACAGGGCAATTCAGCCCTGTGGGAGACACACAGGTCTCCACAGGAGGCAGCAGTTTTTTAGCACGGGAATTCATCAGGCTTGGGCACCTGCTGGGGAGGAGATGGAAACACAGTCAATACATCTCATCATCAAAAACAGGAAGGAAACGAAACATTTTGGAAGTCATTGAAAGGCAGGTTTTATGTTAATTTGAAATAAAATGTTTGCTTAACCGACTGCTCTCTGAAGACTTCTTGATTTGGTATTTGGAGACAGACATCACCCTGACGTACATTAGGAGGCCTGTGATCTTAGGCTTGTTCCAGCTGTGATTCACTTCACGTCTGATTCACTTCATCATTTATGCAATTTGTCATCAGGTTATCTGAAAGCTGAGTAAAACCTCTCATATCCTCATGAGTTCCTCTCATATCCTTATGAGTTCTATCTATTGTTAGATAGAACTACATGAACAGAAGCTCTTTGAGTCCTCAATCATTTTTAAGAGTGCAAAGAGGTCTTAAGACCAAAATGATCGCAATCTGCTTTGAGTCCTCAATCATTTTTAAGAGTGCAAAGAGGTCTTAAGACCAAAATGATCGCAATCTGCTGACCTACTTTGGGCAAGATGACATACTCTCACCTTTTCTGTTCATTCTCTTTAGCCTTCAGAGCAGACCTGTAAGAGCCTAGATTTCCAGCGTATGGAAAGCAAAAAGGAGGCTCAGAGTAAAGCCGCACCTCTAATAAGGGATAAAGCTGGGATTGGACATCACTTTCTCTGCTCTACCCATTTTGCTGCACTGTCTCTTAGCATCCATTGTGGCAAAAAGAAGTTTTATGGAAGAGAAAGCAAGCCGCAAACATTAGAGATTTTGCAAGAGGCAAGCTTCACTCTCCAATACTTGCTGAAAAATATTCTCTGTGCTCCTCGGTCTCCAAAGAAGGAGACTAATTTAGTTCAAAAAGAGAGATCTCTGTCCGCGGCTCAGCCCTGGGTGTCGGGGTTCCAGGCGTCGCTGGGTCTGGGCGCGCCACGTCTGCACAGCGCCCTCTGTTGGCCCCTCTCTGCTCCAGCCGGCACTTGGTCTAGCCTGGCCACCTTAGATGCTCCCTTTAGATGCTTTCTGGTGAGCGTCTCTAGGGACCACAGCATCTTACTAGGGCTTGGGCATTCCTCTGGGGGCAACTGGGCTTTTATACAAATATACAAGGTTGCCCTCAACAGCTAACCCTCCCTGCGGGCCACTCCTAGTTTGCAGCTCCATCTTTTCTGCGTTATTTTTCACATCCAGAACTCAGAACACACACAGAGAACCGCCCTCTCCACTCTTGTCATTGAGAAGGAAGCCTGGTGTGAACTTCAGACTTACACAAACCTAGATTTGAATCCAGGCCCTCTGCCCTGCAAATGACTTAACCTTTCTGAGCCCCACTCTTCTCAGTTTTAGAATGGAAATGCTAGTATTTACCTTGTAGGGTTATTGGGCGCCTAAAGCACTTGGCACAGGAATGAACGGTGTTGGTTTCCAGTTTCCCATGTCTGCTGTGGGCTACGGGAGGAACAGTCGTTCCACTTCAAATGGAGTCACTGTCACTGAGGGCCACTTAAGCTGCACGAATTCTCACCACAAGCCTGGTTTCCTTCTGGTCGTCAGCCATTCAGCTCCCACTACAGGGCAGGCGCTTGTGAGACTCTCAGGACATAATGTTAAAGGATGTTATGGTGTTTTCTCTCAAGGGGCTTACAGTTTAACATGGTGATACCCAAACTTTGCTAGAACATTTCTCAGATCATTCTTCCCTTAAGAGACTTTTTAAACAATATTATTTTTGGAGCAGTTTTAGGTTCACAGCAAAATTGAATGGAAAGTACAGAGATTTCCCATTTACTCCCTCCCTCCACACAGTCATTCTCAACATCCCCAAGCAGACGGGGATATTGACCCCAAGACACCTCCTTATCATCCAGAGTCCATAGTTTACATTCAGGCTCAGTCTTGGTGTTGTTCATTCTATGGGTTTGGACAAATGTATGACATGTGTCCACCATTAAAAGACTATTGAACATGCTAAATTGTATGTCTTTCCTTGGAGGTGCACCCACTAGTCTGGCCCAGATAAATGCCCATGGGTACAGGTGGTGGGTAATCTCACTTCAGCCTGATGGCACCATCTGGGCGGTGATTCATCCCAGGGACTCCCTGGCAGAAAACCTGCTTTTGGTGGGCCTTATGGTGGCTCCCGCTTCTTAGCCACATGTATTTCTAGTACAGGAAGTGGGTTACATGGAGCTCTTTCATAGAAGAGACTCTGCCATAAGCAAAATAATCCAGCCTCCAAAAAGGACGTCCATGTTCTAATCTCCAGAACCTTACATGGCAAGAGAAACTTCGCAGATGTGATGAAGTTAAGGAGTTTGAGATGCAGAGATTATCTTGGATTATCCAGGTGGGGGGGCGGGCAATGTCATCACCAGGGTCCTTACAAGTGACACTAGGATAGAGGCGAGTCTGAGAAGGGTCTATGATGACAGAAGCAAGGGTCAGAGTCAAAGACAAATCTGAAGCTGTCAGGCTGCTGGCTTTGAAAATGGAGAAGGGGACCATGAGCCAGGAATGCAGGTGGCCTCTAGGAGCTGGGAAAGGCAGAGAAATTGGATTCCCCTTGAGAGCCTCCCAAAGGAACACAGTCCGGCCAGCATGTTGATTTTAGCCCAGTGAGATACAGGTTGGACTTCTGCCCTCCAGAAATGTAAGAGAATGAATTTGCTTTATTTTAAGCTACTGATTGGTGGTGTTTTGTTATAGCAGCAATAAGAAGCTAATACAGGCTCAGAGAGGCATGTACCTCTGGAGCTCACAGCATTCCTGGTTGGCTGGAATGTGAGAGCAAACCCAGAAGAGAGAAGCTGGGGCCTTCAGGGCAGCAGCAGCAGACGTTGGCTGAGCTCTGTGAGGGTTGTTGGGAGCCTTAGCATGGTCACTTGGGCTGTGAGGTGACTCATGGCTACTGCCAGTTTGATTAGCTGTGATGACCACAAGTGAGGAACCACACTGTCAGCAACTTTGGGCCACACAAAGACTCCCAGATGAGGAACGGTGCAATGAATGCTGCAGCGATGTGGCGATAAAGCCAGAGGAATGGCTTTGGCTGTTCTGAGACCCTGGAGTTCTCAGAGGTGACAGAGAGGGTCAGGGTGAAGATTCAGGAGAAGACAGGCCATTACCAAAGGCGTGCAATGGAGGCCACACAGGGTACTGATAGGAATGGTGGCTGACATTTGCTGAGCTCTGTGTGCTGCGAGCTGTGCTAGCAGTGCCCGCCCTGTCCCATAGAATCTTCACAATGATTCTAAGAGGTAGACACTATTATTATTCCCATCTTACTGGTGAAGACACTGAGACTTTCCATGGTTAATTTTGACCAAGAGCAAAAACTAGCAAATAAAAGATCTTGACTTCTGTCTGCTCAATGCCTCCTCCTCCCCCATTTTTTTTAATCAACTGTTGTAGAAAGAACATGAAGTTTGACGAGAGCAAGACTTGTGTTCAGATCCAGTCCTACTACTCTGTACCCTCAGCCTGGTAACTTAACCCCTGTAAGCCTTTGTTTCTCATGTGTCCTATTGGGAAAATAATATTTCTCTTTAGAAGAAGTAGAGTGGTAGTTAAAAGTGAGGGTTTGGGAGGATAACTACTCATATTTGAATCCTGGCTCAGCCTCTTATAAGCTATATGACATGAAGCTACATATTTAATCTCTCTATACTTCAGTTTATTCATCTGTATGATGAGGATCATGTTTTATTGTCTGAATGGGGTTGCTATAAGGGTCAAATGGCATAGTATCTAAAGCTCTTTGCACAGTACCTGGTTCACAGGGAGCTCCCAATGGGTACTACTTAGAGTAGGGCTGAGCAGACAGGGTTGGGGTAGAAATGGCCTGGAGTAATCCTGGGACATGGGAGGCATTCAGTCTGTGCTTGCTGCTGTTTTTATCTGTGGTAGGCAGGAAGCATCCCCAGCAAGAGGCCATACTGAAGTCCTGGCCGTTGGGGTGGGAAAATCTCTGTGTGTTTTAGGGGAAAGAGGGTGCAGTTAGATGGCTGGGAAGGGCTGGGACTGCAGGGTCTCTGAGGGTCACAAAGAGAATCTGAAGCCATTGCTCCTAAAGGGCTGAGGCTGGGATGAGGTGCCAGAAGCCAACAGTATGGGGAGCTGTGTGGGAACCCCAGGCTTCACCTTCTCATCCATTTTTAGATCCAGTAATTTTGGGCAGAGGTGCTGAGACAAACTGAAGATCTTGCCCCCTGTCCCTCACAAGAGTGCATCAGAGCCAGAAGCCAGCTTTTCATTATCATTAGCACTGTTTGCTTCATAAACTTGGAATTTTGCATTTTAGCAGTCCTCAAAATGAAGCACCTGTGGCATTGAAATTATTGTTTTCCTTATGGAAGGGGCTATTTATCACATTATCCTATTTGAAGTGATTATTCTCATTCATCAAATTGAATTTAATTAATTTTCATAATTCAAGAGCTTCATAGCTGCAAACTATATACACTTGGCCAATAGTTCTGTGAAACAATCTGTGTTTTTCCCTCTTGCATTTATTTGCATCATAAAAGGCTACGTTTACTTCTCTAGAGTAAAACTGCTCTGTGTGCCAGGTCGTATTGGCAAATTCGCTGGAGAGAAGAGAACCCACTAGTAAAGCACAGCTCAAGAATTAGTGGCAAACAGATGCACACTCAGAACATTGTTTTAGCTGATGGGAGAGAATGGAAGGAAGAAGGCATCTGTGAAGGAGAACCCACTAGTAAAGCACAGCTCAAGAATTAGTGGCAAACAGATGCACACTCAGAACATTGTTTTAGCTGATGGGAGAGAATGGAAGGGAGAAGGCATCTGTGAAGGAGACAGCGCCTTTCCCTTAAGATCCTGAAAAGCGTTCTGGGCTGCCAGACCCCAGAGCAGAAACAGTTGCACACAGCATCTGCCCTCAAACAACTTTAAAGGTGCCTTTCACTCTGCAGAGCCTATGTCTGGCCTTATTTGTGTGGGGAACCTTGCACATAGCTTTCCATATTTCTTTGCCCATTGCCCTAGAGGAAGCCCATGTCTGAGGATGCTTTTGTGCCAACCCTGACCATTTCAGATCTCCTGAATGCTGCCTTCAGGGTTAACTTCCTTAGACCCCCATCAGGGTGTTTGGGGGTCTGACATTTTATTTTTATGCATTGACATGGACAGCAGCATGTATGCCCAGATTGGCCCAAGGTTGTTCTAGAAAGTGCTTCAAAATAAAAGGACAAGCCTATTGTTGGGTTTATGTGATACATAATTAGAGTGATATCTATCATACAACGTATGATCATAAGTGTCTATAAAATTTATGTGTCTATTTACATATATACACACCCATAGAGACATAGCATTAAGGTGCAATTTCTTTACAGCTCCAGCAAGATTGTACTGTCAACACTTTATAACCTGTAATCAGTACTCTGGCCAATAAGGTTATAATTGGAGACTAATACCTTTGTATTCACCCTATATTTTTCAACATCCACCATAACTGGATATTGATATATAACTTCACAGGTTACAAAGCACTTTCACATGCATTATTTCACTTGATCCTCGCAATAGCCTGGTTTTAAAGTGAAAAGTCTAAGGCTAAGAGTGTAATGTGTCCAAGATTGGGGAGTTCCCAACTGGGTAGAGCTGGCATCAGCCAGGTCTTCCCAATCGACATTTGCTATTTCTTGCAAATCAAAACCACAATGAGATACCATCTCACGGCAGTCGGAATGGTGATTATTAAAAAATTTTTAAAAAAACAGATGCTAGCAAGGTTGCAGAGTAAAAAGAATGCTTTTACAGTTTTGGTGGGAGTGTAAATTAGTTCAACCATTGTGGAAGGCAGTGTGGTGATTCCTCAAAGATCTAGAGGCAGAAATACCATTTGACCCAGCAATCCCATTACTGGGTATATATCCAAAGGAACATAAATCATTCTATTATAAAGATACACACATGTGTATGTTCATTGCAGCACTATTTGCAGTAGCAAAGGCATGGAATCGACCTAAATACCCATCAATGATAGACTGGATAAAGAAAATGTGGTGCATATACACCATGGAACACTTTGCAGCCATAAAAAATCACAAGGTCTTGTCCTTTGTGGGGGCATAGATGGAGCTGGAAGCTGTTATCCTCAGCAAACTAATACAGGAACAGAAAACCAAACACTGCATGTTCTCACTTATAAATGGGAGCTAAATGATGAGAACTACATGGACACATGGTGGGTGGTACAACACACACTGGGGCCTGTTGGGGGAGAGGGAGAGCATCAGGAAGAATAGCTAATGGAAGCTGGGCTTAATACCAAGGTGATGGGTTGATCTGTGCAGCAAACCACCATGGCACACATTTACCTATGTAACAAACCTGCACATCCTGCACATGTACCCCGGAACTTAAAATAACGGTTGAAAAACCCCACATTTGCTATTTCTTGTGTATGATTACATCTCTTGGTAGCTCAAAACTATGGAGAAATCGTAATAGTTATGAAAAGAATAATTATCATTTTTTCAGCATATACCTTATGCCAAACACTGTTTGGAGCACTTATGTGCACTTCTGTGTAATCTTTATGCTTACTCTTAGAGGTAAGTAGCTTAATTCTCATTTTATAGATGAGGAGTCTGAGGCTCAGCAAGGTGAAACAAGCCCAGGCCACAAAGCCTCACATCTGGTGAAGCCAATTGTGGACTCAGCTCTTTCTGAATCCTAAACACATGTTCTTTTCATTTGGCTAGGCTACCTATAAGTCATTTTCACTTTAGTGAAAATTTAAGTCATTGCTGCTACCTTTTGTATAGTATTTGCATTTTACTATGTCTCTAATTATAGAATTAAAGGACTTGTTCCCTGGTCTTAAAATAGTTCCAAGCATCAAGAAATAAGTAGGAGAGAGAGTCTAGAGAGCAATGGGTAGCCCCCCTAGTGTCTCTGAAAATCAGCCTATAGAGCTGCTGGTAGCACAACTTCAACCCTCTGGGGAACTGAACAGGTTCATCGTGAGAGTGCTGCATTAGCAACACAGCAGGGAAACTATGAGTTCTGGAGGCAGAACACCTGAGTCTGAGGAGCCCTGCTCTTTAGGAGCTGTGTGACCTTGACAACTTCCTGACCCTCTTAGGGACTCTGCTATCTTCCTTGAAAAACAGGGATTAAATGAGGTAATGTGTGTGTGGACTGCAAGGCCAGGAAAAAGAAGGTACACTTTTGTGTTCTCTTCCAGCGAGTCAAGGCTCCTCTGCTTCCCCTTTCTCAGCCCCATAGCTCCAAGGAACACAGTAATGACTGCCGGGGCACGCACACAGCAAGCAGCTTTGCCGTGCTGCCCTGCTGTTCTGAAGGCCTTTTGCTGCAAAAGAGATGCACCTGTCATTTCCTGCAGGCGCTTCCAAGGCTCTTCATGGAGAAGCTGCCTTAAATGAAAAGGCCATTGTTTGTGTTAAGAAACAACTTTGCTAATCCCAGAAATAGCTCCTGCTCTACAGGCCCCGATGGCACCAGTGGAAGGAAGCCAGCATGTCACTGCAGATTCTGGGGCTCCTTGTGTAGGATTTACAGGGGGCTACCTGATGTGGATGGAGTCCAGCTTCATACTTTCCTGGCTGTGATATTGGCAAGGTTGGCCTCACCTAAGCCTCCATGTCCTTATTTGTATAATGCAGTTACCAATGTCCATATTTCAGGGCTCCTGTAAAGATTGCAGATAATGTTAATGAAATGCCTAACGAAGGACCTGGTCTAAAGTGGAGATTCAGTGAGTGTTAGTTCTCCTGTTTCTCTTCTGCCCTCTCTCCCTCAGGCCCACATTTAGAGGTGTTCATTTGTAACAGACACTCAGGCAGAGGTGCATTCTGTCAAAAAGGCTCTGTCAAGAACAAGGGGCTCTGCCTGCTCTGGAAGAGTCCCCTGGGTCCGCCCAGTTCCGAAATCTCACCCGCACATGTTCTTCAGCTCAGGAACTGATGAAGACGACAAAGCGACTTGATAAAAATGGCTGAACCTGCATGCATAAAAGAGAACAACGTTCAGACACTTCTGTCTGGTGACCCCTGCAAGATTCTGGTATCAAACTCCTGTCTCTCCTCACTAAGGACCAGGGGTTGCCCTGGTGTGGCGGAAGCTATATAGAGGCCCACACCATAATGTCTGCCAAGTCCTCCAGGCCCTCTTACATCTTATGTTCAATTTTCCCTCATTGCTTCTTCTGGAATGTCCACTCCCTGTTTCAGAGCTGAGAATGCTGACTTCTTAGTCTTTTCTTATGCAATTGCTGAAAGTGCAGCTTTTAAGTCCTGCATCATTATCAAATTGATTTCCGCCAAAAGCTTTTCTTCTCTTGCCAATGCTCTGGGAACACGGGTTGCTGCCTTCTCAGTCTGGATAGATACAGGCCCTATTTGGCCAAACCACGGCACTTCCTGTTTAAATAATTCCCTGAAAGCACCAGCTCATCAGCGTGAGTGTTCATCACTTTATCTCCAACTTTCTGTGGTGTTGTTACAGTCTCTATGGACCCAAAATTAGAGAAAGAAGGAAACGTGATAAAGCAATTGGCCCCTAGATAATGTCTATCATTCAAGCACATAAGTGAGCCCGAGCCAAATCCTGAGTTCTGGCTACATGCAGAAGCCCGGGCTAAGTGAGGTAGCAAATACATGCAGTGTATATATGGCATGCACCCTGCCTGCAGGAGTGCCACACACAATGACGTAACGCCCTGAAATGGAGACAGTAAACCTGGTCAGTGTTTGCAACGTGGCAAATGAGAGGTCAGTCAGCATATGTGCAGTCTGTGGAAGGTTTCTCAGAGCTGAGAATGAAGTGAGGGGTGTTCAAGAATCTATAGGGATTAAGAAATCAGGGTAACATGGAGAAGCATTCTTGGCGAAAGAAACAGCTCGAGCAAAGACAGAGGTGGAAATTGGCCTGGCATCTTTAAGGCACTGAAAGGCTACCAGCCTACTTGGTCTGTTTATTTTAGGAGAATAGTAGGAGTCAAGTTTGTAAAGACAACTGGAGAGGTTGACTTCTAAGCTAAAGAGCTTGATCTTACTCCTTTAGGTAGTGAAGTCACTGAAAGTTTTTGAGAAGACAAATGGCACGCTGAAAGTGGTGTTTCAGAAAAATTTTATCAGCAGTGGTGTTTGGAGGGGGTGACATTAAGGAGTAAAAGAAGAGACTTCAGGTAGTGAGAATCGTTAGAGTGCTTGCAAAGAACTGATATGAAATCATTAGGACTCTAACTAGGATGACAATAGAGGAAAAGGGAAATAAAGGATGGGTTCAACACAAATTGGATAACAAGCAGATATGAACTTGAAGGAATGACAGGAGAAGCAACGACATCATAGGTCAAAGGCAGAAAATCTGGAGCTTGTTGGCAGGACAATGCATTGTCTGCTTAAACAAGTCAAATCTGTGGTCTGTGGAGACAGTCAGCAAGTGAAAGGTCAAAATGGCTGGTAAATTGCTTGAGATTTGAGGCAGAGCACTGGACTGAATTCCAGGCTGCGAACGTGATCTGGGTGTGATTTGATTGGAAAGGATAGCTGCAGGTGTGATGGCTTTTCTCCAGTTGTGTGTGCCTGTGTGAGATTTAAAACAAAGGGGAAGACTGAAGGAGATACTGCACTCCTAAGAGAGATTAAGGAGAATGGAAAGAGCAAGGTTGAAAAGCCAGGAGCGATGGGATGAAGAGAATAGGCTGGGGTTTTAATCTTGGAAAGGAGGGCTCTGTAACAAGGTACACTGGGCTCTTGGTAGCAGGATGAGGTGGGGGTGAGGGAGAAAGGGCAGTAAGCCAGGAAAGGACCGGCTAGGTACCTATTTTGGCTTAAGGCTGGCCTCCTAGGGTTGTGGCAAATGTAAGACTGGTTCAGATTGTTACTGACATGGAGGTGTCTAAGCAGGTGGGCTGGGGCAGAACTCATGTAGTCAGAAGGCTGGACTTCAAGGATCTTGGCTTCTGAGGGTCTGTCCATCTAAAACAGGATCCCAGAAAGAACTAGAGGGAGCAGACAGGATCAGAGTTCAGGCCAGGAGAAGAGCAGGCATCAGAAGGTGGAGGTCAATGGTTTTGTTGTTGTTCTCTAAACCCTAATGGTTCGCCAAGATGCATCTGGGGCTGCTGAAGGGGCAGAGGAGCTCCAAGCTCCCTCATTCCCATTCAACCTAACAGGTTTTTTACTTATTGAACTTTGTGATGTGATAGGATTGAGTTTGAAGAAAGGGTTCTGCTACTAAAGTAAAGTTTGAAAATGAATGGCAGATTTGGCCTACCGGAAATAAAAGCAGAGGCATTATTACTGGCAACAGTCCATCCATAAAGGAACATGTGAGTAAACCACAGCATGGCTGCTGTGAACAGTGCAGCTGGAAAACATAATCAGCAAGATCTATGCATGTAAGCTGAGTTAACATCAGAGGATGTCTGTGTCGTACTGGGAAAGGGCAGAAGCAAGTTTCAGGATAATGTAGATGATACATGTGAAACAAAAAAAAGGAAAAATAATCCTATGAATTTTCTTATGTGTTGATATGAAAGATAAGACAAGAAGGGCTCCACACCAGACTTTGGCTTCTTCAGGCACAGGAATTAAAAGAGGGTAGATAATTACCAGATTTTTAAAGAGAGACTTTTGTATTGTATAAGTAGCTACTATGAGCCTGTATTTTTCTTTTATACTTTTTAGTTAGGAATAAGTATAGATTCATCAGAAGTTGCAAAAATAGTACAGAGAATCCTGTGTTCCATTCATCCACTTTCCCCAGTGGTAACATCTTACATGATGATAAAAGCTAGGAAATTAACATTGGTATAATTCATACACATTGTTCAGATCTCACTTGTTTTATATCCACTCATGTGTGTGTGCCTGAGTGCATATACAGTTAATGCAAAACTATCACATGTGTAGATTTATGTATCCTCCACCACTGTCAAGATACACAATGGTTCTATCACCACAAAGATCCCTCATGCTACCCCTTTACATTCACACCCCTCCCCGCTCCTACTTCCTGTTCCCTGGCAACCAGTAATCTGTTCTTCATTTCTAGAATTTTGTATTTCAAGAATGTTACATAAATGAAAGTATATAGTATGTAACCTCTTGGAACTGGCTTTCTTTTCATTTAGCATAACTTCCTTGAGATCCATTCAAGTTCTTGCATGTATCAATAGTTCATTTCTTTTTATTGCTGAGTAGTATTTCATGGCACAGAGGTAGCACTGTTTGTTTAACCATTTACCCATTGAAGGACATGTGGGTTGTTTCCAATTCTGGGCCATTAAAAGTAAAGCTGCTGTGAACATTTGTGTACACATTTTTGTGTAGCCATAGCCTTTCATTTCTCTGGTACAAATGTCCAGGAGTTCAACTGCTGGCTTATGAGGTAAGTGTATGTTTAATTTTTTTAAGAAACTGCCGGACTATTTTCCAGGAAGACAGTACCATTTTACATTCCTATCAGCAATGTATGGATGTGCCAATTCCTCAGTTCTTGTCAACATTTGATATTACTCCTATTTTTTAAATGGTAGCTATTTTAATAGGTGTATAGTGATATTTAATTTGCATTTCCCTGATGGCTAATGATGTTGAACAAATTTTCATGTTCTTTTTTTGCCATCTGTATACCCTTTGGTGAGATGTCTATCTTTTGCCCATTTTCTAATTTGATCTTTGATATTTTTTATTGTTGAGCTTTGTGAGTCCTTTATATATTTTAGATATAACTCTTTTGTCAGATATTTGGTTTGAAAATACTTTCTTCCAGTCCAGATATTGTCTTTTCATCTTTTTAATAAAGTTCATTGTAGAGCAAAAGTTTTTCATTTTGATGATGTCCAACTTATTGATTTTCTTCCATAAATCATGGTTTTTCATATCACATTTAAGAACTTTTCACTAACCCTAGGTCCTGAAGATTTTCTCCTATGTTTTCTTTTGAATTTTTTATAACTTTGTGCTTTATATTTAAGTATATAAATTCATTCTGAGTTATTTTTTCATTTAAAAACGTGAGGTTTATTTTAAAGTTCTTTTTATTGGCCTATGGGTGTAACTACTTCAGTACCATTTGCTGAAAAGATTATTCTTCCTCCATTGAATTGCTTTTGGATCTGTCAAAAATCAGTTAATTTGTGCATCAAAAGACACTACTAACAGAATAAATAGGCAGCCTACATGATACAGTTTTGATGTTGTCCCCTCTAAATCTCATGTCTAATTATAATCCCCTGTTGGAGACGGGGATGGGTGTTTGGGTCATGGGGACAGATCCTTTATGGTTTGGAGGTGTCGTCAAGATAGCAAGCAATTATGAGATCTGGTTGTTTAAGTGTGTGGCACCTCCCCCCTCCCCACCTCTTGCTTCCACTCTCACCATGTGACTGTCTGCTCCCCCGTCACCTTCTGCCATGATTGTAAGCTTCCTGAAACCTCCCCAGAAGCTGACCAGTTGCCGATGTCATGCTTCCTGTACAGCCTGCAGAACTATGAGCCAATTAAACCTCTTTACCTTATAAATTACACAACCTCAGGTATTTCTTTATAGCAATACAAGAACGGCTTAATACACCACAGAATGGGAGAAAGCATTTGGAAATCACATAGCTTACAAGAGATAAAAATCCAGAATATATAGAGAACTCCTAAAACTCAGCAACAATAACACAGACTGATTCAAAACTGGGCAAAGGACTTGAATAGACATTTCACCAAAGTACATGTAAAAATGGTCAATATGAGATGCAAATCAAACTACAATAAGATACCACCTCACACACATTAGGATGACTCCTATCAAAAATATCAAAAATAGCAAGGATTGGTGAAGACGTGGAAAAATAGGAACACTTGTGCACTGTTTGTGGGAATATAAAATGGCACAGCCGCTGTGAAAAACAGTATAGTATTTCCTCAAAAAGTGAAAAATAGGATTGCCGTATGATCTAGCAATTCCACTTCTTGGTATATACCAAAAAGAACTGAAAGCAGGGTCTCAAAGAGGTATTTGTACACCCATTCTCATAGCAGCATTATTTACAGTAGCTAAAATGTTGAAGTAACCCAAATGTACATCAATGAATGAATGGAAAAGCAAAATGTGGTATACCCACATGCTATGGTTTGACTGTGCCCCCCAAAGTTCATGTGTTGGGAATTTAATCCCCAATGCAACGGTGTTGAAAGGTGGGACTTTTAAAGAGATGATTAGGTCATGAAGACTCTGCCAGCCATCATAAATAGATTTATGCTGTTATAATAAGGATTGGCGTATTGCAGGATTATCCAATAACCAATTGAGTAATCGCATGATCATCCAATTAGGGTTCCCAGGTAAAGTATGAGCCCTCTTTCCCTCACTCTCACTCTCTCTTGTTTTTCTGCCTTCTGTGATGGAATGACACAACACAAAGGCCTTCACCAAATGCCAGTGCCATGTTCTGGGACTTCCCAGCCTCCATAACTGTACGTCAAATAAATTTCAGTTCATTATAATTTACCTAGTCTGTGATATTTTGTGATAGTAGCATAAATTTGACTAAAACACTATCCAATGGAATATTGCCCTTTAAAAGGAAAGAAATTCTCCAATATGCTATAACATGGATGAACCTTATGTTCAGTGAAATAAGTCAGTCACAAAAATACAAGTACTATATGATTCAACTTATATGAAGGAATATGAGTAGTCAAAATCATAGAGACAGAAAGTAAAAGGGTGGATGCTACAGACTGAGGGGAGGGAGTTATTATTTAATAACTAATTATTATTAAATAATTATTAATTATTTAATGGGTATAGGGTTCCAGTTTTATACTATGAAAATAGTTATGGAGATGAATGGTGGTGATATTTGTACATTATGAATGTATTTAATACTGCTAAACTGTACATTTAAAAATGGTTTATATAGTAAATTTTATGTTATATGTACTTTACTTAGAACAATAAAAAATAAGTTGAGCATATTTATGCGAGTTTATTTCTTGAAGCTTTATTCTGTTCCATTGATCTATGTTTGTTTCTATTCCTTCACCTACACCACACTGTCAAGATTACTGTAGTGTACATGGTCTTAAAATAAAGTAGAGTGATTCCTTCCAATTTATTCTTTTTCAAAATTGTTTTAGCTATGCTAATTCATTTGTCTTTCCATATGAATTTTAGAATAAACTAGTCTATAACTATAAAAAAATTCTCACTGGGATTTTGATAGAAACTGCATTAAATCTATAAATCTGTACGGGGAAAACTGACATCTTTATTATGTTGAGTCTTCCAATCTGTGAATATGTAAGTCTTTCCATTTATTTAGAGCTTCTTTGATTTCTTTCATCAGCATTTTGTAGTTTTCAGTATACAAATCTTGTACACGTTTTACTTGAAAAATCGAATAAAGTAATTTTAAGTCATTGATATAGGTGATAAGTATAGAGATATATCTGTAACTTTTTAAATGGGACCAGGTACAAAAAACAAATGATTTGAAATGGATCTAGGTACCGAAAGCAATGCTGCACATTTTATCTTTCCCCCTGCCCCAGGGCAACAAGAAGGGAAACAAGTGAGAGCTGCCAAGGGTGAGGTTTGACAGCACAGGACTCTGGGCAGCCAGATACTCCACAGAGAAGGGAGCCCAGAAGAGGGTGAAGGGTCTGTGAAAGGGATGTAGCGGGGATATCCCAGATGGTCTTCCCCTACTTCATAGTATTGCCAAGGAACACCCAGGGCCAGTAACAGCTCAGGGGAGGAATAGAGGCTTGTGATCTCTTAAGCAGGAAACCCACAAATCCTTTAACCAAAAAGACCCTATATGAGATCCCAGTTTCCCACTCAACTATGGAAAGGTGATACACATAAATTTAAAATTATCCAACAACTTAGAAAGAAATTCAATCATAGAAAGTGTGCTCATCCCAATCTGTTCACCTATCACACCCACTGTGTTAATATGTTCTTCTTAACCATCTCAGAGTACTTCTCCTTGCTGCCAGAAAATCATGATGGTGAACAAAGACAAAGAGAGAATTTGATTATTTACCATTTTTCCAACTGCAAAGTCAGTAGGGCATGTCTCCCAGTTAAATATATTGTGGTCCCTTCCATGCGGCATTGAGCCACAGGAGCCAGTATCAGCAAAGGTCATTTTATGTCTTGTAATGTTTGCGAAGATAAAACTGAACTCAAATAGTAAGAATTTTTGTTTTAAGTTCTCACCTTTCCCATGATGCAACAGAGACAACTATGTCAGAATTCAGAAAAACAAAGATGAAAATGTAATATCCATGAAGAATAAGACAAGTCAAATTATATCATACCTGAAAGAAACGGAATTTTGTTTTTAAGGCAAACAAGATCCAGCAGATATAATTTTTGGCTCTTTTGCCACATACAAATCACTAAGAAGCAATAGCATTTTATTATTGCACAAAACAATTCCTGAAGAGAAGAAAATGATGAGTGGGCATTGTCATGTCAGGCTTTTGTTCAGGCTTAAGGAATATATTAAGAAACACCAAGGCAAACATCTATCCAAACCTCATTCAAATAGATGGAGCAGACTCCAAGACTAAAAAGTATAAAATAGCACGCAATAGAACATTGATCTCCATAAGCATACATTACAAATTTTAATGGAAAGTTATTGAAAATAAATTTACTATACCTATTACTTGAGCCTACTCGAGAGAATTCAGAACTAATATTAGAGGAAGAAATGGGCACAGCAGCCAGAACATTCCACAGCTGGGCTTTTGGAATGAGGCAGTAGGAAAAAGCTGTGATTTTGTTGAGTAAAAGGAATGAGCTGGGATCTGGTGTATCCAGAGTCTTTCCTACTCCATATGGGCTTTCTCAAGTCTTGGGGAAGTCACTGTGAAGAAATGCCACTTCCCAAATGAACATTGTGAATGTCTTGGCAATTCATTTCTGAAGCAAATCTTATCTAAATAAGACATGGGAGAAATGAATGGTGATTTGATCATGGTTAGGGGGACCACAGGAAGTGGTCTGCAAAGAGAACAGCTGCTGACCAAAGAAAGCAAATGCTCGATAGTACTTGCTCTGGGCCAGTCACAGGTCTCAGTGCTGTACAGGTGCCAACCCATTAACCCTGAGGACAATCCCATGAACTAATTATTATCATGATGCCGTTTTATACATGAAGAAAATGAGGCACAAGGATGTGAGATAAATTATCTAATATTATTCAGATTAGCCAATGGTAGGACTGGAGTCCAGGTTCTTACATTTTTTTTTTTTTTTTTTGAGATGGAGTCTAGCTCAGTTGCCAGGCTGGAGTGCAGTGGTGCAATCTCCTCTCACTGCAAGCTCCGCCTCCCGGGTTCAAGCAATTCTCCTTCCTCAGCCTCCTGAGTAGCTGGGATTACAGGCACGTGCCACCACGCCCAGCTAATTTTTGTATTTTTAGTAGAGATGGGGTTTCATCATGTTGGTCAGGCTGGTCTGGAACTCCTGACTTCGTTATCCACCCCCCTTGGCCTCCCAAGGTGCTGGGATTACAGGTGGTAACTACCACACTATGAAAGAGGTTTAATAGAATGCTACACATCAGGCAGGGAATAGAAAAATTGGTGCTAAGTCCTTCCACTTTCCATAGCAAGTGCCACAACAATGTCCCATGTATTAGACTTGCAAGATGGTCCTCATCACTGCCATCAAGACTAGAAGACTCCCGTGGTATTAACTTGTCACAAAGACCTAAAGAAAGGCATGCAATCACTGAGGGAGAATTTTTCTGAGGAGAGAAAGAGCCTGGGAGTGGAGACTTGATTAAGAGGCACAACAGAATACTGAAGAAACAACAGGCTGAGATTCAGGAAGCTCTGGAACAATCATTTCAACCTGAACCAAAGGGTTAGGTCTGAAAAGTCTAACAAGAATGTCCAAAGTGTCTCCAAGGGCCCAGGTGAAGTGACCCTGTTAGGCTGGTAATGAACAGAAGAAACAAAAATGATCAGGCCATAGACCAATCATGGTATGAAGCCAAGTCCAGTTAACAAAAATATGCTGCATCCCTGTGAGTTACCTTCTTCATGGTTTACTCCTTTGGTAAAATGGCTTTGCCCATTAAGCACCCAACTAACAGAGTTGTACTGAAGACCATTAGAGGGGCAATGTCTCAGAGAAGCAAAGGGAAAGGAGGCCCTCCCAAGGTCATAGAGGTTAGAGAAGAGCCCCTAATTCCTTCATACCGCCTGTGGAAGGTACTAGCAAGCACACAACTGGTAGCCTTCTCTTCAGTCTGTTCCATTACAGTGGTTTCCTTCTTCTCTGCTGTTATGTTTAATAGGAAAATGCAATGTATCCTCTGAAATTTTAGCTTTGAGATTGCACCAGGATCTAACATGTGGTGCTGCGATGTCCTGACCATGCCACCCTGGCCAGTTCACCAGGCCAGGCAGGGCTGAGCCTGGAGCTAAAACAGATTGCATACCCAGGCTTCCCCCCAGGGCCCAGGACAGCTGTCATATGCCCGTTTCAGGCCACAGAAAGGATGATAAAAAAAAAAATCTGTCTTCTCTCCTCCTTCTCAGAGCCTTTTCTCTGCAAAGCAGTGTTTTTTTCAAAATGGGATAGCCAGCGCCCTGCCAGGGATAGAGGGCAAAAGTCAGCAGCCAAATGAGTCAACTCCATGGTCCCTTCATGACACCATTCAGTCATGAGAGTGTTTTCCCAGAACTCAGCACCCATCTGGGACCTCTGGCCCCTCACACCTGCTGCTTGTTCTGTGGGACATGTCCTGCCCTCTGCTCTAACCCCCTCCTTCCTTGGACCTGCCTGATTCCCATTCATCCCATAGGAATTACCTTGGTGACCTTCCTTGGGAAGTCTGTCTGCCTGCCTCAAGGTTACAGGGTAGGCCATTTATACATATGTGGTCCCTCAGCACCTCCTGTTCACTTCACTATAGGATTTATCAAGCTCTATTGCAATTGCTTGTTTACTTTTATTTTCTCTCCTACTAGACTGTACACTCCGGAGGAAAGGGACTGTGTCTAGGTCATGGCTGATAACCAGTGCCCAATTCTGGGCCTCAACAAATGCCTTGTGGGATGAGCTCATGCTGGAACCTAGCGGGTGTGCAGACTCGTGCATCATTCAGGAGCAGTGTGCTCAAGAACAGTTACTGATGTCAGACAGGCCTGGGCTACAATTCTAGTTCTGCCACTTAGTAGCTAAGTGTTGTTAGACCAGCCCAAAGCTGAATTCTCTCATTCGTAAAATAACAACCACAACAATGATAATACTTACTAATTTTGTTATGATTGCACTACCTACCTCAGGATTTAAATAAGGATTAAGTGAGATATTCTAAGTGCTTAAAATAGACCTTAGCACATTCCAAAGGCTGGGCGACTATTAGCAATACACCTCTCCTCCCCCGATGCCAGGTTCTTCTGCTAGAGTCCATTTTGAAGAGAAAAAATTATTAGATTTGATGAAAATAAAATGGAATTGTTTTTCAAAGGCAGATTCCCATCCAGCAGAAGCACTTAAGACAATCATCTTTCACAACGATGAGTAATATCTCTCACGCTGTCATCCAGAATGACTCACAGCATCAGAGGGTCTCATGTCCAAGGGCGCATTCGAACTGTTTCTTAAGAGTCATTTCTTACTCATCACAAAACTCACCATTAGGTGGCAGCCGAGCCGGGGGCCCTCAGAGAAAAGAGCGAACTGACCTTTGAAGGCAGAGCCGCTACCAGAGGCCACACCGCTGAGAAGCGAACATCTGACTCATCTGGGGAGTGTTAGCCCAGAAATGACAAGGGCTTAATTCAACAACGTGTAAAATATCACATCCCCATGCCCAGAGGAGTACAATAGACCCAGTAAGCCCAAGAGTAATCTCCCCAGAAATAAAAGAATTAGGGCTGTTGACAAATGAAGACAAAAGCTTCTAAACCATTTTAGGTGCTTGTAATAAATTTGATCCCAAGATAATTAAGTGATATTGTGAGCAGCCTCATCTAGTCGTGTGTCTCTCCTGCTTAAAAGCCTTCACTGCCCCACCGGGTTTCTCAATCACTGCCTGTGTGGGTTGCACGGGGGGTAAGACCGGTGTCAGACTCTACAGGGGAGCATAAAAAAAGAAACATTCAATACACCTCCTATTTTCATAATACAAACTGCAGAGAGTAAAGCTTGATGGACTCTATCTGGTGCTAATATGCAGATGATAGAGTGAAAAGGCATGGAAAGGACATGGATTTTCAAAAAGGCATCAGAAACATGGGCATACTAATAACAATAATGTTAATTAACATGTATTAAGTACCTGATATGCACTGTGCTATCTACCTTACGGGCTTTATCTCATTTAGTCCTTAAAATCAGCCCATGAGGTAGGAATTATTAATATTCCCACTTGACAACTAGGGAAACTGAGGCTCAGAGAGATTAAATGATTTGTCTAAAGGCACATAGCTAGAATCCAGAGACAGGATTCAGACCTCAGCAGTCTGACATTGGAGCGATCACAAGGACATCCGAGGAGCTTGGCAGGACTCCTGAGTGCTCTGGTATGTTCCTTCCTTTTTGCCTTCACTCCTCCCAACTGGACGCTTGGTGAGCTAAAGAGCTGCAGAAAAGCAGCTTTCTGGGTTGAGCTGAACATTCCTGAAGCTGAGAGGTTCCACTGAACCAAGAAGAGACCAAAGGATAAACAGCACCATCAAACAGGCATTCGTCCCTGGGCCCTCCATGGCTGAGTACCAGCCAAGACTTTCACTATTCCAAGATAGAAGCCTCCACAGATAGAAATTCCCAGCCTAAACAGGCTTCAGCCCATGGTTATTATTAATAAAATGCAGTCCTCCTTGCCTTGAAAGCTTTGGGAATCTCTCTTCTCCAGCTTTCTTCTTTCAAGGGCAGGGCCCTGCGTTCCCCACACTCTCTCTTACTCTGAGGCCTGGCACGTGCCTTCTTGGCAGTGTTATCATGGCAGATATGCCTTTTAAACTTAGCTCAGACATTGCTTCCTTTGCAGAACCACACCGGCCACACTCAGAGTTCCATGTGCTCTCTTCACCCTCAGAGGACTCTGTAAAAGCCAGCACGGAGCACTTCTCTTACTGTTGTTCACCTATTTGTCAGACTTCAGCACTAGACTATGAGCTCCCTGAGGGCCGGACTCACTCTTGTTCACCTTTAGCTGCTCAGTCCAGCCCAGTGCCTGGAATGAAAGAGAGGTCCATTTCATGTTTACCAAATGAATGGATTCTGAAATACCCTGTCTGCTCTCTGGTTACGCAGTGCAACACCTTAGGCCATAAAATTAGTTCCTGCTTAAAAGCAGGAGCAGGCTCTATGCACTCCCAGTTAGAGTCAGAATCTGAGCAGCTATGTTCCAAGGCTAGACAAGAGTCTGGGACACACTACTACTGAGGCTATTAAAAGGAAGTCTGCGGCCCTGGCCCGGCGTGGTGACTCTTGCCCGTGATCCCAGTGCTTTGGGAGGCTGAGGCAGGAGGATCGCTTGAGGCCAGGAGTTTGAGACCAGCCTAGGCAACAAAGCGAGACACGGTCTCTGAAATTTTTTTTTAATTAGGCAGGCCTGTAGTTCTAGTTGCTCGAGAGGCCAAGGCAGGAGGATCACTTGAGCCCAGGAGTTTGGGGTTGTAGTGAGCCATGATTGCAGCACTGCACTCCAGCCTGGATAATAGAGTGAGACCCTGTCTCTTAAAAATAAATAAATAGAAAATAAAAGGAAGTCTTCAAACATTACCCGTGGGGTTTCCTCAAGAGCCTGTGGGTGCCTGACTCAAGATCCCTGTTTATAGCAAGGAACCAGGGGAGCAGTCCCTCCAGCCCCTGCCTTGGTGCTTCCTCTGGTTCTAATTGTGGTTTTGCCATTACTTTTAATGGCAAAACCCACAATTACTTTTGCAGCAACCTAATAGCAAGGGGTTCTTCCCAAGAGGACACCAGGCCACAGCACATTTTATTTTTTTTCACAATGAACTTTTGGGCTGTTTTCCTTTAGCTGTGCAGCTACAAGGCTAGAGCTTGCATTCACTGTCTTAAGTCCCTTGCAGATACAGGTGCACACATTTTTCAAACTATAGAGCTGTAGCATTTTCATGTCAACTCAATGTTCACAGTGTCAATTTAGTGCCCTCCTTGGGCACAAAACCACAGCAGTGCTCTTGCTGTTTTGCAAGAAATACCTTCTGCAGTCAGCCTCCGCTGAGAGCTGCAGCCCCTGACTTTAGAGCATGCTTCCTGTAAAACTAAAGTGAAATGCATATTTCCAGGTCTTGTCTTGCCAAAAATTTCAAATATATATTGTCAATATTTTATGCTTACAGTGAAGCAGAGAGAATAATATCACAAAAATCTGTTCTTCTCCACCCAGATTTGTCACATGTGAAAATTTTGCTATATTGTTCCCAGATTCTTTTTTAAAGGGGTAAATCATAGGCACAGTTGATGCCTGCAGTTGGGGGTAGGGAGGGGCCCACAATCACATTTCTCTCTCTCTCTTCACTCTATTGAATTTTGATGTTTACCATCCCCAATTTTTTTTTTTTTTTTTTTGAGACAGAGTCTTGCTCTGTCAGTCAGGCTGGAGTGCAGTGGCATGATCTGAGCTCACTGCAACCTCCGTCTCCCGGGCTCAAGCAATTCTCCTGCTTCAGCCTCCCGAGTAGCTGGGACTACAGTGTGTGCCACCACGCCCGGCTAATTTTTGTATTTTTAGTAGAGATGGGGTTTCACCATGTTTGCCAGGCTGGTCTCGAACTCCTGACCTCAGGTAATCCACCTGCCTCGGCCTCCCTAAGTGCTGGGATTACAGGTGTGAGCCACCGCACCCAGCCTATCATCACCAATATTTTAAAATACTCACTACATATGTATACATTCCTAAACAGATATGTTATTGCTTTGAACTATTTTAATAGTATAGAGATGATATCCTACTATACTGATCCTTCCGTTGTTTTTCCTCACTCAACAGTATTATTGTTGAGATTTTAAAATATTGATACACATAGATCTAGTTCATTCACTTTATGGTAGTAAATGCTTTCTTTATCTATTTTGTAGTTGGTAGACATTTAGTTATTCTCCATTTTTTCTCTGTAGAAACAATGCCACAGAGAATTATACATGTCCACTTGTGCACTTTTGAGAACTGTCTCAAGAGTAGACCTGGTGGGTTACAGGATTAGACACCTTTGAAATGTACTAGACGCTGTCAAATTGTTCTCTAACATGGTTGTATCAATTTATACCATCAGTAACAATGGTAAAGTTTTAATTTTTCCATGCTCTTGCCTCTTCTTTATGAGAAACATTTCAAATTTACAGAAAAGTTGCCAGAAAGGTACAATGAACACATGTATATACTTCATCTAGATTCAATGTTATTAACCTTTTGCTACATTTGCTTTTTTATTCTCTCAAAAATTTTCTTGGCCTTTGGTATCCCATATTTCAACATGTATACATATAATAAAATATATAATTAAATATATATCCTAAAACAAGGACATTCTCCTACATAAAATAATGCAGTCATCACACTCAGAAATTGAACATTGATACAATTCTACTATTATGCAGGCCAGTTTCAAATTTTTCCACTGACCTAATAATGCCTTTTATAGATTTTTCCCCAGTCCAGAATTCAATCAGGGATCAAATACTGTGTTGCATTTAATTGTCATGTATCTTTAGTCTCCTTTAATCTTCTTTAATCTAGAAAATTCCCCAGTCTTTTAAAAGAATGTTTCATAACATTGACATTTGTTATCCTTGCCATCTCTTGATAATGTCAGACATTTTAATCTTTGCCAAATTGATCAGGGTGAAATAACATCTCATCGTGGCTTTAATTTGTTTTCCTTTGATTACTAGTGAAGTTGAGATGTTTTTCATATGCATATTGGCAATTAAAATTTCCTTCTTAAAAATTTTCTCTTTAATATCTTTTGCCTGCTTTATTATTATATTGTTTACAATTTTTATAGGTATATAAAAGCTCTAGATATATTCTGGATACTAAACAATTGCCAGTTAAAGGCAATTTTAGCTGTAATGTTTGGCTACACAGCAGAGGTGTTTAATTTGATATTCAAATATATCTAATTTTCCCTTAATAATTTGTAATCTTTGTAAGAAATCCTTCTCCACCCTAAGGTCATAAGATATTCTCATAAAGATAAATATAATTTAAATCTTGAATATACTTGAAATCTATTTTTGTGATAGTGTGTGATAGGGTTCTAGTTAAGCTTTTTCCATATGTAATATCCTAGTGCCATTTATCCAAGAGTTTGTTCTTTCCCCACTGATTCATAATGCCATCTCTGTCATATATTGAGTTTCTATATTTATTCTAGCATTCTGCTCATTCGACTCAAGAGTGGAATTGGTGGATCATAGCTTACAGACATCTTTAACTTTACTAAATATTGCCAAATTGCTCTCAAAAGTGTTCATATTTATTTATATTGCCAATAACAATAACAAAGTTTCCATTTCTTCATACCTTCACTGATATGGTTTGGCTGTGTCCCCATTCAAATCTCACCTTGAATTGTAGCTCCCACAATTCCCATGTGTTGTGGGAGGGACCCAGTGGGAGATAATTTAATCATGGGGACGGGTCTTTCCCATGCTATTCTCATGATAGTGAATAAGTCTCACTAGATCTGATGGTTTATAAAGGGGAGTTTCCCTGCACAAGTTTTCTTCTCTTGTCTGTCACCATGTAAGATGTGCCTTTCACCTTCCACCATGTTTGTGAGGCCTCCCTAGCCATGTGGAACTGTGAGTCCATTAAACCTCTTTTTCCTTATAAATTATCCAGTCTTGGGTATGTCTTTATCAGCAGCATGAAAATGGACTAATACAGTAAATTGGTACTAGTAGAGTGGGGCGCTGCTGAAAAGATATCTGAAAATGCAGAAGTGACTTTAGAACTGGGTAACAGGCACAGGTTGGAACAGTTCGGAGGGCTCAGAAGGAGACAGGAAAACGTGGGAAAGTTTGGAACTCCCTAGAGACTTGTTGAATGGCTTTGACCAAAATGCTGATAATGGTATGGACAATAAAATCCAGGCTGAGGTGGTCTCAGATGGAAATGAGGAACTTGTTGGGAACTGGAGCAAAGGTGACTCTTGTTATGTTTTAGCAAAGAGACTGGTGGCATTTTGCCCCTGCTCTAGAGATTTGTGAAACTTTGAACTTGAAAGAGATGATTTAGAATATCTGGCAGAAGAAATTTCTAAGCAGCAAATCATTCAAGAGGTGACTTGGGTGCTGTTAAAGGCATTCAGTTTTATAAGGGAAGCAGAGCATAAAAGTTCAGAAAATTTGCAGCCTGACAATGGATAGAAAGGAAAATCCCATTTTCTGAGGAGAAATTCAAGCCGGCTACAGAAATTTGCATAAGTAATGAAGAGCCAAATGTTAATCCCCAAGACAATGGGGAAAATGTCCTCAGGTCTTCACAGCAGCCCCTCCCATCACAGATCCTGGAGCCTAGGAGGAAAAAATGGTTTTGTGGGCCAGACCCAGGGTCCCTCTGCTGTGTGCAGTCTAGGGACTTGGTACCCTGTGTCCCAGTTGCTCCAGCTGTGACTAAAAGGGGCCAAGGTACAACTCAGGCTGTGGCTTCAGAGGGTGCAAGCCCCAAGCCTTGGCAGCTTCACATTGTGTTGAGCTTGCAGGTGCATGGAAGTCAAGAATTGAGGTTTGGGAACCTCCACGTAGATTTCAGAGGATTTATGGAAATGCTTTGATGTTCAGGCAGAAGTGTGCTTCAGGGGTGGGGTGCTCATAGAGAGCCCCTGTTAAGGCAGTGTGGAAGGGAAATGTGGGATTGAAGCTCCCACACAGAGTTCCCACTGGGGCACTGCCTTAGTGGAGCTGTGAGAAGAGGGCCACTGTCCTCCAGACCCCAGAAAGGTAGCTCCACCAACAGCTTGCACCATGCACCTCGAAAAGCCACAGACACTCAATGCCAGCCCATGAAAGCAGCCAGGAGGGAGGCTGTACCCTGCAAACCCACAGGAATGGAACTGCCCAAGACCATAGGAACCCACCTCTTGCATCAGTGTGACCTGGAAGTGAGACATGGAGTCAAAGGAGATCATTTTGGAGCTTTAAGATTTGACTGCCCTTCTGTATTTTGGACTTGCATGGGACCAGTAACCCCATTGTTTTGGCCAATTTTTCCCATTTGGAATGGCTATATTTACCCAATGTCTGTACCCCCATTGTATCTAGGAAGTAGCTAACTTGCTTTTGATTTTACAGGCTTATAGGCAGAAAGGACTTGCCTTGTCTAAGATGAGACTTTGGACTGTGGATTTTTGAGTTAATGCTGAAATGAGTTAAGACTTTGGGGGACTGTTGAGAAAGCATGATTTGTTTTGAAATGTAAGGACATGAGATTTGGGAGGGGCCAGGAGCAGAATGACATAGTTTGGCTGTGTCCCCACCCAAATCTCAACTTGAATTATAACTCCCATAATTCCCACGTGTTGTGGGAGGTACCCAGTGGGAGGTTATTGAATCATGGGGGCAGATCTTTCCCATGCTGTTCTCATGATAGTGAATAAATCTCATGAGATCTGATGGTTTTATAAAGGGGAGTTTCCCTGCACACATTCTCTTCTCTTGTTTGCCACCATGTGAGATGTGCCTTTCACCTTCCACCATGATTGTGATGACTTCCCAGCCATGTGGAACTGTGAGTCCATTAAACCTCTTTTTCGTTGTAAATTATCCAGTCTTGAGTATGTCCTTCTCAGCAGCATGAAAATGAACTAATACACTCACCAACACTTTTGGGGGAAAAATTCCACTGATTTATTTATCTATCCCTCAGCCAATATCACATTTTCTTAGATTAGATGCATCTTTGCAAGAAGTGTTGTTATCTGGCAAGGCAGGTCTCTTTTTCCTGCTGGTTTCAAGAGGAGTATGAGAGATGTGTGGGACAGAGCCAGCCCTCCTCAGCTGACTTCTGCCTCCCAGTTGCACATGTACACTAGCTAAATAAATTCTTATTGATGAGTACTACTGAGATTTTTGTAGTTGTTTCCTATGTAGCATTATAAAGATATTGTGCAGATTAAATGACCATGTCCCTGTGAAGTGCTTGGTAGAAAGCAAGTACTCTACATAGGCAAGCTATTATTGCAATTTTAGTTAATGGCAGTTAATGAGCTGAGTCATTCAAGTGGGAGACCTGGGGCTCATCATTGATTTCTATATTATCCTTCCATATGCAGTCACCAAGCCCACTGATTCTGCTTCCTTGATATTTCTTACTCCTGTTATTTCTCCCTGTCCCTGCTGCCCATGCCTGGGCTCAGGTCCTCTTCAGTGCTCATCTGGATTACTGGCCTCCTGGCAGTACTCCTGTTCTCTTCTGATTCTTTCTCCATGGTATTGCCAGAATGAAATTTCTAAAATAAATGTGATTGTGACAGTCCTCATTGCCCTTAGAAAAACACAGTGATTTGTTAATATATTTGTCTTTCTTGCCCCCCTTCCCCCACCACAGCTCACCTCTCCAGCCTTGAGCTTGGTTTCTCAGCATCCTCTTTGTTCTAATCACACTCAACTATCCACTATTTCCATGAACCATGTTTCTACTTTCCTCACTCCTTCTCCCCAGACACTGCTGCCCCTTCCATCAGACACACACACACGTCAGTATAGTCTTAGGAGTACAAAAAAATTGTTTAAATTAAATCCCAGGTATCCCACTTGCTAGCTGTGTGTCTTTGGTAAACTATTTAACATCTTGTGCCTCTGTTTCCTGATCTGTAAAATGGGATAATCCCAGTATCACTTATAGCTGCTGCAAACATGTAAGATAATTCATGCATAGCACAAGGTGCATGATGGACAGTCTCTGTTAATATTACTTCTAGTATTGGTTTCTCATTTTCATTATTTGATGATAGCTGCAGTGGTTCTCTCATGTTGGTTGTGTCTCTAGCATACTTATCACTTTGTTTCTTAATAGTATCTTAAATCCTAGGCATGTGGTTTGGGTTGGATTGACTCCACACCAGCTCTGAGAATGAGTCCCAATTGACTTAAACCCACCATAGTATCCCATCCCCATAGCCAAGTCAGACCAATGAGAGACAATAGTTTTGATTTCATTGGTTCTGTTTGCATCATTGGCAAGTAGACTCTTTCCCTGAAGGTCATGATCAAGAATATTTGCAGCCCACAGATTGCCAGTGTAGGACCATAAGTGAAACAATTCTGTGGAGGTCACAGTGGAGGCTGGAGTGGATCTGATCCTTGGTGACATGCTTGAGCTGATGGCTCAAGCCTTACCTAAAGCTAGACCAGTATCTTAACTTCTTATGAACCTATCCATTTCCTCTATTATTTAGAGTTTAGGTTTTCTGTTATTTGTAACATACAGTCTAACACACAGGATCTGAAAGTGGATTCTTGAGCACCCCCTCTTCTTCAGGTCATATTGTTCTAAGTGAAGCCGGCTCTAAGATTGTTACCTATTATAGTGGGTTGAATATTGTTCACCAAAAGATACGTCCATCCAAAACCTGTGAATATGACCTTCTTTGGAAAAAAGGGTCTTTGCAGAGGTAATTAAGTAATTAAGATGAGATCATATGGAATTAACCAGATGAACCCTAAATCCAATGATGAATGTCCTATAAGAGACAGAAGAGGTTAAGACATGGATGAGAAGAGAGGAATTCTGTATGAAAATGGAGGCAGATATTATAGTTATGCAGCCATGTCCCATGGAACGCCTGCAGCCTCCAAAAGATGCAAGAGATGGAAGGAAAGTTTCTCCACCAGGGCCTCTGGAGAGAGTGTGGCCTGAAGGACACTTTGATTTTTGGACTTCTAGCTTCCAGAACTGTGATAGAATAAATTTCTGTTGTTTTAAGCCACTAAGTTTGTGGTAATTTTTTATAGAAACCCTAGGAAACAAATACACTTGTCTTAGGCTGGCAATTTGCATATGTAGAACTGCCAGGACAAGGGGACTCTCATCTCCACGGACTTCTATCCTACGTAGGAGAAGTTGCCTGAGTGCATTTCTTCAAAGCCACCTTCACTATGGTTCTTCTCTCCATATCTATAACATGTGATTAATTTTCATGTCATCAGGTTTTGAAATTCACCTAGGCCCTTTTCTCTCTTTTTCTATCAAAATTCGCTGGTCCAGGGTGGACATATGTGCCACTTGGCCTGGGACTCTTCCAGTTTGCACCTACTGTCCTAATGCTCTTATTAATAGCCCACTTCTCACTATCATAAATGTCCTGATTTGGACAATTAATTCTATGATCACTTCTGTTAATGAATTTGGTCAGCCTCTTGCCAAACTCACTGTGTTTAAGATGTCAGTCATCACCTTCTGTATTAGTTTGTTCTTGTACTGCTATAAAGAAATACCTGAGACTGGATAATTTTTAAAGAAAAGAGGTTTAATTGGCTGACAGTTTTGCAGGGTGTACAGGAGGCATGACTGGGGAGGACTCAGGAAGCTTACAATCATGGCAGAAGGCAAAGAGGAGGCAGGCACTTCTTACAAGGCTAGAGCAGGAGGAAAAAAGAGTGAGTTGGGGGAGGGGTCATACACTTTTATACAACCACCTCTCAGGAGAACTCACTCACTATCATGAGAACAGCAAGGGGGATGTCTGCCCCTATGATCCAATCACCTTCTACCAGGCCCTTCCCCCAACACTGGGGATTACAATTCAACATGAGATTTGGGCAGGGACACAAATCCAAACCATATCACCTTCCTACTCACACTTCCTGAGGGGATATACCATGCTGAGAGCTCTTATCCCTCCATGGTCAAGACCATCAGTGCCCCCACCAGTGGCCACCGACCTCAGGTATACCCATTCATAATCAACTACAGAAGATTTTTTTCATATCTCTCAAAAAGATGAGCTAGATCTATTAAATTCTTCTCTCAAGAATTTGAACTTGGGAAATCAAGACACTTGGATGGTTAGGAACGTAGCTATAATGAAAGGGTACGAGGCAGCATTTAAAATTTAAGTAACAATCTGTGAGTTCCCCCAATGGAAGGAGTTGGAGAAAATAGCAGTCATCGACAGCGCCACAGGATTGCACATCTGGAGTTGTGCTGCAGGGGGGGGCCATTCACATAGGACACCTGTGACTGGCGCGTCCTGAAGCAGTGCAATGCAGTAGCCCTGATCGTCTTGCTTCCTGGCATCTTTCTGTTCCAGTTCCAATTGCTATATATCTCTATCAGTGGCTAAACTTTGCTGGGCATTAGAATGTTTTCAAAAGTCTTGATTTCCAAGTCACATTCCAGACTGATTAATTCAGAATCTCTGGGGTGACAACTGGATCTCAGTAGTTTTTTAAGAAACTCCTCAGGTGAGGTCAATGTGTCACCAAGTTTGAAAATCACTGATAGTCCTTTCCCCGTTTTTGGAAGTCATTTGAGCAGGTCTCTGTTGCAACCAGTAGATCCTTATGCATCACTCTTCCCAAAGGGACTTTGACACTTCTGTGTGTAAGATTTTCCCCGGAGCCTGAAAGCTTAAAGAGATAAATAACTCCTCCTTTCTCAGGCCCAGTCCCAAGCCGCAAGGCTACTTTTGCCAGTAGCGTGCCCCAGCAAGATAGCAGAAGCAGGAAAAGAGCCGCTGGAAGACACTTACCCAGGTGGAAAGACACGTACACCTGAAGATCGAAAAAGAGGCCATCCGGGTACAACGTAGCAGTTACTTCAGACTAGGACACTTCCTGTTTACAGGAGACTCTAAAGCCTTTGCCCTGTCCTCACTTGGGGCTGAGGCCTAGTCAGCCCCCCTGCACCCAGGCGCTCATTAAAACAGCATGTTACCCCACACCGCCTCGTGTTATCTTTTGGCGTGCTCTTGGGGTTCAAACCGATACAAGAACCTTACACTGTGGTGTTCTGGATGGTAGGATATGATCTATGACAGTCTTTTAATTGACTGGCTGTCATAATTCTTATCTAGCAAACTCTCCTGCATTTTGTCTGACATTGTAAATAGTGAGGTAAATAGTGAGGTACATTACTGGCCAATTTCATGTGCTATTTGAATACCTTTTTGCATGAAAATAAGAATTATGTAAAACAGAATCTTGTTTCTGTTCATCCTTCCTGCCCCATTCCCTTTGGTGCTTCTGTGGATGGGATGAGTCATTCTCGGCTACAACTGGACCAGAGAGTTTATTTTAAAATACACGACAAAAGTTGATTGTGCATTTTTTCTTCTGGCATTTCTTCATATTGGTTTCAGCCTGCTCATTTTCTACCATGTTTTTTTCCCTCTGCCTGGATATAAACTTTCCTGTTCCAGCAGCTGCTGGCAGATGCCTATAGTTTATAAAATAGTACAAAAGATGTAAGAACTATATCTGAGAATGGCCACTTTTAATGACAAATTAATTTGTGCTCTGGATAATTTTTTTTATTAAATGGGCACAGAGGAACAGGCTTTTCTGCCCACTAGGTGACTTACTCCTCTGTTTGCTGGAAGAATCATTGATCATCTGCTGTTATTAGCAGTATCCACCTAACCCAGCACCTGAGTACAACTTTTAGAAATGAGGTTAAATAATCTGATTCCGGAGAGACAAATCGTTTAGGGTCAATAGTGACAGATAGGACCTATTTTAATCTGATTCCAGAGAGACAAATTGTTTAGGATCAATAGTGACAGATAGGACCTATTTCCAGCCAGAAACCACAATTGTGATTTCCTCAGTACTCCCTTGAAAAAGTAACAAAGAGCAAACATGAACTAAGCATTTTCCAGACAGATTTGTAGAGCTGGGGTTATTTACAGCGTTCCAAGTTCCAGTCTGCAATGAACATTAATAATTCTTGATTTCTTTAGTGAGTCCAGTGCCCTTCTTTAGTGAGTCCAATGTCCATTTGAACCACAGGAGATGTCAGCCACAGGAGAGACTGTAAGAATGTCGGGCCAAATATTTTAGAGATGAAAGATTAATGCTCACCAGTGTTAGAACACTCCCAGCTCTTTCTATCTTTGCTTTTCCACCTGCTCTTCTTCCCTGCCTGGTGAACTCATCCTCATCCTTCAAGGTCCAGCTCAAGAGATACTTCTGTGAAGGTTCCTCTGACTTCTCATATCGGGAGATGAGAGCCCTGGACATAATGTTATTGTGTTTATTGTTCTCTTGAGGTCACTTAGCCATGGCCTAGCTTTCTCACTAGACTAAAAACCCCTTAAGGTGAGACTGTCTCTCTTATTTGTCCCTCTCTCACAGCCTATAGAAGTTCCTGATGACACATAGCTTGTACTCAATCAATAGATGGTGAATTCAGAAGCCTATGTAAATAACACTGGGGGGATAGACAGGAATCAGCATTTCTTAAGGATGCCCCATGTGTCCAGCACTTGCACATATTATCTCATTAAATCTTCTCAACAACCTTCCAAGATAAATATAAATATGATTATTGGGACTCAGAAGTAGTAAGGATCTTAATAAGACCCTTAGGTAATAAGAGACAGGGCTGAAAGTCAAACCTGGATCTCTTTGACTCCCAATCACATTCTCTCTCCACTCCACGGTAAGCTGAGTTACCTTAAAAGCTTCCTGTAAAAAAGAACAATATATTCATTTGCCTTAAATAGAACATGCTAACGAGCACAAATCACTTCATTTGGAAATTGCCATTCTGAAGATATTAACTTAATTTTAGTCTCTCATATGCAAAACTTTTGAAGAGTGTAAGTATCCTTAAGTGCACAGGGAAGTGGTTCTTTCAGGAAAAATTTGAGTATGGCCCATGCACATATTCAGTGTCATCATTAAATTAAAAGTATTAAGTGGTTTCATTACATAGGAATCCATGTCATGGTAAGTTTCTTTCAGAGGACCAGTTTAGAAATGCAGCCCAGGATGTGTCAGTACCTCTCAAAAGGAGAAACATCCTACAGTAATAATAACAAAGTGATCTCAACCTAGCAAAGATTATAATAGAATAGCCCCATTTATAGATAAGCTTAGATCTTAGAGAAGGAAGGTGAGGAGGAGTAGGAGTCACCTTTCATCAGCACTTACTATATGCCAGGGACTGTGCTAAGTATTACTGGCCTCAGCTCGATTCCCTGCAAGAACTCCATGACATAGACACTTATCCTCATTTTGAGTATAAAGAAGCAGGGGTTTAGGGAGGTTAAATGACTTCTCTTAGTCCCACTGCTTGTAAATGACTCTTGCAGTCTTAGACTGACACCAAAATTTAAGCTTCTCTACTAACACCAAAAGACAGTAAAAATAGTGGGGGTGTTAACTGTGACAGCCCTTTTAAAATACATTGTCAGCATCTATGAAAATTTAAATGTGCATACCCTACAACTCAAAAATTCTACTTCTTAGTGTTAGCTCAAGAAAAATTCTTGCACATGTGTACAAAATTGTTTGTGATAGCAGAAAACTGGAAACAATTTTTAGGTTTATGTCCTTCCAAAGGAAAATCACTTTAAAAAGTGATACTGTATCCATGCTATGGAATAATGCATACCTGTCAAGTTCTCAAAGACATAATGTTGCTGTAGAGGTAGCAGATGGTAGTATGATACAATAAAATACTACACAAAATCCACATCTTAAAACATTAGCATATATGCATATATGTATATTTGCAAAATTGATGGAAAGAGAATGGAAGGATACAGACCAATCTAATAGCAGTGGTTACCTTCATTGTTGGGGTAGGAAATGGACCAGGATTGCAGGGAGTGGGCAAAGGGAATTTGAGCCTTATTTGTAATGCAAAATGAATGCTTCCTTCCTCCTTTTCTCCCTCTCTTCTTCCTGGTTCAGTTTCAAACCTCATTCTACCATGAGCATATCTGATTGGCAGACTCTAACCCATATCCAGAAGCCTAACTACAAGGAAGTCTGGAAATGTCAGTTTTAGCTTTCTACCCTCCCCTTGCTATCATAGAAAAGGGTTGGGCTGCATGCTGAGCTCTCAATACACACAATAATAATTCAGGCAATAAATACTTTGGCCAAATTTCCAAATAAAATCAGGTTAAAGGAAAATGATAGAATTGTGAATCACATGGATTTTTATATAACTTCTTTCTCTATGAAGTCAACTATAATCTGAAACTGCAATGGTATAAGCACACAAGAGAAAGAAGCCATGCAAAAGATCTTGAACTTTTATGAACTCTGACATTTCTGTTATCCTCCCCAGGGTGCTACTCCTCTATCTAACCTGTTGAAAGACAGCCCCATGAAAGAAGCATCTATTTGGTGCTATTATAAGTGAATTGTTTTCATAATTCATTTAAGTTATTTAAAAATGTATCTAGAAATGCAACTGATTTTTGTGCATCAGCTTTGTATCCTGCCACTTTCTTGAAATCGTTTATTAGCCCTAGCAGTTTTTTGGTGGAATCTTTTGGGATTTCTACAGATAAAATTATATCATCTGTGAATAGATCATGTGACTTCTTCCTTCCAATTTGTATGCCTTCAGTTTAATTTAATTTTTGTCTAATTGCTCTGACTAGAACTCCCAGTATTATGTTGAATAGTAATGGTGAGAGTGGGTATCCTTGTCTTATTCTTTATCTTAGATGAAAAGCCTTCAGTCTTTTCCTATTGAGTATGATGGTCTACAGCCATACCACCCTGAACATGCCTGACCTCATCTGATCTCAGAAGCTAAGAAAGGTCGGGCCTGGTTAGTACTTGGATGGGAGTATAATGTTAGCTGTGGGCTTTTCATATATGGATTTTATTATATTGTTTATTATATATATTGAAGGTAGTTTTCTTCTCTTCCTAGTTTGTTCAGTGTTATTATCATAAAAGGGCATTGAATTTTGTCAAATGCTTTTTCTGAATTGATTGAGATGATAATGTGATTTTGTCCTTCAATTTGTTAATGTGGTATATTTCATTGATTGATTTTTATATGGTGAACCATCCTTGCATTCCAGGTATAAGTGCCACTTAGTCATGGTGCATGACCCTTTTAATGTGCTGTTGAATTCAGTTTACCGGTATTTCTTTGAGGATTTTTGCACTGATATTCATCAAGAATGTTAGTCTGTAATTTTCTTTTCTTGTTTTTAATATCTTTGTCCACGGTGTCAGAGTAATATTAGCCTAATATAATGAGTTTGGAAGTGTTACCTCCTCTTCAATTCTTTAGAAGAGTTTGAGAAGGATTGATAAGTTTTAAAGAATGTATGGTAGAATTCTTCAGTGAAGCCACTAGTCCTGGGTTTGTTTGTTTGTTTGGAGGTTTGGAGGTTTTTGACTAGTGCTTCAATCTCCTTGCTAGTTATAAGCCTGTCCAGATATTTTATTTCTTCAGGATTCAGTCTTGGTAGGTTGTGTCTAGCAATTTATCCATTTCTGCTAGGTTATACAACTTATTGGGTGTAATTGTTCATAGTAGTCTTTTGTAATCCTTTTAACTTTTGCAATATCAGTTGTAATGCCTTCTCTTTCATTTCTAGTTGTATCTATTTGAGTCTTTTCTCTTAGTCAACTAATCATTTGTCAATTTTGTTGATCTTAAAAAAACTCAGTTTCATTGGTTTCTCTATTGTTTTGCTATTCTCTATCTCATTTATCTCTACTGTAATCTTATTATCTCCTTTCTTCTAACTTAGGTTTAGTTTGTTCTTTTTCTAGTTTCATGAGGTGGAAGTTTAGGTTATTAACTTGAACTCTTTTTTTTAATGTAAACATTTATCACTATAAACTCCCTTCTTAGTAGAGCTTTTGCTGCATCCTGTAAGTTTTGGCATGTTGTATTTTCATTTTTATTTGGCTCCAGATATTTTCTAAATTCTCCTCTGATTTATTCTTTGATCTATTGGTTGTTTGAGAGTGTATTGCCAAATTTCCACATTTATAGATTTTTCTGTTTTCCTTCTGCTATTGATTAATTTTATTTCATTGTGGTAAGAGAAAAATACTTTGTATAATTTTATGTCTTTATTTCTGTGGATGTTTGCTTCATATGGGTTCTCCGCTGCTAGGTGGATATACATTAATAATTGTTATATCTTCTGGGTGAATCAGCCCTTTAATCTTTATATAATGTCCTTCTTCATCTCTTGTGAGTTTTTTCTTAAAGTCTATTTTGTCTAGTGTAAGTATGGCCACCTCTGCTCTCTCTAGGTTCTCATTATATGGAATATCTTTTCCCACTCTTTTAGCCTATGTGTGTTCTTAGATCTAAAGTGAGTCTCTTTTAGACAGCATATGGTGGGATCTTGTTTTTTATCCATTAAGCCTGTCAATGTCTTTTAATCGGTGCATTTAATCTGCTTACATTTAAAGTAATTACTGATAGGGAAGGATATGCTATTACCATTTTGTTAAATCATTTTCTGTCTGTCTTATAGCTTTTTTGTACTTCTTTTCATCTCTTGCTTATTTCCTTTGCATTTTGTTGATTTGTTGTTGTTGTTAACCCAAAATATCTGAGACAGGTCTCAGTCAATTTAGAAAGTTTATTTTGCCAAGGTTAAGGATGTGCCTGTGACACAGCCTCAGGAGGTCCTAATGACAAGTGCCCAAGGTGTTCAGGGTACAACTTGCTTTTATACATTTCAGGGAGACATGAGACATCAATCAATATGTATAAGATGTACATTGGTTCATTCCACTAGGGCAGGACAACTAGAAGTGGGAGCTTCTAGGTCACATGTAGATAAGAGACAAAAGGTTGTATTCTTTTGAGTCCTTGATCAGCCTTCCACTGAATATCCAATTTAGTCTGGCTCAGTGAATCTGCATTTTTACATAAACAATAGGGCAGAGGAAGCAATCGGATATGCATTTGCCTCAGGTGAGCCTTGGAGGGATGACTTTGAGTTCTGTCCTTTGTCCATAAGGAATTTCCTTATGGGCAAATTGTGAGAGAGGTATGTAGCTTCTTACCTTTGTAGCTATCTTATTTAGAAATAAAATAGGAGGCAGGTTTGCCTGACATAATTCCCAGCTTGACTTTTCCCTTGGCTTGGTGATTTTTGGGGTCTTAAGATTTATTTTCCTTTCATACTGTAGTGTCATGTTTGAGTCCCTTCTCATTACCTTTTGTGTATACTCTATAAATATTTTCTTTGTGGTTACAAATGCAATTACATAAAACATCTTAAAGTTATAACAATCTATTTTACATTGATAAACTCATTTGCATATATGATCATGTAAAAAAACATTACTGCATTACATTTCTGTCCCCTTTTATGTTGTGGATGACACAAAATACCTTTTTATATTATATATCCATTAACATATTTATAATTATATTTTTGCTTGCTAAAAATTATTCTATACCAGTGATAAAATAAAAACTTCAGCCAAATTAAATTTGAAGGAGTTTAATTGAGCAATGAACAGTTCGTGAATTGGGCAGCTTTCAGAATCATAGGAGATTCACAGAGACTCCAGTGCAGCCATGTGGTGTAAGAAGATTTATAGACCAAAAAAAAAGAAGGAAATGATGTACAGAAATCAGCAGTGAGGTACAGAGTGGCTGGATTTGTTACAGCTCAGCGTATGCCTTATTTGAACACAGTTTGAACACTCAGTAGTATATGAATGGCTGAAGTATGGCCACTGGGATTGGCCAAGACTTAGCTATTGTTACAACTACATACCACTAACTTAGGTTTACAATTGTTTCTGTCTATTAAGCTAGGTTATAGTTCATCCACAAGGACTCAAATGTAAAGTACAGAGTCCTTCTCAGGCTATATTTAGTTTGCTTTCACACCAGATTTATAAGTGATTTACTCAACTGTATAATAATACTACGGGATTCTATATATCTCTATATATTTACCATTACCAGGGAATTTAACATTTTCATAGGGCTTTTTGCAGCTGTTTATCACTCTTTTGTATCAATTTGTAGGACTTCCTTTTGCATTTTTTATAGGGTAAGGCAAGTGGTTACGGATTCCCTCAGCTTTTGTTTATCTGAGAAGGTCTTTATTTCTCCTTCAGTTTTGAAGGACAGCTTGGCCAGACATAGTATTTTTAGTTGGCAGGGTTTTTTTCTTTTGGTACGTTGAATATATTACCCCACTCTCTTCTAGTTTGCAAGGTTTCCGCTGGGAAATCTGCTGATAATATTGGTGCTCCCTTGTACATCATGAGTACTTTTCCCCTGATGCTTTCAAAATTCTCTCTTTATCTGTGACTTTTGAAAATTTGATTGTGATGCATGTCAGTGTAGATTTATTCTGTTTGGAGTTCTCTGAGCTTCTTGAATTTGCACATTCATTTCTCTCATAGATTTGGAAAACAGGGTGCCATTATTTTTTCAAATAGATTCTCTACCCCTTTTTCTTTTTCTTATCCTTTTGGAACTCCCATAATGCACATGTTATTCTACCTGATGGTGTCTCAGAAATCTCTTAGACTCTCTTCATTGTTCTTTTGTTGTTGTTGTTGTTGTTCTGCCTTTTAAAAGTTTTCTATCTTCAAGTTTGTTGATTGTTTCTTCTGCCTAGTCAAGCCTGCTGTTGAGACCATCTAGTAAATTTTTCAATTCAATTATTGTATTCCAGGATTTCTGTTTTATTCTTCTTCATAAATTCTCTTTATTGATATTTTCACATTGTTCATGCATTTCTTTTCTAAGTTTGTTTAGTTGTCAGTCCGTGCTCTCTTTTTATTCATTGAGCATCCTGAAGATAGTAATTTTGAATTGTCTGGTAATTTACATATCTCTGTTTCTTTAAAGTCAGTTTCTGGAGATTTAACTTGTTCCTTTAAAAGTGTCATGGTTCTCTGTCTTTGCATGTTTTGTTGTTTTGTTGCTGCAGTTTCAGCATTTTAAGAATCAGCCAACTCTCCTATTATCTGGTTTTATACATACAGGAATTTCTCCAGTCAGCCAGGCTAGAAATTCTGGAAACTTCTCAAGCATTTTCTGGGTATAAGTCTTTCCTCGGCTTGTGGGTGTAATCTGTTTGAAGACGTTTCCCAACATCTATTCAGGAGCTCTCCCTGGTGTTTGTCTGTGATACTGCAGCCTCTCTGGTGCTGTAGTAAATAGTGGTACTGGAGCTCCACCCAGTGTCTATCTTTGGTACTACTGACTCTGGTGCATAGTTGATCATTGTTCTTGGCAATCCTTAGGTGACCTATTCCAGTCAGTGCAGTCTCAGGCACACAAAAGTCCCTTGGGCAGCATCTCTAAAAATCAGGAGGTCTGATACCCCTTCCACTCCTTTCTCACCTCAAGGAGAAGACAAGAGTTGAGGGTTTCCTCCCAATCACATGTTGGAGTGGGAGGGATGTTCTGATGAGAAAGAATGGAGAATGCCACAGGTTTTTCTACTGGGCTTCAATGTGGTTGGCTTCGTGATCAGTATAAGAACCTTTTAACTGACTTTTGGTTTTCTTACAGAGGCATTTGGTCTGACTGTTGTTGCTAATTTTGTGTCCCGTGGGAGAAGAAGAGACTAAGGCTTTCCGTCCTGCCCTTTTCCTGATGTTTCTCCTCTGATTTTTATAATCAGAAGCACAGTAAAAAAAAAAAAAAAAAAGAAACACACACACTTTTTCTTTCTCATGATCCTCATCTTCCACTACTTTTGACGCCAATGGTTTGAGTTTGATTTCTTTTTTAAGACAAAAATTTATGTTACCAACTACCTGTTTCCATCTTGTTCTTCACATCTGAAGTCATTTTGCTTCTGTTGAGGGTAGCTTGATTCTTCCCTCCCACTCCTCACCCCTGCACCAGGGAACGATCAGGCTGTTAGAACTTTGAGATGGAAGGTTTTCAGGTGCTCAACGTTAACCCCACTGCCAAAGGCCATGGGTGGGTGGTGGGAGGGCATATTTGGAGCAGAGCTGTATGCAGAAGCATGGTCTGAACCCCACAGATACCTATGTCACCTTCCCTGTCAGGAGATATCCAGTGCTATCCAGCTGAGTTCCCAATTCCTAGCTTCAAAGGCCACCCAAGAGTCATTAAGTAGATCAAATAGTGAGATGGTATGAGCTGGGATCACTATGAGACTGCCTCCCCTCAAGGATACTCATGGATCCCCCTATTACCCCCAGGTCTACTCTGCTACTATCATTTAAGTTCACTAGGACAGATCCACTGCGATCTGGGAATTCATGCCTACTTGGTCATTGTGAATTTGACCTTTCTGAATCAAAATCCCAGTTCATAGTTAGACATTTTGTGTTCCTATTTTGAGTTTACATAGTTTGACGATTAATTTTAGGTATTAACTTGACTGAGCCAAAGGATGCCCAGAGAGCTGGTAAACATTATTTCTGGGTATATGTGTGAGGGTATTTCCAGAAGAGTTTCATATTTGAACTGATGAACCAAGTAAAGCAGATCCAAACCACTGAGGGCCTGAATCATCAGAAAGGTGGAAGGAGGAAAAAAATCACCCTCTGCTTGAGCTGAGACATCCATCTTCTCCTGTCAGTGCTCCTGGTTCTCAAGTTTTTGGATTCAGGTTAGGACTTACATCATCACCCCACTTCACACTGGTTCTCAGGCCTTTGAACCCAGACTGAATTACACACTGGCTTTCCTTGTTCTCTAGCTTGCAGACAATAGATTGTAGGAATTCTCTGCCTCCATAACTTTGTGAGCCTATTCCTATGATAAATCTCCTCTTATATTTATGTCTATTTATCTATCTATATATCTATAGATATATATCTTATTGGTTCTGTTTTTCTGGAGAACCCTGATGAATACAAATATTATAGTATCCTAGTACCAGAGCAGTGAGCTCCTTGCAAACTAGAGTCAGAAGGATGTGTTGTCACTGGCAGACATCTCCAGGGGTATCAAGAATACCCCTGTTAGAGACCAGAGATCTAGCAACTGAAGCAGCACGGCCAAGCCATGTAGGGTGCGCCTGAGCGCAAACAGGTGGAGGTCTTCCTTCCTTTTCCAGGAGGCTGAGGAATTCCTCTACAGATTCTTGCCACAGAAAATCACATACCTGAATCAGCTCTTGCGAGAGGGCTCCCTCAGTGTGGCTGACCTGACTTCCCTCCGGGCCCCACTGGACATCCCCAACCCAGACCCTCCACCCAAGGATGATGAGATGGAAACAGATAAGTAGGAGAAGAAAGAAGTCCCTAAGTGTGGATTTCTCCCTGGGAATAAGAAAGTCCTGTCCCTGCTTGCCCTGGTTAAGCCAGAATTCTGGACTCTCAAAGAGAAATTCATTCTGGTGATTACATGGATCCAGCACCTAATCCCCAAGATTGAAGATGGAAATGATTTTGGGGTAGCAATCCAGGAGAAGGTGCTGGAGAGGGTGAATGCTGTCAAGACCAAAGTGGAAGCTTTCCAGACAACCATTTCCAAGTAATTCTCAGAACGTGGGGATGCTGCGGCCAAGGCCTCCGAGGAGACTCATGTAATGGATTACCGGGCCTTGGTGCATGAGCGAGATGAGGCAGCCTATGGGGAGCTCAGGGCCATGGTGCTGGACCTGAGGGCCTTCTATGCTGAGCTTTATCATATCATCAACAGCAACCTGGAGAAAATTGTCAACCCAAAGGGTGAAAAGAAGCCATCTATGTACTGAACCCAGGACTAGAAGGAAAATAAATGATCTATATGTTGTGTCAGAAAAAAAAAAAAAAGAATACCCCTGTTAGTGACAAGGAATTGTTGATTGGGCAGCTACAGAATGTAGCACCCTCTGGAAGCCTAGGCCCAGATGGAAAGAGCAGGAGGACAAGCACACTAAGGAACAAGACATATTGAGTTTACAAATGAGAACACATGAGGCATTGAGCCCTGACAGGGAGGCACTTGTAAGGTAAAAACTGCCACATGCATTCAGGTGGGCGCCCAGTGTGAATAGTAAGCCTATCGGCTGCCTGTGGTGCTTCTAGTCCCTGTCTGAGCTTAGCACCTTAACTAGATGCATATTAGCCCTGGAGGTTGCCAAGACCACAGAGAGGAAGCTGTGTTGAAGAAAGGGAGAATTAACACAGACTTTCTGAGGAGCTTCTGTCTGTTGCCTGGAACAGTCAGGACATCTGAAGGTTGTCAGCTTAATGTCCCCTGCCAGCAAGGAAGGGCTACTATCCAGCAGCTAGTGAGGCAGGCCAACTGCAGGACCTGGGCAGGAATAACTGAGCCCGACATGTTTGTGCTCAACCAGAAGAAAACACATCAGCTCAAGAAGGGGCTGCTGCAGAGGTAGAGTCACTGTGGCAGGCACCCCTTCTGTCCATGAAACATTGGAGAGGAAGGGCTCACTTGTGGTACAGACTAGACTAAAAGCTCTACTGCCTACTATTAAGTTCCCAGAAAGCAGAGACTGTGTGTGTGTGTGTGTGTGTGTGTGTGTGTGTGTGTGTGTGTGTGTGTGTTTAACCACTGTGTCTGCAGTCCCAAGACAGTATCTGAAACATTACAGATACTCAGAAAATATTAGTTGTCCTGCAGGAGAAACAAATGGAGTGGAAAACTACAGGGTAGAAAATCTGCAAGTGAGCATGGACCATGTCTTACTTACCTCTATTCTGTGTGATCCAGATTCCAGGCCTTTCTGAGTATGTGACTTTGGATAATTTACAACTTCTCAGAACTTTTTTTTTTGGTTTTCATTTTATTTAGTTTTGTTTTCATCTGAAAGGTGAAGATTATACTTATCTGGTTCTTGAAAAGATTAAATGAGATAATATATATTGAAGTGATTTGTAAACTGTGGAGTGCTATAATAAATGTTAGCCTTTGCTGTTTTTTTGATGATGGTGATGACAAAGATAACAATGATAATGACGGGTTTCTTTTAGAAAAAATGGTTTGAAGTGGTGAGTGAACTTTACAGATGTTCAGCTGTGGAACAGGGGTATCTGTGCTGACAGGAAAAAAAGAGTGCACAGAAGAGAGGCCCCAAAGCAGGATTTTGCTCACATGGCTTGTGTAATTAGTTATCCTTTATGTGTGTTAGTTTTGAACTGCAGATTAGAGAAATCCATCTAAGGCAAGGACTGTCTTTTGCTTTTTTTCCCCCCACACACACACTACATGGTATATTGTTTATAGCAAGCAGTAAACATTTGTTGGGGGAAAAAAATGAATGAATGATTTGATGAAGGGTGACAGAGCTACAGCAGCTAGAGAGAAACAAGAATATTAGTTGAGCAGAGATTGTTCTCTGGAAGTAATTTGTTCAGGCAGAATCAAAACTCATCTTGACACTTCCTGATTTTAAAACTCTGAGGCTCTTCATCACTCAAAAATAAAACCCAAGCACATTAGTAGGGCATAGAAAGTCCTTCATAAGCTGGATCCAACCTTTCTCTCTGGTCTCATCTCCCATTACACCATCTCCCCAAACCCCAGTTCTTCCACAGTTGTCTTAACTTATCCTATCTTCTAATGGTGCTGAACTTCTTAGAGTCCCTGAGATATGCTAGGTCTTTTCACTAGCTGTTTCCTCTCCCTGGAAAAGTTCTATGCATCTTTCAGGGTATAGCATCAATGCTTCCTGCTGTGAAAGTGTTCCCTGATGTCCCCAGGCATTTATTCATAGAACAAGTATTTCCTTTGCACCCACTATGAATTAGACCCTGTTCTAGGTCCTGGACATAGCAGTGAACAAATCAGACTAAGTCTCTTCCCTCATGGAGTATTTATTCTAATGGAGGGGACTAAAAATGAAAGAAAGACAATATATACGATGTTAGGGAATGGCAAAAATGAAGAGGATGGAAATCTGGGGAAGAGGATGAGGGAGCCATCTCATTTATGTAAACTATGATGTATTAGCAGAATAGACTAGGTTATGTTGCAATAGCAAACAATTCTCTAAAATCTAAGTAGTTTATAACAACAAAGATTTGCCTCTAGCTCATGCTTCATGACCACTGAAGGTCAGCTGAGGCTTAGCCCCACTCGAGAAATAGGCCTGAGCAAACATTTCTAGTTGCCCCAGCAGAGACTAAAGAAAATGAAGCAAAGCATGCACCAGCTGTTAAAGGTTTTACCTGAAAATGGCACATCACATCTGCTCACATTTCTTTAGCCAAAATGAGTTACATGGCCACACCTGCATTCAATAGGACATGGAAGAGCAATTCTACTATTTTCCCGAGAGGCAAGAGAACCAAACGTGTATGAATAGCCCTAATGATTGCTATACACATAATCAAGGAAGTCCTTTCTGATAAAGAGACATTTGAACAGAAACCTCGAGAGAGTGAGGAGTTAGCTGGTAGATAGAAGATGGGACTCATTTCTCTGGCTTCCCATCCCAAACAGCTTAGGGTCATCCTTGACGCTTTCTCTGCCTTTCACAACCCACGTACAACCCATCAGCAAATCCCATTGGCTAGACCTTTATAATGGTCCCGATTTGACCACTGCTCACTGCCTCCTCCTCCTCCTCTGGTCCAAGCCTCATCATCTCCCTCTGCGTGATTGCAGTAGCCTCCTAACTTCTGGCTGCTTCTGCCTGTACCCCCTGCTGGGTCTCTCCCCACCACAGCCAGGGGATCCTTTTCAAATTTCGGTCAGATCATGACGCTTCCCTGCCCAAACTTTCCTATGGCTTCCCATCTTTCTCAGAGTAAAAGCCACAGTCCTCACAGGGCCTCACAGTCCATACCCCACCTGCCCAGCCCCAACTCTGAAATCTCGTTGACCTCATCCACTGCTCTCTCTCTCACTCACTCTGCTTCAGCCATGCTGGTCTCTGTGGTTTATTCGTTCAGTTTGGTCAGTAAGTATTTGAGTGCCTATTCTGTGCTAGGCACCACTCTCAGGACTAGAAATATAATGGTGAAGATATAACCAAAAACATACACCTATGCCGTATTGTAATTAGTCTACTTAAACCACTGTCTCCCACATGACACTATTACGTCTGTTTTCGTCTATGTATCTTTGTGCCTAGCACTATGCTTGGCAAGTAAGTGTTTGAGCGGAGAATGAAAAGATGGAGATGGATGGATGGATAGATAGATAGACAGATAGATAGATAGAGACAGACAGACAGACAGACTTCACCTTTGCTGGAACTGAGGCATGTGCTGTGAGATTCTCCCAGGTAGTATATAACAGCCTCTAACAGCTGCATGGAAAATCTGGTAGCAGAGGCCCAGGATTTCTGGCTTCGATCATCATTTTTAGGGAGACTATAAAAATGAACAGAAGACTTTCTTACTTGAAAAACATAGATTCCAAGTCTGAAACAATTTAATCTTCCTACATGAGTCAACCCTTGGAAAGAAACAGACTCAGGTGGTAAACCGCAGGCCATTTACATACCCCATGGTTTGACTTTTACTTTAAGGAGAGGAAAGATGGGTTGATGAGCTCATAAATAAAAGTAACATATTACCCATAATATTAGAGGAGAATGTACTAGGGTTCTTTAAGGCTCTGTTTAAGCTAGTAAATTTTCTGCCTAAAGTGTGTGGTATAAAATCCTCAGATGTGAATACACAGTTTTTCCACTTCCACCCATGTCGATTTCAGAGATTTCAAATTAACAGAGTGTGTTCCTCGATCAAGTTCATCTAAAATGCAGGTTGTAACTTTTGCTGCTAAGAGAAATGCTAATATTTAATGTAAATGAGAAAAGCAGTTCATCCAGAAGATATCAAAAAGATCTTTAGTACATTCCTTCACAAAGATGATTCCTTTCCTTTTCGGAAAAATAAAATTACTCCCCTCTAATTGGAAACAAGACAGCCATGTGGTTTTGCTGCATTTCATGGGGATGAGGTTCTGTGGTTTTCTCTCCTGTCATCTGCAGCCACATCATTGGGAAGTTTGCCCAACTAATTCGAGTTGAAGAGAAAAGAGACAGAGTAGTTAGCAGGAATGTGAAGAGATCACCGGCTGAGTAAGGAAGTCTTGGATCCCCAGGCATGTAGATAGAGAATTTACGGCCATAATAACTACAAGTGTTGTCAGTGATCAGCATGCAGCTCAGAGAATTGAGCCTATTCTAGACTTTCAAGAATTCTGCTAAGTAAGGAAATTCTACATTTTTCTAAAAAAAGTGTGTACCTAATAAATAATAAAACAGCATCCACAGACAATTTGTATTTCTCCGGACACATACGGACATGTTTCTATAATTACATTATATTATGTATAAACTCTAGCTGTCTCTCACAACCCAAGCTCCTGATTAGAAGGGGTCATGTTGTCTACTTTTTAAACATAATTAATGCCATTTATATCAGATTGAGTACTTGACGGTAGATTAATATATGCTTATTCAATGAATGAATGAATGAATGAATGAGTGAATACATAGCATTGCCATTGTGAGGGGAGTGACAAGGGTTAAAAGTTACTACAATTCCTTGATTTGTCCTCTTTAGTGGATGACTAACAGTTCAGGCATTGTAGAAGCCTATTTATTTTGGTTTTGAAGTATCAACAATATACAAAACCCTGGAAATGATTTTTACTTGCTGTGAAAAGAGCAAAATAAGAAATGAAATATTTTGGATTTCTAAGTTTCTGAAAGGGCACCATCAGCAGTAGGGTCTGTCAGTAAATTCCAGATGAGGTGGAAAGGTCAATTAAGTGATAATTTCAGGTTAGAAGACCAAATTGGGTCCCAGAACAAAGTCATAGAGTAGGAATTAAAAAGCAGACTTAAAAGAGATGAAACTACATATGTGCACAGCATACAAATGAACAGCCTAAAAGGTTGAGGCCCCTTTTCTGTGTACCTCTCAGAAAATGAGCTTTTCAATAAAACGTTTATTTTCCTGAGAATTTTGTCCCTGTAGTGATCTGCAAAACTTGCTAATATCTACTTGGCAATATACATTATATATGTGAACAAATAAAATTTTCTCACCAGCTGACACAAACCCCATTGAACCAACTGGCTGTATGCCTCACTACCCCATGTTCTGGAAAGAGTTAAATCGCCCATATTACACATAGGCTCAGTGTGAACACTGCGTTCACATATGTCTGAATCTGGCTAAGAGGAGGACAGCCCTGAAGTTACATGAGAATGAGAATTAAAGATACCAGACACCAGACACCGGAGTAAACACAATGTTCACTAACACGAACAAGCAGAAGACACAAAGCGTAGAAACCCTCAACCCTCAATTCTAGAAACGAATTTCACCCACTTGGGTCTCTCCCAGGATTTCCACAGGTGTTTGCTGATGGGCGCAATTGCACCAGGCTTCACACACAGGCATCCCCGGTGTAAGTGGTTCCTCTGGATTAGGTAATGAGGCAGAGAACTCTGAAGCTGGCTAGTCTATGAGTCCACAGACCTGGGTTTTGGTTTCTCATTCACTTCTTACTAGCTGGTTGACTGTATCTTCTCTCTTTAGTTCTTTTATTTTTGGGTTGAAGACAAAAATGCCTGCCTACCTCATTTTTTGTAGGAAAATAAATGAGGAAATGCATGTGAATATACTGTAGACATATGAAGTCCTTGAGGTGGACAATGGCAGGATTTTTGAGATGAGGAGGGAAGAGATGGAGGATCAATGATAACCACTAAGCCAGAACCTCGTAGGTAGCTGTTAAAAAGTTACTGAATTGTATTAGTGTAACCAGGGGGCACTAGTCTTGGCAGGGATGGATTCATGCTAACAAAACTTACAAGAGATCGATGCTTGAATCAGAATGTCAATTTATTAATATATAGTGGAAGATATCTCTTTACAGTGATAGCAATTCTTCTATCTACTACCCAAGGAATCCTCTTCCTTTATGATGATGGCCAGAAGGTAATAGTTTTAATGAGATGATTGGCTAGGATTCTTTGTTACGTAGAGTAGAAAACAACTATGGTGGATTTAAGTAGAAAATGAATTCATTAAAATTATATTTACAATATTTGGAATCATGAATGGCTGTAGAAACAAGTTTGAGAACTTAGCCAAGAGCAAGTCCCCACATCATGCCTCAGGACTGGTGTGGTGAAGACGCTGTGCTTCAGCCGCTGGACGTTAGGTACTGCAAGTGCTCCAGAATGTGTGAGGAGTCTGCAATACTGTCTGGTCAGTACAGATGGTGAATGCCCACCACAGTCCACCCCCTTTTCTGTCCAGCATTAACACTTTTCTTCATACTTTAAATGCTCCTGCCTAACAAAATGCAATCAACTCTCCTAAAATTATGCAATTTCTCACCCCCTTCTCAAAAAGGCAACAACCACAAATCTCATCAGATACTGCACCCAGCTTCATGTCCTAGATCTCTCAATGAGCCCCTTTTCTCTTCCTATAAGAGTATTAATACTCTTTTTTTTAATTTTTAAAATTATGAACTAAAAAACAAAAACATAAAATTATAAACTGACAAATTATAGTTGCATATATTTATGAGATGCAAAGTGATATGATTTATGAATACAATGTGTAATAGTTAAACCAAGCTAATTGACACATTCATTACCTCAAATACTTGTCATTTTTGTGGTGAGACCATCGGGCATTTACTCTGAGTGATTTTGAAATGCACCATATATTTATTATTTACGATGGTCACCATGCTATGCAATAGAGCTCAAAGAAAAACCTTATTCCTCCTGTCTAAATGAGGCTTTGTATCCTTTGGCTCTCATCTCATTCTCCCACCACCACCACCCCCGCCCTTCCCTCTGTAATCATCACTCTACTCTTTGGCTTATTTGAGTTTGACTATTTTAGATTCCACATAGAAGTGATAACATGTGGCATTTGTCTTTCTGTGCCTGGCTTATTTCACTTAGCATAATGTTCTCCAATCTATGTTGCCACATGTTGTTACAAATCACAAAATATATTTCTTTTTTAAAACACTGAATAGTATTCCATTGTGTACACATGCCACATTTTCTTTACTCATTCATCTGTTCATGGACTCATAGATTGATTCCATGTCTTGGCTATTGTGAACAGTGCTGCAATAAACATTGGAGTGCAGACCTCTCTTCAAGAAACTGATTTCAAATCTTTGGGGTGAATACCCAGAAGTGGGATGGCCAAATCATATAAAATTCTACTTTTAGTTTTTTGAGGACCCTCCATACAGATTTCCACAGGGGCTGTTATAATGTACATTCCTACCAACAGCATACAAGTGTTCCCTTTTCTCCACATCCTCACCAACACTTAGCAAGTCAATAAAAGTAAGTTTTTCATAAAAAGATAACATCTTTCATCTTTTTTATAATAGCCATTCCAACAAATGTGAAATTATATCTCACTGTGCTTTTAATTTGCATTTTCCTAATGATTAGTGATGTTTAGCATTTTTTCCTATATTTATTATCCATTTGTATGTCTTCTTGTTTTCACGTTCTACAATTTCTATAACATTCTATGTTAAACTTGAAACTACCATTAACTCATTCTGTGTATGACAATGGGAGAAAAAGAAAAGAGGAAAAATTATTAAAATATAAACATGACACTATAAGAAAACATAATCAGAGGTTGTTGCCCTTTTTTTGTACAATTTGTCCCAAAGTATAATAGGTATTTATGGCTTTTCTCTACTATCCACTCCACCTTCTCTTTGCCATGGTGTTATGCAAACCTGCTTTCCTGAAAGATCTGATTCCTTGGTGGTCCTGTATATATGGCATTGATAAACTCTTTCTTTACCTTTTACCATTGAACTTGGCAGTTCTAAGAGACGTTCATTGGGTTGATGCATCCTAGTAATATTGATCCTTGCCCCATTGTGTAGTAGCAACCGATTTCCTCTTTATAGTCAGGATCAATCACCCCAGCTAACATATTAATCCTCCTTTTTTACTTACTCTTCCAGTGATATGAGACACCTGCAATGACCATGTGGCAATCTCAGTTTTCAGTTCAAAGGAGCTATTGTGTTATTCTGTGTAAGCATTCCTGCTTTGGAGGTCAATACTTCTAAACCAGAAAAGCCCAGACTTGTTGGGACAAGAAGCAAAAAATCTGTTAGTTGGTCAGCGGGCATAGTAGTGAGATTTATGAACACACATATTGTTCCATATTTATTTCTGCCTGGGATAAATGGCCAGAACATATATTGCATCCTGTAAGAAAGTACTACATCCTTGCAAAATGTTGCTTCCCTGCTGCCAAAATAACTGAGTCTTCAATAGATCTTTCTGCCTTTCTCTAAATCTGGCTACTTCTAAGCAATTAGATACATGGTAAAAATAAGTAAAACAAAACCACATGGAATTCAACCACTTAATCTTCTTTCTTTTGTGGTAAAATGAGTTCCTTGCTCCAAATCAAGGTTGTATGGGATATCATGATGGACAAAAAGACATTCAGTAAGACCATGGATGGGGTGACGGAGAAACAATGGCAGATATGGAAAAAAAAATCCAAATTTATTTAAACAGTAGCTATTTAGTTTGTGATTTTTTTTTATCCATTCTGCCAATCTGCACCTTTTAAGTGGAACATTTAAACCATTTACAGTCAACATTAGTATTGAGATGTGAGGTACTGTTCCAGTCATTATGTTGATTGTTACCTAGTGAATTTGTTATCTTCATTGTGTTATTTTTTATAATACATATGAATTTTATGCTTTCAGGAGTTTCTATTCTGGTTTGTATTAACTTTTTGTTTCAAGATTTAGAGGTCCTTTTAGCATTTCTTATAGGGCTGGTCCACTATTGATAAATTCCCTCAGCATTTGCTTGTCTGAGAAAGACTTTATTTCTCCTTCATTTCTGAAACTTAGTTTTGCTGGATACAAAATTCTTGGCTGAAAGTAATTCTGTTTAAGGAGACTAAAGATAGAACCCCAATCCCTTCGGGCTTATAAGATTTCTGCTGAGAAGCCTGCTGTTAGTCTGATAGGTTTTCCTTTACAGGTTACCTGATGTTTTTGTCTAACTCCTCTTAGAATTATTTCCTTTATGTTGACTTTAGGTAGCCTGATGACTATACGCCTTGATGATGTCCTTTTTGCAAGGAATCCCAGGAGTTCTTTGAGCTTCTTATATTTGAATGTCTAAATCTCTAGCAGGGCCAGGAAATTTTCCTCTGTTATTCCCTCAAATAGGTTTCCCAAACTGTTTGCTTTTCCAAACTGTTTAAATAAATCCAAATTTGTTTAAACAGTAGCTATTTACTTTGTACCAAAGAACAAAGAACACTTATAATTATTAGATTTGGCTGTTTTATATAATCCCATATTTCTTGGATTTTTTTTCATTCTTTTTCTTTATTTTTGTCTGATTGAGTTAAATCAAAAGCCTTGTCTTTAAGCTCTGAAATTCTTTCTTCTATTTGGTCTAGTCTATTGTTAAAAACTTTCCACTGCATTTTGTAGTTCCCTAAATGTATATTTCATTTCCAGATGTTCTGATTGGTTTTTCTTTAAAATATCTATCTTTTTAGAAAAATTTTCATTTATATCCTGAATCTTTTTTAAATTTCTTTATATTAGTTTTCACCTTTCTCTTGTATCTGCTTGAGTAACTTAATAATCTTTTGAATGTTTTATCTAGTATTTCAAGCATTTCATCTTGTTTTGGATCCACCGCTGGAGAGTTAGTGTGATCTTTTGGAGGTTTTATAGAATCTCATTTTTTCATAGTTCCAGAATTATTTTTCTGGCTCTTTCTCATTTGGTGGACTCTTTCTTCTAATTTTTTAAATTTTTTTATTAGACTTTAATTTCTTTTTTGCCCCCTTGAAGATGTGACTTTAATGTTTATAGTTTATTGTCACCTAGCTTCAGCTCTGAGTGCTTTCAGTGATGAAGACTCTGGATGAGTTCCTTGGTTATAAAGAATCTTGGCTCATACCTGTAATCCCAACACTTTGGGAGACCAAGGCAGGTGGGTCACCTGAGGTCAGAAGTTCAAGACGAGCCTGGCTAACATGGTGAAACACCATGTTAGCTGAGCATGGTAGCACATACCTGTAATCCCAGCTACTTGGAAGGCTGAGGCAGGAGAATCACTTGAATCCAGAAGGCAGAGGTTGCAGTGAGCTGAGATTATGCCACTGCACTCCAGCCTGGGTGACAGAGTGAGACTCTGTTTCCAAAAAAAAAAAAAAATCTTTATGTGACAGCTTTCTCACATGCTGGTCGCAGCAGTGATGTGCTGGGTGTGTGAGCAGTTTCACATCTCCTGTGAGGTTGGAAAGGCAGAAATCTCAAGAAGCTTATTTCATACCCCAGTGGTGTGCACTTAAAAAATTTTTTTCCCTCTGTCTTTTATTAACTGGGTTGAACAATTCAGGCTTCGGGACAGTAGAAAGTGCCCATGGGTAAAAACTAGCTGTGGCTAAAGTAAATAGGTAAATGCAATACTCCAGTGGTTGGCAGAGGTCCCAGCCTTGACAGAGGTGGTTGGGGGAGCTCTCAGTGAAATGCACTAAGGTCTTTTCTGAGGGAAGGGAGGAAGCTACCACAGTTCTCCCTCCAGGCTAGCAGGAAAACAATCTGCTTCCCAGTCACACTCCTGACACAGCGTCCTGGCTATTTTGATTGGACAGTCACCTCTTTTCCTCTCCAAGAATTCTGATGTTCTGCGTAGAGAGGGGTTGTGACTTTACCTCTTATGCAAGCCTGAACCTGGAGGGCACCCATCCTGTGGGGATGCAGTGTTCCAGAAAGGCTGTCTACAGATGCACCCAGGCAGAACTCCCATGGGAGAAGTCAGAGCTTTGTCTGCAGTGGTGGGTGAGAGGGAGAAGTCCTCTTCTCCAATACCCTTTACAAGCACCAGGGCTGCCTGACTGTTGGGTTAAAGCTACACACTTTCCTCACCGATCCCAACACTGTACCTGTGTCTCTGCTGAAAGAAACTTCCCATGAGTGGAAAGTTCAGGGACTCAAGGCCTGTACTTTGGTTTATTTTGTCCCACATGGTGCTCCCTTAATGTGGTACCCTCCCCCTTCCCCTAGGAATGGCAGTCCCTCAGGGCCAGACTACTGTGAATCCTGCTGCTTTTCTGGATCTAGTTACCCACTGGAGCTGCCAGACTCCATGCTGGTGCTGGAGAATGTTTGCAAGGGATCTAGTGATGTGACCTGTCCTCTAGTCTTCCAGCGGTGGGTACCAGCAGCAGCTGATGAGAGTGATAGGTGAGTGACGCAGACTCTGATATTTCCTTGGTTATAAATAGCTTTGGTGTGTTAGCTTTCTCAAATGCCAGCTGCAATAGTAATGTGCTGGACACGTGAACCAACTCAAGACCTCCTGGTTAGCCAGGGTGATGCAGGCAATGACGATAGCTGAATTTACGCAAAAGTTTTCTCCTTCCTGAGTGCTATGTTATTGTGCCTGCAGATGTTGTAATGGGCTGTACCCGTTGGCCTCCAGCCAGGAAGTAGTGTTTGCGAAAGAGCACCATCTGCAGTGGTAGTGGTGGAATTTGTGTTTGTTTTATGTTAGCCAGTGAAGGTACTCTGGTGTCTCAGGCAAGGGGTGGGGCCATGGAGCTCCCAAATGTGCCTGTCCATGGGGTTACATTATTGGGGGGCTGCGGGGAGGGGTGGAGGGGCAAAGATGGCTTGAGGCTGGGTTAGATAAGTCAACATTCTGGCTCTCCACGTACAGGCACAAGCTGCAGCCCCAAAGGGGGTCAGGTAGCAGTTCTCTAGCCGCTAGGGTAATGTTCCAGGGAGGAGCGCAGCTGCCTCTGTTCCACAAAAAATATCCACAAAAGGAGCAAGGGGTAGCAGGGTACAGTAAGCCCCACTCAGCTCCCATGCACTTGGCAAGGCAGGTTTCACACACAGTGTTCTGCTTACAGCAGCTAGCTGGGTTCCAGGCAGCCTGCACTCAGAACTCAAAATTGCCCCAGGCCATAAGCCTTCCCCATAAAGACAGAAACTGCAGCTGTCAGGCCATGCCCTCCTGGTCCACCCATGAAGTGGGGCATCCAGCTTTTACACCCATGATGATAGCACACTTCCCACTCGCCCCTTGGTTCTGGCCAACAGGGTTAGTACTCACCCAAGATTATTTCACAAATATTATTTGGGAGCATCTCTCAACCTGAGACTGCAGCTCAAGTTAGCTGGCAGACTTCCATGAGGTCACCTATGAGATAGGATGAGGAATGGCTTCCCTTTATCCTTACTGGAATATGGGAGTGCACCCCCACCCCCAACCACTATGTTTATGAGCCCACTGAACAAAATTTAGGATGGCTGAAAAAGGGGCTGATGACATGCACAAGTTAGGTCAGCTTCCTGTTCTTTGTTTCACAGCTAGAATGAGCAGATAATGCATAATTACCCCAAAAACTCAGTCCGGATGCTTACTTGGGGGTCCCACCGTCAGTCTCTAAGAGGGCCTACTAGCAAGCCAAGAGATATTTTTCAAAGGTGAATTGCTCCTTTACTTGCTTCAAAACCTTAGGGGAATCCCCTGTAAAAACACCACTGCAACTTTCTACAGGCCTCAATGGACATCATAATCTGTCACAAATACTTTGGGCACTGTTACTCTGCCATTACATCCTTGACCAGTGACAATTCTCTTGTTCCAGGTTCCACTCAAAGTGCTTATCTTTCAACTAGTAATAGGTAGAAGCAGAATACCCAAACATGGTATATGTTTACTATAAAATTCAAACATTTTCACCAAGTAGTTTCTTTTGTCCCATTGGTAGTAGTTACAAGATGTAGCAACTAGTCTTTGACTTTGAAGGTTATCCCAATGTGCCTCAGACTACTTAGCCTCAAAAAACTTCTCTGAGGTATCAAGCCTAATGTTTTATAGGTTTTATCTCCTAACAGCTGGCATCCTCCAACATAGCAACACATATTGGGTTACAGCAACTTTTTGCTCCCCCGACGTCTATCTCATCTATGTCATGGGACACCATGCTTTTCTATGAGATGATGAGATAATCAAGTTCCCTGCAAACTAACTTGTGGCACAAGGTCAGAAAATTGATGTAACCCAGAGGCAATACCGTGAAGGTATGCTGTCTTCCCACTAAGTAAAAGCAGATTACCTCTGGTGTTTTCTGCTTTTGGGGGTAGAGATCAATAGCTACATACCACCACATGCCATGAGATGTCTATACATGTCTCAGTAAAGAGACCATATCTACAAGAGTAATTGCAATTGGAATCACTCCCTGATTGAGGTTACAATAACTTTCTGTCATTATCCAAAGCCTGTTCATTTTTAATACTGGCCAAAATGTCAAAAAGGTATGTGAAAGTACAGTCATCCCTTGGTATCTGTGAGGGATTGGTTCCAGAACCTCCCACAGATACCAAAATCCATGAATGTTCAAGTCCCTGATATAGGCAAATGGCATAGTATTTGCATACAACATATACACATCCTCCCATATACTTTAAATCATCTCTAGATTACTTATGATACCTAATACAATATAAGTGCCATGTAAATAGTTGTCATACTGTATTGTTTAGAGAATAATGACAAGAAAAAACATCTGTACATGTTTGGTACAGATGCAATTTTTTCTCAAATATTTTTTATTTGTGGCCAGTTGAATCCATGGATACAGAATCCACAGATATAGAGGGCTGACTGTATATCTTTTCAGGTCCATAATGATGGAATTTATGTTGTTAATTTTACCAAATACTATGGATTGAATTGTGTTCCCCCAAAATTCATATGTTAAAGCCCTAACCCCCAGTGTGATTTTATTTGGAGATAGAGTCTTTAGCAGATTATTAAGGTTAAGTGAGGTCCTAAAAATAGAGTCCTAATGTTGCAGAACTGTGGCCTTATAAGAAAAGGAAGATTCTCTCTCTCTCTCTCTCTCTCTCTCTCTCTCTCTCTCTCTCTCTCTCTCCCCTTTCCTCTGTCTGGCTTTTTGTGGCTGTGTGTTTGTTGTTTAACCGGTAGATTGAACCCAGTGTTTCTGCCAAATGAAATGCATGGATCAATGCAGCTTGATCTAAAGTTATATTCTTTACTCTTTGGTTTAGTACCTCCACATCTATTTCCACAAGTATTCAAAATATTTGCTGATATAAACTGGTAACCTTTTGCAATTGTTTAGTTATGAAGTCTTTTCCTTCTGGGTTTGACTTTGTAATTGGATTCCCGGTCACGCTGGGTTCTGACCCTGGTTTGAAGTGTAAAAATAATGAGAAGGAGGGAAGATGGGGTTTGAGGAGAATTGGTCAACCCTTTCCAGGTAATTAGCTTAGATAAGGTCATTTTAAAGTTTCAAGCAAAATAACCATAGCCTCATAAGACTGTAAAGACAGCCTGCTTCCACTGACAAGAGAGTGCCAGTGGGGTTTTGCTGTGGAGTGTACTCTAAATATGGGGGAACATATTCACTTTTTTACAGTGTGCTCCAACATTCCTTCATTCCAGATTTCAGGGTTCCAGTCTTTCCCAAACAATGCCTGAATTCTCATACAAGAAACCTGGCAAAACTGTGACTTCAACTCATGTTATAATTCAAAAACCCTTTGGTGTCAAATTTTGAGGGCTTTTGTTTGTTCATTGATTTGGTTTGTTGGTTTATTCTTTTTGTTTTTATTTTTTTTATTTTTTTCGGTTCTAAATTACTGGCTTAAAGCATGGACTGAAGATCAGGAATTGGAACTTGTTAGTTTCTCTTTGTAAGTGTCCAGACCATGGGAAACAAGCCTCCCATTCCTAGCGCTGATTTTCATACCATTCAGAGTTCTTGATTGCAAGCAACATAATCCAACTCTAGCTAATTGGAGCAAAGAAATAGTTTATTAAAAAGTTATTTGGCGGCCGGGCATGGTGGCTCACGCCTGTAATCCCAACACTTTGGGAGGCCGAGGAGGGCGGATCACGAGGTCAGGAGATTGAGACCATCCTGACTAACACGGTGAAACCCCGCCTCTACTACTAAAAAAAAATGAAAAAAGAAAAAAAGTTATTTGGCAACTCTCCAACTTATCATGAGGGCTGGAAAACAACGTTCAGGACTACTCAGGCAAGAACAATACCCCAAATCACACTTCAGAGGGGGCCCTGTGAGTTCACATGGGCAACACTGCTGAGCACTAGATGCTGGCACTTGTACCCTCCACACTGCTGTCCCTCTCTATGACATGCTGTCACTCGTCATGCCACTGCTGCCTGAAAAACTTGATTTTTCTGAAAATACTACTGCTGCTCTGTCCCCAAAGAGAGTTCCCTGTGATGCTCATGAGTCATAGATGCATCTGGTCTGCTGAGCCTAGGTCATATACCTGGTCCCTAGCTGTAAGGGAGGCTGGAAAAGTGGGTGTCTGGTATTTTCAGCTCTTCAGGGAAAGATACCTTCATCAAATAGATGAATTTCTCCAACTCACCCCTAGAAAGGGGTTTCAGATCCTAGACAGCCAAAATAAATGTAAATGTCCACTACAGTAAGCAGCAAGGATAACAATAGCCAATAACAAAAGAGCAAGAGGAGGCCGGGCGCGGTGGCTCACGCCTGTAATCCCAGCACTTTGGAAGGCCGAGGCGGGCGGATCACGAGGTCAGGAGATGGAGACCATCTGGCTAACACGGTGAAACCCCGACTCTGCTAAAAAAAAAAAAAAATACAAAAAAATTAGCCGGGCGTGGTGGCGGGCGCCTGCAGTCCCAGCTACTCAGGAGGCTGAGGCAGGAGAATGGCGTGAACCCGGGAGGGGAGCTTGCAGTGAGCAGACATCGCGCCACTGCACTCCAGCCTGGGCGACAGAGCGAGACTCTGTCTCAAATAAAAAAAAAAAAGAAAAAAGGCAAGAGGATAACAATAGCCAATGACAGTGGTCTGTGATGTCTGAAGCATCCATCTCTACTCTCAGATTACTATAGTGAGGATCAGGGCATCTCCTGATGCCCTGGGAGGTCTTTCTCAAAGCACACTCTAGTTACTCCATTCTTGTTGCATCATGCAGCCTGGTGGCAGGGCTTTCTTGTTTAGGCACAGCAGCTGGTCACTGCACAACTCCAGGGGCGCCATTTCAGTTGTGCAGTGCAACGGCTTCATCTAGTGGAAAGAGCACTGGATGTGGAGGGATACAGACTGAGGTTTGAGCCCAAGCACTGGTGCATGCAGCCTGGGTGGATTTAGACACATCCTTTCATTACTTTATGCCTCAGGGGTCTCCTGCCCTGATCCTCACTGTAGTAATCTGAGAGTAGAGATGGATGAACTTTGCAAGTTCATTCTGCCCGATGCTGGATGAAAACTACCCAATGCTGCTCTTTGGACTTTCCATTTCCAGGTTTTATGCTATTCATCTGTCTTTAATGAAGCATCAATTAGACTGGATTGCTTCTTACCTGGGAGCAACTATGCTGCCCTGAGGATATTTGGCAATGTTTTTGGTTGTCATAAGTGGCAGGGGTAAGTGCTACTGGCATCTAGTGAATTGAGGCCAGGGATACTGCTTCATATCCTGCAATGAATAGGAGAGCACCTTACAATACAGAATTATCCAGCCCCAAATGTCAGTGATGCCAAAGTTGAGAAATTCTGGGCTAGAAAGAAGCCCTTCTCTTCCTGTTTTGGGCTTTGGAATGCAATCGATTCTTGTAGATGACTTCTACAGACAAGCAGTCTTACCTATCAAGTATTGATTTTATTTCTTCGGCCTGCCAGGTTGCCTCAAGCTCGACCCTATGTCTTCCCTGCAATGATGTCTACTACATTCGGCCTTGGGGATGTCCTCTAGTTTCCTTGAATAGGATGTCAGCACAGATTAGTTCAACAGAGTAGGAAGTTGTCATCTTAAAAGTCCAGGAGGATTATCTGATCCAGCAGTTCTCAACTGGGTACAATATTGCTGCCAAGGGGAAAATTGTCAATGTCTGAAGACAACTTTAGTTGTCTTAAATTGACGGGGGGCTGGGGTATGGTGCAGACCCTACTGACTAGAGGCCACGGATGCTGTTGAGCATACTATAATGCACAGGGCAACCCCACAATAAAGAATTATCTAGCCCAAAATGTCAGTGGTGTCAAGGTTGAGAAGCGCTAGTCTAGTCTTGCTGAGGTGCAACCTGGGAGAGATTCTGCATGTTAAGGGGGAATGGTAAACAGAGAACCAGGGGCCCAAAGTGCAGTACATGTACCAGACGGGAAAAGCAGACCTGGGCCTGCAGAGAGTATCCTCAGAAGGTCCCAGAGCCCTATAAGCTGAGGGGATTGAAGGGGAGGAGAAGGCAGCAATACAAAAACTGAAAGAGTCCTAAAGGGGGCAGGAGAGCAGAAGTCAATCCTCATGAACCCAGTCATTTTCCCCAGTATGGAGAGCAGTGGGCTGGATGGAAGCATGGGAGAGGTAGGGTTCAGTAGAAGCCCAGCTCTTTCCCTGGCAGGGCAGGAACCTCAGTTGCTGTCACCTGCCTCTCAGTGATGAGGGTCAGGCTGAAGTGATATCTGTGCTATGGATTCCACATCCCTGTTCAGGTCAACTCACACTTATTGAATAAGCACCTGCTATGGGGATTGCACAGACTGTGGGGGATTCAGAGATGAATGAGATGCATCCCCAAAAAGTTGGGATCCAGGAGAGAGATGGCGAGCGTGCAGATGTCTCTCAGATACAACAGAAAGCATCATCCCAAAGGCACAAATCACCATGGAGCACCAGGGAGGGCAGGAAGAAGGAGGAAGGAATACATTTCCATCTAGGATAGGCTGAAAGGCAGAATTATGCTAGGAAGGGAAGGTGTTACCTAAATTCCTGCCTGCATGCTAAGCGCTCGGGTTAAAGAACTAGTGACCAAGCTTGTCTTCTGAAACACATATTCTCCTGCTCTGAAAATAAGATGAAGTTTTATGCCGTTCTTGCATCGCTATAAAGCAGGGGTGTCCAACCTTTCAGCTTCCCTAGCCCACGTTGGAAGAAGAAGTATGTCTTGGGCCATACATAAAATACACTAACACCAACAATAGCTGATGTACTAAAGAAAAAAACGGCAAAATAAAGTCTCATAATGTTGTAAGAAAGTTTAAGGATTTGTGTCAGGCTGCATTCAAATCTGTCCTGGGCCTCATGCAGCATGTGAGCTGTAGGTTGGAAAAGCTTGCTGTAAAGAAGTACCAGAGGCTGGGTAATTTATAAAGAAGAGAGGTTTAGTTGGCTTATGGTTCTGCAGGCTTTACAGGAAGCATGGTGCTGGCATCTGCTTGGCTTCTGCTGAAACGTCAGGGAGCTCTCAGTCATGGCAGAAGGTGAAGGGAGAAGCCAGTGTCTCACATGGTGTGAGGACACCAAGCTGTGAAGAATCTGCCCCCACGACCCAAACACCTCCCACCAGGCCCCACCTCCAACACTGAGTGTTACATTTCAACATAAGATTTGGCAGGGACAAATATCCAAAATGTATCAGATGAGGTGTTATGTCGTAGCCAGGAAACTGATACAAGCCAGAAGGAATCACTGATTTTCCTACTTCAATAAATGTGAATTCTAACATGAAAAGATAAAGGGCTTCAACCTACATTCACAAAGTCCATATCAGTGGGAGGCCTTTCTCAAAGCACACTCTAGTTATTCCATTCTTGTTGCATCATGCGGCCTGGTGGCAGGGCTTTCTTGTTTAGGCACAGCAGCTGGGCACTGCACAACTCCAGGGGCGCCATTTCAGTTGTGCAGTGCAACGGCTTCACCTAGTGGAAAGAGCACTGGATATGGAGGGATACAGACTGAGGTTTGAGCCCAAGCACTGGTGCATGCAACCTGGGTGGATTTAGACACATCCTTTCATTACTTTATGCCTCAGTTTCTTCATCTGCAAAATGGAAATCTCGTCTACCTCTTGTAAGGGGCTCAAATAAGAGTAAGAATGTGCAAGTTCATTCTAAAATATATAGCACTACAGAAATATAGGGTCTTACTATTATTTTTATTTACCAGAATAGCTCCAGTGTTCACTGAAGGGCTCATAAATATTCTGAAGCCCTCCTCTGCATATTGATGCCACCCAGTGTTTCCAGATCTCACTAGCTTATGCCTTCAAATGGAATTACATTAACATCCATTGCATAACTGTAGGCTCTCTTTCCCCACACTGCGTCCCACACAGTCTTGCCATCTATTTGGGATTCTTCCAGTGTATCTTACATGTGCTCAATGACAGTCCTTTATGCTGTTCCATCCAGCCTCCTCATCAGAATCTGCTGCCTGCAATGGGGCCTCCTTCCCCCATCACAGCTGCTGGGTCTTCAGGAGAATAGGACTCAGTGCCCTGGCATCTCCCTCTGCCTCCCTGGGCACTGCACCTCTCCATGGAGGCTGCACAGAGCCTCAGGATAACTGAGTTTGTGGCATTGGTGCCCCTCTCCCCAGCTGTGCATTGTTCTTTATCATCTGGACCCTGAAGGAGAACTGTAAGGGCCCCAAGTTACACAAAGTGCCTTTGATCAAGCTTCCTTGGTTTCTGCCTGGAGTCCCTCTTTAGGAGGATGAAACATGGTCCCTGGTGTGGGCTGGTCTGGGACCTGAGCACCAACTACCTTTTGTGGTCCCTTCTGTCCATTTCTTTCCCCATAGAAAGAAATGGAGAACTTGCCAATCTCCAGCCTTTCCTTTTCCTCCTCAGCCAGGAAGGAATTCTTCATCCTATCATCCTATGGCTGGGTGGGCATCCAGGGAGGCACTCTCTGTTGCCACAGGTTCAATTACCATGCAGGTTTGGCCAAGACCACCTGCTACATTTGATTTAGTGAAGTTATAAATAAAGGAACTGGAGAGGTTTAAATTTTGGAACCAATGTGGTCAACAATGACTTTGAGGATGGGAAGGTATTTCAATATATCTTGTTACAGTGGTTTGTCATCATGACTCACACTTAGCAAGCCTCCATTTAGCACTGCATCAGCATAATATTTTAATATAGCAAGGAAGTGGACTTTAGTCATTGTTCCAATGCTACGTAAATAGATGCATCCTCGCTAGCTCAGAGATCAGTTTTTCCTGCTCTCATCAATCCTTGGGAGCTCATCGCAAAAGATGACATACACATTCTTCTTCCACACCTCCCCCACACACCAAAAGTTCTATTCAGGGGCCTGGCTCTAGAGGTTCATATTCAGTCTGACATGAGGACATATCCCCAAGCTCTCCCAATAATGAGTCCCGGGCCTGAATGCCCTTAACAACACTGCGACCCACTTCTCCATAGTGAACATGGACTTTCTTTAGGGGTCCTGGTGGTCTTTTTAAAGGATACTCACTGGCACTTCTCTTAATGAAGAGTTATGTACTGACAAAACACTTTGTGATCAGGAATTTTGCCACCATTATTAGAGATAAACTGGACACACAGGGATGCACCCCCTCGAAATCTGCATGGTTCACAATAACCTCCTAAGAGTCAAATTCAGGGGATGCTTCTTAATTATCCCACTCGATCTCTCTTCTACCTCTGGCAGGGTCGAATCAGGGAAGCAGAAGAGAGTAGTGGAAATATGCAAATTGAGTTCAAACCTTTGTTCACCTCTTACTTGCCATGGGACCCTGGGCAAGTTATTAAACTTCGCTGAGCCTAACTTTTCCTCTTCAGTAAATTATGTAAAATGATGCATAAGATCTCTTATGCATTTCTGAGTATTATAATGTATACAAAGCTATTGGAATATAGTGGGTCTTCAATAACTAATAGTTATTCTTATTTACCAGTTTTCTTTCTTTCTTTCTTTCTTTTTTTTGAGATGGAGTCTTGCTCTGTTGCCCAGGCTGGAGTGAAGTGGCATGATCTCAGCTCACTGCAACCTTGCCTTCTGGGTTCAAGTGATTTTCCTGCCTCAGCCTCCCAACTAGCTGGGATTACAGGCACCTGCAAACACACTCGGCTAATTGTTTTGTATTTTTAGTAGAGGCGGGGTTTCACCATGTTGGCCAGGCTGGTTTCGAACACCTGACCTCAGGTGATCTGCCCGCCTCGGCCTCCCAAAGTGCTAGAATTACAGGCATGAGCCACCACTCCTGCCAGACCTCCCTATCTTAAGAGACACAAAAATATTAAAGTTAGGCCAGTTAATAACTCTACAATGGCCTCTAAGTGTTCAAGTGAAAGGAAGAGTTGCATGCCTTTCACTTAAAATCAAGAGCTAGAAATGATTAAGCTTAGTGAGGAAGGCATGTTGAAAGCTGACATAGGCCAAGAGCTAGGCCTCTTGCACCAGTCAACCAAGTAGAGAGGAGGTTTCACCATGTTGGCCAGGCTGGTTTTGAACTCCTGAGCTCAAATCACTCGCCCACCTTGACCTCCCAAAGTGCCGGGATTACAGGCGTGAGCCACTCTTCCTGGCCAGTTTTCATTCTTAAACTATTTTTTTGGCATATTGTGACACATCTACGCCATACTAATCTTTCTACCTCACTTTCCATCCCTCATTCATCCACTCAACAGTATTTATGAAGTGTTGGCTATATGCCAAGCATTTTACTAGGCACTGGGCTTACAAAAATTAATAATCACAGCATCTACTTACAGGAGCTCATAGTCTAGTAGGGAGACAGATATACAAATCTCAATAACTGCTGCAGTAGAGAACTGTACAACTGTGGTTTGGACACAATGGCCTAATGTGCCAACGAGAATCTGGGAAGTCTTCAGGTTTGAGCTCAGCATTGAAGGAGGGGCCTACATTTGCCAGGCAAACAGAAGGAAAGGTGTCCTGATCAGAGAGAGCACCATGTGCAGTATCAGTGAAAACCATTTAATTAATAGCAACACCACAAGCCTCAACAGAAAAAAATTTGGGCAATATCATTTGATGCTATCTCAGACCAAACTTGATGTGGTCATTTTTCTCCACAAACTTTTGGATAGGAAGGCAATCTCACACATGACCGAAATCATCCTCGAACATCACTTATAAATGCAGATGTAACAGCTCTCATAATGGCCCACAGTATCAGTGTTGTCTTGGGTCTAGGAGACATGAGGTATGAAAATCATGCTAAAACAAGCCAGTTGCTGTGGCACACACCTGTAATCCCAACACTTTGGGAGGCCGAGGAGGATGGATCACCTGAGGTTGGGAGTTCAAGACCAGCCTGGCCAACATGGTGAAATCCCATCTCTACTAAAAATACAAAAATTAGCTGGGTGTGGTGGCACAAGCCTGTAATCCCAGCTACTCAAGAAGCTAAGGCTGGAGAATCGCTTGAACCTGGGAGGCAGAGGTTGCAGTGAGCCGAGATTGTGCCTCTGCACTCCAGCCTGGGCAACAGAGCAAGACTCTGTCTCAAAAGAAAAAAAAAAGAAAGAAAATCATGCTAAAACCTAGCACCACAATCAGCATGAGACATTCACACCAGAAAAGTCACACTAAAAGTCAGACCAGCTAAGGAAAAGCAGTTCAACTTTCCGTCTCCAACAAGCATACATTCATTGGGTGGGATGGTGAGGAAAAAAAACACTGTAGATTTAGATACAGCTATTTTTCTCTCTCATTTTCCCCCTTCCCACCTTCCAAAGGGTATAATTGATTTTGCTCAAGTTGAATACATGTATGATGTGACTCTCCCATTTGGAGCTCTTATATCATAATGTGCCAATAATTTTCTAAGATTTTCTTTGCATAGGCTGGAACATTAACAATGGAGTCCTGTAGTCCATGTTTTTATTGCAAAAACTATAGCAACATTCAATGGAGTATTGTTTAAGAGCCTTTTAAAACAAGTAGCTAGGTTTGATTGGCAAAGCAGTATTTACATGGGCACCCTCATGAGTTGCTGATGGCGTTGAACTTGAGCCCCTTTTAAAAAGCAACTTGGCAATCATGATAGTGATTATGATAATGAAAATATTTATTGACTGCTAATTTATTGTGCTTCAGTCACTGTGCATGTATTAATCCACACTCCTCCATTCTGTAACACTACTATTAGTAACTCTATTTGACAGGTGAGGAAACTGGAACACAGAGAGCTTAAGAAAACTTCTTTAAGTTTTCTTAAACAACTAGGAAATGGCAGAGCAGGGATCCAAACAAAAGCTCTCTGCCTCCAATGCCAAAGACTACACTCTGAACCATACGCTACACTGCCTTCTATTGTACCAAATGCTAATACTTTTCAACATAGTTACTGCACTTCTGGACTTCCACAACAGCAACAACAACAACAAAATCCTAATCATGGACAATGCTATATGCAAGAAAATTTATATCATAATATTATATGTCATTGGAACCAACCCAAACATCCAAACATTGAGGAGCAGTTAGAAAAATGCTCTACATTCAAGCAGTTGAACATTATGTGCCATTAAAAATGATGGTCATGGCTTCTGGGTAAAGGAAGTGGATTGAATACTTGCATCTATGATTACTCCCTCTCTAAATGACAGTGAGACGATTGTTTTCTTTTAAGGCTTAAAGCCACAAAGACTGGAACAAGAAGAGACAACAGCAGTTTTAATTTCAAAGCTTGAAAAATGTATAGATTCTCAAATAATATGTGACTTAACAGATATGAGAAGGCTGACTCCTAACCTGGCAGTGGGAAAAGGCATGAATCAATCTAATTTATATCTTAGGATTCTTTAAAGGCTCAGAGATTGGTGGTGTCAAAGCAGAATGAAGGGAGGGGGACAAAAATAAGGGGAAGAGGCTGAAAGTCTAAGAAGCAATTGGATACTCCATTGTCTCCTCTCCTATTCTGTACAATCAGGAGACTATCTTTTGCTCAATCTTAACAAAAGACAGAGAGTTTACTCCTGGAGAGGTTAAGACAGATACTCTCCAGACTCACGAATTCACACTCTTTGTGCTGCATGAATGGAAGGGTCTCAATTAGAGTACTCTTTCAGCAACACTTGATGTACTTGATCACTCTGTCTTCCTTGAAATATTTTTCTGGTTGGTTTCCACATAGTTCTCCCTCTTGATTCTCTGCCTTCCTCACCGAGGCCTCCTTTGCAGTCCCCTTTGCTGTTTCTTCCTCATCTCCTCAACCTCTAGATGTTGGAGTACCACAGGATTCCATCCTTGAGTCACTTCTCCATCTACATTATTCCCTAGGCAATCTCTCTCAACCTTATAACTATAAATAGTATCTCCTGCATTTACATCTCCAGCCTCTTCCCTAAATACCACTCTCATATATCCACCCACCACTTTACACATACATTCCATGGGTGTCTCACACTGAATGTGTGCAAAACCAAACCTGCTTCCTCCACAATCTTCTCCATCTTGTAAAATGGCAATTCTATTCTTCCAAAGCCTTGGAGTCATCCTTGATTCCTCTCTGTCTCTGTCATCCCATAATCAATGTGTTAGCAAATCCAAAAAATATATCCAGAATGTAACCATATATCAGTACCAATTTGGCTCCACCCTGGTCCAAGACATCACCATGACTTGAATGGATTGTTTCAATCACCTCCTAAATGTTCACTCAGCTTTCTTCCTTCCCCTTCAGTCTTTTCTCCACAAAGCAATTTGAATGGCTCTTCTCTCCTGTCCTTCCTAGATCACTAAGCTACATCCATACCCTTCTTGATCGTCTCCAAAACTATCAGGCACATTCGTGCCTCAGGGACTTTGCCTATTCCCTTTGCTTTGGAGGATTTCCCCTCTCACTAGCTCTCCTATGTCCATCAGGTATTTGTCCAATTCCACCTTGTCAGTAAGGTCTTCTTGGACCACTCTATGTAAAATATTTTGCATGTTTGTTCGTTTGTTTGTTTTTTTGAGATGGAGTTTTGCTCTTGTCACACAGGCTAGAGTGCAATGGTGCGATCTTGGCTCACTGCAACCTCCGCCTCCTGAGTTCTCTAGCCTCAGCCTCCCAAGTAGCTGGGATTATAGATGCCTGGCACCACACCCGGCTAATCTTTGTATATTTAGTAGAGATGGGATTTCACCATGTTGGCGAGGCTGGTCTCAAACTCCTGACCTCACGTGATCCCCCACCTCAGCCTCCCAAAGTGCTGGGATTATGGGTGTGAGCTACCACGCCTGGCCTAAAGTATTTTTTGTAGGCCTTCCTACGTGCTTCACCAAGGCAGAATTGTTTATGTTTCATTCACTCCTGCCTCGAAAGTATTTAAAACAGTGCTTGACACATGACAGGCACTCAGTAAATAATGAGTGAATGAGGAAAACCAGTCATGATTAAAGTAGGATTACAGGATGAGAATTCTGCCATTCCTAATCCTAGCCCAGGAATGTTCACAAGCAAGGCTGTGACTTCCATGCAGGAAAATGGAATTGCGTTCTCTAGGGAATCTGTCAGCGCAAGGGAAAAGAATTAAAGGCACTCACATAGGGATCCCAATGAAAACTTCCAGGCAGTTTGCCCTATAAAGATGATCACAACTAGGGTGACCTCAACCCAGGACTACAGGGTTTCCTGGTGCATGGGACTTTCAGTGCTAAAACTGGGATAGTCTCAGGCAAACCAGGGTTGTTGGTCACCCTTCCATAATCAATAAGCCCCACCCACATGCTCAGAGTTCCCAATCACTCAGCAATGATGAAACTTACTCAGGTATGACCAAGATTACCAGACATCTGAGCAAAGCTATTAGCCTGAAAGGCTGAGACTGAAACAAATACCCAGTAAAAAGCAACTTGCAGAAAACAAAGACTATGTATGGAGAGGGAGAAAAATCACTGATATTCTCAGAGAGATAAGAGAATATTATAAACATGAAAAGGAACAGGAAATTGGAGATTAAAGGTAAAACAATTAGGGAATTAATCTAGGAGATTTTGTGGTAGGAGTTCTAGTAAGAGAGAACAGAGAACACAGAAGAGATGATTCATTAGTGAAATAATTCAAGAACATTTTTTAGAGCTGAAAGAGTTGCATTTTGAGACTGAAAGAACCCACTCAGTGACCAGTATAATAGGTGAAATTAGATACACACATAACAAAACACAGCAATATGAAATTTCAGATCATTAGGTACATAGAGAAGCTCCTACAAGAAAGAAAGAAAAATCAAGTCACATACACACAAAAAAAGAAATAAGAATGGCTAAAGACTTCCAGGTATTTATTCAGAAAGTTCTATAACAACGGAGAAATGCTTTCAAAATTCTGAAGGAAAATTATATTAGAGACAGAATTATTTACCAGCCAAAGCATTAATCAAGTGTAGAATTAAAACATTTTTATGTATGAAAGGCTCCAACATTTTCACTTCTCCTGTATACTTTTCTCAAAAAGTTACTGAAGGATGTTCTCTACTAAAACCAGGGAAATAAACTAAGAAAAGAAAGATAACATGAAATATAGAAAACAGAAAGCAAACACAGAAGGTGACGTGAATCCTCAGTGTAATTTTGAAAGGAGGTCTCAGGATAAGAGCTATGAATCAGATCTAGAGAGCAACCGTCCCAGACTACAGTGGATCACAAGATTCTGGAATATATTTCTTCAAGATGAAATTGATAGTTTAACAAGTAAGTCTGATTGTCTTGAAAGAAGATTTAAGCAACCAGCAGATCGTTTGGGATTGAAATTCTCTGAAAAGCAAAGAAACAAAAGATAAAAGGGAAAATAAAAAGTTGTCCAGAAAAACAGTATTGATCATAAAGTATTTCCTGGCTCAGCTGTAAATAGCTCTGATATAGAAAATATCTTATACACATTGAACACAAATAAAACCAAAATCAGGAATAATTTACATAGGGAGGATATGGAGGTAGGGAAGACATTTCTGTGCACAGTGAGTGGGCAAAGGAGAAAGAGCTACGTTTCCAGCTTCCATATTGGAAGTCAATAAAGAATTCTTAAAACTGAAAAATTAAGACATGAAAATAAGCATGTTATTCAGAGATATAAGGGTCAAAAGCAAAAGAACTGACTTTTTAGAAGTTGAAAGAGATTATCTCTGGAGAGATAGATATTATGGGGTGAGGGTGAAGGAATGGAAAGCAGAGAAATGCTGTTTTAAACCTTGTAGAACTATTTGACTCTTTAAAACATCTGCAAATACTGATTTTTTTATTTTTATTTTTATTTTTTTTTATTTATTTATTTTTTTTTTTGAGACGGAGTCTCGCTCTGTCGCCCAGGCTGGAGTGCAGTGGCGGGATCTCGGCTCACTGCAAGCTCCGCCTCTCGGGTTCACGCTATTCTCCTGCCTCAGCCTCCCGAGTAGCTGGGACTACAGGCGCCCGCCACCACGCCCGGCTAATTTTTTTTGTATTTTTAGTAGAGACGGGGTTTCACCGTTTTAGCCGGGATGGTCTCGATCTCCTGACCTCGTGATCCACCCGCCTCGGCCTCCCAAAGTGCTGGGATTACAGGCGTGAGCCACCGCGCCCGGCCTTTTTTATTTTTAAGTAAACTTTTGATTGATGTATTATGTAAATAGACAGAAGTGTACAAATCATAAGTACAAGGTGAACACTTCATATAACAGCACCCAAATCATGAAATAAAACTTTTTTTTTTTTGAGATGGGGTCTCACTCTGTCACCCAAGCTGGAGTTCAGTGGCGTGATCTCGGCTCACTGCAATATCTGCCTCCCAGGTTCAAGCAATCCTCCTGCCTCAACCTCCTGAGTAGCTGGGATTACAGGCACGTGCCACGAAGCCTGGCTAATTTTTGTATTTTTAGTAGAGATGGGGTTTCGCCATGTTGGCTAGGCTGGCCTCGAACTCTTGGCCTCAAGAGATCCACCTGTCTCAGCCTCCCAAAGTGTTGGGATTACAGGCGTGAGCCACAGCACCCAGCCAAGAAATAAAACTTTACCCATACCCAGAAAGGCTCCTTTGTGGCCTCTCCCAGTCACCAACGTCCCACTAAGGATTACCAGTATCTAACTTGTGACATAAATTTTGGAATATGCATAAATGGAATTATATGTAAATAATATTCATAATTATATACAATAGTAATTACAACAGTAATATAATAAATACAATACAAAATATATTAAGTCAGTGCAAAATTAATTTTTAAAAGTAATGGCATTAAAAGTAATGGCAAAAAACACAATTACTTTTTCACTGACCTAATAATATACTAATATATATTATATCATTTATACATATACACACATGCATGCATGCAAATACTTTTGTTACTGGCTTCATTTACTCACACGTTTGTGAGATTCATTCATGCTGTTGTATGTAGCAAGATTTACAGTATTACTCTGCAGTGTTCCATTTAATGAAAACACTGCAATTTATTCATTCTCCCAATGATAGACCTTTAGTTTATTTCTAATTTGAACATTCTTATACATGTATGCATGTATAATTGTGATGAAATTAAAAATTACAGTGCAACAACATGGAGATAGGCATTTGTTATGAAGAAGCAGGATATGAAATTGTATATATGCCATGACTGCAACTATTAATAAATTCATCCAACAACAAAAACTTGCAGCATCTCCTATGTGCCAGGCACTGTTCTAAGTACTGAGTTTCAATGGTGAAGACAATTATGGCCTCTGCATTCAAGGGACTTACAGAAAAGGAGGGAGGGAGGAATAGAAAGAGCTAGTGGTTACATGCCTGATGAGTATTTTAGAGCAGAGCTGCAGTAATCTAATGCAACTTTGCCTGTGACATTTGTATTAAGACTTAAAAGAAGAGAAGGGGTTAACTGGGGGAAGGAGCAGGGAGGGAACTGGGAGGAAGGGCATGCCAAGGAGGAGGTACAGAACATACGAAAGGCCCGAGGAGGGAAATAACACAGTGTGCACAAAAAATAAGTCAAACCCAGTGTGCCTGGAACATGAAGAATGAAGAGGGGGATGCCACAGGCCTCAGCTGTGTCCATGCCTGTGGTAGTAGAGCAAACAGACAAAACACCTGAGGTCATTGGTGGCCTTAAAATGAGCAATTTCAGTGGCAAGAGTAGAATGCAGACTAGGGTGGGTTAGGAAAGAGTAGAAGGTAAGGGCATCAATATAAAAACTCATGAAGGAAATATATAAAAATATAAAGTTGTATACTAAGTTAGATGAGATTATGTATGTAAGTATATGTATACATAAACATCTTATATATAAATTACACGTATAAAATAGACGTATCATATGTACAGATGTTTAAAGAAAATTGAACTAGCATGTCTACATTTTTAAAAGATTTACATGAAAGCTAAATGTTATTTTTAAGGTGGGATATACATACCAATTTTATTCTTAGCCTTTTCTAGATTATATTAATATCCTACATTTTAAAAATGTGGTACTTTTAATATATCAGAGACACATTATATTCTCAATATTGCAAAATGCTGTGAAATGTAGGTGTAGGGATAACAAAGAATGGAGGATCCGAGGAGTCCTCATTACTAAACACACACACACACACACACACACACACACTCATTTAATACAAAACACATGGTTTGGTGAGGTCAGTCACTCTGATGATTCAACTTTAGCCCCGAATCAGAGACAGTTAAGCATCTTCCAGTGTCCTCATGCTCCAGGATGAAAACAAAGTGGAGCTGACTGCCACAAACAAATGAGGGGAAGCTCATGTTTATGGGAATGGCTTCCTTCTTCAGGGAATGCGTACTTTTGCCAGAAATGCTCTCTACATATGTATGTATACTAAAGGCTGTATTATTTGAAAAGCCAAGGCAGAAGTAATTCAAGTAATGAGCAATATTTTGGGAAAGATTATTCTCTTCCTCATGAATTCTCGTATCGCTTGAACACTAGTTTTCTTGTGGTCCTTAATACTTTTTTTGTTCTTTGTATATGTCCCATCTCCGTTGGTTTGGTAACTCATTTCTAATTTCCTTCAGCACCAGACCTTTAAAACCAACTCGATAAGTTCTATTGAATGTATTTACACGCACATTCATCCAGCATGGCAATGGATGAGGGTATAAACCTTTATTTCTTACAATTGTGTTTGCTTTTCCTCTTCAAACTTGCCTTGGTTTTCAATGTCTCCTTTGGCTACTAAGTCATTGCTGTTACTGGATTTGAAGAAATCTAACACAGCCAATATTGCATCAAACTTTGGTCCAAAGTCCTCTGAGTAATGAATAATAATTTTGTCTACCCAGAATATTGGCCCAAGATTTGAACCAGCAACTCATATTAAATTCCTTTTCTGGACTAGTTTCATCTACAGCAGCAATGTCTTATAATTAACACTATAATTATAATCACATAAGACTTTGTAATTAATTTCACTCTTGCACCCTCTATTCCCAAGAAACAGTGACTCATTATTTTTAATCTGCAAAACACACTTTATTTTTTAATTTTATATTTAATATAATGAGATACAAAATTAATTTATTCAGGGTCTTACAAAACAGAATTACTGAAACAAGACTAGAACACAATTACTAAGTGCCAGGTCTTAGTGTTGTGTGACAGTCACTCTTCTAATAGTTAAAGTCATCCATCCATCCATTTATTCATTCAGTATCATTCTAGGCACTGTGCTAAACACAATAAAGACACAATTAATGTTACTGCTTTCAGAGAGGTCACAGTTTGGTTGACAAATACAATAAAAATGGCAGATTTTTTTTAAGAGAATAATACATCCAATGATTAGAAATGTGTTGCTTTTTGCAAACGTATCTGTAGCTTCTTGATATTTGAACTGATAAAGGTTTTAGTACTTTCTATGAGATGAAACTGTTGTTTCCCAAAGACAACTATCATGCCATCACCAATCTCAATCTGTCAAAGAAAATCTTACAGATATTGAAATAAAATAATTATAAATGAAAGCAGATGTGATAAATTAGAGCCCCATCTGATTGGCTTGCTGGGGCTTCCACAAAATTTCTAAGGCTCCTTGTAACACTGTTGAAAACCAATAAAGAAGAGTCACCATTCTTTCAAGTTCAAGCATCAATGTGTCGAACTAGTCAAATTTTTGTTAACTGTGAACATTAACTTACAGTCTAATAACTGAATCAAATCTGACTGATCTAAAAGTGATCTGCTTGTGGGTAAGTAAGAATACTCTATCAATATACGCCTCAGCAAGGCTTCCACAGCTCTGCAGGTTTATCACCATGTTATTTTGTTATTGTTGTTTCTTCATCTGTATAATATGCAGAATGCTTTCAGAAACTTTGAGTAATTTTACCCTCCTCTTCTCAAAAATCAAACAAATATTTTGAAACTTCACCATGTATCATGACTGGAGATGCAGTGAGGAAGACAGAGGAGAAGCAGGTTTGTAAGTTAAATCCAAGTGAAATGTCTGAGTGAAATTATCATAAATTGACCTCTCTCTCTCTCTCTCTCTCTCTTCTCTTTCTTCCACACACCCCCCAACAAAGAAAAGAAAATATCTGGAAGTCCTTTGGGTTCCCCAAAAGGTAATTATCATCTTACAGAGCTGCGCAGCCAGGCTTCTCCACAGCTGATTGTGATGAACGTTCTAATCTCACCCCCTTTAGGAGCTGTGGAGATGATCCACTTTGACACTGAAGTGCTTTGACATCGACACTGACATTGGTGAGACAAACATAGCCCCTTCCCTAAAAGGAGTCACAGATGGAAATAAACACTGCTACGGAAGAGCATGTGAAGACTAGGCAAGTGCGAAAAAGCACAAGTTCATGATAGCCAGCATTCATACAATTGTCTTATAATTTGATTCAACAAATAATGGCTGTTATCTATTATATGCCATAAACTATACTAGACTTAGAGAGACAAGAAATGAATACAAAACTACTCTCACTCTCAGGAAGCTCACAGTATAAGATATAATAAGGAAAAGACAAGCATGCAGATAGCATGCACTTCAGTGTCAAAGTGGATCACCTCCACAGCTCCTAAAGGGGGTAAGATTAGAATGCTTATCACAGTCAGGTATGGAGAAGCCTGGCTGCACAGCTCAGTAGGATGATAATTATCTTTTGGCGAGCCCAGAGGACTTTCAGATATTTCCTTTTCTTTGGCGGGGTGGGAGAAAGAGAAAAAGAGAGGTCAATTTATAGTAATTTTACTCAGACATTTCACTTGGATTTAACTTACAAACTTGTTCCTCCTCCATCTTCCCCAACCAGATAGATTACTATCCATCCACCTGTCCCTTGTCCTTGACTCCTCACTCATCCCCACTACCATCCCATATCTAATAAATCACTTGATTCAATTTGCTTTAATAGCTCCTATTGTAAATGTATTTTGAATATATCTACTTCTCTCTGTCTTTCATGCCCAAGCACCTTATTTTTCTACACATCACTTATAAACATTATAATTAACTGTTTCCATAATTAGTTGTTTATACTACCTGTCTCTCAAATTATCCCATCCACCACAATCCCCTCATCTCAACTGTAATCTCCATGAGGCCAAGGACCATGCCTGCCTTGTTCACTACTGTATACTCAATACCTAGAGCAGGTTCTGACACAGAGTACAGCATGTGCTCAGTGAGGGAGGGAGGGAGGGAAGGAAGGAAGGAAGAAAGGAGTCAGTCAGTCCATCAAAACTCAGTAATAATCAGCTCTTCTGTTTAACTCCTTTATGATTAAGTAAAAAAATATAGATCGAAGTGTATACACATTTTTCCAATTCACTGTAAGACAATATCATTATTTCACTGAAATAGTCCATTTAAACAATCAAATCAAAATAAATTCAAACGTTTGGGTTTACTGCATATTATAATGGTCTGTTTAAAGATTAAAAACAGAACCACATATCCCTTCCAGAGTTGATACAATGCAGCAATAGAACCCAGTTGCTCACATTTTGAGTCTCCTAATTAATCTGCTGGTCTGTAAACACGTATAGCTTGTGCAATTGAATTTGCTATGCTCATATGGTGGCCCTGCCAAGCACCCAGCACATGACAGAGTACTTTCTGGACATGTGTACAAATGAATCCAATCTTAGCATCTGTGATATGCATTATTTAAGTCATCAGTTTATCCCTATGTTTATTTCATTTACAAGGAAATACAATAACCTCTTGTGTCCACTTTTGGTTTGGAAGCATGGCCTCTGCTTGTCAAGACTGCCTCATAACATGGTCACATGGCGTATTTGACTGGTGCCAACACTTCCCAGTTCTACCCACTTTGAAACAGAACTCAATTTCAACAATCCTTCTAAGGCGGGAGGGGCCTCCTGCTCATCTTTGAAAGAGTAGAACATTTGCTATGATTTGGTAAACAGTAATGCTTCATACCCTGCCTGCCTGCTGCAGGAGGCTGCATATCACAAAACCCTAAATGCCACTTGAGGATTCGGCCTCCAGGCTGGATGCTCTTTATCCTGTCCAACTCTGCAATTCCCACCAAGCAAAGTCAACCTCATTATGGTTCATTCCATCTGCCTCTAGTCTTGGAAAAGGTTAAAATTTTGCAGAAGCTTAATGAACCATGTCCTGCCCTGAGAAATACAGATCTGTTATTGCTTTGCACAGAAATGAAACAAGTGGAATAAAAACAGGAGTGGATCATATGAGTCACAGGATGTGGGTGAAGATCTTAAATCAAATTAAGAACCTAAGTACTAATTCACTGACCTGAAAACCAGGAAATTTGAGGTCAAGATCCTGCTCTTCACCAATGAGCTGCATGAACTTGAGCAGATCATGAAATCGGGGCCTCGTTTTCTCACCTCTAAAATGGGAATAATAATTTCTGTCCTACTGTCCCTCCAGGACTGATACAAGGATGAGATGATAAATGTAAAAGCCCTCCAAAACTCTAAAGAAAACCGTAAACTGAAAGATATTCTAAGACAGAGAAAAACCCCAATATCACTCCTACCAGGAACTAGAAGGGAGTAGGTGGGTTCCTTTGCAACAAATCTGTTCTTTTAGGCGAATATTAAATTAGCATTTCTTGAGTATGCTTCTGTGTTTTAAGAACAAGTTTTTAGAATGAGGAAGGACAAAAAAGGAAAGAGCTTATGATTCCAAGTTTCCTACAGAAACTTGGATTCATTCATTCACATGTTTCTGCACTCATTCAAGAAGCAGTCGTTCAATTCCACAACTGTTTCTTGAGCACTTACTGTGCTCTAACCACTGTGCTAGCCACCGTGGATACTATACAGATAAAGGCAGTCCTCAATTCCTGCCCTGTGGATCTTACATCAGACCATTTTTTGCAATCAAAGAACAAACTAGATGTATTTTCCACCCTGAAGTAGTTATAAACTAGCAGAAAAGGAAGTGGCCCTAAAATAAAATAGAATCATTTTCAGAGGACTCTGCTTTTAGGAGCAAGGGAAAGAGATAAATGAATCCATCAGTCTTTCTTTTGGATCAGCACACAGAATCAACATTAGCACACAGACATGCTTTAATAGCTCCCACCATAAACCCTCTCTTGAGCCTATTCTCTTTTGCAGCTAAACTTCTTACAACACTTGCCTGTGGTCGCTGCCTCCATTTCCTTAACACACTTGCCCCTCCTCAAACCGAATTGGTTGGGAATCTCTCCCCACCACCTTCTTGAGGCAGCTCTTGGCCAGGCCCCCAGTGTCCTTCGCTTTCTCAAATCAATTGGTGACATCTCTGGTCTTATCGCATCATCATTTGAAATAATTAACTACTTTCTCCTTCTAGAAAGGAGGTTGGTTTATTTTTGTTAACTTCCCTAACACCATGATCTCATACTTTTCTGTCTGTCTTACTGGTCACTGCAGTCTTATTTGCTGGTTTCTCATCCTCTTGTAAACCTTTAATGCAGGCATAGCCCTGGCATCTGTCTTGGGCTTCCTTCTCTACCTAAACACTCTTCTTGAGTGACTTCATCCTGTATCATGGCTGTAATTATCTGGTTACACTATATTTGGTTCTGTCTCTCTCTCTCGATCTATGGATTCATAACTATATCTAGTGATTACATATCACCAACACTGACTTTCTTCTGTACTCCAGAACTATGTATCCAACTACTATTGACATTTCTACTTATTTTTCTTTTTTTCTTTTTTCTTTCTTACTTCTTCTTCTTCTTCTTTTTTTTTTTTTTTTTTTTTTTTTGAGACAGGGTCTTACTTTGTCACTCAGGCTGGAGTGCAGTGACTCGATCGTGGTTCACTGCAGCCTTGACCTCCAGGTTCAAGTGATCCTCCCACCTCAGCCTCTTGAGTAGCTGGGACTACAGTCACATGCCACCAAGCCTAGCTAATTTTTTATTTTATTTTTTATTTTTATAGAGACAGAGCGTCTCACTACGTTACCAGGCTGGTCTAGAACTCTTGGGCTCAAGTGACACTTCTGCCTCGGCCTCCCAAAATATTGGGATTACTGGCATGACCCAATGCACTCAGCCTCTACTTACTTCATTTACAAGCATATCAGATTTAACATGGCCAAAACAGACCTCCTGTTCCACCCCCCACTGAAGCCTGCACCTGCCCTAAGTTCCCTGTCTTGATACTCAAGCCAGAAACTAGGATTTTCCTTGCTTCTCCTCTTGTGCTTTCTCCCCATCCCCAGCCCATCAGCAAGTCTTATTGACTCTATCGCCAAAACCCATCCTGAGTCTGCCCCAAGTGCTCCATCCTCATTGACCTCATCTCCCTCTCCCGCTTCTCTCCAGCCACACCAGCCTTTGTTCTGTTCTCAAATGTACAGATTCGCCTCTGCCTCTGCACAAGCAGCTTCCTCTGGGTGTAATGTTCATCCCTCTTCTTTTTGCATGGCTGGCTCCTTTTCACTCAGATCTCAAATTAAATGTCACCTCTTCAGAGGTGTCTTCATGAACACCCTATCAAAAGTTGTCACCCAGGTATTTCTTGTCTGTTGCTCTATTTTAACATTATAAAATATTTATCTACTTACTATTACAAAATATTAAATATCTTATATAATATAAAATTAATAAATATTAGGTCAGGTGAGGTGGCTCATGCCTGTAATCCCAGGACTTTGGGAGGCCAAGGGGGGTGGATCACCTGAGGTCAGGAGTTCCAGACCAGGCTGGCCAACATGGTGAAACCCCGTCTCTACTAAAAATACAAAAATTAGCTGGGCGTGGTAGCACACGCCTATAATCCCAGCTACTTGGGAGGCTGAGGCAGGAGAATTGCTTGAACCCAGGAGGCGGAGGTTGCAGTGAGCCAAGATTGTGCCATTGCACTCCAGCTTGGGCAAAAAGTGAGACTCTGTCTCAAAAAAATTAATAAATATTTAACAGTCACCCTTCTACTTCTTATATCAGCTATTTGTCTATCACCTGTCCCCTTCCACTAGAATTTAAGCTCCAAAAGAAGGGACGTTGCTGGCTTTGTTCACAGCTGTATCCCTGGTGCCTAGAAGAGAACATAGAACAAGCTGATATACATTTATTGAACATATAAAAAAATGTGGAAGACAGACCCACATTAAGAGAGTTGAGTCCTCCAGGTTCTGGTTACATGAGTTTACTTCCTGTTGCTGCCTCTCAAACCTGATATACTTTGACACTATTTTGGCACCTGGTGGTGCCATTTTTATTTAACTCATTCATCTCTGCTTGCAGAATTTGTATGTCCTATTTTAATGTTCAATAATGCTGGTAGATAATGAGGTGGAAATAAAACATGAAGGGAGTAAAAATGTCCAATATTTTGTTTCTAGACGGTGAGTCTTTGGGGAGAGTCACACAAAAAAAAAAACTCTTAAAGATAAAATACACAGATATTTGAATGAATCCTAATATAATAGCATTCTGGTTTCATGTACTGATATTTTGTTCCATTTACTTCAAGATTTTGAGTTCTATGGCTGTATCTTAAAAAGATCTCTTTTCTCATGGAGAGTCCATTTTATTCAATATATTGAGCAATGACTCAGACACTGTGCAGAGCAGAAGGGCACATTCCTGTGTCCTGCTCACCCAATCCTGTGGCTATGAGATACACTGCTCTTCTTTATCGCACTTTGTCAGTAAAGTCCAGATAAGGCCTCAGGATCTTTCTCAACACAGTGTCCTGGAGAACCATTACCAATGATCATCACTTGCAAGCAAGATGATACCTAATTGCTATCCCTGGTTTAGATGAAATGAAGACTGGATTTAATGAATCTATAATTAATGAAGTGAATATTATATTTAAGACTAGTTTTGCTCTGGAGTCTTGAGGTCTTGCAGAGGCTTGATAAATAACCTGTGTTGATTTATCAGAAACTTCCAACCGACAGGAAACTAGCCTGGCAGCCTTGCTGACCAGCAGACTGTGCCCTGGCCTACTCCTCACCGGGAAGACATGGTTATGCTGCTGATATCCCTGTCTTAGCTGGTTCACCTTGGAGGGTCCATTCACATCTGCATGTTTCACAATACTTTTGTCATCCTCAAACTACATGCAAGATGGTTTTGTGGAAAGAGAGTGGGCACGTGGGTGGGAGTCATGGCTTATAGGTGATGGGCCTTGCTTCACCTCTTGGAGACATTTTTCATCTTCAGCAAGGGAAAAAGAGCACCTACCTTGCAGGGCTATTGTGAGGATTAGAGGTAACATTTAGAAAGTGTCTGTCATATAGTAGGTATTCAATGAATGCTATAAATGTATAAGCTGAGAATGAATTTGGAATATGCAGCTATAAAAAGAAGCAGAGGCACTAAATTGCCTTGTTCATGATCATTGTTGTGTGGTCAATTCAGCCTCTGGGGGCCACAAATGTCCACAGACTTTGTGAGGACATCTGTGATTAAAAAAAGGTGGGGGGAGGGGGGAAGAATGTCATCGGGCAATGGGGCTGGAGTGGAGGGTGGCAGAAAAATCAGAGGTGAAACCAAACCCTGAAATGCCACCCTCCATTTAAGTAATTGGAGTGTCTGTGCTGTTCTCAGTCCATTCTAAGTAAAATAATGCAATGAATCAGATGCGGTGATGAGAGTGTAGGTGCTGATTTTACTTTCCATTTTGTTATTGTCTATTAAGAGCCACAGGAAATGGTAAGCCCCAGTCTCTCTTCCAAGTTGGAGCATGTGGAAGCAGCAGAGCATGCTGATCCCAATTCTACCTCCTAGACATCCCCCTCAGCCACCACGACAAAATGTAAAGATAGATCTTGCTTCCCAAGGAGCCCATGGGAAAGCACTCTGATTAGAGGCAAAGTAGCGTTGTAATCAGCCTTCCATCATAGTCAGGGGATGCTGTTTTGGCAGGAGAGGAGATCTCAGTGCAGCGTATAAAAGTCAGGCTGTGTCATGTATAGCCACAAGCCCCTGACAGTCCAACACCCCCATTATGTAAACACACATCCGCTCTTACCCAGAGTTCTCCAGTCCTGTCGAGGGCTTTTTCCATCCATAGGAACCAAGGCTATTGCACATTCTCAGCAGAAACATGTTTTTAACAGAAAATTAAGTCACGATAATGAGAGAATTTTATCCACCTTTCTTGAAAATGTACCAGGGGAATAAGCTCCCAGGACAGTTCTTGATTTATGATTAATACAAATCATCACAGAGGCTGTGATTTAGAAATGATGTCCTTCATCACGGAAAGGAAGTTCATGAGACTCAGCAAATGACCTGAGTTTCAAGTGGAAACTTCTCTACCCTTCTGCCTAAGAGCCTGCTCTCGCTCTTTGTAACAGGCTGCACACTGCTGAGAGTGACTACGACAAAGAACACATTCAGATTTAGAATCACTGGACTCCAATGGCATTGGAAGATGGTGAGGCTGTTACAGGTTAGCAAGAGTATTGCAGGTCAAGCCCAAGGCCAAGGGGTCAGCCAAGAAAGAGAACATGCACCATATTTCTCTTTTACCTCCCTATGGCTCTGAGAAGGGCAGTCTATCGTTTTTCTGAATGTTATACTCACTAGCTTGACCTAAGAATGTACAAATAAAAAGCTAAATGAGAGAGTCCTATACAGTCATTGATTTTTTTAGAAGCAGCCATGACCTCAGGCTTAAAAAATGTTTTTCAAATCATAGAGCCATAGATCTGTTAGAAACCTGGAGTAGAGCATTATCCTACGGAGAATGCATGCCAACCCTCCTGCCTGGTTTTATAGTCTCTTTATTGGAAGAAATTCTACAACAGCCTTCATGGAATATTCTAAGCCTTAATGGCTTCTCAGTAAAAAGGCACTGCATCATGTCTAATTTAAGCCTTCCTTACCATAACCAAATAAGAAAAAGAACAATGCAATAACAGCTGCAGTAGCAAGAAAAAGAACAATTGGCTAGGGTATAATGTGCAGAAGTTTTAGAAGTGTTTTTTTTCTGCTGATCAAATCCGTATCTTACGGACTGCATGCAGCATGTTCCCTTAGCATCTTCTCATTAAGACACTTAGAAACTAAGAAACTTCTGGTGAGAGTTTCTCAGCTTTTCTTTGTTTTTTCATCACCTTGACCTTGACAATTGTGAGGAGTATTAGTCAAGTATTTTGTACTATGTCCCCTAACCTGGGTTGACCTGTTCCTTTTCTTATAAGACTGAGGTTACAGGTCTTAGGAAAGAATATCACAAAGATGAAGTACCCTTCCCATCACATCATATCTGGAGTACACGGCAGCCATATGGTATCACCTATTACCTTAACCTTGCCTTAAGCTTGGTCACCTGGTTAAGGTCATGTTCACCCGGTTTCTCCATTGTAAAGTTTCTATTTTTCCCTTTCCATACTCTGTTCTCTGAAAGCAAGTCACTGTGCCTACCCCACACTCACATACACTCCCTACCCCCACAACACACATACTTCTTTTTAACCATCTAATTAGTTTGGCTGCAATTTTGGGGGGACCTTCCTGTATTCCCCATATCTCTTCCCAAAGTTTGTCTGTAAAAGGAATATAATACTTTCATATGGTGTCTTAGTCAGTTCAGGTTGCTATAACAAAGTGCTACAAACAGATGGTTTATAAACAACAGAAATGTATTTCTTAGAGTTCTGGAGGCTAGAAGTCTGAGATCAGGGTGTCAGCAGGGTTGGGTTCTACTGAGGCCCCTCTTCCGGGTTGCAGACTATTGTCTTCTCATAGTATTCTCACATGATGGAAAGAGAGCAAGAGAGCTCCTAGGGTCTCTTTTATAAGGGCACTAATTCCTTTCATGAGGGCTCCACCCTTATGACCCACTCACCTCCCAAAGGCCCCACCTCCTAATACCATCACACTGTGGATTAGGACTTCAACATATGAATTTTGGTGGGGACACACACATTCAGTCCATAATACATGGATTTGATCAACAGAATAAATATATTATTATTTTTAAATTTTTAATTGCTATATTTAATTGCTATATTATAATATTTAATTGCTATACTGTACATACTTTGGGGTACATGTGATATTGTGATACATGTATACAATGTGTAATGATCAAATCAGGGTAACTGGGATATCCATCACCTCAAACATTTTTTTCTTTGTGTTGGAATGATTACAATTCTCCTAGCTATTTTGAAATATACAATAAATTATTGTCAACTGTAATTTTCCTACTATACCACTGAACACTAGAACTTATTCCTTCTATCTAAATGTATTTTCATGCCCTTTAACCAAGTTTTCTTCTTCCCCTCACCTCTTTCCTTTCCCAGCCTCTGGTAATCACCACTGTACTCTCTACTGCCACAAGATCCACTTTTTTAGCTCCCACATATGAGTGAGAGCAATATTTATCTTTCTGTGCCTAGCTTATTTCATTTAACATACAACCTCCAGTTCCATCCATTTTGCTGGAAATGACAGGAAATTCTTTTAATGGCTGAATAATATTCCATTGTGTGTATATACCACATTTTCTTTATCCATTCACCACTGATGGACACTTAGGTTGACTCTACATATTGGCTATTGCAAATAGTGCTGCAATAAACATGGGAGTGTAGCTATCTCTTCAATATATTGATTTCTTTTCTTTTGGATATATGCCCAGCAGTGGGATTGCTGGATCATACGGTAGTTCTGTTTTTAGTGTTTTCAGGAATCTTCATACTATTTTCCATAGTGGCTGCACTAATTTACATTCCCACCAACAGTGTAGGAGCGTTTCCCTTTCTCCATCTCCTCACCAATATTTGTTACTTTTTGACTTTTCTCTAATAGCCATTCTGACTGGGGTGAGATAATATCTCATTGTGATTTTGATATGCATTTCTCTGATGGTTAGTGATACTGAGCATTTTTTCATATACTTATTGGCCATTTGTATGTCTTTGCTTGAGAAATGTCTAATCAGGTCTTTTGCCCATTTTTTAAATTGAATTATTTGGTTTTTTGCTATTGAATTGTTTGAGTTTCTTATATATTCTGTTACTAATCCCTTATAGGACAGAAAGTTCACAAATAATTTCTCCCATTCTGTAGGATGCCTCTTCACTTTGTTCATTGTTTGCTGTGCAGAAGCTTTTTCAGAATACACAGTTTTTAAACTTCTGCATATTATACCCTGGTCAATTGTTCTTTTTCTTCTTAGGCTATTCCACTCCATAATTCTTTTCAGCTATTAGAAATTCACATCATAAATATTTTCTGATCTCTTTTTCTCAAAGTATATTTTAAAACATAGGACAAGAAAATGATCTTAGATCTTTTAAGAAACATCAGGAAAAAAAATAATAATAAGAGACCCAGGCTGTGAAATATAAGACGCATTAATGAAGTATTTTTAGCAACACTGACGCAATGGAAAAATTAAAATGGAATTTAAAGTTCCGAATGAGTGGGTTGAAGCAGGGGCACAAACATACTGAAGTGTAGGTGGCAGAACAGTCACAGGGAGAGAAATGCAAAATGCGGAGTTCTGTTTTCAAAGGAGTTTCCCTTCTATGGTTGTGTAAGTGAAAAGAAACATCAGACATTGTCATGATTGGATTGGCATTGAGTAGAAGGTTGGAACAGACTGGCCACTAAGATCAATTAATCTAACTTTAATAATTTCGTGATTCTACAGCTTTCAAATTAACTGGAAATTTACCAGATTAATGCTTTTGTTGATACTGTGTCCATCTTGCCCAGACTAATTTTTCCTGGTGTTTACCTTGCAGAACACAAAGATCGGCCAGGCACGGAGGCTCACCCTGTAATCCCAGCACTTTGGGAGGCCGAGGAGGGTGGATCACCTGAGGTGAGGAGCTTGAGACCAGCCTGGCCAACATGGCAAAACCCAATCTCTACTAAAAATACAAAAATTAGCCAGGTGTGGTGGTGCGTGCCTGTAATCCCAGCTACTTGGGAGGCTGAGGCAGGAGGATTGCTTGGGAGATGGAGGTTGCAGTGAGCTGAGATTGTGCCACTGCACTCCAGCCTGGGTGACAGAGTGTGACTCCATCAAAAAAAAAAAAAAAAAAAAAAAAAGGAAAGGAAAGAAAGAAGAAAGAAAGAAAGGAAGAAAGAAAAAAAGAAAGAAAGAAAGAAGGAAGGAAAAAAAAGAAAGCTGAAGACCATGAGAACTTCTTCTACCAAAGGATTCTGGGATAAATATATTTTTGGCCATTTGGCATACTATAGATTAGGGATCAGCAAATTTGTCCCGTGAAGGACCAGATAGTAAATATTTTAGGCTTTGTGGGTTATATAGGGTCTTCTTCTCCTCTTCCTCTTCTCCCTTCACCTTCTCTCCCTCCTCCTCCTTCCACTTCTTCACAACCCTTTAAAAATATAATGAATATTCTTAGCTTGGAAGCTGTACAAAAACAGGCTGTGGGCCATGTTTGGCCCATGGACTGGTAGTTTGCCCACTCCTTAATATTCGAAATATATATTAGCACAGTAAAGACTCTGAAAAGATCTGTAAGATAAAAATCTGTTTAACCAGATTTATCCCAAACTTATTGGACCAGAAAACTCTTTTTCTCTTAACCATTTCATATCTCACATAATTAGTTTTCCATGGAAAATACTTTGGAAAATTCTGACCTTTTTTATATAGAGAGAATAATAAAATTTATCCCTACTATATAAAGAAACACTCCAAATGGCTTAAAGACATAAATAGAAAAAGTACCAGAGACTATCTCTGTGGCCTTGGAGTATGACTATATTCCCAAGCAAGATTCCAAAAAAATTAAGCACTAGGCAAAAATTATGAATTTGACTACATCAATATTAAGGATTTCTGTTCAACAAATAGCATGACAGAAAAACTTAACAATTGCATAAAAGATTGGGAGAAAATATTTGCAATGTTAAAAACCATAAAAGATTAATATTTCAAGGAAATTTTGTCAATTAATAAGAAAAAGATTGGGACTCTAAAAGAAATGCAGGTAAATGATGTCAATAAGCAATGTATAAAAGGGGAAATCAGAATGGCTAACAAATATATGTTTAGCTGCATTAGCAATTGTAGGAATGCAAATTGAAAAAAGAATAAAATACTCCTTTATACTATGCATAAGTTGGCAAATATTTTTAAAATTAGATAATAGCCAATATTAGCAAGTGTGTAGGAAAATGGCTTTTCTCATGCACTGCTTGTGAAAGCATAAAACCAGTGCAACCATTCTGGAGAAAAAAATTGGCAAAACTTAGTGAAATTTAGTACATCTAGTTTCACTCTTGAGTCTAAACCCAGAGGAAAGTATCCATAGATCCAAAGATGACAGGTACAAAGAAGTTCATCACAGCATTTTATTTCATGGTAGGGAAGGGATACTGGGAGGCAAAATAGCTGCTCATCAGCAACCAAGGGATGGATAAATAAAATACAGCTGAAGCTCATATGGAATACTATACAGCAGCCAGAAACAATAAACTGGAGGTACATAAAGCAACATGAATAGAGCTCCTGAAACTAGTGTTAAGTAAAAAAAGTAAAATTCTGGGCCAGGCTCAGTGGCTCACACCTGTAATCCCAGCAGTTTGGGAGGCCGAGGCAGGCAGATCACATGAGGTCAGAGGTTCGAGACCAGCTTGGCCAACATGGAGAAATCCTACCTCTACTAAAAATACAAAATTAGCCAGGTGTGGTGGCACATGCCTGTAACCCCAGCTACATGGACGCTGAGGCAGGAGAATTGCATGAACACGGGAGGTGGAGGTTGCAGTGAGCCAAGATCATGCCGTTGAACTCCAGCCTGGGCAACAAGAGCAAAACTCCATCTCAACAACAACAACAAAAAAGTAAAATTCTGATCGCACTACAGACAGTGAGATCTATAGCATAATGTCAATTATAAAACTAAAAACATATATACATATTTTTATATATCATATACATACTAAACATAATGGTGGGGTATCATAAATAAAGGGGAAAAATAATATAAGTAGAGATGAGGTTTCACCATGTTGGCCAGGCTGGTCTTGAATTCCCGACCTCAGGTGATTCACCTGCCTCGGCCTCCCAAAGTGCTGGGATTACAGGTGTGAGCCACTGTGCTTGGCCAATTTTTTTTTAATACAGATTACCACTGTCAAGATTGTAAATAATTCACTGGTTATAATTCTTAAATTTTATACCAAAATTATATGATTTTCCCAAAGAATACATTATCCTAAGTCCTTGCAGTATAATTTTATTAGTATGGCTTTTGAACTATTCATGTCCCCTATGTAAACAAAAGCTCTCAGTGAAAAGGCAGTTCATTTTGAGAGGTACTGTAATATATGTAAGAGTATCTTGAGTGTGTGGAAATAACATGGATTGATTTTCCCTAGGTGGAGAAGCAGGATGAAGCAAATACATCTAATACTTCCTCATTCACTCTACGTTTGCATATTTGTATCAATTTCAAATGAAATTGCAACTATAATCTGCCTATGTTACAAGATCAGAGTAAATTCCCTATAGCAAAATAATCAAAGCAAAAAACAAAAAACAAATGCACACATGAGGAACTCAACAAAAAGAGCTGAATTAGAGCTTTTCAGCACACACTCCGAAAAACATAAACACAAAGCAACCACAGGCAGGCTATAAATTGTCCTGAGTTACACAATGGAGTGATAAGACAGAGATGACCTGGAAGATGTGAGCTGGCGGGACTGTCTGAGATTGATTAGTTGGCTGCCTTAATGCACAGGTAATAGGATGCCTTTCAGCTCCAGTCTGCCTATTTTAGTCCAAATTTGTTTTCCCTCCTGCCTTAAAAATTAGAAGAGTCCCTGTCACTTCAGTTCTGCAATTATATGGAAGCTCATTCATCTCACAATACTCCAAAATACACAAATGCCATCCTTTTTTTGCTATGCAACACAAAATGCAGTGCTCTTTTATCTAATGCCATCAACACGCAATCTCACAACGTACTTCTGAAGAAATTGATTCCAAAATTTAGCAAAATGTCAAGGTTTGGAGAGGAGATGAGAAAAAGAGACAACACTATAATAGATGCTAAGAAGAGAGCCAGGAGCAAGCTGCAAAATTGAAGATACCAGATGTGAAAGTGAAACCATCTCTATTTCATAGCAAACCTGAGCAGCAAACAATGATTCCAAACCTGCAAAGTGGAGCGCATGTGTGGTGAAAGGAATGACAGGCTATGTCATTGGGAAAGTGGAGAATTTCAGAGCCTAATTTTGGGAGTAGCCAGAAAACCAACCAAACAAATTGATTTGGAAGAGAGAGGTATGGAACTTTATGCAGAGGTGACAATCGTCAGGATAAAGGCCAGCTTAGGAGTAGATGCACAACTTTCAGCATGCCAGGTGTCTCCTACATGAAAAGTTGTGTTTTGGGCAGCCTTCTCCAAGCCTCCATCTATGTGATCCTAAACTGATGTCTCTTGGGGAGAACTCTAGCCTAATCCAGTCCAGAGCTTTCACATGTAGGTTTGTGAGCTGTCAACATGAGTATTCTGATATCAGAGGGGACTTGTACACAGAAAACACTATCGTTATCAGATAGAAATCAAATTAGTTGATTAAATACAAATTTAAAACCTTGTTTACTTTAAGGACTTGAGGTTTAACTTAAAAATGTTATTGGGCTATTATATCTGATCCATTCACATCAAACATTCTAAGCATCTGTAACAAGGAACTCCCCTTTCAAAATTAGTTAATCAAATACCTTTTAACACTTTAAGCCTCATTAATAAAAATAATGCATTTCATTTTTTCAGCCCTTCAAATGCCTAAATGGCTTCTGGCTTACAACCAGAAGAAGCAATAGCTTCTTCAAATACTTAGAAGGTTTTGTAAAATGAATGAATTAAAATGTTAAGCTCTTTTAAACAGTCTAATACTGGTTATAGGCCAAGTCCATTTTTCTTATGCTGTTTTTGCTTATATGAGAAGCCTAAATTCAAATACACATTTTAAATCAAATGCATAAGACTTACATGTCAGTTTCTCCAATGTAACAAATTCTCTGTGACATGACACGAGCTTTTACTAGCAAGCATTTATTAAATATCATTACACTTGACACACAAGTATCAATACTATGTGTTGGTTATATTTTATCATCTCTATCTTCAGTTCTTCCTATCTTATATTTCATATCTTAGGTGAGTTGAAGTTACCACCTTAATGGTGGCCACTATAGGATCATTATCTCAGGCAGCCAGAGATTGCTTATTGGGCAGAGATCTGAGGTCAGAATGCAGGGCTGAGGCATGAACAAATCCAAAGGGATTATTTCTGAGTCATTGAAGGACAAAGTTTTTATTTTCTTACCACTTTAACAGCCTCCTTTATGGGAATTTATCATCTGTATATTAGTCACCAACTCTAGCTGTCTTAAGCCAAAGGAATTTGTTGGAGAAACATAAGGGCTCAGAAAATCAACAGGAGGCTGGAGTAACAGGCATTAAGCAACTAAAACCAGCTGGAACTAATGGCACTGGAGGACCAGGCAGTAAGAACACAGCTACAGCCACACAGCAGAATGGACTGGTCAAACACTGCCCCATCCCTGATACAAATGGCCTGTTTCTTCCATCCTTTCAGCACTTGCTCAAGACTCAAGTTCCTGAGATGGTGAATCCAATTGGTTGAGCCCAGATCATGTGCCCATCCCCCACGGCAAAAGAGCATGGATTCTTTTCCATTTCCTTAGAGGCAGGGATGTACTCTCTCTGCCATTAAGAAGACACATGTGGGAGAAAGCTAATCCCCTTAAATGAAATCAGGATGCTATGGAAAGGAGATTGATGTAGGGCTGCCAAACACAACAGATGACCACCATTTCCTACCCATTATCTTGTGTTTCAAAATCCATGACTAATCCTTTTGATATCACCATTCTCGTAACCCCACATTTTTATTATATCTCATAACCCCCCAGCTTACCTTTATTCACCTTTAATCCACATCTTTTGAAAAGATATTAATTTGGGGCTAAATCACCAATGGTTTGGGATTTTTAAAACTATTTTTCAAATCAATTTCATAACCTGCAAAATATTTCACGGATGTGAAGTGTGAAGACAGTCTATCACCATCCCCTGCAGAAGAAGTCTAAATGAGACATTACCTTCCCAGGCACCGAGTTGGTTCCTCAGATTAGGACATTGGGTTTCTAGTACACATCTGGGACAAATAAAGGTTTTGTTTTTTTCTTAAGCTTCTGATTTATAGGTCAACAAAACAGCATGTTCTCTGCAAAAATGCTCTTAAGATGCATGGTATTTCTCTAGTGAGACAAACATGCCATTTAATAGTCATCAGATATTTATAAGGTGACAATTCATTCACTTCACTGTTGCCCCATTGCTGTTCAGGAAAGGCTTCAAAGTCCAGCCTTCATTCCTGGCTCTTCCGTGCCAGGCAAACCTCCTTGCCAGGAGTCTTCACTGAGGTTACTCTTCACAGTGCCTGCTGTGGCAAACAAAGCCACATCGTGGCACATGGCACCTATCAGTGACTTGGTATTAGGACCAAAGTTAACATTTGGTAAACAAGTCTGCTGCCTTCAATTCCCCTCAAATCACTTTTCCTTTTACACAATCATTTGGTCATGGTAATGGAGTCCACACAGAAGAGTGGTAAAAAGAGTGGCATTTCTCTGAGCCAGCATCAACCTGCAGAATAGGAATAGGACTCTCACTTCTTTTGTGCCACACGCCTACAAACGCTGACCCTCCCTCTCCAGAGCCCTGCTGCAGAATAGGTATAGCCTTTCTGTCTCCTGGAGACAAAAACTTACACCAGCTCCTGCAACGATCTGGGATGTATTATGTAATGCTTACTCTGTATTACCTGTGGTGAGTCACCATGTCATTTTGCACTTGTCTATACCAAATAAATCCTTAACAAAAATGCGCAAAGTTGCTGATGGAAGAGGAAGCTGTTGATAACTTTCTTTCCATCATTTGGAGCCACATCACATAACTTGTCCTATGTTATTTTTTGGAAGTAGTTTTATTCCTGGCTTGTTGGTCTCTGGCTACTTATCTTACTGTAGCATATCTCATTAGGAGATAAAAGAGATCAGATTCTATTTGTTATGCCTTATTTGTCGTCCTTAGAATCACAACACAGCATTCACATATCACATACCATGGGACTGTTAAAAAATACAAAAACAAAGTATATTCTGCCCCATTCAAGCTCAATAAATACTTGTTGACAGACTGCCAAACTCTATCCAAAAACAGAAGAAATGCCAATTGTGCAATGATTCCTCTTTATAACAAATACAAGGGCATTCATTAATTCACTCACTAAATTTATTGAGTGCCACCATGCCAAGCACTGGGCTAGACACAGGGGAAATAATAATACACAAATCATTCCCCTGCTCTCCTGGAACAACAAATATTAATAAGAACTACACAGATAAGACAAACTGCAGTGATGACCAATGTTAGGAGGAGATGCAAAAGGCCACACAAGACTACGAATGGGAGCTGATTAGTTAAGCAGGTCAGGAGAGTCTCCCTGAAGAAATGGTACTTGAACTGAGATCAGAAAAATGAAGGGAGGATATTTAGCTGAACAGAGAAGAGCACCCAAGGCTAAGAAAATAGCCTTGGGGTAGGAGGAAGCTTTGATGGCAAGCACAAAGAACTGGAAGGTCTTTGTGCCTGCACAGAGTGAGTGAGGGGAAGTGGGCTGGACAGGAGCCTGAAAACCTAGCTACACATCTTGCCAAGGAGTTTGTCTTCTCCTAAGAACTATGGATTGAAAGATCTCTTAGATTGAAACAAGAAGGTCAGGACTGGGTTTGAGAATGGGAAGCGTGAAAACTGTGGGCACCAGTCATTTTCCCTCACAAGCTTTTTGGAGCCTTAGAGTAGACATGGGAATAGCATGGATGAAAGACACCATTGGGGGTGCAAGGCCTTCCAGGTGTCCCTTCTGTTTCTCCTGTGTCTTGGGGTGTCAGCCATGGCCAGCACTTGTCAGAGTGACCAAGTCTTTAAATGTGAAAGTCACTGTACCGTGGGGTATCCAGGATTTCTTCTCCCACCCCACATGAGGTCAGCAGTTCTGCCACTCAGCAGCCCTCATGGCCCAGGCCTGAAGTCCAATATCTGAATGGTGAAATTGTTGCTGGATTATGTTGAGGATTCTCTGAGTCTCTGTTGCAGAACCTAGGATTTCTCTGTTACGTCCTTTTAGGGGCTTTCCATCAGCAGGCCTGGCTGTTGCTGGCAGGCAGGCTGGCTGATTGCAGAAGCACAAGGATTTAGAAAAAGGGTTCGTAATATAAAAAGATTTTTGTATTGAAAGCACCACTCTGGCTCCAGTGTGTAGGACAGATTAGAGGGGGCTCACAATGTGGATGATGAAACCAATTAGGAGGTGATTGTGGCTTAAACCAGTGTGGAAATGAAAGCGACAAAGTGCACAGAGTCAAGGGACATTTAGGAGTATAAATGTAAACAGAGCTTGGTAGCTGATATAGAAATGAGATTCTAGGCTTATGATTCACACAACTAGATGAAGTCCCCAAACTCATTAAAAACTCATAACAGTGTTATTCTCAAGAATAGGGGACATGGGAAGAGGACAAGATTTGGTCCTGGGTACATGCATCATCAAAAGAAAAATCTTTTAAAGGTGAAATTTTTTCATGCTGATAAATAATCATGGCAGTTGTGTCAACAGTAGAGAGAAGTATGTAGAAACTGAATGGGGAAACTGAGTGGGAAGAGGCTGAGCCGGTGAGGAAAAACAAAGCTGCAGTAGAAGCCACAGGTAGTTATTTTAAATAACTGTTTACTTAATAATTTAATGATATTGAATAAATTGTATTAAAACACAATTTTATAACAACTACAGAGTAATGCACATAAAGAAGCTATGTAGGCTGGTCATGGTGCCTTACACCTGTAATCCCAGGACTTTTGGAGGCTGAAGCAGGTGGATCACTGGAGCCCAGGAGCTCAAGACCAGCCTGAGCAAACCCCATCTCTACAAAAATATAAAAATTAGCCAGGTATGGTGGGGCATGCCTGTAGTCCCAGCTACTCAGGAGGCTGAGGTGGGAGGATCAGCTGAGCCTGGGGAAGTCAGAGCTGCAGTGAGCTGTGATTGCACCACTGCACTCCAGCCTCGGTAACAGAGTGAGACTCTGTCTCAAAAAAAAAAAAAAAAAGAAGCTATACAGATAAACATGGAAGAGGTGCTAAATGGAATTCTCATGTATTCATCATTGATCAATTTATTTATTTATCTATTTATTTCAATTTATTTTAATAAAAAACAAAGGCAGGGTCCCACTGTATTGCTCAGGCTGGTCTCAAATTCCTGAGCTCAAGCAATCCTCCCGCCTCAGCCTCCCAAAGTACTGAGATTATAGTGAGCCACTATACCCGGCCATTGATCAATTTTTAACATTTTTGCTCTGAAGCCAAGTAAGGCAGAGAAACTAGGGGACCCTAACAGATGACAACAGCTGGTGTTCAGAGGTCAGGCTCCACAGAGCCTTGCTCAGAGGAGCATTGCTCCAGGGATGGTTAATTCTTATTTTGTGGGTATGCACCAAACCCCCTCTAGCGTCTCTGAGGTCTGTTCCACTCCTGAAATTTGATGACACTGAATTTACTCCAAACAGGACTCAAAACACCGGGCGTCAGAACATCTCTGATGGCTCAGTACGTTTTTGGTCTAGCAAGTGTGTATCACATCTTCCTTCTTAAGGCCACTTGCTTAAGTTGGTGTAAAATTGGAGTCCTGGGCATATCCAGCTGGAAATTTCCTAGTAAAACTGAGGAATTCGAGAGGTGATGGTGTAACAAAAGGGAAGAGAAGGAAGGGATGCTGCAGCAATACAGCACACAGCTGGAGCTGCACCACAGGTCCCAGCCTAAGGCTCTGCCCTCCCATTCCAGTTGTTCAGTCAGCACTGTATGTCTGGCAGCAGAAACATACAGAAATTTAAGGTAATTTGCGGGGCAACAATTCCAACTATTTCTAGCAAGTATTATATTATTAGCCCCTTCACTTTTACTAAAATTAATCAGAGTTGAGTTATTTTTATTGAGTGATTATACTCTGATTTCAAATAGTTACTAGAAGGTAAAACTTGGTTTTGCCTTCAAAGTGATGCTGCATTGTTAATTTTTTTTTTTTAATGGAGCCTCACTCTGTCACCAGGCTGGAGTGCAGTTGTGCGATCTCTGCTCACTGCAACCTCCACTTCCTGGGTTCAAGCAATCCTCCTGCCTCAGCCTCCTAAGTAGCTAGGACTACAGGCACACGCCACCATGCCCAGCTAATTTTTTGTATTTTTAGTACAGACGGGATTTCACCATGTTGGCCAGGACGGTCTCAATCTCTTGACCTCATGATCCGCCCACCTCAGCCTCCCAAAGCACTAGGATTATATGCATGAGCCACCGCGCCCGGCCGCATTGTTAATTTTTAATTGGTTTGCAACATTAGTGTGCCTGTTTACAGATGACAGATCATTGAAAGAGTAACACATTTGTTTATATGTTTGTGTTTGCATATATATATCTGCAAATGAGAAGGAATAAAATCAACTCATTCGCTGAGAAGCAGAAGGACTGTTCTTTTTTTCTTTAGTGACAAGCAGTACAATCTTGTAAGTGGACAAGGTTTTGACATGGGCTGCAGGCTAGAGAAGACAGGCATTGGACTAAATATGGTTCCTGGTATGTTAGTGCTAACTCTGCCCTTTTCACACTGTTCCTCCTACTGCATCAATGTGAGGGGCAACCCTATAACTCCTGCCTGCACTACAGGGGCCATGATGCTGTTCAGCTGTAGACTGATGTTAAATTAAACTACATTTGGCATGAGGATGCCTCCATACTTGAGTCCTTATGTAATGAACTGCAGCCTAACTAAGTGCATAACTAACTGAATGTTTAACTTAGTAGTTACTGAATGTTTAACTTAGTAGTATACTTTGGTTTAACTGAATGTTTAACTTAGTAGTATACTTTTGTAACAGTATGCTTTTGTAAAAAGTATACTGACTTAGTAGTATGCTTTTGTAAAAAGTATACTGACTTAGTAGTATGCTTTTGTAAAAAGTATACTTACTTAGTAGTATGCTTTTGTAAAAGTGGACTTAGTAGTATACTTAGTAGTATATTTACTTAGTATATTTTTGTAATGGTATACTTTTGTAAAAGTAGTATACTTTCGTATACTTTTATACTAAGTTAAACTGAATGTTTAACTTAGTAGTATATTTTGTAACAGGTAGCTGAGTCTCAGCCAATCACAGCAGCTAAGCTGTCATCAATTGCAGATAGCCAATTTATCAGATCATGTTCCAATGAGGCAAACGCTAAGCTGTAACCAATCAAGCTGCTTCTACACCTCACTTCTGTTTTCTGTCCATAAATGCTGCCTGCCCACATTGTGCAGCAGAGCTCTGAACCTCTTCTGATTTTGAGGGCTGCCTAACTGGCAAATCATTCTTTGCTCAATTAAACACTACTACATTTAATTTTTCTAAAGTTTTTCCTTTAACACTGAGAACTCTAGGATCATTTTAGCAAAAAATATATATATATAGTATTTTATTTCTTAATGCAAGCATTAAAGGGTGACATTAAGCTAAATTTAAGTGATATCTGGCATGATACTGAAAACTATGGATCATTGGAGGTCAGGAGGAGTGCCAAGAGAGTGGATGACAGATTTAGCAAACAAAACGATCTTGGCAAACTAGAATGATTGATTAAATCTATCAAGTTGATGTTTAATAAAGATAAATATAAGAAATTTCCTTTACATGGAGAAACAAATTCCACAAGCAGAGGTTGGAAGATATATGGTTTAGCACAACACAGAAAAAAGTATCAGGATTTTAGATTATTTGAAATTCAATATGATACGGCTACATAAGAATAATTAGTCTTGAATTCCATTTATAAAATATGATAGTGTCTAGCAAAAGGTAAGTGTTCAGCTCCAGTGAAACCACAACACAATTTTATCATTGTACCCATTTCTGAGGAACACCTTAGAAGGACCTGTTTTAGTTAGCGTATCAGTTCATTTTCTCACTACTATAGAGAACTACCTGAAACGGGGTAATTTATGAAGAAAAGAGGTTCAATTGGCTCACAGTTCCACAGGCTGTACAGGAAGCATGGCTGAGAGGCCTCAGAAAACTTACAATCCTGGTGGAGATGAAGGGGAAGCAAGCATGTCTTAGCATGGTGGAGCAGGAGACAGAGAGTGAAGGGGGAAATGCTACACACTTTTAAATAACCAGATCTTGTGAGAACTCACTCACTATCATGAGAACAGCTAGGGAGAAATTTGCCCCATGATCCAATCACCTCCCACCAGGTCCCTCCCCCGACACTGGGAATTACAATTCAACATGAGATTTGGGTGAAGACAGAGAGACAAACTATATCATTCTGCCCCTGGGCCCTCCTAAATCTCATGTCCTCACATTTCAAAACACAATAATGCCTTCCAAGCAGTCCCCCAAAGTCTGAACTCATTCCAGCATTAAAAGTACAAATCCAAAGTCTTTGGATTTTACCAGTCTGTAAAATCAAAAACAAGTTAGCTACATCCAAGATACAATGAGGGTAAATGCTCCCATTCCAAACTGGAGAAACTGGCCAAAACAAAGGGGCTACAGGTACCTTGTAAGTCCAAAACCCAGCAGGGCAGTCATTAAATCTTAAAGCTCCAAAATAATCTCCTTAGGCTCCATGTCTCGCATCCAGGGCATGCTGATACCATGGGGTAGGTGCCAAGGACTTGGGCAGCTCCACCTGCCCCTGTGGCTCTGCAGGGTACAACCCCCACAGATGCTTTCATGGGCCAGCTTTGAGTGCCTGCAGCCTTTCCAGACACATAGTGCAAGCTGTTGGGGAATCTACCATTCTGGGGTCTGGAGAACAGTGGCCCTCTTCTCACAGCTCCACTAGGTGGTGCCCCAGTAAGGATTCTGTGTGGGGGCTCTAACCCCACATTTTTCCCGCCACACTGCCCTAGTAAAGATTCTCCATGGTGGCTCTACCCCTGCAGCAGATCTGCCTGGACATCCAAGCATTTCCATACATCATCTGAAATCTAGGTTGAGGCTTCCAAACCGCAGCTCTTGCCTTCTGCACATCTGCAGGCCAAACACCACATGGAAGCCACCAAGGGTTGGAAGCTTGGGGCTTGCACTATCTGAAGTAATGGCCTGAGCTCTACCTTGGTCCCTTTTAACCACAGCTGGAGCTGAGGTGGCTGGGATGCAGGATGCCATGTTCCAAGGCAGCACAGAGTAGCAGGGCCCTGTGCCTGGTCCATAAAACCATTTTTCTCTACTAGGCCTCCAGGCCTGTGATGGTAGGGGCTGCCACTAGAGTCTCTGAAATGCCTTGGAGGCATTTTCCCCATTGTGTTGGCTATTAACATTTGGCTCTTCTTATGCAAGTTTCTGTAGCCTTGAATTCCTCCCAAGAAAACGGATTGTTCCTTTCCACCACATGGTTGGGCTGCAAATTTTCTAAACTTTTATGCTCTGCTTCCCTTTTAAATATAAGTTCTAATTTCAGGTCATTTTTTGTTTATGCAAATGAGAATAGGCTTTTAGAAGCAGCCAGGCCACTGCTTGAATGCTTTGTTGCTTAGAAATTTATTCTGCCAGATATCCTAAATCATCTCTCTCAAGTTCAAAGTTCCATAGATCCCTAGAGCAGAGCTGCTAATCTCTTTTCTAAAGTATAGCAAGAGTGACCTTTATTCCAGTTCCCAACAAGTTCCTCATCTCCATCTGAGACAACCTCAGCCTGGACTTCACTATCCATATCACAATCAGCATTTTGGTCACAACCATTCAACAGGTGTCTAGGAAGTTTCAGACTTTGCTGTATCTTCCTGTCTTCTTCTGAGCTCTCCAAACTGTTCCAGTCTCTGCCTATTATCCAGTTCCAAAGTCGTTTCCACATTTTCAAGTATCTTTATAGCAATACCCCACTTCTGGTACCAATTTTCTAAATGAGTCCATTCTCACACTGCTATAAAGAACTACCTGAGACTGGATAATTTATGAAAAAAAGAGGTTTAACTGACTCACAGTTCCACAGGCTATACAGGAAGCGTGGCTGGGAGGCCTCAGAAAACTTACAGTCATGGTGGAAGGAGAAGGGGAAGCAAGTACATCTTATCATGGTGGAGCAGGAGAGAGAGGGCAAAGAGGGAAGTGCTACACACTTTTAAACAACCAGATTTCATGAGAACTCATTCACTATCACAAGAATAGCAAGTGGGAAATCTGCCCCATGATTCAATCAGCGCCTGCCAGGTCCCTACCCCAACACTGGGTATTAGAATTCAATATGAGATTTGGGAGGGGACACAGCCAAACCACGTTACTTAGGGTAAGTCTAGGCTGCTGATACAATGAGAGACATTGATACAATGGCTTAAGGAACAAAGAAGTTGCTTTCTCTTTTGTATAACAGTCCCAGGTGATGTCCTAGGCTGACAGGCAGCTCTCTTTGATGAAGTCCTTCAGGGAACCAGGTTCTTTCCATTACCATTGCCTCATCATTCAACAGAGCGTTGTCACCTACCATAGGGGTGAAACAGGGGCACCACTGTGACCAGGTTACTACTGACAGAATGAAGGAAGGGCATGTAGAATACTTATCTACTGCTTTAGATGCTGGCCAGGAATTGACAATCATAATTTCCGCTCACATTCCACTGTAACCCACAATATACTCATATCTAACTGCATGGGAGGCTGGGAAAGGTATTTCAGCTATCTTTACTAAAGATGAGTCTACCCAACCATAAGAACAAAAAAAAAAAAAAGAAGAATGAATGATTTGGGTGGCTAGAGCACAGTCTTTGGCATAACCTCTTGGAGAAACAGCAATCAGAATGATGTAAGAAAGTTGTATATCATGTAAGGAAGAAATCACATCAGAAGAAAATAAGTATTGTGTTTGCCATGGAAGTGATTAGACTAGTTCTATGTGGCTCTAGGGGATTGAATTAAGACAAATAGGAAAAGGGCTTTCTAATATATTAATATCATAATATAAAAGGACCTCCTTCTAGAGTGGAAATTCCCCTTGCTAGAGAATTTTTAGCAGAAACTGGAAGACCTTTGTACTTCCTTTAGGGGTTTTAGCATTTCTTCAAGCATTCTGAATGGCCAAGTTAGATCACTAATGCTGTCTTTCAGCACAGAGATTCTGTGATTCTATCTAAACTTGTGTTTATGGGTCATAGGGTAAGAAAAGGAAATCCCAAAATTTCTTAGGTGCCTACTGTATACAAGTCCTCACAACAATCTTGTGAGGAGGCACTATTCACATATTGCTGATGCTCTGAAGGGTCCACGGTCATTGTCTAAGACTTCAGAGCTATTAAGTGGCATTGCTGGTATAATCACCATCAGTCTGATTGCTAAATCCATGATATTTCTACCATGTTGTTGCCTCCCAGAAAGAAGGTCAAGAAAAAATTAAACATTCCCTCTTGTTTTATCATTCCCCTTCATGCTCCCCAAGTCCTTTATGTTATCAGGGCTGACTGCCTGGATGGGACTGGCTGTTCTGCAGAATTTAGCACAACAAGAGAGGATCACTTCAGCATTCAGTCCCTTTTCTAGCTCTTTCTACTGGAGCAAATGACTGATTTGTCACCCAAGCTTTTCTTGGTCCAGAGGCAGAGTTGCCTATTCATTTGGAAGAAGCTTCTGCTTCTCTCATTCCTTCCCTAAGAAGAATGCAGGGATTCTCCTGTAACCCCAGCCCACATAATAAGGCAGTGAATCATTTTCTGCTGTTACCTGACAGTCTGCTGCCTAAACCTCTTCCATCCTGGTTCTGAGTGTTGTAGGGGGGGAGAAAAGGTTTAATTTGAAATTAATTCTTAAGCCCTTTTGCATTGAAATGTGGATGTCAAAAGTGAATTAATCATCACCAAAGCTTCCATCATAGAAAATTTGCCCGATTCCCTCCACAGAGAGGATGACTCACATAAGCACCTGTTTTGTCTCCTTAGTAACTGGTCTCTTAGATTTCCCTCTTGTATTTGCATGCAGGCGAGCATAGCAAATTGACTGGGGGAAGGGAAGAGGTTCACAGCATACAGAATGTGCTCTGGGCAGAATGTCACCTGTAACACTGTTTTCCAACCATCTCGTGCTTTATGTACTCATTTTGTGTCTCTGTTATAACCCCAGCATTGATTCAGTCGCAAACTCAGAGTGCAGAGATAAGTCTGGAAAATTACTAATGGCCTCAGGGAAGGTTTGGTGACATACAATAGAAATGAATACTGGTGATATTCTGTATCCATCTGTATATTAAAAATGTGTCTTTCTTGGCTTAAACCTTTGCTGCAATAGGAGGCAGGCACACAACTCTATCAAGAGAGAGGTGAAAAGGGTAGAAGAAGAGAGGTTCAATTAAACCACTTATCTGGCTTTAGCACAGGAAGTAGTAATATTTCAAAAGTTGGGTTTATGTGGTTCTATGTGGTTTTAGTTCTCTTTTTCACAAGAGAGATAAAATGCCCTCTCTTATTGTCATTGTGGTAACATTTTTAAAAGATATTTGGATCAAGAGCTGGAGACCCATGTCTCAATACGTTCTCAGCCATAAATGAGCCAGTACCTGTGAATAAATCACTTAGATTCTCTGTGTTTCCTCCTGGAAACTGAGGGATCCAACTACATGACAATATTATCCCTTCCAATTATGAAATTGGAACTCTGTTTTCTGAGTAGCTTAAAGTAGCTTAACACTTAAACTTATTGGGTCAGAGATCATCCAAAATGAAAAGTTACTATTCTTTTCTTTATTTTACAAACGACGTCCAGAGAGATGAAGTTACTTGCCTAAGATCACATAAAATTCAAGTATCTTCACACACTTATTTATTTGGTTTCTGTTTTTATTATAATGCAACGTGCTATTGTTGCAGTCAAATAGCTCTACCAGACTTGTTATGAAAAATAGTGGTTCCCAATCTGCTTTTATGTCCCAAAGGCAGCTACTTTAAAGCAGGTTTTAGCTGATTCTTTTGGTTATTTACCTCAATATCTCTAAACATTATATTGTTTCAACTTTAGGAATGACCTCAACAACAAAACATAAAGTTTTTATCCCCCCCTTCTCCCTGTGTAGCTGTATCATAATTTTATTTAGTTCAGTTACTGGTATTTATTTGATGACATAAATATTATTCACAGTTGAGCTATGCAGAATATTATGATTAATTTCCCTTTCTGTTTTCTTTTCCCTGGAGTTAATAATTATCACATTTTCATTTTGCTTAATTTTCTATGAATAATCACAAATTCAACCCAAACTCCCTATAGTTGTGTCTTATAAAGGCTTAACTCATTTTATTGCTTTTCATTTTTGTTGTGCTTCACAGATGTTGTGCTTCACAGATATTTTGCTTTCTGCAAATTGAAATTTTGTGGCAACCTGCATTGAACAAGTCTATTGGTGCCATTTTTCTAACAGCATGTGCTCATTTTGTGTCTCTGTGGCACATTTTGGTCATTCTCACAATCTTTCAAAGTTTTTCATTATTATTGTGTCTGTTGTGGTGATCTGTGATCAGTGATCTTAGGTGTTACTATTGTAATTGTTTTGGGGGCCCACAAACCATGCCCGCAAATGACAGTGAGTTTAATCAATAGATGTTGCATGTGTACCGACTGCTCCGCTCACTGGCCACTCCCCTGTCTCTCTCCCTCTCCTCCGTGGGCCTCCTTACCCTTTTATTTATTTATTTATTTTAGATGGAGTCTCGCTCTGTCATCCAGGCTGGAGTGCAGTGGTGTGATCTCAGCATACTGCAACCTCCGTCTCCCGGGTTCAAGCAATTCTCCTGCCTCAGCCTCCTGAGTAGCTGGGATTACAGGTGCCCACCACCACGGCAGGCTAATTTTTTTTTGTATTTTTAGTAGAGATGGGGTTTCACCATATTGGTCAGGCTGGTTTCGAACTCCTAACCTCAAGTGATATGCCCACCTCGGCCTCCCAAAGTGCTAGTATTACAGGCATGAGCCACCGAGCTCGCCGGGCCTCCCTATCTTAAGAGACACCACAATATTGAAATTAGGCCAGTTAATAATCCTAAAATGACCTCTAAGTGTTCAAGTGAAAGGAAGAGTTGCATGCCTTTCACTTTAAGTCAAGAGCTAGAAATGACTAAGCTTAGTGAGGAAGGCATGTTGAAAGCTGACACAAGGCCGAAAGCTAGGCCTCTTGCGCCAGTCAGCCAAGTTACAAATGCAAAGGAAAAATTTTTGAAGGAAATTAAAAGTGCCACTCCAGTGACCACACAAATAATAAGAAAGAAAATCAGCCTTATTGCTGATATGGAGAAAGTTTGAGTGGTCTGGATAGAAGATCAAACCAGCCACAACATTCCCTTAAGCCAAAGTCTAATCCAGCGTAAAGTCTAACTCTTTTCAATTCTGTGAAGGCTGAGACAGGTGAGAAAGCTGCTGAAGAAAAGTTTGAAGCTAGAAGAGGTTGATTCATGAAGTTTAAGGAAAGAAGCTGTCCCTATAACTTGAACGTGAGAGGAGAAGCAACAGGTGCTGATTGAGAAGCTGTGGCAAGTTTTTCAGAAGATCTAGCTAAGATAATTAATCAAGGTGGCTACACTAAACAACGGATTTTCAATGTAGCTGAAATAGTCTTCTACTGGAAGGAGATGCAATCTAGGATTTTCATAGCTAGAGAGGAGAAGTCAATGCCTAGCTTCAAAGCTTGAAAGGACAGGCTAACTCTCTCACTGGGGGCCAGTGCAGCTGGTGATTTTAAGTTGAAGTCAAGGCTCATATACTATTCTGAAAATCCTAGGGCCTTAAGAATTATGCTAAATTGACTCTGCCCATGCTCTATAAATAGAACAAGAAAGCCTGAATGACAGCACATCTGCTTACAGGCTGAGAGATGCAAGGAAGCTCACTGTTTCAAGCCCACTGTTGAGACCTACTCTTCAGAAAAAAAGATTCCTTTGACAACGCACCTGATTACCAAAGAGCTCTGATGGAGATGTACAAAAAGATTAATGTTTTTTTCATGCCTGTTAATACAATATTTATTCTATAGCCCATGGATCAAGGAGTAATTTTGTCATTCAAGTCTTATTATCGAAGGAATACATTTCATAAGGCTGTGGCTGCCATAAACAGTGATTCCTCTAATGGATCTGAGCAAAGTAAACTGAAAACCTTCTGGAAAGGATTCACCATTCTAGATACCATTAAGAACACTTTTAATTCATAAGAGGAGGTCAAAATATCAACATGAACAGAAGTCCAGAAAAAGTTGATTCCAACTCTTATGGATGACTCTGAGTAGTTCAAGACTTCAGTGAAGGAAGTAACTGCAGATGTGATAGAAATAACAAGAGAATTAGAATTAGAAGTGGAGCCTGAAGATTTGACTGTATTGCTGCAATCTCAGGATAAAACTTGAACAGATGAGGAATTGCTTCTTACAGATGAGCAAAGAAAGTGGTTTCTTTGCTGGGTGCGGTGTCTCATGCCTGTAATCCCAGAACTTTAGGAGGCCGAGGTGGGTGGATCTCGAGGTCAGGAGATTGAGACCATCCTGGCTAACACGGTGAAACCCCTTCTGTACTAAAAATACAAAAAATTAGCCGGGCATGGTGGCGGGCACCTGTAGTCCCAGCTACTCAGGAGGCCGAGGCAGGAGAATGGCGTGAACCCGGGAGGCAGACCTTGCAGTGAGCTGAGACCATACCACTGCACTCCAGCCTGGGCAACAGAGACTCCATCTCAAAAAAAAAAAAAAAAAAGGAAAGAAAGTGGTTTCTTGAGATGGCATCTACTTCTGGTGGAGATACTGTGAACATTGTTGAAATGATAACAAAGAATTTAGAATATTACATAAACTTAGCTGATGAAGCAGTGGCAAGGTTTGAGAAGATTTGACTCTAATTTTGAAAAAAGTTCCACTGTGGGTAAAATGCTTTCAAACAGCATTGCATGCTAGAGAGATAACTTTCATGAAAGGAAGAGTCAATTGATACAGCAAACGTAATTATTGTTGTACTTTAAGAAATTGCCATAGTCACCCCAACCTTCAGTAACCACCACCTTGGTCAGTCAGTATCCATCAACACCAAGGCAAGGCCCTCCATCAGCAAAATTGTGACTCACTGAAGGCTCAGATTGTTGTTGGCATTTTTTTAGCAATAAAATATTTTTAATTAGACATAATGCTATTGCACACTTTAAAGACTACAATACGGTATAAGTGTATGAACTGGGAAACCAAAAACTTATGTGACTCATATTATTGCAATATTTGCTTTATTGCAGTGGTCTGGAACCAAACCCACAATATCTTCGAGGTATGCCTGTATGTTTAAACACATATAGGTGTGGTACAAGCTTTATCTTCTTGAAGGTGTATCTCCCAGGACCTTCTGATCTGTTACAGGCTGGACCAGTGTTCTCAAAGTCTGTTCTACAGTGGTCAACGTGAGCTCTCTGTTGATTATTCTCCTGGGAGTACCTTTCACCTCCCTCTTATGTTGAGTGTTCAGTTTGTTGGATCCTACACCTTCTTCTTTCTTGGTTTAATCCTTAATTTTGGCAAAACACTTCCTCCAGCAAGTTCCTAAGAAAACGTACATGGGGGATAAATTTTTTGAGGTCTTGCATGTCTGAAATGTTTTTATTCTATCCTCACAGAAGGTTGATAGTTTTTCTGGGTATGGAATTCTAGATATAAAATTATTTTTTGCCCACAGAATTGTGAAAGCACTTGTGCCTGTTAATATGATCCGGTGGTGCTGTTGAGATGGATACTGCTCTTTAATTATTTGTAAACAAATACTCTCTGACTTGATGCAGAGGTTCACAGGGTCTCTTAGAGATCACGAGAATATTTTGCATGTGTCACCTTGACTCATTTGCAACTTTTCCTACAACTGCCATTGACTGCTTATTTGTCATAGGGCTCTTGGTTTCTATTTTTCTTCAGATTCATCTACAATAAAATTATGACTGCCACATAGACTTACTACTTTCACGGTGATATGAATTTGAATGAAATAACAAGCATGCCCTGAGGCATTTGCTTGATAAATAATATTTGCTTGATAAATAGTATTTGGACTCTCACAAAAATATGACAGAATATTTTTCCCTAATTCCCACTGACTTCCTTCACAAGAACTTTAATAAAAAGTAACAAATAGCTAATGATAACAATTTTCCAATAAGAGTTTTCATTGAGGATATATTAATAGCACTAAAATACTATCTATTGGTTAGAGTCTTTTACATTGTTTTAATATATGTAAATACCACATACCCAAAAATGATGCTGGTTGAGAGAATTGAAGAAAAAGGCAAATACATATTTTCCTCTTTCCCAAAATCCCTTGAAATAACAACAAAAAAAAACTTTTAAGAGGACAGAAGAGGAATAAATTATAATGTCACTGGAGGACACAAGGAGGCTACCAACAGTGGCCCAGAGTATAAAAGAATTCTTGGAGGTAAGAAATCAGGTGAAAACTGCAACTACAATACAACCGTAAAACCCTTAAGAAATGATTATAGTTAACTTTATGCTAATAAACTTGAAATTAATAAAATTCACATAAGAAGAAATAGAAAGCGAGTGAATCCTCAATAAGAAATTGAATGAGTAATCCAATAACTCCCCCATTCACTACCCCCTTTTATTTCTGGCTTCTTTGCTTAACATTATGTTTGTAAGATTTATCTATATTGCCTGTAGCAGTAAGTTGTTATTTTTATTGCTGCATAGTATCCACTTTGTGAATAAAAGTTCTTTGTCTGTTGTACCACTGAGGATATTGGGCTGTTCCCAGTGTGAGATTATTATAAATATTCCTAAAATGAACATTTATGTACCAATATCCAACATTTTCAAGGACATATGTATGCATTCCTGCATATACCCAGTAGTAATACTGCTAATTCCAGTAATGAAATTAGAGTATATACATATGTTCAATTTTAGTAGATACTGCTTAACAATTTTATAAAGGACTATACAAATTTATATTTTTACCAGCAGTGTTTGTGATTCCAGTTTCTCCACATCCTTATCAACACTTGGTATTGTCAATTTTTAAAATCTTAGGCATTCTGGTAAGCATGTCGTGTGATCTTTTATTTTTTTGAGACAGAGTCTCACTCTGTTGCCAGGGTGGAGTGCGGTGGCGCAATCTTGGCTCACTGCAACCTCTGCCTCCTGGATTCAAGCGATTCTCCTGACTCAGCCTCCTGAGTAGCATGCCACCACGCCCAGTTGGGTGTTTTTGGTTTTTTTTTTTTTTTTTGGAGATGAAGTCTCCAGGCTGGAGTGTGATGGCACAAGCTTGGCTCACTGCAACCTCTGCCTCCCAGGTTCAAGTGATTCTCCTGCCTCAGCCTCCCAAGTAGCTGGAATTACAGGCGCCTGCCACCACGCCTGGCTAGTTTTTGTATTATTAGTAGAGACAGGATTTCACCATGTTGGCCAGGCTGGTCTTGAACTCCTGACCTCAGGTGATCCACCCGCCTTGGCCTCCCAAAGTGCTGGGATTACAGGCGTGAGCCACCATGCCCGGCCTAATTTTTATATTTTTAGTAGAGATGAAGTTTCACCATGTTGCCCAGGATGATCTCGATCTCTTGACCTCCTGATCTGCCTGCCTTGGCCTCCCAAAGTGCTGGGATTAGAGGTGTGAGCCACTGTGCCCAGCCATAGTGTGATCTTATCATGGTTCTAATTTGTGTTTATCTGAGACTAGTTTTATTGAACACATTTTCATGATCTTTTTTTTTGCCATTGATCTATTTGTCTCTCTTTGCACCTTTACTGTTAATTACTGCAGCATTGTATAAATCTTGATATCTGTCAATGTAAGTTTCCAACTTTGTTCTTCAAGATTTTCTTGAGTACTCTTGACCCTTAGTTGTTCCACATAAAATTTAGAAGCAACCTGTCATTTTACACACACACACTGTGTGGTTTTGATTGGAATTGCATTAAATTGATGAATCAATTTAGGAGAGTTGACAACTTTTCTTTTTTTTTGTTTTTTTGAGACAGAGTCTAGCTGTTGTCAGCCTGGGCTGGAATGCAACGGTGCGATCTCGGCTCACTACAACCTCTGCCTCCCGGGTTCCAGCAATTCTCTGGCCTCAGCCTCCCAAGTAGCTGAGATTACAGGCTCCCACGACCACGCCCAGATAATGTTTGTATTTTTTAGTAGAGACGGGGTTTCGCCACGTTGGCCAGGCTTGTCTTGAACTCCTGACCTCAGGTGAACCACCCACTTCAGCCTCCCAAAGTGCTGAGATTACAGGCATAAGCCACCGTGCCTGGCGACAACTTTTCAATATTGAGTCTCCCAATCCATGAATGTGATATATTTCTCTGTTATTTAGTTTTTTTTTAATTTCTTTCTATAATGTTTTGTGGTTTTTCAGTGTAGAAGCCTTACACATATTTTATGTGTAAGATAAATATTTAATGTTTTATGTTCATATAAATGGTGTTATCAAATTCTATTTCTAGTTGTTTGTTTCTATTATATAGATGTACAGTTGATTTTTGTACGTTCACCTTGTGACCAGAGACCTTGTAGAATTACTATTTTAATTACAGTAATTTCTCTTTAAGGCTTTTCCATGTTCTCAACCACATCATCTGCAAATTATAATGACTTTGGTTTTTTTTTCCAATCTTTATCATATTTCTTTTATTTTCTGTCTTATTTTATTGGCTGGCGTGTCTAGGACAATGTTGATTAGTCCTGGTGATAGCAGACGTTGCTGTCTCATTGCTCATCTCAGGAGAAAAACTTTCAATATTTTTAAATTAAGTATAATGTCTGCTCTAGGTTTTTGCAGAAAATTTTTTAAATTTCAGATTTAAGAAATCCTCTTCTATTTCTAGATTCTTACAATTCCTTAAAGTGCTGAATGTTACCAAGTAATTATTCTGCATCTTTTGAGAGGACTATATAATTTTTCCATTTTATTCTGTTAAGGTAGAAAATTGCACTGATAATTTTTCCAATATTAAGCAACCTTGCATTCCTAGAATAAATTCAACTTGATCATGATGTGTTTTATATATAATGCCGAATTCTGTTTGTAAATACTTTGCATATTGTTTTTGCATCTGTGACAATGAATGTGAATAAACTGTAATATTTCTTTCTTATCCTAATTTTATCAGATTTTTATATCAAGGGATATCTCTGGAAGCTTGGCCCTTAAAATCCTGACCGCTTTGGTTGCTCTCTGATGTCTTCTGATAGCTAGATTTTTTTTTAATGCTATCGAGTTTTATAATTATTCTCAGGGTAGTGTTTGTGTGATACAAGCTAGTCATGCATAGCCAGAAACAAAACTTTTGCCTTTTGCAAACCTGATAAGCAAATGAAACTTCAAACAAATATATAACTTTTAGTTAATCTTCTGACCTGGTTCAGTTCCTGAAAAATTCTTGGGTTGCCAAAAGTATAGTTTTGACTTTCAGTGCCATTTAGTGCCCTAATCTGTTAAAACAGTTGTAGGAAAATAAATACAATTTAATTACAATCATAATATTTTATCCCTTTAAAGTGAAGAAAAAAAGGAATTTAGTTGGAAAATGTTAATGTGGCCAAGTCTGTGATCTTTTTCAAGTATTAATTAATTGCTATATTAATTAATTAGTAATATATTAAGTAATTGCTGTATAATTACAGTAAGGAACACTGTAGCATTCTCAATGATGGGACTCAAAAATTTCACTGGATGAAAGAAGGAGGATTCAACTATTTATATCTGACAATTCTCAGTAAGAGAAAGATATTATGTGGCAGAAGGATGGTCAAATTACACCCATTAATTTTAAGTGGTTGCTAAATACATTTCTTGCATTTGGCTAAGAAATAGGACATGCATCCTATAGTAATGAAATATATGGTAAGGTCAACCTGAAATTGGTATAAACAGTAAAAACTAGGAGAGAGGTGAGGTGAGAGCAGAGAAGTTGAGATAACACTGTCATTTGTTAAACTTCTATGTGCTAAGTGCTGTGCTTGGGGCTTTGCTGGCATTATCTTACTTAATCCCTGCAAACACAATAAGGTATTTTTATCTCCAATTTTACAAGAGGAAATTGAGGCTCAGTAAAAAATAATGACTTCCCAAACATCGTACAGATAGTAAGTGGGATTCAAATTTACCTCTGTTTGACTCTAGAACCTGTGTTCTTTCTAGTAAACCAGGCTGAGATTAAACAGAAGAGAAACCCGGTATTCTTATCAGTGAAGACTAGATGCTCTATTAGGAAGCCCTGCAAAAGAGGTGCTGAAGAAAGAAGCAAGAGTTTAGTTACACGTTTATGATTTGTTGGGTAAGGATTTTATGTTGGGTGTGTGTTTCCTTTGTCTCTGGAATTCCTGGTATATTCTCAAATAAAAACATTTCCTGTTTACTACTGACTGGGCTAACATCCAATAACCAAGCAATGTAAACAAATTCCAACATTTTTCTATCTCATGTAGGGTTAGAGCCCGTATATCTCTGGTTGACTTGCTCAGTGGTTTACAAAATAGTACAGTTAAGTCTACGTCATTGGTTAGGTCTTCATTTCCTAAATGTGTTTTCCAGAACATACTAGTTCTACATATTAATAGCTATTATTCAGGAAAAAAAGTAGGTATCTGGGGTTGGTTCATAGTAAAATATGTTTAATAAACTGTGCATTAAACCGAGTGAAACAAATGTCTAGTTTTAAACTTTTCTAACCTTAAAATATTTAGTACGTAGTGTGAATCTTCAAGAGGAGGTATAAGTATTTTCCAAACTTATTTGGCTTCAGAACACTGAGGATTATCTTCTGGAATGGGTGTTATTTAGGCCATGTTTTGGGAAAGAATGAATTAGATGCTTTATAGGCCAATTCGTTTTATAGAAAAATGCTGCATCATTGGTCATAAGCGGAAAGGTATAAAAATGTAATCAAAGCAGCCCCATGGACCAACCCTCCTAGTGATGCAGTATAGATCCCATCACAAAAGATTTGGCACAGAGCGTGATTGACTTCCTGAAGAGATATTGTAGAGGAGATTGCTACATGGGAAAGAAGTTGGACAAGATGACCTTTAACTTTTTTCACATGCTAAGATTCTTTGTTTCTATGAAAACCATAATCCCTTTTAGAAAAGCAAATAAACAAAAAGTGGTGTGAAACTGCTATTTATAATAAGAAATGTATATTTAGTCTTTGTCCTGTTGCCTGACACACAGCTCCTAGAACCCTTAGAATCTCCAAACTAATGTGTCTTCTTGTAGGCTAACAAGAGATGACTGGTGGCTAGGGGCTCCTGGATAGCCTCAGGAAGTGGGGGCTGGTTCCCAGGGAAACCAACCATGTCATTAGAATGTTGGAAATTTAAGTCCCATCCCCAGACCTCCTGGAAGAGGAGAGGAGCTAAGGGTTGAATCCATCACCAATGGCCATTGATTTAATTAATCACTCCTATAAAACAAAGCCTCCACACAAACCCAAAGGGATGGGAGTTGAGAGACCTTCCAGGTTGCTAAACATGCAGAGGTGCTAGGAGGGTGGCACACCTGGGGAGGGCATGGAAGCTCCACAACCCCTTCCCCCATACCTTGCCCTATGCACCTTTTCCATCTGGCTATTAATCTGTATCCTTTATAATAATGCAAGTAAATGTAAGTGTTTCCCTGAGTTCTGTGAGTCATTCTAGCAAATGATTGAACCCAAAGACAGGGTAGTGGGAATCTCCAATTTATATCTGCTTGGTCAGAAGCACAGGTGGCAACCAGTGGCTTTCGATTGGCATCTGAAGTGGGCCAGGTGACCAGGGTGGGAGGGCGGCAGTTTCATGGGACTGAGCCCTTAACCTATGGAGTCTGCTCCATAGGTTAATATCAGAAATGAGTTAAATTGTAGGACACTCTGTCAGTATCCACTGGAGAATTACTTGGTATCTGGGGAAACAACCCCACACATCTGCTGTGTTGAGACTGTAGTAGAAGAAGAGAGCCAGTTCATTTAGTTGTTTTTGCCCTATTTCATACAAGTGGCATCTTGCAACTATGTATATTAATTAGGTAAAGTCTCAGCAGTTATAACAAAGAGACACACAATACAATGGTTTAAATAAAATGGAAGTTTATTTCTTATGTAAAACTCCTCAGGGGAGCATTTCAGGTCAGCAGGTTGGCTCCACTCCCCTCTGTGAGCTCCATCAGGGTCCCAGGTTCCCTCCACCTCCTTGGTCTGCTCCCCAGGGCATTGTCTTCCTCTACGCAGCTCAGCCAGCTCACTAGTGTGCCTGCTTTTCACTTCACAGTAAAAGGGAGTCCCAGGCAAGTAACTTTTTTCTTTTAATTAAGTAAGGCTGAAGTTACTTACTTCAATTTGCTCACATTTCATTGGGGACAATTTAATCACATGGCCAAACCTAGGTATAGAGTTGGTTGGGAAGTCCATTCTTAAGCCAGGCAGTTATGTGCACAAGAAAAAGGGGAAAAGAGATTTTGGAAGAACAACTAAGACTCTGCCACACTGTTGTTGGGACAAACACCAGTTGATAATCATTACTTGGTCATTACTAACATTTACTAATGAACAGCCAGTTCCGACTGACCAAATCCTTTCTAGAAAAATATTGACTTCCTGTCAGTGTGATACTCAAGTACTCCAACTTATGAAGCATGGAAGTTCTCAGAAGAGCTCTGGTTATCTGTCAGGGCTGGAGGATCAGTGCAGCAAATCAGGGGAGGTGCAGGGGTCAGTAAACAATTAATAGTCAGTATCCTCTGCAGCTCACTTACTGTCATTCATGTTCCTTCACTAATTTTTTTTTAAAAAATGGTTAAATAGGAGAAGAAAACTGGCAGATCTTAATTTTATGCAACTTCAACTGCATCAGTGTGTGCTATGAGGACAAGTCCATGGGGTACAGTTAAAAAAAAAAGGCTTAATAGGAAACCAATCTTTACATAGGAAATATGCAACTCAAAATCTTCTCTTTCTAATGTTCGGTAGGAACTCAATCAAAAGCAGATGATATATATACAACCGAACAGAGGGCCCTGACAGCAGATGTGTTGGTTACCAGCCCTGCATTTCACTTCATCCTTTCCTAAGGATGCTGCCACAGGTCCTAGGTATTTGGGGTTCTGCTCCTTTCCTTAGAGTCATTCCCATGCAATGGCAACACTTCCCTTTGCAAAGTCAATGACACTGTCAAGTCTGCCATGTAGCTGAAGTCCATATGGAACATCCTAGGGGGTAAAACCCCCAAAATTATTTATCTGACCACCTGCTTCAGAAATTTCACCATCTCAGATGCAGTATCTGGGGATTTCAAAGTTTCCAAAGTCTTCAAGATGTCCCCGTTAAGATGAAAATAACTCTGGGAGAGAAAAATATCACAAGCTAATTATCCTCAAACCTGGGCCTTTGGAATCACCTGGAGAGATTTTTCAAAAACACAAATGCTTGGGCCTCATTCTCTCCATGTACTAAGTCAGAATATCTGAAATGGGACCTGGGATTTTCTATTTTATTTTCAGCTTTCTAAATAATTCCATGCCTGGGTTTGGGAACCAGGGACTTAGGACATTCTCAGTTAGTTCAGAGATTCTTCAGCAACTCAGAGGTGTTTTGAGGGATGATGATTTGGGAGACAGAAAAGGAGAGAGCAGGAATGGGAAGGTTCTGGAAACTTTATGGAAAGGCTCAAAAGGACAAGCATGGTTTCTTCTCAGCCTTGTTTCGCCTTGACTAAAAAATGGCCATTTGTAAAACAATATACAATATTTCATTACCCTTGCCTTATGGAAATGTCTGATCTCATTCTCTTTCTAATCATCAGGAAATATTGTGTCACATTTTATTTATATCCTTTTGTTTTCCCCTAATTTATAAGATCAATGGAACATGGGTATGGGGGTTGGAATAATCTTCTGAATTCCTGGGAGAAATCCTCAAAGGGCCTTGGGCTCCATCCTCACTTCCTGGAGGAGAGATGGAACTTCTGGGAGAGTGACTAGTTCCTCAGGACCAGGCCTGAGTGAGAAAGGCAACCTAAAGCACTCTGCAGCTTCCATCATCTCTGTGATCAGACCTTCAGATCAGAGACCTTTTCCTTACATCTGACTTCATCTTTTCCTCTTAATATTCAAGTCTGTTTCCCCAGCTTTCTACTCTCTGGAGATATGGAGAACAGCTGCTTGGGGACCTCCTGATCCCTGAAGCTAAAGAATTCTCCCATTAACATTTTTTTTCCAGACAAAATAACTCTGATTTCCATAACCTTTTTTATGGTCTCATTTCTTAGTCCTTTATTTTCATAGCTCTCCTTTGGATGTAGTTCTTCCAGTAAGAAATGAATCAATGCCAAATATAACCAAAGAATCCTTTCCTGTTTTCTCTATGTCTTCAATTAAAATGACGAATCTAGTTTTTTAAAAACAGCTTTGCTGGCCATTGCTAACGTATTTTCAATAAGTGGTCCCCATGTTCTTGGATTATTGGGGAAAATTACTCTTATAGAGAAAATAGCTTCAGGCTAGAAATCCAGAGACCTGTGTTTTAGACCCAATTTTGTCACAATCAAACTACATAACTTCTTGTTTATTTTTTAAAACTTATTTGGGTCTGTTTGTTTCATCTGTAAAGTGAATCAGATGGACTAGTTGACCTTTAAATTCACTCCTACTCTAAAATTCTTATTTCTGCTTATTTTATTTTGATTCATGTCTGATTTCTCAGTAGCAAAACAATCTGAACTCCCACAGCACTTTATTTGTACATCTCTTATAGCTGTGTCACTCTTGTACCTATAATACAATCATTTCTATTGTATCATGCATGCCATAGCTTTCCTACTAGTTCAAAAAGTACTTAAAGGCAGGACCCAAGTAACTCTATAACTTGCTTTAGCACAGTGCTTTGCCAATAACCATTTGTTGAATGAGTCTATGCATGAATATTTAATGTTCCTCTGCCAAGTAAAGAGTAACATTTTTTGGAGTACGAAAAATGATGACTGACAATTTTGTCCTCTGTGCCCCTGTAGCTCTGTCTGCCCCTCTGTGGTGAGATGCCTTCACTATTTGCACTGGCCTCTTGTGGATAATCCATTGCATGTAGAAATGTCAATGACAGGACAGGTAATTGTATATAAACAAGGTTGTTTTCCCCAGGAGAAATTAAGAGACTTCAAAAGATTTGCAGTACAAAAAGAACAAAGACTGCAGACTGCAGGTTAGAAAGAAGGAAAGGCTAGACAATCAGAGAAGAGTTTGAGCTGAGAAAGAAGTATCTGAAAGTAGAAAAGTACAGAGTTTTTTTCTGAGCAGCCTAAAACCAAGAGATTAAACTCTACCCTGAAGGTTGGGGATAGAAGTGCAATATGTGGGCTCAGGGAAATTGGTGAGAATAGTCTCCGAAGCTGGACCCTTATCAGCTCTGGACACCTGTGATTTCCTAACTTGTAAATACTTTGAACTTCTATTGATTCGCTGCTGGAGAAAACCCATATTACTACAAACCAGAGACCCAAAAGGCCATGGGGTGTCACCATGGTGACAATTTAACCATGAAAGTGACACAAATTATAGTTGGGGGTTGAGTGAGAGATTGAAGGGCTTCTAAGCTGAAAGCCCAACCAAGAGGCCTAAGCTCTGGGGAGGAGATTAATGATGAGTCAACTGCTGCTGCTACCCCCAGCCCAGAAGGCTGGCTTTTGGCACAGCTAACACAGTTGACCATTCTCATGCTCCTATTGACCTAGAAGAAATCTGGTAGGCATAATAAAAGACAGTTTGCAGCTTGTTTTCTCTTTCTAGGTCTCTGACTCAGTGGAATAGAGGCTGATATGGACCAAGACACCATAGATACCGCTGCACACTGCCTTCTATGAGCCAGGGATCCAGGACTGACCTCCAGACCAACCCAATAAAATTTTGTATATAGAATGACAATGTGTTCTGAGCACCAGTCACACTCCACATCCCATTCCCCTTGTTTTTACTCATATTGAAACAATTTGATGCCACTTCTAGATGAGTTAGAGGCCAAGGACTCTGGAAAACAGAACAATAAGCACTTTCTTATCTGAAGATGGTATGATTTTATTCTTACAGGTTGAAAGTGGCCTTCCAAGAAAATGGTCTTTGTGATCTGCTTAGGAAAGAGTGGTCAAAAATTAACTATTCTATGACCAAGGGCACCATTTCTGGCAGCCACCTTCCAACTTTGTCCAGGTTTATACCCAGGTAAGGAATCAGTGGAGCTTCTTGTCATGAGTATGGTCTCTGGGGTGGCTCTGCCATGACATGAGGTTTGTTTCCAACTCTTAGCAGTTGGGTAACATTTATTTAACAATTCCTGGCCTCAGTTTTTCATTTGTAAAATGGGTTAATAATAATAATAGTTCTTACCTCGTAAGGTTGTTGTGAAGAACAAATGTGTTTACATGTAAAATGCTTAGAACAGTGTCCAATAAATGTTAACTATTGATACATGGCTTCTAATCCTGTCCACCAGATGATGTCATCTATTCCCGAGATGTAGTTGTTAATCTTTCAAGAAATCCAAGACAGTTCAATTACTCAGTGTTAAGCATTCTGTAGGCATTATTACTGTATTGTTTTTGTTTGGAGTTTTTGACTATTGTTGTTGTTTAATGTTCAACATGAACACTTAATTATAGCTGTTTAAAATGCTTCCAGGTAAGAATTATTGTGGCAGTGCTTAATAGTGTAAAACTTGGGAATCTCTCATCCATTTGTCTGTGAGTTAGTGGACATACAAAACCGTTCCTGAGGACGGTCCTATCTTCCCTTGGCTCAACTCAGAGGGACCGTGGGGTGACTTCTATGTCCATATTGTCCTTGTCTTGTTGCTAAATTTTTATAACAATATAGCAATTCTACCCAAGACTCACTGATTTTTAAAAATAGATGGTTTTGTATTAAATCTGTAACACAAAAGAGCTGCACTTCAGATATTTGTTCAAAGAGTATAATCTCTAGCATATTGCTGCAGGTTCTAAAGATATCAAAAGTCCTGCTGAGAAAAATAATATTCATGGAAGATTTTGTGTGTGTTTCCATTCTCCTAGGTCAGTGATTTTCCAAATTTTTATATTTCACAGGCCAGTTTTTAAAAAGTATTTTTTTAATGATGGTTACTGATATAGGCTGCTAACTTCTTTTACCAATAAGGCTGTAACAAAAAGAGAGTCTTTTAAATTGACGTTTTATGGAAATTTAATGTTATGGAAAATTCACTACTCACTGATTGTTTTTTTTCTTTTTACCATGAACCCATGAAAATTTTATCTCTGACTACCAGACTGGCACTTGAGAACACGGAGATAATTTATAACTTATCCCTAGATGAAACCCAATCACTAGTGACTTCGCACCTGAGATGCATCATTGTGAGTACCTGCAGAAGGATTTCTACCAAATCACACACTTCGATGGGACCTTGATTAATGAAGAGTGTTACAGAAATGTCCTTTGAAGCTTGTCACTTCATTTAGTCCAAAGCTGTCACAAAGACATTATTTTTTGCATTACCTGGCCTTCTCTCTTAGAAGACCTACTGGAGAAATCCCACTCTGGTCTCAGTAGCAGAAGAATTTGGACTTGTCTAAGCAGTGGATTTGTATTTTATCTTCTTTATGATGGGAATAATTTTACCCTTCCTCTTCATAAATCTCCTTGAAATTTTTAACTCAGCTCATCTCTAACATGCACATAAAATTTCAAGAAATGTGATTTGTGTATTCACCATGCTCCTGGCTCCATCCTGTGCTTCTACCGTTTTCCCTTTGCCTTATTTTATTTATTTATTTTTTTACCTGTTTGACCTTGTTGTACTACATACTCCTTTGTAAGCTATCTTAAATCCTTTCCAGTGCCAGCAGGGATGTACTTAAGTACATAAATTAGTCAATGGAGGACCACCTGTGACCTAGATATAGCTTCACGAGGACCCCTCGCTGCCCAGGGGACCCACTCACATATCTAGGACTCATCTGCACAGATTTCCCGGTGCTGACTGGAGAGAAAATCGGCATCATGTATCCCATTAATATGCTAGCTGCTGGTACGGTCTGAGTGTTGTCCTGGTCTGTACTTTAACAGGAGCCACCAACGCCTCACTTTATACGAATAAGGTGAGAATTTCAAGTGCCATAGCAAAGCCAGGAGAACGGTATGTAGGGGAGAAGGGCCACTAAATTAGGGTTTGTCCAACTGCAGATCCCAATCTATTAGAGGATTGTAAAATTAGGGTTATAACTAACATTTTTTTCTTGAAAAATTTCAAGGTTTTATGGAAGTGTAGTCTTGTGGAAAATAAGTATAACATAAACAACAGAGTGCATTGCATGGAGTGAGGGTAAGGATTTATTCATAAAACTTTGGTGTGTGTGTCTGCTGGGTCACAATAAAAACATATTTCTTAGTATGGATTATGAAAACTTCCTTAAATAATATCACATAAGGGTGTGCCTATTCTATCTATACATAAAACAGGCCTTGGGCCTTGATATGGTTTGGCTCTGTGTCCCCATCCAAATCTCACCTTGAATTGTAACAATCCCCACATGTCAAGGGCAGGACTGGGTAGAGGTAATTGGATCATGGGGGCAGTTTCTGCCATGCCGTTCTTGTGATAGTGAGTGAGTCTCAAGAGATCTGATGGTTTTATAAGCATGTGGCATTTCCCCTGCTTGCACTCATTCTCTTTCCTGCTGCCCTGTGAAGAGGTATCTTCTGCCATGATTGGAAGTTTCTTGAGGACTCCCCAGCCATGCAAACTGTGAGTCAATTAAATCTCTTTTCTTTATAAATTATCCAGTGTCAGGTATTTCTTTGTAGCAATGTGAGAATGGACTAATATAGTAAATGGTCAGACTCAATCCTCACTCAGAAACTGTACCACACAAACAAAATTCCACATAGCAAATACTCACTTTCCCAACAGAATGTTTTCTCATTGATGACTTCTCATTAATACGTTTTTGTGCACCATATTAGTCAGGGTTTTCTAGAGAAACCGAACCAATAGGATTTGTGTGGGTGTGTATATATATATATATATATATATATATATATATATATATATATATATATACACACACACACACACACACACACACACATATGTATATATACACACACACACACACATATCTCCAGAGAGAGAGGGAGAGAGATTGTATATATACAATCTATGTGTGTCTGTCTATACATGTGTGTATACACAAACACACACAAATCCTATTGGTTCTGTTTCTCTAGAAAACCCTGACTACTATGGTGCACAAAAACCTGTTAATGTTTTTGTCTCAAGGAGACAAATGTCAATTAATATCTCAAGGCGAGAAAGGTAGAGAGATTGAGATTCCTTTAAGGAACTGGCTCTCAGTTGTGGAGACTTGGCAAGTCCAAAATCTTCAGCATAGGCTGGAGACCCAGGGAAGACCTGCAGTTCCAGGCCAAAGGCAAACTACAGGCAGAATCCTTTCTCCCTCATCAGAGTCAGTCTAAGGCCTTCAACGGACTGTTTGAGGCCCACTCCCACTATGACGGGTATCTGCTTTACTCACAGTCAAGTGATTTAAATGGTAATATTTCCTATTTGAGCAGCACTGCAGAGAAGGGACTGGCTGGACAATTCCTTCCGGCCTTGGAAATGGCTGGCAAATAAATAAATAAATAAGGAATGTTAATCTCATCCAAAAACACCTGCACAGACACATCCAGAATAATGTTTGATCAAATCTGTCCCCATGGCCCAGCCAAGGTGACACATAACATTAACCATCACATGCCCCTCAGTTTAGATTCACAGAACCAGAGAAAAATAGTGGGCTTTGCCTACACAACTGAAGTTATTGTGGCCATTAAGACCAGATCCTAAACAGGCTGTGTCAGTGTTGTGCTGGCGCTGGCTCCTTCTAGCTGCTGATTGCAAATTATGCCTGATTCTTCCCAAGTCTGCATTCAAATGGCATCACGTTTGTGCCCGGAAATTGGCCATGGGGCAGTCCTTACACCACAAAGATGCTATAAATCAGGGGTGAGGTCCCTTGAATTTCTGGCTTACCATCACGCCACCAGACCTGTCAGTTTTTCAACAACGTGTTAAAAAGTCTATAATTCCATTTAGTAGGCATGATGTCAAGTCGGAAAATGGAATATTTCTAATTTTAGTAACAAAAATAAAATTTCAAAAGTTTTAAAACATACATTAGCTTCTCTTTTTTTAAATTTCAATAGCTTTAGGGGTACAAGTGGTTTTTGGTTACATGGATGAACTGTATTGTGGTGAAGTCAGAGATTTTAGTGCACCCATCACCCAAGTAGTGTACATTGTACCCAATATGTAGCAAAATATACATAAGTTTCTTAATCACATTTTCAAAAGAACAGAACAAACAGTAACCAATATTGTCAATTGATGGTAGTCCGTCATACTGACTTTTCAATATCTAATTGGTCTACATGGAGTGAGCATATGTACTATTTATTTTCTTTTATAAATAATTGTCATATTATTATAGGAATAAGGCTGGGCATGGTAACTCACACCCGTAATCCCAGCACTTTGGGAGGCTGAGGCGGGCAGATCACTTGAGGTCAGGAGTTCGAGACCAGCCTGGCCAACATGGTGAAACCCCACCTTTACTAAAAATACAAAAATTAGCCAGGCATGATGGTGCATGCCTGTAATCCCAGCTACTCAGTAGGCTGAGGCAGGAGAATCGCTAGAACCCAGGAGGCAGAGGTTTCAGTGAGCCGAGGTTATGCCACTGTACTCCAGCCTGGGTGACAGAGAAAGACTCCATCTCAAAAAAAAAAAAAAAAAAAAAACATTATTATAGGAATGCAATCAGCAAGATCCAGACTATAGTAAACTGTACAGGACATACGATCTATTTCTTCAACAAATACATTTCCAGGGTGACAGAGAAAGAGAGAGGTGGAAGGAGGAGGTGAACCTAAAGCAGTGCTTTCCAAACTTTATTACACATCAGAATCACCCGGGGGGCTGCATGTGGAGTCCCACCCGCAGATTTTTTTAATCAGTTGGTTGCGCTACTGCCAGATAATTTGCATTTAGGAATAAGTTCCCAGGTGATACAGCTGCTCATGATAATCGTATTCTAGTTGTGTTTTTGTTGAAAGGCATTTACATTTCCAATATGGGTTGGATCTGTGTCCCAGCCCAAATCTCATGTGAAATTGTTATCCCCAGTGTTGGAGGTGGGGCCTGGTGGGAGGTGATTTGATCGTGGGGGTGGTTTCTCATGGTTTAGCGTCATCTGCCTAGCGCTGTTCTTGTGACAGAGTTCTCAGGAGATCTGGTTGTTTGAAAATGTGCGGCACATCCCCCCTTGCTGGCTTCCTCCTGCTCTGGCCATATAAGACGTGCCTGCTTCCCCTTCACCTCCCACTGTGATTCTAAATTCCTGAGGCCTCCCCAGAAGCAGAAGCCAACATGCTTCCTATACAGCCTGTGGAACCATGAGCCAATTAAACCTCTTTTCTTTGTAAATTACCCAGTCTCAGGTATTTCTTTATAGCAATGTCAGAATGTACTCATACAATTTTAAAGATGTATTCTAAGACATTACAGATGAAATGATACAATGTCTGTAATTTACTGCAAAATCATCTGCGGCATGGTGGTAAGTAGTGGGGATACTACAAATGAAACTAGATTGGGCAGAGTGATAATTGTTAAATACGGGTGAGGGGTACAGGGGGCCTTCTTATGTTATTCTACTTTTGTGTATTCCATATTTAAAAGTGTTAAAAAGGAAGAATTAAACCCAAATTATTTTAAATATCCACTTCACACCTCTAGAAACAAGTCATCTTTCTTTTTTAATCACTTCTCATTATAGAAAGAAAGGCAGAGGCATCATTCATAAAAAGGGCAAAGCTTTCATTAATTATTTTTTTAACCAGGAAAGGCTGTAAATTCAATCAATCCCTTTGTAACTCAGATGTCAAGGATAACAAATGGTTCCAGCACTTCCATCTGCCAGTATGCATGTGGGAGCATCACCTGCCCAGTGCAGACACTGCCCTTTCTCTTTCTCACCATTTTTCTTTCCTCCACAGCAAACCTGTCCTATTCAATGATAACATCTAGACCCAGAAGGTGATAATAACACCTAGACCCAGAAACACCCAGAAGGTGGTTTCCCATCAATTTTCAAAGACTGGCGGAGGGGACCCAAATTCTGATGTTCCCTTCTACAAAATCATCAAGGCTGGGGGCAGTGGCTCATGCCTGTAGTCCCAGCACTTTGGGAGGCCAAGGCCAGCAGATCACTTGAGGTCAGGAGTTCAAGACCAACCAACATGGTGAAACCCCGTCTCTACTGAAAATACAAAAATTAGCAGGGCATGGTGGCAGACGCCTGTGATCCCAGCTACTCGGGAGGCTGAGGCGGGAAAATCACTTGAACCCGAGCAGTGGAAGTTGCAGTGAGCCGAGATCAAGCCACTGCACTCCAGCTTGGGCAAAAGAGCAAGACTCTGTCTCAATAACAATAATAATAATAATAATAAATCAAAATCATCAAAGTTGGGATTTAGTCAGAGTTACAAATACCTACCCATTTATTATGAGGACTAAACTCTGATTTTTTTATCTTGCCTAAATTCCTATCTAAGGGGTCTGGGGAGTCATGCCCTACAAACCATAAAATCTCATCAGATGTGTTTTATTTAACCCTATATATCATGACTTACTTTCCAATCTGACTCTGGCATAATATTACATGACAGAGAAGAAAATCAAAATATTTTACCCCAAAATATGTTTCTTTGCCATATATTGAAATGTCCCTGCAAAGCCATCCTTTGTGGGGGAAAATTTGCACCTGTAAAGAATCTCTATTAACATAGCTAGATCTTTTTCTTCCAGGCCCTCCCAATCCTGAAGAAATTAACTGAGAGTTAGCACCTTTTATAGATCTGAATAGGAAACATTTGTCATCTATTGTCTCTAAGGGCAGCCACAATGAGACTTCAAAAGAACCTCAATCTCCACAACTTTTTATCTTAACCTGAACATTTCCTTGCTATTGATCCCAGGTCTTTAGACAAACTCAACCAATTGTAAACCAAAATATGGGAAGCCCCCCAGCCCCACTCCACTTAAAATTGTCCTGCCTTACTGGACCAAGCCAATGTATTTCTCAAATATATTTGATTGATGTCTCATGCCTCCCTAAAATGTAAAAAATCAAGCTGCACCCCAACCACTTTGGACACATGTTCTCAGGACCTCCTGAGGGCTGTGTCATGGGCCATGGTCACTCATATTTGTCTCAGAATATATCTCTTCAAATATTTTACAGAGTTTGACTCTGTCCACTAACAATTACAGATACTCAAAAAGGGAAAAGAAAGGTGTAATGAGAATAAATTTTATCTAAATAGTGACTTTTCTTTGTATGAAGGTGTTTCCTCCTCCCCATGAGGTAACCATTGATACCTTCTCCCCAGTGAGGTAACCACCGAGGTAACCACCGCATTTTGGAACCAGAAAAAATCCTCAGAATCTCTATGATCTCTCCCATCCACTTACCAAATGAGGAAACTGATACCCAGATAAGTCAGATGACATGGCCACAGTGAAAAAACTAGCTACTGCCAGAAACTTACCTGCACTTTCAAAAGTTTCTAGTAAAATAAAAGTGAAAAAGGAAAGAAGGGAGGGAGAGAGGATTGACTAACAGAAGAGCTGCTTTCAGGAAAGTTGCCCATACAGTGAAATTTTTAAATAAAATTCTATGTACCAGTTGATTTTTGTTCTAAAATTGGAAATACAGATAGGGGTGTAGTCTATCGATGGACTCAGTTGAAAAAATTTGCTAATTTAAGAGTTAAAGAGGGAGCCAAACACCCATGGAATGTTGCTGCTGTTGAGCTACAGTGTTGGAAGCAATAGTACTTGGGGCGCTTTTCAGTCAATAACAATTACCAACATTTGTGAGCACTAGGCACTGGAGACTAAATGCTGTTTTCTCTATTCCACACTTAGTCCCCGTGACAACTCTGCAAGGTAAATTCTACAGATCTCCTCATTGTATAGATGTGGAAACAGAGGGCCGGATGCAGTGGCTCACGCCTCTAATCCCAGCACTTTGGGAGCCCGAGGTGGGTGGATCACCTGAGGTCTGGAGTTCGAGACCAGCCTGACCAACACGGAGAAACCCCATCTCTACTAAAAATGCAAAATTAGCCGGGTGTGGTGGCGCATGCCTGTAGTCCCATCTACTCTGGAGGCTGAGGCAGGAGAATGGCTTGAACCCAGGAGGCGGAGGTTGCTGTGAGCTAAGATTGCACCATTGCACTCCAGCCTGGGCAACAAGATCAAAACTCTGTCTCAAAAAAAAAAAAAAAAAAAAAAAAGATGTTGAAACAGAGACAGAGAGATTAATAAGTTGCCCAGGTTCATATGTGGGATGGATCTAGGATATCCTCCTCAGCTCTTATTACTAATACTTCTCCCAAGATCACTGGGTACATTTCTATGGGTTGTATCTGCAAAGGAGCCCCAGGCTGGGGGTAGAGAGGGTGGGGAAATGTGAAGGCTGAAATGTAGCCCATAGTTTCCTTACCAAGCTATGGGGCTGCCTTTTTCTGGAGGAGGCAACCTTTTAAAATCCACACAGACACTTTTATGAGCCAGTGGTGGCCCAACTCCTTTCCCAACTAGTTTCCATGCCTTGAGAATTTTAACTACAAGGAGCCGATATTCTTGGAATTTTGTCCTGTGTCTGAATGGCCAGTTGCCTAATAGAACAAGAAATATTATAGCTCATGCATTTTGTCCATAGGGGTTGCTGCAGAATGTGTCATGGTCTACAGCGTTGCCTGGGCTGGGATCGAGTGGGAAGTAACTGAAAGTGGGCATGAAGTAAGTTACTGAGGTTCTGTGAAAGTGTCTAAAACTGGAATGCAGTGAAACTTAATAAAAATCCAACTATCCACTTACAGTGAGTGAATTGTATGTAAATTGTACTTCAATAAAGCTGATTTTTTAAATACCATGATCAGATCAGCAACTCCTTAAGTTGGAGTCATTCTGTAAAGTCACTCTATAAAGATAAAGCATGTCCAAGAATGAATAATGTCGTGATAAGATTAGATAAGTGTATGGGATCTAAAGACTCAAAGACCAGGGCTTCATGGGCTTCGGAGACCTACACAGTCACACAGAGCCCTAAGCTCAGAAAGACTCTGCCCTAGGCTTTATGACTTGTGGTTTCTGTCCGTCTTGATATTCTTAATGATTTCATTTTTGAACGTGTGCTTTATAAGTGAAGACCAACAGGACAATGAGGCCCGTGGATGTGCAGAGGAGATACCTGCAACATGTGTCCACACCTTGCCACCCCTTTAGCTTATGAAATATAGCACTCAACGTGTCCCATGAACACAGAATTCTAGTGACCCACAATGTGTGGGAATTCCGTGACATTTAAAGCCAGTCAAAACAAGCATATTACTTCCATGACTAAGTATGAGCAAAGAGGGGAATGACAGCCCCCAAGAGGCCACACTTTCTGTTTGAAGCGGAACATGCTTCAAATGCAGACAGAAAGCTTTCTAAGAAAGGCGAATGACCCAGAAACCATAACATTTCCTTCGTGACTCTTGTTAATTCCTTGCATGAGTGAACCATTCACCCTGAAAATGATGACATCAGAGGAAAGGAAAGATAGAGCAACCCATAATTCCTTTTCCTTCCAGCCTTTCCTTATTTATCAATACACTGAAGGTGGAGAGCGTTGGTAGAATGTGCCCATATCAAAAAATGAATTAAAACAGTTGAGTCCGTTTTGTGCAGCATTTCCACTGTTCTAAGAATGAGATACATACATGAGAGCTACAAAACACAAATCTTATGTCAGTAATTCCGTGGGAATTAAATGCTCTTACATTAGCATTAAGGCTGTCATCACACAGTATAAAGATGAATGCTAAAACTCATGCTAATTTAAAATTTTATTTTTTCTTCACTTAGAATGGCATTAAATAGCAGATTTTTTAAAAACGCTATGACAAGCCAAGAGACTAAGGAAGAAAGGAAAATGTGTTATAGTACCTGTAATAGCACTTCTTTCCTGCATTTTGAACAGTGGGTCCCACGCTCTCATTTTGCACCAGGCTTCACAAATTCTGAAGCAGCCCTTTTAAAGATAAGTGTTGAGCTGGGCACGGTGGCTCATGCCTGTAATCCCAACACTTTGGGAGGCCGAGGCAGGTTTTCACCTGAAGTCAGGAGTTCAAGACCAGCTTGACCAATATGGTGAAACCCTGTCTCTACTAAAAATACAAAAATTAGCCGGGCGTGGTGGCAGGTGCCTGTAGTCCCATCTACTTGGGAGGCTGAGACAGGAGAACTGCTTGAGCCCAGGAGGCAGAGGTTGCAGTGAGCCGAGATCGTGCCACTGCACGTGAGCTGTGATCACACCACTGCACTCCAGCCTGGGCAACTGAGAGAGACCCCCGTCTCAGAAAAAAAAAAAAAAAAAAAAATGTAAGTGTTCAACCTCCTAACTGAGGTTGGAAGAGATTGCATAACTTGCCCAAGATCACAGTTAGAAGCAGACCCGGCTCTATAGCCCAGGACCTACTCCCAGGCCACTGGTCCTTCTACCATTCTTGTAGTCCAAAACAACAAGTTGGTTTAAAACTAGAGATTCCTATAAGAATAATATTTCAAGGCTGGGCACGGTGGCTCACACCTGTAATCTCAACACTTTGGGAGACCAAGGTGGGCAGATCACATGAAGTCAGGAGTTCAAGACCAGCCTGGCCAAGATGGTGAAACCCTGTCTCTACTAAATATAAAAAAATTGGCCGGGCATGGTGGTGGGTGCCTGTAATTCCAGCTGCTCGGGAGGCTGAGGCAGGAGAATCACCTGAACCTGGGAGGCAGAGGTTGCAGTGAGCTATCACACCACTGTACTCCACCCTGGGTGACAGAGTGAAACTCTGTTTCAAAAAAAAAAAAAAAAAAAAAAATCAGTTCAGCAAGTTCAAAGAATGACCAAATTAGACACATTTGCTGCAAATGGCTCTCAGAGGCTTTGAAAAATGGCATTGTGGCATTTTGTTTTAAGCAAGTAAACATATTTTCTGAGCCTAGAATTTTCTCCAATCACTAGAGAGCTTAAATAGATTATAAATACAGCATAGAGAGTATTCATGCAAAACCATTGCAGCTAAATGTCTATTTGTAAAGTCAGCTGGTTTCCAGTTAAAAGTTTGTAAAAGAGGGAAAAATAATATGCTTTATTTAAGTATGAACAGAGGAAGGCCTAGGTCCTGCCTCTTTCCTGAGTATTTAAAGTTCTGTGCCCATAATGGATACAGGAATCAGATGATCACACTGGAGAGAAGTCAAAAGTCTTGCTCCTCCTTTGATGTGAACAACAATCTTGGTAATTGTTGACAGAGAAGTAAATACAACCTGCCCTCTAGTTTTTGAATTCACAAGTAGTAATTATTGTAAGCAAGCTCTAAACCACCTTCAGAAAAATCTGTCTTTGAAAACACAAGATGTGATAGGCAAAACAAATAAAATAAAAACCTAAGTCAATCTGGTTTGGGTTAGAAAGAATCTTTTTGGTAAAATTAAATCTTTGTATCGCCCTTAATGCTTTGAGTCCCATCCCAATGTGGCTTATTCATTACCCACTCTGTAGTTTTCCTTCCTCTAAACCCTCTCCTCCTGCAGTGCCATGGAACTCATCAACAGCTCCTACAATGTAGCAGGTAAGTAAACACTAAGGATTAGGGCCAAGGGTTGGGACAGGAGAGTGACAAACATAATAATTATAGCTAACATTGTTTAAGCACTTCCTATTTGCTGGGCACTTTGCCAAGTGCTTTATGTTCATTATCTTAATGATTCTTCACAACAGTTCTATGAGGTAGGATTATCCCATTTCAACATGAGAATACAAAATCACAAAGAGGTAAAAACTCGCCCTCTAGGTCACACCAAATCTGGAATTCAAAGCCAATCTCGACATCAGATAATGAGATGTCTGTTTTTCTCTTTACCTCTGCCCCATATCTTCTTATTTCCCCATATTGCCCATCCTTAGAGCATCCTGATGCAGAGACATTGTTCATTCAGGTGGTCGAGTATGGATGGTGATATATGGAAAGCATTTTATCCAAGGCCACCATTGACCAGGGTCTTTGTGGGAATTATTATAACAAAAGGCACTCTCCTTTGAGCTGTTGCAGAACAGGAAGGTTTTGCTCCCACTCTTTGCTGGACACCCTTTGGCTGGGCACAACCTCTGCAGTATATGCCAAAGTCCTGAGCTCATCCTAGTCATTTTGAATAATGGTCATTTGAATGTCCAGTACTTTTAAATGACAGCGATATGATGACACTTCACGTGATTACATGTGGACTATCATGTGTTCTAGAGAGGACAAATATGTCCTTAAAAATATACAAAAGGGGGCCAGACGCGGTGGCTCACGCCTGTAATCCCAGCACTTTGGGAGGCCGAGGCCAGTGAATCACGAGGTCAGGGGTTCAAGACCAGCCTGGCCAACAATGTGAAACCCTGTGTCTACTAAAAATACAAAAATTACCCGGGCGTGGTGGCAGGCACCTGTAATCCCAGCTACTCAGGAGGCTGAGGCAGGAGAATCACTCAGACCCAGGAGGTGGAGGTTGCAGTGAGCTGAGATCACGTGATTGCACCATTGCATTCCAGCCTGGTGGACAAGAGCGAGACGAAGTCTCAAAAAAAAATATATATATATATATATACACACATATATATATATATATACACACACACACAAAAGGGGCTGGGTGTGGTGGCTCACACCTGTAATCCCAGCACTTTGAGAGGCTAAGGTGGGCAGATCACGAGGTCAGGAGTTCAAGACCAGCCTGGCCAACACAGTGAAACCCCGTCTTTATTAAGAATACAAAAAATTAGCTGGGCCTGATGGTGGGCGCCTGTAATCCCACCTACTCAGCAGGCTGAGGTAGGAGAATCACTTGAACCTGGAAGGCAGAGGTTGCAGCGAGCCGAGTGTGCACCACTGCACACTAGCCTGGGTGACAGTTGGAGACTCCGTCTCAAAAAAATAATAATTATTATTATAAATATATATGTGTATATATATATATGTGTGTGTATATATATATATATATACACACACACACACACAACAGGTTATTCAACAAATTTGTAGGCTTGTTTCTGTACTCCTCTCTCTGAGCCTCAACTCCCAGGAGACTGAATAAAGACTAGAGAGTTGGGTGCTGTTGAATAGACTCATTAAACTCGATAGCCCTTAATTGGCAGACACACAGGAGGAAGCTCCATGTGTCTTATACATTAGCGTTCCTGAGAGGAAGCAGAACGCAACCATTATGGAAATAAATCGAATCAATAACAGTTTCCCCAAACATAGTCCAAGCCAGTGGGTAAGATAAGAACTAGGTCTGCTTTCAAAACAATGGTCTGATTCTAACCCTGTTGATAACTTTCTTCCTATCCAATCAAGAACTATGCTGTGTTCAACTTGTCTGAATCTTCAGATAGCCATTAATGTTGGAAAATGAGTGGTTTCCTTTGTTCTAAGGGAAGCCCACAGAACACGTCACTGTGGTAGTCTCTAGAATTTACAGCAGGGAATCGAATCTTTCACTGAGAGAACAACAACAAAAAAGCTAATCATTTGGTATGGTTCAAAATGCCAACATTTCCAGGTGGGTACAATACATATTCTCATTTCTAAAGCAGATTGTCAATATTCATGTATTATATTAGAGTCTTGATTTTTTTCAAGAACTAGTAAGTCAAGCTATCTTATTACACCACCAAAATTTGGCTAATTGCAAAATCACTGCATTATATCTACCATAAACCATAGCAAGTTTCCTGCCAGCATGATCACTGTGAAATCAGCTCTTTGAGGCCAAACCTCAAAGGCCCACATAATAACAATGGCTGCCATTTTAGGTGACATAGACTTGGAGTGTATAAATCTCAAATCAGAAAAGACTCCAGTGAACCATCACAGTCTTGCTAGTCTTCAATAACTGGAGAATAGAGCTATAATTTAGTTTGAAGTGCGTATGGGGAGAATTCATGGTGGGAATCTGAGCCTCAGAGAATGCAAAGTCAACTCACTACTAATAGGAAGTGACATCGGTGGCAGCAAATCCTCTGAAGTGGCAAGTTTCTTTCAGGATATACTGTGCTAAGATTAAAGAAAAAAGTTTGTAAGGAAGGGAAGCAAGTGTCAAACAGATAGCAGACTTATTTTCAGGATTATGTAAAGCACAAAAATGAAAGGACTTCCACCGTGCAGTGTTGTCATGGTTACCTGATCTCTTATCAAAAAGGAGAATCAAGCAGGGAAGGGAAACCTGGGAAAGGCAGTAACCAGGGAGGCCTGTACTTCCACATGGGCTTTTCATCCAATTGAGGTTGTTTATGAGGGTATAAAATAAAAGATGACATTTTGCTGCTGTAGATAATTTTTAAAGGAGCATATTTTGCTATGCAGAATAAGTACTTCATTCTGCTGTGCTTTCTAAAACATGAAAACACGATGGCTAACCCATCATTGTTCATGAGAATCTCTAAGTGAACAGGAAAAAAAAATGTACCTTTAAAATTTCCTCCCAATGCAATAAAAATAAAAATTATTTTCCCAAACTACAAACTTAGTATATAGGTTGAGTTGCTTTCTTAAGAAAGCTGCATTTATCTCCTCCAAAAAATGTTAGAGGATTTTATTTGGAGGTTACCAGTTTAAAAGAAAAACTGGTAAATTCTTTTTAGAGATTAAAAAGAAAAATCAGGACAGGAGGGGGCGGGGAAAAGAAAAAAGAAAAATCTGCTTGGTTTCCACTTCACGATTAGCATAGAATGAAGGACAATTTACCACTCTGTCCTTCCCCCTAAGCTCCACCTACCTCTACAAATGCGTCACCTTTCTGCCCATCACCTCCCCAGCCCTCATAAACCATTGTCCCTGATAAACATTGCCCGGCACAAGCTCTTGCTTTTCCAAATCACAATCTCATTCTCAACACACCTAACAACAGCTTGCAAAGTGCCCTTTTCTCTAGTGACAGGTAGTCAGAATAACTACAAGGTCACTAGCATGAAAAGACTCAGCCTAGGAGAAGAAATGGAAATTTGACCCTATTTATTTTATCTGCTTGGGAAGGGGGAGGAGGAAGAAAGCAATAAAGAGCAGTCATTTCTTTAACAGCTCAGTCTCTGAATTACTCCCACTTCTCATTTCCCCTGGTAGAAAGACACTACGCCTAACTGGGTAAACCTTGCAAAGGGGACAAATAAGCCTTAGACTCACAGTAACTTTGACTTCTCTCATAGAGAAAATGTTGAGAATTAGCATTCACTGAAACCCTACTATGAACTAGACATTGTACTAGGTGCTTTAGTGATAATATTCCATTTATACAAATTGCATCCCTGTGAAACCATGTCCTCTTTAAATATGAGGAAGCTAAGGCTCAGAAAAGAGAAGTAACTTGCCCTAATTCACAAAGAGCTTACTTCTAAACTCACTTACTGCACCACCTAACACTGGAGAAGGCAGGGTGCTAAGTGGGTTCTCATCCAGATTAGTTCCACTCCCTGTGAAATATTTTGGAAAGTTGTAGAATTTATCTTCAGTTTTGTCATTTACCTATTGAAACATTATTTTCAGTTACATTTTTTAAATTTCTATTTTATATTGCAATTTATATTTTATATTTTTTGTGTGATTATGTGGCTAGTTAGGTTATATTACCTGCAAATTTCATTTTAGAATGGTAAAGGGGTATCTCAAAATATGTGTTACATAAAGGGAGGCTTTGGGCCTGAGAAGGCAGAGAACCGCTGCACTAAATCGTTATTCCCAGAATAATTGAGAATTGACACTGATTTTTCTTTAAAATGTGGGACACAAGCATTTCTCAAGTCTAAAAAGAGAAGTCATTGTTAGTGGCATATAACTGTATTAGTTTCTTAAAATAAATTAAACATATTTCTAAACAGTTAATGATGGGGCGGGGTAAGCACCAGGGAGAAGAAAGGAAATGCAAATTCATTTGTAAGGAGATATCCCTGCCTTTTCACTGGAAAGTCAATTTCCTTGATACATTAACTCCTCAATCTCAAACATTTATTTAGGGGGAGGTACCAAGTCTAGGGCCCTAGCTTCAGGGAGTGAGAGGGCAAACTGCAAAGTGAAGCTACCACTTCAATGCTAGTGCTATGCACAGAGCTAGAAATAAGAAATAATTAAGGCTTCACTTAGCCACTAGGAAAATGGGATAAAAGGTGGCTTCTCATTCTCTTGTTTCTGAATCTCATGTGGCCAAAGCCATTAGAAGGACATCCCCAGGTTATTTTATCTGAAGAGTCTCTGGAATCCTAGTATATTCTCTGGAATACGCACTCACTTGGGAATTGCCCCAGGGAAACCTGGACTTTAGGGCTACTTTAATGTAGCAAGTAGGTGCAGCTAACTCACCTATTTGGTTTTCTGTGTGATACAGAGGTACTGCTTCTTTCTCCAACTCTTTTGGAAAGAAGAGCTAAAGATAATATCAGAGATAATAAATTATCTTCCATTTTTCTTTTGTTATTTTAGGTCTAATACCTTTCAATAAGTGCCCTTCTTCAACATGTATACAATATAAGAAGAAACCACAGGATATCTTTAGAGCTAAATTGACTTCTCAAAGTTTATTTCTTTTGATCAGAAACCATGTTTTAATGGAGGGAGGAAACTTTATGGTGGGGAGCTGAGGTTTCAAATTTTATTCAGGCTGTATTTTTACTAGAAACAATATTGTTTTTTCTTTGTAGAATACTAAAAGATTAAATTTCATATTTCAATTTTTGTGAAGACTCCCAAGATCCAAATCCAACATTAAATGTGTGTGTTTGACCCCATATCCTCCTTACATTAACAATACAGCTTACACATAAGTACGAAGCAATGCACAGCCACCCACAACCAGCACAAATGATACTTGGGTCTTACAGCTACATGCTGTAGAATATTTTCAGCACATCTAAATAAGAGAGGCTATTAGAAATAAAATACGGGTCACAAGAAGTAAGGAAAATGAGATTAGTCTTTAATACGTCTCTATTTTATGCAATTATGGATTTTAGACCATTGTTCTGGGTTCCATCTTTACAGGTTAAAATCCAAGTGTTCAAAACTGAAATATAGAAACTATAATTGCTTATACATAGGAGATGTTTAGATAAATTTATTTTTCATAAAAGAAGCAGCATGGAGTAATAAATTGTCAGTTACATAAAAATCCTATCTGGGATGTTTTCAAGGGATTTTATTAGGATGGCCACATCAAAGAACACTTATTTATTATAGGTATACAATCTGCTTAGGTCCACTGGGCAGATTTTAGATAAACAATAGCAATCACAGGGTGTCCCAGTGACATCCATAGAAAGCTTTGTGGAGCCTAAGTTATCTGAATGACCTCTTCAAGGGCACCTCTTCTTACCCTAAGAATTCTCTTCTCTGAAATGGATACTCCTCGAGGCCAAAATCTACTTGGCATCAAAAGCTACTAGAGTAGATGTATTAGTCAGTTTTCGCACTGCTATAAAGAGCTTCCCTGAGACTGGGTAATTTGTAAAGGAAAGCTATTTAATTGACTCACAGTTCCATGTGGTTGGGGAGGCCTCAGGAAACTTATAATCATGGCAGAAGGTGAAGGGGAAGCAGGCACCTTCTTCACAAGGTGGCAGGAGAGAGAAGTGAGCAAAAGCAGGAAAAACTGCCTTATAAAACATCAGATCTCGTGAAAACTATCACAAGAACAGCATGGGGGAAACTGCCCCCACCTCCCTCCGTTGACACGTGGGGATTACAATCTGAGATGAGATTTGGGTAGGGACACAGAGCCAAACCGTATCAGCGGACTCCAAACCAGGTCCATTAAAAAGTCCTTTAATTTAGATCCCTATGGTGCATCAATAAAATACAATGAAAACATGAGAACTTTGTTGTTGCATTATCTCAATCCTCTCTAACCTCATCCTGGATGCCTATTAATATCTCTTGTTTTATTCTACCACCATTACTTCACACATCTAGATTATTCTTGTTTGTCACCCCTGTATTCAAACAAACTGAAGCATGAAGTTGTCCAGAATATTTACCTTGTGTCACTTATGTGACAAAGCAAGTCAGACACTGCAGAAACCTGCTAAATATCCAGTAACCTATTGATGAATTCAGAATGGCGTCTAAAAGCCCCTGGAACTTCTTGAATTGACCTTATCCATGGCAGACACAGGCTTACTTCTTTTTGGTTTCCTCCAAATGTTTCCTGTTTATTTTCAAGTTGCGAAAGCCATGCAGACTCGAGTATATGAAAGATGACCACAAAATAATGAAACCAACTGTCATGTGTGGCTCACATGTACTTAGTTCCTATAAAGGGTCATGGCTACACTTATATAAAACTTCAAACAAAATTAATCTGACAAATAGTATTTGAAACATTAGTATATTTATATCTAATCCTGTTCTAGAAAATATTTGTAATATTTGAATATATATTCAAAAACATATATTATTATAAACTATATAAATATATGTGTATGTGTGTGTGTGTGTGTGTGTGTGTATATATATATATATATGATTGAGGAAGATTGGTACACATGTGGAAGCAATAGGGACCTACACAGTTACTAAAATTTGTTCAGAAATTGGCCCTGAGTCTCCTGGAAACCAAAGCTGAAAGAGAAACATGACCACTTACAAAATTCATGTTTGCCATAAGGAAAGAGCATACCAGATCTTCCAAAATCTAATAATTTACATAATTACTCATGTACAGTATGGTAATAAGCCATAATTGGTGAGTAATATACAGAAATTGCTACAAATTATTCATTTTTTCATTCCATAAACATAATGTGTCAGGCTTCAGGGATAGTAAGAAAAAGTCCCTGACCTTGAGGAGTTTTCAGTCTAATGAATGAAGAGAGAGACATTCAAATAAACAGTTAAACCACAATATATTGACTATTAAAGAGTACCATGAATAAGATGTAGTGCCTTCATAAATGTTTCCACATAACCAAGTCAAAGTTTGATTTCTTCCTCCTACTATTTTGCGTATTTTCCAGAATTCAGGATCGATATGCAGCAATGCAGTCCTGACCTTTTCACCATGGAATCAGTAACACCATTGAGACCAGTAAGTGCACTTGTCCGAAGTACAGCCAAACTTCCTGTGTTCCTGCCTATACCCCAAGGCATCCAGCCCTCTTCCTGATCCTCTCTTCTTCCATCTTTGCCACCCTTCTTCCCTGTACTTGTCCTTGAGCAGTTATGTAATTGCTCCCTTCCCTTGGTTTAAGTGTTAAAGACCCAAGGCCAAGGAGAATCTGTGATTGGGGTTTGGAATTATTTATTGGGATTCTCAGCAGGATTCTCATGTTGAAGGGGGATAAAGGTACACTCAGGGAGGAAAAAGGACTCAACAATTTTGGCTCTGGATCCTTAGGATATGAAGTATTGAATCTAAGGGATGGAAGAGGATTCAATGAGACCAGTGCTTCTAATCCAGCCTCACAGCCAGGCATGCCAGTAGTAATTATAATAATACTAACAACAACAACAATAATATCTGTTTGATGCTTCAGAAATGATATGTGTTCAAGAGTAAATCAGGTGTGCCTCAGGTGTAAGATGATTTCAAGGCCAACAAGAAGGCTTTCTGGGCTTTCTGAATAAATCTCCACTGAGCTTCTTGACAGTGCATGCAATTCTTTTAACACAGGGACAAAGATTTTCCCCAACACAATTAGAGATAAAAAGGCTTAAAAATGTAAATGTATAGGAAAGGTGACACACTGGTATTGATTTGATTCAGTCAATGTGCAAATGATGGTATCAGAAACTTTCTCAACTCCCTCCTCTACTCAGACTCTTAAAACAAGAATTTAGTAGTTTTTGCATCTGTCCTTGCTCATGTTCCCTGGATTCCACCCTCCTCTGAACTTTGATCCATCAATGATCCCTCTGCCTTCCAATATTACTAATCTCATTCATTCAGCATCCTCATTGCTAAGCATATCCTAGACACTGGGGATGGACAAAACAGACAAAAATCCTTGCCCTAAGAGAAAAGATAAAGCAGTCAAGAGATAATTAGGGGTCAAGGGGAGAATGCTGAAATTTTAAATAGGGTGGTCAGGGAAATCTTCTATAAGAAGGTGATATTTAAACAAAAACTTGAAGGAGGTGAAGGAGCATGCATTCCAGGCAGGAGACACAAGTGCAATGGCCCTGAGGTCTGATATCCCTGGGACAGAATGTGCATGAAAGAGAGGGTCACCAAGGAAGCCAGTAAAATGAAGTCACTGAGATCTTAAAGGTCATGGCAATTGGCTTTTGCTCTGAGTGAGATGGGAAACTACTGGCGTATTTTGAGCAGAGGAGTGATATGATCTGAATTACATTTTAATAGGATCGTTCAGCCGCTGCATTGAGAACAAACTGGAGGGCACAAGGATGGAAGCAGAGAGTCCTTTTAGGAGGCTGATGCAACAAATCCGGGTAAGAAAGAAGAAAGTGGCCTGAACGAGGCCTTAGTCATTAGGGAGTTAGCAGTGGACGTGGTATGAAGTGATCAGATTCTGAACATATTTTGAAGTTGGGGCCAATAGTATTTGCTAAAAAATCAGATGTAAGGTATGAGAATAAAATAAGAGTGAAGGATAACTCAGAGGCTTTGGGCCTGAGCAACAGGAAAAATGGAGCTGCTGTTTCCTGGGATGGGGAAGATTTTGGAAGGATTAGGCACAGGGGTAGAATATCAGGAGCTCAATTTTAAATGCTAACTAGACATCCAAGTGAGATGTTAAAATAGGCAGTGGATATATAGTCTATAGTTTTGGGGAGAGGTTCAGCCTGGTATTTAAAGTCATGACACTAGGGAAAAACCACCATGGGAGGAAATATAGAGTTAAAAAGGCAAGAGGATGAACTGGTCTCTGGCACAGTCCAATTTTTAGAGGTTGTGGACGTGGAGAGGAACCTGCAAAAGAGGAGAAGGAGCAGCCAAAGAAGTAGAAAAACTAGGCAAATGTGATGTCCTAGAGGCCAAGGGAAGAGAATATGTCATGAGAAGGGACTGATGGGTCAAATGCCACAGATGGGTCATGGAAAATGAGGACTTTTCATTGACCATTGAATTTAGCCATCAGAAAGTCTTTGATGACTTTGACAGGGAAGTTACAATAGAATGGTGGGCACATTCCTACACTCCACCACTGCTCATGGAAGTTAATTCAGAAGAAGAAGAAAGATGAAAACTTGGAGACAACTAATAAAGAAACTTCTTTTGAGGTGTTTTGCTGAGAATGGAAGGGGAGAAACAGACAATGGCTTGAGAGTGAAATGGGAGTTCAAGACTTTTTGTTTTTAAAATGAAAGAAATCTTAGTGGGTTTGCATGCTGATGCAAAAGGGAAAAAAAACGGTTAAGTCAAGAGAAAAGAGAATTCTGAAGCAGTGGCCTTGAGCAGAAAGAAGTGATGGGATCAAATGAGAGGGAAGAGAAACCCCGTCTTAAAAAAAAAAAAAAAAAAAAGGTTGGGGAAGGGATTGGCTTTAGTTAGGAATATGGACAATGATCCATGTTTTCCACTCATCCTTCCTCTCAGCCTCTTTTAGCATCTTTTGGCTTCCCTGTTGCAAAACTAAGAGCAACAGGCTGTTTGCATCCCTCAAAATTCATATGTTGAAATCTAATCCTAATTTGATGGTACTTGGAGGTGTGGCTTTAGGGAGGTAATTAGGGTGATGCCTTCATGAATGGAATTAGTGCCTTTACAAAAGAGAGCCCAGAGAGATTCCCTTGCCCCCTCAACCATGTGAGAACACAGCAAAAAGTGGCCATGTATGAACCAGGAAGTGAGCCTTCACCAGACACCAAATCTGCAGCCACCCTAATCTTGGACTTCCTAGCCTGCGGGACTGTGAGAGATAAGCGTCTGTTGTTTTACAAGCCAATGGTATCCTATTAGAGCAGTGTGAACAGACTAGGGCAGTAAGCAATCTTCAGTTGCGTCTAACTATGCTCTATAGCTCTGCTTCCTTCTCTTTATAGTCTGTTGTCTTCAAAACATTGCCCACATTTGCTCTGCTCCTGTGGTTCCCTTTCGTTTGTTGGCACGAGATAGCCCAGCTTCTGCGCACCAGTGGCTCTGGAATTGCCTATTTCCAGGGACTGTTTTTTGTTTTTTTTGTTTTTTCTTTTTTTACTGAACCCTTTCTCAAGTGTCTGTGCGAAGAGACCACCAAACAGGCTTTGTGTGAGCAACAGGGCTGTTTAGCAAAGGGTGGTGGGATTATCGTTAGTTCTTACAGGTTTTGGGATAGGCGGTGGAGTTAGGAGCAATGTTTTGTGGGCAGGGGGTGGATCTCACAAAGTACATTCTCAAGGGTGAGGAGAATTACAAAGAACCTTCTTAAAGGTGGGGGAGATTACAAAGTACATTGATCAGTTAGGGTGGGGCAGAAACAAATCACAATAGTGAAATATCATCAGTTAAGGCTATTTTCACTTCTTTTGTGGATCTTCAGTTGCTTCAGGCCATCTGGATGTATATGTGCAGGTCACAGGGGATATGATGGCTTAGCTTGGGCTCAGAGGCCTGACATTCTTATCTTCTTATATTAATAAGAAAAGCAAAACAAAATAGTGAAGTGTTGGAGCAGCAAAAAATTTTGGGGGTGGTATGGAGAGATAACGAGTGATGTTTCTCAGGGCTGCTTCAAGCGGAATTAGGGGCAGTGTGGGAACCTGCAGTGGGAGAGATTCAACTGAAGAAAGATTTTGGGGTAAGGGGTGATATTGTGGGGTTGTTAGAGAAACATTGGTCTTATAGAATGATTGGTGATGGCCTGGATACAGTTTTGTATGAATTGAGAAACTAAATGGAATACACAAGGTCTGAATAAAAGAAGGAGAAAAATGGGTATTAAAGGACTAAGAATTGGGAGGACCCAGGACATCCAAGTAGAGAGTGCCCAAAGGGGTTCCGCGTAATTACTTGCTTGGTTGGTGAGTTTTTGAGCTCTATCCTTGACAGAGTCCTCTTTTTTAGGTTGGAGGCTGAGCTTGGTGAGGTTTGTTTTTAAAAGACCATTAGTCCGTTCTATGTTTCCTGAAGATTGAGGACAGTAAGGGGTATGAAGGTTTCACTGAATACCAAGAGCCTGACAAACTTCTTGGGTGATTTGACTGGTAAAGGCTGGTCCGTTATCAGGTTATATAGAGGTGGGAAGGCCAAACCGAGGAATTATGTCTGACAGAAGGGAAGAAATGACTGCAGTGGCCTTCTCAGACCCTGTGGGAAAGGCCTTTACCCACCCAGTGAAAGTATCTACCCAGACCAAGAGATATTTTAGTTTCCTGACTCTAGGCATGTGAGTAAAGTCAATTTGCCAGTCCTGGGCAGGGGCAAATCCCTGAGCTTGATGTGTAGGGAAGGGAGGAGGCCTGAATAATCCCTGAGGAGTGGTAGAATAGCAGATGGAACACTGAGAAGTGATTTCCTTGAGGATAGATTTCCACGATGGAAAGGAAATGAGAGGTTGTAAGAGGTGGGCTAGCAGCTTGTAACCTACATGGAAGAGGTTATGAAATGGCGACAGAATTAGAATGGGCCTGTGAGACTGGAAGGAGATATTTTCCTTGGTCCATGAACCATTTGCCTTGTGTTCAGTTGGGGAGTAGGTGGGAGTGACCAGATGAGAAGGAGAAAAACTGCCATGAGGGATAGAAGTTGGAATGCTAGCTGCTTTTTTAGCTACTTTATCAGCATAAGCATTGCCCTAAGCGATGGGAGCTGATGCCTTTTGATGGCCCTTGTAGTGTATGACTCCAGCTTCCTTTGGAAGTAAAGTGGCCTTGAGAAGAGTTTTTATTAAAGAGGCATTAATGATGGAGGAGGACCCTTGCACAGTGAGGAAACCTCTTTCAGCCCATATAACATCATGCTGGTGCAGGATATGGAAGGCATATTTACAGTCAGCATAAATATTGACATGCAATTCCTTTGCAAGAGTGAGGGCTCGAGTTAAGGCAATGAGTTTGGCTTGCTGAGAGGTAGTAGAGGGGGGACAGAGCAGTAGCCTCAATGATAGATGTGGAAGGTACTATAGCATAGCCTGCCTTTACTTATGAGTGGCGATTAGGCCTGGTAGAACTGCCGTCAATAATCCAAGTGTGATCACGGTGAGGAACAGGAAAGAAGGAAATATGGGGAAATGGAGTGAATGTCAGGTGTATCAGAGAGATACAGTCATGGGGGTCAGGTGTGGTATCAGGAATAATGTGGGAGTACGGATTGAAGTCCAGGGAAGGAACAATGGTAACTGTGGGAGACTCAACAAAGAGTGAATACAGCTGAAGGAGCCGGGAAGCAGAAATTATATGTGTCAGGTGTGAGTAAGAAAATAGATTTTGGAAGTTATGAGAACTGTAGAGAGTGAGTTGAGCACAGTTTGTGATTTGGGGGGCCTCTAAAACTATTAGGGCAGCAGCAGGTGCTACACGGAGACACAAGGGCTATGCTAAAACATTAAGGTCAAGTTGTTTGGACAGAAAGGCTACAGGGCGCAGTCCCGGTCTTTGTGTAAGAATTCCGAGTGCATAGCCCTGCACTTCAGCTATGCGTAATGAAAATGGTTAGGATGAGTTAGGGAGAACTAGTGTGGGGGCAGCTTCTAGGGCTGTTTTTAAGGAATGGAAAGAGGAGTGGCAAAAGGATTTAGGATCTATGGGGTCAATTAGGTTTGCTTTTGTGAGTTTATACAATGGACTAGTCAGGATGGTAAAACTAGGTATCCAAAGGCAGAAGTACCTAACCATGCTTAGGAAGGAAAGGAGTTGTTGTTTTGTAGAAGAGGTTGGGGTTTGGGAGATTAGCCAGACACGATCAGCGGGGAGAGCATGTGTGTTTTCATGAAGAATTATGCCGAGATAGGTAACAGATGAGGAAGAAATTTGGGCTTGACTGAAGTAATGGGGGCTGTCCGCAAAGTCTTGTGGCAGTACAGCCCAGGTAATTTGCTGAGCTTGATGGGTGTCAGGGCCAGTCCAAGTGAAAGCGAAGAGAGGCTGGGATAAAAGGTGCAAAGGAATAGTAAAGAAAGCATGTTTGAGATCCAGAACAGAATTATGGGTTATGGAGGGTTGTGGAGGGAAGGTATTGAGGATGGAAGAGTATATGGCTTTGGCACCACAGGGTGGATAGGCAAGACAATTTGGTTGATAAAGCACAGATCCTGAACTAGCCTGTAAGACTTGTCCGGTTTTTGGACAGGTAAAATGGGGGAATTGTAAGGAGAGTTTACAGGCTTTAAAAGGCCATGCTGTAACAGGCAAGTGATAACAGGCTTTAATCCTTTTAAAGCATGCTGTGGGATGGGATATTGGCACTGACTGGGGTAAGGGTGATTAGGTTTTAATGGGATGGTAAGGGGTGCATCATCCATCACCAAGGAGGGAGTAGAGGTGTCCTATACTTGTGGATTAAGGTGGGGAGATACAAGGAGAGGATGTGAAGGAGGCTTTGAACTGGGGGAAAAGGTGGCAATGAGGTATGGCTGTAGCCCAGGATAGTCAGGGAAGCAGATAATTTAGTTAAAATGTCTAGACCTTATAAGGGAGATAGGCAGGTGGGGATAACTAAAAAGGAGTGCATAAAAGAATATTGTCCAAGTTGGCATCATTTGGGGAGTTTTAAGGGGTCTGGAAGCCTGGCCATCAGTACCCACAACAGTTATGGAGGCAAGGGAAACAGGTCCTTGAAAAGAAGGTAATGTGGAGTAGCCTCTATATTGATTAAGAAGGGGATGGACTTACCCTCCCCTGTGAGAGTTACCCGAAGCTCAGTGTCCGTGATGGTCTAGGGGGCTTCCAAGGCAATTGGGCTGCATCAGTCCTCAGCCGCTAAGACGAGAAGATCTGGGAAGGAGTCAGTCAGAGAGGCTTGGGCCAGAGTTCCAGGGACCCTGGGAGTGGCTGCCAGGTGAGATGAACAGTCTGATTTCCAGTGGGGTGCCACACAGATGGGACATGGCTTAAGAGGAATCCTGGGCTGCAGGCATTCCTTGGCCCAGTGGCCAGATTTCTGGCACTTGGAGCAAGATCCTGGGGCAGGCGGTCCTGGAGGAATCCCTGGCTGCTGCGGTTCAGGTGTTTGGAGTTCTTGTGTGCTGGAGATGTGGCTGGGGTTTGTCTCACAGAGGAGGCAAGGAATTGCAACTCAGAAATACGTTGCTACTTGGCTGCCTCTACTCTATTATTGTACACCTTGAAGGTGAGGTGAATTAGGTCCTGTTGTAGGGTTTGAGGGCCAGAAACTAATTTTTGGAGCTTTTTCTAATATCGGGAGTGGATTGGGTAATAAAATGCATATTGAGAATAATCTGGCCTTCTGGCCTCTCTGGGTCTAGGACAGTAAAGCGTCTAAGGGCTGTTGCCAAACAGGCCATAAACTGGGCTGGGTTTTTATATTTGATGAAAAAGAGCCTAAATGCTAGCTGACTGGGGAGAGGTCGGATAAAGAAAAAAGCAGCATTAACTTTGACTATGCCTTTAGCTCCAGCCACCTCTTTAAGCGGAAATTGTTGGGCAGGTGGGGGAGGGCTAGTCATGGAACGAAACTGTAAGCCAGACCAGGTGTGAGGAGGGGAGGTGATAGAAAGATTATAGGGTCGGGGAGCAGAGGCTGAGGAAGAATTGAGACCTGGCTCGGCCTGGCGAGGAGCAGCCTGGGGTGAAGGGGAGATGTCAGATGAGTCTGTAGAAAAGGATTCAAGGACTCAGAGCTTGGGGTGAAGACTGAAGGAACAGACAGGAGAGAAAGACAGTGCCATTCTCTTGTCACTTGGAACTACTGTCAAGTTGGTATTGGGGCCAAGCGGTATTGCAGAAGAAAATAAGGCATTTAAATTTTAGGGCAGGTGTGAGTTGAAGAGGTTTTAAGTTCTTGAGAACACAGGCTAAGGGAGAAGAAGGAGGAATGGAGGGTGGAAGTTTGCCCATAGTGAAGGAGGCAAGTTTAAAGAGAAGGGTAGAGACACAGAGAAGGGGGGTGGGGAGCAGCCCTGGACTGCAATGTGGGTGAGCAGCCAAAGCAGGCATCCCTGCAATTGACTTGCCACCAAGGGAACATGGGTGAATGACCAAGGCAGGCATCCCCGTGGAGATCAGACACCAATCGAATGTGGGTGAATAATCAGACACGCATCCCCACAATGATTAAACACCAAGGGAAGGCTGTCTTCCCAAGTCCGTGACTGGCACCAGAGTTTTGGGTCCATGGATAAAATGTGTTTCCTTTGTCTCTACTAGAGAGGAAAAAGAACTGGAATTGGAAGGACAGGGAGATTGAAGGGTAGCAAGAGAGGCTGGAGAAGAGAGTGAAAAGACCGCTTACGTGATTTGAAATTGGTGAGATGTTCCTTGGGCTGTTAGGTCTGAGGACCCGAGGTCATAGGTGGATCTCTTCACAGAGTGAGGGTGAGGACAGGGGACTGGTCTCCCAAAGGAGTCCCTCTGACCCGGGTCTTTGGCACCAAATGTCTCACACATCTGTGTGAAGAGACAACAAAACAGGCTTTATGTGAGCAACAAGGCTGTTTATTTCACCTGGGTGCAGGCAGGCTGAGTCTAAAAAAGGAGTCAGCAAAGGGTGATGGGATTATCATTAGTTCTTACAGGTTTTGGGTAGGCGGTGGAGTTAGGAGCAATGTTTTGTGCACAGGGGGTGGATCTCACAAAGTACATTCTCAAGGGTGGGGAGAATTACAAAGAATCTTCTTAAGGGTGGGGGAGATTACAAAGTACATTGATCAGTTAGGGTGGGGCAGAAACAAATCACAATGGTGGAATGTCATCAGTTAAGGCTATTTTCACTTCTTTTGTGGATCTTTAGTTGTTTCAGGCCATCTGGATGTACATGTGCAGGTCACAGGGGATATGATGGCTTAGCTTGGGCTCAGAGGCCTGACAAACCCCTCTGACTATTGACTGCTTTCCTTTCTAGAAACCCTTTACCCTTTACTATATCGTGTACCTCTATCCCTGGGCTGGACTTCTGGTCCATTCCCTGGACTCCTGTTCCTCTGCCTGACACTTCAAATGTTGGTGCTTGTTGGGTTTTCTCAGCCTTTTTTTCATTTGACAAAGGAATATCACTTATCCAATGCCAGCAGGGACTCCAGAATTTTCATACAGGAAGAGATAGGTGATTTGTCTTGATGCTGAGTTTGCTGAGTAGGCTAACTTCTTCTACTTACATTCTCTATGTTTGGAGCAGCTTGTTAAGTGGTGATGTAGATTACAGGGGGACTTAATCCTCCCCCATCTCATCACCCCTTGTTTCTCTGCTGCCAGAGCTTCAACTGCCACCTACATGTGGGGTTGTTTTACCCAATAAGTACTAAAGGCACAGTATCTTTTCAAAGTAAAAGAAAATATTTAAGAAAAGAAAGAAAGGAAGGAGGAAAAGAAAGACAAAAGCAAGGAAGGAGGAAAGGAGAGAGAAGAGAAAGAGGAAAACTGCAAAATGAAATTAATAGATGTTTAATCAACTGCCTACAATTCATATCAAATGTCAGCTTGACTCGTGTATGATTATCTGATATATTGTATATAACATATTTCAGTATATTTTTATATGATGTATGGAAGAGCTTCCAAAAGTAACCATGATTAGAGCCTATCAAACACTTATTTACTGAAAATCCAAGCTAAAACTTCTTCCTGAGCTCTGTACTCTTCTTTACAATTGCCTACTACACACAGTCACCTCAATGACCACAGGAATCTCAAACACAACACATCCCTAAATAAAATCATCTTTCTTCTCAAATGTCCTCTAGAGTTTATGCAGTAAAAATGGAATAAGCTTGAGCATCAGCCAGTTTTTTAGGTTCAAATTTCAACTCTTTGAGTTAGCCATTTTGTGGGAAATAAGAATTTTAAATGGGACTTTGTCATTTACTAATAATTACATTTCGGGAAGGCAAGGGAAAGAGTCCTTACCAACCAGAGATGTAAGCACTCAAAGGCAGTAAACCCTGGTAGGGGCTGTGACAGAAGCTTGTCAGGATATAGTGAGGAACAAGAAAAGGAGGAGTCAAGAATGTATTCGGTGAGGTGGAGAGACTTCTCACAGACAGTAATAGTAGAGCTTTATCTAGAATAAGAATGACTTAAGTAGCCCAGGGCATGGCTAGGAGTGGAGGAGAGAGGAGCATTAGCAAGAATTAGCATGGTCACCTGAGACCACCAACAGGTTTCAGAGCACAACAGAGGAGTTTGGGAGAGGAGCTTGCATCTGATCAGGGATAATGCAGGACCTCGCTTACCCAGAGCCAGAATTTATCCTGAGGCTACAAGTGAGTCACAGAGAACTTAAGCAGGGGACTTATATGATTGGATTTGCATTTGAGAAACATAACTTTGGTAGCCACAAGGGGGATAAATTAAGACCAGACTGGAGGTGGAGAGAATCCTAATAGACAACTGTGAACATTCTAAGCAGGAGCAATGAGTTAATTAAGACAGAGCAGTGAGAAGGAAAGAAAGGGAAAGTTTTAGGAGGGTGTTAAAGGGTAATTCTGACAGTTGTGACTGATGAGGGACTAGAGGAAGCTGGAGAACAGGACTTCTGGGTCCCTGGCTCAGAGGCTCATCCGATTATTAAGAGGACAAAATGAAATACTATATGCCTGGTATATGGTAGAAGCTCAAATTATATTATTTCCCTTCCCTGTTCTCTCTTATTACTGGCACCGTCACTTACTCAGTAACTGAGGCCAGAAATGTGGCAGTAATTCTTATCTCTAGTGCCCTTTATCCTCCACACCCAGAGCTGATGACACTGAGTGAGGCGAGGGGAAGACAGAGACCAGAAAAGGGAAACAGTCCTCAAGGAGTTCACAGTTTCCCTCTGGCCTGAGTGTTTGTTGTTGTTTGTTTGTTGAAGGAGTGGGCAGACAGGAGCCCAGGTTTAAGGTATTTTGTGGCTTGCCCACCTTGGGGGCTTGCATAGCGATGAATGCTAGGTATACTCCTGCCCCACCCACTGCAATGCCAGCTTCTTCCCCATCCAGCTGATTCTCTTCCCAATTTCCCAGCTCCAGTCTGGCTTCTAAATTATCAGGTGCTTGGCTAGTGGCTGAATCTAAAAACATGTCTGAAAAGACCATCCCCTCCCCAAGGGAAATGGTTAACCAGATTTTAAACCAAGCTAAATAAAGTTTGGGGTCATTTTTTGAGGAGGAAGCGTTTTATTTGTATAAGTAGTAAGGGCTGGAAAAGGCAAAACTATGGGGACAGAAAAGAGATTCACTGTTGCTAGGGACTGAAGGTGGAGGGAAGACAACCCAAGAGAACTTTGCAGGGGGGTGATAGAAATGTTCTAGAACTTGATTGTGGGGGTGGTTACTAGACTGCCATTTTTTTTTCAAAAGGCATGAAACTACACTAAAAAGCATAAATTTGACTCCATGTAAATTACACCTCAATAAGCCTGACTTTAAATTTAAAAAAAATGAAGGAACAAATAAATAAATTCCTAAGCAGATAGTAAGGGCTCAGTAAATGTTTGCTAAAGTGATAGTGATGGGTAGTGATAAGGTATCCGGCTGTCAAAGCTGCAGATTTTACTCCTTCCCTGAATATTTGCATTTTAGTAGAGGATTCTTAAAGCTGGAAAAAGCCTTTAAGGCTCAAAGAAGTTTGTCTCTAATAGGATGCATTTTTTTTTTCAAATGCAAAGTATTTTATTGCAAGCCAGAGGGGGAGTTCTAGATGAAAAGAAAGGCTTGCAGGAGAGCTGGGAGGCCGGGAGTAAGGAGACTTTACCTGTCTCTAAATTCGCAAACCTCTGAAAGGAGGGTATGCATTTTAAGTAGAGGCACTCTCCTCTGCCTTTTATCCACCATTTCCATCACAAGCTTTTCCTGGATTATTATCCTGGCCCACGATATTGGATTCTTATTGGAAAAACAATTGGTGTTGATGGACAGAGACAGAAGAGTACTACATCTACATTCAGCTTGGAAAAGAGAATGAGTGAATTAGTGCTCGGCAGCTACAACAGGGGCTATTTAAAGCCAACCCATGCTAAAATCTGTTTCTACCCCACCCCATGTGGACCAAGCCAAATGCCGGCCTTGACCTACCAACCTTTTCCTCTCCTGTTCATTTGCCAGTCAGGTACCAGAGGATTAGAAGTGATTTTAGCTTCGTTTTGGCAGTCACATCTTGCTGATAACCAGGGAACTGCCTGCATCTTTGAAACGGATATTCTCTCCTGTGTTTCTTTAAAAATCGCTCTCCGATCTTGTAATACCAAAGCACCTCGATTTTCTTTTTAATTCAAACTCCCCCATCTGACAGGACAAGGATTCTCTTTTACAGGACACTCAGGGAACTAATTTCTTTCTAAGCCATTCAAAGCCCAAAATGTCGAATTCTTGATTTTTCTTCTGTCACCCTGGACAGGTTTTCCTGTTTCATTTCACCAGAGTGCATGTGAGCACCTGTTTGAACCTATATGATAGCATCTGTTATCCTTGGCAGCAAGAAGTGGAGGAGTCGGGAGTGTGGGAAGAGTCTCTTTCCACTGCTTGCCCCTGGCACCCCACCCTGGGGGAGGAGTGGCGGGGGTCCTGCTTTTTCCTTAGATTAAGTTCATCAGTATTGCCAAAACTGTCCATTCCTCACCCTTCCCTGGGTGGTAGTTCAGGAGAAGGGGGCATTTGACTGCTGGGCTGGAGAGGAGGTGCCCGGTGACAGGAACAGTGGTGGCCTCCTCTCCTTGTCCATCAACAGCAGCTCCCACAACCCCCAATCAACTGCCCCAAGACAGTTATCACCTGGCTCTGTCCACCTCTGTGCTCAAACTGCTGCTCCATCATTGAACTCTCCCTGTCTCACAACCCTTGATCTGGTGCCTCCAGCTCTGTTTCCCTGGCACAGCCCTCTGGGGCTTTCTGAGCCCCTACCCCCTCCCTACCCTCACCAATAACAAAACACAAGACTCAGCCTGTTAATTGCTTCCTTCCTAACAAGAAGTTAGCTTGTTGGCTACACCTGCTGACATTGTTCTAACTTATGCCTGCAGAGTTGATGAAAGGGCTCTACTCCTTTTGAAGTTCAGTAAGAGCTAACTTTTATTGAGTGCTGACTATGGGGTCAGCCAGGGTGCTAACCTTGGTTATGTCAGTTAATCCACATATGGAAACTAAGGAGCAGAAAGGTAGCAGCTGTGATTGACACCTGTGCTTGACCCATAACCATAACTACATTAAATTTTGCCCTAAACAGGTCACTAGTCCTCCCTGCCCTCCCTGCCCCAATTCCCAGGCTATTCTATTTGGAATTAAGCAGGATCCAATGATGAGGGACATCAAAGGCATTTTACTAGTCTGAAGGATTTAGGGAACTCTTCTAGAAAGTTCTGTCATCTGCCTAATCAAGTGATTGTATGGACCTACAAAATCAAAGAAATAAAAATGCCTAGGAAGAGGTCCAGGGCAGGTTACAGACTGTGGAGCACCACTGCTAGATTCCTTTATTTTTATTCTTTAAATTTAGTAAAGACCAGGCACGGTGACTCATGCCTGTAATCCTGACACTTTGAGAGGCTGAGGCAGGAGGATTGCTTAAGCTCAGGAGTTTGAGACCAGCCTGGATAGCATAGTGAGACACTGTATCTACAAAAAAATACAAAAATTAGCTGAGCATTTTAGCACATGCCTGTAGTCCCAGTTACTCTGGAGGCTGAGGTGGGAGGATTACCTGAGCCCAAAAGTACAGGGCTGCAGTGAGCAGAGATACCACCACTGCACTTCAGCCTGGGCAACAGAGTGACACCCTGTCTCAAGTATTTATTTATTTATATTTTGAGATGGAGTTTTGCTCCTATTGCACAGGCTGGAGTTCAATGGTGCAATCTCGGCTCACTGCAACCTCCGCCTCCCGGGTTCAAGCGATTCTCCTGTCTCAGCCTCCCAAGTCGCTGGGATTACAGGCATGCGCCACCACATCCAGCTAATTTTGTATTTTTAGTAGAGACAGGGTTTCAACATGTTGGTCAGGCTGGCCTTGAACTTCTGAACTTGTGATCAGCCCACCTCGGCCTCCCAAAGTGCTGGGATTACAGGCATGAGCCACTGTGCCCGGCCTCAAATATTTTTAAAAATTAAGTTAAATTAAGTTAGTAAAAATATAATGCTTTCAATATGCCATCATAAGGTAATCAATTGCCAGTATAATAACTCTAAATATTGTGCTAGGCATTTCTAAGGTTGTAATTTTTTCTTGTAAAATTCACATATCCTTACTGCAGCAAATTTTTAAAATACAAAATAATTAAAACAAAAATATGTCTTACATATATTCCCATCACCCATAGGTAGCCTCAATTAACATATTGGTGGATTTCCTTCCAGCCTCCTTTCTATATAAATATGTACGTATTTTCGTAGTAGGGATGTCCATGATATACAAATATTTATACCTGAGTTTTCACTAAATATTATGTTAGCCAGCATGTTTCCATGTAATTAAATTTTTTGAAAATGTCATTTTTAATAGCAGTAAATTATTTAATAAGCAAGAATTTATTTAACCATCTCTCCAATGTTAGACCTTTGCATTTTCCCCAAGTTTTCACTATTACAAGAAATGCCATCTCTCTCATTATTTCCTCAAGATTGTTTACTAGAAATGGAATCACTATGTCAAAAAGAACCTTTAAAAATTGCAGCCGGGCACGGTGGCTCATGCCTGTAATCGCGGCACTTTGGGAGGCCAAGGAGGGCAGATCACTTGAGGTCAGGAGTTTGAGACCAGCCTGGCCAACATGGTGAAACCCCACCTTTACTAAAAATACAAAAATTAGCCGGGTGTGGTGGCGTGCACCAGTCATCCCAGCTACTCAGGAGGCTGAGGCAGAAGAATCACTTGAACCTGGGAGGCAGAGGTTGCAGTGAGATGAGATCGTGCCACTGCACTCCAGCCTGGGCAACAGAGTGAGACTCCGTCTCAAAAAAAAAACAACAAAAAAAAAAACCAAACCTTTAAAAATTGTAAAAGCAGCTGGGCGCGTTGCCTCACGCCTGTAATCTCTGCACTTTGGGAGGCTGAAGTGGGCAGATCATAAGGTCAGGAGTTCGAGACCAGCCTGACCAACATGGTGAGACCCCGTCTCTACTAAAAATACAAAAATTGGCCGGGCGCGGTGGCTCACGCCTGTAATCCCAGCACTTTGGGAGGCCGAGGCAGGCAAATCACGAGGTCAGGAGATCGAGACCATCCTGGCTAACACAGTGAAACCTCGTCTCTACTAAAAATACAAAAAATTAGCCGGGCATGGTGGCGGGCCCCTGTAGCCCCGCTACTCCAGAGGCTGAGATAGGAGAATGGCGTGAACCAGGGAGGCAGAGCTTTCAGTGAGCCAAGATCGCGCCACTGCAGTCCAGCCTGGGCAACAGAGCGAGGGACTCCGTCTCAAAAAAAAAAAAAAAAAAAAAAATACAAAAATTAGCCGGGCGTGGTGGTGTGCACCTGTAATCCCAGCTACTCCGGAGGCTGAGGCAGGAGAATTGCTTGAACCCAGGAGGCAGATGTTGCAGTGAGCCGAGATTGCGCCATTACACTCCAGCCTGGGCAACAGAGTGAGACTCTGTCTCAAAAAAAAAAAAAAAAAAATTGTAAAAGCGTTTTTTCCCTGTATACAATACAATGGTTCTAAGTATGAGTATAGTTCTTTATATGACTGGCCAAAGAAAATGTTGAGCTTATGCCAAATATCTCCTTGTTACCTTCTTATAGCTAAAGGCCTCTTGGTAAAATTATCACATTGACTCTGATGAACAAATCTTAAAAAAAAAAGAAAGAAAAGAAAAGAAAAGAAAAAAGAAAACAGCTGGAAATCATTTCCACCTTTACATGGTATTAGGTGTTTGAAGGCTTCAGAAAACCTTGAGAAAATTTGTTACGATTGAAGACAAGGTCTTCAGGAATAGAAAAAGAAAGATTTTTCCCTAAAATGAGGAATTTCATAATAATAAAAAATGAAAGCAAGAGAATGTTGAATTTGAAGTGAATGTGAAACTTGAAGAGATTCTTGAATGCTTGACTCATTGCTTTCTAAAAGCCTTTAAAGATGTCAGCTTCCTGAGGTTTTTATGTTCTCTGCTGCGTTTAGCAGACCAGGTTAATTGTGGATGGTACAGACTGTCAGGAAGAACACAGTGCTTTGATGAGTTACTACACTTAAGCTTCAATGGTGTGGGAGCCAATTATCTGCTCCCTAACCTGTGTAGACACTTACTTTCTTTCCTTTTCCTAATAGTTACCCAGATTTATGATCATTTAACATCTCCTTAGGACCTAGTGCAAATGTGGGCAGATGACATGAAAGAATATCAACCTCAGATCTATCGATTTTGTTACAGTCAACCCTAAATGGAGCAGATTATCCGTACAACATGGGCAATACTGATGAGTAGCACCTACTCCCCTGAAGGAACACAGCTGGATGCTGCAGAGACCAATCAACTGAGACAGCTGCCAGCCGGCCCCAGGATGCTGTGAGAAGACTGCATCAGAGAAGGTGCTGTATCAGCCGCTGACATGGGAAGCAGTGGCTATACTCACAATATACCTCAGACTTAGGTCGTGTATTCTACAAATTTCAAAGAGCCTTTACATCCATACGATCATTTAAACCGCCAAACACTATAAAGATATAATCACCCATGACCCACAGACAGAGGCACAGACCCTAGAGAGGTTAAATGCTTTGCCCAGTATTGCGAAGCCTGTGAGCAGCAAGATGAACTATCAAAGCCAGGTATTCTAATTGCAATACTTGTGTTAAAGCAAACTAAATATGGCCTGAGAAGGACTCTGTACTTCTATATTTGAGTCCTTGTGGATGAACTGCAACCTAACAGGTAGACAAGTTAGGGTATTGAAACCCTAACTTAGAGGTATGCTCCTGTAATAATCGCTGAGTCTTGGCCAATCCCAGCAGCCATACTTCAACCACTCCTACACTGCTGAGTGTTCAAACTGTGTTCAAATAAGGCAAATGCATAGCTGTAACCAATCCAGCTGTTTCTGCACCTCACCTCTGATTTCTGTATGTCACTTTCCTTTTTTTGTCTATAAATTTGTTCTGACCACGAGTCATCCCTGGAGTCTCTCTGAATCTGCTGTGATTCTGGGGGCTACCCGATTCACAAATCGTTCATTGCTCAGTTTAACTCCTTTAAATTTAATTTGCCTGACGTTTTTCTTTTAATACTTGTGAACTTTCACATTGCTAGCTTACAACAAAATTTTACTCAGTATTACTGTGGGCCAGATCTTTCACTAGATAAAAGAGGATTGAAAGAAAAAAGGCATAGATCTTTTTTTTTTTCAAGGAGCTCAAGACCTATAAAGGGGGACAGACAGAAACTGAGGCTATAATCCTAAATGATGAAGCCATAACTGAGGCAAATGGTAGGAAGGCACTCTGGACTTCAAGTGTGGACAAACTGTTTTCTAAGGAAGCAGCCACCTGTATAGTGGTAAGAAAAGATTTTAGACTTATCATGTCTTCTCCTTTTCAACTCTTGCCTCAAACTCTTTACAGACTAATTCTTTTAACAATACAAGATACGGGGTTAAGAACTTGGGCTTCAGCTCACACAGTTCTGGGTTTAAAACCTGTCTCTGCCTCTTACAAGCTCTTTGAGCTAGAGCAAGGTGACTTTGAGCAAGTGGCCACATTAAGATCCAGTACACTCCTCTGTCCAGTGAGAATGGTAATAATAGTATTTGCCATTTAAGGTGGCTGTGAGGGCTAAATGAGAAGATGTGTTCAAAGTGCTTAATGCCTCACCAGGTGTACAGTAAGGGCTCAATAAACATTGGCATGATGATGAGGAGGAGGAGGATGATGATGATGATAATTAGATACCTTGATTACTGGAGAAGAGAAAGGAGAATGGAGAGGAGGAAGGGAAGAACTTGAGTGATAGGGGCTTAAGAGAATTTTTACTTAATTCATATCTTGCATTCCAGCTAGAAATCAAGGAATCTGCAGCAAGCTGGGCAGCCACAGGTTAGGAAGATGAGGGTAGAGCATTGGGGTTCCTTAAAAGGCAGCAAAGCTGGATACCTGAAGTATAATGGTTTATGAGACAAGTGCAAATTTCCCTACCAGGAAATGATGTGTTACCAAACAGCCCAGTCACTCTGCCTCTGTCACCAGAAGAGTCCAGCACATTCTAAAGCTTCTACCAGACCCATCAGCCCTTCTCTGGCCCACTCACAGCCCCTCAGGGATTCCTGTTCTAGCCTGAAATCCCCACATGAGTCTTAGGCCATGTCTCCTTTCCCAGCATACCCAATCCAAGATCTGACTTCCCAGCTCTAGAATTCTGGTTCTCTACATATCACTCCACTGTGGCATAATTCAGCATTAAAGAGGATGGCCCTGGACTCCCTGATTTCAAATCCAGGCTCTGCTACTTACTAGATGTTTAACTATGGCCAAATTCCTGATCCCGTGTACCTCAGTTGCCCCCATCTATAAAATGGGGACAATATTATCGATGACCTAGGGTTTTGTGAAGTTTAGCTGAGTGCTTAGAATTGTGGCTGGCACCGAATTTAAGTGCTCAGTGAATGTTAACTGTTATGATTTTTTCCCCTCCTTGGAAAATTCCAGTTCTGGTAAATGATAAGTAGGGAAACATATGACAATAGTTACATAAAATATGGAATTATTTGTATATTTCAATTGTCAGTTTTAATTACATATTGTTTCACGCATGGATGATTGAGAGTTCTATCTTGGGACTTTTTCATTTGAACTGGTTCACAAAGATGATATAAATGATGCTGGAATGTCCATGAATAAAGAAGGGACATAGTAAATATTAATGACACTGGAGTCTGGCTGTCAACTTTTCTGAACATTTCCAAAATCCTAAAAGTTAAAAATTTCCCAAAAAGGTTTTTGTGTGTCTATGTGCCCCTAACATCTTTCAGAATTCCACATGAAAGCATCTAGATGAGATAAACATAGACAAGGATTTACCCAGTAGGAGCAGAATTACAATCGCTGAGTCTCCAAGAAGTGCTGCTGTCTTTGCTCTTGCCCAAACAGCCCCTTGGCTACTTATGTACAGTAGAAAGCTGATTCCATTTTCTTATAGTTATAAAACTTACATAAGATCATTGTAAAAAAAAATTAAAATGAAGACAATAATAATCTGTAATTACAATTCTTGGGAATGTAGGTTTAGCGCATTTTATATGATCAGCCAGTTCTTTCTCTGTGCATTAAACATATGACCAGAAAGGACCAGAGTAGGAATGACACGCTTGTGACTTGATCAAAGGCAAATTTACTGGGAAGCTAAAAAACCTTAAGCTTTAGGGCCTCTCCTTTCCACAGGTGTTTTCCAAGGCCTTGGCAATCTGTTCATATGGTAATACATTTGTATAAATTGTATAAATCTTAGGCTTCTTAAATCCTGGTTCCATCCCAGGTGCTGCTGGCTGCAGTCTTTCCTGCCCCATGCCATTCTGTCCCACTGAGCGAGCCCAGACCCAGACTCTGTTCACTCTGAGCTTCTAGCAGCCACTACCAATCAAACAGAGCAGGCATCCACTGAAATCTACTTGTCATCTTTCCAATTCCTTTTGCCCTAAGTTGGGATTGATGCAGGGCCTGAGAACTGCCAGCAGGTATAGGTTATAAGGCTTGGAGAAAAGAGAACTGTGGCAGGGGAAAGGTGGAATACAGGGATGACTAAGACACTCCTTGACCAGCTTTGGTCAGGCTCCTCTGAGGCTACTTCTCAACATGCTCCAACCTTCAGACTCCTGTGTCCATCTTTACAATGCCAAGACTTAACAAAAAAAAATTCTGTTAGGTGAGTTTAGCAAGAATCCCCATCTTTGATATCTAATAATTCCTTATCCTCACTCTTAGAATCTGATCTCTCCAGCCTGCCTTCAATAAGAATACTACCATCAGTTTAGCTAAAATCCCCCTTACCCCTGATATTTCCTCTTAGTAATTTTTCCATCCACTGGTCCCCACCCTTGTCCTTGGCTATAAATCCCTACTTGTCCACACTGTATTTGGAATTGAGCTCAGTTCAATAGTGAGCCTCTTTTCCTCTATTGCAATATTTGGTTTTTTAAAAATAAAATTTATCTTTAATTAGATCCCAGAGTTGATTCTCTTTAACAAAGGGCAGGCAGGACATGATACCCACCAGAATTCTAGAAATGCTTGGTTTGCTGTGACAAAACAGACTCATATGTGGGACTGAATACCACTTATACCCAATTATCATCCAGCACGATATGGTTTGGCTGTGTCTCTACCCAAATCTCATCTTGAATTGTAGCTCCCATAATTCCAATATGTTGCAGGAGGGACCTGGTAGGAGATACTTGAATCATGGGAGCAGTTTCCCCCACACTATTCTTGTGGTAGTGAATAAGTCTCATGAGATCTGATGGGTTTATAAGGGGAAACTCCTTTCACTTGGCTCTCATTTTCTCTGTTGTCTGCTGCCATGTAAGATGTGCCTTTCACCTTCTGCCATGATTGTGAGGCCTCCTCAGCCATGTGGAACTGTGAGTCCATTAAACCTCTTTTTCTTTATAAATTACCCAGTCTCAGGTACATCTTTATCAGCAATGTGAAAATGGACTAATACACAGCACAATGACAATTACATATATTACTATTAAATGTGTTCAGTTAACTTTGAGGACAACCCTAAACTCAGTTGAGGTGAGAGCCCTCTTCAGAGTCTTGCTCACCCACTTTGGTAATCCAATTGTAACTTTAAAAATAGAGAATGCTGCTTTCAAGCCACTCGTTTGAAAGTAAGCTGTGTTACTACAGTGTCACAGTTCCCACATAGTACTGGAAGTGATTCATTTTCTTGTTAACTTGTGCTATATATACTCCAGAAAAATGAGTTGGCATTTCTAAGAATACTTGTTAGAAAAGAACAGAAGTTTTTCTTTCTCTTCCTGTCATCTGAAACTCTTAAATCATAGACAGTGCAATGTGTAGGAAGCTAAAATACGTACTCAAGCTCAGAAGCACCTGCCATAGCAGGGTTTGTCTTTTTTTTTTTCTTCGTGGTATCAGATAGTTTCTCTAACTCTGAAGAAATTTTCTCTAGAAAAATATAACAGTGTTAGGGCCGGGTGCAGTGTCTCACGCTTGTAATCCCAGTACTTTAGGAGACCGAGGCGGGCAGATCACCTGAGGTCAGGAGTTCGAGATTAGCCTGGGTAACATGGTAAAACCCCGTCTCTACTAAAAATACAAAAATTAGCCAGGAGTGCTGGTGCATGCCTGTAATCCCAGCTACTCGGGAGGCTGAGCAGGAGAATCACTTGAACCTGGGAGGTGGAGGTTGCAGTGAGTCAAGATCACGCTATTGTACTCCAGCTTGGGCAACAGGAATGAATGTCCGTCACACACACACACACACACACACACACACACACACACACACTCTCTCTCTCTCTCTATATATATATATATGTATACATAGTGTTAGATATCCTGCAGAATGCAAACCAACAAAGAACTATTAAATACCTAAAACAAACACAGGTTCTTCTTTCCCTTGAAGCTTCTTTTTTGATTCTTTGATTGAAAACTTGGGCCAGATAAAAAGGAAGCACAGAACTACAAGTCATCACCCACAAAATGTTTCATTCTCTGACTTCACAGCTGTAAAGGCACCTGGGAAAGATGAAGAGAAACAGGTAGAAGAGTGACAGTTTAAAAAAAAAATCCATCCATTTAAGTAATCTGAAATGAATTAAAAGAGTCACATATGTTAAAATGCAATTCACATCCAAAAATGTTCCCTTTGTGGAAATTGTAATTATGGCGTTCTGACCACAAGACTTTTGTCTTGTTTAGTTTTGTTTTGGGAGCACCTCACAGGATTAGGTTAACTAGGAACACACACTGGGAAACAACTGCACTAAGTTTTCAAGAAAGGATTATGTTCTCTGCATCATTCAGGAGCAGTACTCATGCATTTCAGGAAGGTTTCCATCCCTATCAGACATACCTGGCTGTATATCAAAAGTCCATGCTCCTCTTTCATACAGGGTAGAGTTGCTGCTAAAAAGTGGGTGAGCAGCTAGGGACTCTATTTCTGCCAGCTCCTCCCCCACCTTTGCAGCTTGATGCAGTCTTGCAATTAAATCTTAGCAAAGGAAGGGATGTTCACCAGCATGAGGTCCCCGCCACAATCCTTAGTGTTCTTTATTCCTCTGCTACGTGAATGTTGACATTCAGGGCAACCTTGGAAGCCTCTCACTGAAGATGGCAGAGCCTCCATCTGATTTCGTCTCTGAATGATTGTGTCGAGCGGAGCACTTCCCCTGCTCCCACAGCAAACACACACACAGACACATACATATGTACTACCACCACCACCACCTCCACTTGACCTACAACTGTGCTGTACTCTTAAGTGAGCATAAAATAACTGTCTATTTTGTGAAGCCCTAAAAGGCTAAAGTAAAATGAGGTTGGTATTTGGAACGGTAACTTGTAGTTAGATCTATGCTTTGGGGAGGGCAGTGCCCTAGGCCCCATGGTGATATTGATGCTGCACCTTATACTTCTAATTTGGAGCATTATTAAAATTCAATTTTCAAATTTCTCTCTTGAATAAAGATAACCCAAGGGAGCCTATAAAGGATGCTGACAGGGTGATTCCTTTCAAGTGTGATTATCTTAGGAGTTTGCACTAATAGTGTTGCCCAAGACCCCTCATGCTTTAAAAGATCCAGACTTTAGTTATTTGAAAAACCCATCACACTCTCTGGATGTGCCAGATAAATTAACTTTTTGCTAGATATGTCTATTCATTTTGTAGTTGTGAAAACCTCTTGATCTCTGGAAATCTCATTTGAACAGTACTTGATTCAGCAAATGTTAATTGAGCACCTACTACGTGTCCAGAGCAGCAATCATCAAACATCAAATACACAAGAGACTTGAAAGCCATGTTCCTAGGCTAAGCTGGGAAGCCCACCACATTCATCTGTAGTGCCAGCCATGAAGCATAGCACCTTTGTCCTGACATCTGGCTGTCCCTCTACCCACTTCCCTACATCGATGACCTGTAGTACAAGCGTAGCCTCTCTAAATTCTGGCTGCCACAATTAAATAGAGTGTAGAGTGGTGTATGAAAATATCAGCAGAGTGAACTTTAAAGCAAGCTCTTCAGACCTGGGTCCTCAGGTACAGTAGTCCAGGCTCCCTCCTAATGTTTGAAGAGCTTGAAGTTGTATATAGTACCAATAGAGGCCCACGTTTCATATATCTAAATATTTTAAAGTTATTGAGCAAACTAGCAAACTGTTAAAGTAACCTCCTACCTTGGTAAATACACCTTCATAACAACTTGGAAGTCCAAGTTCAAATGTAGGATTCTTAGGCTCCATAGCATTCTGCATTGGAACTTGATGGTGAAGGTGAAATTTTTCCCAGCCATTCCATTTCTCTGCCTATCCTCAGCTGCAGACCCCACCAAGAACGCCTCATGTGTTGATGTGTGGATACGGCAGTCTACATCCAGCTCTGTCTCCAAACCCCTGCAAACAACTGGCCCTTGGTTACCCCCCAGGCCTGGATGAAAGGGGAGTCTACTCTTTGGAGGACAAACTAGAATAGAAACTCATGCAGGCCCAGAGCATGATGTTTCAAGGGGCACTATGTTTCTGAGTGAGACTATCCCCATGGTCCTGTGGGAAGGGACATAGCCAGAGCAGGGCCCTACTGGGGCCTCTAAAGCATGGATCCCAAGGCAGGTGCCTTTCTTGCCTTACCTAAGGGTAGTTCTGCGCCCACCCTCCCTCAGAATCACCGAGAAAAACAACTCCTATTCAAATAAGTTTGAGAAACACTGGATATTGCACAGCCTTCTTGGAAATTTATAGTTAAATTAGTATGATGTCTTAGCTTGGGCTGCCATAACAAAATATCATCAATTGGGTGGCTTAAAGAACAGACGTTTATTTCTCACCATTCTGGGGGCTAGGCAGGTGCTGGCTGATTTGGTTCCTGATGAGGGCTCTCCTCCTGGCTTGTAGATGGCCACCTTTTCACTATGTCTTCACATGGCAAAGAGAGAGCTCTGGTCTCTCTTTCTCTTCTTATAAGAACACTAAACTCATCATGGGGGCCCCACCCTCATGACTGCATCTAAACTGGATCACATTGCAAAGGCTCCACTTCCAAATACCATCATATAGGGAGTAAGAACTTCAACATATAAATTTTAGAAGGACACAAACATTTAGTCCACAACACAAAGGAAAGAGAGAGGACTGATGCAAAGAAATCAGTTTAACTTTAACTCAGTATCATCCACACATATTTCTTTATGAAATTTTTTTTGAAGTTTGGTGGATTTTCCATAAAAAACACTAGTATTCGTGCTAAACCACTAGAATCTTAAATCAGTCATCACCTTTGGCTCTATCCTCTCGGCCACTGGCTATTTCACCAATACGGTACCTCGCTTTAGTCTCTGCTGATGGTGATAAATACCATCAATAAACCTTGTTTCTAGATTTCCTTTTCTGTCATCCTCAGACCTGTCCTCCTATTAATAAAAGTCCTAACAATTTGCACAATTTCCAGAGTACCAGTCAAGGATGTTTTATTCACATTACCAGTCAAGCATGTTTTATTCACATTTACCAAAGTGATAACTGCAATATCGCCCCATCTTAACAACCAAGCAGGTGAAGCTGTGATTGACTTTTAAATGCAATCACTAAGCAAGTGGCCAAAACTCTGACTTCATAGAATAGACTCAAAACAACTCTCTGAGTTCACTTTTCTTCTCTCCTTATCATTTTACTTTGCTTTTCTTTTAATTTGGACATAAGTGCAGCCTGGTGAGTAAGATTATAAATGAAAAATTCAGGAATGCAAAATTGAAAATTAGATAAAAGCTATGGTTTTCTGTAGCCTAAAACGAATTCTCCAATTCCTTTTTTTTCCATTTCTCCCACCCTTTAAATTGCAGGCTGTTATGAAGATTTACTTAGCATTTATAAAATCTAGAAGAGCAATAAGAGTAGAAGTATTGCATAAAAGCCAAGAGAAGGGTTTCATGTTGAAGAACAATCACAGTGCGTACTTTTGTTTACTAGGAAAAATATAAAGGATTCCCAGAAGGCTAGTACTAAAAGTTAGTCGCTATTAATTCCAGTTGAAGCCATCCTCACAGCTGCCCTTATTACTCTGCTGAAAGCTCCCAAGTGTTCCAGCCACGCCGTTGCTGTGGTGACTGCTGCAACCACTTGCTCATTTCAGCTAAAAAACATATTCAGGTTGTCAGCCTGTGCCACTAGCTGATTTTGGCTCAGAACATTAAGGTCACTGACATTGCCTTCTCAACGCATGTTATCAATTGAACCTGCTGCAGTAAGAGAAAGTTGAGACAGAATTGTTGTCTAGGCCAGGAGCCAGTCAGGGTCTTAGGGGATGACAACGTCCTTGGTCATCTCATTTAGAGTCTAATCCTCAACTTCACAGCCAGAAGGTCAGTTCTGTGGGTATATGTAGGGAGAGCTGGGCTCTAGGGTGCTGATTAACATTAATCAAATTAATGCAAGAATAATACATAAACTAGAATGTTCATCATTTTCCGTTATAAAACATATTTATATATAAAATATAATCAAGAATCACAAAATATAATCAAGAGTACCAGAATTCCCATGCCCATGCATCAGTAAATTCTCTGCATGATACTTACAAAGCCAAATTTGAATGAGAAGGTTGCTTAGTTATCTGGAAACCAAAGCCAGGGTGAAAAACAAAACTATTTTGGTGGCTGTCATCATGAAACCCAACAACTCTGCCTCACCATTTTCCAAGTTCACTGTAGTTTATTTCCCTGTGTAATCCATCTTGCATTAGGACAAAAACCAACTAAGTCAGCTGTATCTTTAGACTAATATATAGCCATACTCCTCTGAGTTGATAGCTCGAATACTTTAATTTAGTTTTAGGTATTCCTCAAACTCTCCAGGCTCCCATTTATAAATCATTGCTTAAAATGCTTTGGTTCTGCAGATGGCTGGTGTCAGATTGACTTTTTCTAATACAGCCTTATGTTCAATTTTGGGGAAGCCTATATCATATACAGAAAACAGTTCAATGTTTCAAATTGTAGAAAGAAAATCAGGAAGACATTATAGAGAAAAGACTTAGTACCAGTTTGATATTGGATCTCTGGTGAGGCATTTGATTTTTAATATTTATTATCATATCCTAATATGTTCTGAAAGATGAAAGACAGTCATCATTTATGGTAGGCAGGATTCTAAGATGGCCTCCAAGATTCCCACCTCCTAATAAATAGGCCCTGCCATAGTTCCATCCTCTTGAATGTGGGCAGGACCAGTGACTATGATGAGATATCACTCCCATGATCAGGTTCCTATTCAGTTGACTTTGAGTTAATCAAAAGGGAAACTAACCTGGGTGGGCCTACCTAATCTGGTGAGCCCTTTAAAAGGTGAAGCAGCAGAAAGATGCTCTATTGCTGGCCCAGAAGGAAATAAACAGCCATGCTGTGAACTGAACTGCCTATGGAAAGGGCCATGAAACATACCATTACTCCAACATTTGTGCCTCCTCATATTTCATCTCTGTCCATTCTTCCAAAGAACTTAAACTCTATATGATAGCAGAAAAATAGTAAAATTTTTATACGTCATTGGAAAGAGAACGTTGAATATATGGTTGTCCTGAAAACATTTTTTAAAATGCTATACTTTGTCATATTTCCTTCCAAAAACCAGCTGTCTGGTATGAAGTCCAGAGCTGAGTTTTGAGACAGAGGCAAAAAAGAACCAAATTCCCTACAGTAATATAGTGAGAGAGAAGTTGAGCTTTAGGAATAAGAAGAGAGTTCAATAAGATAGTGAAAAAGAGGTCTGTGAAGGACAGAGCCAGTGAGAAATTTACTTGAGCAGGAATGGCCAAAGAACTTGTAAGATCAGGAGCGCTCAACATCTGTTTTAAGTTGTTTGCTGTGATGTAACCCCCCTCCACCGACTCAGATCAGTGGGGCTTCAGAGGATGAAGGAATCGGGCAGTTCCTAATAGGGTGTAATGCTAGGGGGAAGAGGTGGACAACATATGTAGGGGATAATAAGAAGAGAGGTGAAAAAGAATTCAGATGAAGCAGAAGTTTTGATTCAGAAATGACTTGAAATATAAACTCCCTAAACCATGAGAGATATTTCAAGGCTTCTGGGACACCCATCATAAGTAGAAGAGGATTTTGAACCATTTTAATTTGAAAATTATAATGAAACAGATGAGCCACTAATGCTGGAGGACTTAGGAACTCCCAGACAGTTGACATCAGCTGAAGCAGATGGACCCACTGTGTGATGGTGCAGCTCTCTTCCCACCTTCCTAATCTCGGCACCTGTGGCTGCATTCCTCAGTGGAAAGCAACACTCACAGTGGCAAGAGGAGGGGCATTTTAAACTTCCTTTTGTGGGAAGAACACTTCTGTGCTGAGACCAAAAACGTGGTGCAAGACGAAGGATGCCATGTCACCATCATTGGGTGCGCCCCTGACCACAGAAGATCAGGATCAGTTCTCCCGTTTAGAACCCATCATTCAACTGCTAAAGACCAATCACCCATCATCCAAGTTGGACTACATTAGATTGATAAGAAGAAGCTTCACTGCAGGCAGTGGAGATGAGGGGTATTAACTCTGATGTGAAAGTCCATGCAAGACATTTAAAAAGCTCTCTCCACATTCTCATCTCAGGTAATGGTGTCATTACCTGATGTCAAGATGAACCTATTGCTCCCATTAAGACTAGTGAGTCAAACTTTGGAATAACACCATCAGACATTGCACTTCTTTTCATGCCCATCTTATCAATACTTCATAAAATATCAAACTCCTCTCCCACAAGACTCCTAGGGTTGTATTTTTTGGGCAGTGATTCTGAATAATCTTGTGCTTAAAAAAAGACTCAGATCCAGATAATAAAATGATAGAAGCTCTTGCTGAATAACCTCAAACATGTAAAAAGCAAACTAGGCAGTAAACTTCATGAGGACAGAGACCCTGGTTGTGTCTGGTTGGCCATCATCTCTCAGGTCTTAGCACAGTGCCTGACAAATAGCAGGCCATGATGACTCGGCCTCTTTATGCTTCCTGAATGTCAGGATTCATTTGCGTGGTCTGGTCTCCAGTCTTCTGGCTGTCTCTGTCTCCCTGAAGATGCCCAGGACAAAAGGCTACACAGCTGCCCTGGGCCGCTGAGTCATCTCCCTATCAGGAAATTGTTTCTGCCTTAGCTAAATAGGTAGGCAATTTTCTGCCCATTTCAGACAGAAAACCTAAGTTTAAAAAAGATTAAGTGAATAGCTCAAGGTCATATGCAAACTCTGGCCCAGTTAGGAATAGAACCCAAGTGGTTCCTGACATTCAATCCTATGGTTACTTTTGCAGAGGTGCCTATCTTTGTAATTTACAGATATTGTTCCCAAATTGCTCACTGAAAATTCTGCCTAAATATTGAAGGTAAAACAGCTTTATGTGTCCAATAGAGAGAGAAAGAGTATATATAAAATGAAATTTTTCCCACATGAGGAATGAATCACTGTAAGGAACATTTGTTCAGTTGTTTCATTATAAAATAAGAGCATTCCTCCTGGCTGCCACAAAATCCAAATGCTCCATTTTGTTACTAAACACTCCTTCTAACACCAAGCCAAAAATAAGTCACAATGTTAATGCAAACATCTTGCAAGCAAATAAAAGGACTTGTGCCAAATTTATCAGAGTTAGAGGGAAATTGTGTCAGACCTGTCTATGAGAAACTTTCTATTAGATCACCAGTCAATAGGATACCAGCATCTGCTGATCCTGACTGAAAGACATGAGTAATAACAGACAACTTTAGAAAATACATTTTTCTTCCATAGTTAGCAATGCATGACTCACTAGAACTCTCCAGACACTATACTGCATGAATGACTCAAAATTCTACCAAGGACAGAGCACAATCAGTTCTCTCTTCCTGTGCCAGGATTTCTCGTTCCAATTATACTGATTCGTTAGCTTACTTCAAAGACAGAAAATCTTGGTCCATTATCTTTCCTCTTTCAAAAACAGTCATGTATATTTTAATATAAAGACAATTATTAGGGTGCTACAGGAAAACAGAGACTAAACATAATAGCGAATGCTGAAAGCAATCTTCAATTGGTTCAACTCTCATCATTTGGGAGAATGGGTTGGGCAATGACCATGGTTAAGTTTCTTCTGGAAGATTGACCAATGAGAAGAGGTTGTTGCAATACAAGAAATATCGTATTGTGTCACACCAAGAGCCTGCTCATCCAAATCTTCAGTAGCTGATAGTGGTATCAAGGATATTTTGAGAAATATTTCAGTAGTTACTCTCCACGACAGAGGCCTTGTTTCTTTCAAATAACTGTTTTCCTCAATAATTGCAAAAGCCTCCCAGTGAAAGTGCACACCTCTAGGCTCTTTCCTTTTCATTCTATTCTTGGCATTCCATCTCCAGTTTAATATTATTGAAGGATAATTCTGATAATGACATCAACGTAGCATAGTGACTAAGAGAATAGGTCTTGGAATTAGGCCACCCGGCCACCAATTAATTTTTTTTTCTTTCTTTCTTTTTTTTTTTTTTTTTTTTTTTGAGATGGAGTCTCTCTCTGTTGCCCAGGCTAGAGTGCAGTGGTGCAATCTTGGCTCACTGCAACCTCCGCCTCCCCAGGTTCAAGCGATTCTCCTGCCTCAGCTTCCCAAGTAGCTGGGACTACAGGCACCTGCCCCCACACCTGGCTGATTTTTGTAGTTTTAGTAGAGATGGAGTTTCACCATGTTGGCCAGGCTGGTCTCAAACTCCTGACCTCAGGTGATCCATCTGCCTCAGCCTCCCAAAATGCTGGGATTACAGGAGTGAGCCACCACACTTGGTCATCACCAATTATGTTTTTAACCTCTTCATGCCTCAGTTTTCTTATCTGTGACATGGAGTTTGTGAGATGCTTGAATAACTTTTAACTTTGTGTTAAAAATGAGTGTGTAAGCAAACAGAGCATTCATGGTTAAGAGAATAGGTTCTAGAATGACATTTGGGGTTAAATATGTTGGTTCTGCCATTTAACTGTCTGCAAGGCTGAACCAGTTACCTTATTCTGTATAGCAAATCACCCCCAAAACTTTCTGGCTTATGACAGCAATAATCATTTTTTTTGTCTTCCACAGTTTCTGTAGGTCAGATTTGGGGAGCAGCTTGGCTGGGTGGTCTTGGACACAAGGTTTCTCATGAGGTTGCAGTCAGATATTGGCTAGGGCTACAGTCATCTGAAAATTAGACTGGGGTTGGAAGATCTACATTTAAGGCAGCTTACTCACATGACAAGTTGGTGGAGGTTATGGGCAGGGAGATTAATTTCCTTTCACATGGACCTCTCCACTGGTTGCTTGAATGTTCTGATGACATGGCAACTGGCTTACCCCACAGTGACCCAGGAAAGCAAAGCAGCTCCAATGCCTTTATGGCTTCACCTTGCAATTTATATCCCATCAACTCTGCCATGTTCTACTGGTCACACTGTCCACCCCAGATTTAATGTGAAAGGGGACTACTCAAGGCACTGACACCAGAATGTGAAAATCACTGGCAGCTATCTTGGAAAATGACTACCACAAAGATATTGAGCGAGCTACTTTTAGCTCTTTAAACCTTAGTCTCCTTATTCGCGAAATACAGACAATAACAATATACTTATTTCATAGGGGTGTTATGAGAATTGACAAGATGATACATGTAAAGTACTTGGTACCTACTAATTACTCAAAAAAATTACTTATTATTATTATTATAATCCAGTAATAATCAAACTATTCCAGGGGCTGCAATGAGGAAAAGGGTTTTACTTCCGGGGAGTAGATAAAACTGTAAATCTTCCCCGTCTTCTGCCTCATTCTTATTTCTTTCAGTTGACTTCATTTTGTCTCATATGTATTAGGCTTCCTCATAAGCTTTTCATTTGAAGAAAGGATTATTCAGCTTTTTAAAAAAGAAAACTACATTTAAAAAATAAAAGTGTTATTGATCATTATTTATTTCAAGCAGTAAGAATTTTAGTAAAGATAAATGTGTGAATGTATCTTTATAATTTCCATATAGATAGCATTACCTAGCTAATTAGTGATATAGTATGGCTGGAAAGCAGAGAATATCAGATTGTATAAAAGACCACCTAGTCCAGTGTTAAAACCCTTAAGGCTATTAACCCATTTCCACAGCAGTCAGATGGAAGACCTGACATTTGAGGTTGTTGGGTGAATGTATTAGGTAAACTCTTGCACATTCCAAAAGTTGATTTATTCACCATGGTATGTACTCAAGCACTTACTTTCTATGTGCCCTTGTCTAACTGCTGGCTATATATTAGTGAACAAGGTGAATAAACTTCCAGTTTCCATTGAGCTCTCATTTTGTGAAGGAAAAGACAAGGAATAAACAAATAAATGAACACTGTAATTTCAGGCAGTGATAAATGCTATAATAATGAAAAGCAATGATGTGGTAAAGTGACCAAGCAGTTGGAAGACTGGTTTAGCTAGGATGGTCAAGGCAGTGTTCTACAAGAAGATGACATTTGAGCTGAATTTTGAACAATGACAAGGAATCAGCCATATCAGCAATTGACAGAGGAATTCCTAGATATGTACTAACATGGCACCTTGGGAAGCCTGAGCCATCAGGTGACCTCATTCCAATGGAAATCTTACTATTTACTAAAGTTACTGAAATTTGGTTTGAAAGATATTCTGAATAGACTTCTTTCCCTTTGATGATGCATCTTCATAGAGACATTTGGCTAAAGTTGCTGATTAGAGACAATATTTCTGACAAAAAACAATGGAATTGCTGATAGATGGTGTGACTGAGACCAATGCCTCCAAGTTAAAAACCAGTTCAATCTGGGCCACTTTGAAAATATCCTAGAATATCTGAAGGATCAACTTAAGCCTATTTTTCATGGGCTTAAGTTGAAAACAGAAGTCAATACATAGAGGACCCAAGTATAGAACAGATAACATATGCATTCTTGTCTAGTTTCCCTAAGATTTTTCAACCTTCTTTTCACCACCAACCTATACACTTAGAAAGGAGGGGAAGGGGTGTCAAGAAAGAGAAATAAATGAAACATAAAAGACTTAAGGAGGAAAGGAGTAACTACAAAGTAAAATCAAATCTGGAAGGCTGAGGCGGGCAGATTGCTTGAGCCCAAGAGTTAGAAACAAGCTTGGGCAACATAGGGAAAGCCCATCTGTACAAAAAGTACAAAAAATTAGCCAGGTATGGTAGCATGCATCTGGAGACACAGCTATTGGGGAGGCTGAGGTGGGAGGACCCCTTGAGCCTGGGAAGTAGATGTTGTAGTGAGCTGTGATGGTGCCACTGAACTCCACCTTGGGCAACAGAGTGAGACTCCGTCTCAATTAAAAAAAAAAATCAAATCACATTAGAGTTGGAAGAGACCTTAGAGATGGTCCTGTCCGACCCCCTCAGGTTATACATGCACAAACCAAGGCACAAAGAAATTAGGCAACTTCTCAAAGGTACACAGTCAATAGCTAAGTGGCACCCTCACACACCAATGGGAAGAAGAGGTGATAGGGGTGTTCCCTTACTTCCCGTACAGCCTCGGCTTCATATAAGGTGAACGAGGGCCTCTCCATCCTGAATTCTGGGAATGCTCCACCCCTACTTCCCACTCTCAGCAGGTAAAATGCCCTGATCTGTAGAAGAATTGAGTTTGAGTTGCCTGTGAAACATCTACATAGAGATTGCCCAGGAAGCTATTGGACATAAGGGTAAATAACTTAGGAGCAAGATCTCAGCAAAGATGTGGATTCATGAGTCATCAGTGTACAGCTGAAGATAGGTCCAATTACAATACTTCCTGTTTTTACATTATGAATCTGAGACCCAGAAATGTGATGTAACTTGACTGGGGCCATATTAGTAGGTACAGAGCAGGGATTTAGAACCTAGTCTTCCTGACTCCCATGTCTGTGCCCCTTCCAAGAGGGCTTGCTGATATGACTATGTGCTCTGATGAGGAGTGGTAGGAAGGTGTTACAGCAGAGCAATGCTCTTTTAATTTCAATTGCATATTTCTATTTCTAATATATAGCTAAACATAAATATGTCTAATGTGGGTGGCTATACACATTTTGCAGCTTATGCAGCCAACAAATTGCCTACTGACAGGCAACCAGCCACTCACCCTTGTCCTTTGGATATGATTCCAACAAGAAACTCTGTAAAGCTGAGAGAAATCTCATAATGCCTTCCAGATAGTCCCTTCTGGGTCCTGTAATCTAACCAAAAGAGTGCAAGATGCCTGCCAGGTACTGTAATTGGGCCTATCTTTAGCTATCAACTGATGATTTCTTTTATAGGAACCTGGTGACTCCTGACTGTGCTACCCAAGAAGACTGTGTGGAAGGAAGCAGCAGACATCAGCATGTCCATTGCACCAAGACTGGAAGCCCAACCAGTGATTTCTGTAGCAATTTCTGAAGTTGCTGAGCAAGTGGATTGAGAGCTTTTAAGATAACTCTATACTGAGTATCAAACAAAGACCAGAAAACACCTAAGAGTGAATTACTCGTTTCAGCTGCATTATTTTATGGTTTTTAGGACACAATGGAAAACAATGGAAGCTCCACAGCTATTAATTAAAAACTTTGGGGATACCACCAAGAACTTCCCAGGTACGTAATGGTTGGTCCACTGTTCACCCTTCCTTGTTCAAAAAGGATTTCCTGAGCACCTTCTCTGATGCTTGCCTTCCCTCCCTATAGTCTTTTGGTCCTCTCTTTTCTGTGTCTTTGCTTCAAGCCTAAGGAGCTTTTCCCCAGACCTTTATTTTATTTTATTTTATTTTATTTTATTTTATTTTATTTTAGATGGAGTCTTGCTCTGTTGCTCAGGCTGGAATGCAGTGGCATGATCTTGGCTCACTGCAATCTCCAGCTCCTGGGTTCAAGTGAGTCTCCTGCCTCAGCCTCCTGAGTAGTTGGGATTACAGGTGCCCACCATCACACCCAGCTAATTTTTGTATTTTTAGTAAAGATAGGGTTTCACCATGTTAGCCAGGATGGTCTCGATCTCCTGACCTCATGATCCTCCCACCTCCCAAAGTGCTGGGATTATAGGCATGAGCCACAGCACCCAGCTCCCCAGACCTTTCAATATTAACCTAAGACCCAAAGGGTGAGAAATTTATCATTGTTAATACCTTTATTTCTCCTGCAACTCTCAACCACCCCGCTTTCTCTGATACTACATTCCTCTTGCTCATTTCCTGCCTTTCTGATGGCTCTTCTCTGCTCCTGTCATCAACAACCATTCTTTATGCCCTTTCTATAGGACATTTCCCAAGGCTGTTGCATTGGGTCTATTTTCTAAAATTCTTACACTTAATTCCTTGGTGATCTCATCAATTTCGCCCTTGCCCCAACCCAGCTTTAACTATTTGAGGATGACTTCCAAATCCACATCTTCAGTCCTGAACTTCAAGTCATATACATTTTCTAATGCCTGATAAATAATTCTACTGAAAAGTGCTACCAGCACCTCTAACTTAAAAACAAGACTTTTTTATTGTTGACAATAGACCATCCACGATTCTACCCATCCAGACTTGGAACCTTAGAGCCATGGCACCATTCGTTGTAATTTTAATCTCCTGAGTTCACTGTGTGGAGAATAGTATCAACTTCTTAGATGAATTCACAGCTCTACATCTATCTTTCCTACCCCTATCTTTACACTTAATCCAGTCCCAACCTCTCTTTCTTGCCTCACCACTCACATTTCTGTCTTCCCTCCTACCCTAATCCTTTCACCCTACTCTTCCACTTGTGTTGTACCTTGGATTATATTACTCTTTTCTCTTTCATTCCAATATCTTTCCCTTCCCCTTAAAGAGCATTTCTCATCTCTAACTGATAAGATAGGACCCATTCTCAGACCCATCTCAAGTAACATACGCCCAGAAATGGTAAGTTTCCTCCAGTGTGCAGCCACCTATGAGAGAAGATGTAATTTCCTGTCCAAATGCCTTCTCTCTCACTCTCCAAGTTAGTCTACCTCCTGCCCCGGAAATTCTACTTCCTTAATGCTTCTTAAATCTATCCATTTTCCTTTATCTCCTTTACAATACTTTTGTCCAAGTCACTACTGTTTTCACCTAGGCTACTAACATGGCCTTCTGGCTGACCTCCTGGGTCCTCTTTTGCCCGTCTCCAGTTTGTGCCATACAATACATGTTTTTAGAACATGACTCAAGTCGGGCCACCCCTTCAGTGCCTCCCCATAGTGCCCAAACCCTCAAGCCCTTGGTACACTGGATTCTGCCTGCATCTTCAGCCTCTTCAGCATTTTTTTTAAAGACAGCATCTTTCTCTGTCTGAAGTATGGTGGTGGGAGCATAGCTTATTGCAGCCTCAAACTTCTGGGCTCAAGTGATCATCTCACCTCAGCCTCCTGAGTAGCTAAGACTTCAGGCAATGCCATGCCCAGCTATTTTTTATTATTTTCAGTAGCGATGGGGTCTCACTATGTTGTGCAGGCTGGTTTCGAACTCCTGGTCTCAGGTGATCCTCCTGCCTAAGCCTCCCAAAGCACTGGGATTACAGACATGAGCCACTATGCCCATCCTCAGCTTTTTCTCAGTCAGCACCATGCCCATTCCTACTATGGGACACTTATACCTTCTGTTCTCTCTGCCTAAAATTCTCTCCTTCCACTCTGCTCTCCTAGCCTTCAGAACACATCTCAAATATTCCTCCTTTTGAAAAGCCTTCCATGCCTATATTCCCCCAGCTGTCAATGATACTGTGTGTGTACTTTCCCTTCATGGCAATTCTCTCAGTTAATTACAGATGATAGCTAGAGACTTACAATGGGGTTATGTCCCAATAAACCCATCCTAAATTGAAAATGCCATAAGTTGAAAATGCACTTAATACATCTAACTTATTGAACATCATAGCTTTGCCTAGCCTACCTTAAAGGTACTCAGAAAATGTATATTATGTTACAAAATATTCTAACAGAAAGCCAATTTTAAAATAAAGTGTTGAATATTTCATGTAAGTTGTTGAATACTGTACCGATACTGAAAAAGAAAATTATTATATGGGTACTCTGAGTACAGTTTCTACTGAATGGCTATCACTTTAGCACCATCCTAAAGTAAAAAAATTCATAAGTTTAATCATCATAAATTGGGGACCATCTGTATTTTACTATATATTTCTATTACTTGATTCATGTCTGTCTCCCCCACTAGATTAAATGTTCCATGAAGAAAAAGGCTGTATCTGATATGCTCATCATTTTGTCTAAGCTTTTGTTCCAAATTTCCAGCAATGTCTGGACATAGTAAAAGTTACCTAATAGATATCTGTTCATTCAGTGGGTGAATTGTTATTCTCTGCCCTCAGATTTCCTAAGTAAAAAGGAACTCCTTCCTTATACCTATTTCTTTCTGGTAATATTAACTATGGTTTTCTGAAAATAAAAGTGAGAAATTTTAACCCACTTTGTTGAACAAGTCCTATGTGTATAACAACAGCCATAATTCCAGGCTTCAGCTTCTGTTTCAAAAAAGTATTAATGGGTACAAAAACTGGCAAAGAGAGGGAAAATATAGGTGGGTGTAAATGAGGTTAAGGAAAGTACATGTTTTGACTCCACAGCAGAAAGAAGTCATTTATATGTCTTTCCTTCATCCCACCCAACACTAGGTTTCAGAAATTGGAACCAAACTAGGAACTAATAAATGTGATGTTCATAGGTCACAATGACAATGTTTATAAAGTGCTGCTTTCTCCACTCAACCAATTTATTTTAAAGCTCTTCCTGAAAATGATTTATACTAGGTTTTAAACTAAAAAGTTTCAAAATATTTTTACCTCTGACATTTCCATGAAAACCAAAGATAAAAGTGACATTGAGTTAGGGAAAATATTCAGTGCAAATACAAATGCATTGTCCTTCCTTACATCTGACTCTAATGAGCATAGGTACATGCTCAAAATTCTGCTTGTAAACATTTCTGTTCAGCTGTATTGAATTCCACTGATAAAACTGAGAGGACATGAGGTGATGAAGAAGTGGGGACAAATGGTAAGACCACTAGACTAGAAAGCAGAAAACCAGTATTCTAGTTCCACCACTTAATAGTCATTTGACAAAGCACTTAATTTCTCTGTGCCCAAATTTCAGGAATTATAAAATGGCAGTGATAGAGCTTTGGTTCAGGAAAGCCGACTAACATCACATGGGTTAACAATAAAGGTGTATGACAGGGGACACATCCATAATAGTAGTGAGCACTGAAGTTGTTAAAGTGAGTTCTTGTTGAGGCAGAAAGTCATAACCCAGGATGCTTACAGACGATGGCAATAGAGATAGGAGTTGGAATTTTTCTTCCCTCTGGGACCCAGGATTGATCCAAGCCCAGAGATAGCATATTCCGAGAGCAGTAGTGGGCTGAGGATGACAGTAAGCACAATTAATTAAACATCCTCTATTGAAATAACTATACCAGATTTTCTCCCTCTTTATGAACCCCACATGCCCAAAGAACCTGGCAAAAATGGAGTTGGCAGAGGAAAGTCATACTAGCTCCCCAAGATAATGATCTAGCACTGTATTCGTAAATATAAATGGAAAGCCAAGGATTCCTTCCATTTGTGTAAAAATACTTCAATGGCTCAAAAGAGAGGGACCAAAATAGAGGTAAAATTGTAAAAACCTTCCAGAAAGCAGAGTATAATTTTTTTTAAATGTTTAAAGAAAACCAAGAGAACAAAAAGTTAAGGAATATGGAAGATAAATCTAGGAGAGATGTTGTATATCTAATAGGAATTCTGGAAGGAGAACACAGGAGCTTTAACAATTAAAGATATAATTGAAGAAAACGTCCTAGAGCTGAAGAAAACATGGAGTTGTCAGATTGAAAGAGGTTACTGAGTGCCCCTATGGATGAAATTTCAAAACACCCCAAAGTAAAAAAAGCTAAAAGCTTCTAGGGAAAAATAATAGATTCCCTATTTACCTCACTGCTCAAAAGAATCTGATTATTTCACCTCTCAAAAGCATCAGACTGACATTGGATTTGCCATCAGCAATCTTAGAAACTAAAATACAATAGGGAATTGCTTTTGAGGAATGAGGGTAAATTATTTTGAGGCTACAATTATATGTTTGGCCAAGTTATATCATAAAGTTACTGTAAACAGATTTTCAGACACATTATGACTCAAAAAATCTGCCCCAATTTCACAATTTTTGTGAAAATTGCTTGAAATTTCACTTACATGTTGTTAACACAAAAAGGAACCCAAGAAAGAGGAAGATATAGAATATGTTTGTCAATCTAACCCAAGAGTGAGGTAATCAAGGAAATCTCAATATTTTAGATGCATAGTATACCTAAGGAGCAATTGATACAAAATTCATCAGGAAATCAGAGGATTCTAAAAACAATAAAAAATGCATTCAAGAAGATAGAATATTCCTTTTAAAAACACAGAAAGGTTAATATATATATCTATATACATAAATACTAATATGTATGTACTAATATGTACTAATACTAATAACACTTTATTAAATATATCTCTGTATATGATTAAATGTAATACACAAATATTTAATATAATCATTAGTGTTTTGATGAAGACATGATATTCTATTTATCAACAAGTATCTTATGTTGGGTTCCCTAGCAGAGTTCAAGAAGAGGATTCTTTTACAAGTGATTTATTGAGGAAGTGCTCTTTGAAAAAAGGGGGATGATGGAAACAATAAAGAACAGGGAAAATGCTAAGCAGGAATGTGGCTCAACTGAATATTAGCTGTACTCTGACTCCACAGGGCACTAGGGATCACAAATTGCTCCAGAGAAAAGGTCCCATCTTGAGGCAAGCTGCTCTATTGCACCACATGTCAGTCAGTCAGCCAGCAGCAGGCTTGTATGGGAGGGAGTAACTTCCCTAGTGAGGCAGTTTCCATTAGCCCAAAGGTAATTCTTTGGAAAACTAGTCAGCTGTAAGCTATCAGATGCCAACATTTAACTGCAGTGAGGCGTGCCTGCAAAGTGAAACAACAGCATTCATTACAACAACAAAGAAAAGCCAGGCAATTTAAAATACCAGGTAAAACAAAAAGCTATATCAGAAATCCAGAGGTCCAAATGTGAGGCAAATTGTAGCATAATTTTGAACAATCAATATTACATGAGAAAGTTTATCTCATTTGATTTTGATGATTAAAATATTCTCCTTTGAATTTCATAGGTTCAGTTATAACATACATTTCCTCCATGAATCACTAATTAGACTTATAGTAAATAATAATTTCATAATCACATTAACATAAGCATGTTTTAAGTTTGTAAAATCAACTTGTAAAAAGAGCATGTAAGACTTAATCATAGTTATAGGACAGAAGGCAAAATTTAAAAACCTTAACAATATCAAAGTAATGGTAGAGTTGAAAGAAGTTGGAAATAAAAAGGGGAGATATGAGATGGAGGAAAGTATAAGAATAAAAATTATTCATCTTCCATAAATGGAGTTAATATATGTATTTTCTAAAGTTGAGACATCAAGAAATACAGATTTAAGTTCTATGTTACTTAATATTATAAAGATTTCTAATGAAAGAACTATAAAATAAATATATAGAAACAAAAATTAGAAGGAGAGAGAAAGATAATATAAATAAGCTACATTTCTCATCTTTCATGGAAAGGAATCAATAGATTCTACCTGAGGCTGATAAATCAAGAAATGGACACATAATGATATTATTTGATGTTATGGAGATAAATGCCAAAAGAGGTAAAGTTAGAAACAGTTGAAAATGACTACCTCTGAAGGGTGTTATAGAGAGGAGTGAGGAAACAGTAAACTTTTCTTTTTAATTTTGTAAACTTCTTATTATGGGATTTTTTGTCTGTCCACATGTATTACTTTAGTAGAACTAATAAAAATGACAACAAGAATACTTTCTGACCTATCTTATCAGGTAATTAAGAGAATTAATTAAGATAATGTATAGGAAGGCACTCTGAAAACTCTTAAGTGCTAAGATAAATGTGAAGTATTATTAAGAGGGCAGTCAAAGGCATTTCAAAATAGGAGAAAGGAATGTAGCGTTTTTCTTGATCAAGCCACTCTTTCCAAGGTGCCAAGATCCAAGCTGAAAAGGAAGCTGTCTCTAAAACGCTGAGTGTAAGATATCTGAAGGAATAAATGTGCTGAGAGATAGTATTTGGAAGGGAATGACAACAAGAAATTTTAAATAGTAAGTGTCGAGGTAGAATATTGGGTTCCCATAAAATTCTTTCTCCAAACCAAAAACATTGTGAGGAACTAAACAGCAACAGTGATACCATCATCTTAGGAAATGCCATAGCAAAAACATTTCTTGTTAAAATATAAACTTATCACCTCCTTACATCTGAAACCATTTTTAAAGACTTTTGTAAACAGTCTCATAATTAGCATCCCACATGTTTTAAGAGTACTGTGTCCTCATAACTTCTTAATTAGACAGTACTAATCAATAGTCTTGTTAGGGCTTTGAAATAAAATTGTTGATTCATGCCTCTGTCTCCTTTGCAAGAAAGGAAATTTCTCAATTTCTCAGAACAAAAAACCATGTCTAACATTTTGTTCTCGCTCTAGTGCCTACCTCAGAGCCTCCTAGCACATAGTAGGTGCCCAGTGAATTTTGCTAAATGGATGGATAGACGGACAGATGGATTGATGGGTGGATGGATGGATGGATGGATGGATGAAATAACATAGAAAAAATGTTTTTTTATTCTGTAAAGCAAGCCCTTGGTTTGTCCATAATGTGCAATAAATGTCTGGGGACTGTCTCAGCCATTGTTCTTCTGTTAACATGTAGCAATAGGGGAGGAAATTGACCCTTCGATAGCATTGTCCACTTGAGCACTTTGGATAGAACAACTGCATGGTCTGTCCTTTCTTGAGACCTTTCATGAACATGGACTTTAGCCTCCAGTGCAGGTGGGTTCAAATCCCATTCTCCTGGTTAGAGTCTGTATGACCTTGGGCAAGTTTCTTAACATTTACACAATAATCACAACCAGCAACTAACAGGTATTTATGGAGAACATACTATTCATATACTCTGTTGTGTGCCTGCCTCCTCAGAGACTCATCTGAAAAATGAAAGTAAGGGTATCCACCTCAGATAGTTGTGAAAGTAACTTACTGAAACAATGTATGCAAAGCTCTCAACACATAGTAAATTTTCATTAAATGGCTATTATTATTATTATCATCCTCATCATCATCAATGTGCAACTCTTGTTACTGAGTGACCATTATACGCAGTCACTGTCTGCAGAGCTGGGTCAAAAAAGATAAGCAAAACAAGGAGCTCACAGTCCAGCAGGGGACATAAACAAGCTGCTGGGCCACCTTACTCTGTGTCACTCTCCATGTGCTTCATGCACAAGCTCATTTAACAAAGTATCCCTCTTGGGCCAAATTTTCCCTCCTGGATACCTACTAAGGTACTGGCCAGCAAGAGAAGATACATATGGTAGGAACGTGAGTTACAGAGGTCCTTGTACTGAATTATTTGTGAACATTCTTCTCTCCCTCCTCAACATATCCAGGGGCCATGATTGACCTCTGTTCCTCCATAGTCCCTAGCTCCCTAGCATGTGTGTCCCATAGAGTACTAGATGAATATTTTTTGATGGCCCTAAATTAGTCAAGGCAAGAGACCGAACCATGGGGAACAATCCAGAAAGAGGTGATAAAGCAGGCTCTGGACTCAGTAATTCACAATGAAAGTGGCATGGGAATCCTGTAAGCCTGAAGGAGTCATGGGCACAGAGGTTCTGGGTATTCCAGCGCCCCCAGACTGTCCATAAACAAAAAAGCCAGAAGCAGCTTCTTATTTAAACCATCAGGTTTTGGGTCATGCAGTGTTGGCTCAGACATACCAGACCAGACCTGGGAATTCATGACCAAGCCTGAGGATATACAAATGAGCAGGGAAGTGAGCCTTTCGTTGGAGCCTCCACTAAAGGCACCACTTTTAAGGTGTGTAGGGGGGAAGAAAAGACCCATTTCCACCCTACAATTGTTGAATTCCCTTCTTTCTGGTTGCCACAATCTTAACATTTTTTGGAATATGTGATATGGCAAGGAGAATAGCGACATCTTCCCACTGGAGTCGCCTCTGTTCTGCGCGTTTTCTAATTGCATGACAAATATTTTCTCTGTCATCATTTTCTTGAACTCAGACTTTTTTTTTTCAAGAAAGGAGGATGGCACAAAAAACTTGGCAATAGATTAACGTCATTTTATACCCAGATTCAGTTTCTTATATCATAAATGTTTTATCTTTAGAATGTTCATTTTGGAAGAAAGATTGAAAAGACTCTGTGAGAAATTGAATGTGCAAAAATTTTGTGAGTCTGTGAATTATAGAGAGTGCATATAAGTCTGTGAATTATGGACAGCATCCTTCCCCTTGAGTTTATTTCTGAGCCAGGCTGGAATTGAACATGATCATGTTCTCCACATCTCTGTTTGGCGTACTCCATTCAAACCCTTATCACAGAAGCTCAGTATCAATGTCCCCTGATTTTCCAGCACCCCCACTGGTTAAACAACAAGGATCATTTTCCCCGGCCCTGTAATGATTTTGCAGTAAAGGACAGAATTGATTTCAGGGCTATGACTCAGGGCTTGGTAAAATATTGGCCAAGAAGTGGGTGTAAGCAGCCGCTAGCACTCTGGAGATTTCTGTACCTTGTTAGCGGCTAAAAATACTCATGTAACCAATTACGCTAATTTCAAGAAAACATCTAAGTATTTGAGTACTTAGCGCTTTCTTCTTAGGAATCTTTAAAGGATTAAGTAGCTTGCTGTATTAATATTCTTCCTTCAGCCATTTTGTGGAGAAGAAAGTAGGCTGGTATAATTAACAAGGAAGGCTTTTTCCTTGCAAGCTTACTGTGTGTCTATCACTGTACAGGAGAGTAAACAAAAGGAGAGTAAGAACTGATTCATGCCTTCTAGATATCTATAGCCTAGGTCAGGGGGCTGGAAACATTCATTCATTAAGCAAAATACCCCAAAGGAGTGGTTCAGGTGGCCAGTGCCACCAAGGCTCAAGAATGAAGGTAACATGTCCCATGGAGCAGGAGGGAAGATTGTGATAGAGAAGGGGCATCATGGCAGCCGAGCACAGGCCATGCTGGGTCACTGAGACCACCAGGGCCTACAGCCGCAGGTCCTGGCCCGTCACCTCCAGAGACAGGAGGGAATTTGCTGCAGGGCCTCTGACTCCTGGCTCTCCTCTCTTCTTCCACGTGGAAAGAATTACCAGATGCTTTTCTGCTTTAGGCTGCAACACAGGATCTAATTCAGGAGCGACAAGTTGGTTATCCCTCAGACCTCACTGCCCACACTTGAAGCCCTAAACACAGTGCTAAAGAGCCTCAGTGGCCTTGCCCCCATCTGCCCGTCCAGATGTTCTTCTCAACGACATGCCTCTTAATGCTTGTGTACTTCAAAACCAGATCCTTAAAACCTACCCTGTGCTTTCTGCACCCTATGCTTTCACTGTCACTGTCCTCTCTACCCAGAAGAGCCTTCCTTGCCGTCTTTCCCTGTGGAGACCACACTTATCCTCAAATCCCACCTTCGATATTCTATCTTTACAAAATCTTCCCTGACCCAACTCCTAAACCACTGGCTGCCTGGTTGAAAATAATCTCACTCCACCAATTATCCCAATAGCACTTTGTTTGTAGCTTATATCACTCTTCATATTATACTCTATACTGAATTCTCATGAATGCCCCTTTCTCCCCACCAAATTCTTTGAGGGACAAGAAAATGCCTTTCACATCCCTGCCCTCAATTTCCTAGCATGTTTCTACCAAAAAGTACTAAGTAAATATTTGTTATGTGGCCCTAAATTAGTCAAGGTAAGACACTGAGCAATGGAGGACCACCAAGAAAGAGGTGACAAAGGTGTAATCAACAATGAAAATGGCAGGGAAATTCCATAGGCCTGAGGGTGGAAGTCACCGGCTAGAGTCAGCTGTACTGCTTCCTAGCTCTGTTATTTTGACCAAATTGTTTAAACTTTTTGGATCTCAGTTTCTTCCTTGTGAAATAGACATAGAAGCACCTCTTTGAGTGCTGGGGAGCCAAGATGAAGCATAGAGTCTAGGTGAACTAGCCCAAGTGTGAACTTTTGTCATCTATGACTCTAGGTGGGGTGGGGGCGGGGTTCATGTGCCCTTTGAGTTGCCTGCAACTTGGGGGATGTTTGTTAAATGAGCATTCTTCAGACCTTTGTTATACGGGGCAAGGGGGTGTTGTTCTAGACTGTAGGGGCAGAGGTGTTGACCTCATCACATTTCTTAGTCCATGGCATGCTATTATCATTGGTTGCTGCCAGGCCATTCTCATATTTATTAATTATGTATTAATTCTCATGTATCCCCATTTCCTATTCTTCCTCCTCTCTTTGCCCCCATATTTTTTGTACCTCCTTAAAAAATCTGTATTTGTTTTGTATTCATGTATTTTTAATTTACTCAAGTGGTAGTGTGCTAAATATTGCATTCTATTTCCTACTTTTTCTCACTTAGCACCCTGTTTTAACATCAATCCATATTGTTTTGTATGTATTTGATTCATCTTACCCATCATTAAGTGCTAGGTGCCTTGCAATTTATCAAAAATATTGCCACAGAGAGTATTCCTATTCATGTTTCTTGATGAACTTATGTAAAAATTTCTCTGAGATACACCTGGGAACATAGCATCTGCATTTTAGGTAGGGGGCTCATACACCCCAGCTTACCCAGGATGGTCCATGAATAGTTAATAACACTCACTGCTGAGTCATCCTAGGCAAAGGACATGCTACCTAATTGGAGTAAGTACTGCCAGCTTCCCTTCAGCAATAGTGATCAACTTTGCATATTGGAATCATTTGGGGAGCTTTAAAAAAATACTGCTGCCTGGGGTCAACTCCCAGGGATTCTGATGTAATTGGTCTGAGTGTGGCTTGAGCAACAGGATCTTAAAAGCTCCGGAAAATCCTAATAGGCACCCACTGTTGAGAACCTCTGCTCCACCAGAACAGTCTTTACCAATCTACTCTCCCATCAGCAAGGTTTTCATACACCCACTTGGCATTACCCAACTGAAAGCATTTTGTAAAATGTAACTCTGTAAAAATCAGGTTTTACTACGACTTGTTCAGTTGGCCATGCCAAGGCTTCAGTGACTCACTCTGATTTAAGATGCTGCTTGCCAGTGTGATATTTCACATTAGCAATGATTCTTTTATATAAGCAAATGGTAGTTGGGGGCAGAGTAAACAGGGCTTTGAAAATGCTTTAAATTTTTATTTGAAGTTAAAGGTAGAACTGTCTGGTTTAATGGGATCCGTCCCCTTGAACAATGTCCAACTCCTAGGCAGCATACCTAGCTCACCGCTGTGTTCACAACTGCCCCAGGCTTGGCAATGGCTCAGATGGGCAGGAACAAGGTTTGAGTGTCTGTATCTTTTCCTGGTCCTGCCAGCTAACTGCTTGTGTTAAGAAGTAAAGGCAGTTAAAAGAGTGTTGGATTTTTTTTTTTTTTAAGTTTTAAAAAAGGCCAAAATGTAAGTAGTAATTTTTAAGTGACATTTAGTAAAACCATAAAACCTTGCAAGGAATTAACAGAGCTGGATAGCAGACTATTTTGGGTTATAGTAGTACCTTCCAAAAGAAAATTGCAACTACTTTAGGTGGCAATCTTTCTAAAATTAATTATAAACTGCCCTCTAAGACAGAACACACGGAACTGAATTTAATCTCCTTTGCAAATGACCCATTCTCATCATTGTGGACATCAGTGCAATTAGTTTACTCTGTGGAGATGACCAAAATGTACCAACCTCTTTGCCTTTTCTCTCAATGTTCCCAGGCTGCTATGACTGGAGCTTCTAAGCCCACTTGTAGTTTTTCTGATGCCTTCCACACCCTTAGGATTCTAGCCATTACTTCTTAACTACCCCAAGCAAGCCTGTCTGAAATAGCTCCAAATTCTCAAGTCTTCCCTACTGCTGTGCTCCATGGTTGCCTTCAATTTGCTTTGCTAGAATGATGTCTATAGTACACATAAAGAGGCTCTGACTGAGAGGCTGAACGGGTCTTCAATAAGCAAAGGAACTTTGCAACAAAACTTTTTACTCAGAGACCTTTGATAGATTATTACCTGGTGCTCGGCTATGTTCTCAAATAATGGGAATTTTAGCTAACTGGATTCTGGCTAGAAAAAGCTTATGTTGATATCTTAGTCAGTTTAGCGTATCTCATGATACGTAAGGAAGAAGAAACATTCTAGTTGATAATTCATGTTCATTTAGTATCAAGAAATCTTTGTTTTTTAAAGAAAAAAATAAGTTTACATGCTCTTTCCTCTGCCCAAAAGCCTCTTTCCTCCTTCTCTACGTGGCAAATCCTACTTACCTTTGAAGACTCAAGCCCAGGGCTCCCTTCTTGGGATATCATCCCTGACTCTCCCTAGCAAAATTATCTTTTCTACCTTTCATACTCCCAAAGAGTGGAAGTGTCTCACCAAATAGACTATGAGCCTCTTGTTCATCCTTACATACCCAGGACCTAACACTGGGACTGACATTTGGTGCTTAAAATATTTGTGAATAAACGTATATATTTTAGAATATGTGGCCATCTCATGGAGTGGGAAAGGTATATAAATAGTTAAGGGCGGTACAAGAAAAAAAAAAACAGATGATAAAGAAGAACAGATAGGAAAGTGAAAATCAGAGAAGGGGGAAGGAAAGTAGGGGAAGAGAAAGAGAATATGTGAATAACAGACATGTTGAGGACAGTGAGATTTGATAGGCTCTGGAATGTTGGATTACCCACCCTTGCCAACTTTTCTGTTTAAGCCATACATTTCAGACTCTGGTTTCCTTTCTTACCTCGTTCCTCTGAGATGCTAATTAGCTTTCAAAACTGGCTCATAATCTTTCATTTTTCTTAACCTTAAACCTTAAAACTTCAAAGTTATTCACCCATCACTCCTACTCTCTTGATATAGAACTTCAAGTTTCTTAGCCTGCTCCCGCTATGTTATCAGAATAATATAGTCAGAATGCAGGAAACACTTTCGTCATCAGAATATTTCACATTGAATGGGAGGGAGCTGTTGTTTAAGGACTTGTGATGAGAAGACATGTGTTGTCACCATCACCAGAGGAAACAAGTATCACATAATTCTTTGGACTGTACCCACTATTTAACAAGTTACTCCTTTAGTTAACAAAAGATAGAAAGAAAAAGGGTGAAGAAGAGGATGCAAAGAGCTTATTTCATATGATCTATAAAATCAAAAGGCAAACAGCAGGGAGTCACAGGTAGCAATCTGGGATTTAAAGAAAGAAAATACCAACTTCTGAATTCCATGGTTTCAAAACTAATTTATTCACCGTGAACTAATCTTGCAATTCATTAGCTTCACCCAGGAGACAAGATTGAATGTTAACTCTTTTCCTGACCTATAAATAATAGGTGCCACTTGCTTAGAAATGAAACTTAGTTAGAGCATAATAACAAAGTGAATCAATATGATTGTTACAAAGCTAAAAAACACACACACACACACACACACAAAAACAGGCTAAGTCCTGGATCTTTGGGGAAAGGAAATTTTCAATTCCCTGCTCTTTATGGAGAAAAAATGCTTGACAGGAAAGCTGATAGACTTCCCTTAGAAGCGCCAAGAGTGAACTAAAAAATAGTCTAAGAATTAAAAATAAAATATATATTTCAATCATTTGTTTAGCCTGAATGAATAGCTGGGAACAATGGTATTACTCCATAGGTTAATAATGATGATGTGCCATTAACTGTGGCAATATTGAGTTCTTGCCAGTGAAGTATGAGTTGTATGCACCGCTTCCAGGCCTGAATCTAAAATACCTGCCATGCATGTTATTCTATGATCTTTCTTCATTTCTGCTAGTGGGAATGAAGATTACCATGGTGACTTGGGAGCTACTTGTTCAATATGGCAAGTCCTTTGTTAGCCTAGGTCCCTGAATGACTGCATGGAATAGAGCCACTACCAACCAACCTGGAACCTACACTGTTTTCTGTTAAGTGAGTAAGAACTAAATCTCTGGTTCTTTACACCACTACACTCTGGAGTTTTAGTTGTTTGAGCAGCCTATAATAACTACCTATTTCACTTTTATTTTTGAAAAGTTTTAATAAAGTAAATACATATTAATTGGATAAAAATATTATAAATGAAGAGAAACAACAAAAAAGAGGAAATAAAAATCTGTAATTACTCAATATAATAAGATGTACAATCCTAAGACAGGGACCACACATTATCATGTTGTAAGGCATTTTTTTCACTTAAAAAATATCATGAACATTTTTCCTTCTGTGTCATTAAATACTATTCTGCCACATAATTTTTAGTGAAGCATTATTAAAGTTACACAGATCATTGGGAAACCGCAGTTGAATGAATAGCAATATTTCTGTTCATAAACTAATGAACCAAAATATTGCTAGGCAACAGTTGTTCTCAGAATGATTAGATCCTGGACTAATAGCACAGGTGACCACTTGGAAAATTATAATTGGTTCTGATGCATGAACCAGTTGGTATTATCGTAGATGTAAAGCTGCTATAATTTTCTGAAAAATCTTTGTCAGAATGTAGGAAACATTCTCATACAGGCTTCTGAATGAACAAAAGTGTCCTTCCAGGTAATGAATTTGCCCAAAGAGTATCCCCGTTGATTCTCAGACTTTAGGATTGAAAGCTATTCTCAGAATCTAGAATTGAATTAGGCCATGTCTTTCTTTTCTATTATTTTTAATCAGTGTATTCTTGAATAATGATATACGCCAAAAAGCCCTTCATTATGATGGCTACATTTTAGCAACAATTAAATGTATCCATTTAAATCAATGATAACTTATAATCAGGAAAAAAAGCAAAATAGTAAGAACACCTACCTGAATGTCAGATTCTATCAATCTATTCAGTCTCTCTGGTAAGTGTGATTCGTTTGTGGTCCATTCTCACTTTTGTGGAGAATTGCTTTTCTAGAAAAGTTACCATATATCAAAATTATGTAAGTTAAAAATTATTTTTCCACAGATTTAAAGTCCTATTAGGGCATTAAATTCCTGATCAAATGTTCAATGTCCAACTTTTTATTAAAGTGTACCTAAAGACTATATTTAGTTGATTAAGAATTATATACCTAATATATACTACAAATATTTAATGCCATATGCCACGTTTTTATATTCTGCATAATTTCTGCCTTAGCTCATTACAGAAATCTGAAGATGAAGGAATACCTTCACGGAATTCAGAAGGGCTCTTCTCTTCTTTCCTAACATTTTATTCAGAAGCCATTTGAGACTTACAAAAAAGTTGCAGAAATACTATCTGGAGTTCCATATGCCCTCATCTGGTTTCCTCTAATGTTAACATCTTACATCACCATAGTGCAGTTATTAAAACCAGAAAATTTAATTTCATACTATGAAATTAACTAATTTTTAGACCTTATTTGAATTTCATCACTTGTTTCTTTTCTGGTCCAGGATTCAATCCAGGATCCTACATTGCATTGAATTGCCACATCTCCTAGTCTTTCCAATTTGGAACAGTTATTCAGTCTTTTAAGAAGACTATAAGCCAATATTTTGTAAAATGTCCCTCAGTCTGGATTTTCTAACTATTAGGTTGAGGTTATGCTTTCTGGTAAGAACATTACAGAAGTAAAACCTTCAGGCATCACACCAGGAGACAGATAATTCCAATATGTCTTACTATGGTGATGTAAACTTTGGTCACTTGATTGATTAAGAAGATACCTGCTGGATTTCTCGCTAAAAAATGACTGTTTTCCCTTTGTAATTATGAATATCTTGAAAGGGTATATATTTAAAAATTATACTAATAACTGTTTCTCATGATACCTTCACCTACTGTTAGCATCCATTGATAGTACCCACCTAAAACAATTATTACAGTGGTATTTGCCAAAGAGTAACTTTTCTGTTTCCATCATTCTTTCTACATGTTTTATTGATATTCTACTGTAAGGCCGAATGGCCCCTTCTCTCCCATTTATTCTTTATTCAGTTATTTATTTACACCAATGTGGACTCTTGGATAATTATTTTATTTTATAGGCTATAATTCATTACTATTATTATTTATTTTTTTGCTCAGATTCTTCCAGATTTGGCAGGGGCGGGCAGAAAAGCTTGAGGGTTTCACAGCTGCCTCTGAGGAAACCTACAGGGGACACCTAAGGCTACTTGAGGGCTTTAAGCAAGCTGATCAAAGAATGTGTCTTGTCATTCTCTTACTCACTTTAAAAATTTCCTGTAGCAAGCACAGGTATTAGATATGAAGTTCTTGGGTTCTGTTCAAAGGTGCCTGGAAGACAAGACATTCATCTGTGTGTTTACTGCTATAAAGCCATAATGTATTAACATGGCTTAATATCCTTTCGAGTTCCTCCATTCAAATATACAAAAATCACTTTCTTCCCTTTGGGGAAGGCAAATTCTCCCATAGTTGAAGAAGTGTCCAATCACATTTCTTATTCTTCTCTTTAGTATATTATAAGCTCCTCCCCAAAAGGAAGGAGTATTGTTAATCTGATTAGAGACTAAATACTGACTGGGCTGTGTTTTGCTACTGGGCAGGCTTACTGTGCCCTATCAAAGACATAGGGCCATGCCCTGCTTCCTTCTGCCCTTGCTGTCCCTTGGTATGAACTAGCCTGTATGGTTTGCCTCTGGGGCATGCAGGACAAGGTCTCACTCAGATCTGTTCTTTTCTATTCCAAATAGTCAAAGATTTCTCCATTCTATCCATTCTATTTTCCAGCAGAAATGAATCAAACGCCTTGTTGGGGCCTCCCACATTTGAAAATACAGCTTTTTACTGAAGAACTCTGCTTTGGAGGGTGTTGAGTACTTACCCCATGGTTAATAAGCAATATTTTGGGAAATTGCTTGGGAAATGCATGCTCCTGGGGAAGAAATGTGTGGAAGGGGGAAATCAGGTTCCAAATGTCAACATCCTTGAGAAGACACATAATCACTCCTTTGCCACCTTTTTTCTCATCCGTTCACAGTCATGTGCTCATCCTCTCCTGTGGTTCAGACGGATCAGCCAACCCTGACAGAGAGGGAAAATTCATTGTATAACCTGTAGATCAGCCACATCAGAACCATCTAAAAGTGCAGATTTCCTTTTTCTGAAACAGATGGTCCAGTCGGAGTTGTGTGGGACCTCAGGTCTCCTCAGCCTATCCTCCTTTCTGCTAACCGGTCTGAGATATTCCATGTTATTTACATAGCTGCCCAACTTGCAGGATTCTCTACCACCAGGGAAAGTTTACTTAAAAGACTTACTTTTTTTTTTTTTTTTTTGATGGAGTCTTTCTCTGTCGCCCAGGCTGGAGTGCAGTGGCGCGATCTCGGTTCACTGCCACCTCTGTCTCCCGGGTTCAAGCAATTCTCCTGCCTCAGCCTCCCAAGTAGCTAGGATTACAGGTGGCTACCACCATGCACAGCTAATTTTTTGTATTTTTAGTAGAGATGGGGTTTCACCATGTTGGCCAGGCTGGTCTTGAACTCCTGACCTCAAGTGATGTACCCACCTTGGCCTCCCAAAGTGCTGGGATTACAGGCGTGAGCCACTGCGCCTGGCCAAGCCTGGACTTCTTAACCAAACTCCTCTCCTCTTGGTGCCCCTTCTTGCTCTGTCTTATACTCCACTCCATTCTAGCATGGGGGCATAACTCTGAATCCCAACTCTCTTGGGGATCAGATCCTGCTCCCTACGTGGCATGCTGGATCCGATAAACAGATCTCTCAGAACCATACCACACAGTCTGCCTGATGCCCAAACGTTACATCATTTCATGAATTTCTCCTGGGCTGACACATACTTGTTACTCAAGATTCCAGGACACCATCTTTAGATCTGAGACTAAATCCCCCAAACTCTCCTTAATGTGCTCCCCGACTTCCCCAAAAAAACTTCTCTGTCAGATCTGTAGCCCCCATCCTCTTCCGCTCCTGCTTCAAGCTCCTCCCTGCCAGCGCCATTTCACTGAGATCCCAATATGCCTGGAGTGTTAGTCTACCATTTGCCCGCTCCAACATATACAGAGGAAACAAAATCAAATCCTGATGTGCGGGGATCATCCTGACCTCTCATACTTTCTACCAAGCTTATTTAAGGCAAAGACCAAATCACATTTTTTTCACAGTAATTAGCATCCTTCCTTGAAATTTATAATATTTAAACACATTGAGAGGTTCCAGTTCCAGGTAAGATGGAGTAAGCACACTTCTCCTATCTCTCCCAATGAATGCAGCTACAGAACGCATGGGCAGCTGTTTGAGGACTACATTCAGAGTACCCTCATACCTTCAGTGAGTTTGTCAGTCTTTCCCCCATAAGGAGGAAGAGTTTTCCCTGGCCTGGACCAAATCCAGAAGTGGGCATTGGTATAAGCAGAGAGGCTCCAGGGGAAGATCTGCAGTTTAGGCTCAATGAGAGGCCAGGGGTCTCCTAGAAGTGACAGCAGAGGTAATGGGGCCCACAGTGCCTGGTATATAGTTGGTGATTAATTGACTAATCGTAATGATAATAACAAATTACATACTAATGATGACAATAATAACTAACATTTATTAAGTCCCTGCTATGTGCCAATCTCACATCTGAGCACTTTGCTTATATTCATAAAAATGCCATGAAGCTGGGCATGGTAGCGTACACTTGTAGTCCCAGCTACTGGTGAAGCTGATGCTGGAGGATCGCTTAATCCTGAGAGCTCAAATTTAGCCTGGAAAACATAGCAAGACCCTGTCTCTTAAAAAAAATTTTAGGCCGGGCACAGTGGCTCACGCCTGTAATCCCAGCACTTTGGGAGGCCAAGGTGGGTGGATCATGAGGTCAGGAGTTCAAGACCAGCCTGACCAACATGGTGAAACCCCGTCTCTACTAAAAATACAAAAATTAGCCAGGCATGGTGGTTCATGCCTGTAATCCCAGCTACTTGGGAGGCTGAGGCAGGAGAATCGCTTGAACCCGGGAGACGAAGGTTGCAGTGAGCCGAGATCACGCCACTGCACTCCAACCTGGGTGACAGAGCGAGACTCCGTCTCAAAAAAAAAAAAAAAAGACCAAATTTAGTGCCATGAAGTAGGTTATTATCCTATTTCAGGGGTCTACAGACTACTTGTGTAAAGGGAAAGATAGTGAATATTTTAGACTTTGAGGACCAAAGTCTGTGTCACAACTACATAACTCTGCTCTTATAGTGCAAAAGCATCCATAGATAACATGCAAATAAATGACATGGCTGCGTTCCAATTAAACTTTATTTGCAAAAACAGGCAGCAGAATATGTTTGACTTAAAGCCCATAGTTTGCTGACTGCTATTTTATTTTGAAGATGGGAAAACTGAAACCCAGGTAGCTTGCCCAAGAACACAGAGCTGGTGAATGGCAGAGCCAGGGTTCCAATCCAGATCTTAAGTCTGACTCCTCATCACCACGCTACATTGATATTTTTGAGTAAATGAATGAAATGATGACATAGAGACAGACCCAAGTGATATCTTTGGTACGATTTTTTTCAAAGCCCATGGGCAGATGCTAAGTGTCAGAATGTGCCAAGAAAAAACAATTACAATCCTGAACAAGACTGTATTAGTTTCCTATTGCTGCTGTAACACAGTGCCACAAACTTAGTGGTTTAAAACAACATAAATTTATTCTCTTAAAGTTCTGGAGGTCAGAAGTTCAAAATCACTCTGACTGTGCTGAAATCAAGGTGTTGGCAGAACTGCATTCCTTCATGAGGCTCTCTGGGAAAATTCATTTCCTTGCCTTTTCTACTTCTGGAGGCCACCTGCACTCCTTGGCTGTGGCCGCTTCCTCCATCTCCAAATTCAACAGCATAGCACCTTCTAATCTCTCTTCCGACTGATCCTTCTTCCTCCCCTGATAAGGACCCTAGGGATTACGTTAGGCCCACCTGAATCATCCAGGACCGTCTCCACATCGCAAGAGCCTTAACCTAGTCGCATCTGCAAAATCCCTTTTACCAGGTAAGTAATATTCACAGATTTCTGGAATTAGTACATGGACATCTTTGAGAGGCTCTTTTTCCTGTCTACCACAGAGACATTCAAGGCAAAAAGCACTTACCTGGCAAGCTTTCTCCTCTAATGCCTCCTCATAACTTAACCTTTTGCAATCTGAGCAAAAGCAGAACTGAACCCATGCCTAAGGGCTCTATGCATACAAGGGTACAACACAAGCTGCAGTTGGAGGAAAAAATCAACAAAACCCTCTGGGACCTGAGATCAACCAAAAATAAAAGAACGGGTCACCTTATCCAGTTTCAGGTGCCCCCTGCTTCCCTGCCCAAAAAATGAAAACTTAAAGCCTTTCTTTTTAACAAAACAATGTTGTTAACGTTTTATTTTTCCCGGCGAAAAGTTCAGCCTTGACATTTTCCATGCTGGTATCTGAAGATATCAGGGTCAGTTTGTATATTCTGGGAAGCGGGTGTGAAGACAGAATTAGGGGTGAAAACACTTATTGAGGAAAAGGCCTATGAAGGATTAACTGGCAAGGGAACAAGAGGAGGCTGGGAGAGCCTTCAGACCAAGGCACAGGTCTGATATCTGTGGAAGGTTGTCTAGAAAGAGGCTCTGGCTTCAGTACAGCTTTGGGAAAGTCACAGCCAGGCTAGTGGGGAGCTCCAGAGAAAAGCGTGCTCTTTCAAGGAGGGCCAAGCTCTATTTCCCCACGACGCTCAGTCTTTGGCCTGGAGCAACCCAAGGGAACATGGCTGTGGTGTGAATGCCGACGCAAAGGTGTGGCAAAGCTGGACGCCATCCACTACCTTTTGTATAACAGGTTCTTTCTGAAAAAGAGATCTGAGCAGCACACCTCCATGAGGGCCAGGATAGGTCACCACCTTTATGGATATGATAATTATGAGAGAAATTTTCTTATCCACAACCTTTCAGAGACCGACTATAATGTGTAAAATCTTAGTAATAATGAGGCTTTTTTCCCTTAAACGCTTCTGTTGTTTTTTTTGTTGTTGTTAATTGATGAGCCATTCTTCTAGAATCTTCTTTGTGAGATTCTTTGAAAGTAAGTTTATATCCTTCTTAAATGGCTTTGTCTCAGAAACTTCCCTCGACATTGTGTGGTAATGAAGAGCAGTGGCGGGAAGGAGAAGAAACTGAAAATATTGCAACAGATGAAGGAATTTTTTACTTGGTCAAATGTACTTATTATATTTGAGCTGGGCCTGTTATAGTGCTTGTTCCCATAATGCCATGAGCATCATGAGGGAAAAGTGCTCCCCTGAAGATCTCTGAGCTGCACAAACTGTCTTCTTCACTCCATCCCAAGACTCAGGAGGCTGCAGGGCTGAAGGGGCTCCTGGTAAGTATGTGTTTATGCCCAGCTTATTCTAAAGAGGATTTGAGGAGGGGATGAAATACTCAGAATATGAATAAACTATAAACTAAAAATGGTCTGCCAGTGTAAGATTTTATGGACAATCAGTTTAAAATAGTGCCCTTACAGAATGGCAAATTCAGAAAGGAGGCTAGATAGAAGTGCCACCTGGGGGAAAGAGAGGGAGGGAGTGGTCTGTCCCACCTCTAGCACATTCTCTACAGGTAAGACATATCCTTTCTTTTACAACCTCACTGTACTTTGAAGATGGCCTTGTAGCTTAGGTGCTCAGTATATACATTTACCCAGTTGAGCTCTGTAGACAAGCTCCTCTTTTAAAATGCTAACCTTAAAATCATGGAGAGACTTCAGAGGAAATAGTAAAGTACACAGTGATACATCAGAAGACAGATCAGGAAACAAATAGAAAAGAGGTTAAAGGGTTGGGTTTTACTGGTGATTTCCCCATCAACTAGCAGCACAGCCTTTTCCCCTTCCCCTGCGTTTCAGGATCCAGGGGTAACTGGAGAATGAGATAAGCCAAGGTGGGGTTGGGGGACAGTGGGGGAAGCAGCAAGAGAGGTGAATGGAGAGATAATAGCCAAGGTATTCAAAGTCATTGGGATGGGAGATGATGAAAAAGGATATAGAAAAAGGGGAAAAACTGAGGGGGATGGAGAGAAAAAAAGAAATGCTGACTTGACTGTTTTACCTTTGTTCTTATTTGCTACAACCTCTTCTCACATCTTAAAATATTCCTTTGCATGTCACTCCTGTCCTACTTGGGCAGCACCACCTGGGCACTTAATCTTTATTGGTAAAACAGACAAAATAGAAGAGAATACAACAATATGTCAGTCAGGGTCCAACCAGGAAACATAGAATTAAAAATAGAGGGAATTTAATGCATCAAACTTGTTAACAAGTAATGAAGGTGGCTGAGAATCAAATGAGAGAACAGTGAAACTACAACCAGAGATGAGCAACAACAGTAAGTTGCTACCACCCCTAGGTTGGAAGGACAAAAGGAAGAGAAAGTATTCCTAGAGCTTGGAGCCTAGTGCAACTAGGGCCATTCAAAACCTGTCCTGTGAAGCTGGACAGCTACGAACACTGGTAGAAACACAGTCAAGACAAAGAGGCAAGGGAGAAATATCATCGCTTCTCTCTCTTGCTCTTCTATCTTCCTCCAAAGCCTCCCACTGGCCAGACCTAGCTAGAAACCAGCTGACAAGAAGGCTCAGGAAATGCAGACTTCAGGAGTCAGCCCCCTGCACTACAGAGAAGGACTGAGAAAGGGCAGGACAAACAAGTCCAGGACACACTCAAGCCACTTGTTCTGCCCAACTCCCAAGAGCCATCTGTGATGGTTAATTTTATATGTCAACCTGACTGGGCTAAAGGATGCCCAGATAGCTGTTCAAACATTATTTCTGGGTGTCTGTGAAGTTGTTTCCAGAAGAGGTTAGCAGTTGCATCAGGCGACTAAATGAGAAGAACTGCCCTCGTCAATGTGAGTGGGCACCATCCAGTCCACTGATGGCATAAATAGAACAAAAATACAGAGGAAGGATAAATTCACTCTCTCTTCTTGAGCTCAGACATTCGTCTTCTCCTGGCCTCAGACATCATAGCTCCTGGTTCTCCAGCTCCCCTGAATCTCAGGCCTTCAAACTCAGACTGAATTGCATCATCAACTTTCCGGGTTCTCCAGCTTGAAGAATGATTATGGAACTTCTCAGCCACCATAGTTGACCGAGGCAATTCCCATAATAAATCTCCTCTTATGTATTTACATATATTGTATCCTGTTTCTCAGGAGGACCCCAAAGAATATACCATCTAATTAGCTTATAAGGGAAGGAAATTATTTGTGAACGAAGGGATTGTCCAGTAGACAGAAAGGACACACAGGTGGGAACTTTCTTCCTCATGTGTCAAAGCTGCATTTTCAATAAGCTGGATTCAGATAAAGTTATGTAGCCATAAAAGGACATATATAAACAGTTCATGTGCTCTATGTGAACAGATTGTATATATTTTTTGAGGCAGGATCTCGTTCTATTGCCTAGGCTGGAGCATAGTAGCGTGATCATGGCTCACTGCAACTTCTAACTCCTGTGATCAAGTAATCCTCCTGCCTCATCCTCCCAAGTAGCTAGAACTACAAGTGCACACCACCACACCCTGATCTTTTTAAAAATTTTTTCTTGAGATGAGGCCTTGCTATGTTGCCCAGGCTGGTCTCAAACTCTTGGCCTCAAGTGATCCTCCCATCTTGGCCTCCCAAAGTGCTGGGATTACAGGCACAAGCCACAGGGCCTAGCCTGAACAGATTGTCTTTACAATGCTTCTTCAAAAGTCAGTAGCTCAAGACTTTGTAATTATTCTTTCCAAGAAACAATATTATGTAATTGTTCATTGCCAAGTAAACATTCAGAAGCCATTTTGAATCATATTATATACTAACTATATTTTCCAAAGCATGGGATCTTTCAAAGGAATTTCATACCTCTTCAGGATTTAAAACAAGATGGAATACTAAAAATATTAGAACTCTCAAGGACAATGAGACTAAATATTTGAAATTATACAGTTCTTAATTTTTTTTATTTTTTTAAATTTGCCCATAGGGATGCAGTCCTTAAAATTTTTAAATTTCAGATCCTTGCACCAATGTTACACTTGTTCCTGATGTCTAAGTACAGCATGTGTCTATAAATAGAGCATGTCCTATAGACATTACAGTCCAACTCAAAACACCAATAAAACACATCTCTAGCCCGTAGGAAATTCACCATGGATTTCTTCATCAGGTGTAGTTTCCCTTTGGAACCGAGGATCAGGACAGATAAAAGAACACTTGCCTTAGATAAACACCACCTTCATCTATGTCTGAGAAAACGGGTTAAAACTAATACAGTCCTGATTTATGTTGTAGAGCCTTAGGAGGCTGCTCAGAAACCATGTCAGCGGACTGACAACATCTATCTTCAAGTCAAGTCACAACTTGAGACACTGTTAGGAGGTTTCACTTTTGTGTCACCATCCTTGGATCACTATTCCTGGGCTTCTTTATCTGGATTTCATCCTGCTTCTTTTCCCGTGGGCCTAGATCAACTCCAGATATTCAGGCTCCTCTTGGTCACAGAATGCTTTGAACTCCTTTCTGGCTTTCCTTCTCTGATTCTCTGTTTCCTCCGGTTTGGGTTCTGATCATGGCGTCACACTCCTGATTCACATGACTGACTTCATCTCCTCCTGCTCGTCCCAGTGGACTTCCTTATCCCTGAGCAGGCTCCCAGCTCCGACCCCTCCTGGCTTGCCCACCCCTATCCCGTTGTCCCTACAACATGTCTCATATTTGCATAACTGCAGATAACTCTCCAAGCCAAGGATAACAATGGGAGCACTGTCATGTGACAATGTCATCCACTTAGTACTGGCTGCTTGAAACCCAGTTTGGGAAAGTATTCTGAGGGAAGGGTGCAATGCATACCATGACTGATAGACAAGACCTGCTATGGGCAAGGTACTTTTAGATTGGTTTAAAAGTAATTGCAATTTTTGTCATTGAAAGTAACAGCAAAACCCACAATTACTTTTGCACCAACCTAATAATGATAATGCCAGTAAGAGCTTCTAACGTTTGGATGCCTGCTGTGCACAAAGCCCTGGGCTAAGCATTTGTCTGCATTTTTATTTAAACTTCAGGATAAAGAAAGTGATGTTCCAGTAGTTAAGCAACTTCCTAAGGTGATACAGTTAGTAAGGAGAAAACCCAAGACTTGAACTCCGGTCTGTCTCATGAAGAACTCAGGCTCCTGGGTCAAACAGTTCTTAATATTCTGCATAAGACACCCAAGGACACCTATTTTTGTGGATTGGATTGGGAAAAGCCTCCTCATTCAGTATGTGAGCAATCATCGGTAAACCATGTGTTTGTCAATTGAGATCTACCTGTTCAGTCATATAAGGAAACTGGAAAAATGCACAAACAATGTGGTTGGGCATTAAATGAAAGAGTTTAATGGAAAGACATGGTAAGAAAGATCAAGAGGAGACAGTAGCTGAAATCCTTTTTTAAATCTCTTGAGTTAGACACACTGATATGCCGAAACTTGAAGTCTACCCACTCCAGGTACAGTATTCCTAGGAGGGAAATGCTGCAAGGGAGCTTCAACTTCAGTATCTGCTCACTATCAGGGATTTCTCTAGGTCTACTCAAACTTTCAGTATCTACTCACTATCAGGGATTTCTCTAGGTCTACTCAAACTTTCAGCTTCATGTGATGGCACCCAGCCAGGAGAATCTCAAGGGAACCCAGAGAGGGTAGGAAGTGATACAAAATCTGGATCTGGCTCTACTCATCAAGCTATGTGCTCTGGTCTGGGCTCCATCAGCCTGGAGGATAGTGCCTTTTTTCTAAGTGGCCCACCCAGGGCACACTTTTTAAAATTCAGGTGCTAGCTACTGCCCTGCTGGAAGTCTCCCATTTTTGCATTCGTGGCTTAACCAACCTCCTTTCTTTGCCTCTGTCTCCCTTCACTAGACCAGATTTTGTCTATTCTATAGTTCTTTAAATATCTCTCTGGGAGTTGAATGGGATAGAGATGTGGTTTGTTTATGTTGTTACTTTTTCATTATTTATTATTTTTATTATTTACTACTCATGAACAGCCTCAATAAAGAATTTGGTAGAATCTCTGGAAATTATATTGATGTTTCTGAAAAATATTTTTTCAGAAATACATTGAATGGTTATAGTAGATCAAAATGGCATGTTGGTAGATTTCTGAAAGAATCACAGAGAAATGGAAGGAAAGTTTTGTGTAATGATTTGTCTTTTCAAGATTACAAAATTCCAGAGAGATAGCCATTCTCCACTGCACAGATCTGCTTCAGTGTTTAATAGACTCCTTACCAGCAGGGGAGACCAGAAAAACAATCCCACAATTACAGAGCTTCTGCTATATTTAAGGCTCTGTACTTAGCATAAGAAACACAAAAATGCAATAGCCTGCCTTTCAAAGATCTTCACAAAGGACTCCCAATGGCTAAGTGCTGTGTGAATCAATGACCCAGGTTCTGTTTTAGTTTTTTTTTTTTTTTTTTTGAGACAGAGTCTTGCTCTGTTGCCCAGGCTGGAGTGCAGTGGCACGATCTCGGCTCACTGAAAGCTCCGCCTCCCAGGTTCACGCCATTCTCCCACCTCAGCCTCCCTCCCGAGTAGCTGGGACTACAGGCGCCCACCACCACGCTCAGCTAATTTTTTGTATTTTTAGTAGAGACAGGGTTTCACCATTCACAGGAGGGTCTCGATCTCCTGACCTCGTGATCCGCCCGACTCGGCCTCCCAAAGTGCTGGGATTACAGGCATGAGCCACCGCGCCCGGCCCTGTTTTAGTTTTTTAAGACACCATATTGCTTTGTTCAAGACAATATTTATTGATTTTGATTGATTGGATCCCTACTCCCATAATATCCAAATATATGGTTAATTATTCTGCTCCATAAATATTAATTGCTTAAGCTATTGAATTACAACAACATTTCATCATTCTAAATGGCACCCAGATATGGCACTGAATGGTTTAAAAACAAGGACAGATGGCTCAACATCTTTATTCGATAAGAAGGAACTACCTTTTTCACTTTCCCTGCTGGTCCTTCCTTTATCTCATCACCAGAGGAATATGGAAGAGTCTATTATTGGGGACAATTCAACTCCACCCACTGTGCTGCACTCCCAAGTTCTCCACAAAAAGTTACCGGCAATCAAACACTCCTGGGTCACAGTTACAGCAACATGGTTGTGCAGGGAAGAATCTCAGAAGTCACACCCAATACGCAGAACACAGACAGGCAGGCTGGCATGAGGCTCATCTGGTTTAGTTTTAACCTATTTAACCATCACTTGTCCAGCCCACTACTTTTTGGCCCAATGCCCTTATTTCTTCTTGCTAGATTCTAAGTCCTTGGCCACAGTTGAAAAAGCTCTCACCACAGATGTTTCCATGGATAGTGAATCCAGAGGAACCTCAACACTCTTTGCAATGTTGACTTCCTCATAAATTAGGGAATCATTTATGTATTCAGCAACTACATTTAGAGCCTTCTTAGGCTTTGAAGACACAACAATGAATAAGAAAAACTCATAGCAGAAAGGGGAGTCAGATAACATGCAATGGTAGTGCTACAAACAAATATGGAGCAATGTATGATAATGAAGGAGGAGATGCTACTTCAGAAAGGGTTAGGACTAAAGATATCTCTGACAATGTGATATTATCGCAGACAGCTGAATGTGTGAGGTAGTAAGCCATAAGGCTATCGGGGGCAATAAACTTTCCTAGGCAGAGAACAGCAAATGCAAAGGTTCTGAGGCAAAAGCGGGCTTGGCTAGGTCAAGGAACAACCAAGAGACAGGGGGCTGGGAGGAGGTGACAAGGCTAATAGCAGGAAAACTAGTTAGGGGACACTTGCAATAACCCAGGAAGAGATCATGGTGGCTTGGACCACAGCGACAGCAGTGAGGTGATGTGAAGTGGTTAGATTCTGGATTTGTTTGGAATGTGGCACCAATTGGATTTGCTGGTGAATTGATTGGATGTGGGGTGTGAGATGAAGAAAAACTCAAGAATGACTTCATATTTGGGGCATGAGCAGCAGGAAGGATGGAGAAAGGATCAAATTTGGGAGTGGAAAATTTAGAAGTTAAGTTTGGTAAATGTTAAGTGTGAAATGCCCAGTTAGCCATTCAAGGGGAGATATTGAGTAGAAGCAACAAGACAGCAGCCTGCCAGAAGTCGTTAAAAACTGAAGAAAGAAGAGGTGCTGTTTTCAAATGTTGTTGAAAGAGTCAGTCAAATAAGAAATGAAAGTGAGCTTTAGATTGGCAATTTATGGGTCATTATAAGAACTTTAAATGTTCATTGTAAGGTCATGAGAACCATTGATTAGAATTATTCCAATGGAGTGATAGGGTGAAAGGCTGATTGGAATGGATTCAAGAGAGAATGGGAAGAGACAGAAGAAGAGATGATGGGATGGAATAAGAAACTCTGTCAAACAGTTTTGCTGAAAATGAAAGCAGGAAATGTACTAGTAGTTGGAGGGGGAGCTGGAGGTTCTGGGAGGATCATTTCAGGATGGAAGACACCGTAATTTCCTTGAGCACTAATGAGAATGATCCAGTGGAGAGGAGAAAATTGATGATGCATGAGAGGAGAAGGAAAATTTCTGGACAATATTCCTGACTAGGATTGAGGGGAGGAGGTCTGTGTGCAGGTGGTAGGTTGGCCTTAGACAGGAGTTCCAGTGGGGCTCTTATCTTCCCACCCTAAGAATAGATGGGAGTCTCTTACTGAAATTTGTTCACCCACCCATGTTTTTAATTTTTGCCAAAAGAGCAAATGAAAAGTGTTATCTTATTGTTTTAACTTGCATTTTTGTGATTACTGAGGAAATTGAGCCCTTCTTCATGTATTTGTCATCCATTTGCATTCCCACTTCTATTTATATCCTTTGTTCATTTTAAATTGTCTTTCCTTTTGACTAGCAAATAATAACACATTCATGATTTTTGACACTGCAACTTCTTTCTCCTGGTTTGGCATGAGTCCGTTAAATCTATCAAAGTGTGCTGTGTTAAACAGAAATGTTTAATTTTTACCTAGTCAAATCTATCTGATTTTTACTTCATGGTGTAGGTGTTTTTGAATCACAAGGGTATTCTCCTACATGTACTTTTATTAGGTTAACAAATTTACCATTTGCCTCTTTAATGCACTTGAATAACACTATTAGTTTGTCTATTAGATAAACTAGGGGTTCAAGAAGGTGAAAATTGAGGTTGAAGAATACCTACACATGCACATTTCTAGCTGTGATGGTTAATATAAGATGTCAACTTGCTTGGATTGAAGGATGTGAAGATGGCTGGTAAAGTATTGTTTCTGGGTGTGTCTGTGAAGGTGTTGCCAGGGGAGATTGGCATTTGAATCAGTGGACTGGGAGAGGAAAAGCCACCCTCAGTGTGGGTGGGCACCATCCAGTCGGCTGCCAGCATGGTTAGAACAAAGCAGAGGGAGGAAGGTGGGATAAACTGGCTTACTGGGTCTTCTGGCTTTCATCTTTCTCTGGTTCTGGATGCTCCCTTCCGCTCCTCCTGCTCTTGGACATTAGACTCCAGGTTCTTTGGCCTTTTGGCTCTGGGACTTGCTGGGGGTCCTCAGGCCTTTGGCCACAGACTGAAGGCTGCACTGTCAGTTTCCCTGATGTGAGGCTTTTGAACTCAGACGGAGCCACTACCGGTTTCTCTCTTCCCCAGCTTTCAGAAGGCCTATAGTGGGACTTTGCCTTGTAATCATGTGAGCCAATTCTCCCTGATAAACTCATATATAAATATATGCGTTTGTATATATACACACAATATAGCCTACGAGTTCTGTCCCTCTGGAGAACCCTAATACACTAGCTTTCCAATACTACCACATTTGTGTCACTGAAAATAACTGCCATCTTAGAATTCTTCACCCAGCAAAATTATCCATCAAGAATGAAGTGAAAGTGAAGACACTTTCACACAAACAAAAACTGGGAGAGTTTGCCACCAGGGGACTCATTAAAATAAATTCTAAAGGCTGTACTTCATGTCAAAGGAAAGTGATTGCCAATGGAAGAAATGAAGACCAAGGAAAATGGTAAATATGCGGTAAATTGAAAAGAACATCATAAAAAACTATAGTAATATTATCATATGATGTTTTAAACAAAACAAAAAAGGATTGAAATATTTGTCACCAGTAACATATTGGTTAGGAGAGTTAATGAACGCAGTTTAAAAATCTAAAGTCTTCATATAGTTAAGAAAGAAAGATGTTAACTTTATTTTTATTTATTTATTTATTTTTGTTTTTTTGAGACGGAGTCTTGCTCTGTCCTCCAGGCTGGAGTGCAGTGGCGCGATCTCCCCTCACTGCAAGCTCCACCTCCCTGGTTCACGCCATTCTCCTGCCTCAGCCGAGTAGCTGGGCTTACAGGCGCCCGCCACCACGCACGGCTAATTTTTTGTATTTTTGGTAGAGACGGGGTTTCACCGTGTTAGCCAGGATGGTCTCGATCTCCTGACCTCGTGATCCGCCCGACTCGGCCTCCCAAAGTGCTGGGATTATAGGCGTGAGCCACCGTGCCCGGCCCCAAGGATGTTAACTTTAGATTTAAATACATTAGGATTCATGGTGTGCTTTCTGGAGTGAAAAACACAGAAATAGATATGATTGTGTAACTGTTAGTTCAAGTCCACAGAGAAGAAGATGCCAAGACAGGACTAGAAATGCAATCCTCCCTGTTAGGGAAAATGCCAAAGAAGGGTAAAAGGGAGGGAGTCCCAGAAAGTCAGGAGAACCTTGAGCCTATGATGCAGGCTGACACTTTGAAAAGGGGGAAGGAGGGACTGAGTAGGATCCAAACTATTATTTAGGAAGAATGTTCCAGGACAAAGAGGAGCAAATACAAAGCCAGAGAGGAGAGAGGGCTTATGAAACATTTCATGACATGCAAAGGTTTCAGTATAGCAGGAGCATCATGCAGGGAGCTCTAAATAGCGAGGTAGGAGGAGATTGAACAGGTCAGTAAGGGCACCGTTACAAAAGGCTTTACATGCCATCCAGGAAAGAGTTTGAATTTTAACCTGAAAGCAATGGGAAGTCATTGACTGATAGCTTCTGAGAAAACATTTACTCAACAAGTATTGGAGTACATACAACATCCTAGTCACTCTGTGGCTACCTCAGAACAGGACAGACACAGACCCCGCCTTCCTGCTTCAATCGGGATTGGCGAGCAGGAAACATAGGTTTTGGAGCAGGGCCAATCAGTAGATACTAATGTGGAGAACTGCAGGTTACAAAAATGAAGCCATGTGAGAAAATGAAGCCATGTGAGTAAATGAATCAAAAGACTCAACCAAAGGCAGAGCTCCACAGTGTATCAGCAGGGCCTGGACTAGGGTAAGGCAAGTAAGGTTCCCAGGGGTCAAAATGTAATGAGGTGCTCACTCTTAGGCTCATGCAAGTGCAGGATTGATGCCTGAGAATGAGTACCTCCTTATATTATTCTTTTTTTAATTTTAATTGTAGAGACAGCATCTCACTCTGTTGCCCAGGAGAGAGTACAGTGGCACCATCAAGGCTCACTGCAGCCTCAACTTCTCAGGCTCAAATGATCCTCCCATCTCAGCCTCCCAGGTAGCTGGAGGCATGTGCCACCGTGCCTGGTTAATTTTTGTATTTTTTGTAGAGACAGGGTTTTGCCATTTTGGCCCAGCTTGTTTCAAACTCCTGGGCTCAAGCGATCTGCTTGTCTCAGCCTCCCAAAATGCTGGGATTACAGCTGAAAGCCACTGTGCCCAGCCTCAGTTTTATTTTAAATAATAGTTTTATTAAGATGTAATTCATATGCCACATAATTCATCCATTTAAAATGTGAATTTCAATTTTTGATAAATTCACATCCATCACCACTAGATAACTTCACAACATTTCCATTATCCCTCCCACACTCTCCCTATATCTCTGACAACCACTAATCTATTTTCTGTCTCTATGGATTTGCCTATCTGGACATTTCATATAAATGAATTCAGACAATATGTCTGGCTTCTTTCACTTAGCAAAATGTTTTCAAGGTTCATCCATGTTGAAGCATGTATCAATACTTCCTTCCTGTTTATGCTGAATAATGTTCCACTGTATAGATATATCTTTTGTTTATCCATTCATCAGTAAGTAGACGTTTGGGTTGTCTCTACTTGTGGCTATTATGAATACTGCTACACGAACATTCATGGACAAGTTTTCATATGGACATTAGTTTTTATTAGGTTGATGCAAAAGTAATTGCAGTTTCTGCCATTACTTTTAGTGGCAAAAAACAGCAATTACTTTTGCACCAACTTAAATAGCTCTCTTGTGTATATACCTAGGAGTAGAACTGCTGGGTCATATAGTAACTCTAGGTTTAGCTTTTGAAGAACTGCCAAAGTATTGCAAAGCAGCTGCACCATTTCACTTTACCACCAGGAATATATGAGGGTTCCAGTTTCTCCACTTCCTCATCAACACTTGCTATTTTCCATCTTTTTCACTATAGCCAACCTAGTTAGTGTGAAGTGTTCTCACATCATAGTTTTAATTTGCATTTTCCTAATTACTAATGATGCTGAGCATCTTTCCATGTGCCCTGAATTACTCACCACCACCCATCATCTTGGAATCTAAAGAAATGAGGGAGATAAAAGCATCTCCTCAATTATGTAGGAAACTCTGGGCATACAAAGTCCTGTGTCTCTTGTACACCAAGAAGGTGCTTAACTCCTAGCAGTTCAAAACTGATGCATTTACCAATATGGAACAAACATTTTTAGGTTTTGGTCGTAGGATCTGGCTTATATCAAAATCACCCCATAATTTCATTTACTTTACTAGTTAACAGAAGTCTCAGGATTTCTTTAAAAACAGCTTGCTTAGAAAACCCTTAGGATGCCTTTTAACCCTCCTAATTGGCATAGTCAAATCACCTTTTGCTTGCACAAAGCCTCTTCTCAGACACAGAAGAATAAACCTGGGCTTTTGTTTTTGTTTTTCTGAGTGGAGTTTAAATGTCAAATATTCTCCGTGTAGACAAAAACACTTGCCAGACTATCAGGCTAGCACAGTTAAACTTAAATATTCATGTGTGATTTATTTGGTAGCAGAGTAAATTACACAACTTGTTTATATCAGCCTTGTCAACAGCAAAATGAAGCCATTTACCAAAAAGCCATATTGATGCAGGATGCCTCTGTGGCACAGGACTGAAATCTGACTGAAAGATATCAAGACACACCATCTGTGTTATGATTTATGACAATGCTAAGGAAAGAGGCTGTTAGACTGCTTTGCAAATACTAAACATATTAAGGGCTAAATGCAGCATTTGGTATTGCATTTTATTATATGAATTCATTTTAAGTATATCTTCCTCTGAAATGCCTTGCAGTTTCAGAGGAAAAAATATTTTCCTTAAATCTGATTTGTTTTGAATGAGGATATTCATGGAAAAGTTAGACATCAGCTTATTAAAAACTTCAGCCAACATTCAGAACATTTTAATTACAGAGAATCCTAGCAATTAGACCCTGTAGAAAACTTATCCCTGACTGAAGTGTTTCTATATTTTGTTCTTTATTTTTAAGGTCTACTTCGTCAGCTATGAATCTATTATGAATCACTGCATTGCAACAAATGTATCCTAAATAAAAAGAAAGACAGCCTCTTGTAATTAATGAGGTATCAATTAAATTTGAATTTTGCCTTTTAAAAGAGTTTTATCACAGTAAGATTTTATATGGAATCAGTAGCATGTCAAATGCCTGTAAAGTAAAGAGTAAGGACAAAAATAAATTCTACATTTAAATGAAATTCCAGCTTGCATTTTTGTCTATTATTTTCCCTTCTAATTAAACCATTTAATCCCACGTTTTTATATTTCATTATTTCTATCATTGGAACATGAATTCCAGTTCTCACAAGTAGTAAACACAATTCTTTAAAGACTTTTGTTTATTAACATTGAATTCCTGAATAAATGGCTACCCCTACCAACGTAATACTTATTTCTAATGGTTTCCAAATAAATGTTTCTTTCATTTTCTCATTGTTTTCCTTTCTCATAGACTCAGAATAATAAGAAAATTGAAGGAAAGAGTCAAAGAGGGGTCTGTGTGATTGTTCCACGGCTCCAAACCCACCCTTCCATTCTCTGCATTGCGATGCTGATGCCGGGACCCTGCAAACCACATTTCTGCTTTTCCAGCTGCCTCTCTGTTAGACTTTGCCATATGATTTTGGACTCGAAGGAGATTGAAAGGCTAGAGATGAAGAAAGAATTCACACTTTCTGTTCGCTTCTTCTTTGCTTCTTGTCTACTTCCTGTTCCTGTGAGCATCACTCTAGCACCTTGGCAACATAGGTCCCTTCCTTTAGCAGCAGTTGAACCCAGTCTGCAATTCTTCCAAAATTTGCAGAACCATCCTGGTTATATCCCATCAGAGACACAAGTGTCAGTGTCCCCTCCTCAGAGGTCTGGGTCTCAACCACACAGAGCTTCTCCTTCAAGTTCAGAGACATCATCATGAGTCAAGCTCTGGCCCCTTCCCAAAGAACTGAATTCCAGCCCTGGGGGTAAGAGGGCGTGGGGGCTTTTCCACCAAATTTATCTTTTAATAATTCCAGCTTCTTCCCTTTGATCTCCCAGCCATAGGGATGGTAGCTCTTCCTGCAGTTGGTACCTTCATGATGTATCAGTGTTTCCTTTTTGTCTCTTCAGTTACCTATTTAGCAATTTAAGACTTGGTTCATAATTCTTTATGTTAAATTGTATCTGTTAAAATAAGTAGGTGACTTCCATCTGGTGAGTGGACACCAACTATACGTGAATTTGTCCCAGGAATAGTTCTAGGAACAAAAAACATTTAAAAATGTGATTTGGAGATTGGTTTGTTATGTCCTTGGGCTTGAATGTGGTGCTAAACTCCCTGACAATGGAGCATGGGGACTAGTGATCCATACACTGGCATTACAATTCATCAAATTACACCTGTGGTTGGTTATAATGACATTCTTAATGAATTAAGTACTTTGGGGGAAACAAGGGATTGCTTCCTTTAATCGTTTCTTTTTTCTTCAGTGTTTAGTTTTCTTTTATTATTTTGGCTTGTCCTGTAATCATTGTAGCTGGCTGTCTTTAAAGAAACATCTACCATTTCCCATTATTATTATTTTTTATTTTTCCGTAAGTTATTGGGGCACAAGTGGTATTTGGTTACATGAGTAAGTTCTTTAGTGGTTATTTGTAATATTTTGGTGTACCCATCACCCAACAGTATACACTGCACCATATTTGTAGTCTTTTGTCCCTCGCCCCCCTCCCCACAAGTCCCCAAAGTCCATTGTATCATTCTTATGCCTTTGTGTCCTCATAGCTTAGCTCCCACATATCAATGAGAACATACGATGTTTGGTTTTCTATTCCTGAGTTACTTCACTTAGAATAAGTCTCCAGTCTCATCCAGGTTGCTGCAAATGCCATTAATTCATTCCTTTTTATGGCTGAGTAGTATTCCATCACATGAATATACCACAGTTTATTTATCCACTCATTGATTGATGGGCATTTGGGTTAGTCCCATGATTTTGCTGCTGTAAACATATGTGTGCAAGTATCTTTTTCGTACAATGACTTCTTTTCCTTTGGGTAGGTACCCAGTAGTGGGACTGCTGGATCAAATGGTAGTTCTACTTTATTTATTTAAGGAATCTCCACACTGTTTTCCATAGTGGTTGTACTAGTTTGCATTCCCACCAGCAGTGTAGAAGTGTCCCCTCTTCACTACATCCATGCCAGCATCTACCGTTTTTGATTTTTTGATTATAGCCATTCTTGCAGGAGTAAGATGATATCACATTGTGGTTTTGATTTGCAATTCCCTGATCATTAGTGATGTTAAGCATTTTTTCATATGTTTGTTAGCCATTTGTATATCTTCGTTTGAGAATTGTCTATTCATGTCCTTAGCCCACTTTTTGATGGAATTGTTGGGTTTTTCTTACTGATTTGTTTGAGTTCATTGTAGATTCTGGATATTAGTCCTTTGTCAGATGTATAGGTTGTGAAGATTTTCTCTCACCCTGTGGGTTGTCTGTTTACTGTGCTGACGGTTCCTTTTGCCATGCAAAAGCTCTTTAGTTTAATTAAGTCCCAGCTATTTATTATCTTTGTTGTTATTGTATTTGCTTTTGGGTTCTTGGTTATGGAATCCTTGCCTAAGCCAATGTCTAGAAGGGTTTTTCAAATGTTATCTTCTAGAATTTTTATAGTTTCAGGTCTTAGATTTAAGTCCTTAATCCATCTTCAGTTGATTTTTATACAAGGTGAGCAATGAGGATCCAGTTTCATTCTTCCACATGTGGCTTGCCAATTATCCCAGCACCATTTGTTGAAAAGAGTGTCCTTTCCCCACTTCATGTTTTTGTTTGCTTTGTCGAAGATCAGTTGGCTGTAAGTATTTGGATTTATTTCTGGGTTCTCTATTCTGTTGCATTGGTCTATGTGTCTATGTCTATTTTTATACCAGTACCATGCTGATTTGGTGACTATGGCCTTATAGCATAGTTTGAAATCAGGTAGTGTGATACCTCCAGATTTGTTCTTTTTGCTTAGTCTTTGTTTGGCTATGCGGGCTCTTTTTTGATTCCATACGAATTTTAGAATTGTTTTTCTAATTCTGTGAAGAATTATGGTGGTATTTTTATGGAGATTAAATTGAATTTGTAGATTGCTTTTGGCAGTATGGTCATTTTCACAATATTGATTCTACCCATCCATGAGTATGGGATGTCTTTTCATTTGTTGGTGTTGTCTATGATTTCTTTCAGCAGGTTTTTGTAGTTTTCCTTGTAGAGGTCTTTTGCCACCTTGGTTAGGTATATTCCTAAGTATTTTACTTTTTCACAGCTACTGTAAAAGGGGTTGAGTTCTTGATTTGATTCTCTGCTTGGCTGCTGTTTGTGTATAGAAGAACTATTGATTTGTGTATATTAATCTTGTGTCCAGAAACTTTGCTGAATTATTTTATCAGTTCTAGGAGCTTTCTGGAGGAGTCTTTAGGGTTTTCAAGGTAAGCAATCATATCATCAGCAAATAGTGACAGTTTGACTTCCTCTTTACTGATTTGGATGCCCTTTATTTCTTTCTCTTGTCTGATTGCTCTGGCTAGGACTTCCAGTACTATTTTGAAGAGGACTGGTGAGAGTGGGCATCCTTGTCTTGTTCCAGTTTTCAGAGGCTTCCCTTAACTGTTAATGAAATAATGTTAATTACAAGGACTATGGCATTGAATAGATTCTTCTGAGTGCACTGGACACTCATAGAATGAAAATTACAAGCTCAGGGCTTTACACGCTCAGCTTAAGCAACAGATTTCAAAGAATTTCTATGATAGCCCTAAGAAAATCTCTTATTTCTTGCAGCCACAGGACCAATATTGTTGAAAGCCAAACACGAAATTTAACTGTACAGGCTGCAGAAATACAATATAAATTGAATTCACAGCCTCTCTAAGTCTCTCAAGTGAGTTGGGGCGTTGATTGGATAGGAGTGAGCCTTGAAACTTAGGATAGGAACAAGTCTTGAAACTTAGAATAGGAACATCTGCTTGGGTTCAGAAGACCTTGAGAATTTTACACCTTCCCTGCCACCCTGTCATCATTCTGAGATTCTCTTGCCAGTGGGAGGAGCTTACCTTTTGCATGTCTAAGTAGACTACATGTTCCTTGCTTAAATACCCTGTAATAACCTCATCTGAGGCAGTGCCTTATAAGGGGACACTCATTGTCCTGAAGACTTACCTTAATACCCCTCGTTGCCACTGGGCTCATAATGAAGATCAGATATCATCATGCTCAAAGGGGTAAAGGACATAGTCTGACCTGAGAGAAAATGACTTATAAACCAAAAAGAAGGCAAGATTTGCTTTTCTTTTTTTTTTTTTTGAGACAGGATCTCATTCTGTTACCCAGGCTAGAGTGCAGTAGCACAATCACGGCTCACCACAGCCTCGACCTCCTGGGGTCAGGTAATTCTCCCACCTCAGCCTCCTGAGTAGCTAGGACTATAGGCGCCTGCCACCACTCCTGGCTAATTTTTGTATTTTTTGTAGAGATGGGGTTTTACCATGTTGCCCAGGCTGGTCTTGAACTCCTGGGCTCAAGTGATCCACCCACCTCAGCCTCCCAAAGTGCTAGGATTACAGGCGTGACCCACTGTACCGAGTAAAGACTTGCTAACTATATTAACATAAACCTGGAGCAAATGTGTGAGAATGCAAACTAGGAAATGGAAGATAAGCCCCACAAAATTTCTCATCTAGAATATGTCGAGACAGTCCCTCTGAAGAGAAAAATGAGTTGTTGTATCTTGTACCACCTAACACTAAAAATGTGGCATAACACTCGATGGGCCTTTTTTTTAGATTTTAGAAGCAACTATTTCTCACTTTTCAGTGTGCTACTTCAACTCATTTACCAAGTATGTTAAGTCTGTCCACTTTGAGTGGAGAGCAGAGGAGGAAAAGCTCTAAAGCAGATCTAGACTGGAGTGCAAGTTGCTCTTCCAGTTGGGTTTCATCACCCAGCATTTACAATAGTATTCCACCCTACAGACGGGGGAAATACAAGACAATGAAGTTATGGGCCAATTTTATTCAAGAGCCTGGATGCAGAAATTATAAACAAAATTGAGCAAACTGAACCCAGTAGTGCGTAAAGTGCTACATGTAAGCTCCATGAAGGTAGTGATTTCTAGGCTTATCATTACTGTATCCCAACACCTTAAACACTGCCTGAAACATCATAGGCATCCAGTATTATTATTTGAATGATGAATGACCAAATTAAGTATATCCAGGACTTCAAGGGTGGTTTAGCAATAGTAAATCCAGAAATTATTGCACCACATTGATTGATTAAATAATACACATATGTATTATTTATTAAGACATTAATAGATGCAGTAAAAGCATTTGATAAAATCCATTAACCATTCATTTAAAAAAATACTTCTTAGCAAACTAGAAAATAATTTGAAAATAGAAACAACCTACAATGACAAAGAATAAAATATTTAGGAATAAATCTAACAAAAATCTGTAAGAACTTTAAGGAGAAAATTGTAACTTATTAGTGACAATAATACAAAAGGCCTAAGTAAAGGAAGAAGTAGTTCCTCAAGCACAATCTTAAGACTAAATATGTTGAGGTTTTTGTTTTTGTTTTTGTTTTCCTTTCCCAGTATATATTTTCACCCTGGAGGACTGTTGACATTCTCATAAATTTGGAGACGCAGAAATGACCCAGTTTGGTAAAAGTGCATTAGCATCGGTAAACATTTTGCAAGTCCTTACTGCTCTAACTAAGTCTTTGGCAGCCCCTCAAGGAATGTATACCATGCTCTTGCCATAGGAGCAGAGATTCTGGGACCCATGTGGTTTTTGTAATGAGACATATTGGAGGAGCAATTATTTAATTATGCCTGATGTCCCTTCTCTTTCATTCTTCTTCCCTTTTAAATGTGAAAAGATCTCTGAAACAAACAAACAAAAAAGTCAGCGGAGGTAATTATTCAAGTAATTATAGTATTGATAAGTTAGAAATTCAACCTGACCCATAAGTACTGTACATACTACCTTAATAATAATTGCTAACATTTATTGAGCTCTTAGCACTTTACATGTATTATATCATCGAGTCTTCAAAATAACTGTAAGTAATATTCATTCTCTTCATTTTACAGAGGGTGGAAACTGAGATAGAGAAAGAACTAGTTAATTTGAACAACACAGGAGTCAGCGAAAAATAAAATAAATAAAAATTTTAAAATGTAAAAAAGAAAGAGCCAGTTAACTCAAAGTCACACAGCTAGTGTATTAGTCTTTCAGGGCCATCGTAACGAATTACCAAAACCTTGAGAGCTTAAAACAAGCAAACAAAAAATTTACTCTCTCACGGTCCTGGGGGTTAGAAATCCAAAATCAAAATATTAGCAGAAATATTGGTTTTCTCCGGAGGGTATGAGGGCCAATCGGCTCCACACCTCTCTTCTAGCTTCTGACAGCTGTCCGCAGCCCTTGGCTTTCCTTGGCTTGAGGGTATGTAACTGCAGTCTCTGCCTCCATGTTCACATGAATATGTTCTATGTCTCCTGTCCGTCCCTTTTTCATCTCTTATAAAGACATTTGCCCTTGGATTTAGGACCCACCCTAATCCAAGATGGTCTTATCTCAAAAGCCTTACCTTAATTACATCTAGAAACACTTATTCCAAGTAAGGTCACACATTCTGAGGTGTTGGGTGGACATTATCTTTTGGTGCCACAATTTAACCCACTGTAGATAGTGAGTAGTAGGACCAGGGATTCAAACACAGGTCTGTTTGGCTTCCAGATCTCAATCTCATCCATTATTCTGGACTTCTCTTTTTACCAAATCTCATGAATAGTAAATACTCAATAACAGATTAATGGCTGAATGAGAATTAAAGATTAAATACAATAGTTGGACAGTCTTTTGGAGTGTGTTATACTGGAATTTATCTTATAGTCACTTCTTAGAAAACTACTTCTGAGTAATCACACTGTGTATACTTACTATTCCTTCTACAAAGATGTCACTAACTTGCCACTTCCTCCTTGTGATTATCCTCTTTGATCCCTCACAATCTGTTGTTTTAGCAGCAGAAATCAAAGGCAAATTACAAATTCACTCAGGAAAGAATTAAAGAGAGAGGTGTGGTCAGAGAGCCCCACTAATGATGTGAAATCAGTTAGTACCAGGCTCACTCTCCTTGATCAAAAGGCAAAATTACCAGTCACAGGCCTCTCTCAATGTCTCTGTTCTTAACTCTTAAGTAAACCTTGGACTGTAATGCTAATCTGCTTCTCATGTTTTCCAAGAACTCTATTTGCAGAATTCCTAGAACAAGAAGATAGCAGGGTCATAGGTTGTTTTTAGTTTTAGTTGCTGCTGTTGTTGTTGTTGTCATTTAACATGATTTGAGCCCCAGGATGTTTCTGAAGTGGCTTGTCTTTCAAGTCTGTGTCCCAGAAGTATAAGGGTATGGAAAAAGAATGGGAAGGAAAAAATGAGTTTTCCATCCCAAGTATTTTTTAATTGAAAAATGTGGTGATATGAATGGTAAATAAAATATTTGAGATAAGACTTTCAGTAAATGCTATTGGCTCTTTCTTTTAAAAATTATTTCTAAAATCGATGCTGAGAGATTTATATACAAAAACCATTAATCATGTGAGATTATTTCAGTTTCTATACTGGATGATGAACAGTGTATTCTCATAGTCAAAAAAGTAAGACAATTTAAAAGTAAATTCAGTGACTATTTGTTACAGTAAACTATCTAATTTTAATATGCCAAATATGATTGTGTTCTTAAATAATGACAACAGAAAAAGGATTTTTTTCCCATATATTGCATGGAATTAAATTCTTAAAAATTGTCTGATTACCCTCTTCATTCCCACAAAAGCAGGGCTGGGGAAGGAAGTAGAGGGCAGAGTTAGGTGTTGGTTGGTTGGTTTTATCTATTATGTCAAACTTTCCAGAAACTTTCTATTTCCAATTTTCTCACTGGAAGGTAAACAGTGATCTCTAACTTACAGAATGAGAATTAAAGAATAAATACAATATTTGAACAGTCTTTTTATTGGGATTTATTTTATAATCACTTTTTTTTTTTTTTTGAGGCAAGGTCTTACTCTTGTCACCCAGGCTAAAGTGCAGTGGTGTGATCTTGGCTCACTGCAGCCTCAGTCTCCAGGGCTCAGTTGATCCTTCCACCTCAGCCTCCCAAGTAGCAAGGACTACAGGCAAAAGCCACCATGTCCAGCTAATTTTTTAAAAATATTTTTTGTAGAGATGGGTTTTCACTATGTTGCCCAGGCTGATCTTGAACTCCTGGGCTCAAGCAATCCTCCTACCTTGCCTCTGAAATGCTGAGATTAAAGGTGTTTGCCACTGTGCCCAGCCCATCACTTCTCAGAAGACTACTTCTGAGTAATCACACTGTGTATAGCTACTATTCCTTCTACAAAGGTGTCACTAACTTGCCACTTCATCTCTGAAGCTGTCAAGACCTATAGAGAAGTCGAAGCCCATATGTTTTTTAGCACCGTATTCACATTTTTGGGTTAGAAAATAAGGTCACTAATTTCACAATCTCACCATCCCAGAACACAGAAAATTTGCTATCCAGTAATGGTGACACTTCATGCATCCTGAGCAAGCCCTAGTTCTTACTTAGCCTGAGACCTTCACTCTTCCTCTTCTGCCCCTAATTGTCTTTGAATGGCCTGGATCCTGGGATTGGGCTTCAGTTTAAGTTACCCTAGTTCCAGCTTCCTATTCATCCTCATCACAAAGTGCCATGATCTCAGGGTGGCTTATGTCCAAATTCACCCAAATTTCAGCTTATCCTACTTCATCTCTCTTTAATGTACGTTGCTACTTTGACTTCTAGGAGAAATCTATACCCTAATTTTCTCCCAACCTCTTTGTCTACACATTCTCCTTCATTGAATTATCTTCCCTAGACAACTCCTTTAATGCTGATTTTCCTCTGGATTCTGTGCCCCCTGGCTTTCTCAGGCTTCTGTCACAGGAAATCTCATTCAATGCAATGGCTTAAATCAGGCATTGGTAAAGGATAGCCCACTGGCCAAATCTGGTCTGCTCACTGCCTGTTTTTGTAAAGTTTTATTGAAACACAGCTACACTCCTTTATTTAAATATTGTCTACAGCTGTTTCTACGACTCACCAACAGTAGAGTTGAGTGGTTAGACAGACCATATGGCCTGCAAAGCCTAGACTATTTACTATCTGGCCCATTAGAGAAAACATTTGTTGACCCTTGGCTTAAACAATCACTTCTACATAGATGATTTCAACTTCAATAATTGCACCTAGCTGGATGGAAGACTGGGCAGAAACAAAAGGTAAGGTTGAGGTAAAAAATCAATAGCAGGCAGTGAGTTCAGTCCTTCACCTAAAAATCACGGCTGAGATTGAGCAACAAGTGTCTATAGCAAGATGCCACTGGAAGTCACTTGGACTATTCCCAGGTTTCTTTTTGGCCCTGAATGATGGATAATTGTTAAAACTGAGGAAAAGAATATAGGTGGGGAAACAATTTTAACAGGAATGAAGGGTAGAAAGATAATGCTTGACTTTGGGAATGTTTTCATTGTGGTACCAATGGGACAGCCAATTTATGTCCAGAAAAGAGTCAGATGTACGAGGCTGAAACTCAAGAGGAGGGTAAGGATAGAGATCTGGGAATCATCACTGTTCCTGTGTTAGCTGAGTCCTAGACTAGGAATGAGATCAACCAGCAAGCAGTCGTAAAGTATATTTTAGCAACTCCAGGTAAAGGGGGCCAGGGTAAATTAATATCTTCCTGGATGTAACACTAACTCACTAATTTGGTAAATGCTGATACTGCTTAAGAAAAGAGATAAGGTAATCCACAGAAGAAGACAAGAGAACTGTGCCCTAAGTGCTCAGTGCTGGGGATCAAATGCTAAAAACCTTCGTTGCTGCAGTAGCGGCTGTTGCTTTAGCCAATCAATCTTGTAACTTTAGATGATTTGATAGAAAGATAAGAAATTCTTTGGTAAATTTAATCCATGTGGACCACCAGTTTAGAAAAATCTCATCATTCATTGTCAATAACAAATTCTTTTATCTAAATTACCTGAATAACCATTCTTATCCTTACTACATTTTTTATTAAATAATTTTATTTTGGCAAATAGTGTTCAATTAAGATGTATTATTTACATTTGTATGTAATTGGTTTATTTTTAAATAAACTTTTTATTTTGGAATAATTTTAGATTTACAGTAAAATTGCAAAGATAGTACAGAGAGTGTCTGAATATCCCTCAGTTTGCACTAATGTTAACACCTTACATTACAGTAGTACATTTGTCAAAATTTAGAAATCAACACTGGTCCATTACTATTAAGTACACTCCAGATTTTATTTAGATTTAATAAGTTTTTCCACTAATATCCTTTTAATATTCCAGGATGCCTACCCAGGATGCCACAATGCATTTAGTCAGAGTGTCCTTAGTCTTCTCAGTTTCTCAGTCTTTCCTTATTTTTCATAACCTTAACAGTTTTGAAGAATACTGGTGGGATATTTTGTAGAATATCCTTCAATTTGCATTTATATTTTCTCATTATTAAATTGGGATTATGGGTCTTGGGGAAGAACATCACATGTGTGAAGTGCCCTCCTCATCAAGTTATATCAAAGGATACACAATATCAAAATGACATGTAACTGGTGATGTTAATCTTGACTATTTGGTTAAGGTAGCATTGCCAAGTTTCTCCATAAAGTTACTTTTTTTCCCTTTCCTTACTCTATTCTTTGGAAGTGAGTCATTAAGTCCAGCCCACGCTCAAGGAAATCAAGCTCCACCTCCTGGAGGAGGGAGTATCTGAGTGAGGAGGGAATTCTTTAAAGAAGATTTGTCTCTTCTTCTCCACGTGTTTGTTTATTCCACCATTTATCTAGATCACTATGGGCCAATATATATTTGTTTTATATTTTGGTTTGCAATCCATTACTAGGCTATTTCCTTTGCTGTTCAAATTATTATAGGTGTGGCCATCAGTCGTTCTTTCAGTTGCCTCCTGTGTGCCTTTGACCTTTGACATGTTCCTTGCGTATGTGTATGTGTGTGTGTGTATGTGTGTATTAGCAATGTGAGAGACGGAGAAACACCTTAATTGAAGTCTAAGATAGAGGATACTAAGCTCTGATTTTAGCTCTGCCAAGAATCCACTCCAAGTTGGAAATGGGTAGTCCAATTCTCCCTCCCCCTTTTGAAAACAAGTATACTTGTATATGGCTACTTTTCATGAAAATAATGGTAATAACTGCATGAAAACACATTAGTGCAAAACTGAGGGATGCTTTCTGGCAAGAAAGCACACACACACACACACACACAAACACACAAGGAACAAGCCTCAAGCACTTCTTACATTTTCTCCCAGGAATTACCCACATTTTTGCCATTTAGAATAAAGAAAATAGTTTAGCAGTTGCTTAAAATGTTAAACATATAGTTATCTTATGGCCCAGCAATTCCATTCTCAAAAGAATTGAAAACATACATCTACACAAAAATTGGTATATGAATGTTCACAGAAGCATTATTACAATAGCCAAAAGTGGAAACAATTCGAATACCCACCAACTAACAAATAAACAAAATGTGGTATACTTATATAATGGAATATTATTTCTCCATAAAAAGGAACGAAATACCAATGCATGCTACAACATGTAGAAACCTTGAAAACATTATGCTAAGTGAAAGAAGTCTGTCACAAAGGTCACATATTGTCTAATTCCATTTACATTAAATGTCCAGAATAGGCAAATCCATAGACACAGAAAATAGATTAGTAATTTTCAGGAACTAGGAGGAGGAGGGAACAGCGAGTGACTGCTAATAGGTACAGGGTTTCTTTTGGAGTGATAAAAATATTATAAAATTAGATAGTAGCACAATTCTGTAAATATAGCATTGCATGGCATGCTTTACAAAATGTGAATTATATCTCAATAAAGCTGTTATTTAAAAAATAATAAAGTATGTTATATGATTGTTATTTGGATGTCTGAAGGTCTTCATCGATATATAAATGTTTTGGCTGGGTGTGGTGGCTCACGTCTGTAATCCCAGCACTTGGGAGACTGAGGTGGGTGGTTCACCTGAGGTCAGGAATTCTAGACCAGCCTGACCAACATGGTGAAACCCCATCTCTACTAAAAATACAAAATTGGCTGGGCATGGTGGTGCACACCTGTGATCCCAGCTACTCGGGATGCTGAGGCAGGAGAATCGCTTGAACCTTGGAAGCAGAGGTTGCAGTGAGCCGAGATTGTTCATGCTTGTTATTCCAGTGCTTTGGGAGGCCAGGGTAGGAGGATTGCTTAAGGCCAGGATTTCAAGACCAGCCTAGGCAACAAAGTGAGACTCTATCTCTACAAAAACAAAAAGTTACCCAGACATGGTGGTGCACAATTGTAGTCCCTGCTAATTGCTACTTAGGAGGCTGAGGCAGGAGAATCACTTGAACCCAGGAATTTGAGGCTATAGTGAACTATGATCTTACCACTCCACTCCAAACTGGGTGGCAGAGCAAGACCCTGTCTCTAAAAAAATTTTTTTTAAGTTAAAAAAGTTTTTGTACTTTCAAGTAAATAAATCTTTAAAATATTGAATGAAGATGGTGATAATGATGGCTACTATTAATTGAGCATCCATCATATACCAATCTGTACCACATGAAATTGCTGGTATTTGAACATCTTTGAGCTACAAAATGGCAATTTCATATAGTTTAATCTAATTCAAGGTTAAGCCCTTGAATGTATATATTTTAAAGCAACTGAAATGTCCCACCAGCTAGGAGCCAGGCCCAAGGGGATTGAATTGCCTAAGGTTACACAATGAGTACCTCATAGAACTGGAATTCAAATCCAAATCTCTCTACTGAAAATGCTGAGCTCATTCGGTTTGTCCACATGGGCTCCCATAGAAAATGAGGCTCTTGAATTTCTCATGCAGCAATTACGACCATTATTTCCATGAAAAGTAGCCATATACGAGTGTACTTTTTTTCAAAAGGGGAAGGGAGAATTGGAGCACCCATTTCCAAACTGGAGTGGATTCTTGGCAGAGCTAAAATCAGAGCTTAGTATCCTCTATTTTAGACTTCAGTTAAGGTGTTTCTCTATCTCTCACGTTGCTAATAGTATTGTCATCTCTAGGTAGGCAGGACTTCCCATTTATAAATCCTTGCCTGTTTTCCATGACAAGAGAATGAAAGAGGGAACCCAGGAACTTTATCCAAAACAGAAACAATCAATGATGCACAAGTTGGCTAAGACTGTTAACTTTGAAATAACAAACTGCTTTTAATCTTACTTGATTCATTTCTAATTTTATCTCAGGGTTTCTCTACCCTAATCCGGTCTTGCCAAAAATTCTCAGAGTTGGATGTATAAGTGCAAACATTTTAATAACTAGAATTTTTCTCCTCTGTTCCTTGCCAGTTTCCTCTCTTATTTGATGCTTTATTATCATTCTATGCCTATTTCCTCCAATTTTCTCCATTTAAGAGTTAGCACAAGCCTCTTGCTAGTGTTAGTTGCATTGAATGTCACATGAATGCAATGAAAAAATATAAAGTTCAGACCGTATCACCAAATATACATTTATGAGTTGGGGTTTTTATTTATTGGGTTTCGTTGAGGTTTTTTTGTTTTGTTTTGGTTTGGTTTTTACATTTTTTTCAGGGGAAAGAATGAATGGTCTTATAAAGTACAGAGTAATGACATGTGTGTTTGGAAGAAGATAGAAAGAAAATTACAGCTTCCTCACCCAACCCCTACATTTCAACACTTACCCTGTTTTATTCTTCTCCTTAGAACCTGGTATCATCTGATATATTTATTTATTTATTTATTTACTTATTTCTTTATTTTCTCTCTCCCTATACTCAAAGAAAAACTCCATGAGATAAGGGTTGTTTGTTCCCTGATATATCCCCAGTGTTTAGAATACAGCCTATTCTATAGGAGCCTCTCAATACATATTAATATTTGTCAAATAAATAAATGAATGAATAACAATGAAATAAAAGAAACAATTACTTTAAGGAGAATTATAGATCATTTTCCTCCAAATTTTTTATTTAAAGTTATTACAATATTGTACTTAACAGCAAATAAAAATCAAAGAAAAAATACTCCTTATTCCTCCTGAAAATGCTCAATTTGAATGTTGACAGCCTTTGTGAGAGTAGCTGACTGGTCTGAAACATGAGAGGAGGGCAGAGATTAAATGATTTACCAAGGGGAGAGGAGCGGCCATGGGGGCCCCTGGGCAGAATGATTGGTAAAGGGGAGGCCAGAGAAAAAGAAGCTCACTTGCCAAAAGCATGTAATAAACTCTCTTTCTTTTTTTCCCCCACCTCTCTCTTTTCCTTTGAGGCATAGCTGATTTCTTTTTCTTCAAAGTAATTGTTATAGTTAGAAGACATTAATTAAGAACAAATTCTGTTTTAAACAGTGTGAGTAGATTGCAACCCTGTTTGAAGAAACCTGTGGCCTTTGGCTAGGGGAAGAAGTGATTCTGAATGGCTGAGGAAGTCAGGCCACATGTTCAGAGCCAATTAGATTCACTCAATGTCCAAAATTTAGCAATCGCTAGTTAAATAATGCATTTTTTTCCCCACTAAACAGCCTCACTGTCAGTTAAAGACAAGCTCCTCACTGTTATAAGAAATTTTTTTAGTAACTATAACCTGTCATTCACCAAAATGACATCTTAAAAAGTCAATTTCAAGAATCGCCTTGGCTGTCTCTCAATCTCATAAATCTTTCCAAATCCCTTTACAGCCAGCCTGAGAGCACAGCCTCACACAATCTAGGATATGTCAGCTACACCTGTTGCCTATAAAATGCGGTTTATTACAACAAACACAATTGTAAACCTATATACCCCAATGCTGCTTTTATGGCAAAAAGCAAGCAACCCTGACTCTGGTATTTGATCACTAATGGTTGTCTTGAACAACACACAATGTTCAATAATTCCCAATTTGGCCACTCTTGATTCTAGTGGATCATAAACTGTGCATTATGAATTGTGGCTTCCCTAAGATAAGCCATATTACCCATGAAATGATTAAAAAGTAAACAAAGCTATGACAACATGATCTCTTTAGAAAGACGCATTTTTCTCAAATAAGAACATGGGATCTCTCCGACACAAGTTTCCTGACCAGATTACAAATCTACTAATTACATCTTGATTCCTTAAATCTACCCCCTTTAATTTCAAGTGAATGAATTATATTCATCTCATCTTAAATGTTACGGAGATTTGCACTGCACAGTTAAATTGCTGCCATCATTCTCCCCAGATAGTCACAATAGTTTACATTTGCATAACTCACTACAGTTTGCAAATTCCTTGCACATAAATTTTTAAACTTTAACCTATGATGGAACACCTATAAGCTAGTTATTATTAGTCCCAGTTTTACAGATGAAAAAATTGAGGTACAAAAGACTTTCTTTTACCCATTTTTGCTTCAGAAAGTGATGATCTTTTGCCAGTAGCTTCATCCCTGTCAGGTTTCTGATGAAGGTAGACAGTATATGTGCATTAGGAACCCCATGTAGACAGTATACATGCATTAGGGCCTTGGAGTTGGTCTTGCTGCAGACCAAAGTCATTTAGCCCTGGTATTCTGATGCCCTCTGACCTGCTTCTCTTCTTTAACCTCTGCCTCAGCCCTGTTCCAATAACCGGTTTATGTCTTAGTTCTCCCTCTGGCATGGGAGCTGTAGTGACAGCCCATTTCTGCCTATCTTGGCTTAAGACCTGACAATACACACAGCCCACGCCACCTTTATCTCTGTAGGAGCTGAACCTAGTACTCAAAGTGCTGTCTGGGAACTTGCCCCCTAACCCACAAAATTCCCTTACAACTATGACATGATGAGGCTGACACTCATCGGCTCAGAGCAAGGCATTCTCTGGAGAATCCTACCAAAGTGCTCCAGATACCAAATTAGACCTGGTCCAGATGAAACCTATGGAAAGAGGCCAACCACATAAATATCTGTTCCTACTGTACAAAGCTGAAGAAGTTTATCTTGTTTAAGAAGTTGATTATCAAAATCCAAACTCATTCTCACTCATTTGATAGGGAAAAAAAAAGCAAGTAAATAATAGAATGCCATGTTCTTGAGAGATCACCACCTCTTACTGGGATCCTTCAGACATAAAGTATTTTAGAGAAGAGGCCCCGCTCTGCTGTCCAGACAAGAGTGCAGTGGCACAATCACAGCACCCACAGCCTCAAACTCCTGGCCTCAAGCAATCCTCCCACCTCAGCCTACCAAAGTGCTGGGATTACAAAAGTGAGCCACCACACCCAGCCCAGACATAAATATAGAGAAGAAAGAAATCATCTGTATCAGTTAGGATTCAGTTCCATGGTAAAATTAGAAAAGTCAAATTAACAGTAGCCAAAACACAAAATATGTTATTCTGTTAAAAGTTCAGAATTGGTATTACAGAGGTGGTATGAAATCCCATAAGGAACCTAAACTCTAGTTCCTGGAGTCAGAACTTTTGCATGTGCTATTTGCCCTGGCTAGACTGCAGTTATTTTTAACATCGACTTTACTGAAGGAAGCATTCATTTATTCACCTACCAACAACTAAATCCAAGTGTAGAAAAGATAAGAAGGAAGGTGTGAGATAAAATATTATCCCATAATTTCATTTTAAAAAGTCTAAATTTTGGCCTGACTTGGTGGCTCATGCCTGTACTCCCAGCACTTTGGGAGGCCAAGGCAGGTGGATCACGAGGTCAGGAGATCGAGACCATCCTGGCTAACACGGTGAAACCCCATCTCTACTAGAAATACAAAAAATTAGCCGGGTGAGGTGGCACACACCTGTAATCCTAGCTACTTGGGAGGCTGAGGCAGGAGAATTGCGTGAACCCAGGAGGCAGAGGTTGTAATGAGGCGAGATGGCGCCACTGCACTCCAGCCTGGGCGACAGAGTGAAACTCCATCTAAAAAAAAAAGTCTAAATTTCACCTGTAATCCCAGCACTTTGGGAGGCTGAGACCGGCAGATCACCAGAGCTTGGGAGTTGGAGACCAGTCTGACCAACTTGGAGAAACCTCGTCTCTACTAAAAATACAAAATTAGCCGGGTGTGGTGGCACATGCCTGTAATCCCAGCTACTCGGGTGGCTGAGGCAGGATAATCACTTGAACCCAGGAGGCAGAGGTCGCGGTGAGCTGAGATCATGCCATCGCACTCCAGCCTGGGTAACAAGAGTGAAACTCCGCCTCAAAAAAGTAAAAAATATATAAATTTATTCTACCATTTTCAGCATCTGAGAAGCATTCCAGGATATATTTTGTTTAAATTTTTCTCTTGGTTTCCATTTATTTCCCCCTCTGTCTACTGGCTTCTCCCTTTTGCCTGTCTGAGTCCACCTATTGCTGAGAAAGAAACTTATGGTTGTCATAAAAGGTGATGGAAGTAATGCAAAGATCAGATGGACAGAAAAATTCCAGTTGTGGAAAAAGAGATCCTGTCCACCCAAGCCAGTGTAGTTGTGCATGTGAGGGAGATCAATGCAGTCCTTGTCGGTGTATGAACTGAAGGAAAGAGGCCTGGTGGGCCCAGTGGCTCACACCTGTAATCCCAGCACTTTGGGAGGCCGAGGCAGGCAGATTGCCTGAGCTCAGGAGTTCAAGACCAGCCTGGGCAATACAGTGAAACCCTGTCACAGCAGCATGCGCCTGTAATCCCAGCTACTAAGGAGGCTGAGAGAGTAGAATAGCTTGAACCTGGGAGGCGGAGGTTGCAGTGAGTCAAGATTGTGCCACTGCACTCCAGCCTGGGCGACAGAGCAAGACTTCATCTCCAAAAAAAAAAAAGAAAACAAAAAGAAATGACAGGAAAGTACACCGGGGCAAAGCATTACATCAGGAATTTTGGGCTCTATTTCTGCTTGAAGTGGCAAAGAAAGAAGGCATTCTAAGAATATACAGTACAACAGAGGGCTGTCTGGGAATGAAAAATATTAGAAAATCTCCTATAATACCTAGCATTCTGAGCACAGAAAAAATTAGCTTACATTCCACCAAGCCTTGCTTTTCCCATTAAAAATTATGGGTGGAGATGTTTTGAAATACTTGCCTATCTTATCAATCCCAAATAAAACATTCTCTGCAATCATAACAATTTTTACCTTAGATCCATTTTGAAATGTTTGCCGATGGTGCAAACGTTCCCTCTTGGAAATGTGCTTGCTTTTAAAACAATGCCAAATGAAACAATTTTCTGTGCATATAGAACATTTTATTTTCAAAATACTTGCTGATGTATGCGGGGCCTGTGCAATGTCAAGAAACATATTTAATCAAACATCCCTGGGAGAACAGCTTAGTACCATTAGCCTCATTATACAGATAAGAACACTGAGATCTAAATAGGTTAAGTAGAGGTTGCAGCATGCTTCCTAACAACAGAGTGCTCTAAAAATATGTGTACAGAAGGAAAAAATGTAATCTTTTGTAGGAAAGAGACTAGGGAGAACAGCCCAGAGGCAAGGAGAATTTATATTTTTGTTTTGAAAGCTTTCATGGCTCATGTCAAAGAATACATTGTTCTCCTGAGCCATGTACAATTTTCTCATCTAGTATTTTGGGGAATTATACTACTTCATCTCCAGAATTCAAGCAAATCAGATGTATACCCATGGTTTTCCTCTGCGGAGTACAAAGCACTAAGAAAATTCTGGTTTTGTTGTTGCTGTCAATATTGTGCATAATCAGCACATTTCTGATGATGCCATATCCCATACAAACCTAATAAATACATTTCAGGAACATATCAACTCTGATTTCTTCATTCAGCAAACATCTATTGAGTGACAATTCTGGGTCAGTCAGTGTGCTAAGCCTGGAGATATAATGATAAATAAGATAGCCCCTACCTTCCATTAGTTTAGTATGTAGAATAGAAAAACAAAATGTAACCAAATAATTAAAAGATAAAATTAATTAATTAAATTAGAAACACATACAAAGTACCTTGGTAGTACAGAGAAGAGTGCAATGTGCTCTGCCTGGAGAAAACAGCCAAATAATTAGATGATGTAAAATCTGAGCAACATCTTTAAGCAAAACAAGGTGAAAGGCATTCCACACAGATAGAGTCATACATCTAAGGGCAGAGAAGTACAAAGAGGATATTATGTGACCTGGGTACATTGAATACAGATGGGAAATAAAAATGGAAAGACAGAATGAGATGCACTTGTGAAGGGCTACGTTCTATCATCAATGAGGAATCAAGGAAGGATCTAAAACAGGGAAGGACACAGTCACATTTATGCTTTGAAAAGACAACTCTGCATGGAGAGTGGGCCAAACTGGGGAGGGATTGGAGACAAATGGAGCCAGTTAGAAAATCCTGAGACTGTGCAGTAGTCCAGAAAAGAGATGGTGAAGACCCAAACCACTGCAGTGGCAGTGAGGGTAGAAAGGAGCCAGCAGATTGCAAAAGATGTTTGGGTGGTGGACTCGACAAAACTTGAAGACCAATACTGGAGGTGGTGACTTGGGTACTACACATGCTGTTGTTATCTAAATTAGAATTATGGGAGAAAGGTCAGGTTTGAGAGAAGATAATGTCTTGGTATTTTACATGTATATGATTTTCTGAGTAAATAGAGTACCAGACGTGTAATTGAATATTTTACTGATTGTCTTACAATACCTTACAATTATCATCTTGAGATGAAGAGCTTTCTAACTCCATCAGTAATTTGTAAGTTTATGAGTTCAGTGGTGCCTTTTTTGAGGGTTCCTTTTGCTTGCCTTAAGAGAGAGAGGCTTCCCTCTTCATCCCCAAACATCAGGCTTGCAGACCTATTACTTCATTTTATAAACCCTGCTGAAAGTCAGGTTAGCAACATGGTATGTAAAATGAGAATTGAAAGAGACAACTCATGACACACCTTACCATCTTTATGTTCCCTGCTTCTTGTATAGAATAAGCATATACACACTGCTCATGTTTAATAAGTGAATAAGGTTTAAATCTTATTATTATCTGCAAAGGTGATAATAAGATGTAGCAGGTCATTGTTGATGGTCCTGGTTCTGACCATCAGAAATAATAACACAGATTTGGAGATATTATAATTCAGAATATATCTTCAAAAAGAAAGGTTCTTGACAAACTCACCTTGTGAATAACATTGAACATGAAAGGGAATAACCATAGATGTCCCTGGGTAGCCACAGTTGTGTTTAATAATCTGTCCCAGAAGTTGATGTGGCACCCTTGTTTCTCCCTAATTTTCAATCCAGACCCCACTGGAGAAATTATTCCATCTATCCCCACAATGCTGTAGATTACAGCAGCTGGCCAGAGCAATTAGATTAAAGACAGAAAATGTAGAAAGCCACTCAAAGAAGGAAACTATTTCCAGGTAACAACTAATAAGTAGTGGAAAACATTTTATAGATCATAAATAAGGAAAGCAACTTCTTTTACTTATCATTAAAAAGACATACGTAAACTCTGAACAATCACATAAGCAAAAGTGGAGAATTTTGGCAAATAATAAGAATTAAGTTCTAGGATAGAGCCATCTTAATTGCTTATTTGATTAAAAATTTAAAATTAAGTGGCATACATACTGAAGACTTCTGTCACTCAGAACCGTTCAAAGCCTGCTCTAATTAATGCACCGTCAATACTGACCTACCTATTTACTCCAATTATCTTCACAGGTATAATCTCATATCTAAGGATGCAAATGTGGTCTCTCCTTTTTTCAAAGGGGAAATTTTCTATTCCCTCAAAAATTTAAATCTATCAGTTTGTTAGTCATTCTGTCAAAATCTTAGATCAGCATCGCTTCTTAAACTGCAGACCTGGGCTTCTCAGTTCATTATCTTGTTCAAGGAGCAAAATCACTAAGGTACAATTAGACATTCACTGATTATTGTCATATTATTTGCCCTGTGGTGAAATCTGTCAAGAATAGCACAAATTGTAAACCTTTTGTTGACTTTACTTTGCATAAGCTTGAGAACGAAAGCTGGTTAGGAACAATGCAACATAAACACAATTCCAGTTATTGATCCCCATATTTAACATGCATTTTAATACTACCAGTCAAATTCCAAGTCCCCTTACAGTTTAGACAAAAGTATCCAATTTCTATTTCAATTATTTGGATGTATGGCATCTACTTTCTATCTCCCATGTTTTAAGACAAAATTATTCTCCAATACTAATGATATTTTTGTTTTGTTTCATTTTATTCTTGTTTACTTATTTTACTTATATGTTATAGTATCTAATTATCTTCAGAGAAAAAAAGTCTTCAGATAATCTTTGAAACTAAAATTATCTTTAAAGCGTCCTCCAAAAGACAATTGGCTATATTTTCTAATTCCAAACAAAACATTAATCCATTTAGTAACTTGAATTATATTGTGAGTTCATCAGAAAGCCATTTTGTCTTAAAAAATATATATTTCATGGAAGCATCGTCAAGGTTTTTCTTGGCCAAATTATTTCAGTAACGTTTGATGGGGGAAAACTTAGGAAATTCAATAATTCAGCCATATTTGTTCATGGGTTAGAGAGGACTCACCCTTTCTTTCTTTTTTTTTTTTTTTTCAGACGGAGTCTTGCTCTGTAGCCCAGGCTGGAGTGCAGTGGCACGATCTCAGCTCACTGCAACCTCCACCTCCCAGGTCCCGGTTCAAGCAGTTCTCCTGCCTCAACCTCCTGAGTAGCTGGGATTACAGGAACGCACCACCATGCCCAGCTAATTTTTGTATTTTTAGTAGAGACAGGGTTTCACCATCTTGGCCAGGCTGGTCTTGAACCCCTAACCTCTTGATCTGCCCTCCTCTGCCTCCCAAAGTGCTGGGATTACAGGCATGAGCCACTGTGCCCGGCCAGGACTCACTCTTTCTTGAGGAAAAACCTTTTTCTCTAGAAGCTGCTTTTGCTAGTAAGTCATTGTCATCACCAGCTGTTTCTGTTTTTCCTAACTACAGACTGCAACAAATGCATTTCAGGTTAACTACTATTTCTAAGTAATTAAGTTCTTTCTATTGTAAATTATTAATAACTTTCAGCATAGATTCCATTTATTGAATGTGGTTTTAAATGTGTCACTTTAAGAATAGCTTGTCACATTTCAAACGAATAATGTCATAGCAGACCACCTTAAGGGTTATGGCAAGACCAAAGCAAGGAGGGAGCTTTGTTTATTTTGGTCTTATGAACATAAATGATTTAACCTTTTAGAAAGAGATCATTATTTGGTTCAATATTACACCCACTCACATTTACATCTGTTTTGGGTAATCTTATGCAAAGGATTACACTCACAGGTTTTACTTTATGAATACAGGCAGACTGATTTTTAATATTTTTAGTTAGATATTTGATTTGGAGGAAGGAGTAACTGCAGAGTGTTCTTAATAAGCATCAGTTAAAAAAGAAATTATCTTTTCTGGAAAAATGGAGTGTGGTAAAAGGGAATGGTTATTATCCTCATTTCAAACTATTCCTAGAAATGTTTTACCTGAATATTTTGGTCAGTTGGATTAAGGGGAAGAAAGGAATGTACCGAGACTTTGTCCAAGAGAAATAGGAGCCTGGTTATTTCATCCGGAAATGGAGTCATTTTACAGCCATTTAGGCCTCTAGACACAAAAGTGTTCTGCAGTCTGCATCTTTGTTCTCGGTGACAGGGCAGAACCCTGTGTTCAGCAGAAGGAGTGGGGGCTTCTGTAACTTGGCTCCCCGGAACAAAAAGAAGCCGTTCATGACTCAGAGTTTACATAATGCATGTAACTATCCAGTAGGTCTCTTCACTCTCACTGAGTCGTGATATGTACTGAAATTACATGAAGCCCATTATCTCTTATAACAAGATGTTTAGATCACCTGCAATTTAGGATCATAAGTGCCATCTCAAAAATATCATTTGGATTCAGTCAACATCAAAATATATCTATGCATTGATTCTTACAAAAAAAAATGTTGTGTTAAATCCACATTTTAGGACCTTTGGACCACTAATGCTTTTTTCTTTTCTAACTTGGTATTCCTTCCATCTTACATTTATCCATTCATTCATTTATTCATTCATTCATTTAACAACTACTTATTGAACCCCTATTCCCTGCATAGTTTTATGTTAATATTATAAGGCATTCAAAAGAAGTATGAGAAAAAGTATACTCCTATATCCTATCAAATATTTAAATGACACTTGACAAAATAAGATGGAGCACCAAAATGAGTGGGAAAAGGAGTTCAGAAGAAAAATGTGTCTGTGTGGACAGTAATGGTCTAAAGTAGCTTCATTTTAGAGTCATCTTAAAGCAAAAATTGTCAATTAGCTCCCTTCCACAGCCTCCTTTTCAGCATCCCTGACTCCAGGTACCCACTGTCCTGATGTGATCCTTCTCCCATTCCTCCCTGAGTCACACATACATAAAGCACCAGGGAACCCCACTATGAACTTTTCCTCCCAGTTAGGCCTCATAAAGCCTTTTTCTCTCCTCTCCTTTTTCTATAGCTCATCCAATCTTACCTAGACAGCAGAACAACTTCTATCCAGTTTTCTGCTAGGAAACTCATATATTAATTAAAGGTATAAATTTCCTACATATCATATGCTTTCAGGACTAATTCAAGGAGATGGCTTGGTGAAGATAATATTGAAAACCCCTTAGGCAGGGTGGCAGTATTAATATTTTTGACCAGAAGTTCAACCTATGAATCCACATGTTGTGCCAATACAATAGGCCAGTACATGATGACAGCCTCTGTCTTAAATTGGCTTCCCTGAAAATGGGAAGAGATGAGGTGTTGATTGGAATAGATCAGGTGTTGATTGCAAAACATTCACATGGAGAATGCTCTCAGAAGATAGACCTGTAAAAAAGTGAGGAATGCAGTTGGGAGCAGAGGAGCTAACCCTCAAAGCTGTTGCAATTGAGACCTCATCCAAACCTACAAGGAGCTCTAGGGCTGGGATGACCCCTCAAGAGGCCTCTTATTCCCATATCAGCCAGTCATTGACCATAAGCTGCCTTAGAGGGAGTGGTTCTTTGATTAAGGCGGCTCTCTGTGGCAGCAGGTTATTTCCAGTGAGAAACACTGTGAGCTGAAAGCAGCCAATATGCCCAGCAGCTGGGGGATGGTGGAGGTGTTATTCCAAGAGAAGAGAGAATCTGAAAGTGGACCAAAGTACAAGTGCAAGGTAAGGAGAGCACCTGTTAATATGAAGTTGAACGTTGAACTCTCAAGTTTCTTTTTTTGTTTTTCTTTTTTTTCTGAGACAGAGTCTCACTCTGTCACCCAGGCTGGATGGAGTGCAGTGGTACAATCTCAGCTCACTGCAACCTCCACCTTCCAGGTTCAAGCGATTCTCCAGCCTCAGCCTCCCAAGTAGTTGGGATTACAGGTGTGCACCACCATGCCTGGCTAATTTTTGTAATTTTAGTAGAGACGGGATTTCACCATGTTGGCCAGGCCGGTCTCAAACTCCTGACCTCAAATGATCCACCCTCCTCAGCCTCCCAAAGGGCTGAGATTACAGGCGTGAGCCACCATGCCCGGTTAAAGTTATTTTTAAGACTAGGCTTCCCACTCTTTTATACTTAGCTTACATTTATATTCCATGATTAATAAACTAAGCTCAATGACTCAAGATGATTGTCCCAAACCTCTTAATAGGGCTCCTAGCTGATATTAACATCATGCAATGAACTCTCTAGATAGCCCAAATGATGTCATCAGGTTCTGGATCATCCATTTTGAGGGACATAGTAAACATTTAATTTGAGGCTGCTATGTTATAACTGCAAGAATACCAGCATACAATAAGTTCAGGCTTTTAACTTAAATTCCTGCTTTGTCAGCTCTCATGTGTTGAGAAGGAAATTATATTTTGAACTGAAATTCTACTCTTGTAATGAGGCAATAAGAAGTTTGGTTTTCTGAAATCTATACATTTACCTAGATGGAGGCAAAATAGCCCTCTGAATAACCATGGCTTTGCAAGTACTTAATTCCTCAAGTAATTAAAGATGGAATTTCATACTTTCAATTTGGTACACAGTCTAAATTTTACTTTATCACACCATACTTCTAAATGGGAATCTCATGAAGAGAAAGAAGTCTTCATTTTAGAACAGGTAATTTAACATGGTGCTGCTTCATTTGAAATATTAGGACTCTATCTTCTACCAAAAATAACTGGTGTTGAATTAAAAGCACATCCCACTGAGCCAAAAATTATATCTTCTAATTATCCAGTCTAAATTTATGGTCATCTCAGTTGAGTCTCTAATCTGCTTAGACATGCTCTTTTTTGAATCATTGTACTTTTGATAGTTATTCAAAGTTGTTATTTGGGACTTTAACATCATTTTGAAATTTAACTTGAACCCCTCAAAATATCAGTTATATCAAATCATGAGCTCTTTGGCTAACTTAATGCCTTTGGAATTGTAACTCAGGAGGTTGAAAAGCTATGGGGTCTGGCTGGATCCCCATAAGCATCACACATAACAGTCATAAAAATTGACTTCATGCAAACGGTCTGATCATTCAATTAATTTAACTGGCAATAGTATTAAGGCTGTTGCTCATTCCCTGAAAAAGAATAAAAAACTTCCCAGTAACTAACCTCTAAAGGTATCTTTGATGACTCTTCCAGGAATGACGATTATACTCAGACAAATCTACACTATCATATCACAGTTAAAGGACTTGGCAAAATGCTTTATAAGACACAAACTGAATGCCACATGTCCTTGTATTACTTATTTATTTTGGGGGGCAAGTAGAGCTGCTTATGAGAATATTGTTAAACCTCATTAGCAGAAACTGATTCCTACAAGGTTGTGCATACAAACAAACATTCAGGAAAAATATGTAGTAAACGTTTTTATTAGTACTAAAAGGAAAATTAGAGGTTGGGTTTACATCTCTCTCCTACTGTAGATTGGACTGAAATCAAATCTACGATGGAGGTGGTGGGGGCATGTAGGAAAGATTAGATGGTATGAAAATAATTTATTCTTCCCAGTTTAATTTGAAATACTAATAAAGACAGGCCCTTTTGTCTTTCCCTTTGAGCTTTTAAAAGGCAGGATGTTCATAACAATGCTTAATACTTAAATAACACCTTTCTTCTTCAAAGAGTTTTAAATACAGTAACTACCTATTAAGATCTGTTCCAAGCAGGGCAGGAGAGCCCCTTAACTTGAATCCAATTAAATTGTTGAATGTCACATGTTACAGTACAGTGACAGTGGAAAATAGGGAGAAAATAATTGCTCTACAATCACCCTGAACCATGGACAGTGAGTAACTGGTTAAAACCCTGAACCTTTTAATATCCTTTAAGATCTACTATATTTTTCAATAAAATTTAATGTTCCTTTCCCTTTATTACAAAACAAATATATGTTCATTGCAAAAAACCCCTCAAAAATGAAAACAAAGAAAATATTTACTGAATTACGAATCAATTTTAAAGGTTGTGATAGTGACCTCATAACTTCTACCAGTTCAACCTCATAACTTTAATCAGTTCTTTGTTTTTAAAAAGTAAATTGAGTCACAGTGAAATATTGGAGGTTAAAAGCCAAAAGCAGTTTTAGCATAACTAGAGAAATGCAGGGAATCTATCAAGAAATGAGAACTAGCAAGAGACATTTAAATTATGCAACTTGCTTTTTAAAAAGTTGAAGTAATCTGTTCATAAACAAGGTAATTTGGTTTCAATTTTAGCAGCCTAAATATTTACTAGAATGTGCTAACCAGATTTTGCTATTTTCTTCCTCTGAATCTTCCTTGTTCTTTATTCATGTATTTCTTCATTCAGCAACTATGAGCTGAGAATATGATGTGCGAACAGCCTTGTGCTGTGAGCAGAAGAGGTACAATAAAATAAAAGCCTGAGAATCCTGCTCCTATTCCCTGAGTTGGATTTATCTAATTTCTAACATTATAAGAAACTAATACCAATATATGAAGGACTTAAATAAGTACTAAGAAAATAAAAACCTTTTAGGATCTCAGATTTCTCTTGTTTCATTTATAAATGTAACATTTCACAACAGATTCCAGATAAAGTTAATTTAAGGATTTGTTTTTCACACTAGTTGAGCCTTTCTACTCTCTTGAGAAGCTAGTTACAATACCTCGTATATAATACTTTGTATAATGTAAGTTTTTCCTCTAAGAGAAAGTATTTAAATGATGAGGTAGGAAAAAAAAATTCTTCAAGGGCATAATAGGTAAAGGTGTTCTAGTTCAATGAACTCCTTTGAAACAGGGAAGGCATTTTTCCCTCTTGTGTGCCTATAAGACTCCGTCTTTACCTGCAAGGATCAAATGGATATCACCCTTTCCAGGAACTTTCTAGGTCATGCTAGCCTACAATGAATCTCTTCCATTTTTTAAATCCTATGGCACTTGTACATGTATTGTGTATGAGACATGCATACAAGAAAGAAGTTTTAGGCTGGGTGCGGCGGCTCACATCTGTAATCCCAGCACTTTGGGAGGCTAAGGCAGGAGGATCACTTGAGGTCAGGAGTTCGAGACCAGCCTGGCCAACATGGTGAAACCCCGTCTCTACGAAAAATACAAAAATTACCTAGGTGTGGTGGTGTGTGCCTGTGATCCCAGCTACTAGGGAGGCTGAGGCAGGAGAATCGCTTGAACCCGGGAGGCAGAGGTTGCAGTAAGCCGAGATAGTGCCACTGCACTCCAACCTGGGGGACAGAGTGAGCCTCTGTCTCAGAAAAAAAAAGACAAAAGTTTTGTTGGTTATCTTCATCTTGCTCTCTGACTATATTTGCCCCCCCCCCAAGCTAGATTATAAATACTTCGAGGGCTGTATCGCTTACATTTCATTGAATTTTCCCAAAGTGTCTCCCAATCCACTGTTGTTATGTAACTTCAGGGAGTTCCATTTCCCTAAAACCCAAAGAGGTTGCATTGCAGTAGCCCTGCTGATCTTCACAGTGATTACTGTATATTTCAGTACATGTTTTCTTTAGAACTACATTGTCATTGATTCTTTAATCAGTGTCCCTTTCTTCTTCTTCTTCTTTTTTTTTTTTTTTTTTTTTTTCAGACGGAGTTTCGCTCTGTCGCCCAGGCTGGAGTGCAGTGGCGCGATCTCGGCTCACTGCAAGCTCCGCCTCCCGGGTTCACGCCATTCTCCTGCCTCAGCCTCCCGAGTAGCTGGGACTACAGGCGCCTGCCACCACGCCCGGCTAATTTTTTGTATTTTTAGTACAGACGGGGTTTCACTGTTTTATCCAGGATGGTCTCGACCTCGTGATCCGCCCGCCTCGGCCTCCCAAAGTGCTGGGACCACAGGCGTGAGACACTGCGCCCGGCCTGTCCCTTTCTTCTTAAACATATTGATAATATTGTGGCTTTCTGTGTTTAACAGTAGAAAGGTTTAAAAATGGACACTTGTAAAATAGATGGAACAAGAGAGAGAAATTCTGCCAGGGATCCCTCAGTTTCAGACAGGCTCTAGATACCAAACAAGAGAGCTACCCTAAAGCTCCAGCCTTAGAAGAGGGTACCTGGGTAGGTAGAACCACTAAACCAAGACAGGAGAATGATGAGAATTCAAGTCGTTTTACCCTAACAACAATCACTTTATTGTGTATCATGATGTTGTATGTCAGGATTTAGGTGGGTCATTCATCTGTCCCATGTAGAGTTGACAGAGATCATTTGGTGGCAGTCTGCTGGCCAAGAGGCTGGTTTCGAGAGTCCAAGATGGCTTCCATTACTGACCTGTACATCGGTGGGGTGACTGGAAGGCTAGACGCAGGTTTGGTATGCACCTATATGTGGCCTTCACAGCATCATGGTCCAGTAAGACCTTACCATGGCAACTTAGAGCTCCAGGGAGTAGTCCAAGAGCTCAAGTGCTTTCTGATGACTTAAAATCCTGTCCTTTGCTTTATCCTCTCAAATTGTTACTTGATTAAATAAAATTCTTAGGAAAAATGTTTTATGTTTAGTAAGAACATTCTTACTATTACTCTACTTTTAAAAAAAAAAGTACTGTTTTTATTTTTGATATCGTAAAGATCATACATTCACAGTCATTTGGAAATGCAAGCAATATATAAAATTACATGACACATAGTAAAAGTCATCTTAAATCCTACCACAGTTAGTTATTGGAGGCTATAGTAAACATTGTTTAGGCAGCTGTATATGTGTATAAATATATATATATACACATACATACATATATGAATGACTTTTATAAGTGAGACATTAATTTATATGCTATTTTATAACCGTTTTTCACTTAACGATATGTCATGGTGCTCTTTTGGTGCCAATCAAGGTAGACAAACAGCATCCTTTTTAATATTCATATATTACTATGTAATATAAAATAATTTATCTAATCAATCTCCTATTTGCAGATATAAGACGTAATTTCTTTTAATGAAATATTTTTGGGCATCAAGTATTTCAGAGAAAACCCAGTCAAAATACAGCCATTTATTTTATTTTATCAAATAAGTTACATGGCTAAAGTGTGATGAGGTTTTAAGTAAGTTTAGGGATGGAGAAGCCAGATAGAATAGTCTGTTTTAGTCAAATAGGCAACCAAATAATAGGCAGTTCTTTAGTTTGTTTTCTGCTATACTAACGTAGGTTAACTAATACCCTAGACATTGATGAGGCAAAATAACTATCAGTCAACGTTTGCATTATACTGTGAAACCTGACAGAGGGAATGAGAGGGAGAAGAGGAGGAGGATAAAGAGAAGAAGAAGGAGGAAGAGGGGAAAAGGAGAGAAGGAAGGAAAGAAAGGAGGGAAGAAGGAAGAAAGGAAGGGGGGTCTGTCAGAATCTGAGTGCTAAAATTTTTTTTTAATTTAAAAAAAAGAAAGGAAGGAAGGGTAACTTAAATGAATCAGTGTTTCATTTTCATCTAGTTACAAGAAATAGGGAAGTAAAAAGTTCAGGGTTGGTCAGCAGCTCCACAATGGGGTCAGGACTCAGACTCCTTGTATCTTTTCACTCAACCATCCTACGTTGCACATCATCTTGTGGCCCCAGTGTGGCCACTTCACATCCCAACATTGTGTCCATGTTCCAGATAGGAAGGGGAAGGTGAAAGGGAAAAGGACAAAAATGCGCAAACCAGCTAAATCAGTACTCCTTCTAAGAGGTCTTCCTGGAAGGCCTATCCAGTAATTTCTGTTCACAGCTCAGAGCTGGGTGACAAGGTTGCCCTTATTTGCAAGAAGACTGGGAAATATAGGTTTTTGTTTTGCTTTGTTTTGTTTTTATGGCTCGTATGTAAGAAGGGGAAAATGCATATGGGGTGGCAACTATCTCTGCCACATTAATTAACATAGGACATTTCTTATAATATGTAGGTGCATATACATGTTTATATTCCCAAGAAATTTGACCTAAGAGAAGAAAAGGTAAAATGAGTAACACTCTTATTTAACTAAGAAGTCTGAATCTACAAGAGATTCATTTTAAAATAAGTCTGTGAGAATTCTCAATGAAAAGAGAATTTCTTCATTTTCAGTTCAAGTTAACTACCTGAGATGTAGGTGGGAAGAAAACTACAATGAATAGAAATAGCCACCGTCCTTGAGGATTTCAGTGTAGTGATGTCAACATTTGAACAAATAATTATAATTTCATACAAAAAAATCTCTATTGCACTGAGAAATGTATAAAGGACTGTGGAAAGAGTGGGCAGGCTTTGGGAAGGCATAAATGTGGAGGAGTCTACTTGTGCTCTAGGCTTAACAGATAAGAAAAACGTACCAAGGAAATGAAATAAGAGAAGGACTTTTCAGAGCAATGGAGCAGTAAAGTGCAATCACGTGCTGACTAGTGCCTTTAAAACGTTGTACAAGAGGTACATGTGTAGCCCAGGTTTCTCAGAGTTTGGTCTATGAGTCATATACACTACAAGTATGATGCTCCACCTCCAGTGATTCCAATTCAGTTGAAGCAATAATACCTAACAAACTCTTCAGAATTGGCACGCACACCAAAGTTTGAGAACCCAGGGTTTAACCTGATGAAAAGAGAAAATGGGTCAAAGAGACTCTGTCCAGCACTCTGTCAATACCTTCTTTCATTCCTGTCTTATGCTTGTCTAACTATATTGCTACAAATATGGTCTAACTATATTTCTGAGTTATGTTGATTTTTTTCCTTCATATGCTTCTCTTGGACACTTCCTCACTGAGGTCCTGGTTCTGATCCATAATCATACCCTTTAATTTAACCCTATCCTAAGGAGCTAACTTGGGCAGAACAATACCAAGATGTTGAGGCCCTAGTCCTAGAATTTTAGACTTCTTTTAGTATGATAGACCCCTTTAGCTATCTAGTAAAGCCCATGGACCCCACTTCTAAAAATAATGTTTTTATGTGCATAAAATGAAATACACAAAACAAAATAAAACAATTATATTGACATACAGTTAACATTTTTTAAAAAGAAATGTGCTTCTTTACTAATGCTCTAAATAGCAAGCAAATACATATAAATTATAGGCAAAGAAATATTAATGTGAGGGTTATTGTTGCTTAACTTGAATAAGAGTATTAAATAAGGCCGCGCATGGTGGCTCACACCTGTAATCTCAGCACTTTGGGAGGCCAAGGCGGATGAATCACGAGGCAAGAGACCAAGCCCATCCTGGCCAACATGGTGAAACTCCGTCTCTACTAAGACTACAAAAATTAGTCGGGCGTGTTGGCGCACGCCTGTAGTCCCAGCTACTTGGCAGGCTGAGGTAGGAGAATCACTTGAACCCGGGAGGCAGAGATTGCAGTGAGCCGAGATTGTGCCACTGCACTCCAGCCTGTGACAGAGCGAGACTCCGTCTCAAAAAAAAAAAGTATTAAATAGTAGTATTTGACAAAGTAACAGGTATGCCATATTGAACATGAAGGCACATGTTTTGTTTTTTCCTTCCAAGTTCATAGGCCTTCTGAAAGCATATGGGTCTCTGTGGACCCCACATTAAGAACCCCAACAAGGAGATCATCTAATAGAGAGGTCCGCAAGTGGGGCAATGCTGTCCCCTGTGGTGCATTTGAGAAATGTGAGGGGGTAATTTCGATAATCAAAATAACTGAGGAGATGCTATTGGCCATTAGAGGCCATGAGGTATAGAGTACCTCCCAAATCTATCAGCTCTGAATTATCAGCTTAACTAAATTCTTCAATAAAGTATGAGTTGATGGAAGAGAGAGATATTTCTTATTATGCTGAATCTACCTCAATTATTCTCTTGTTAAAGAGGAAACAAGAAGTTACTTAAAGCATAAAATTAACTGGAAATCCAATAAAGTATTTTATATCCTTTTCCTGATCAATAAGCATTTCGTTATCTTGAAAATAGACCATTTTTAATACCAGGCATCACTTATAGGTCTTTGCCTGAAACTGTTCATGTATTGTCCAATGGAAAATTACTAAAACAATTTTTACAGTTCTATTCTAGAAAAATTTTACCTAAAATATCCAAATGTCATTACTATTATTATTTTTTGAGATGGAGTCTTGCTCTGTTGCCCAGGGTGGAGTGTAATGGCATGATCTCTGCTCACTGCAACCTCCACCTTTCGGGTTCAAGTGATTCTCCCGCCTCAGCTTTCAGAGCGGCTGGGATTACGGGTATGCGCCACCATGCTCGGCTAATTTTTGTATTTTTAGTAGAGGTGGGGTTTCACCATGTTGGCCAGGCTGGTCTTGAACTCCTGACCTCAGGTGATCCGCCCACCTCGTCCTCCCAAAGTGCTGGGATTACAGGCGTGAGCCACTGCGCCCTGCTCAAATGTTATTATTAAGAAGAGTACTAAACAGTCATTCTAAAGATAATTGATTCAAATGCTTACTTTTTGTTACTTTTGCATTGTAGAGACAAACTACATGCAAAAAGAGTGAAAACAAATCTTGTCTTCCATTACATAATTTTATAAATACTTAAATTTTTAAAATTCTTACAGACAAAATGTCTCTTCTTAGAAACAAAGTATTTTTTCCTTATAATTTTAATTAGCCCCTTACTGGAAAAAAGTTATTGTATTTGCCTTTTCTTCACACCAGATAGGTTACTTTTAAAAATGCCCCTTTCCCAAATAAGGTATTGGATTTGGAAAGAAAGGTTTCAAACTAACTAGTTTGAAATCCTCTGAGATTCAGTGGAGTTAAAGCCCTGGTTATAATAGACAATCTACATTCAAAGCACAGGCAGTCCCCAAGTTGCAAATGGGTTATATTCCAAAAGTTAATTTGAAAGTCTGCTGTTTAGAACTTGTAGAGATATTTTGCCACGGAAACAAAGTTCTAAATGACAGTTGAATTTCTAGGCTAGCCCACAAAAGTCTATCTAACCCATAATGTGTCTGAATCCAATTGCTTCAAGGAGAGGTTTGTAACAGAACATAATAGTTTACTGACAGGCTGATTGGTGGCCCACTTTATCAGTATCTCTCAATTTAGCGTTGTTGGCTTGTCGTTTTAATATTTCTTCATTTTATTCCCTAAAGATATATTAGTCGAATAATAATACTTTTCTTTAAAAAGTACTTATTTCATTTCTCATAGTTGTGTAAATTATTTTAGGTCTTTATCTTAAAGCAAGGAATAAATAGATATCCTTTTTTTCCTGTGATAAAAATCAATTTCCTGACTAGGCGCGGTGGCTCACACCTGTAATCCCAGCACCTTGGGAGGCCAAGGTGTGCGGATCAGGAGGTCAGGAGTTCAAGACCACCCTGGCCAACATGGCGAAACCCTGTCTCTACTAAAAATACAAAAATTAGCCAGGCATGGTGGTGGGCACCTGTAATCCCAGCTACTCAGGAGGCTGAGGCAGGAGAATCGCTTGAACCCAGGAGGCAGAGTTTGCAGTGAGCTGAGATTCTGCCACTGCACTCCAGCCTGGACAACAGAGTGAGACTCCATCTCAAAAAAAAAAAAAACAATTTTCTTATAAGGTTTTTGTTTGTTTGATGTCTGTTTTTTTTTAATTTATACAAAGTTAAAATTCCTTTTCTAATGGCAGTAATCTATAAAGATTTTTTTTCCTGTTTGTTTTGTTTTAATGTGTTGCTTATTTAAAATGCCTTTGATAACAACTGTGGCTTGACAAGTAATAATGAAAAGGGACTGTAAACAACAATATCAAATCTTTCCCACTTTTGCCATTTTACTCCTCTGACTCCTGATTAAAAATAAGTGGTTCCAAAATTTCTCATGTGCCAATCAAAGTTCTCCTCAATTTAGGCCAAACTTCTTTTTTTGCCCTGTATCTCCATGCCTTCCATCACAAACGTTTGTGCTGGCTCATTTCTTACCCCCAGGCATACTTGGCATTTTCTCACTTTCATACCTTTGTTAGCTATATTTCCTGTAAGAGTGCTCTACTCTGATCATTCTATTTGAAGCCTATTCTTCAAGGTTCATTTTAAATTTCACCTCTTCTGAGCTAACATGAAATAACGGAATGAATGTGTTAAGAGTTGTTAAAGACAAAGTTATCGAATAATATTTGTCAAAGTATGATAAGGAGGATTTTATTCAGCATGATCATAATAGGTAGAGGGACCACTGCAATGGGGCCTTGTAGCCAGGGAGAGAGATTGGGCACAATTCCCAGTAGAGCATGGGCAAGTAAGAATTTGGAGCCACAGAGCAGTGTGGGGGTCAGCAGGTGTGCCTTGACTTTTAAAAACTTTATAGATAACATCAGGGGTAAGAGTGATTCTGGCTAAACTGACCTAACAGGATTCTTGCTGAAGACAGGCCAGAGTGTTTAGACGTCACCCAAGAGATGAGAAACTTGATCAGATATCAAGGATGATCAGCTATCGAGAATAGGAGTTCTTGCTAAAGTCAATTAGCAGGGTTCTTTGCTAAAACAGAATTTTACAAGGAAGTGCACAGAGGGGCTTAGCAGAAGACCCAGAAGTCTGACTAAGGCTTGGCCCCAAAGACGCTTTGTCGGAGTCATACAGGCCTAAGTATGAATCCCAGCTCTGTCACTTTCTTAGCTGTACATATGTGAATGTAAGTTTAACCACTCACAGCAATGTTTCTCGTCTAAAGAGTGAGACTAATGGTACTTTGATCACAATGTTGTTTTGAACATTAAATAAAATCAGTTAAAATTTAAAAGCACAATGGCTATCTTCGATCATCTCATAGCAACTGATTGCTTGTCTTTGAGCTCTATGGCAAATGTTAGCTGAGCTTTTCATGTCAAATGTTATATCACTGAATATATTTTTGCATGAATGTATTTTGTCTCCATAACCAGGTATTTTAAGTCTCTCTGGTTAAAATCTATTAGTCAAAGTCCTGGCTAGGACTTCAGAAATTAGAAACCATGCTACGTATTTCAGACAGAGGAATTTCATTTAAGAAATTAGTCACATAGATGTTGGAAGACTGAAAGAGCAAATGAGGGATGCTGGAAAAGGTGGCTATCACCTGCAGGGCAGCAGGGCCAGGGGACCAAATGGGAAAATCTAGGAGTATGAAGGAGAGGGGCCCTCATATAGTTAGCACTCAGGTCTTGAGGGAGATGTCCTGTGGTTGGTACTTATGCTGACAAGAGGGCGTGGCTGACTGGTCCTGGTAGCCTTGAAGAAATGTGGCACTGTTTTTTGTTTTTGTTTGTTTGTTTGTTTTTTGAGATGGATTCTCGCTCTGTCACCCAGGCTGGAGTGCAGCAGCATGATCTCGGCTCACAACAACCTCTGCCTCCTGGGTTCAAGCAATTCTCTGCCTTAGCCTCCCCAGTAGCTGGGATTATAGGTGCCCCCAACCCCCACAACGCCTGTCTAATTTTTTTGTATTTTTAGTAGAGACGGAGTTTCACCATCTTGGCCAAGATGGTCTTGAACTCCTAACCTCGTGATCCACCTGCCTTGGCCTCCTAGAGTGCAGGGATTACAGGCTGAGCCACTGCGCCTGGCCAGCACTGTTTTTTTACCCTAGAATTTGAGCATGTTTCAGCACATCTGCAGAACTGGCAGAACAAAGGAAGAAAAAATTCATCCTAAGTGAAGAAAGCTATGAAAAGTTTGCTTCAAGATCAATTGCCCAAGGTTAGAGGAAAAGACTTCATGGAACCATGTTATCTATCCCATGAACTCATGCCTGAGTCCTAGAGCAGCAAACAAATAATATAACTAAATGCTTCACTGTGATGTACACGGGACTTTTGGAACTGAAGACAATATCAACAGGAGATGATGCCTGTGAAAAATGGCGTCTTGGTACAGGCATTAATGCCATTAAAATTAGGAGTTTGCGGCCAGGCGTGGTAGCTCTTGCCTGTAATCTCAGCAGTTTGGGAGGCCAAGGTGGGCAGATCACCTGAGGTCAGGAGTTCGAGACCAGCCTGGCCAACATGGTGAAACCCCGTCTCTACTAAAAATACAAATATCAGCCGGGCGTGGTGGTGGTCGCCTGTAATCTCAGCTACTCGGGAGGCTGAGGCAGGAGAATTGCTGGATCCCGGGAGGCAGATGTTGCAGTGAGCCAAGATCATGCCATTGCACTCCAGCCTGGGCCAACAACAGCAAGGCTCTGTCTCAAAAAAAAAAAAAAAAAAAATCAGGGTTTGGTAGCCTCAGCACAAACAGCATTGCAGTTGGGGAGCATTGTTGCCTTTGGAAGCAGTAAGAGAAAACAATTCAATGAGCCAGAGGAGGAAGACGGTGACTGGGGACTGTTTCTTAAAGTGTTCCTTCCCTAAAAGCAAAGGAAACAAGGCATAGAATACAAAGCAAATCCCTGGGAGTTCTTAGGATCTTCTGAAAGAAATCTGAATGTGGATAGGGAAACGTATGAATACTCTTTAAGACTTTTACTACAACCCTTTTTTTTTTTTTTTTTTTGAGATGGAGTCTCACTCTGTCGCCCAGGCTGGAGTGCAGTGGCATACAACCCTATTTTTACTCTTAGTCTCGTGTAGCTTGGGAAAACGGGCTATATTTGAATATCTTTTTTTGTTTGTTTTTGTTTTTCTTTTCCTTGTTTTTTTCTTTTTTTCTTTTCTTCTTTATTTTTTTGTTTTTGTTTTTGTTTTTGTTTTTTTGGAAACAGGGTCTTGCTCTGTCACCCAGGCTGAAGTGCAGTGGCGGAATCTCAGCTCACTGCAACCTCTGCCTCCCGGGTTCAGGCAATTCTCGTGCCTCAGTTCCCTGAGTAGCTGAGATTACAGGCAGGCGCCACCAGGCTGGGATAATTTTTGTATTTTTAGTAGAGACAGGGTTTCACCACGTTGGCTGGACTGGTCTCAAACTCCTGGCCTAAAGTGATCCGCTCACCTTGGCCTCTCATAGTGCTGGGATTACAGGCATAAGCCACCAAGCCCGGCAAATTTCTTTTGTTTTAAGCTATTAGCTTCTTTAATTTGAAGCTGAATATTTATTTGTTAAAGTCATAGTTTATTATTTTTAAATGAAAATAAGCACTCCAAGAGACTCTGATGAGGGTAGTCCATGGGTCATAATTTGAGCATCTTAGAGCAACCAGCTCAAACAAGAGTCAACTTTCACAAATAAGAATGTTTTTCCTCTCTGTAACATAGAGTTAAACTAGAGTTGGCTCTTTATTTTACCTTCTTTTAGTAATGCTAAGTATTATTAGTAATTAATTTTGACTTTTGTTCTTTTTCGGTATAATAATTCTGGGTTTATGTCTTATATGTACAGTGTAAAGAAAAAATAAAAGCCAAGTTCAGATGTGCCTTGATTTTTAAAAACTTTATAGATAAAAATTTAAAATCAGTAAAATTGGTATTTTATTTCATTAAAAGTCTTCTATTTATAAATGATTTTCCTAGTGTTTCCCATTACTATATGTCATTGTCTTTATCTCAGAGATGCCTGCTTCAATTTTACATTATATTTTAAAATAATAAAGGCAACTTGATCTTTACTTTACCTACCATGAATAGATTGTTGATTTGTCTGATAGTCATAAAATGTGATTTGGTTTAAATATTTACCTCTGAAATTTGAGGACGATCTTTCTTAAGTTTGGTGAATTGTAGCTGGATTTAGAGTATCTGAATTTTCATTTCCTAACTTATTTAAATTTTATTTTTATTTTGTCCAGATTAAAGTCTTATTGTTATCTTGGTAAAGTAGTGCTCTGGTTTTGAAATTTGATTTTTTTGAGGGAAAATAAAAGCCAGGCAGTTGGGGAGTGTTTTTAGAATTCCAAGTCATCCTGTGCCTCATTATTCTTATAGATGCCTATCTCCTTCTTCTGTCTTTAAAATTGATTCATATGTCATCTGGTTATGCTGGATAATGATCGTGGTGTGTTCAACCCCAGGGCTATTATCAAAGCATCCTAAAGTGGTAAAAAAAACATCAAAGAGCTGTTGACAGTCCAAAAGAGAAATATAGAAACTTTATTTTTTCAACCTAGAGAAAATCCTTATAATCTGTCTATTATTGTATAGCCCCTTCAGATCCGGAAGCTATTCAAGAAGTCCTGGCCAGTAACCAGATAAGTCTTTTCCCTTTGGAAGTAACTGTCCCCAGTGGCATTGCTTTGAAACCATATCATTAACATTGACAAATTTGGACTATTAGGATTATCATTTTGTGATTAGGGAATTCCTTGGTCTTTCCTAATTGCCTTCTCTATAGAGAATAAATAATATAAATGACATGGACCATAGATGACCAGTTTTCCTGAACACTTGAGCCAACTCTAGTTTAACTCTATGTTACAGAGAGGAAAAACATTCTTATTTGTGAAAGTTGACTCTTGTTTGAGCTGGTTGCTCTAAGATGCTCAAGGTATGACCCATGGACTACCCTCATCAGAGTCTCTTGGAGTGTTTATAAAATGCAGATTCTTGAATCCAAATCTTGGGGTGAGAAGGGAGTATGTAGTAGAACCACTAAAGCTTAAACAAGTGCCACAGGTGATTTTTATTCATGCCAAAGTTTAAGAACTACTTCTCAAGGACAGTTACTCTTTAGTTTAGGAAAATACTTTAATAAAACATCTTAGTTCTGAAATAAAGCTAAGGTTCCAAGGCTATTCTGTATAAAAGTGAGGACAGAAAACAAACAGCCAAATTGCTTTGAGTAAGAATAAATTAACAAGAATTTGGGAATTGCCGCCCTGGTGTGTTTTTTCTTCTTCTTCTTTTTTTTTTTTAAGATGAAGTTTCGCTCTTGTTGCCCAGGCTGGAGTGCAATGGCATGATCTCGGCACACCACAACCTCCGCCTCCCAGGTTCAAACGATTCTCCTGCCTTAGCCTCCCGAGTAGCTGGCATTACAGGCATGCGCCACCACGCCTGGCTAATTTTTGTATTTTTAGTAGAGACAGAGTTTCTCCATGTTGGTCAGGCTGGTCTCAAACTCCTGACCTCATGATCTGCCCACCTTGGCCTCCCAAAGTGCTGGGATTACAGGTATGAGCCACTGCGCTTGGCCCACCCCTGGTGGTTTTAAAGAGAGGTGGCTTTAGGAGTCCCAGAAATTCAGAAAAATGTAGAGAAGGTTCTTGTTAGGGTGAGGGGCCCACAGCAATATAGTGGCAGGGTGTGATCCGAAAAGAATGATGGCTACTGAGAAATTCCCTGTGGTGGGAATGGCCAACATTAAATGTGAAGTCGCTTCCTATTCTGTGTCTTGTTTCCTTTGCTTTTAGGGAAGGAGCTGTTCCATCCATAGGAAAGCACAGAGTGGGATGGAAACGGGAACAGGATCAGAGCAAGTGTGCACCCTGGCCAAGTTCCTTTCCAAGAATCCTTGGAAATGTGGAGGAAGGTTCTGGATTTTCCCAACCTCACCAAATCACAATTAGCCAGGACATCCTAATCATGTAGCTCACATTTATTTATTGAGCATCAAGCATATACCAGGCATCTTCATACATTATGAAATTTAATCCTGCAAAGTAGGTATTTTATCCTTAGTTTATAGTTGAGGAACTGAAGCCAGAAAGGTTGGATAACAAGCCTAAGATCGATCAATCAATCAGTTAGTAATAGAGCTGCGACTGAAGCCCAGATCTACCTGACTCCAAAGCCTGTCTTTCCTGCTCCACATTATACTACACCCCTTCTCAGAGATTAAAAAAAAAAAAGCTCTGGCTGCTTTAACTGGTGTACCTCCAGGTCAACCACTTCCATCTCCTTCTCCTCTTTCAGATTTGCACCTGTTCCCTAACCAAAGAGAGGAACAACAGCAATAGTGTTCTGTCGGGATCTGTTCAGAGTTAAGGCCACCAATATTGTTCAGAGAATTCAGTCAGCACACCCCTCCCACCTCAATCTGCTGTCCCATCTCTCCTCTTCATCACCAAACTTTTTTTTCCAAACTTTCTAAATAGTCTCCACTTGCTGTTTGACTTCTTCATCTTCGTCTTTCTCTTTAACCCACTGTACTTTGTCAAGAACTATGAAAGGTCTGAGATTTCATCCTCCTTGCAAGCTAATCACTTAACCTGCTATAGTTTCATGGAAGCTGGCAGAAGACGTGGGGCTTTGCAGTCAAAGGGCTGTATTACTCATGGCACAGCAAGCAGCGCCAGTGTCATGTTCAGTCAGTTCCCTTGCCCCCAGGTCTTACCTGGAGCTACATGGTGTGGTTCAGGTGAGTGATGCACCTGCAGTGGGTTTGCCTCACAGCTGAGAAACTCTATCTAAGCTTAGGAAATCCCCAATCTTTTTATAATAGGCTGCAAGAAAACCTGCTTGACCTTTACCTCCAAAGACATTATCTTCACTATATTGGATGGTAAACAAATGTGCCCCTGCTCTTGGCGGGGAGGGGGAGCAGGGCAGGGGACACTATGTATATTTTCCAAGGCAGTTTGACCAAAAAAAAAAAAAAATCCTTGAAAATATAGTCTAAAACAAAAGCTGTTAGTGCCTCTGCTCACAAGACATGCAGAAATACTAGAGTCCCACAGAGAATTGTCTTCCAGCACATTTCTGCATTTCTTCCCACTAGTCATACAGAAGATTGCTCTCTTGAAAATGATCAGTGATCTAATTTCCCGATCTAACAACCTTCTAGAATCCCAGAAATAAACTCATAGGACAATAATCATTCAAGAAATATTTATTGGGTAGCTTCTATGTGCCAGGCACTGTGCAGGCCCAAATAGACATGGTCTTTATCCTAATGTGGGGAGCAACAGACATTAACCTAGTAGTTACACATACCAAAATGTAGTTACAAGCTGTGGTAAGTCATAAGAGGGGAGGGTATATGGTGGTAAGAGAGCTGACATAACAAGGTATCTTGAATGTATCTGGGAGGTCAGAAATGTTTTTCCCAAGGATGTCGCTTTCAAGCTGAGACCTGAAGGATGAGTAAGAGATAGGATAACTAAAGGAGAGAATGGCATGTACATAGAGCCTTTGGTTGTTGGGATCATAGCATTTTTGAGAAACTAAAAGAAGACCAGGAAGTCTGCCCAGGAAACAAGGTGAAAATGGTGTGAGATGAGGCTGGAAAAGGCAGGTAAGGCCAGACCTCGTATGGTCTTTTAGGCTGCCTTAAGAATTCTAGACTTATCCTAAAGCAATGAGAAACTGTTTAAGGAGATTTTTGGAGTAGTGACATAGTCTCATTTGCTTTCTTAGAGGATAATTTTGGCTGCAAAATGGAGACTGAATGGAGGATCCCAGATTGTATACAGTGAGATCGAATTAGATTGGTGGTGATTGGAAAGAAGTAGACCAATTAGATTTTAGAAATAAAATTGCCAGGAGTTAGTGCTGCAACAAATATGGAGAATGGAAGAATGGAGGTGAGGGAGACATCAGCGGTTACTGACTACTAGATATTTGATTTGAATAACTAGAGAGATGGGGGATAAGGAAAACAAGTGTTCATGAACTCAGTTGGACTAAACTTTGCAACTTTGAGATATTAAGTGGCCATGTCAGTGAAGCTTGGAATTTAGAGGTAGGGTCAAACTTTGACTAGTGGATCAGATTTGGAATTTAGAGGAAAGGTCTGGGCTGGAGGCATATATGTGGAGATCACTGGCATATAGATGATAACTAAAGCCATTGGCGTGGGTGATGCTGCTTAGGCCAAGAGATTACAATGAAAACAGAAAAGAATCTAAAACTGAATTTTAAGGTACTGTTATATTTAATAGTTAGGGAGACCAGCAGGAATATGCAAAGGAATCAGAGAAGCAGTGCCTAGGAAACTAAGGAGGAAAACCAAGAAAATGCAGTGTCAAAGGAAGAAGAAATGTTTAAGAAAGAATAGTGGTCAAAGTGTTGAGTATTGTTGAGAGGCCAAGAAAGATGAGGATTGAAAATGGCTCCCATTTTATTGATAAAAAAAAAGTGAAGCATTGAGAAGAGAACTTGTTCAAAGCCAACATAATTTCTTGACCCTCTCTCTGTTCCCAGAGAACTCATACTGGTGCACATGCTAGGGTCATTTATGTGTGGGTTTTCTTCTCTCCAAAGGCCATAAATTCCTTGGTCTTCACTTTACTTCACCTTACTGCATTGCATATTATTGACTACAATCTCTAGGTCTTCAATAACATTCTTAAATTATGTGTTAATCTCCTTCAAAAACAGCTGATCTTCTTTACTCTGCCTTTACATGTAGGCATGTCCCAAACATATTTTTTTAAATATAGTTTTTAAAAGTGCCATGTCTTGGCCTCTCCCTGGACAAAGGAATCAGAATCTTGAGGGGGTAGATTGCAGGATTCTGTATTTTCAAAAAGCTCCTGAGTAGGAAGCAGAGTAGGAAAGTATTAGCTTAGCGGTAAGTTTGGAAACCACTATCTTAGTCTCAGACCAAGCATAGTTGGGCAGTAAGATGGGGAAGCCACCCCATTCGCCCACACTCTGATAAAATCCTCATACTTTGAAACAATATACAGTTATACTTCAATTATTCCAAGATCAACTTGCCAGCTGTCTCGAAGAGGGCCAAATCCAAAAGTTAAGAAAAGGAAACATCTCTCACAGGGAAAGAACTTCTGATAGTGAAGAGCAATGAAAATATCTCAAGATACCACTGCCCTATTTACAACCAGAAGAAAAGAAACCTCTCATTAGCTGGCTGTGGACATAAACATCCCATCAATCTTCACCTGGAGCCGCAGAGAAAACCAGCCGAGAAAGGAGAGAAGAATGAAAAATAAACAGTAAAGCAGAAAGAATAAGAGGAAGGATCAGAGTGGATAGAGGCAGATGAGGAGATGAAAAGCAGTGAAGGATTTTAGAAGAGGTGATGAGAACATTCCAAAGAGGGAAAAAAAGAGAGCACCAAAGTAGGGATTCTATACACCGCAGCAATCCTCTGGGACTTAAACGTATGGCCAAGATATCGGTTTGAGAGTCAGTTATCAACAAAGGATTTAATTAGCCATTGTATTCTTTAAGAATATAGAGAATAATCACATTTTAAAGAGATTTCTGTAAAACAGTTTTAAAAATACAGCTATTTTAAAAGATCGCACAATTAATACACTGAAATAAAGCCCAGACATGCAACTTGTTACATCCATCACCATTTTTGAAAGGACAGTTCCTGAGGCTGGACTCACCGGCCCAAGTACTACCCCCTCCCCAGGTCTCCGGCGGCAACTGTAAGTCAAAAGCCCTCAGGCATTATTGCAGCGTCCCACATTGTTTGAGGTTCCAGGAAGTCGCTGCTACGCTCACTTGTAAGTCTTCGTGCTGTTGTAAAAATTGAGGTCGTGGTTTTCCACGCGATTTGGCTGGCGAAGAGACCACGAAGCCACCCCCCACGTTTTCAACTGAGTAAATATCTAAATATTTTTGCTTGCTATCCAGATCCTGGGTTCGAAGTCTTTGGGATTAGAAACTTCCAAGCCCATTTCAGAGGCTTCCTAGTCCTTGGGAGGAGTGTCTTTTAAAGCACCTGCCAGCCTTAAGTTCGCGTGCTTTCGGAAAGGGGCCGACAGGGTGCGTCTCAGGGGAGCCTTTTGAAATGTGGATTGAGAATTGTGTGAGTGTCTCTAGGAACCTCCATTAACTCCACTTTTCCTGAGTGTAGCTCCGAGCCTGGCCACAGCGGATGCTACCACAAGCCAGGCGCAGCCGGGCCTCGGGAGAAAGCCGGAAGCCCGAGAGGGTGTGGGCGCTCCGGGAGCCAAACGCGGCCGCTCAGCCGCCACGCGCCGGTGGCCCCGCGGGGACTCGCGTTCCGGTGAGAGAGCCCCGGCGCGGCGGGCTCGAGGCGGGGGTTCGGGGTCCCGGCCGCGGGCTCCGTCGGCGGGGCCCGCGCAGCCGCACTCGGCGCGCCGACTTCGGGCTCCTCCTCCCGGCTCCGTAGTAAGCATGGCGGCGGCGGCGTTCGTGGTCCCTCGGGTGAAACAGAAAGCGGGAGCTACGCGGAGAGGGAGCGAAGAGCGGGGCTGAGGCGGCGGCGTCACTGCCAGGAAACAACCCCAACAGTCAGCGCGCCGGCGGCCGCGGCGGCCCTGAGAGCTGACTCTGCAGCTGAGGTAGAGAGACAACGATCAGGAACCCTAAGAAGAGGCGCCAGAGGAGCCGCCTTCTGCCTCAGAACGGCGTGACTCGGAGGTGAGAGCGCGGGCACTCCCTCCGCGAAAGGCGGGGGACACCGAGCCGTCCCAACCCCGTCCCGCCCCGGAGGAGGCGCCGCGGAAACCGTTAGGCTGGGACTGAGGGCCGGGGCACTCTCCAGGGCTCGGCCCCGTCGAGGGGCGCGGACCACCCCCTTCTGTGGGCGCGCTGTGGGCAGAGGTGCAGAGGGGCAGTGGGGCCGGGGACAGGACCGGTCTACTAGTCGGGCACCTGCCGGGGCCGAGCCTAGCCAGGACACGCTTGCGGGGGCGCGGCCGGGGGCGCCATCCAGCCCAAGAGGAGGCGGCATCTAGCCCGAGGGAGGTGGCGCTGGTGCGCGGGCGGCCCTTCTCTCTGTCCCCCGCCTCCTCCCCGCGGCGAGCCGCGTAGCTCCGGAGGGCTCGGGGGCGGGGGCGGGGGCGGGGGCTGGGGCGGAATCCTCCTGAGAGGATCGCCCAGCACCCGCGGCGCCTTCGGCTTTGGCCGCCCGGCAGCCGCCGAACTTGAACGCTTTTCTGAAGAGAGTTTTCCCCGCTCATCTTGGGGTTAAAACCTCGAAAACCCGCCCTCTGTTTGATCCTGCGTGGCTGCTTCCAGTACCTGGCAGTTCCTCTCCCCGGGCGAGTTAACCACCTGTTCAGTCGGGAGGTGGACTCGAGGCTGCAGTCCTCGCCCGGTTTTAACAACCTGGATCTTCGAACTTTTGACACGGCTTTGGAAACGACGTCATGTGTTAGGTAAAGGAAAATGAACAGATAATTTCGCTGTCAGATTGCGAGCAGAAGAGGGACTGTTTTAATGGATGTGGTCGTTAATTGTTCTTTTATTCAACTGTTAGCGTTACAAGCCTTGGGATATTTTAGAGGGTGGAATGCGATGATTTGCTGGGGGTGCTAGAGATTGTGAATTCGAGATTTTCTTTTGTGAGATTTTACGTAAGTTCCTTTGGACACCTTTGTGTCTGACCATCTATTAAATAAGAGTCGCAGGCTGATGAGATTTTTTTTTTCTTTTTGCGGTATAATCATTATGTGTTCACTATGGGTTTTTAAAACCGAACAACGTAATTATTTTGCTTCTTACTGTGGTCTGTGTTTTTTAGTTCTTGAAACCAAAGTGTGTATGCTTCTGTATTGTAGGAATGAAATAACAGTTGAACTCTTACTATAATATTTTATCACCATGCTGTTACCAGCTCCAGTACTAAACATACGCCACTCAGGAGTTTGAGCCATATGTTAGGCAGAAACGAATTGAGTTTTGTGGTTCTGATCTTATGTTTGGATAAATATTTAGTTTTTGCGTATTTACTAACTCTTGTCATCTTGTGTCACCCACAAATGTTCAAGTGAGTTGAATCCCCTGTCTTTTGGATATTTTCTTGGTTGAATTAATTTTTCTTAAGTAATGAGATGAAGTACTCACTGAGACAGATGGTGGCCCAACAGAAAACAGTGATGAAGGATTTTTACCACATCTTTTATGAAATATAACCTGAAATGTTGCTTTTAGCTTTGTAGCCTACTAATCTTGCTTTCTAATCACACCAGTTAGTGGGAAGAAGGGATGATGACAGGAGAAACATCTTGTTAAAATTTTAATATTAAATCTTATATTTAAATTTTTTAGCACTACTACATTAAATTTTACTATATTGTCTTGTTTCATTTCATAGATCATCTGTTAGTTTTCTATGTGTAGGTTAACTGGAAAATTTTTTATCCCAGGCTGGCTACCGTTAGCCACCTGTATGCTTCTGAATTAACTCCCTCTTTTTCCCTTTTGTCTGAATCCTCCAAATCATTGAATGCTCCGGAAAAATAAAATCCTGGTTAACACTGTCAAGCATAGTTATAAGGGTAATTAATTTATCCCAAATTAATAATAAGCATTAAAAAAAACATTCTAGGATTATCTTCTTTTGGTGACGTCTGTGTCTTCACTTCCTCTATCTGTGTGAGTAATTGAGACCTGATTTATTTTAACACACATGTAATGATTACTCTTTACTAGTCACATTTCTACAATATAATAGTAAGCATATTTTATTACTAATTTAAAAATTTCTCCCTCTTCCCTGACCAGCCAGACATAGCTAAGGGCTGAGACATCCTTAACCCCCCGAAAAAAAGAGGGAATGCATGATTCATATTCTCATTGTCTTTTGTAGTTTTAGGCAAAGAGCATTTAATTTATACTTTATCAATTTTTAGTAATATTTGCGCTGTTTTAAAACATTTGCATTTTTTAAGATGTTCATGACATCCAAGGCTTGTGTATTTTATAATCTGCCAGTATTTTTAAAATACAATTTGATGAAGTAACCAAAAACGTTTTTTTTTTGAAACATTGTTGGTGCATTTTTGAATGAAAATGAATCTAGATCGTGTCTTTGAGAATGGTGTAGGGATATGCACATGATTTCCAATTTTATTAGCCAGATAACTAAGTGATTAGTGTTTCTGGTTTTTTTTTGTTTGCTTTTGTTTTTTTTGTTTTGTTTTTAGCATTGCCTAGCGGACTTCAAATAAACTCACAATATTGTAATTCCGAAGGTTTAGAATATGGTGCATATTTATTCCATTGAGCCTTTTACTGCTTCAGTTTATCACATTGCAAAACAAGAAATATGGCTCCCATATGTGTGAATGTCAAAAACTACTTGTTAAAACGAAATTAGTGGCCATTAATGTTGAAAGGCAAATTTTGTACTTTTACATGTATTGTGAGCTTTTATAATTTTCTTAATATTTTGGTCTTATTTCAGATAATTATTCAGTGGTCTCTTTTTATATCTTTATTCTTACCTTTCTGTCTTCCCACTGTTGTGGTTTTGCTTGTCTTTAATATATACTTTCAAGTTTTCTGTGTAACCTGTGGTCTTCCATCAAGTTCCTTTGTGGGTGTCATCTTTCAATGTTTCCAATCACTTATCACCCATTACCAGTCCTTGGGCTATTTTTTCCTCCAAGATTGAGAACTACACCTGGGAGATGTCATGTGCTTGCAGGGTGATGCAATGTTATTAAAGTGGGGATACAAACATAGTGTGATGTCTTCCTTCCTTCAAGTAGTTTACAAATTAGTTGGGGGTACTAGACTAATAGTATCATTAGCAAAAATTATAATATGGTATTATTAAGTTGTGTGACACCAACTGGAATTTAAAGGGAAGTGAAGCCAGTGAGAGCTAGAACAATCCTGGAAGGCATTTGGAGGGAGTCAGAGGAAACTTAGAAATGATTTAGATAACAAAAGGAAAGGCATTCCAAAAGAGATTCACAGGCAGAGTTGGAAGTAGTAGTAGAATAAGTAGTCCAAGAGCATCCAAGGACAGAAATTGGGACGAAGAAAGAAAGAAAGTTAGGTCGAGATGTTAGCTTAAGCACCAGGGCATCAGAAGAGGAAAATAGGCAGAGCTGGACAAGACAGTTTGTATCATTAGGAACCTATCACTGAAAGAACTATACCTCAGCTTTGACATATTAATAGCTTAAGCTTTATGTATAATGGATAGCTTATATGTGTTTGTTTGTATGGCTTAGGTCAGGGGTCGGCCAACTTTTTGTGTAGAGTGCTAGATAATTAAATATTTTAGGTTTTGCAGGCCATTTACAGTCTCGGTTGAATGTTCTTGTTTGTTTGTTAGTTTTTTATAATCTTTTAAAAACGTAAAAATTTTTACATTGTTGTCTCAAGAGCCAAACAAAAACAAGCCATCTGTGGACTGGATTTGGCCAGGGGACCTAGTTTGCTGACTGCTAGGTAATAATTGGCAAAGTAATTGTCCATATAGCACATACTGTGAAATTTCTTGCATCATCTTGTCTATATGGTGGTTTGGGCGTTTTATGACTATCATGTATATATTTTTCCTTATGTTATCCTAAAAAAAAAGTATGTAGAAATAAGTGCTTCTGTAATTGTTATTTTGTGGCCAGACTTCTAACAAGAGCCTAGAATAGGTCTCAGAATTAGGAAGTGAAAGACGAAAAGCCTTTGAGTCAGGCCTTACTACAGTGAAAATAGCTACACAGTGGCTTGATTTAGAATTTGTATAAGGTTAGGTGTATCAACTGCCTGTGCTGGTTTTACATTTTTAAAAACAGCTGGCAGGTTAAAAACCTTGTCTAGGATGCTGGTGGTCTGTAAGTGACAACAGAGGAGCAGGCAGTAGGGATCTTTGTTTTTAGAAGTAGTCTAGGATGAGTTAATAAAGGGACAAGCAGTTGGACATTCTGCAGTACTCCAGAAAGAATCACTCTGTTATGGAACAGTCTAATAATTGATATTTACATTGATGAGCTTGAGTCATCAAGAAAAGATTATATCATGTGCACATTAAGGCACGGAAGAAAGACCTAGAGATCTCTTTACAAATAATTAAGATTTTTTTAAGATAAGTTATGGTGATTTAAAGGATATAAGTATCAGCTGTTTTGAAAAGTAATTTACATGAAACATCTCTGAAGTTTCTAAATTTATAGATATCTATTTCTAAGGCAGTTCTGTTTCCTTCAGTATACTGTGGTTCATGTGCCATTACCAGGTGAATAGTGATGCCTCACGCTGTGGCTGCACAAATCAATTGGCTGGGGCAACTGTATTTTTTGTGGCATCAAGAGAGCAAGAATACATCATGAGAGCATTTTTTCATTAAGCAGGCATCAGTACATTCCATATATCAGGGTTAGTATTAGGTGCTGGAAAAAGTACAGATGTATAAGATGGGAAGCAACCTGGACAGAATCAGTGATGCTTCTTTCTTCCTGTTAAAAACATTAAAACCAACCAAACAAAATCATGAAACTTAACTTTTGTACTTTAATTTATTATTAGCATTTTTCATACTTAGTACATACAGTACCGTAATTTTAAGGCAATATAAAGCTTTTGATTTAAATAACAGCCTTCATAAATTGCTACTTAATACAATTTTTACTTTTTAAATTTTAGTTTAAGGAGAAATTCATGCCCTCCCTCTTTTTTTGTGAATGCTTGAAACAGCTTCACCATGCCAGCTGTTTCCATTTGCTAAACAAGAGGTAAATTAAAGTACCTTGGATGGTGACTCAAAAGTCTAGTTCTTAGTTCTAACTTCACCACTTATTACCTATATGATTTTGGGTTAGTTTCTTGCAATCTTGGTTTTCTAAGCATTAAAATAGAGAATAATATCTATCCTGTTTTCCTCAAAGATATTGTGAGAACCCACAGAGATGTTGGAAACTATAAAAGCATTAAAATACATACCATAAAAGTGCTTACATTAATGCTACTATATTGGAAGCAATGCAGCCTTTTTTTTTTTTTAAGACCAGAGTTCAAGCTTTATCCTCCAAAGTTCTGTAAACATAGTATGTTTCCAGTAAACATTCAGTTGAGCTCATTGAATTTTAGAACCTATACTTGCTTATTTTTAAAATCCTATACAAACCTGCCAGATATGTGGTGGTATTCTCATTTTACAGATGAACTATACTTCTGATTGACTTCCATATCTCTTTCTCCTTCACTTCTTGAGATCTCTTATGTGCTAGTTGCTAGAAATACAAAGTGCAATGTATACTTTGAAGTAAGCCTTGGTGTAAAAGTTACCTAAGTTTGGTAAATTAGATTGTGTATGTTAATCAGCCTCTATCAGAAATGCTGGGGGAAAAAAAAGTGTTGTATCTGTTTTCTTTCCTCAGAATCCATATTTTAATATATATTTGAACTTTTAAAAACTTAAATGATTTCGCTTCACTACTTCTTCAGTGAGGGATTACTTTAATTGGTTTATGTATATTCTAAACCGACAGACACATAATTTGGGAGGCAAAAAAATCTTACTTCTCTAGGGGTTCTAAACAGATATTTAAGTACACTTTAAATCACAGTTTAGACTTTTATTAGAAAGTAATTACGTGCTTTGCTTTATAGAAGTATATGCCATATACAGCAACTACTTTTGTTGAGCCATAACTTGAAGGATTAGTCATTTCATTTACTTTAAAATCAGTTTTTCTTAAGATTTGCTTAAATAAAAAGTGAAAATTCATAATTTGCGATTTTATGTTTAAATTTTCTAAATTTTTTTTGTTTTCTTAAGACAGACATTCTCAATTATGTCTTTGTTCTTATGACTTGATTTTTTTCCATGTAATATTTTCATTTGTAATATATACCTAAAAAAAATTTTTAGCATAGTACCTTCATAGTTTATGAAGTACCTTTTTGTTTCTTTAGTAACTATTAGGATCAGCTTTTCCTGATGCTTCAGATTGGTATTCCTGAAATAGTATGTTCGCATTTTTGTTTTAATCACTTGAACCTTACTAAAACTGGCCTAGTGTGTGTGACAGAGTAGCCTTTGGGTAAAATGTAGGGGCTACTGCCCCTCTAACCATCTTTTAGGCTGCTTCCAGGATATTTAAAAAACATGAATTTATTCAGATCATTCCCCAGTTTTAGAAATCGAAATCACAATACAATTCCTGCTGCATTAATTATAATTTCCTTTGTCTTTGAGAGTCCATACTCTGTTGATATCCTATTGTGTCATCATTTCTTACCTCTTTACAACTTTGTGATATAGTGTAGAGAACATATTTCTCATTAGGCAGCCACAGGATTGTTAGTTGACTTCTCATACTGGCTGTATAGAAACATGAGTGTGCTACTTTACCTGTATGAGCCTTGGTTCGTTCATTTTACAGTGTAGTAATAATAGTAGCTATCTCCTAATATAGACTGTACAAGAATTAAAAGATCCTATTTAACATGACAAGTAAAATGCTTGCCATAGGATATTTATATCTAGAACTTTGACAGACATACCTAATCATTGTCACTCAGGCATCCTGCATATCATTCATTTATTCATTTGCCTATCATTTGTTGAACATTTAAAATGTCCTAGATACTTAGAATATGAATGTTGAATGTCACAAAAATGAATGTCACACTCCCTCCCCTTTAGAAATTTACAGAATGGGATGAGAGATAATGATATGTAAATAAATACATATTTTTAAATAATTAAAATATCTTGTGTCTTTTCACTTGTGTGAGTCCTTCCTGTCTTTTAATATTTAAATGCAAAATGTTTCCATAATACCCACAGAATATCTGGGTTGTATATATCATACTGTAATGTATATATATTTTTTACTTGTCTAAATCAGCTATTCAACTATGAACTCCTTGAGTTTGACCAGTACTACTGGAGTCAGCAACTTTTTTAATATAAGAGAAGGTAGTAAATATTTTAGGCATTGTGGACCATATGGGCTCAGTTGCAACTACTTAAACTGTGCTACAGGAGCACAAAAACAGCCATAGATAAATTATAAACAATGGGCATGACTGTGTTCCTATTAAACTTCATTTACGAAACTAGGCAGCAGACCAGATTTGGCCCACAGGCTTTAGTTTGCCAACCTCTGCAATGGTGCATGCATATACTTTTATTTGTGCTTGACAAATAAAAGGCACTTAGTAAATAATATGATTAATAGGCATTAAACACTTTCTGTATTCTGGGTGCTATTGCAAAAAACTTTATATGTATCAGTTTACTTAAGCCTTAAAACATCTCTCTGCGGTAGATACTATTATCACCAAATGTCATAGAGTAATAATAGAAGCACTTTCATTAATAGATAGGAACACAACATTGGTTCAAAAGTCTTAGGCAATACATTAAGAACAAGAAAAATAATTAACCTGTAAATAAAGGGGGGAAATGTATCACTATTATTTAGAGTTGATATGACTGCTTACAAATACAAATAAATATAATACAAATACAAATAGCAAAAAAATATGAGATAACAGAAAAAGATTTGTATTAAAAAATTTCAGTAAGCTGATTGGCTATAAGATAAAGTTAGAAAATTCATTAGCCTTCTTATATATCAACAATAACCAACTATGAAATACAGTAATAAGAAGTAGCAGCCTAAACTATAAAATACTTAAGATTTTAAAATGTGTAATAGCTATGTGAAGAAAACTGCAAAAAGATGTGAATGGATGGAGGAGTATTCATGAATGTGTCAACTTAATGCCATAAAAATGACAGCTTTTACTAAATTATTCTATAAAGTCAATGCAGTTCTAATCAGAAATTCAACAGGAGTTTTAAAATGGAATTTGACAAACTGATGGTTCAAGTTTTGAGAAGGGAGCATGCACAAGAATGGCCAAGTAAATTTCAAAAAGAAGTATAATAAATGGGACCCATCAAAGGTCGAAACATTATAAAATTACAATTATTAAAATAAGAATTTGGAGTAGGAATAGGCATATTGATCAAAGGAATAGAATAATAAATTCAGGAGAAGATCCATAGATAAACATGGATAAAGAAGAATTGTATGATAAATGAATGAGTAATGGAAGAACTGGTCTATAAAGGGTGTGGGACAATCAACTGTTTAATTGAAGTAAAGATAGTTAGGTACCCACTTCGTGACACTCTCAAAACTAAGTTCCAGGTGGACTAAATGGTTTTTTATTTTTATTTATTTATTTATTTTTGAGATGGAGTCTCGCTCTGTCACCAGGCTGGAGTGCAGTGGCGTGATCTCGGCTCACTGCAACCTCCGCCTCCCAGGTTCAAGCGATTCTCCTGCCTCAGCCTCCCAAGTAGCTGGGATTACAGGTGCCCACCACCACGCCCAGCTAATTTTTGTATTTTTAGTAGAGACGGGGTTTCACCATGTTGTCCAGATGGTCTCGATCTCTTGAGCTTGTGATCTGCTCGCCTCAGCCTCCCAGAGTGCTGTGATTACAGGCGTGAGCCACTGTGCCCAGCCCCGAGTGGACTAAATGTTGATAAATAAAAAATAAAATGACAAAACTTTTAAAAGTTAATTTAAAAACTCGTTGGAGTAGAGAAGGCCTTTTAAGTGAGACATCAAACTTAGATGCCATTTAAAAAGGAAGGCAAGCAATAGACTGGGATAAAATATTCGACATGTAATAGACAAAATTAATATTCAAGGTATATAAGGTGTACCTACAAATCAATATGAAAAAGATAACCTGATAGAAAATGGGAAAGAATGTAAGCAGGAAATTTATAGAGGTAGAAATATAGGTAGCCTGTTAAGTTTTGAAGGAATACTATTGAACCGAATATAAATAGCTTCATCTTTTTAGGAGAAAAGTTTGGCAGTATCTATCCATTTCAAATGTACGTTCTCCTGAGCCAGAAGTTTTATTTCTATATGTCTGTAATATAGAAATGCTATCATTCATTAATAGAGAGTATTGCATGATTATTCCATGCAGAGGAGAAAATGTATGATGGGAAACTGGAAGTAATAAGATCATCATTAGAACAGTTAAATTATGGTGTGCCCTTACACTATAATATTAGATACTTATGAAAAAACATGAAATAGACATAGATGTACTTCTTAAGATATTTTACATGAAAGGGCGAGATACAATATAATACATACACAAAGACACAATTCATACACACACAAAAAAAATACAATACACAAAAGCAGTGTATGTGATTTCACTTACATAACAACCAATCCCAGAAAACCTAACACACAGGTAAGCACAGAGAAAAAGACTGGAAGGGTACACCACAGTTGTTAGCTATAGAAATAGGAGTTGGATTAGGGATCAGGAAAGAGTTAAAAACAATGTTTGTATGTGTATTTTCAAGTATAAGCAAGTACAGCCTTTGTGATATAACAAACATAACAACACATGCAAGGCTTTGTTATGATTGGTCCTGATTAGGACCATTCCTCCTGGGTGGACAGCTTTGATTTATGTCGGTTTTCCCTGCGTAATTTTTAATAGCACTTCCTTTCACTTGCAGAAGCTTCCCAGTTGGTGTCTGAAGTCATTGGTGTTTTTAGAAATAGCAATTTCTGTATAGTGTTGGATCTGAAACTGTGTTAAAGTGGGTTAAAGAAGTGAGAATTCTACCAGTGATTCTTAACCTCTATAACTACAACTGCCAACCAAGACAAAATAAAGTGCTTTTTATTTTCAGAGTTTCTGTTATAAAAACACTTTGCTTTTTTAAATATAAAGTTATAATTTCGAATGTAGTTTTTTTAAAGTCCCATATGTCTGGATATTTTGATCCTCCCCTTTAATATTAAAACCTAATATTTCAAGACAGTTAATGATAGAGGTCAAGAGAGGAATCAGAAGCTTAAGAGGAAGACAGAGTAAGGAGAAGGAAGTTGTTTTTTTTTTTTTTTTTTTTTTTTTTTTGAGGCGGAGTCTTGCTCTGTCGCCCAGGCTGGAGTGCAATGGCGTGATCTCGGCTCACTGCAACCTCCGCCTCCCAGGTTCAAGAGATTCTCCTGCCTCAGCCTCCTGAGTAGCTGGGACCAGAAGCACGTGCCACCACACCCGGCTAATTTTTTGTATTTTTTAGTGGAAACGGGGTTTCACCATGTTGGTCAGACTGGTCTCAAACTCATGACCTCATGATCCGCCCACCTCAGTCTCCCAAAGTGCTGGGATTACAGGCGTGAGCCACTGCGCCTGGCCCGGAAGGTTTTTTTAAAAAGAAGTTGAAGGAAGATGAGTATGATTAGAGGCAATCTTTAACCAAGGCATAGTTGTAGATTTATAAACAAAGAATCTGGTCATCTCAGAAAGGACTACTTTAAGGACTACTGGATTCTGCAGACAAATCTACTTATAGGAAATAAAGAAATGTTACTTGATTTTATTATGATAAAATTATTTTGGAGGAATTAGTGAAGGAAACATGTTAATATGGTTAAGTTATAGTAATACAGTAGCTTTTACACAGGAACTCAAACTTTCTGTTGTGAATTTAGTTACCAATGTATTACTGTGGCCAGAAAATATTCAGAAACTACAGGTTTAATCTTCAGTCCAAAAATCACACCAATGGATTTGAAGTTCTACAAGAGCAAAGTTAACAATCTATAATATAAAAACTAAAGTTTTATATAATACTTCTAAAAAGGACAGTAAAATATTTGGAAGTGAAAATAGGATTGTCCCAGGTGTAGTTGCCTTTTGGCTCTAAAGGGTAGCCTATGTGCTCCAAAGACACTAGACAGCTAGAGCTATATGTGGAACTTAAGAAGATGTTACTTGAAAGAAAAACTGATCTATGTGCACACTATCAGTCCTTTAATGGACTGGGGTTCGTTTCTTGGAAGCAGTTCTTTCTCTCTTGTTTCCATAGTTTCCTGACTGGAAGTATCTTTTTGATCAAGATTTCCTTTGAAGTCTATTTTAACAGGATTTTCATGTTAGTATTAAGGTATAATTTCTTAGTGGGAGAATGGGGGCTGTATCTCCTAAATGTCTAATTAAATTTAAATTTAGTATATCTGACTAAGAAGGGTGAGGATGGTGGCTTGAATGCCCTCTTCCCTTTTAAACCTTTCTTCACTTAAGGGACATGAAAGAGTGAGGCTTATCCATCCGACCAACACTACTCTTTCCTTCTTTCCAGTGGATGTGGGATTGGAGAAGAATAAGATAAATAAGTTACAGTAAATTTGTTGCTAACAATCTGTGTAAATTATTGATTTCTTTGTAAGTGTATGAACACTTTCATTAGGTTAAATTGTTGATATTTTAAAGTTTTTGACCTCAGTGGCAGTTTCATATGGTTTGACCTATTGCATTATGAAACTATGGCTATAATCACTGCCCTGTATATAAAAATGTTATGGCACTTAAACAAAAATACATTATAACTTATTTAAATAGCATAAATTTGTGCGTGCTTTGGCAGCACATATACTAAAATTGGAACGATGCAGAGAAGATTAGCATGGCCCCTGTGCAAGGATGACACACAAATTCATGAAGCGTTCTGTATTTTTCAGACTCTAAACCAACAAAGATAAAAAAAGACAAAGAAGGGCATTACATAATAGTAAAGGGCTGAATGCAACAAGAAGAGCTAACTCTCATAAATATGTATGTGCCCAATACAGGAGCACCCAGATTTATAAAGCAAGTTTTTAGAGACCTACAAAGAAGCTTAGACTCCCACACAGTAATAGTGGGAGACTTTTAACACCCCACTGTCAGTATTAGATCAACGAGACAGGAAATTAACAAGGATATTAAGGACTTGAACTCAGCTCTGGATCAAGTGGACTTAACAGACATCTACAGAACTCTCCACCCCAAAGCATAAATTCATAAACAGTACATCACTGATGAAATGTCAACATCCAAGCCAAATTGGAATGTTCATGAATACACCTACTTTAGCAACAGGTAAAGCCAAAAATATTGTTACTGCAGATATGTATCATTATACATTAAAGGGTTAAACAACCTTCTCCAGAATCTAAATTGCATATGAGAATGATAAAAGCCATAATATAGTAATTTATAATTTAAAAGCTTGTAGTATGGCCAGGTGCTTGGCTCACACTTAATAGTCCCAGGACTTTGGGAGGCTGAGGTGGGAGGATTGCTTGATATAAGGAGTTTGAGACCAGCCTGAGCAACATAGCAAGACCTTGTTTTTACTAAATAATAAGTAAATAAGTAAGTAAGCCAGGCATGGTGGCACATGCCTGTAGTTCCAGCTACTTTGGAGGCTGAGGTGGGAGAATTGCTTAAGCCCAGGAGCCTGCAGTGGGCCATGATTGTGCCACTGCACTCCAGCCTGGGTGAGAGAGTGAGAACTTGTCTCAAAAAAAAAAAAAAAGATAAGAAAAAGCTTATAGTAATTTATAAGTTAAAGCTATCAGACATGAAAACCTTAAGTGTTCAGCAAAGTATGGATAAACATATACATTTAAGGAAACTACACAGGGCTGGAGAAAGAGCCAACTAAAAAGATTGTATATAGAACAGTATCCAAGCTCACACAGGGCCAGAAGAAGTGCCTGTTTCCACTAGCTAGAACAGAAAGCCTCATAATTCACAAGGCATTCAGTAGAGTACTCTGGAGGGTTTTGCATTAGTAGTGGGGAAAAATTAATTACATATTAAATGCAGCTCTGTTCTTGCCTAATCCATCGTAAAAGCAAGTCCCAAAGAGTCAAACTTTGTCCGAGTCCCTTAGCCACATGTTATAACAAATCTCCAGATTATTTATGGAAATACAAAAATATCCAACAGCCAACAAGATAAAGTTAACAGTATCTTACATGCAGTTCAAATTACTGAGTCTGCAAAGAAGCAGGAAAATACAAACCATATTGAGAAAAATTAATCACTTGAAATTGGCCTTCAAATGATACTGATGATGATAGTCATTAAAACAGTTATGACTGTTGGAGAAGCTAACAAAAAGATTGAACATGTTAAATAGAGATACTGTCTGATTAAAATTACGTGTCAAAGACATACTACATTAATGGCATGTTAGACTTTGTCAAAGAAAAGATAAGTGTACATGAAGATACAGCAATAGAAACTATCCAAAATGAAGCACAGAAGAAAATAGAATTTGGAGACAATAACTGAAAAAGTATTTGAAGAAATAATGGCTATTTTCCAAAATAGATATAAACTATAAACCAATAAGCACAATAAGCATAAGAAAGATGAATAAAACTCTGCTAAAACACATCATAATCAAATCACTTAAAGATAACTTTTTTTTTTTTTTTTGAGACAAAGTCTCGCTCTTTTGCCAGGCTAGAGTGCAGTGGCACAATCTTGGCTCACTGTAACCTTCGCCTCCCAGGTTCAAGCGATTCTCCTGCTTCAGCCTCCCGAGTAGCTGGGATTACAGGTGCATGCCACCATGCCCAGCTAATTTTTGTATTTTTAGTAGAGATGGAGTTTCACCATGTTGGCCAGGATGGTCTCCATCTCTTGACCTCGTGATCCGCCCACCTTCGCCTCCCAAAGTGCTGGGATTATAGGCGTGAACCACCGTGCCTGGCCCATAAAGGAAATCTTAAAAGCAGCCAAAGAAAAACAGAACAAAGATAAGGGTGACATCAGATCTGTCATTAGAAGCAATGTAAGCTAGAAGACAATGAAGCAATATCTTTAAAACATTTTTTTGCAAAAACTGTCAACCTGGGACTTTTTACCCAAACTGTCTTTCAAAATAAAGGCAAAATAAAGATTTCAAATATACAAAAGCTGAAATAATTTATCACTTTCATTTATGAACTAAAAGACATGTTAAATAGAGTCCTTCAAGCAGAAGGAAAATTAAACCACATGGAAACTTGGCCACAAGGAGTTTAGAGTACTGGAAGTGGTAACTATCTGGGCAAATATATAGGATTTAAAAAAAATTATTATTTGAATATCTTTAAAAGACAAATGACTGTTTAATATAAAAATGATGACAGTTGCCAGGTGTGGTGGCTCGTGCCTGTAATCCCAGCACTTTCGGAGGCCAAGGCAGGCAGATTGCTTCAGCCCAGGAGTTTGAGACCAGCCTGGGCAACATGGTGAAATCCTGTCTCTCCAAAAAAAAAAAAAAAAAAAAAAAATTAGCCAGGCATGGTGGTGCATGCTTGTAGTCACAGCCGCTCGGAAGGCTAAGTTGGGAGGATCGCTTGAACCCAGGAGGCGGAGATTGCAGTGAGCTGAGATCACACCACTGCATTCTAGCCTGGGCAATAGAGACCCTGCCCTCCCCTAAAAAATGACAACATGAGGTTTAAAACATGTAAAAGTAAAATATACAATAATAGCAAAAATCCCAGAGAAATTGCAGATTTATTGTTGTAAGGTTCTGATACATATTCCTGAAGTAGTGTATTACTTGAAGGTATACAGTAATAAGTAAAACATGTGTATTGTAAATTTTAAAGAAACCACTCAAGTAACAAAGAGTTGTAGCCTATAAATCAACAAGAGAGAGGGGATGGTATAATAGGAAATAATTCAAAATGAAGCAGATGAAGAGGGAAAAGGGGACAAAGAACATTTGAAACAAATAGCAAGATGGTGATGTAAATCCAGTCGTATCAACAATCACATTACATATAAATGGCCTAAACACCACAATTAAAAGTCAGGGATTGTTGGATACAATTTTTTAAAATTAAGACCCAAATATTTCACATCTACAAGAAATCCACTTTAAGTGAGTTAAAAGGATGGAAAAAGATATGCCATGCTTACACTATCCAAAAGAAAACTGAAATCAGTAAGTTAAACCAGAAGTTAGGTTACAGAACAAAGAATTCTTACCAGAGATAAAGAGGATTATTTCATACTAGTAAAGGGATTAATTAAGAGGGCATGCAATTATAAATATGCATCTAGTATAGGAACTGGCCTGGGGGCAGTGGCTCATGTTTGTAATCCCAGCTCTTTGGGAGGCTGAGGGGGTTGAATCAGTTGAGTCCAGGAGTTCGAGACCAGCCTGGGCAATGTGGTGAAACTACGTCTCTACAAAAAAATACAAAAATTAGCTGGGTGTGGTGGCACACGCCTGTAGACCCAGCTACTAGGAAGGCTGAGGTGGGAGGATTGCTTGAACCTGGGAGGTTGAGGCTGCAGTGAGCTATGCTCACACCACTGCACTCCAGCCTGAGTGACACAGCAAAACCCTGTCTCAAAAAAAAGAAAAAAGGAAAAAAAAAAGAGAGAGAATGTTTCTGAATATATGCTGGAACTGCAAAGAGAAATACAGATGCTCTTTAATTCATGATGAGGTTATGTCTCAATAAACCCACCTGGTTAAAATATGTCAGAAATGAGTTTAATTCACCTAACCTACTGAACATCGTAGCTTAGCCTAGCCTATCTTAAATGTGCTCACAACACTTACATTATCATATGGTTGATGAACAAAATCATCTAACACAAAGCCTATTTTATAATAAAGTGTTGAATGTCTCGTGTAATTTATCGAATACTGAAAAGTGGAAAACCGAATGCTTGTATGGATACTTGATGTATGGTTTCTACTAAATGTGTATCTCTTTTGCTCCATCATAAAGTCCAAAAATTGTAAGTTGAACCATCACAAGTTGGGGATTGTCTGTATACAAATAATGCAATTTTAGCAGAGATTTCAATACCCCTCTCAATGGAAAGTAGAAAGAATGTAAAGCCTAAAACTATGAAATTTCTTAAAACAGGAGAAAATCTCTGTGACCTTGCATTAGGTGATTTCTTAAGTATAGCATTGAAAGCACCATTCATAAAATGACAAATCGATAAATTGTACTTTATCATAATTTAAAACTTCAAAAGACATTGGTAAGAGAATATAAAAACAAGCCACAGACTGGGAGAAAAATATTTGTAAATCACTTATCTGGTAAAGGACTGCTATCTAGAATATATAAAGCACTATCAAAACTAAATAATAAGAAAACAGTCTAGTAACTAAATGGACAAAATAATCCAACAAATAGTCAACCAAAAATATACCTGGATGGCAGATAAGCACATGAAAACAACATCATTGTTCATGGAAATGCAAAGTCTCCAGTTTACAAATGGTTAGTAGGAAAATTTGAGAGATGACGGGTAAGTTCATTATCTTGATTATGGTAACAGTTTCACAGGTGTATTTATGTGTCAAAATTTATCAAATTGTACACTTTTAAACATGTGCAATTTGATATATGTCAGTTATACCTCAGTAAAGCTATTTCAAAAATCAAGAGTAGTTGACACATTGTATTAGGTTGGTGCGAAAGTAACTGGTTTTTGCCATTGCTTTCAATTAAAAGTACCATTTGTACCATTAAAAGTAATGGCAAAAACCACAATTACTTTTGCACCAACCAAGTAGTTATAACAACTACTTGATGCGTGTTTGTTTAATACATTTAACTCATTACTCTGCCATTTCCCAGGAGTATTTGAAAGTTTCAACTTTGTTTAATCTACAGGAAATAGCAACTTCAATCTAAGGATAGTATATCATACTCTCCTAGTATATTGATTTGACCATAATATCCAAAGGCAATTAAAAATTCTTCATTAAACTTGATTCCTCTACGAATACTTTCTTATCCTTAGATCAGTATTTTTATCTGTTTCTCGTTGAAGGATAATGTATTCACATCTGGGATGAGGCTTTCCAGAATGAGGTATACACCTTACATTGTTATCAACTTTACATCCTTATTATCAGTTAGTACTTAATGTAAAAACTTACTTAGTCTTAGAGTTGTATGGCCCAGAGACTAGCAGCATCAGCCTAACCTGGGAACTTATTAGAGATGTGATTTACTGGGCCCCACCACACACCTGTTGAGTCAGAAACTCTGTATGTGTGGCCCAGGAATCTGTTTTAATAATCCCTGCAGGTCATTCTGATACATACCAGGATTTGAAAGCTGTGATCTTAGAGCAACAATAGGACTTTAGATTCTTAGATACTTATAGTAGTTTCATTTTTAAAAATCTCATATGATAGCACACTTAAGATTTGTACATTTCTGGTAAAAGGAATTTGACAAAAAAATTTTTAATGAAGATGTGTACATTTTACCATACATGAACTTTTTTTTAAGGAACTAAAAATTTTGAATGCTAGTAACACATGCAAAAGTGTTTAGGGGTGAAGTATACTGATGTCTGCTGCTTTGAAGTGCATTTAAAAAAGATCGCTAGAGGAATACATGCAATTAAATCCTGTCAATTTTAGAACCTAGGTGGCAAGTATATGGGTGTTTGCTGTTCAGTTATTTCAGCTTTTCTGTGGGTTAAAAAAATCCTCATAATATAAAATCCTTCCATGACTCCTTTTTAAATTTTTGATCAAGAGAGTGAAATGTGCCCAGAATGTGCTCTTAGGCAAAATAATGGTAGATAGTAATGAAGTTTTAGTATCTTAACAGCAATTATGAATAAAGATATAGAAAACTGTGTTTCACTAGAATGATATTACATTTGTTAATCTTAGAAATTGACTATTTGAGATTTTTCTAATCAAATTAAAATGGAAAGTGTAATCTTGCTAATGTTCTTTAAATTACCTCTATTGATTGTCTCTTCATATATCCAGATGAAAAGATCATCAGCTATATATGATCTAGTTAAAGTCACTTTTAAGGACTGATATAAATTATTGATTTTTTCAAAAATAAAAAAGTAGACCAATGTGGTCTTCAGAAATAAAAAAAATTACTTGCTTTTAAAACATTATTAAAGGCTTGACAGTCAAATGGATGGTACTTAGATTAAAAGAGGTTTTTAAAGACATGGCAAATAGTAGTGTGCACATCTGATACAAATCCTGATTCAAACAAGTTTTAATAAAAACAAGACAATGCAAAATTTGAACACTGACTACATATTTGATGATTTAAGGAATTATTGAAGTGTATGTATGGTAATGGTTTTGTAATTATGTTTTAAAAAGGAGTTCCTGTCTTTCAGAGATACATACTGAAATATTTGCTGTGGTTGAGCGCAGTGGCTCACGCCTGTAATGCCTGCACTTTGGGAGGCCGACGCGGGCAGATCACAAGGTCAGGAGTTTGAGACCAAGCCTGGCCAACATGGTGAAACCCCATCTCTACTAAAAATGCAAAAATTAGCTGGGCGTGGTGGCGCATGCCTGTAATCCCAGCTACTCCGGAGGCTGAGGCAGGAGAATTGCTTGAACCTGGGAAGCGGGGGTTGCAGTGAGCCGAGATGTGCCACTGCTCTCCAGCCTGGGTGACAGAGCAAGACTCCATCTCAAAAAAAAAAAAAGAAATATTTGCAAATGAAGTTTTGGAATGTCTTAGATGTGTTTCATAATACTGCAAGACAGGAAGTGGGGTATAGATGAAACTAGACTGGTCATGAGTTGAAGCTGGGTAATGAGTACATGGGGTTCATTATACTATTATGTTTACATTGGTGTATGTTTGAAGTTTTCCACAATAAAAGGTTTTAAGAAAGATGTAGGTTAAATTTAACTCTTACATCATGATCTGAGAATGAAATCATCACTTATTGTGGTGTTTCAGTGAGAAAATATTTTCCAATTATATCTGACTTTAAAACAACTAATAATAATATTAATAAGGTCTCTATGTTGCCCAGGCTGGTCTCAAACTCCTGGACTCAGGTGGTCCTCCTGCTTCAGCTTCTTAAAGTGCTGAGATTACAGTCGTGAGCCACTGTAAGAGTGAAAGGCCTTTTTATTTATTTCTTTTTTAATATTTTCAGATATATCTGACTTCTAACAAAATACTGTAAGGGAGCCTATTTCTTGATTGAGGACTGCCTTTTTTTTTTTTCTTTTAGCATAACAATCTTAGTTGTAGCCTTTTTGTGTACCAAATCTTGTACTGTTTTATACTTCCAGTATCCAAAGATATGAAAAAAGTGAGCATGGGGAGAGAAAGAAAAGCAAGGAACTAGATTAAGCATAAATCTTTTGAATTATAAAAAGCTGTCTTTTTTTAAATTTAATATCAGTCATTGAAAATGATTAATAGCACTGTCTTCTTACCATCCTCCTCCCTTCTCACTTTCTCTACCAATATACATTTCTATTATAAATATAGAAGATAACAAGATTGCTTATTATGTCTTCATAAAATTTCACATTAACATATGGACATTTAAGGTGAACTGAAATAATGCATGTAATTATATTTTTAAGAGCCATTTTTCTGCAGTACAGTTGACATCAAAGAGGGTAATTCAAAGAATTAGTTTTGGCAAAAATATAAAATAAGCTAATATCCTGTTCTTATTGTTAAATACAGTCTATGAAATATTTGTTTTTGGTTTCTGATAAGAAATGATAGGATAGTTTTGCAGAGTGATTCCCATGAGTTTCATCTCAGGAAATTCCACCACAGGTGATTTCAAATACCTTATTTTTAGTCTAATATAGTCAAGTTTAGAAGATGAAAAATCCAAACGTTAAAAATGAAGTAGAAGTCTAAATTGGAAAAGTACATTTTAGGATATCAGTTCATGAGATAAATTAGTATTTTGGATAAAGTCCAAGTTGTGGCAGAACTTATTTAAATTCTCCTGAAAGGGTACTTAGATGGTTGAGAAGCCAAATATGTGTAGTTGCCTATGGCTCTTCAAGACTATTAACTTTTAAATCAAAATTTTGATGGTGGTATAAACCATATCCATATTATAAAAAAAAACTTGAGAAATAGAAACAGTTACATAATCTCACCATCTTGATACAGTTGCTACTGTAATTCTAATATTTTTACCTAACATTTTGTTCATGTGTATGTTTAAAAATACTCCTAAATTCTAGAGTTAAATGACTAAAACTCTTTGGAGTACAGTCAGCCTTCCATTTTTGGGGGTTTCACATCCATGGAGTCAATCAACCGTGGATCAAAAATATTTGGGAAAAAATGGATTGTTGCATCTGTACTAAATATGTACAGAGCTTTTCTTTTTCATTATTCCCTAAACAATACAGTGTCACTATTTACGTAGCATTTATATTGTATTAGGTATTATAAGTCATACAGAGATGATTTAAAGTATACAGGAGAATGTGCATAGGTTATATGCAAATACTACAACATTTATATAAGGAGCTTAAGGTTTTGTGGATTTTGGCATCTTTGGGGATCCTGGAATCAATCCCCTGTAGAAACCAAGGAACAACTGCATATGATAGTCTTGTGGTTTCAGATATGGCTCTGGAGACATACAGTTTTTAGTTTGAATTGGACACATCAAAAAACCACATCAAAACACATTGGATTTCGGCAGGGCATGGTGGCTCACACCTGTAATCCCAGCACTTTGGGAGGCCTTGGTGGGTGGATCATTTGAGGTCAGCAGTTCGAGACCAGCCTGACCAACATGGTGAAACCACATCTCTACTAAAAACACAAAAAATTAGCTGGGCATGGTGGCAAGCGCATGTAATCCCAGCTACTCGGGAGGGTGAGACAGGAAAATTGCTTGAACCCAGGAGGCAGAGGCTGCAGCGGGCGGAGATCGCACCATTGCACTCCAGCTTGGGTAACAAGAGCGAGACTCCGTCTCAAGAAAAAAAAAAAAAAAGACATTGGATATCTCAATCTAAATGTACATATTTTTCCTATCAGTACTTCAGTTATAGTATTGCTGTAATCCAAGATGTAATCCTGCTTTGCATTTTTCCACATGCTTTTTAGACAAAAAGAGCTGAAGTTTCAAACCCCAGACCAAGCTTATTCTCATGAGCTATCTACCTTAGTTTCTAGGTCTAAGCTGTTGTCATCATATAGATAACAAATCTGGGTGGAATTAACGGATATGAATAATAAGGTTAAGGAAGAAAACTAGCAGAATACATGTATAAGGAAACAAGAACAGATTCAGAATTGTGTCAGCGGCTGAGTGAGAAAGCACCTGATAGTGTTATGGACTGAATGTTTGTATACCCCTCAAAATTCATACATTGAGCCCTAACCACCAATGTGACAGTATGTGGAGCTGGGGCCTTTGGAGATAATTTGGCTTAGAGGAGAGCATGAGCATGGGGTCCCCATGATCAGATTAGTGTCCTTAGAAGAAGAAGAGACTTGAGCTTGCATGCTCTCTGCCTTGAGGACAAAAGGAGAAGGTAGCCATCTGAGAGCCAGAAAGAGGGTTCTTACCAAAAAGCCAACCATGCTAGCACCCTGATCTTGGACATCTTGGCCTCCGTAACTGTTAAAAATTATGTCTGTTGTTTAAAGCAACCAGACTATGTTATTTTGCTGTAGTAGCCTAAGTTCAGTAAGACGGTAATTGGTGCTAAGAAATGGGTGACTGCTATAACAAGTACCTAAAAATGTGGGAGTAGCTTTGGAACTGTGTAATGAGTAGAGGCTGGAAAAGTTTTGAGGTGTGTGCATTAAAAAAAAAAAAAATGCTGAGATTGCTGCAACCAGACTGCTAGGGGCAATTCCAGTGAGGGCTCACAGAGAAAAAAGGAGAGCTGGAGAGAAAGCCTCCATCTTCAAGGAGGACACATAAATAATCATGAACAGAATGTCATTTGAAAACATGGGTGATAGGCCATTCTGATGAGGTCTCAGATGGAAATGAGGAGCATGATTTGGACAATGGAGAAAAGGCAATCCTTGTAATAAAGTGGCAAAGAATTTGACTGAATTATGCTCATGTTCCAGTGTTTTCTAGAAGGCAGAACTTGTGAACTGTTAAATTGGGTGTTTAGGTAAAGAGATTTCTAAGCCAAGTGTTGAAGGAGCAGTTTGTTTTCTCTTCACTGCTTATTCAGGTTGAGCATCCCTAAATTAAAAATCCGAAATATAAAAAGCTCAAAAATCTGAAACTTTCTGAGCTTTGGCATGATGCTACAAGTGGAAAATTCCATCATGTGATGGGTTGCAGTTAAAACAGTCAAAACTTTGTCTCATGCACAAAATTATTTAAAATACTATGTAAAATTACCTTCTGGCTATGTAAGATGTATGTAAAACATAAATGAATTTCGTGTTTAGACTTGAGTTTCATCCCTAAGATATTTCATTATGAGTAAGCAAATATTCCAAAATCTGAAAAAAATGTGAAATCTTAAACACTTTTGGTCCCAAGCATTTTGGATAAGGGATACTCAACCTGTAGTAAAATGTAAGAAGAGAGAAATGAATTGAAGAAAGAGAAATGAATTGAAGCAAAAAGGCACCAGAACTTAAAGATCTGGAAAATTCTCAGCATGTCCATATTACAGAAATGAGAAAGAACATTTGGAAGAGAACATCAAAGGGGTGGCTGGCTGACCGTTTGCTAAGAAGATTAGCATGGGTGTAAACCATGGACCTAATAGCCATCTCAACCGAAGCCAGGAATAGAGACTGAATTATATTAGAAACACTGCCAGCTGAGATTAAAGGAAATAGAGAACATGGGATAGAATGAAGGAAGACTGTGAACATGCATGATCATTTCAGAAAAGGGAGAAGGACTCCAAAGGCAATTCAGAGGTCATCAGGGCTGCTACGCCCACTACAGATCCAAAGTGCATGGGCCCAAAGGGCAAGGCTGCTTCCACCTCAGCTTTAAAGGGCAGGACTGCCCCGCAGCAGAGCCTCATGGGAAGGTCCCTGTGAGAGTGCTGCATGGTCAGGGCTCCACCAAGCGGAAGGGACAGGTCACCTCACTGAGCCATGGGAGTGATGCTGCCATTTCAGTATCTGGAAGGCAGGACCATCACCCCAGTGGATATGGAAAGCAGAGCATTGAATCAAAGATGATGATTCTCAAGCCTTAAGATCTAACAGTATTTGCCTTGGTAGGTTTTGGACTTGCTTGGGACATGTCACCCCTTTCTTTAATCTGATTTCTACCTTTTGGAGTGGGAATGTCTGTCCTGTGCCTGTCCCACGATTGTCTTTTGCAAATACATAACATATCTGGTTTCACAAAAGCTGGAAAGGAATTTTGCCTCAGGATGAATTGTACCTCTACCTTCACCCATATCTGATTTAGATGATACTTAGATGAGACCTTGGACTTTAGAGTTGATATTTCTGTGAGTTAAGACTTTGGGGGCTGTTGGGATAGAATGAAAATGACATGAATTTTGGAAGGTCAGGGGCCGAATATTATAGACTGAATATTAGTGTCTCTCCGGAATTCATATATTGAACCCCTAACCCCCAAAATGATAGTATTAAGAGGTGGAGACTTTGGGAGATAGTTACTGAAAATAGTTAGACTTAGATGAGGTAATGAGGGTGGAGCTCCCATGATGTGATTAGTGTTCATATATAAGAAGAGTAAGAGACACAGAGCATCCTCTCTCCCTCATGTGAGGCAACAGCAAGAAGATAGCCATCTGAAAGCCAGGAAGAGAGGATCCTTACCAAGAACCAAATTTGCCAGCATCTGGATCTTAAACTTCCCAGCCTCCAGAAGTGTGACAAATAAATGTCTGTTGTTTCAGTTGCACACTTTTGTGGTTTTTTTTAAAATAGCAGACCAAGCTAAGACAATTTGTAAATGTTTTCTTCCATTCCATAGATTACCTCTTTACTCTGTTGATTGTGTTTTCTGATGCACAAAAGTTTCTAAGTTTGATTAAGTCCCATTTGTCTGTTTTTGCCTTTGTTATGTGTGTTTTTGCTGTCATATCCAAGAAATAATTGCCAAATCTAAAATCATGAAGCTTTTCCCCATGTTTTCTTCTAGAAGTTCTACAGTTTGGTTCTTACATTTGGATCTTTAATCCATTTTGAGTTAATTTTTGTATATAGTGTAAGATAATCCAAATTCATTATTTTGCATGTGGCTATCCAGTTTTTCATACATCATTTGTTGAAGAGACTGTCCTTTCCTCATTGAATGATCTTGGCACTCTCGTTGAAGATTATTTGGTCATATATGCTAAAGACTTATTTCTAGGCTCTCTATTCTATTTCACTAGTCTGTTGTCTTCCTTTATGCCAGTACCACACTGTTTTGATTCCTGTGGCTTTGTAATATGCTTTGAAATCAGGAAGTGTGAGTCCTTCAACTTTGTTTTCTTTCAAAATTGCTTTGACTATTTGGGATCCCCTGAGATACTAGAATTTTAGAATGGATTTTTCTTTTCCTGCAAAATAAGCTATTGGTATTTTGATAGGGATTGCATTGAATCTGCAGATTGCTTTGGATAGTATGGACATTTTAACAATATGAAATCTTTCACTTTGTGAACCTGGGGTGTTTCTGCATTTATTTGTGTTTTTAATTTCTTTCAGCAGTGTTTTGTAGTTTTCAGTGTATGGCTTTCACCTCCTTGATTAGGTTTATTCCTAAGTACTTTATTCTTTTGGTTGCTATTGTAAATGGAATTTTTTTATTTCTTTTTCAAATTTTCATTGTTATATATAGAAACAATGAATTTTTATGTATTGATTTTGTATTCTGCAACTTTGCTGAATTCACTTATTAGTTCTAACAGGTTTTGTGTGTTTGTGTGTGTGTGTGTGTGTGTAATCTTTAGGGTTTTCTACCTATAAGATTATATTGTCTGTGAACAGAGGTAATTTTATTTCTTCCTGTCCAGTTTAGATGCCTTTTGTTGAGGGAAGTCAGGGACCCCGAATGGAGGGATCAGCTGAAGCCATGGCAGAAGAACATAAATTGTGAAGATTTCATGGACATTTATTAGTTCCCCAAATTAATACTTTTATAATTTCTTACGCCTGTATTTACTGCGATCTCCAAACATAAATTGTGAAGATTTCATAGACACTTATCACTTCCCCAATCAATACCCTTGTGATTTCCTGTGCCTGTCTTTAATCTCTTAATCCCATCATCTTTGTAAGCTGAGGAGGATGTATGTCGCCTCAGGACCCTGTGATGATTGGGTTAACTGCACAAATTGTTTGTAGAGCATGTCTGTTTGAACAATATGAAATCTGGGCACCTTGATAAAACAGGATAACAGCAATGTTCAGGGAACAAGAGAGATAACCTTAAACTCTGACTGCCAGTGAGCTGGGCAGAACAGAGCCATATTTCTCTTCTTTCAAAAGCAAATGGGAGAAACATCACTGAATTCTTTTTCTCAGCAAGGAACATCCCTGAGAAAGAGAATGCATCCCTGAGGGTAGGCCTCTGAAATGGCTGCTTTGGGGGCGGCTGTCTTTTACGGTCAAAGCTGTGGGATGAAATAAGCCCCAGTCTCCCATAGAGCTCCCAGGCTTATTAGGATGAGGAAATTCTCACCTAATAAATTTTGGTCAGACCGGTTGTCTGCTTCAAACCCTGTCTCCTGATAAGATGTTATCAATGACAGTGCGTGCCCGAAACTTCATTAGCAATTTTAATTTCGCCCCAGTCCTGTGGTCCTGTGATCTTGCCCTGCCTCCATTTGCCTTGTGATATCTTATTACCTTGTGAAGCGTGTGATCTCTGTGACCCACACCCTATTTGTACGCTCCCTCCCCTTTTGAAAATCACTAACAAAAACTTGGCTGGTTTTGCGGCTTGGGGGCATCACAGAACCTGCGGACATGTCTCCCCCAGACACCCAGCTTTAAAATTTCTCTCTTTTGTACTCTGTCCTTTTATTTCTCAGACCGGCTGACACTTAAGGAAAATAGAAAAGAACCTACGTGACTATCAGGGGCAGGTTCCCCCAGTATCTTTTATTTCTTTTTCTTGCTCAGTTGCCCTGGGTAGAACTTCCAGCACTGTGTTGAATAGAAATAGCAAAAGTGAGCATCCTTGCCCTTTCCTGATCTTAAAGGAAAAGCTTTCAGTCTTCCACCATTGAGTGTGATCTTTCCTGTAGGTTTTTCATATATAGCCTTTATTATGTTGAGGTATATTTCTTCTAGTATTAGTTTATTGAGTTTATTTTTATTATGAAAGGGTGTTAAATTTGTCAAATGCTTTTTCTACAGCAATTGAGAATGATCATGTGGTACCTTTAACTTTTAAAAATAATTTTTGAAGGATAATATACATAAAGAAGTGCATATATAATCAGTATACAGCTTAGTAAATAACTTAATGGTAATCATCACATAATAGCCCCCCAGGTCAAGACATAGAACAGTACCCTAACCCCAGGAACTGCCTTCATGCTTTGCCCATGTTTCCATCCTTTCTTCCTTGTCAAAGGGAACCACTGTCCTGACTCTTAACACCATAAATTGGTTTTATCTGTTTTTGAACCTCCTGCAAATAAAATTATGTAGCCTGTATTCTTTTGTGTGTTTTTCATGCATGTTGTGTTTGTAAGATTTATCCATGTTGTTTTCTGTATCACTAGTTCATTAATTTTCATTGCTGCATATAGTCCATTGAATGAAACAGCCACAGTTTATTTACAAAGGACATTTAGGGCCATTAACAAGTAATGGCTTCTATGAGCCGTCTTGTATCTACCAGGAATCTAATAGCTGGATCATAACTGGGTCCTAGAGGATGCATATATTCAACCTTGGTAGATAATGTCAAACTTTTCCTAAGTGATTTACGAATTTTCATTTCTGTTCCATATGAGTTTGCCTCCATAACTTCATTACCACTTGATATTGTCAGTCTTTTTCATTTCATTTTCCACTTTTTTTATTTTCGAGACAGAGTCTCGCTCTGTCACCCAGGCTGGAGTTCAGTGGCATGATCTCAGCTCACTGCAACCTCCACCTCCCAGGTTCAAGTGATTCTCCTGCCTCAGCCTCCCAAGTAGCTGGAATTACAGGCACCTGCCACCACACTCAGTTAATTTTTGTATGTTTAGTAGAGACAAGGTTTCACATGTTGGCCGTGCTGGTCTTGATCTCCTGACCTCAAGTGATGTGCCTACCTCAGCCTCCCAAAGTCCTAGAATTACAGGCATGAACCACTGCACCCGGCCACATTTCTACTTTTGTGGAGAGTATATTCAAGTCTCTTGTTATTTTTCTATCTTTTTTTAAAAATCAATTTGTAGGAGGCCAGTATATATTCAAAATATATGCTCTTTGTTAGTTGTATATGTTGTAAATACCTTTTCATTTTCTTAAAGCTTTTTAAAAGAAATTACAATTCTTAATTCTAGTGAAATCCAGTATATTTTTTTGTTTATGTTTTAAGAAATATATTTTATATCCTGTTTAAGAAATCTTTCTCTGTCCCAAGGTTATGAAGATATTCTTCTGCATTATCTTTTAGAACCTTTTCTTTGGTTTAACCTTGTATATTCAGATCTGCAACCTCTCTGACATTTAAAACAACATTGTTTAATTTGACACTAATTAAAATATTAGACCTACCAAAAAAAAAGTTGCAAGAATAGTACAAAGATGTCCAGGTTTTTTTCACCCAGAGTCTGCAACTGTTTATTTAATGTATTTTACAAGCTTCTACATAGAGCACTGATCCAAACATTAATATTTCACATTATTGCTACATAAATAAATGTTGATATATCAACAGTGATATGCTGGAGCTGTCTTAACTTGTGTACAAAAGTTGGTTGTTAAAATTCAGGAATTTGCAGGTCAATTTTAAATCATTGGTAGTTTGAAGTGGGCTGTGGCAGGGAAGAATTTACTCCATGGATGTTAATACATGCTGTAAGTTATTTCTATTCTTTTTAAAAATACATCAAATGTTACATTATAAAAATTAAAAATAAGTGTATAACTAAAACTAAGAGGGTATTTGAGGTCAGAAGATAAGACTAGAATGTAGAAAGTGAGTAGTAACAAAACTAGAAGTAATTTATTGAAGGAAGAAGCTGACAGTATTCTCTACACAAGGAAAGAAAGGAATGTCTGGTTTCTAAATGCCAGCATTTGAGTTGCAGGGTAAAAGTTTTGAATCTGCAAGCTTAAATAAAACCAATTACTTTGCGTGTGATAGATATGGCCATACAATAAACCAATTTATAAATGAAACTTTAGTGTGTTCTAGTTTTAAAAATACTAAAATTAAAGATAATACCTTAGGCAAATTGACCAATGGGTTGAAAATTTTAAAAAGGTAATACCTTAAGTGGAATGGTAATATTGAAATATAGCATGTGGCTCTATACCCAGTCTCTAATAGCACTAGTATTGGAATGAACTTGAAGATTCAGAAGAAAATCTGTATTTCTATTTGTAAAATTACCAGTTCATCTCCTGAAACCAAACTGTGGTTGTATTTTCATTGTTACATTCTAAAATTTAAATAATAATGGCGGCCTGCAGTTTTAGCTAAACCTAGTACATAGAATATTGCAAATAGAATAAAATGACAAAATTTAAATGGCTCAGTGGTTTTTATTTTTTTTAATTTATTAAGAAAATTGAGTTACCTACAAAATCTTGTTAATCCCAAATTAGCTTCCTGGAAATGTTTCTTACACTAACTCTTGTGATATGCAAGTGGGAGAAATAATACATTTATTCTTTCTCATAATTCTTTGTATATTCCACAGAGCAACATTATTTGACAATATTTAAAGTACTTAGTGGTTTTATTGGACTTTAGTATAGCAATACAGGTTATGCCAGAAGTTAGATTTGCATTATTTTATATATAAACATTATGTTTAAAGAATATGCATTTTCATGAGATAATTAAATAATATAAAATGGCTCATTTTACATTATTGTGGTATTAACTATGAAATCTTCAAGTAGATACCAATACTGAATAATTTTTAAAACATCATAGTAGTTGTTATATAGCTACATGAAAAATTATTTTCAATCTAAATCAACTTGTGAGATTCAGCAGTCAAGATTTTAAATAAATAACATGAATTTAATCTCTTATAAAAGTTAACCCTCTTGACACTACTGAATTGCAGAATGCTGTAAACATTCCAAAATGTTTATTTTATTTTTCAATATAGATTCAGTGTATTTATGATTATACTCAATTTGCTTATCTTGAAATGTAATTTGCTGATGTTTTATTGGTTAACATTGTATATGATAGACTAATATTGCTTACATCATCTTTTACTTTTCTTTTTGTATGTGATATTGTGTGTACAGTTAAAGATTTGTAAATATATGTTTTTTTGTTGAAATTATTGATTTATTGTAAATAGGTATCACTTAGAAAAGAGTAATACAATCAAAATAAGTAAGTAATATAAGAGCTTGAAACTTCAAACTTGAAGGTTCTTACCCTAATCCTGAGCAAATTTTTTTACCATTGTGTTTTGTCTGAGGAATCAGTGAAAAATCATAATTTTTCTTGTGTAGTTCCTAGAGACAGATAGGGTGATGAGGGGGATTGAGTCTTCATAATTACCTTGTCTGCCCATAGAAAAAAATTAGTGACAGTTGCCTCACTCAATCACTGTATCTTAGTGCCTATCCCAGTGTTTAGATTAAGTAGTGGTGGTTAAATTAAATAAAATATTATATAGAGATGAAAGGGGTGGAGAGACAGACATAGAATTTAAATAGAGCCTGCTGATATTCGCTTTAATATATCATATAAACTTACTGACTACTTTGACAAACAAAGTAATTTGAATTGTAAGAAATGTATTTCCTTAAATGGCTTATTGATTGGAAAAAAAAGCAGTCAACAGAGTATTCTAGAATTTCCTTTGACAAGAATATCTCTTTAGGTTAAAGAATGAAACATCTTGAATGTACAATGTTTTACTGTATTTTAAGGATATACTTACAAATGACTATATATGTTTGTTTTTCAGAATTGGAGCGTTATTCAGTATATTAATGTCTTATTGATAATGGCAGAACATCCACCACTACTGGATACAACTCAGATCTTAAGTAGTGATATTTCTCTTTTGTCTGCCCCTATTGTAAGTGCAGATGGAACACAACAGGTAAGAAAACTGAAATGTTTATTTCTTTATGTCTAATACACATGTATTTATGCAAAATTTAAAACAGATCACAATAGTGAGTTCCTGTTAATTCGTGTTTTAAATTCCCAATTCAAAATGTTGTTCAGTTTTATAAGATGATAAAAATAATGAGACTGTTTTTGAAGTCTCTTTTAAAATATCTTGCTAATTAATGGTCAAATTTCTTATGTGTATATTTAGTTGCCATTCAAGTTGTTTTTGTTTTCCTTTAGACAAATAGTGTGCTAGTCCCTGAGTTTAGCCTTGTACCTTAATGATTATTATAAATCATTTCAAATCATTATGAAATTATGATTTTTGCCTACATTATATAATAATGAAACGTTGTCTTTTCCCTCCCATTCTCTTCTCCCTTCCAAAAGTAAATACACAATCCCTGAAAAGCTGATAGATTTTTTTCCCCAGCCCAGGTCTTTATTTAAAATGTTGTGGTTGCACTGATTTCACTATTCCCACAGTAATCCTAAAAAGGGATAGGAATAATAAGCTTTCACAAGTACTTATTATGGGCCAGGCAATGTGCTTCATTCTCATAACTATCTTATATGGTAGGTATTTTAACAGTAGGTGAGGAAACAAACACTAAAAACATAATAAATGTTAATGAGGAAGGGAAGGAACAGTTTAGGTGCCCATTATGTAATAAACATTGTGCTAAGAGCTTTATGATCTCATTTAATTCTTTCAACAATTCTATGAGGTAGGTACACCTGCCCTTATTTTGCAGATGAAGCAAAATGAGTTTCAGAAAGTCTTAAATAACTTGCTCAGCATCACACAAAGCTTGTGCTCCTAACTGTTACTCATACTGCCTCCTTGGAAAACTTAAAAACAAGAAAGTCAGATTTTCTTACTTTATAAACTTAGTATCTATAGTAGGCAATTATGATTTGCTGACAAGATAAAGGGCTACTATTGAAAAATTAGTAGCAATTGGCTTGGGTTCTAAATTTTTCTGTTCTGTGTAAACATGGCAGAAAGTGTTGTGTCCTGGTTTTAATTTTTTACGTGCTCTTATCCCAGCAATTTCATTCCACAAACTTGCTTTTCATGGTCAAATTTAAGTCTGTTAAGATTTTCTACTCACAAAAATAGTAGATGTGGCAGGTATTCATTTACTTTTTGAGGTTGTCCAAGTGTCTTCAGTTATCATTTGTTGCCTCAGGCCAGTCACTAGTTTCAACTTGTTGATAATCTAATGTATAAAAGAATCTATTAAGCAGTTAATTACAGTACATTGATAGAGTTGCATATTCTGTTAAGGGGAAGACAGCAGGCTGAAATAACTCCATGATGCCATCTCAAGACTTTTCTCTCCTTCCCCCAGAAGGAAATTGCAGAATTTTCTTGAAATCTTGAAGGCACCATGGCTATCATGTAACAGTAATGGTGTAGATGGCTATAGAGAAAGGATCTGGGAATAGAAGAACCTACTAGCAAGATTTAAAGGAGCAGGTGGAGTTAGGAGGTCTAGGGACAGGTTTTTAGGTAGAGTTTAAAAACAAACAGATTTCAGGAAGTGTAGAGTAAAGCCTTGAATTCTAACTAGCAGGTTGCGTGTAGTTCGGTAGGGAGAGAGCTAAACACGAGTGGAAGAAAACACTGGACTGGCCTGATAGATCTGGATTTGATTTTGGTTGCCGAAGACAAGTTATTTAACTTCTATGAGTATGTTTGCTTCTCTAGAAAATGGAGGTAATAATATCTTAAAGTAGTTATAGCTATGTGGGTGAAATGAGCCTGAAGGAACTCAGTAAATGTTTGCCGAATCCTAAGTAAAGCACTCAATAAATATTTAAAAGACTGAAGAAACTTTAGATATCCCAGTCAGGATTTCAATAAATAGAGATAGTTATAATAAGCAGTGGATCAGAAAACGTGGAGATAGTTATGAAGGATGCATATGAAGTGTAAAGAGTGAACCAATAGCTATGATAGAATGTAAGGGACTATATACAAAGCAGATAATAATTAGAGGTGGGAGCGCAATAAACTTGACAGCAGACATTTCTTTGTCTTAACACAAGAACTTATTGATACGCCAAGTTATAGCTTACCTATGGAGATATGACACAACTTGGTTGATGCCTGTTTAACCACAGACTAAAAAACTGTTCCTGACAGATGGAAGTGTGCACAAGCATGATGTTAAAAATTCAAGACGACATATTTTGTCCCTTGTCTTGACTTTTCTTCAGAATATTATGCTATATGAAATGATTTCTCTTCTACTCTTGGGATCAAATTAATTTTCTTATAGTTGGCTATTAAGATTATCTGTCTCCTCATTAATATTTTCTGGTTTAGTACAGTAAACATTTCCTACTGTATCATATTACACGCAGTGGGTCTTTGGCTTGTGAATCATAATAGAGGGAATTGCTCCTGATATCACTGCTAGTGTTGCCTTTAGGGAGGCTGTAATAGTCATTTATTATTCATTTTGACAAGCAGCTTATGAACCTTTTTTTGTGGTTATGGAATCTGCCTCCCTTTTTCATTATTAAAATAGATTTTATTTTTAGAGCAGTTTTAGGCTTATAAGAAAAATTGAGCAGACAGTACAAAGTTCTCACATACCACCTCTTCTCCACAGTTTCTTCATTTATTAGTGTGATATATTTGTTACAATTAATGAACCAGTATTGATGCGTTATTATTAAGTAAGGTCCATAGGGTTCACTCTTAGTGTTGTACAACAGTTCTTCAGGTCTTAACAGATGGGTAATGTCATATATCATTACAGTATCATACAGAATAATTTCACCGCCCTAAAAATCCCGTGCTTCACCTTTTCATTCTTCCTTTACTCCCCCCAAATCCTTGGCAACCACTGATCTTTTTACTATCTCTCTACTATAGTTTTGTATTTTTAAGAATGCAATACAGTATGTAGCCCTTTCAGACTGGCTTCTCCCACTTAGCAGTATGGTGTAGGTAATTTCTTTCCACGGCTTAATAGCTCATTTCTTTTTCATTATTGAATAATACTTCATTGTATAGATGGACCAGTTTGTTTATTCATTCATCTGTTGAAGGACATCTTGGTCACTTCCAGCTTTAGGCTGTTATAAATAAAGCTGCTTTAAACATTCATGTGCAGATTTTTGAGTGTACATAAGTTTTAATTCACGTGGATAAATACCTAGGAACATGATTGCTAGATTGTGCGGTAGGGCTGTGTTTAGTTTTGTGAGAAACTACCAAACTGTCTTCTAAGGTGGCTGTACCATTGTACATTCTTTGTCACATGATTGACTTGAGATATCTTTTCCTGATAGCAGAAGGAAAGCCTGCATGAATGTGTGTGCCCTGTTAGAACCTCCAAACCAGTTTTATAGAACATAAGCTTCAAGCAAAAGTGGAATGCTCAGTTCTGTTCTCTAGTGCCACCATCTAAAGAAGATTTCAGATGTTTTAGTTTCTTGTGTGGTTTAGCAGTTTACTAATTTGTCTTCTCTTAATTTCTACTTACTTACCTTCCAAAAGGATTGAATACATTTAAAGTTTCAGTTAAGACCTTTAAAAACTTAGCCTGCCTATTATACAGTCTTTATTAGTACCTTCTTGATTGCATTAATCTCTTAAAATTATAATTTTTATAACTTCCCGTCTCATTTGTACCCATGGGATTTTAATTTACGGAAGTAACTTAAGAGATGGCACAAAGAGGCTAATGCCATTGAAAGAAGATTTTTATTACTTAAATTTCCCAAAGAAGGGGACGTATCATGTCATACAGGTAGGGCCAAAGGAGAAGCAGCATGTTCTGGTCAGGAGGCAGAAGAAGGCATGAGGAGAAAGCCTGGACCAAACCTTTTGTTGGGGTTTTCACAGGAAAGGCAAGGTGAAATAAATAGTGTTGGATTGGCTAGTTTTAATAATTCTGACCATCTTTGGGCTGTAAGGGTGATCCCTGGTAGCCTGGTACCTGGCCTGGGATGGCTTAGGGTAGGGTAAATATTGGCTTGGTGTGTAAAAGTTAGATAAGGTGGTTGGCACTATAGACTTGGGATTGGATGGTTTGCATATAAGAAGTATGCCTCTGGCCAAGCCTTTTGTTATCTGTAAGAATTGGCTATCCCTACAAGGGGCCATCTCTCCCCAGCAAGTGAGGCCACAGGTGCCAGAACATCAGGAATACAGAAAATAAGAAAATAGGGTTAATATAATTGGCCCTGTGATGAATGGATGCCAACGGACAAATAAAGAATCTAAGAAAACACAGAATGTGCCCTCAGCTTTTTAAAACCTGTTTTAAATCATGAAGTATAACATATATTTATAGAAAAGTACGTAAAATAAGCATGAAATATAGCATATGATTATAAGGCATAAATCTTGTAACTACAAGCCACACTAAGAGATATAATACTGCCAATACCCTAGAAATTGCTTGTATGTTTCTTCCACATCATAACACCCTCTCTCCTTCAAGGTTACCACTATCCTGACTTTTATGATAATTGCTTACTGACTTTTCTCTGTAGTTTTATCTATATATACTTCACTATACAACAATACTGTAGTTTTGCCAATTCTTGATATTTACATAAATTAAACTTGGTTTAACTATTCTTTTGTGACTTGCTGGTCTTATTCAATATTGTTTTAAAGATTCCTCCTTACTGTTGTTGAAATTTGTTCTTTTTAGTTTTCAGTATCAGATTCTATTATGTGTGAATATAACTCAATGTATTCATTTATCTGTTCTCTTCTTGATGACCATCTTGGGGGTTTCTAGTTTGGGATTATTATGAAGAATGCTTTTTTTCTTTGATTTATCAAACTGTTAATCAAACTGTTAATATATATTCTGGCCAAAAGTTCTTAGTCAGTCATAAGTGTAGTGAATATTCTCTCCTGTTCCCCTGTTCTGGTTGTCTTTTCACTCTCTTTGATGTCTTTCTTTTTTTTTTTGAGACAGGGTCTCGCTCTGTCACCCAGGCTGGAGTGCAGTGGCGTGATCTCGGCTCACTGCAACCTCCGCCTCCCAGGTTCAAGTGATTCTCCTGCCTCAGCCTCCCAAGTGGCGGAGATCACAGGCGTGCACCACCACACCAGGCTAATTTTTGTATTTTTAGTAGAGATGGGGTTTTGCCATGTTGGCCAAGCTGATCTCGAACTCCTGACCTCAAGTGATCCACCCACCTCGGTCCCCCAAAGTGCTGGGATTACATGCGTGAGCCACCGGCGGCTGGCATCTTTGGTATCTTTTGATGGACAGTCTTTAATTTTAATATGGTCAGATTTACCAGTTCTTTTCTTCTAGAGTTAGTGTTGTGTTTCTTCTCTCTCTACAAAAAAATTTAAAATTTAGCTGAGTGTGGTAGTATATGCCTATAGTCCCAGCTACTCAGGAGGCTGAGGTGGGAGAATCACTTAAGCCCAGGAGGTCAAGGCTACAGCAAGTCATGATTATGCCACTGTACTCTGGCCAGGGCAACAGAGCAAGACCGTGTCTCAAAAAAAATGTTTAAGGTATTTATGAACAGGAATTCCCTATACTGAGGCAATGAAAATATTTCTAAAAATATATTCTAAAAACTATACTTTCGCGTTGAACATTTTATTCCAAAATCTACTGGAGTTGATTTTTGTGAACTGTATCAAGCATAGGTCCAATTTGACTGTTTTTCCATGTATGTATAACTTAATTATTTCAGCACTGTTTATTGAAAAAACTGTTGTTTTCCTGTTGCTCCACAATGATACTTTTGTCATGTATCTATGATACATTGTTACAGATATGATCAAATATCTGTCACATATTTGTAGGGTTATTTATGGATTTTTTTTTTTGAGACGGAGTCTTGCTCTGTCACGCAGGTTGGAGTGCAGTGGCGCGATCTCGGCTTGCTGCAAGCTCCGCCATGGGTTCATGCCATTCTCCTGCCTCAGCCTCTCAAGTAGCTGGGACTACAGGCGCCTGCCACCATGCCCGGCTAATTTTTTGTATTTTTAGTAGAGATGGGGTTTCACTGTGTTAGCCAGGATGGTCTTGATCTCCTGACCTCGTGATCTGCCCGCCTCCACCTCCCAAAGTGTATTTATGGATTTTTAATTCTCTTTCATTGATCTGTTTTATTATCCCTGTGCCAAGAATACACCAAGTCTTGGTATCTGGTAAGCAAACCATCCCACCTTATTCTTTGAGAAGGTCTTGGTATTCTTGGGCCTTTACATTTACATATAAATTTTAGAATTAGCTTATCAATACACACACACACATGCACACACACACAACACCTGCTGAGTTTGATTTAGATTGCCTTGAATCTATAGATTGATTGAGGGAAGAATTGGTGGCATCTTTACAATATTGAATTTTTCAATTGTTGAAGTTGGTGTATTCATGCATTTATGTAGGTTTTTAATGTCACAGTGAAGTTTTATAATTTTTCCCATAAAGGTCTTGATTATCTTTTGTTAAATTTATTCCTGGGCACTTGGGTTTTTATATGCAATTATAAATGTGTGTGTGTGTGTGTGTGTGTGTGTGTGTGTGTATCATTTTCTGTTCCTGGTGAGTTAGAAATACAGTTTATTTTTGTATATTGCTTCAATATCCAGCAACCTTGCTATACTCTTACTCATTTTGAGACTTGTTCTTAGTCTCAAAGAGAGTATTTTCAGCATATTATTAAGCATGATGTTTATTATACATTTTTATGTATATTCTTTCTAAGATCTAAAAGGGTAAGCCAGGTGCAGTGGCTGACGCCAGTAATCCCAGCATTTTGGGAGGCTGAGGCAGGCAGATTGCTTGAACACAGGAGTTGGAGACCAGCCTGTGCAACATATAGTAAGACTTCATATATACTAAAAATAAAATTAGCCAGGTGTGGTGGCACACACCTGTAGTACCAGCTACTCAGGAGGCTGAGATGGGAGGATCACTTGAGCCTGGGGGGTTGAGTCTGCAATAAGCTGTGATTATGCAACTGTGTTCCAGTCTGGGCAACAGAGTGAGACCCAGTCTCATATTTTCAACATTTCTAAGATAATGATATATTTTTCCTTCAAATTTTGATGTCATAATTTACATTAATTTTATTATTATACTTTAAGTTTTAGGGTACATGTGCACAATGTGCAGGTTAGTTACATATGTATACATGTACATGTGTATACATATGTACACGTGTATACATGTATATACATGTACATGCGTATACATATGTACACGTGTATACATGTATATACGTGTACATGTGTATACATATGTACACGTGTATACATGTACATGTGTATGCAAGTATAGATGTACACGTGTATACATGTGTACACGTGTATACATGTATACATGTACATGTGTATACATGTATACATGTACATATGTGCCATGCTGGTGCGCTGCACCCACTAACTCGTCATCTATCATTAGGTATATCTCCCAATGCTATCCCTCCCCCCTCCCCCCACCCCACAACAGTCCCCAGAGTGTGATGTTCCCCTTCCTGTGTCCATGTGTTCTCTTTGTTCAATTCCCACCTATGAGTGAGAATATGTGGTGTTTGGTTTTTTGTTCTTGCAGTAGTTTACTGAGAATGATGATTTCCAATTTCATCCATGTCCCCACAAAGGACATGAACTCATCATTTTTTATAGCTGCATAGTATTCCATGGTGTATATGTGCCACATTTTCTTAATCCAGTCTATCATTGTTGGACATTTGGGTTGGTTCCAAGTCTTTGCTATTGTGAATAATGCCGCAGTAAACATACGTGTGCATGTGTCTTTATAGCAGCATGATTTATAGTCCTTTGGGTATATACCCAGTAATGGGATGGCTGGGTCAAATGGTATTTCTACTTCTAGATCCCTGAGGAATCGCCACACTGACTTCCACAATGGTTGAACTAGTTTACAGTCCCACCAACAGTGTAAAAGTGTTCCTATTTCTCCACATCCTCTCCAGCACCTGTTGTTTCCTGACTTTTTAATGATTGCCATTCTAACTGGTGTGAGATGGTATCTCATTGTGGTTTTGATTTGCATTTCTCTGATGGCCAGTGATGGTGAGCATTTTTTCATGTGTTTTTTGGCTGCATAAATGTCTTCTTTTGAGAAGTGTCTGTTCATGTCCTTCACCCACTTTTTGATGGGGTTGTTTGTTTTTTTCTTGTAAATTTGTTTGAGTTCATTGTAGATTCTGGATATTAGCCCTTTGTCAGATGAGTAGGTTGTGAAAATTTTCTCCCATTTTGTAGGTTGCCTGTTCACTCTGATGGTAGTTTCTTTTGCTGTGCAGAAGCTCTTTAGTTTCATTAGATCCCATTTCTCAATTTTGGCTTTTGTTGCCATTGCTTTTGGTGTTTTAGACATGAAGTCCTTGCCCATGCCTATGTCCTGAATGGTAATGCCTAGGTTTTCTTCTAGGGTTTTTATGGTTTTAGGTCTAACGTTTAAGTCTTTAATCCATCTTGAATTGATTTTTGTATAAGGTGTAAGGAAGGGATCCAGTTTCAGCTTTCTACATATGGCTAGCCAGTTTTCCCAGCACCATTTATTAAATAGGGAATCCTTTCCCCATTGCTTGTTTTTCTCAGGTTTGTCAAAGATCAGATAGTTGTAGATATGTGGCGTTATTTCTGAGGGCTCTGTTCTGTTCCATTGATCTATATCTCTGTTTTGGTACCAGTACCATGCTGTTTTGGTTACTGTGGCCTTGTAGTATAGTTTGAAGTCAGGTAGCGTGATGCCTCCAGCTTTGTTCTTTTGGCTTAGGATTGACTTGGCGATGCGGTCTCTTTTTAGGTTCCATATGAACTTTAAAGTAGTTTTTTCCAATTCTGTGAAGAAAGTCATTGGTAGCTTGATGGGGATGGCATTGAATCTGTAAATTACCTTGGGCAGTATGGCCATTTTCACGATACTGATTCTTCCTACCCATTAGCATGGAATGTTCTTCCATTTGTTTGTATCCTCTTTTATCTCCTTGAGCAATGGTTTGTAGTTCTCCTTGAAGAGGTCCTTCACATCCCTTGTAAGTTGGATTCCTAGGTATTTTATTCTCTTTGAAGCAATAGTGAATGGGAGTTCACTCATGATTTGGCTCTCTGTTTGTCTGTTGTTGGTGTATAAGGATGCTTGTGATTTTTGTACATTGATTTTGTATCCTGAGACTTTGCTGAAGTTGCTTATCAGCTTAAGAAGATTTTGGGCTGAGACAGTGGGGTTTTCTCGATATACAATCATGTCGTCTGCAAACGGGGACAATTTGACTTCCTCTTTTCCTAATTGAATACCCTTTATTTCCTTCTCCTGCCTAATTGCCCTGGCCAGAACTTCCAACACTATGTTGAATAGGAGTGGTGAGAGAGGAGGGCATCCCTGTCTTGTGCCAGTTTTCAAAGGGAATGCTTCCAGTTTTTGCCCATTCAGTATGATATTGGCTGTGGGTTTGTCATAGATAGCTCTTATTATTTTGAAATACGTCCCATCAATACCTAATTTATTGAGAGTTTTTAGCATGAAGCGTTGTTGAATTTTGTCAAAGGCCTTTTCTGCATCTATTGAGATAATCATGTGGTTTTTGTCTTTGGTTCTGTTTATATGCTGGATTACATTTATTGATTTGCGTATATTGAACCAGCCTTGCATCCCAGGGATGAAGCCCACTTGATCATGGTGGATAAGCTTTTTGATGTGCTGCTGGATTCGGTTTGCCAGTATTTTATTGAGGATTTTTGCATCAATGTTCATCAAGGACATTGGTCTAAAATTCTCTTTTTTTGTTGTGTCTCTGCCTGGCTTTGGTATCAGGATGATGCTGGCCTCATAAGATGAGTTAGGGAGGATTCCCTCTTTTTCTGTTGATTGGAATAGTTTCAGAAGGAATGGTACCAGTTCCTCCTTCTATCTCTGGTAGAATTCAGCTGTGAATCCATCTGGTCCTGGACTCTTTTTGGTTGGTAAGCTATTGATTATTGCCACAATTTCAGCTCCTGTTATTGGTCTATTCAGAGATTCAACTTCTTCCTGGTTTAGTCTTGGGAGAGTGTATGTGTCGAGGAATGTATCCATTTCTTCTAGATTTTCTAGTTTATTTGCGTAGAGGTGTTTGTAGTATTCTCTGATGGTAGTTTGTATTTCTGTGGGATCTGGTGATATCCCCTTTATCATTTTTTATTGTATCTATTTGATTCTTCTCTCTTTTTTTCTTTATTAGTCTTGCTAGTGGTCTATCAATCTTGTTGATCCTTTCAAAAAACCAGCTCCTGGATTCATTAATTTTTTGAAGGGTTTTGTGTGTCTCTATTTCCTTCAGTTCTGCTCTGATTTTAGTTATTTCTTGCCTTCTGCTAGCTTTTGAATGTGTTTGCTCTTGCTTTTCTAATTCTTTTAATTGTGATGTTAGGGTGTCAATTTTGGATCTTTCCTGCTTCCTCTTGTGGGCATTTAGTGCTATAAATTTCCCTCTACACACTGCTTTGAATGCGTCCCAGAGATTCTGGTATGTTGCGTCTTTGTTCTCGTTGGTTTCAAAGAACATCTTTATTTCTGCCTTCATTTCGTTATGTACCCAGTAGTCATTCAGGAGCAGGTTGTTCAGTTTCCATGTAGTTGAGCGGTTTTGAGTGAGATTCTTAATCCTGAGTTCTAGTTTGATTGCACTGTGGTCTGAGAGATAGTTTGTTATAATGTCTGTTCTTTTACATTTGCTGAGGAGAGCTTTACTTCCAAGTATGTGGTCAATTTTGGAATAGGTGTGGTGTGGTGCTGAAAAAAATGTATATTCTGTTGATTTGGGGTGGAGAGTTCTGCAGATGTCTATTAGGTCTGCTTGGTGCAGAGCTGAGTTCAATTCCTGGGTATCCTTGCTGACTTTCTGTCTCGTTGATCTGTCTAATGTTGACAGTGGGGTGTTAAAGTCTCCCATTATTAATGTGTGGGAGTCTAAGTCTCTTTGTAGGTCACTCAGGACTTGCTTTATGAGTCTTGGTGCTCCTGTATTGAGTGCACATATATTTAGGATAGTTAGCTCTTCTTGTTGAATTGATCCCTTTACCATTATGTAATGGCCTTCTTTGTCTCTTTTGATCTTTGTTGGTTTAAAGTCGTTTTATTAGATACTAGGATTGCAACCCCTGCCTTTTTTTGTTTTCCATTTGCTTGGTAGATCTTCCTCCATCCTTTTATTTTGAGCCTATGTGTGTCTCTGCACATGAGATGGGTTTCCTGAATACAGCACACTGATGGGTCCTGACTTTTTATCAAATTTGCCAGTCTGTGTCTTTTAGTTGGAGCATTTAGTCCATTTACATTTAAAGTTAATATTGTTATGTGTGAATTTGATCCTGTCATTATGATGTTAGCTGGTTATTTTGCTCATTAGTTCATGCAGTTTCTTCCTATTCTCGATGGTCTTTACATTTTGGCATGATTTTGCAGCAGCTGGTCCTGGTTGTTCCTTTCCATGTTTAGCGCTTCCTTCAGGAGCTCTTTTAGGGCAGGCCTGGTGGTGACAAAATCTCTCAGCATTTGCTTGTCTGTAAAGTATTTTATTTCTCCTTCACTTACGAAGCTTAGTTTGGCTGGATATGAAATTCTGGGTTGAAAATTCTTTTCTTTAAGAATGTTGGATATTGGCCCCTACTCTCTTCTGGCTTGTAGAGTTTCTGCCGAGAGATCCGCTGGTAGTCTGATGGGCTTCCCTTTTTGGGTAACCCGACCCTTCTCTCTGGCTGCCCTTAACATTTTTTCCTTCATTTCAACTTTGGTGAATCTGACAATTATGTGTCTTGGAGTTGCTCTTCTCGAGGAGTATCTTTGTGGCGTTCTCTGTATTTCCTGAATCTGAACGTTGGCCTGTCTTGCTAGATTGGGGAAGTTCTCCTGGATAATATCCTGCAGAGTGTTTTCCAACTTGGTTCTATTCTCCCCGTCACTTTCAGGTACACCAATCAGACGTAGATTTGGTCTTTTCACATAGTCGCATATTTCTTGGAGGCTTTATTCGTTTCTTTTTATTCTTTTTTCTCTAAACTTCCCTTCTCGCTTCATTTCATTCACTTCATCTTCCATCGCTGATACCCTTTCTTCCAGTTGATCGCATCGGCTCCTGAGGCTTCTGCATTCTTCACGTAGTTCTCGAGCGTTGGTTTTCAGCTCCATCAGCTCCTTTAAGCACTTCTCTGTATTGGTTATTCTAGTTATACATTATTCTAAACTTTTTTCAAAGTTTTCAACTTCTTTGCCTTTGGTTTGAATTTCCTCCCGTAGCTCGGAATAATTTGATCGTCTGAAGCCTTCTTCTCTCAGCTCGTCAAAGTCATTCTCTGTCCAGCTTTGTTCCCTTGCTGGTGAGGAACTGCATTCCTTTGGAGGAGGAGAGGTGCTCTGCTTTTTAGAGTTTCCAGTTTTTCTGCTCTGTTCTTTCCCCATCTTTGTGGTTTTATCTACTTTTGGTCTTTGATGATGGTGATGTACAGATGGGTTTTTGGTGTGGATGTCCTTTCTGTTTGTTAGTTTTCCTTCTAACAGACAGGACCCTCAGCTGCAGGTCTGTTGGAGTACCCGGCCGTGTGAGGTGTCAGTCTGCCCCTGCTGGGGGTGCCTCCCAGTTGGGCTGCTTGGGGGGTCAGGGGTCAGGGACCCACTTGAGGAGGCAGTCTGCCCGTTCTCAGATCTCCAGCTGCGTGCTGGGAGAACCACTGCTCTCTTCAAAGCTGTCAGACAGGGACATTTAAGTCTGCAGAGGTTACTGCTGTCTTTTTGTTTGTCTGTGCCCTGCCCCCAGAGGTGGAGCCTACAGCGGCAGGCAGGCCTCCTGGAGCTGTGGTGGGCTCCACCCAGTTCGAGCTTCTGGGCTGCTTTGTTTACCTGAGCAAGCCTGGGCAATGGCGGGCGCCCCTCCCCCAGCCTCGCTGCTGCCTTGCAGTTTGATCTCAGACTGCTGTGCTAGCAATCAGCGAGACTCCGTGGGCGTAGGACCCTCTGAGCTAGGTGCGGGATATAATCTTCTGGTGCGCCGTTTTTTAAGCCCGTCGGAAAAGCGCAGTAGGCGGGTGGGAGTGACCCAATTTTCCAGGTGCCGTCTGTCACCCCTTTCTTTGACTAGGAAAGGGAACTCCCTGACCCCTTGTGCTTCCGGAGTGAGGCAATGCCTCGCCCTGCTTCGGCTCACGCAGGGTGCGCGCACCCACTGACCTGCGCCCACTGTCTGGCACTCCCTAGTGAGATGAACCCGGTACCTCAGATGGAAATGCAGAAATCACCCATCTTCTGCGTCGCTCTCTCTGGGAGCTGTAGACCGGAGCTGTTCCTATTCGGCCATCTTGGCTCCTCCCCTACATTAATTTTTCAATGTTTAACTGACAGTATATTTCTGGCTAAACCCAATTTCATTGTGATACATTGTTCTTTTAATGTATTGCTGGATTGGGGTATGCTAATATTTTTTCTTGGATTTTATTTTTAGTCTGTGTTCATGAGTGAGACTGTCCTATAATGGGCATTTCCCTAATATCCTGAGTTGGTATCAAAGATGTGCTGAACTAAACTGTGGAGTTTACCCTTTTGTTTCTTATTCTTTGGTTAAATTTGTGTTTGTTTAAAATTGTTTCTTCCTCATTTGGTATAACTTGTTCAGTGAAATCTTCTGAACCTAAGTTTCTTTGACTGAAGTATAGAAATGAAGAAGCAAATCAGATGCATACTGTGAATACTTCATCTTAAGTTTGGAAGTACATTTTTATAATACTGAGGTAATCTGTGTATATTTGTTATGTAAGTGGTATTAAAATGGTTAAGAAAAGTTGAGTTTTTAAATAAATTTAATAAGAACTATTTAAGCACTTATGATCAGGCATTTGAGGCATTTAAAATAAAATTTATTGATGTTATTAATGCAGATTAAAATGTTTAAGGAGAGTGAAGCTAGGGAAGGAAAATATTGTAATATCAGATTAAAAAAACCTGAATTAAGGTCATGTTAATGATACACGATTTGAGAAATATTAAGGAGGTAAAATTGGTGAACAAGTCATAGAACAAAACTAAGAGAGGGGATAAAAATTTCCCCAGGATTTTCTTTGAAAATGTAAGTGGATAGCAAGACCATTTACTAAGTAGTTAAGTCTTATCAGTCAGAATAGGCAAGATTATTTTGTGGTAACAAACAGCTTCTTAATCTCTGTAGTTTACCAAAAGGTTTATTGCTCATACTGCACGTCCTTCACAGGTTTGCTGTGGCTGTGCGCCACATAGTCTTCACCTGAGACCCAGCCCCTAAATAGAATGTTGCTGGTATCCTGGTGAACTACTTGCTGATCTCCATTCCATTTTATGGACCAACACAAGGCACATGGCCAAACTTGCCATCAGTGTTGGGGGGTTATAATAGCAGCTACTGTTTGAGCCCTTACCCTGTGTTCAGACACTGAGGCAAGTAATGCATTATTTCATTTAATCTTCATAACAGTTCTTAGAAGTAGCTTTAATATTTCCATTTTATAGAAACTAAGAATCAGAAAGGTGTTAACTTGTTACTAGGTTAAGTAACATAGCTTCTGAAAGGCAAAAACCAGGATTCAAAGCTAAGTCTTTAAAATTCCTAATCATTTATCATGGTCTTAATCACTATAAAAATAGTAAATTAATGGATTAAATTTCAGGAAAAAGATCTGATTCGAACCAGAGATGTAGAAATTATCAGAATAGTCAGGGTAGTGAAGCCATAGGAATTAATGAGTTTATTCATACTGAGAGAATTTCAATTTGATATGGGAAAAAAATGTTAGTAATTTCTGATATAACACCCTAGTGAGTAGGCCTATGTAACTGGTATTAAAATGATTAATATATACTGCCAAAATGAAAGTAGGTTTATATAATACTACACCTTAACTTGAACACACTAGAGCTTTTCAAAGCCCCTATATGAACATCTTATTCTGCAGCTTTTCCTGTCCAAGTTTTTGGTTAGCTTCTTGTTTTCCCTATTGTTATCCTCACCACAAGCCAACTGTGATGTTAAACCAACTGCCACTGATTGTTTTACACATGCTCCCCAGGGGGAAAGCTATTTGCAATAAGGGAGCTCTGAGTTAGGACAAATCAAGACAAGCCCTGGGACTGGGTGTTTCCAGGGAACTGCCAGACAGGTCAAATATGACAGTTCTTTTGGAGATGAGACTTTTACGGTATTCCAAACCATTCTTTCCCTTCCAGTGGCTGCTAGTCTGCTGGTTTTTACTGCTGCTGTGATTCTGAGACTTTTCCAAGGCTTTTGTGAAGCTGGGGAGACAGAGTAGGGAATAGAGCAAATTAAAATGACACAAAGCTCACTGTCCATATCAGGATCTAGCTGTTTTCCCTGAACATACTGTTGCAAGCCTTTGGTTAATTTCTAGAGTTCCAAAAAAAATTAGTTTTGACGATTTACGCCTGTGTTCTCACTGCTGTTATGGAGCAATGGATTTTTGGAGGTTAACACTGTGTCATTCCTAATGATATCTTCCAAAATGGAGTTTTTATGGAATAAAAATGCAGTATGATCAGAGTAGGGCCAGTTCTCTATGTAATACAACATTTTTTCTAGTGTCATTTTATATTTTTATATTGATATCTAAACTTTGGAAAACAGTGTTTATTATTTACCAACATGTACAATGAATAAATTTCTTCATCATATGACTGTATATATAGAATAAAACTATGTTCAAAGCCTGCTGGGTGAACAATTGTAAAAAGGTATTTTTTTCATCTGACTCAGACCCTTACTTCAGAAATTTACAATGAATAAACCATTTCACAGGTCAGTAAGTTTCCTTACTTGAGGGCCCTCATCATTTTTGTTGATACATGTTAAGCTTTCATGCATAGCAGGCCTTTGGTTAGACCCTTCATCGAGAATTGTCTCAAAAACATTCAGAGCATTTTGTCCAGAGGAAACTAAAGACAAACCAGAAAAAGCAGAGCTAGGTAGTAGAGTAAAGGTGCTTCCCCCTTTTTACATTACCTAAAACAAACCTAAAAACAAAGCTCTACATGTTTGTTTCTGAGATTAGCTTTTACATAATGTTACTTTGGGTTAAACTTTTATCTCCATGGAAGTTGTGTTTGGTTTAAATGGAAATAAGAAGGAAAACTTTCACCAATAGCCAAAAATCTAATGTAAAAACTTTAAAAAGTGCTCACATTTTTAAGTTCAAAAAGTTACAAATTTGTAAATATATGCATTTAAAAATCTGATAGCTTCCATGCTAAGCTATAAACATAAACCTTAGGAATGAGGCTACTGAGACTGAAATAAAGCTTATACTTTTGTGACAATAATTTTGTGCCTCAGAATTCTAATACAAACCATTAATCATAGATTTCATGGCCCAAATTAGTCATCTTCTAACTGCTATGCAGCTTTGCCTGGCAAATAAATAGTGGTTTGCTAAATTTCTCATTCTTAGAAGCTTTGGAAAGGCTAGAATTTAAACATTACTCTCCTTTTTCAATTAGTTTTTTTCTCCCACACGTCTGCACCATGCCACTTTCTGTGACATTTCCTTAGAAAATCAAATATTTTTGAAAAATTCTAGTGCTATTACCGTTAACTTTTCTTTAGACATAAAAAGCCTTATGCTCAAGGTTCAGATCTGAAAATTTGCTTAGTTATCACATTTTTGTAAGCACACATTTTAAAAAATTTATGATAAATATTAAGCTAGGTTGTCCTGGAAAAAAATTAACTTCACACATATTCAGGTTCTGTCTGTGTATAAAATATTGCACTGGTTCTTGTTTTAAGAGATGATAAAATCAGATTTACAAATTGGGTGTAAATTTTAAGATAGTCTAAAGGGAAGAAAGGTTCATAAAATATCAGTCAGGAACAGAGTTACAAAGAATGCAGACTGGAATTTAGTTTTTATATTTGGCACAAAATAATAAAATTGTATTCTTATTGAATGACTTGAGACCAATACCATTTCATCTGTTCATTTTTTAAACTATATATATTTCCAATAAAACAAAAATTGGGCAAATTATTTTATTTAGTTGAAAAATTATTTCATTTTAAAAGTGGACAGTAAAATACTTTCATGTAATTCAAGCTAATATGACAAAACTAAAATATTTTGTAGCGTTTTTATACTATCTTAATATATATTTTTATATATTTAATATGTTTTTAAAACTGTTATGAAAGAGAATCATCAAACTCTTAAAATAAACATCTTACAGAAATGAAACATAATGGTCCTGGAATTTTGAGGGATTCTTGGTCTAAAAAGAATTGATGTTCTATTAAACTCCTACATATTCTACAGTTAAATTCCAAACTCTGATTCAGAGTGACTCAAAAGTTAGTCAACTCCTGTGCCCCAGAATCCTGTAGAAATTGTTAACTTTTAAGTAATATAGTTTGGACTAAAGCAAGGAGGAAATAAAGAATGACTTGAAAGTAGCACTGTATAAATAGGGAAATGCATTCAACTAAAAAACAAAGATGTTTCCCACTTTTGCAAGTGTCCTTACATTAGATTAATATAAAGCAAGATGATTTTTGTCAAAAAGTGTACAGATAGTTGTTGAAGTAGAAATTGAGTTCTGCTTTTTCAACTCATAACGTTCTCCTTTCATATAAAAATAAAAAAGATTACAAAACCAAAAGTGAGTTTCTTGAAAAGATTAACAAAATTGACTAGCCATTAGCTAGGCTAAGAAGAAAAAGAGATAAATAAATAAATCAAAAATTTAAAAGGAGACATCACAACGGATACCACAGAAATACAAAGGATTATTAGAGACTACTATGAACAACTATATGTCAATAAATTTGAAAAACTAGAGGAAATCGATAAATTACTGGACACATTCAACCAACCAAAATTGGAACAAGAAGAAGTAGAAAACCTAAACGGACCAATAACAAGTAATGAGATTGAATTTTTAATAATGTCTCCCAAGAAAGAAAAGTCCAGGACCAGATGGCCTCACTGCTGAATTCTATGGAACCTTTAAAGAATAATTAATACCAGTTTTCCTCAAATTATTCCAAAAAGTTAAAGCAGAAAGAACTGTTCCTAACCATTTCCATGAGGCAAACATAACCCTGATACCGAAACTGTACAAGGACACAACAGAAAAAGAAAGCTAAAGACCAATATCCCTGATGGACATAGACACAAAAATCCTCAACAAAATACTATGTAACAAACTGAATCCAACAATTCATCAAAAAGATAATACACCATGATCAAGTGAGATTTATCACAGGAATGTAAGAATTGTTCAACATACGTAAATCAGTAAGTGTGATACATGACATCAACATAATGAAGGACAAGAACCATAAAACCTCTCACTAGATGAAGAAAAAGTATTTGATAAATTCAGCATCCCTTCATGATTTTAAAAAAAAACCCTCAATAAATTAGGTACAGAAGGAAAGTACCTCAATGCAATAAAGGCCATATATGACAAACCCACAACTAATATCATGCTGAATGGGGAAAAGCCGAAAGCTTTTTCTCTAGGAACTGAAAAATAATTGGTTTTAATGAGTCCCAAATTAGCCAACCCACTTATACTGTTGTTTTTCCTTTCAATAATCATTTTTAAGTAGTAGTAGTTCATATTTTGCCTATTTTTCTCTCTGCTTCTAAAAGTGATTAGAAAAAAATATTTTGTTGCTACTACTGTTATTTTCTTCAGTGTCTTAAATTATCTCCTAAATAGCTTTTTTGTGCTTGCTCCACATAGATAGATAGAGGAATCATGGCTGTAGGACAAACCGTAAATCATTAGATTTAAAATAGGTTAGTTTTCAAATACTGCTTTTTTGGAATTGAAATACAATTCCATTTCATAAGTATTTACTAAGGTAACTACTACTAGATATAATTTATGTTCCTGAGGATTTATAATTTAGCACATGAGTGTGCCTGTGCACACTGGTTTATAACATTATAAACCAATATATGGCAGTTTGAACAAAAGTGATTTAGATAGCTTTTCTCATCACTATTGACTTGGTAATACTTGATATACTTGAAAAATGTATATTCTAATATTTTCTTTTTTCAAGATTTCAGCATGACTCTGAGTAATCTATTACATTCTAAAGTAATTCTTTAGAATGTCTGAATAAAATACCTGTTCTTTAACTAGTAAGCATAGTAAGCATTAATTTCAGTGTCTTATATGTGTCCTCAAACATGTTATTGACCACTTAATAGCCTATATACCTATATAATACAGAAACTGGCATTTACAGCTAAAACAGCTGGTAAACTTAACTGATACACTAATGAGTGCTAATTGTATAAGGAAAGAATTTAACATTAGTCATAAAGTTGGCCACAAAGGGCCTGTATGTGAAATACCCTATCTTGAGGTGATTAATTGGACTTATTAAAAGTTTGGGGGAAGAAAGGAGATTGGAGTTATGTTCTAAAGAAAAAAAAATGCAAATTAAAACCTTAATGAGATTGTAGATGTTAAGGAACCTGACAGTATAGTAAGGCTTGTGGAGCAATAGGATCCATCAGATACTGCTGGCACAGTCAATTTGGAGAGTGATAATAGCAGTATTTAATAAAGCTGAAAAAATGTATCTTCCAAATCCAACACATATATACTTCTAAATATTTCTCTTACAGAAAATCTTATATATAAGGCACACATGTGCAAAACTATTCTCTGCATTTTGTAATAATGATAGAACTGGAAACAGTATAAATGTTTACTAGTAGGGAAATGGAGAAGATTTGAGAGGATTTATGTAATGGAATACTAGAATACTATATACCAGTATTTTATTGTGTGAATCTATACTATGGATAAATCTCAAAAATACAGTATTGAGTAAAATAGCAGGTTAGGGATTTGTAAGATGTGAAGTCACTGATATAAATGAATAAAAATAAAAATTTCACAAAATAGCAGTGTATACTAATAATGGATGTATATAAGCATGCGTATGAAGAATACTAAATGAGAATGATACACTCCAAGTTCGGAAAAATGATCTGTAATAAAATTATATTTCTTTTTCAAAAGAGCATCTGAGGAAAATTCATCAACAAATTCTAGTTGATTCTGGAAAGTAAAGGATACAATACTGTCTACTTTTCTGTATGTTTAAAATATGATAAAAATATTAAAGACATGCCATTAGGCATTACAGACAGGGTAGTTGCTAAGAGGTTTTGTTTCATTTTGTTTTGTTTTATTGTTTTTTTAAGACAGGGTCCTGTTCTGTCACCCAGGCCAGAGTGCAGTGGTGTGATCATGGCTCACTGCAGCCTCAGTCTCCTGGGCTTAAGTGATCCTCCTGCCTCAGCCTCCTGAGTAGCTAGAACTACAGGCATATGCCACCACACCCAGCTAATTCTGTTATTTTTTTATAGAGACAGAGTCTCACTATGTTGCCCAGGCTGGTCTTGAACTCCTGGGCTCAAGTGATCTTCCTGCCTCGATAGAAGGTTTTGAGTGTTATATTCTAAGTTTTAGATTTGAGGTAATAAGATATAAGTAGCCAATAAAGTTTCTAAAGTAGATCAATGAAAAGATGAGAATAATCCTTGAGGAAAATTATTTGGTTAACTATATAGTTAAATGCAATGGAGTGGGGAGACAGCAGAGGAAGGATTGATTGGCTTATATATCCACCCCACCAAGCATAAAGTCCAGAGGATACCAACTGTGAAATAGAAAGTAAAGGGGGAAACCTGATAGTTTTTTTTTTAGAGAAAGAATGAGTATGATGAAATTTTGGAAATTCAAAACTGAAAGAGTGTACAGAAAAAAACAGTCCAATTCACATTTTTACAGATGGACAAACTAAAGGCTCATAGTTAGCCAGTTGACACACTGAGTGGCAGATTTGAGACTAGACTCAATATCTTCTGATCCCCCAGTCTCAGTCACTTTGGAGTAAGAAAGGACGTTGAGTTTAAACTCAAAATTCTACAACCCTTGGTTCTAGGTAAGTAATGATCTAGTTGATACTAATAAAACAGTTAGAAATGGCAGCACCAAACCGATAGGAATGGTTAGTGAATGCTTTTCCAACGCTGTCTCCTTACATTCAGTAGGAATGTTCACAAGACAGTTGAGTAGATACGAAGAAATAAAGAGGACCAGTAAACATAACCAGGTAAATACAGTATAAATGTATTAAAAAATTTTTTTCTGTCTGATTTAAAAGTGATTTGCAGAAAGCAATAATTATACACTGTTGGTTGGCTTATAAGGTATAAAAATGTAATTAGTGTTATAGCACAGAGGATAGGAGAGGGAACTGAGGTTAGAAAAGCAGTGTTTTTTACATACAATTGGAATTAATTGGATCAACATTATTATGAGTTAAGAGGTTAATTATAATCCCCAGGGCATCTACTAAGAAAAAATAACTCAAAAGAATATTGTAAAAGAAACAACAGGAGAATTAAAATAGAACATCAGAACATATTTAACATAAAAAAGGCAAAAATGGAGGAATTGAGGAACAAAAAAGATATAATATCATGCATAAAACAGAGCAAAATAGCAAACTGATAAGGCAAATCCTACCTTATCATTAAGTGCATTGCATCTAAATGGATCAAACATAACAGTGAAAAGATAGTTATTGACCAAATGGATAAAAATTCAGGTGCAATGGCTCACACTTGTAATCCCAGCACTTTGGAAGGCCAAGATTGGTGAATCACCTGAGGTCAGGAGTTTGAGACCAGCCTGACTAACATGGCGAAATCCTGTGTCTACTAAAAATACAAAAATTAGCCAGGTGTCTGGTGTCACCCACCTGTAGTCCCAGCTACTCAGGAGGCTGAGGCAGGAGAATCGCTTGAACCCCGGAGGCAGAGGTTGCAGTGTGCTGAGATTGCGCCACTGTACTCTAGCCTGGGCAACAGAGTGAGACTCTGTCTTAAAAAAAAAAAAATTCATGATTTAACTATGTGCACTCTATAAGAGACACTCTTTATTTTTTAAGAGACAGGGTCTTGCTCTATCACCAGGCTGAAGTGCAGTGGTGCCATTGTAGCCCTGAGCTCAAGTGATTCTCCTACCTCAGCCTCCTAAGTAGCTGGGACTCCAGGTGCATCCAGTTACACCCAGCTAATTTTTTAATTTCTTGTAGAAACCGAATCTCGCTTGTTGCCCAGGCTGGTCTCAAACTCCTGACTTCAAGTGATCCTCCAACCTCATCTTCCCAAAGTGCTAGATTACAGACATGAGCCACACTGTGCCCAGCCCAGGACACTCTTGAAATCAAAGACACAAATAGGTTGAAATGTAAAAGATAGAATAAGAGAACTTGTAACCCAAAGAGAAATGAAATGACTATACTAATAATTGACTTTAAGTCAGAAAAGTTACTAGAGACAAAGAAGGATGTTTTATAATGATAAAAGGGTAAATCTGCCTCTAACCATCAAGCTGCCAAATATCTGAAATAATGATTGACAGAATTGATGGGAGAAATAGACAATTGAACAATAATAGTTGGAGCCTTCAATAGGTAGAATATTAACAGGGAAATGGAAGGTATGAACGACACTGTAAACCTGATAGACATCTGTAGAACATTCCACCCAACAACAGCAGCATGTATAATATTTTCAAGTATACATGGATCATTGTCCATTATAGGGTATATACTAGGTCATAAAACTAGCAAGCTTCAATAGTAAGAATTTTTTTCTTGAGACAAGGTTTTACTTTGTCACCCAGGCTGGAGTGCAGTGACATAATCATGGCCCACTGCAGCCTTTGCCTCCTGAGCTCAAGTGGTCCTCCCACCTTAACCTCCCAAATAGCTAGGACCACAGATGTGCACCACCATGCCAGGCTGAAGTTTTTTTTTAGTAGAGACAGGGTCTCCCTCTGTTGCCCAGGCTTCAGTAAATTTAAAGAGATAGAAATAATACAAAGTATTTTCTTCAAACACAATGAAATGAAATTAGAAATCAATAACAGAGAAATTTGGGAAAATAACAAATATGTATAAATTAAAGAGTATATTTCTACAAAGCCAGTAGGCCAAAGAATAAATCACAAAGGAAATTAGAAAATACTTTGGTATGAACGAAAACCATGATACAACATACTAAAATTTATGAAATACTGCTGAAGTAATGGTTAAAGGAATACGTATACCCTTAAAAGCCTGTGTTTAAAAAGAAAGCTCTCAAATCAATTATCTAACCTTTTACTTTAAAAAGCTATAAAAAGAAGATAAAACTAAACCCAGAGCTGGCAGAAGAAAACAGTAAAGCTTAGAGTAGAAATAAATGAAATAAAGAACAGAAAAATATAGAAAATCAAAAATACCAAAAGTTGGCTCTTTGAAAAGATCAACAAAATTGCCAACCCTTTTAAGTAGACAAGAAAGAATGAATTGTTGGTGGTGCAGTGGTGAGCATAGCTGCTTTTCAAGAACAAAAAAGACTCAAATGACTAAAATCAAGAATGATCAAGAATGAGAGAGTAGACATTACTACAGATCTTACAGAAATGAAAGGATTATTAATGAGTACTGTGAACAGTTGCATGCCAACAAATAGTCTAAGTGAACTAGACAAATATCTAGAAAGACACAAAACAACCAAAACCGAATCAAGAAAAAAATATAAAATCTGAATACACGTATAACAAGTAAAGAGATTAAATTGGTACCACAAAGAAAAACTGTCACCAAGGTAAAGTCCAGACCCAGATGGCTTTTTTGGTGAATTCCACCAAATGTTTAAGGGAGAATTAACACCAAATCTAAAACTAAACCAGACAGAGACATTGCAAGAAAACCACAGACCAATATCCCTTATGAATATAGATATAAAATCCTCAACAAAGTACTAGCAAATCAAGTCCATGAACATATACAATTCTATTTTACTTCATTATGTACATCAACTAAGTGGGGTTTGTAGTAGGAATGTTGAAGTTGGTTCAACATACATAGAACAATCATTGTAATATACCACATGGTCATCTCAGTAGACTCAAAAGAAGCATTTGACAAAATTCAACACTTTTCATGATAAAAACACTCAGTATACAAGCAATAGAAGGGAACGTCCTCAACCTCATAAAAGGCATCTGCAAAAAAAACACAATTAACATTGTATGGAATGGTGAAAAACAGTATGCTTTTCCTCTAAGATGAGAAACAAGATATGGATGTCCTGCTGTCACCACTTCTATTCAACGTTGTACTGGAAGTCCTAGCCTGGGCAAATAAGTAACTAAAGGAATTAAAGGCCTCCAGGTTGGAAAAGGAATAAAACTCTATTCAAAGAGAACATGATCTTGTAAAAAGAAAATCTTAAAGAATCCACTGAAAAACTATTGGAACTAATAAACAAGTTCAGCAAGGTTGTGGGATATAGGTTCAATATAGAACAATAAATTGTATTTCTATATACGGGCAATGAACAATCTGAAAATGAAATTAAGAAAACTTTTTACAACAGAATAAAAAAGAATAAAATACTTAGGAATGTTTAATGAAAGAAATATAAGATGTATACACTGAAAACCATAAAACTCACTGAAAGAAATTAAGGAAGACTTAAACAAGTGGAAAAGCATCTGATGATCATAGATCAGAAGACTTAATATTGTTAAGGTGAAATACTGCCAAATTATACATATCCAATACGTTGCCTCCCAAATTCCCAGCTTACTTCTTTGTAGCTATTAACAAGTTGAGCCTAAAATTTGTATGGAAATGCAAGAAACACAGAATAGCCAAAATAATTTTGAAAAAGAGCACAGTGGGAGAATTCAGTGTTTCTCCATTTTAAAACTTACTGCAGACTGGGTGCAATGGCTCATGCCTGTAATCTTAGCACTTTGGGAGGCTGAAGTGAGCAGATCACTTGAGGTCAGAAGTTTGAGACCAGCCTGGCCAAGATGGTGAAACTCCATCTCTACTAAAAATACAAAAATTAGCATGGTGGTGTGCACCTGTAATTCCAGCTACTCGGGAGGCTGAGGCAGGAGAATCGCTTGAACCCGGGAAGCAGAGGTTGCAGTGAGCCGAGATCTCACCACTGCATGATCAGCCTGAGCAATGGAGTGAGACTCCATCTCAAATAAATAAATAAAACTTACTGCAAAGCTACAGTAATAAGACAGTGTGGTACTGGCCTAAGAATGGAATAGAATTGAGGGTCCTGAAATAAACTCTTTACATTTATGGTCATTTGGTTTTGACAAAGGTGCCTAGATGATTCTGCTGGGAAAGAATGGTCATTTCAACAAATGGTGCTGAAACAACTAGATATCCACATGTAAAAGTATGAAATAGGACCTATACTTCATACCATCTACAAAACTAACTCAAAAATCAATTAAAATCCTAAAATAAGAGCTAAATTGTAAGACCGTTAGAACAAAAAGGCATAAATCTCCGTGATCTTGAATTATGGAATTATTTCCTAGATAAAAAACTAAAAAGCACAAGTAGGAGAAGAAAAATGAGATACAGTATACTTCATCAAAATTGAATAATTTTGTGTTGTAAGTTTTGTGTTACTATCAGGAAACAAAAATCCACAAAATTGGAGGAAAAAATCCATAAAATTGGAGAAAATATCTGCAAACTGTATCTGATAAGGGGCTTGTATTCAGAATGTGTGAAGAACTCTTACTTCTTCTAAAAAGACAACCTAATAAAAAGGTGGGCAAAAGATTTGAAAAGTCATTTCTTCAAAGAAGTTATGTACATGTACTATAAGCATATGAAAGATTCACAACATCATCAGTCATCAGGGAAATGCAAATCAAAACCACAATGAGATACTGCTTCACACCCATTATAATGGGTAGAATTAAAAAGATAAAAACAAGTGTTAGCAACGATATGGAAAAATTGGAACCCTCATACACTGCTGGTGGGAATGTAAACTGGTAAATGTACTTTGGGAAATAGCCTGGCAGTTCCTAAGACAGTTAAACATAGTGTTACCCTATGACCCAGTAATTTCACTCCTAGGTATATATCCAAGAGAAACAAAAACATATGTCCATGTAAAAAAATGAACAGCATTATTTATATTAGCCAAAAAGTGGAAACACTCCAAATGTCCATCAACAGAGAAATGGATAAACAAAATATGGTATATCAGTAAAATGGAATATTATTATTTGGCTGTAAACTGGAATGAAGCACTTCAGTATATGCCGCAATGTGGATGAACCTCAAAAACATTATGCTAAGTGAAAGAAGCCAGTCTTAAAAGTCTACAGACTGGCTAACAGGGTGAAACCCCATCTCTACTAAAAATACAAAAAATTAGCCGGGTGTGGTGGAGGGCGCCTGTGGTCCCAGCTACTCGGGAGGCTGAGGCAGGAGAATGGCGTGAACCCGGGAGGCGGAGCTTGCAGTGAGCCGAGACCGCGCCACTGCACTCCAGCCTGGGCGACAGAGCGAGACTCCGTCTCAAAAAAAAAAAAGTCTATGGAAATTTCTTTTTGAGGTGATAAGAATGTTCTAAAATTTACTGTGGTAGTGATTGTACAGTTCTCTGTGTATACTAAAAACCATGAAATTATAACTCTTTACAGGGTAAATTTTATTGCATATAGATTATATCAATAAAAATATTTTTAAAGCCTATTTGCATTTTAAATATATGTTTATATAATTTAAATGTGATTAACAATCCAGAAATAAGTTATTATTATAAGACTAAGTATTATCAATCTTTCTTTGATAAATGGGTTAAATTTGTGGAGTCAGTTTTAGAATTAAAGCATTAATAGGTTATTTCTAGGTGTATGGGATTTGTACACTGATGCTTGTTTCTTTTATATATACATATATATAAACCGCAAATATACTGACATATTCCAAGATGAGAGCAAAAACAAAATAACTAAAAATGTGGCTTTAAAATAAAATATATTTGTAAACAGCATACTCTTAAATTCTGACTTGTTAACTGATACTGGATTATCTAGAAGCAGATGCTACTGCACTTCTTTGTTGATTTGGTTGCTATGGTGATATAGTCATGTACAACAGTAAGCCTACCGTACATTGGATAATTTGATAGAAAACGAGGTTTGAGGTAGGTATTGATGAGTGTACTGGTAATCAGTTGTACCTTTAACATCCTGTCTCTACGTGTATTTTCACTGGATAAGTATAAAATGACATAAGATGCCACCAGAATAGAGTTTGTAAAGGGTGACTTGGTAGACTAAGGACAATATGAGGTCCAACTTGCCAGTGAAAATTACCTTAGTATTCAGTGAATTGAAACAAATTAGAATAGATTGCTGGAGAAGAAGCTGTTGAATCTTACAGCAGCTGTTGGTACCTGTGGAAGCAGCAGTTGAATGAAAAAAAATCAGAGAATGCAACCAACAGTAAGTAAAGTGGGTTTTAGAAGTGGCTTTACTAGATAAGCAAGTTTATGATTTAATACATCAGTCATATTTTATAATTTATACTTAAATTTTTTGTATTTATTGGTCAAGGAGTAAGATCATGTTACTGTTTTTTAATGTAGGTGCTGATAGAGTATTAAGAGCTACAGATTTACCAGTTTTAGAGTAAACTTAAAACTATTAACCTTTTACCATAGAATAATTTTATTAAATCAATAGTTATAGATTAGTTTTGAAAAAATACTGTGATTTAAATGAAAAATTGTAAAAACCACTTTGTAGTTAAAACTGTTAGGAAACTATTACTTTAAATATGTAAATTATTTATAAATGAAGTTATTTTAGCTTATAACTTATATTTATTGCTAAAATAATTATATTTTAGCATATTACCATGAAGGTAAAATATGCGGAGTCTTTAAAATGCTGTTTTTCTAGTATATTTAGAGTTTTTATAATTTGAATATAGAATTTCAGAGTTTATGAATCTATTAAGAATGATCAGTCCAGCTGCACTCTTTGTGAAATTATAAATCTGGAAATTTTCAGAAGCTGTATTATGAAGAAAGCTATTACAGACTGCTGTAAGACACCTGAAAGAAACATAACTCTTTTACAGACACTAATTATCATTCACCTTTAAAGAGTGTTCTAAGTAATTATATTTTGGTTAATTTGTTAGTATCATTGAAATGACTCTTTCATACAGGTACACACACTTGTCATTTGGGTAATTTGTTGCAGAGTTAGAAATAACAGTATTTGTTATCCATATAACTTTCATCACAAAACTTCTGAAACTTAGAGGTACTTCAATAACTTATTTTGACTTGATCCTATTACGTTGTGAGATACTGTCCTAATTGTTTTAATTCTAAATTGCAATATGAAAACTTGTGTTTTTGAGTTTTAATAAGCATAATGAATTGCTTTTGATATATTGATGCAGTTTATGTAAGAAAACTTATTCTGTGAAGAGACTATCAGCATTTAAGATAAAACTTACTTCATAAAGATAAGGCAGAAATTTTATTAAAAAGATAAATTAGTTTATTTTCAAATGCAGGCAGTTTATACTGGAAGCATTACATGTTAAGGGGGTGCATGTTATTGCTCAAATATAAGCCATGTGAGCAGTGAATTCATATTTTAAACTCAATCCTAAAATGAACAAAGTAAATGAGCATGAAAGTGCTTGATTAACAATAAAGTAAAACACAACTTTAAGCTATGATACTGTAATTATCCCCTTGGGTAATCTTGATACCCTGGACTTATTTTGAATATCAGTTTTTAAAGAGTGGTACAGTGGTTAAAAAACATGCAAACCCAAATGACATCTGGAAATTGGAATTGATGCTGATATTCTAATTACTGTAAAGTCCTTATATTTTTTTCTTTAAAATAATTGTAAGTGGAAAACATTTTAAGTCTGACTTTTTGATAGAACTGGCTTTAGAAAGAAAGATTTAATTATTGCCAACCCACACATGTGTATAAGTTCAATGAGCTACATGGCACCCATGTGCAGGTAATGACACTTTTTAGTAGGATTGGTAAGAGAATTAAGAACAGATCTACTTATAAGCCATTCTGAAATAAATGAGAACACAAATCCTTAGTTGCATATGTATACACTGTATATACATATATGCAGACATTGTCTATAAATGTGTATATGTGGGATAATACCTCATTATATTTTAAGAATCTCCTGTATGTCAGGCAGTATGCTGACATACAGAATATACAGAATTTACCTTTGTAGAAAAGTCACTACAGTTTACAGTTAAATTAAAAGCTGCATACCTATTAAGTAATAGAGTAGAATTTGAATGTAGAATAATCTGACTCAAAATTCATTTATCTTTTCTGTCAAAATGACTTTATTTCTGTAGAAACAATTATGAAGACAAATGAGCCTAAACAGGAAAAAAAATTTTCTGATTACCACATATTATACCATGTATTCTGTTTTGTATTTTAATTGGCTGTAACTGTCTCCCTTACTGATTCATCCTTGTATCCCCAGCTCTTCAAAGAGTGCCTAACATATAGTAGTTACCCATTAATTGTTTGCCAAATAAATGAATTAAACGAGCAATTGGTTGACTCTTCTCAGTTGTTTGTCTATATGCTGGTATCAAGCATATATTCTTACTTAGGTTGAGTTATTATCCATCATGGAACTAAAATCCAAATTCAAATTCGTTAGTTTGATAATATTCTTATCTTTTATTTGCAAATCTTAATTTCTATTTTGACTTCAGCTGAAATGTTATATCAGCCTGTCAGTCTACAGATTGACAAGATCTAGCCAAGTATAGATAAAGCTTAATGCAAAGTTCATATGATCAAGTTAATTTAATAGCACTTTAATGTATAATTTAGACATTTGTGAATTGATAGGATATTCAAATGAAATGAATTTCCTAGCTTAACTTCTCAGGAAACTCAGATAATTAGTTCAAATTTAGACATAGTGAAATGGAGGTACCTGCAGTTTATCAAGGTGAATAAATCCAGAAAGTAGTTGAAAATGGAATTTTAAAGTTTGGGGCATCCCGAGATATATTGTCTAATACAGTAGCCATTAACCACATGTGACTATTTAAACTACTAGAGTTAAATAAAATTACAGATTCAGTTTCTCATCCCTACTAGTCACATTTCAAGTGCTCAATAGCCACATACAACTAGAGGCTGTTATATCAGACAGCACAAATGCTATAGGACATTTCTGTCATCACAGAGAGTTCTGTCAGACAGCACTGGTGTTGAAACTGGAGGAAAGGATTTAGGAGTCATTTGGAGATGGATGGTAGTTAATTGAGCAAACATTTGTTCAACCTATGTTTTTGTAAATTTACTGTGGTCTCTGTAACTATAAAAACAGATCGATGTCTAAATGTACCACTCTAGTCTCTGTAACTGTAAAAACAGATTGAAGTCTTATGAAAGGCTTGTGTTGTAGTGGAGGTGACATCATGTAAACAACTAAATACAATTTAGTGCTAAGTGTCATAATAGAAGGATGTACAGAGTGCTTTGAACCTTAGAATGGGAATAATCTAACTTTGCTTTAGGATGGCAGAATCTTGAAGGATGAGTAGAGTTTTCTGAAGAAGAAATTCTATGTTCACAGTCATAGTGGTTGAGAAGCCCTGTTAGGAAAATATTAGCAGAAATCAAGTCTGAACTAATTGTCATGCCAAAGAATAGTAAGTAAGTCACAGACCAGAAAATGAAGGTGAGGCTATTGACCATTAGAACACTACACTGAAAGGAGTAGAACAGATGGATATCTGGAAAGCTAAAGGATCAGTATAGGAAAATATGAAAAGTAAAGAGTATGCAGATCCTGGACCAGTTGAGGAGAAATCTCATAAGCATTGTGTTCTAGGTATATTCTCTTTCATGTGCGTCCACTTGGCTAGGCTAGAGGCAAGTCCTTAAATTGAAAGATCTATATTGATAAAAAATAATACTACTAAGAGCTACTCATACAGCACTTACAGTAACAGCGAATATGTGCATAGATAGTGCTTACTATATGCCAGTCACTGTTCTATGCACTTATTATATGTTAACTCATTTAATCATCACAAGAACCCCATGAATGCTGAAGTAATTTGAAGGCCTTTAACCATGGGTTGGAGGAATGAATGGTTTGGCTTAGCTAACCATTGCTAAATGTATGTTATTAACTGTCATTCAAGGATACAAGGCACAGAGGATTTTCTCCTTTATTATTGCTATCAACCACCAGCAAACGTAAAGGAGCAGTTGGATAAGGAGGAGATAGAAGGATTAGGCATTCCAAATATTTATGTGCTTTCTGTAACTTGGGGGTTGTTATGGGAGGAATTGTCATGTCCACCCCCTACCCCCTGCCACAACCCAAAATTGATATGTTGAAGTCCTCACCTTCAGTATCTTCAGTACCTCAGAATGTAACTGTATTTGGAGATAGGGTGAAACGGGAGAGTTCCCTGGCCTCACCCCCCTCACAGTACATGCAACAGAGGCATGCCTCTCTGTTCAGCCACTGAGAGCTCAAACCCCTTATGGGAGCGGGAACTCGCAGATGGGCAGGTGCAGGAGCCAGAGCAAGCACTTTGTGCTCTGGCCCCATGATAGTGTCTACAGATGGGTGCCTGTGACTCCCAAAGCCCAAGTGGGCATTCTACAGTGCACTCTTAGTTTTGCCGTCCACAGATGGCTTAAGTGCCTTCTTGGCACCCAGGTTCTTGTGCAGAGTCCAGGAAGAATAAGGACTTGAAGAGTGAATGTGGGGGCTTTATTGAGTGGTAGAAGTGGCTCTCAGCAGGATGGATGGGGAGCTGGAAGGGGACCAAGTGGGAAGATTATCTTCCCCTGGAGTTTGGCCATCCAGCGGCCGATCTCTTCTCTGATTGTCCCCACTGAACTCTTGGTGTTCAGGCGCTCCTTCTCTGTGACACGTTCTGCCGTTTGTCTGCTCATCTCCTTCTGGAGCCTGGGTTTGGGATTTATATGGGTACAGGATAGGGGGTGCGGTGGGTCAAAAGACAACTTTTTGGGCATGAAAACAGGAATGCCTGTTCTCACTTAGGGCCACAGGTATCCAGGCTTGAGGGTGGGGCCTTTGCCAAGGAACTGCCCTCTTCTACCCACTATTTCCCTGTCTCCTGTCCATATCATTTTCCCCCTCTAAAGAGAGGGTGAGCCCTAATCCAATATGGCTGGTTTCCTTATAAGAACAGGAAATTAGGACATAGACACATACAGAGGGAAGACACGGGGAGAAGATGCCATCTACACGTCATGGAGAAAGACTACGGAGGAAAACAATCTTGCCAACACCTTGCTTTGAGACCTCTAGCCTTCAAAATTGTGAGAAAATAAATTTCTGTGGTTCTTTTTTATGGCAAACCTAGCAAATTAATATGGTAGCCAAGATAATTTATTTGTAAATATTGGGAACATGAATATATGTTTTTGAATTCTGGGTTGATTTTCTTACTGTATCTACTAAATCCTTCACCAAGTTTTAGAAGTAGAGATGTGAGATGTTTACTTTGTTGTTCTCAGACCTAACAATGTTTGTGAAGAATGCAAGTCATGTTCCTTTTGGGATAAGGCGAGAAAGTTAACTTATATCTGTAAAATTGATGCCATTCATAAACATTTTTCTTTAATTTTTTTCTGTAATTTGGTTTTGTAGATTTTTTTTTGCAAAAATATAGGTGAACAAGAAGTTAGGGGAAAAATACAGATTCTTCACCCTCCAGAGAGGGACCTGAATACATATACAGTATTTTGAAAAAGTCCCAGGACAATTCTAAGACATCATCCCTTCCATCTGGTGCACATCTTCTCATCTGATAGATTTTGGTGGTGCTGCGGGTCAGATGTAATGTTATTTTTCCTGTTCTCTTTTGTATGTAAGAAACTTAGACTGATAGATATTAAGTAAAATTGAAGTAGGGGACCAAGGAATTGTGTATTACCATTGGAATGTAAACTAATATTTTTCAAAGTTAGTAAGGTATAATTTATGCATAGGTATAATCTTTTCTATAATACCAATCTTTTGAATAATACCAATAATTTTCTGTTAATTTATTTTTTAAAATCTGGATTGTACTAAATGGTATCTCAGACATCACTTAGCTCTAACTTTTCCCAAGCTGTAGGCTCTGTTTGTTTAGAGGTTCCCGTCAGGCTTGCTTGTCTCTGGTATCAATGCTCCTTTGTCCTTCCTCACTCCAGAGATATCTTTTGCTGCTGTCCTGCTTTTTTGAAACTTAGTTTTCTCCCCCAAGTAAATAATTTTATATATGAACCTCTTAAATCTTATCTATCCTCTTCTGTAACTTCTCCAAGCCATCGTATCTTTTTTATCGTTTATTAAGAATTGCAGTGAGCATTAAATTTTAGTCATATTTTGCTGTATTTTTGTAGTTTTAACTAACATATATACTGGGCATATTTATAACTTTAATCAGTGACTTTTCATTATCATACTTTTTCTGTTTTTGTTTTTTGTTTTTTGTTTTTTCTGAGACGGAGTTTCGCTCTTTTTGCCCAGGCTGGAGTGCAATGGCGCAATCTCGGCTCACTGCAACCTTCGCCTCCCGGATTCAAGCGATCCTCCTGCTTCAGCCTCCCATGTAGCTGGGATTACAGGCATGCGCCACCATACCCCGCTAATTTTGTAATTTTGGTAAAGACTAGGTTTCATCATGTTGGCCAGGCTGGTCTTGAACTCCTGACCTCAGGTGATCTGCCTGCCTCAGCCTCCCAAAGTACTGGGATTACAGGCGTGAGCCACCGTGCTGGCCCTGTTATTTTTTAATGTGACAGTTTTGTGTACATATTTTCATATGTCATCGTAGGACACTTGTAAGAATAACTTAAAGGTCTACATGGTATGGCATTATTTGCAGTCATGATAAATTCTTATCTGCCCTTTGGTAGTAGCCGCCTTACCAAAGACATGTTTTAAGCATATGTTTATCTGTTATTCAAGAAGTAATGTAATTATTAGTAGTACTGAATAAGTAAATTCAGGATACACTAAAAATGCTCACTAATTCTATTTATCTCTGTTTAAGATGCTTAAAGTTGGACTGTTGGCATATATTCAGACAATAATTTTTATCAATTGCCTACTCACCCATTATCGGCACTAATAACTCAACCCAGATATTAGAAGTTCCCACCATTTGCACTTACGGATGGCAAAGGAAAACTCCTAGGTATCACACCAGTAGAGCAAGGTCTTCAAAATGCCACCAAATCTATTGCTAGAAATGAAAGAAGTGAAAGAAACTGAGGAGAGAAACATAGTGCAGAATTTTTACAAATGGTGTAATGAAACTGTCAGATCTGAACTCTGATCTTTAAAATAGTTGGGAGTTGGAAGATCAGCAGTGCATCTGAGATAAGTGCAAACTTAAGAGTATGGTTATTTGTTTCTATGAAATTTAAAGATATTGAAGGATTTAGTTTTTAAAAGTCTAATAAAGTACTTTATAACCACTTTATGATAGTATATTTGTAAAAGGTGCTCTGTAATATACCCCTGTGCAAATAGAGACATCAATGATAAGAATCACAGAATGATGGATAATTTACCAGGGTTCCTCACCTGTCACACTTATAAGAGTTACTTGGTTTACAGGATTTTTGTAGTCATTTCATTTATGATTATTCTGGAAACAGTTTTTTTGACATATTTTATCTCAGGTAATATAACTAGTTTATAATTTGTAGTTCTTCTTTCACTCTTCCCTCCGCTCATCATATTGTACTATTATAATGAGATTATGGAAAATTCCACTGCATTTGTGGCAGATGAATGTAAAATAGCATAGGAATCCAGATAATTTGAAGATATATGAGTCCTGCATTTTGGAGCTGGCCAAAAGTTTGATTATTTGCCAGAAACCTGTGAGTGGGCGTAGCATTTAGACAGGGACCTTTATTCCAAAGTAGCCCTGGTTTAATCTGGCATGTTGGCGAAAGTACATACTACACATACATCTGTGTATGTTAATTTCTTCTAATCTCATATTTTCTATTTAGTCTTTTAATAATTCCCTAAAATAACTATTTCAGTTGATATTTACTCAGTGGCCTAACTTGAATCCTATGACTCTTTCTCTGCCATACCATGAAGGCGGTTAGTTTTGTCTATTTTGTTTACTACTCTATCCCAATTATCTAGCACAAAACCTCACGTTACAAGACCTTAGTAACTGATTGTTGAATGAATTAATCAGTTCCACACCCTTCCTAGTCCCCACTCTTCAGTTGTTTATTCATTGAACGAAAGTTTATTGAAAACCTATTATTGGCTAGGCACAGTGGCTCACGCCTGTAATCCCAACACTTTGGGAGGCTGAGGCGGGCAGATCACCTGAGGTCAGGAGTTTGAGACCAGCCTGGCCAACATGGCAAAACCCCATGTCTACTAAAACTACTAAAATTGGCTGGGCGTGGTGGTGGGCACCTGTAATCCCAGCTACTCGGGAGGGTAAGGCAGGAGATTTGCTTGAACCCAGGATGCGGAGGTTGCAATGAGCCAAGATCATGCCACTGCACCCCAGCCTGGGCAACAACAAAGCGAGACTCTGTCTCAAAAAAAAAAAAAAAAAGAAAAGAAAAAGAAAACCTATTATCAGCCAGGCTCTAAGGTGTGGAATTTTATAAGACAAGTTGAAGTGTTTGGTTTCATAGTGAGCTTTTATTCTAGTGGAGTGGAAACCACTCAATATAAAACCAAATAATTGCACAAAATAATTTCAGATAGTGATGAGTACTAGATAAAAAATAAAATATATGTGAGGGGTATATATACCCTACAATTTGGTCGTCAGGGAGCGTCTTCCTGAGGAGATGACATCTGAGATATGGGAGTAAAAAGGAGCCAGCCTTATGAAGATCTTGGGAGAAGAGCCATAATTTTAATATTCCCCTAAATACAACTTATATATCAATAGAAAGATATTTATAAAATCCATTGTAAAGCCATCTACTTGCATCAAATCTCCAAGATTTGAGTATGTCCTTGGGACGAAAAACCCCAGGCTGGAAAAGGTAAGTACTTTTTTTCTTGTATTTTTTCTCCTGGTTATCTTTGATTACTCTTTGTTATCTTTGGTGACTCTGATTACTCTTACAACTATTTTATCATCTTCCAGCATTTCTTTATTTTCTGATTCGCTATTTCTGCTCATATTTTTGTTTCCTTCCTTTTATTTTCGTTGGATTAGCTATGCCTTTTCTTACTGAGTTGGACACTTAACATACTAATTTTCAGCTGGGTACAGTGGCTCATACCTGTAATGCCAGCACTTTGGGAGGCCAAGGTGAGAGGATCGCTAGAGCCCAGAAATTTAAGACCAGCCTAGGCAAGATAGTGAGACCCTGTCAAAAAATAGAAAAAAATAATGAGGTATGGTGCTGCATGCCTGTGGTCCCAGCTGTAATACTTGGGTGGCTGAGGTGGGAGGATTGCTTGAGTCAGAGATGTTGAGACTGCAGTGAGCTGCGATTGTGCCACTGTACTCCAGCCTAGGCAACAGAGACCCTGTCTCAAAAAAAAATTAATTGTTGTTGTAAGTATTTAGAGGTCTGTATTTTTTGATAAATACAGTGTTGTCTGCATCCTAAGGTCTTACTGTAGAATGTTTTGGTTACAGTTCGTTTCTGTTCCTTTTCTATTTTTCATTATAATTTCTTCTTTGACTTATGAATTATTGAAACTTTTACAGACATTTTCTGTTTTTGTTTTTTGAGAGCCAGGGTCTCATTCTGTCACCAAGACTGGAATGCAGTGGTACAATCAAGGCTCACTTCAGCCTTGACCTCCTGGGCTCAAAGAATCCTCCCACCTCAGCCTCCCAAGTAGCTGGGACTATAAATGTGTGCCACCACACCCAGCCAGTTTTTTTTTTTTTTTTAATATTTTGTAGAGACAGGGTCTTACTGTGTTGCTTAGGCTGGTCTTGAACTCCTGGGCTCAAGGTATCCTCCCATCTTGGCTCCCAAAGTGTTGGAATTACAGGCGTGAGCCACTGGACCCATCCTGCAAACATATTTTTAAGCTGTTAAAAAATTATTTTATTTTTAACTTTTGTGTACATTGAAGACAGTTAATACTAATTTCTTTGAAATTTGTGAAACTTGATTTGTGCTGTTCTATGTGGCCCATTCTTAAATTTTTTTGCTCCACTTCTTTATGTGCTTAAAATGAAAGTATAGATTTAAATTGTTAGGTGCAGTGTTCTTTCCGAGACCATTTAGGTCAAACTAATTGATAATGTTGTTCTGATATTCTGTATCCTTTAATATTTTGTCTCCTTGTTCTGTTAATTACAGAGATAAGTATTAAAACATGCTGTCATGATAGTGTAATTGGAATATGATCCTTGTAATTTTTTTAATTCAATTTGATTTTCTGTTTTTTTAAGTAAGCAAAACTTTGGCCATTTTTTTTTCTAAGTCTTAAGGTTTATTTATACTAATGATTGCATTGTACAATGCTTTATAATTTATATTTACAACCCCCCATAAACTTTTTGTATTCTGGATTATTCCTTCACATTTTCTAATATTCAGCATAATGATCAAGCATACTTCATATACATTGACCCCTCTCCTTCAGCAACTCAAAAGATTAAATAAATACTGTAGAAAAAATGAAGAGATGACCTGAAGACTTGATCATCTACATCTATGTGACAGAAGAGTCAGTTCTTTGTAATGAAATACTGTAAGAATGAAGAATTAACAAATTGTTTGTAGTTTACCAGAAAAGCATATTAACTCTTTTCAAAAACCACTGAATAAAAGTAAAATGAATCCCTTAAGTTGCATTCTAATTAGCAGACTGGTTTCCATATCTCATCATTCTCATAGTCTTCTGTTGTCATGTCTTCTTCCGTGTCTCCTTGGGATGAAAAGGGCTGAGGCTGGTTGGCAGGTAATTCATTCTCACTATTCTGACTCAAAGATACCAGGTTTTGGGTTCAGTGGTTTGAGTGAGTTCACCCAGAGCTTCCTCTACAAGCTGTCCTCCATTAAGCTGTGCCTCCTCTCTGCTGTCAGAGTCTATTATTCCATGCTCCCCATAAGGTAGGGCTTCCATTTTCAGTCTTCCAAAGTGTTGCTCCAGAGGGAGCTTTCCAATGTCTTGGATGAAAGAAGTCTGAGGCCGGGCGTGGTGGCTCACGCCTGTAATCCTAACACTTTGGGAGGCCGAGGCAGGTGGATCACAAGGTGAGGGGTTTGAGACCAGCCTGACCAACATGGTAAAACCCTGTCTCTACTAAAAATACAAAAATTAGCCAGGTGTGGTGGCACGTGCCTGTAGTCCCAGCTACTCAGGAGGCTGAAGCAGGAGAATCACTTGAACCTGGCAGGCAGAGGTTGCAGTAAGCTGAGATCGTGTCACTGCGCTCCAGCCTGGGCGACAAAGTGAGACTCTGTCTCAAAAAAAAAAAAGAAAGAAAAATCTGAGCTTGATTTCTCATTTGAATGGTTAACAGAACAAGATATAGCAATAGCTAAGTTTGGAGACATAAAGCTGGTAGGCAGAAGTCAGGAAAAGTGCTTTTGTTGCCAGGCCATTTTTTCAATACTTTTTGTGTGTTAGAAACTACTGGGGTTTGTGCAAGGTTCAAAAACTTGATTGTTCTTGGCAATGAGCAAACCCTCAAGATTTGTTGAAATGTATCACATCTTTCATAGCTGTAGATGTACTACCCTGAGTAAAGAGCATGTATTCTTTTCACAAATGGGGATATCTGCAAAACTCAGAAATTCACTGGCTCTCATAAGATTTCTCCTTTCCCTTTCCTTTCCCTTTTCCTTTCCCTTTCCCTTTTCCTTTCCCTTTCCCTTTCCTTTCCCTTTCCCTTTGCCTTTCCCTTTCCTTTTTTCTTTCCCTTTCCCTTTCCCTTTCCTTTCCCTTTCCCTTTCCTTTCCTTCTTTTTTAATGGAATCTCACTCTGTCACTCATGCTCGAGTGTAGTGGTACCATCTCGACTAACTGCAACCTCTGTCTCCCAGGTTCAAGCAATTCTTCTGCCTCAGTCTCCCGAGTAGCTGGGACTACAAGTGCGTGCCACCACGGCCAGCTAATTTTTGTATTTTTAGTAGGGATGGGGTTTCACCATGTTGCCCAGGTTGGTCTCAAACTCCTGACCTCAAGGATACTCCTGCCTCAGCCTCCCAAAGTGCTGGGATTGCAGGTGTGAGCCACCACACCCAGCCAAGATATCTACTTTCATTAAAAAAAAATCCCTGTAGTTTTGGTGAAGATATAAATTAAATAAATAACCCTCCTGGCATGTGTGACATTTCTACTACTTCCTCAGTTTGAACAAGTAATATATCCCATACCATACTCTCTTAAATGAGAAGGCAACAAAGGTGAGTCTAGTTCTGTTAAGGATGCTCTTCTACAATACATTTTTTCCTAAAGCTCTGAAGAGAAACAGAGAAACAACTTTGCCACCAATAGCTTGGACCTCTTGATTTTCAAAAACCCTGTCAGGATGTTTTCTTTGTTTTGATTTTGACAGCATAGCATCTGATTTTAATGACAGTCCTTTTTTTTTTTTTTTTTTTCGTTGTCAAATAAATTGTCCTTTTCTTTTGAAGGAGAAAACTGGAGGCTGTTTCTTACACTTTAGATACATCCTTGACAGAGCAATTCTAGAGAAGTTTTTATCAGGGACAATACTTTTTCCTTCATTCTTGTTACCATCTAAAGTCAGTATTCAATTAAGAAATTTTATCATAATTGTTGTTGCCACAGGGTTGAAGCTAATATTTGAGATAGAACACTCTTCTTGAATTACTCTGGGAAACAATAACCTTTGATTATTTCCATTGAGACTGTCAGAAACTATAAATGTAAGAGGACATCGGGCAGTCTGCACATTCTTTCTTAGAACTTCATGTAAAGTATCAGAATCTCAACAGAACTAATCAGATAAATCTTCAACCAAAATTATGTTCTTATCAGTCCTCAGATCATTTCCAAGCATTTGTAGCTTGCGATGCTTTGTTGCCCTTAGTAACAACTCTTTGTAAACTGAGATCTAAGACTGTTAGGGAAATATAAGGCAGCTTGATTCAGGATTAAACATCTTGAAACAATCTTTTTGGAAGTCTGTTAAAACTGGATTAATCAATCCACTCTTGTACTTGAATACCATGCTTCTTTGATAGTATTTTTATACTAATTGTCTTTCCACATCTAAAAGGACTTGTTATGAATAAAATAGATATACCCTGTTTGGGTTGCCTTTCTAAGACTTGAACTTTTATCCATGTTTCAACTTCAGTTATCTTCTGCACATCAAGTTCATGCAGAGTTTCTGGTTTATATTTATACACCCATGATTCATTTTCAGACAGATATTCTTTTAAATTTTTTAGAGCTTAAATCTGTTCTAAGGAAGATAACTTTTTTTCTATGTGGAAATCTATTACTTTCTAACATTTTTTTCTTGTATAACATGAGTGATTCACACCTAATGGTGTAGTAATAGTGTTCTCACTGTTCTCTGAAAAATCATCACATAATGAGTCTACCCAGTCTTCCGCCTTTGTGGAATGTAAACCAAAAAGTATCTAAGGAAAGTCTCTTTTTAAAAAGTTAAAAAGTTTTTTTTTTATTTCAGTAGGTTTTTGGGAAACAGTTGGTGTTTGCTTACATGAATACGTTCTTTAATGGTAATTTCTAAGATTGTGGTGCACCCATCATCCGAGCAGTGTACACTGTACCCAATGTGTAGTCTTTTATCCCTCACCTCCCCCCATCCAGTCCCCTGAGTCCCCAAAATCCAATATATCATTCTTATGCCTTAAACCAAACATATGTTTGCTTTTCCATTCCTGAGTTACTTCACTTAGAATAATAGTCTCCAGTTCCATCCAGGTTGCTGCAAGTGCCATTATTTTTTTTTTTTTAATGCCTGAGTAGTATTCCATGGTGTATATATGCCACATTTTCTTTATTCACTCATTGATTGATGGACATTTGGGCTGGTTACATATTTTTGCAGTTGCGAATTGTGCTGCTATAAACATGCATGTGCAGGTATCTTTTTTGTACAATGACTTCCTTTCCACTGGGTAGATACCTAGTAGTGGAGTTGCTAGATCAAACAGCAGATTTACTTTTAGTTCTTTAGGGGATCTCCATGCTGTTTTCCATGCCATAGTAGGTATACCAGTTTACATTCCCACCAACAGTGTAAAAGCATCTATTATTTTTTGATTTTTTTGTTATGGCCATTCTTGCTGGAGTCAGTTGGTATTGCATTGTGGTTTTAATTCGCATTTCTCTGATCATTAGTGATGTTGAGCATTTTTCCATAGGCTTTTTGGCTATTTGTATATCTTTGAGAATTGTCTGTTCATGTCCTTAGCCCACTTTTTGATGGGATTGTTTGTTTTTTTCTTGCTGATTTGTTTGAGTTCTTTGTAGATTCTGGATATAGTCCTTTGTCGGATGTATAGCTTGTGAAGATTTTCTCCCACTCTGTGGGTTGTCTGCTAACTCTGTGGATTATTTCTTTTGCTGTGCTGAAACTTTTTAGTTTAATTAAGTCCCATCTATTAACCCTTATTTTTATTGCATTTGCTTTTGGGTTCTTGGTCATGAAGTCTTTGCTTAAGCCAATGTCTAGAAGGGTTTTTTTCTCAGTGTTATCTGCTAGAATTTTTATGGTTTCAAGTCTTAGATTTAAGACTTCGATTTATCTTGAGCTGATTTCTGTATAAAGTGAGAGATGAGGATCCAGTTCCATTCTTCTACATGTGGCTTGCCAATTATTCCAACACTATTTGTTGAATAGGATGTCATTTCCCCACTTTACATTTTTGTTTGCTTTCTTGAAGATTAGTTGGCTGTATTTGGCTTTATTTCTGGGTTTTCTATTCTACTCCAATGATCTGTGTGCCTGTTTTTATACCAGTACCATGCTGTTTTGGTGACTTTATAATATAGTTTGAAATCGGGTAATGTGAAGTTTCCCAGATTTGTTCTTTTTGCATAGTCTTGCTTTGGCTATGTGGGCTCTCTTTTGGTTCTGTATGAATTTTAGGATTTTTTTTTAAGTTCTGTGAAGAATGATGGTGGTATTTTGATGGGAATTGCATTGAATTTGTAGATTGCTATTGGCTGTATGGTCATTTTCACAATATTAATTCTACCCAATATTCTATATAGTAATATTAATGAATTAATATTAATTCGTGAGCATGGGATGTGTTTCTATTTGTGTCATCTGTGATTTCTTTCAGCAGTGTTTTATAGCTTTTCTTGTAGACGTCTTTCACCTCCTTGGTTAGGTATACTCCTAAGTGTTTTATATTTTTGCAGCTATTGTGAAAGAAGTTGAGTTCTTGATTTGATTCTCCGCTTGGTTGCTGTTGGTTTATAGCAGACCTACTGATTTGTGTATATTAATTTTGTATCCTGAAATTTTGCTGAATTCATCTACAGTTCTAGGAGCTTTTTGGATGAGTCATTAGGGTTTTCTAGGTATATGATCATATCATCAGCAAACAACAACATTTTGACTTCCTCTTCACCAATTTGGATGCCCTTTATTTCTTTCTCTTGTCTGATTGCTCTGGCTAGGACTTCCAATATTCACTGAATAGAAGTGGTAAAAGTGGGTGTTCTTGTCTCGTTCCAGTTCTCAGGGGGAATGCTTTCAACTTTTTCTTGTTCAGTATAATGTTGGCTGTGGGTTTGTCATAGATGGTTTTTATTACCTTAAGGTATGTCCCTTCTATGCTGATTTTGCTGTCTTAATCATAAAGGGGTGCTGGATTTTGTCAAATGCTTTTTTTGCATCTATTGAGATAATCATGTGATTTTTGTTTTTAATTTTATGTGGTGTATCACATTTATTGACTTATGTATGTTAAGCCATCCCTGCATCCCTGGTATGACACCCACTTCATCATGGTGGATTATCTTTTTAATATGATGTTGGATTTGTTTAGCTAGTATTTTGTTGAGAATTTTTGTCTCTGTGTTTATCAGGGATATTGGTCTGTAGTTTTCTTTTTTTGTTTCGTCCTTCCCTGGTTTTGGTATTAGGGTGATACTGGCTTCATAGAATGATTTCAGGAGGATTCCCCCTTTCTCTTTCTTTTGGAATCATGTCAGTAGGATTGGTACCAATTCTTCTTTGAATGTCTGATAGAATTCAGCTGTGAATCCATCTGGTCCTGGCCTTTTTTTTTGTTTGCAGTTTTTTTCATTACCAATTCAGCCTCTCTTCCTGTTATTGGTCTGTTCAGAGATTCTTCATCTTCCTGGTTTAATCTAGGAGGCTGTATATTTCCAGGAATTTATCCATCTCCTCTAGGTTTTCTAATTTATACACATAAAGGTGTTCATAGTAGCCTTGAATAATCTTTTGTATGTCTGTGGTATCAGTAGTAATAGCTCCTGTTGTGTTTCTAGTTGAGCTTATTTGGATCTTCTCTCTTCTCTTCTTTTCTTTTCTTTTTTCTTTTTTCTTTTTTTGAGATGGAGTCTTGCTCTGTTGCTCAGGTTGGAGTGCAGTGGCGTGATCTCAGCTCACTGCATCCTCTGCCTCCCATGTTCAAGCGATTCATCTGCCTTGGCCTCCTGAGTAGCTGAGTTTACAGGCATGTGCCACTATGCCCGGCTAATTTTTGTTTTTTTAGTAGAGACAGGGTTTCACCATGTTGGCCAGGCTGGTCGTGAACTCCTGACCTCAGGTGATCCACCCCTCTTGGCCTCCCAAAGTGCTGAGATTATAGGCGTGAGCCACGGCGAACAGCCTTCTCTCTTCTTTTCTTGGTTAATCTCACTAATGGTCTATCAGTTTTATTTATCTTTTCAAAGAACCAGCTTTTTGTTTCATTTATGTTTTGTATTTTTTTTGTTTGTTTCCATTTCATTTAGTTCCACTCTGATGTTCGTTATTTCTTTTCTTCTGAGTTTGGATCTGGATTGTTCTTGTTTTTCCAGTTCCATGAGGTGTGAACTTACTTAGATTGTCTGTTTGTACTCTTTCAGACTTTTTGATGTAGATATTTAATATGATGAACTTTCCTCTTAGTGTTGCTTTTGCTGTATCCCAGAGGTTTTGATAGGTTGTGTCACTATTATCATTCAGTTCAAAGAAGTTTTTAATTTCCATCTTGATTTCATTTTTGACCCAGTGATCATTCAGGAGCAGGTTATTTAATTTCCATGTATTTGCATGCTTTTGAGTATTCCTTTTGGAGTTGATTTCTGATTTTATTCCACTGTGGTCTGAGAGAGTACTTGGTATAATTTCGATTTTCTTAAATTTACTGAAACTTGTTTTGTGTCCTATCATATGGTCCATCTTGAAGAATGTTCCATATGCTGATGAACAGAATGTATATTCTGCAGTTGTTGGGTAGAATGTTCTGTAAATACCTGTTAAGTCCATTTGTTGTAGGGTATAATTTAAGTCCATTGTTTCTTTGTTGACTTTCTGTCTTGATGATCTGTCTAATGCTGTCAGTGGAGTATTAAAGTTCTCCACTATTACTGTGTTGCCGTCTATCTCATTTCTTAGGTCCAGTAGTAATTGTTTTATAAATGTGGGGGCTCCAGTGTTAGGTGCATATATATTTAGAATTGTGATGTTTTCCTTTTGGAGTAGTCCTTTTATCATTATATAATGTCTCTCTTTGTCTTTTTTTAACTGCTGTTGCTTTGAAGTTTGTTTTGTCTGATACAAGGATAGCTGCTCCTACTCCTACTTTTGGTGTACATTTGCATGGAATGTCTTTTTCAGCCCCTTTACCTTAAGTTTATGTTAGTCCTTACATGTTAGGTGAGTCTCCTGAAGACAGCAGAAACTTGGTTGGTAAATTCTTATCTATTCTGCCATTCTGTATCTTTTAAGTGGAGCACTTAGGCCATTTACATTCAATGATAGTATTGAGATGTGAGATACTGTTCTCTTCATTGCACTATTTGTTGCCTGAATATCTTGGGTTTTTGTTTTGTTTTGTTTTGTTTTTTCATTGTGTTATTGTTATATAGGGTCCTGTGAACCTTATGCTTTAAGGAGGTTCTATTTTGGTGTATTTTGCGGATTTGTTTCAAGATTTAGAGCTCCTTTTAGCAGTTCTTGTAGTGCTGGCTTGGTAATGAATGAATTCTCTCAGCATTTGTTTGTCTGGAAAAGGCTGTGTCTTTCCTTCATTTATGAAACTTAGTTTTACTGGATACAAAATTCATGACTGATAATTGTTTTGTTTAAGGAGGCTAAAATAGGACCTCAACCCCTTGTAGCTTGTAGGGATTCTGCTGAGAAATCTGCTGTTAATCTGATAAGTTTTCCTTTTACAGGTTACCTGATGCTTTTGCCTCACAGCTCTTAAGATTCTTTCCTTTGTCTTGGCATTAGATGAGTTGATGACTATGTGCTTAGACGATAATCTTTTTGTGATGAATTTCCCAGTGCTCTTTGTACTTCTTGTATTTGGTTGTCTAGATCTCTAGCAAGGCTGGAGAAGTTTTCCTTGACTATCCCCTCAAATACGTTTTCCAAACTTTTAGGTTTCTCTTCTTCTTTGGGAACACCAATTATTCTTAGCTTTGTACGTTTAACATAGTCCCAAACTTCTTGGAGGCTTTGTTCATATTTTTAAATTCTTTTTTCTTTGTCTTTGATGGATTGGGTTAATTCAAAAGCCTTGTCTTCAGGCTCTGAAGTTCTTTCTTCTGCTTGTTTGATTCTATTGCTGAGACTTTCCAGTGCATTTTGCATTTCTCTGAGTGTGTCCTTGATTTCCAGAAGTTTTTATTGTTTTTTATTCATATTTATGCTATCTATTTCACTGAAGAATTTTTCTTTCATATCCTGTATCATGTTTTTGATGTCTTTAAGTTGGACTTCACCCTTCTCTGATGCCTCCTTGATTTGCTTAATAATCTACCTTCTGAATTCTTTTTCTGGCAATGCAGAGCTTTTGTCTTGGTTTGCATCCATTGCTGGTGAGCTGGTATGATCTTTTGGGGATGTTAAAGAATCTTGTTTTGTCATGTTACCAGAATTTTTCCTGGTTCCTTCCCATTGGGGTAGACTATGTCAGAGGGAAGATCTGAGATTCAAGAGTTGCTGTTCAGATTCTTTTGTCCCATGGGGTCCTCCCTTTGATGTGGTATTCTCCCTGTTGTCTTATGAATGGGGCTTCCTGAGAGCTGAACTTTTTTTTTTGACCTTCTGGGTCTAGCCACTCAGTGGAGGTACTGGGCTCCAGACTGGTACTGGGGAGTGTCTGCAGAGTCCTGTGATATGATCCATCTTCAGATCTTGCAGCTGTGGATACCAGCACCTGCTCCGTTGGAGGTAACAGGGGAGTAAAGTGGACTCTGTGAAGGTCTTTGGTTGTGTTTTTGTTTAGTGTGCTGGTTTTGTGTTGGTTGGCCTACAGCCAGGAGGTGGCACTTTCAAGAGTGCATCAGCTGTGGTCCTATAGGGAGGATGCAAACTTGCCCTAGGGACACCTGGTTAAGTTTTCAGGTGTCTCAGGTGGTGGACAGGGCCATAGAGCTCCTGAGAGATTACGACCATTGTCTTCAGCTACCAGGGCAGGTGGAAAAAGACCACCAGGTGGGAGCAGGGATAGGTATGTCCGAGCTTAGCCTCTCCTTGGGCAGGGCTTGCTGTGGCTGCTGTGGGAGATGAGGGTGTGGTTCCCAGTCCAATGAAGTTATATTCCCAGGGGGTTTACAGCTGCCTCTACTGAGTCATACAGGTCACCAGGGAAGTCTGGGAAAGCCGGCACTCACAGGCCTCACCCTGCTCCCACTCGGCCGCAGTCCTGAAGGCCAGTCTCATTCCAACTGTAACTCCCCAACAGCACCGAGTCTATTTCTAGGCAGCTAGTGACTAGGGCTGAGTACTTGCCCCAGATCATGAGCCTCCCCATTCAGAAAGCAAGCAGACTCACAGTTTTTCGGCATTTTGGGGAGCCTGCAGTGGTGATACAGTTGCTTTAGAGGGTCTGTGGATTCTCCCGGCTTTCTTAGTATGTTTCTGTGGTAGTTCTTGAAGCAAAAGTTTATGACATGAGTCTCCACATACTGTTCTGTCTGAGTGGGAGCTGCAAGCTAGTTCTGCCTCCTATTTGCCATGTTAATCCTGAAACAGGTCTCAAACAGTTTAGAAATTTATTTCATTAGGGTTACAGATCATGACTCATGACACAGCCTCAGGATGTCCTGTGAACATGAGCCCAAGGTGGTTTGGTTATAGCATGGTTTTCCATGTTTTAGGGAGACATGAGACATCAGTCAGTACATGTGAGGCATACAGTGGTTTGGTCTGGAAAGGTGGAATAACTCAAGGGGTGTTGGGGGGTGGCTTATAGGTCATAGGTGGATTCAACTATTTTCTTAGTGGTTGAAGGAGCTATTATAAGACCTGGAATCAATAGAAAGAAGCGTCTAGGTTAAGGCGTTGTGGAGACCAGCGTTCTTATTATGTAGATGACGTCTCATATGCCTCCACCCCCAGAGGCAATAGATGGCAAATATTCCCTATTCAGAGCCTTAGTAGGTGCTAGAGCACTCAGCCAATCTTTTCAGAATCAGGAAAAGTCCTGGAAGGGGAAGAAGATTCTCTAGAATGTAAATTTCCCCCACAACAGACAGCATTGTAGGGCCATTGCAAAATATGTCAGAGAAACATATTTTGAGGTAAAATACTTTGGTTTCTTCCAGGGCTCTGCTGTCATGTGATGCTACACTAGAGTCAGGTTGGAGTTTGGTATCTTGTTTCTGCAAAGAGTCTGTTCTGTCAGTCTTAGGATCTCTATTTTAATGTTAATGCTGGTCAGTTGTGTGCCTGAACTCCAAAGGGAGGAGAGTATAATGAGGCATGTCTAACCACTCCTTTCGCATCATGGTCTGAACTAGTTTTTCAGGTTCAGTTGGGTCCTCTTGGCCTAAAAGAGGGTCCTTAGTCAGGTAGGGCACTTAGAATTTTATTTTTAGTTAACAGAAAGATGCCTTTGGTCTAAGAAAGTTTTGACATTATAAACTTTAATAGTTCATCTGTAGTATACAACCTGTAGTATATTAAAACATAATTCATTTCCATTAAAAAGAATGTAATGGTTGATGCCAGATTCCTGAAAGGAGACATCAGAGATAGAAGATACATTCAGGACTATTCCTATCAGACCCACTACTGCCCCACACATTGCACAGAGGATAGTAAACTCAAACTTCATTCAACATAATCTTGTAATCAGTATTGAGCCATACTGAGCATGCATGTCCCTGCTCCAGGCTGTACCCAAACCACCTTGGGCACATGTTCTCATAGTGCATATTTCTGCACTCTCACCTTTCTCATCTCCAGATGGGATGGGCAGTCTGGAAGGAAGAACAGTAAGAGCCCAGGAAGACATGAAGGCAGAGATGGACTCACATCTCTATGACATATATACAACATAGCCATGGTCAAGGTGGCCTTATTCTCCCAGAGCGGCGTCCCCTCATGGGCAGAGAGGAGCTCAAGCCCTGCTTCAGGTGGAAGGGCAGTTGCCTGGCCCTAGCCAGGATCAATGCTGAGCCCCTCGGAGGTCCTGCTTCCCAGGGACCCTGTTTATATTTTATATTTATATTTGGATTTATTTCTAACTTTATTTTTTTTTCTATTCACTCTACTTTTTTCTCTTTTTCTACTTCATTTGTGGTGAGGGTCTTTTAATGCTAAACTCAATTTTTACCTGAGATATCTTCATTTCATTTTCTTTTTGAATTACAGTTTAGAAATATGATTAATTTCTAGGTTGATAGTTGTTTTCTTAAAATTCTGAATATACTAGTACATTGTATTTCACTGTGGCAGTTGGGAAATTTGCTCTTCTTTTTTTTTTTCTTTTTTAGAGACAGGGTCTCACTCTGTTGCCCAGGCTGGGGTGCGGTGTCACGTTCGTGGCTCACTTCAGCCTTGGCCTCCTGGGCTCAAGGAATCCTCTTGCCTCAGCCTCCTGAGTAGCTGGGAATACAAGCATGCACCACTACACCCAGCTAGTCTTATTTCTTTGTAGAGATGGGGCCTTGCTGTGTTGCCCAGTGTAAACCAAAAATAAAATCCTAAGGCCCCCCAACCATCTGAATAGACCCCCACCTCTTGGCCAGGGCACTCCAAAGTTAACCTGCAAAATGGGTTCAGGGCATGACGAGAAGGGAGGGTAATACATGCCTTATACCCTCCTCCCTTTTGGAATTTAGGGGAAGCCAACCAGCATTTAACATCAACACAGACCTTAAATTTGATAAGAAACATTTATAATCTTTATTCTCTGAAGCCTGCTACCTGGCGTCATCTGCATGATAAAATTTGGTCTCCACAACCCCTTATCATAACCCAGACATTCCTTTCTGTTGATAATAGCTCTTTCAACCAATTGCCAATCAGAATATTTTTAAATCTACATATAACCTGGAAGCCCCCTGCCCCTTCAAGTTGTCCTGCCTTTCCAGATCGAACCAATATATATCTTACATGTATTTGATTGATGTTTTATGTCTCCCTGAAATGTATAAAACTAGGCTGTGCCCCAACTACCTTGGACACATGTTCTCAGGATCTCCTGAGGGCTGTGTCATGGGCCACTAGTTACTCATATTTGGCTCAGAATATATCTTTTCAAATATTTTACAGAGGCCGGGTGTGGTGGCTCACACCTGTAATCCCAGAACTTTGGAAGGCTGAGGCAGGACGATCACTTGAGCCCAGAAGTTCAAGACCAGCCCAGGCAGCATGGCAAGACCCCATCTCTACAAAAATAAAAAAAATTAACTGGGTGTAGTGGCACGCGCCTGTAGTCCCAGCTACTCAGAGGCTGAGGTGGGCAGGTTGCTTTGAGCCCAGGAGGTTGAGGATGAGGTGAGCCAAGACCATGTCACTGCACTCCAGCCTGGGCATCAGAGCAAGACCCTGCCTCAAAAAAAAAAAAAAGTGCAGTTTAACTCTTTGTCAACACTAGGCTGGTCTCAAACTCCTGGACTCAAGCAATCCTCCTGCCTCAGCCTTCCAAAGTGATGGGATTATGGGCATCAGCCACCATAACTGGCCAGAAATTTGCTGTTCTAATTGTTATTTCTTTATAAGTAACATGTATTTTTTCTCTCTGGAAGCTTTTAAGATCTCTTTGTTTTTGGTGTTGTACTATAGTGTGTCTAGGAGTGGATTTTGATTTCTTTATTCATCTAGAGACTTGTGCTTCCTGATTTTGAGAATTCATGTCATTAAGTCACTGCAGAAAAATTCTTGGCTGGTTTGTCTTTAAATGTTGCCTTTCTTCATTCTCTGTTCTTCTCCTGCAACTCCTATTAAAATGTATTTTGGACTTTCTTATTCTATCTTCTGTATCTCAACTTCCTTTCTATATTTTACATATTTTGTTTTTCCAGTTCACCTGTTTTCTACTGGGATTCAATATGCTGTTTAACTATTTCATTGTTTTGTTTCTTTTAACTTCAGTGACCACATTTTCGAATTTCAAGCAGTTTTTATTGTTCTTCTTAAATCTGCAGTCTGTTTTCATAGTTTATTATCTTATATTTTAAATTCCTTTTTGTGTCTTCAGATATTTAGACATTTTTAAACATTTTAAACATTTTAATGTTGTCTCTTTCCTAAAACCTTGTTATCTGATTTTAGGAGGTCAAAACCTACAGTTTGTTTTGTCTTTTATTGATTTACAGTGGACTAATTCTTCATGATTTATATTTTGATATTGTGTATTCATTTCATGTGATCTTTTTGTCTGGGAATTCTCAATAACTTGGTTTAAGGATATGTCTTCAAAGACATTTGTGTTGGCTTTTTCCAGGTACTCAGGCTTGATGGACCAGAAACTAACTTGGGGGTTATTTTTTTGTCTAGGGGTTTCTAGATTATATAGCTAATATAGATTTAGTCCCCAGATTCATTTGAAGGTAAATCAGTAGTCTTGAATTCCTGGAAGAGACTTTTGCCCAGGCTATGATGTAGGAGCTTTCTTACGTCCTTCTGTTGAAGGTAGAAGGGTTCTAATTATTCTTTTACTAAATGCGTAGTCTTTAGGGGAGCTGGATTTACACAGAACATATTAATGTAAACTCACTGCTCACTTTGGACTACTGGCTTTATCTCCTATTTCTTAACGGGTTTTGAAACTCAGCCATTTAGTTACCAAAGCCATCAGCCACCCCTCTTATGCCAGATAAACTCTCAACTTCTACTTGCTGCTCTAATTTTTCATTTCCTCTTTGTTCTTAGCTCTTTTTTACAAATTTATGCATTTGTTATCTTATACCTTGCATTTTTGGTTGTTTTGTGGGGATGATTTTTAGGATATCCAATATTCATGTTGCCATTAATAGAAGTTTCCAAAAAGCACACTAACATGTTCTAATATACTTTTAATGCATTAGTTTTCTACCTTATTTAATATACTAATAATGAAATTTTAAATAGAATTTTTGTTCTCAACCAATATCAAACTAAGCATATATGGTATCTTGGCTTTAAAAATTAGAATGACTTATTGAAAATCTGGTGACTAGTCAATTCCATTTTGTTTTAGTTAACTAGCACACTTTCTGATTAAGCAGTTCTCTCCATTCTCTGCAAAATGAAAAGAAACACAGGATTTTAGTAGAGTAGTATTTTTCCTAAACACAAATACTATGGACTGAATTGTATCTCCCCCCCAAAATTTATATGTTGAAGTCCTAACCCCTAGTACCTCAGACTGTGCCTAAGTTTAGAGATTAGATCTCTAAAGAAGTAATTAAGGTAAAATGAGGTAATATGGGTGGGCCCTAATCCTGTAGCAGGACAAGCCACAGACAAACCCCTCAGACACCGAGTTAAAGAAGGAAGGGCTTTATTCGGCTGGGAGCTTCAGCAAGATTCACGTCTCCAACAACCGAGCTCCCCGAGTGAGCAATTCCTGTCCCTTTTAAGGGCTCACAACTCTAAGGGGGTCTGCATGAGAGGGTCGTGATCGATTGAGCAAGCAGGAGGTATGTGACTGGGGACTGCATACACCAGTAATTAGAAAGGAACAGAACAGGACAGGGATCTTCACAGTGCTTTTTTTATGCAAATAACCGATTAGGTCAGGGGTCGATCTAACTACCAGGCCCAGGGTGTGGTGCAGGGCTGTCTGCTTGCGGATTTCATTTCTGCCTTTTAGTTTTTACTTCTTTCTTTGGAGGCAGAAATTGGGCATAAGACAGTATGAGGGGTGGTCTCCTCCCTTAATCCAATCTAACTAATATCCTTGTAAGAAGAGGAAATTTGGACACACAAAGGGACACCAGGGATTCCTGCACAAGGGAAATAGGTAAGGACAAAGCAAGATGGCGGTCTTCCGTAAGCCAAACAGAAAGGACCCAGAAGAAACCAAACCTGCTGACACCTTGATCTTGGATTTCTAGCTTCAGAACTATGAGAAAACGAATTTATATTGTTTAAGTCACCCAACCTGTAGTATTTTGTTACGTCATTCCTAGCAAACTAGTTTAAGTGTCTGCTGACTTTTCAGGATTCATCTTTTAGTATGTTGTCTATGGCTTTACTCTTTTCCTCAAGCTAATATTTATTTCACACCATTCAGATTAACAGTCTTCTAATTGGTAGCTTTGCTTTTGAAATGGTTCACTCTTCATTCTTTCAATACTGCTGTCAGAGCCATCTTTCAAAAATGAAATTTGTACCTAGCTTTCAGTTCCCAGTTTCTAAATACTGCACCCCTTAACAGGACCAGAGGTAAGGTACAAAGTGAGCTCAGAACAATTTGTCATGTCAGAAAGTTAAAAAGTACTCACAAAATGTTAGATACATGTTAGGATACAAGTACCTGTAGATGATTCCATGGGAAAAGAATAGTCTTCAAGAAATGATGATGCTAGGACAACTGGATATCCGCATGCAAAACAATGAAGTTGGGCCTCTGCCTCACATCATATACAAAAAAAATTAACTTAAATGGATCAGCAACCTGAATATAAAAGCTAAAACTATAGAACTCTTAGAAGACAACATAGGGGTAAATCTTCATGGCCTTGGATTTGACAGTGGATTCTTAAATATGACACTGAAAACGCAAGAAACAAAATTAGACAAATTTGACTTCATTGAAATTAAAAATTTTTGTGCACCAAAGAACATTGTCAGAGATGTGAAAGACAGTCTATAGAATGATAGAAACTGTTTTGTTTTTGTTGTTTGTTTGTTTTGGGATGGAGCTCTCGCTCTGTTGCTCAGGCTGGAGTGCAGTGGTATGATCATGGCGCACTGCAACCTCAGCCTCCTGGGTTCAAGTGATTCTTCTGCCTCAGCCTCCCAAGTGGCTGGGATTACAGGCACCTGCCACCATGCCTGGCTAATTTTTGTATTTTTAGTAGAGACAGGGTTTCACCATGTTAGCCAGGCTGGTCTCAAAACTCCTGACCTCAAGCGATCCTCCCACCTCAGCCTCCCAAAGTGCTGGGATTACAGGCATGAGCCATCACACCTGGCCTATAGAAACTATTTGTGAATCATGTATCTCTTAAGGGTCTAGCATCCACAATATATAAAGAACTATTACACAGAAAAAGCCAGTCCAATTAAAACTGGGCAAATGACTTGAAAAACTTTTCTCCAAAGAAGATGGAGTGGCCAGCAAACACAAGAAAAGATGCTCAACATCATTAGTCATTAGGGAAATGCAAATCAAAACCAAGAGATACATTATACTCACTAGGATAGATATAATTAAAAAATGGAATAACAAACTGGCAAGAATGTAGAATAAGTGGAATCCTTATACATTTTTGTTAGGCACATAAAATGGTGCAGCCACAATGGAGAAGTTTGGTGGTTCCTCAAAAAGTTAAACATAAGAATTACCATATGACCTAATTATTCCACAAGTACTATGTGGAATATCCAAAGGAACGTGTATATCCAAAAGAAATGAAAACAAGTACTGAAATACTTTTGTACATGAATGTTTATAGCAGCACTATTCTAAATAGCCAGAAGGTGGAAATAGCCTAAATGTCTGTCATCATTTGAATGGATAAACAAATTGTGATATATTCATACAATGGAATGTTATTTAGCCATAAAAAGGAAATGCTGAGGCGGGGCTGGTGGCTCATGCCTGTAATCCCAGCACTTTGGAAGGCCAAGGTGGGCGGATCACCTGAAGTCAGGAGTTCGAGACCAGCCTGGCCAACATGGTGAAACCCCATCTCCATTAAAAATATAAAAATTAGCCAGGTGTGGTGGCATATGCCAGTGGTCCCAGCTACTCGGGAGGCTGAAGCAAGAGAATCGCTTGAACCCAGGAGGCGGAGGTTGCAGTGACCCGAGATTGTGCCACTGCACTCCAGCCTGGGCGACAGAACGAGACTCGGTCTCAAAAAAAAAAAAAAAAAAAAAAAAAAGTGCTGATGCATGCTACAACTTGATTAAACCTTAAAAACACTGTACTGAGTGAAAAGAAGCCAGGTCACAAAAGATCACTATTGTATGATTTTGTTTATATTAAACATCCAAAATAGGTAAATACATAGAGATAGAAAGCAGATTGGTGATTACCAGGGGCTCGGAATAGGGTAGAATGTAGAGTGACTGCTTAATAGGCATAGGAATTTCTTATGAGTAATGAAAATGTTTTGGAAGTATACATGGAGGTGATGATTGCACAACATTGTGAATGTACCAAATGCCACTGAAGGTTACACTTTAATATGGTTAATTTTATGTTATATGAATTTCACTTCAATAAAAATGTTAATAGTTACAGAAATTGATTATAATATTGATTTTTAAAAGAATCCATGAGTCCATATTGAGACTAAAAAAAAATTAAAATTGAAAGAGGGGGCTTGTGTTTGTTTTAGAGATGAGATCTCACTCTGTCACTCAGGCTGGAGTGCAGTGGCGTGATCATAACTCACTGCAGCCTCAAACTCCCGGACTCAAGTAATCCCACTCTCCCAGCCTCCTAAGTAGCTGAGACTACAGGCTTGCACCAGCATGCTTGGCTTTTTCTTTTCTTTCCTTTTCCATTTTCCATTTTCCCTCTCTTCTCTTCCCTTCCCTTCCCTTCCCTTCCCTTCCCTTCCCTTACCTTCCCTTCCCTTCCCTTCCCTTCCCTTCCCTTCCCTCCCCTTCCCTCCCCTCCCCTCCCCTCCCCTCCCCTCCCCTCCCCTTCTCCCCTCCCTTCCCCTCCCCTCCCCTCTCCTCCCCTCCCCTCTCCTCCCCTCCCCTCTCCTCCCCTCCCCTCTCCCCTCCCTTCCCCTCCCCTCCCCTTCTCCCCTCCCCTCTCCTCCCCTCCCCTCTCCTCCCCTCCCCTCTCCTCTCCTCCCCTCTCCTCCCCTCCCCTCTCCCCTCCCCTCTCCCTTCCCCTCTCCCCTCCCCTCCCCTCTCCCCTCCCCTCTCCCCTCCCCTCTCCCCTCCCCTCTCCCCTCCCCTCTCCCCTCCCCTCCCCTCCCCTCCCCTCTCCCTCTCCTCTCCCTCTCCTCTCCCTCTCCTCTCCTCTCCCTCTCCTCTCCTCTCCCTCTCCTCTCCTCTTCTCTCCTCTCCTCTCCTCTCCTCTCCCAAGCTGGTCTCAAACTCTTGGCCTCAAGTGATCCTCCTGCCTCAGCCTTCCAGTGGGCTGAGATTACAGGCATGAGGTACCACATCCAGTGAAAGGCTCTTCTTGGAGAAGAATGGTGACTAATACATGTAGAAAGAATGATGTTTTAAAATCACCATTTTACAGTCCCCATAGTAATAATTGATTTAGTAATTGCGGAAACCATTGTGTAAAGGATTGCCAGGGACAAGAATATTCACAAAGCCCCGAAGTATCACCATGTTGATTATCACTATTGAAGGGAAACTGTGCCTTTCTCATAGAGACATCTGACAGATACTACCTTAACAAAATGATCAAACCTTACACCACCCAGGTACTCTAAAACCATTTACCAAAAAGAGTGAGAGTGAGCAAAAGTGGCAACACGTTAATTGGTGAATGTAGGTGAAGTTTACATGGGTGCTAATTGAACTATTCTTGCATTTTTTTCTATAGGTTTAAAATTTTTCAAAATAAGTGGGGGTAAAGATGAAATTTGGATATGACCCTTTCCTGTTTAATAGTGTTGCCTGAAGGTTAACAGTTGAACTCTTTAGCCTACTAGTTAAGGATCCTTATGATTCAGCCCCTGTTTATCTTTCCAGTCTTATCTTTTTCCATCACATTTCTCAAACTAGTTTAAATGTTAGCTATGCCACACTACTTCCTATTTTTCAGATTGCTCATGTTCTCTTTCACCCTCATGACTTCGTACACATTATATGTGCCCTCTCCTTGAAGTTTCCTTTTCCTGTCTTTATCTTGCAGACTTCTGCTTGTCTCGCTGAATTCTGTGTAGTTTATCATTTCTTGCAGGAATCTTCCCTGATCATCCTAGGTTGAGTGGATGCTTATAATGCATTGCTCATATTCCTGTTATACCACTTGTTACACTATAAGTTAATTGGCTGAGTACTTGTCTGTTTTCTTCCTAGACTGGGAACTCCTTGATGCCTTGGACTGTGATTTATTTTTCTTCTTTTGGTGTCCACAGTACCTGCAAGAGTGTGTGCCACACGGTAGCTGTTTAAGAAAAGATTTTTACATAAATGAATAAATTTCACCTCCTGCTATTTCCCTGGATATTTTAACTTAAAATAGGTCTGTTTATCTTCATTTGTACTTAATATCAGTTTTATGTGTATATCATGTTTGGTTTTCTTAGTTTTATTTCTTTTTCTCAACTTTATATAGTGAATGATTTTGTTACAGAAATTATTAGTAATTTATAGAATTCTGCAGCACAACTAGTACATGATAGGATTTGATCCAATAAGTATGAACATTTCTTGCTTAACTGTACTACATTGCTAAGCACTGTGGGAGAATATAATAGAGATGACATTTTGGCAATTTAGACAATGAGCTAATGTTTCCTAACATTAAAGCCAAATCTATAACTCATTTTCTATACAAATAAAACTTCTGGATTTAGCAGAGATGTAAATATGATTTTAAAAGGAAAGAAACTCTAAATATACTAAAAACATTTAGGTAAGTTTTTTTTTTAAAATAATCATGTAATATAAAGTCCTTTATAGTGCTGACCTAAAAGGAAGAAGCTGAGGCAAAATTCATGGAAGTAGAGCTTATTTGGGCCAGGGTCGAGGATTGTAAACCAGGAGCATGGATTCAAGTTGCCCTGAATGTAGACTCCAATTAGCAGCAGTTACAAGTAGGTTTTGAAATGAAAGGAAGCAATTCCTAAATTGTTTCCAAGAAATTACATTAATATAACAAGCTATTGATTGGGTATACATTATTCCTTGTATCACAAATTCCAGGAAAATGAAGATAATGGGTGAGTCAGTTAGTCAGGAACAAAATATCTTTAAACAATTGCCCCTGGGCATGGGTGCATAGGGTGTGACTGAAGTCCCATACTCACGTCTCTCTGGGCCTGATAAATTTTACATGCCTCACATAGCTCAGACTGCTCTGAGCTGTTTTTCTTTTCTCAGTAATATAAAATGAAACCCAGAAGCTATAAAGGAAAACATATTGATATAATAATTCTTCTACTTAAAAATGTAAAACTCTAGTGTAGCAAAACAAATTTTTTTATTTGAAAAAAGAGAAAGTATCTGTGTTACATGTTATGGCAAAGGGCTCATTTCCTTGGCATACAAACGACTATTACAAATCAGTGGAAGAAATTCAAACAACCCAATTGAAAAACAGGTAAAGGACATCAATAAATAGTCTGTGGAGGCCAGGCGTGGTGGCTCATGCCTGTAATCCCAGCACTTTGGGAGGCCGAGGTGGGCAGATCACGAGGTCAGGAGTTTGAGACCAGCCTGACAAACATGGTGAAACCCCGTCTTTACTAAAAATACAAAAATTAGCCGGGCATGGTGGCAGGTGCCTGTAATCCCAGCTACTTGGGAGGCTGAGGCAGGAGAATCGCTTGAACCTGGGAGGTGGAGGTTGCAGTGAGCCAAGATCGTGCCATTGCACTACAGCCTGGGCAACAGAGCAAGACTCCGTCTCAAAAAAAAAGTAGTCTGTGGAAAAAGAAGATTGCTGATAAATATAGAAATATTGCCCCCCGCCCCCCCCCCAAAAAAAAAACAACAAGGGGTTTGTTCACCTAGCAAGCAACAAACAAGTGTCCACAAAAACACAGGTTTTGACCAATAGAAGTTTTATTACCTATCACAAGGAAAGAGATCACTGAGAGTATTCTCCAAAGCAGTGTCTCCCTGAGGGAAAGTGACAGGAAGGTTTCATGGATCAGTGGAGAAGGGAGAGGATACGTCATCACATGTAGAGGAGGGGCCCCAGTGGCGCAGACACAGTCAGTCATTATGCCAGCACACAGGTTGCATGTAATGATAATGATGCTATAGCTCCTCCTGGGGTGGAGACTTTATAGCATGGTGAGGCGGAAAGTTCACTTGGGTTCATGTGTAAGTTGCTGAGGTCTGTCAGTAGCTGATTCCAACTGACTAGATGACCACATAACATACAGGGTTTGGGAAAAAACAGGTTGCAAGGCAGGAGGGTATAAAGCAAGCTCACAGTTCATGTTTATTAAATTCTTATAGTCCCTGGAGACCTTCCGTGTCTGCTTACAATATGTTATAATGAATGAGTAGGTCTGTATACTGCTGTGGAAAATTGTATGAGTGAAAAAATCCATCATACTTTTCAATTCCTGATTCAGTTATCTATTGTTGTGTAACAAACCAACTCAAAACTTAGTGCGTCAAATCAGCAAACATTTATTTGCTCCATTTCTGCTCTCTGGGCAGAGCTCAACTGGGCAGTCTTTGCACTGGTCTTGCCTAGAGTCACTCACCTACTTAAAGACGTATAGAGTCAACTAGAGCTGGAAACCTGCAATGGGCTGGTCAGGCAGCTCTCTCTCCCCATCTCTGTGGCATCTTCAGCAGAGTATCTGGACCTTTTTTACATGGTAGCTCAGGAACCCAGGAGGGAACTTTCCAAGAGTCACAGGGCCCAGTATCTAAGTGCTTATGAAAACCAAGTCACATGGCCAAGCCCAGAGTTAGTATTGAGGACTACACAATATGTAATACCAAGAGGTGTGATTCACTGGGGACCACCAGTGTAACCACACTTCCTAATTTATGTTACATACCTATTTATCTGTTTATTGCCACTCTTCCATTAGAATGTATCATCTGCAAGAGGATGGGTTCTGCTTATCTTGTTCACCTATATCAGCCTAGAACAAGATATACTACATTGTTGGATTTCAGTAAATTTTTGCTGAATATATATGTCTAGTAAGATGTTGTGTTTAAAGAAAATGGTGTGTATTAGGGGAGGCTGGTATTTCTGTGTGCATAATAAACTTCTGGAAAGATAAACATAATGGTTTTATGATTAAACATGATGGTTTCTGGATTTGAAAAGGAATAAGGGGACAAGAGGGGACCTTTTACTCTATTTCATTTACATTGTGTATTTCCATGACTGTATCCCAGTTTTATAACTTAATACATAGTAAAATATGAGAATCATTCTTTATTTGTAAAAAAATTATTTTCTTAGACATTTATAAGAAATACTAAAATTAGAGTACAAGGCCAAGCAGCTTGTAAAAATGATTTAAAGTTGTCTGGTCAGTATGATAGAGTTCTTAAAAACATTCAAGTTTATGCTAAATGAATGTTATTCATTTACTTATTCTCCTACTCAACAAAGATTTTTTGAGTATATAATAAGTACTATAGTACATTGTTTTGGGTATCTCAGTGACAAGATTCTTTGTCTTCCAGAGTTCTATTAGTTCAATTGGCAGACCTGGTTGGATGAATAGGAAAATGCCAAATTATAAAATACCTTTGAAAATTCTTAAAAAACTGTATTCCTGTATTCGTTTTGGTTATTAAAATAGTCATTTGGAGCCAAGCATAGTAAAGATTTTGAGTCAGAGACAAAAGAATAAAATAGTAAGACTTTTTCATTTGTGACTTCTGAACTAACTCTCAAGGCAATCTAGAAAAAAGTAGTTTTAGTTCTTCTGAGTTCTCTAGAGTAGATCTCTCACCCTTATAGTTCATTGCTAGATAACCTAAAGAGTATCTGGCATTTATGGTGCCCAAGAAACACTTATTGAAGATATATGTAATAGGCTTCACTTACTGCTGCTTACTGTGTATGTCACACTGTGCTGTATGTTTTACATGTATATTATCTGTTAATCCTTCAACAGCCCTGTGGCAAAATCATTATAGATCTCAGTTTTCAGACTAGGCAACAAAGACTTAAGTAACATACCCAAAGTTACAAATAGCTATTAAGTGGTGAAGCATATTGAAAGTCAAGATCAGAGATACTTCAAAGCTTATATTCTTTTTTTTTTTAACAACATTCTTTTTTTTTTAATATATACTTTAAGTTCTGGGATACATGTGCAGAACATGCAGGTTTGTTACATAGGTATACACGTGCCATGGTGGTTTGCTGCACCCATCAACTGGTCATCTGCATTAGGTATTTCTCCTAATACTTTCCCCTCACTGCCCTCAAAGCTTATATTCTTAATGACTATTCCTTTTTGCCCCTCCACCAAACCCATTCATATGAGACTAGCATTGTTTTGCATCTGTATATGCTTGCATGTTTATTCAAAAAACAGTCTATTTTTTAATTACCTCGGAGAAGACTTTATGGGCAAAAGTGTAGAGGCAGGAAGGAATGTTTGGCTAGACTAGAGTGGCTTATAATAGACATGACGAGATGGGTAAAGAAGTAATAAATTGTAACCTGGAAAGCCAAAGGATTGTATCATGCTGTTAATTGGCTATTCTACTAAAAGGTCAGATGAGGGAAGAACTAAAAATTTTTAGTTTTAAAAAAAATTAGCTTTTGGGTTATTTGTAGATTTTAATTATATTTTCTTTATTCTTCAAGGATATGTAAGATGTGCCTACATTTATGCTTTAAATATCTCTGATTTGTCTATCAACTAATAACATTAGAGCAGTGTCTTTCGCATTTCTTAATTCCCTCTCTAATTTCCCTGTTTATCCTTCTCTCTGTGCAGATTGTTGGTTTGGCATTCTGTCTGGATAGCCTCAGCCAACAAGTATTAATAGCTTGGTCAAAACACAGAATTTTGAGGAATCATTGTATCCATAGGGTAAGGTGGATGTAAAGCAAAGATATTTAGGTAGTTTAGCCATGATTTATTTTATTAACCCATTTATGCCTAGTGTACCATTATTGGAACGCTAAGCTTGTGGGAGTTATTTGTATCCTGCTGCTCAAGGTCATCGCCAAGGTCCGATTTTTCACAAAAAAACCTTATAACCTCCAGCATAAATGGGTTAATTTAATCATTTCTTATTGATTTCGTCTGTCCTAATAGTTCTTAATCTACTTTGGGTCTTGGACCTCTAAAAATCTGATGAAAACAGTGCTCAGAAATTGTAATATCTACAGAAAGTTTATATACCAATCCAGGTTGTTTACAAACCCTTTGAATCCTATCTATGACACCCAGGTTAAGAACTCTTGTGCTTTATCTCCATGCTGGTCTCAAGTAACATCCTACAGTAATTCACCACCACTATAAAATTTTATCACTAATTAGAAAAAGGGTGGAAAAGATGGAATGCTTTAAAAATTTTAAGAACCATAGATTTGTTAGAATCATTAAAAATGTGTTGGAAATAAAAGCAAAAGGAACATCCTTCAGTCTACTTTCAAAATTTTAAGTATGTTTTACAGGCCAAGCATTGTGGCTGTCCTGTAATCCCAGCACTTTGGGAGGCCGAGCTGGGCGGATCGCTTGAGGCCAGGAGTTTGAGACCAGCCTGGGCAACATGGCAAAACCCCGTCTTTATTTAAAAAAAAAAAAAAAGTGTGTAAGTGTGTGTGTGTGTGTAATTTAGCCAGGCATGGTGGTGTTCACCTATAGTCCCAGCTACCCTAGAGGCAATGATGGGAGGATAGATTGAGCCCGGGAGGTCAAGGCTGCAGTGAACTGTGATGGCACCATTGCACTCCAGCCCAGGAAACAGAGTGAGACCCGTCTATAAAAAATAAATTAATTAATTAATTAAATTAAATAAAAACAGTTGTTGGATCACAAAGGAGATCAAGAACAAAATAGCAGAAAATCTAATAGTGGTGAATCAACCATTGTGGAATCAACCATTGTGGCGATTCCTCAAAGGGCTGAAAACAGAATTACCTTTTGACCCAGCAATTCCATTACTGGATATATGCCCAAAAGAATAGAAATTGTTCTGTTATGTCATGAAGATACATGCATGCATCCATTCATTGCCACACTATTCACAATAGCCAAGACATGGAATCAACCTAAATGCCTCTCAGTGGCAGACTGGATGAAGAAAATGTGGTACATATACACCATGGAATACTATGCAGCCATAAAAAGGAATGAGATTGTGTCCTTTGCAGGGACATGGATGGAGCTGGAGGCCATTATCCTTAGCAAACTAACGCAGGAACAGAAAACAAATACAACATGTTCTTACTTACAAGTGGGAGCTAAATGATGAGAACACATGGACATAAAGAGGGGAACAACAGACACTAGGGCTTACCTGAAGGTGGAGGGTGGGAGGACGAAGAGGAGTAGGAAAAAATAACTATTGGGTACTAGATTTAGTACCTGGGTTGCAAAATAATACATACAACAAACCCCCGTGACATCAGTGTTTACTTATATAACAAACCTACACGTGTACCGTGAACCTAAAATAAAAGTTAAAAAAAATGTACTGAAAATACTCTACATGGTTAAGCTGATTTAAGTAAAACTCATAATCTTAAGTGTAGGTATTATTAAGAAGAGAATGAAATGAGTATTTAACTGAAAAGATTAGAAAAAACAAAAAAGTAAGCCTAAGGAGAACAAAGGAAATGATGAAAGTTAAAAGTAGAAATTAATACCTTTAAAGAAACCTTTAATACCTTTAAAGATGACGGTGGCCTCCTGAGTTAATCCTCTGTGGCACTACCCTGCTTAAATAAAACTCTTCATTGTCCTTAAAATGGCTCACTAGACCCTTCATAACCTGGTTCCTATCCACTGCTTACTATATTTCTCACCCTTCCCGTGTTCCCCCACCCCCATGCTCCAACCATATAGAACTCCAGAATTTCTTTTGGTTCGTTGAACACAGTAAACTTAATGTCATTTCCGATCCTTGTGCTTTGCCCTTATTCTTCTCTAGGCCTTCCCACTCTTCTTGCCTGGCCAATTCCTACTGAGTCTTCAAGACACAGCTTAAATTTTACATACTCTAAAAAGGCATTGAACATACAAATGTACATACACATACACACAAGTGCTCAGGTAACAGACTAATTTACATACTCAATCTTCAGTGGTTTGATAGCATTTTACTGCCCCTATTATAGCACTTCTCTCACCAGTCAATATCAAAGAAGTGTTTGACAAGAGGAGTAATAATTGAGGTACACCATCAGAAATCCAAAGTTACACTGCTTAAAATTATTAAAATGAAGCATATTTCCAAAGCTACTTTTGCTAGAGCAGATACTAGTATGAGTGAGATAGGCCAGAATAGTATATTATAAGCAAAAGAAAGTATCCTAAATTTAGCAAATTGTATTGGTTAACTCTCAAGGGAAAAAATACTTTTGAGTCTTCAGATAAATTTTAGATACATCAAGGAAATAAATATAAGCAATTAAGTTATATAAAAACTAGGAAAAATAGGAACTAGTACTAATCCAAACCTCTGGATCAGTGTTGCCTAATAGAAATATAATACAAGCCACATAAGTAGTGTTTTTTTAAAATTTATTTTTATTTATTTATTTTTTTGAGACAGAGTCTTGCACTGTCACCCGGGCTGGAGTACAATGGCATGATCTCGGCTCACTGCAACCTCCGCCTCCTGGGTTCAAGCAGTTCTCCTGCCGCAGCCTCCTGAGTAGCTGGGGTTACAGGCACCCGCCACCACGCCCAGCTAATAAGTAGTGTTAAAATTTTTTAGTAGCCTCATTAAAAAAATAAAAACAGGAAAAATTAATTATAACATTTTAACCCAGTATGTCCAGAATATTGTTTCAACATGTAATTGATATAAAAATATGAAGTACCAGAGTTTTTTAATACTAAGCCTTAAGGTTTTTAATGTATTTTTAAAGATACATGTGATATTTTGATACATGTATACAATGTCCAATGATCAAATTAGGATAATTGGGATATCTGTCATCTCAAACATTTATCTTTGTTTTGAAAACACAACAATCTTCTAGCTACTTTTAAATACATAATAAAGTAGTAACTGTTAAGTTCTTTACTATCAAATACTAGAACGTATTCTTTCTAACTGTAATTTTGTACCTATTAACTGATTTCTTCTCAATCTCACACCCACCTTCCCAGCCTCCAGTAACCACGATTCTATTCTCTACGTCCTTTAGTTCCACTTTTTCAGCTCCCACATGTGAGTGAGAACATGCAATATTTATGTTTCTATGCCTAGCTTATTTTACTGAACATAACGACCTCAATTTCCATCCATTTTGCCACAGATAACAGGATTTCTTTTTTTTTTTTGTTTTGTTTTTTTTCTTTTTTTTGAGACAGGATCTCACTTCATTGCCCAGGTTGGAGTGCAGTGGTGCCATCGTAGCTCACTACAGTCTTGACCTCCTGAGATAAAGCAATCCTCCTGCCTCAGCCGCCCAAGTAGCTGGAACTACAGGCATGTACCCCCATGCCGGCTTTTTTTTTTTTTTTTTTTGTAGAGATGAGGTCTCACTCTGTTGCCCAGGTTGGCCTTGCGCTCCTGAGCTCAAGCAGTCTTTCCACCTCAGCCTCCCAAAGTGCTGGGATTACAGGAGTGAGCCACCGTTCCCCAGCCAGGATTTTGTTCTTTTTCATGGGTGAAAAATATTTCATTGTGTATATATACCACATTTTCTTTATCCATTCATCCATTGATGGACACTTGGGTTGATTCCATATCTTGGCTACTGTGAATAGTGCTGCAATAAACATGGGAATACAAATATCTCTTTGATATACTGATTTCCTTTCTTTTGGACATATACTCAGCAGTAGGATTGCTGGGTCATATGGTAGTTCTATTGTTTGTGTTTTGAGGAACCTCCATACTGTTTTCCCTAATGGCTATAATAATTTACATTCCTACCAACAGTGTAAGAGCATTCTCCTTTCTCTGCATCCTCCCCACATCTGTTATTTTTTTGACATTTTTGTAATAGCCATTCTGACTGGGTTAAGATAATATCTCATTTTGGTTTTGATTTGCATTTCCCTGATGATTAGTAATGTTGAGCATTTTTTTATATACTTGGCCATTTGTATGTCTTCTTTTGAGAAATGTCTACTCAGATCTTTTGCCTATTTTTAAATCTGATTATTTGGTTTTTTTTTTTTGCTATTGAGTCATTTGAGAGCCTTACATATTCCAGTTATTAATGCCCTGCCAGATAGATAGTTTGCAGATATTTTCTCCTATTCTATGGGTTGTCTCTTCACTTTGTTTCTATTTGTTTTTAAGATAGGGTCTCACTATGTCGCCCAGGCTGGTCTCAAACTCCTGGGCTCAAGTGATTCTCCTGCCTCAGCTTCCCAAAGTGCTGGGATTATAGGTGTGAGCTACCATGTCCAGCTACCTTGTTGATTGTTTCCTTTGCTGTGCAAAAGCTTTTTAGCTTGACATAATCCCATTTTATTTTTGCTTTTGTTGCCTGTGCTTTTGATGTCTTAAACAAAAAAATATTTGCCCAGACCATGGTCCTTTAGTATTTTCCCAATGTTTTTTTCTAGTAGTTTTGTAGTTTTAGGTCTTACATTTAAATCTTTAAGCCATTTTGAGCTGATTTTGTATATGTTGAAATATGGAACTGTAGTTTAATTCTTCTGCCTAATAGAAAACCGGTTTTCTGAGCACTATTTACTAAAAAGACTGTTCTTTCCCCACTATATGTTCTTGATTCCTTTGATGAAAATGAATTGGTTGTTGAGTTTCATGTCAAGGCTAGGTGAAAAGATAGAAAAAAGTGAGAGTTAAAAAGTTAAAAAAAAAGAAAATGAGTTGGCTCTAAGTGCATAGATTTATTTCTGGGTTCTCTGCTCTATTCTGTTGATCTCTCTGTCTGTTTTTATGCTAGTACCATGCTGTTTTATAGTTTTATAGTTTTCCTGGTAGAGATCTTTCACTTCTTAGGTTAAATTTATTCCTAGGTGGTTTCTTTTTTGTAGCTATTATAAATTAGGTTGCCTTCTTGATTTCTTTTTCATATTGATTGTTCATGTGTAGAAACACTACTGAGTTTTAAAAATAATAATTATTATTTAATTGCAGATGGGGTCTTGCTATATTGCCCAGGCTGGTCTCAAACTCCTGGGTTCAAGCAATCCTCCCACCTCAGCCTCCCAAAGTATTGGGATTACAGGCATGAGCCACCATGCCCAGCTAATACTACTGATTTTTGTATGTTGATTTTGTGTCCTACACCTTTACTAAATTTGTTTGTCAGTTCTAAGAGTATTTTGGTGGAGTCTTTAGGTTTTTCTAAGTATAAGATCATGTTGTCTGCAAACAAGGATAATTTGACTTCTTCTTTTCTTCTTTGTATGCTCTTTATTTCTGTCTCTTGCCTAATTTCTCTGGCTGGATGTACTAAGCCTTTGAAATCCAGTGTTTATTTCACACTTACAGCGCATATCCATACAAACTAGCTACATTTCAAGTGCTTGATAGCCATATGGCTCTTGGCTATCATTGGACAGCACAGCTGTAGATGAAGTTAAATATAGAAGCAGTAGAAGATAACACAAAGGAAAACAATAAATAACATTGGCTACAGGAAAATAAAGAATTTAGTAAAGAAAAGGCAGAAAACAAAAAGAAAAATATTTGCAACATATTATAGTACAATATTATTATTCTTAATATGCAAAGGGTTCATACAAATCATTAAAAACACTTAAAAACCCAAAAGATTAACAGGCAAGATGACACAAGCAGGTAATTTACAAAAGAGCTGGTAACAAACTTAGACATAACAATCAAAGAAGGATAAATTAAAACAATAGTACAGGTTGGGCATCCCTAATCTGACAAACCGAAATGCTCCAAAATTGGAAACTTTCTGAGCACCAACATGATGCCACAAGTGGAGAATTCCACACCCAACCTCATCTGACAGGTCATATGACAGGTTACAATCAAAACACAGTCAATAATATTGTATGAAATTACCTTCATGCTGTGTGTATAAGGTATATATGAAACATAAATGATTTTTGTGTTTAGACTTGGGTCTTATCCCCAAGATATCTCATTTCATATGTATATATATATACACACATATATAAAATATATATGTATATATAATATATATGTGTATATATAATATATATGTATATATAATATATGTGTATATATAATATATATGTATATAATATATATGTGTATATATTATATATATGTATATATATTATATATGTGTATATATTATATATATGTGTGTATATGTATATACACACACACATACATATATACATATTCCTTAATAAAAAAAAATCCCAAATTGGAAACATTTTTGGTCCAAGCATTTTGGCTAAGGGATACTCATATTTTAATATCCTATTTTCATCTGTCAAGGCAGCAAAGATTTTAAAACTGTAATTTTCAGGGTTGCAGACAATGTAGTAAAAGGGTGTTCTCATAGACTATGAGAGGGCATTCGAAGTAGTATTATAAAACCCTTTCTGTTACTTTTTATTTCCATAGGTTTTTGGGGAACAGGTGGTGTTTGGTTACATGAATAAGTTCTTTAGTGATGATTTCTGAGATTTGGGTGCACCCATCATCTGAGCAATATACACTGTACCCAATTTATAGTCCTTTATCCCTCACACTCCCCTCTCCTCACCTCCCCGCATCCCGAAAGTTGATTGTGTCATTCTTATGCCTTTGCATCCTCATAGCTTAGCTAGCTCCCATTTATGAGTGAGAAAATAGTGATGTTTGGTTTTCCATTCCTGAGTTACTTCATGAAGTAGTAAAACTCTTTTAAAAAGCAGTTTAGCAACAAGCACCAAAATTCTGTGTTTGGGAATCTATCATGAGGAAACAATACTAGCTGTAGAGAGGTGAAAACTGCATACCAAGACACTCACTTCAGCATTGTTCACAATAATGGTAAAATTGAAAACTACCTAAATTCCTTAAGTTAGGGGAATGGTTAAGTCGTTTATGGTATAATCTTTTGATGAAATATTTTCAGTAATAACTTGAAAGTCTTTTTTTTAATAATATTGAACTTTAAAAAAGGTAGAGAATTGAATATCTTGTATCTAGAATTTAAGGGAGAATTAATCCTGTGCAGCATAAGAAGTTTATTAGAATGTTAACAATGTGTATCTTAGGATAGCAGGACTTTAGTTTTTTTCCCCAGTTTCCTGTTTTTTCTCTGTTTTTCAAATGTCGTAAAATTGGTATGTATTACCTTTATAATAAAAGGAAGCCTACTTAAAATGGTGGGATTAATTTAACACATTCTCGAATATAACTTCAGATGTCATACTAATTCAGATATGCTCAACTCATGCTCTACCTATCAGTTTATACTTTAGAAAAACATGATACTTAGCAACTGATAAGCTCACTTAGATGATCTAAATATTCTGTGGTTTGACTCCATCTTTGTTTCAGAGTGAAGTTTATTGACTTTTCTTTCTAATGAAAGTGTGTCACTTTCTTCTTTTTTTTATTCCCTTTACTTTTGGCTTACGTCTAACCTCCAGAAAAGTGATGTCACATTTTTTTTAGCAAACCAGCATCTTAAATGTGTAATCCCCATTTTCCTTCCCAGTTTCATAAGGTTAAATAGCTTATATCTGCTCTGTTACTATTTTTATATTCTGATTTGCTTTTTTTTGTTTTGATTAATACTTCTTCCCCTCATTTTTAAGGTTATTCTGGTACAAGTTAACCCAGGAGAAGCATTTACAATAAGAAGAGAAGATGGACAGTTTCAGTGCATTACAGGTAAGAATGGTAATTGAGAATAATCATTTGAGACCAAATAAACCCCAAAAATTTATGATACATAATAGTGTATATGCCTATGGTTTCTTCCTTCTTTCTCACTACCAGCACACAAAAGCATAAACTCTGATATCTTAGCATTTAAGTATTGCAGTGTCATTCTAACTAGTCTCTTTGCCCTGGTTTCCTGATTATGTTGATTATTCTTGATATATTATATTGTTCATGTCTCTTTCCTGTTCAGCAATCTTTATCAAATCTAGTCCAGGTGTCTTAGTTTTTCAGAAAGATCATTTCAGCTTTTTAGTCTTGTTCCCACTTCCCCTTCAAATTGCTTTTCTTCAGTTTTTCTAATAGGCTTATTCACTGTCTTTTGAAGCTATCTTGTACTATGTGTTCTGTTTCCCTTATCTGGAATTCACCCTTATCACCACTGCCCCCCCCACCCCCACCCCCACCCCCCCTTTCAGATCCTACCTGTGCTTCAAGACTGAGCTCCAGTCCTACCTTTAACAGGTTTTTTGGAAAGTCTTTGTTTAGTGAGCATCTCCTTAGTACTGTTGACTTTTGGGTCAGGCAGTTCTTTGGTCAGCGGGACTGTTCTGTGAACTGTAGGGTGTTTAGTGGAATTCCTAGTTTATACCTACTAGCCACTCACCCTCACTTATTCATTTATGACAAACAGAAAAGTCTCTGGATATCCCCAAATATTCCCTGAGGGACAAAATTGGCTCCAGTTGAGAACCATCTTCCTATGGGAAGATGAGAGCAATAAAAAAGATGACTGGCTTTGGAATTAGAGAGAGAGAACCTAGGATTAAATCCCAGCTCCTCTGCTGTTTACTAGCTACATGACCTTGTACATGTTACTTAACCTCTGTAAGTACTTTTTTTTTTTGAGACAGAATCTCACTCTGTCACCCAGGCTGGAGTGCAGTGGCTCAATCTTAGCTCATTGCAACCTCTGCCTCCCGGGTTCAAGTGATTCTCCTGCCTCAGCCTCCCAAGTGGCTGGGATTACAGGTGCCTGCCACCACGCCTGGCTAATTTTTGTACTTTTAGTAGAGATGGGGTTTCACCATGTTGGCCAGGCTGGTCTTGAATTCCTGACCTCAGGTGATCCGCCCACCTCAGCCTCCCAAAGTGCTGGGATTACAGACGTGAGCCTCTGTACCCAGCTCTCGGTGAGTACATTTCTCATCATTAAAATTCTTATTCCTGTCAATAATAGTACACCTTATAGGATCATTGTGAAGGTTCCTGATACACGGGTAATGTACTCTAAACCAGCCTGGGACATACAAGGCACTCAATAAGTGGTGGTGAGTGCTGTAGTGTTATTGTTAATAGAAAGTGATCCCCGTCACCTGTGAAACCCCATCATACCAATTATTGCACCATTCATTTACCAAATAACTACACCATCTTGTAATATTTCTTCTAGTTGTATTTTTAAAGTTATTTAAATTTTGTATTGTTTAACATAAAATTTTTATTCAGTCTCCCCAGCTAAAGTCTAAGCACTTTGGGGACACATACCATTTCTTACATTTCTTTGTATCCCCTTCAATTCTTGGCCTTCCATATGTTGGGTATTTAACTAATAGTTATTGCTTTAGTTTAAAAAGGGAAGACAAGTGCAGTGGGTCACACCTGTAATCCCAGTGCTTTGAGAGAATGAGGCAGGAGGACCTCTTGAGGCCAGGAATACGAGACCAGCCTGGGCAGCATAACAAGACCCTGTCTCTACAAAAAATTTAAAAATTAGGCATAGTGGCGCACGCCTGCTGTCCTAACTACTCGAGAGATAAGGTTGGAAGATTGCTTGAGCCCAAAAATTTGAGGCTGCAGTGAGCTATGGTCATACCAGTGCACTCCAGCCTGGGCGATAAAGCGAGACCCTGTCTCAAAATAAAATTAAATTTAAAAAGAGCATTGGAGATGAGGTGTCTGTATACTTTGTCATCTTTCAAACTGGAATACAGTGAAAGAACTCTAACACTTACTTCAAGACAACTGATGTAAAGCAAGACTGTCTAGCCCAGGCAAACTTCCTGTCTTCCCCCATTTTACCTAGGCTGTCCAATCTGTTTAATCAAAGAAGAAATAGACCTAACTCTTTTCAGAGAAGTAATCAGCTCAGTAATTAAAATTAAAACTTTTAGCCTGACATTTAAACCTTATATATCTGAGAGTTAAAAATTTCTCTCTAAGTTGAACACATGGACACAGAGAGGGGAACCTCACACACCAGGGCCTGCGACAGGCCCCGGGCCAAGGGGAGGGAGAGCATTAGGACAAATACCTAATGCATGCAGGGCTTAAAACCTAGGTAATGGGTTTATAGGTGCACCAAACCACCATGGCACATGTATACCGATGTAACAAACCTGCACATTCTGCACATGTATCCCACAACTTAAAGTAAAAATTTTTTAAAAATTTCTCTAAGTTAATTTAAATCATTTGTGCAGCAGTTATGGCAATTTCACAAATAGGAAGAGTTCACATATTATACTTAAAAGAAACCAGGCAGTAGAATTTATAAGCAGTGTGATAAGCATTACCTGTCTTTACTTGCCAGTTAAGTTTTTATGAAAATAATTTTATTCTGTGTACTTCATAGAGTGTAAGTTTCTAATAGAGCACACATCTAGGTTTGTACATCTCTTTTCAAATTGTTTTCAATAAATACTGTTTATGGTGGGTACATTTTAACTAATACAGCATTGATCTTTTCTAACACATTTGCAGAGGAAGATACTCATTACTGTTTTAGTGTGACTCAGAACACAAAAAGTGCTATTTATGATTGGATAACCAGACCCTGAATTATAAGTAGCTTATATTTCAAAAGTTAATTTGTAACTGCAATCTGTAAACCCCACCTCCATAAATCAATTAAATTGATTTTATATGCGGCAGTGACCCCTTTGGTCAGGACCAAAAAAGCCTATCTAATTTATAATGTGCCTGTAATACTAACAGTATCTTAGTGATAGGAACTAACTACCATGAGAAGATATTTTTAGGCAGGGACACATTTCTCTGCTTCAGTGGGAAATGGATTCCTTTCTCTATATGACAGATTGTAAGATTGGAGACTGTTTTAAAATTATTGGGTAGAGGTTTTAAAAACACAGGAAAGGATAAAGGGAACCAGACAGAAAATAAGAAGGCTCTCCCCTCTTTATGTTTTTGACTGTCCAAAATTACAAGATGGAATATGGGTGGAAGGAATAGTAGTGAGCAAGGGAACTGGGGTTGAAGTCTTTGTAAAATCAACATGCCTTCACTCTGAGCAAGAGAAGACAAGAAAAGACTTCTGGAGTTCATTTTCTTCCACTTAGCCATCACTAGTTTCTGTCATATGGCAAGCCCCTTCGTGGACTAGCTCTGGATCTAGGCAAAAAGTGAGATTATTAATAGAAGTGGAGGCAACAGATAACAAGGAGAAAGAGAAATTAAGGGAAGAAAATCATATGCCAGCGAAGTGGAGAGAAACATAGATCATTATAGCCCTAAGGCCATCAAGTTAGGAAAGCTGTTCTCTGACAGCCACTATACTAATAAAATCTCTATATTAAAACCTAATGAATTGAGATAAGAGCTGTGTAAATTAATAAGCATTTGAATTAAAGTCCATTCTTTTAAAAGTAGCTTTATTACTTGTTCAGAATATTTAGAAATGAAAACTAGGTTGAGAATCACAGAGAACTTTAGACATCTAAATAATTACCTTACTTTATTGGAGGCTCAGATTTTGTGAGTTACAGCTAGTTATGGGCAGAGTTCAATACAGTAGTTTTTCTACTGTATAGCATACATTCTGGAAAGACAAATTGCTAATTATTTTTTTCTATGAATTTTCTAAGTATCTACTGAGGTATACTGTGCTAGTTGCTGGACATTCAAACAAAATCTGAAAACTAAGTTCCTGACATTCAAGAACAGTGTCATGGGGGAAAAAAAGGGAAAATTAACAGTTGTATTACAGTATAAAAAGAGATACACATAGGGTGTTATGGGAGCATAGAAGGAGGGTTACTATAACATTCAGTGGTATGTAAAGAAAAAATTATTCCAGGAGAAAATGACACATGAGCCTCCTCGAAGAACAGTGGCAGTTGGTCAGATGGACAAAGGGTCTCAAGGCACTTTAGACAGAGGGAAAGTGTTCAAAAGCAACAGAAGGAAAGAATGACTTGACTTATTTGAATAACCACAAAGAGATTGGAATTGCTAAAAAGTTGTGTAAATATGTGGTACCTGTTGAACCAAAAGTCTTCCTACTACAAACATCATTGGAAATGTTCAATAAAATAATAACATGTAATCTTTCAAATACACTCCTGAGCTTCTCTCTCTTCCCTTCACCCTATAAAAAGGAAAAAAAAGGTGGGGACTGGGGAAGAATCACTGTGGGCCAGAAACAAGGACTTTTCCACATTTATTTGTCTTCTATTTTAAGAGACAGGGTCTCTTTGTCACCCAGGCTGGAGTGTAGTAGCACAGTCATAGCTCATTGCAGCCTCAAACTCCTGGGCTCAGGTGATCCTCCTGCCTTAGCCTCCTGAGCAGTTAGGACTGCAGGTGCATGCCACCATGCTTTTATAGAGTTGAGTTCTCACTGTGTTGCCCAGGATGCTCTCAAACTCCTGGGCTCAAGCAATCGTCCCATCTCAGCCTCCCAAAGCACTGTGATTACAGGCATGGACAATTGTACCTGGCCCAATATTTGTTTCAAAAAATACAGTTTTCATATTTTTAATGAAAAGAATTAAAAATATCTACATTGTTCTTTTGATTTGATCATTTTCTATTGTCCCATACCATTTTTTCTGAGTCCTCTTCAGAATTTGATGTCTGTCTTCCCTTAGTTCTTTACCTTATTTCATGTCCTTTTGGATAAGGCACCACTCTTAAATATCTAAAAGTGTAGTCTTCTGTTTTGCTAGTTTTCCATTTTGGTCATTGGTTAGATCTGTTTATATTTCCTGATATGAACCCATACCTCATTTTTTCCCCCTTCTTTAACCATTATTCACTGGTTTTAACTTAAATTCTTGATTACTTTTGAAATGAGTGCTAGTTTGAGTCTGTCTCAGGTTTTTTCTGTTGAGAGGTATTTTGAAACAATCTAACTTGTTCTTACGTTTTCATAGTGAAGTGCTTTGATAGCATGTCAACAGATTGTCTTGTATATTGAGAGATACTGTGAAAATTAAGTATTTTGCCTAGTAACTGGTATGTAGAAATGTAAAAATTTATTGAATGGGGAGATTTTAGGTTTTATATTAATAGATCTTTGTAGCATGTGCTAAAGACTACCTTCTTAGTTTTATGTTGTGAAGAGTTATGAAAAATAGGGAATTAGGCAAGGTTTCTAAATTTGGGTTACTGGGAAGGTCATAGAAGCATATTTCATAGAGAATATGTAGTAAACACTTAAGAATCCTGTGTAGAGCTGGCTCTCCTGATGACAAATTGGTTCCTCTAGATATCATCTGTTCTGTGAAGCCCTTGCTTTAGTTTCTCTCCTCTTTTAGCTGTAGATACACATACAGAAATAATTGAAGGCAGATATTTTTACATATGTTTATAGCCCTGATGCTTTGTATGGCACCCAGCACATAGAGACTCTCAATAAACGTTTAAGGTGAGTGAAGAAGAGAAAACAACAGATGTTTCTTGAGCATTTATATGTGTCAAACAAGTAGATGTGTTATAGCCAACAGTTGTAGCTAAAAACCCTCCTTATGAGAGGCAGGTATGGCTTTTTCTCTTTTCGTCTGTGATACCTCAGAATGAATAAATGGGGCTAACGAGTAAGAATTTATTAACTATCTAGGGGTTTTGCATTGTTATGGCACTTCTACTTTGGTGTGATTCCATGCCACTACATGTAAGAGAGAAAATTATGAAAAGCAAAAAATACACAGACGAGCTATGCTTGAATAATTTTTATATGCTCTGGCTCCTTCAAATATTATGTTTTAGACAGACAAGCAAAAATATTGATGATTATTTAATACTTTAATAGGGCAGTAGTTAAGCAGAAGGGTACTTGGGTTTGAGTTCAAACTTTGCCACTTACTATTGTATCAGTCAGATTATATTCAGTATATATTGTGTCTTACACTTGTTTATGTAAATAGTGTGTGTCCGTGTGTATACACATCATGTAGGACTTAGAACATAATTTTGTCATAGAGAAGATTATTATTAGGCCGTATCTTTTGGGATATATTACTTATATCTGTGGAACCATAGAACCCAAGACCTACATCATATATAGTCTCTAATTACATTGATCATGGATTAACCACATCTACATTATAATTTTTCTGCAAAGTGGCTTCTACAAAAACAAAGACCTTATATTCTTCATCCATTCACTTATTCAGTATTCAGTGAGGGACAAAAATGAATAAGCACTGTTTATTTTCTCAAGCTTATTTGTCAGACTTTCTTATATACCTTTATAGGAAGATGAAATAAAATTTGATCATCAGACCGTTGCCAGTCTGCAACTTTGTCTCACGTTGTGTTACTCAGGATTTTGTTCTCTAGGGCTTTCTTTTGAGCCTGTTAAATCAGTACCTTTTTTTTTTTTTTTAACAAAAATAAAAACATGTTTATGAAATGTTTAAGTGTCAGAAAGTTGCTAACGTTAATAAATGTCAAACTCAAGAAGATCAGAACATATTGAAATGATAGGTCAAAAACAGTAGGATAGGCCCAGCACGGTGGCTCACGCCTGTAATCCCAGCACTTTGGGAGGCCGAGGTGGGGCGGATCACCTGTGGTCAGGAGTTCGAGACCAGTTGGACCAACATGATGAAACCCTGTCTCTATTAAAAATACAAAAATTAGCTGGATGTGGTGGCGCAAACCTGTAATCCCAGCTATTCGGGAGGCAGAGGCAGGAGAATCACTTGGACCCGGGAAGCAGAGGTTGCAGTGAGCTGAGATCCTGCCACTGCACTCCAGCCTGGGTGACAGAGTAAGACTCCATCTCAAAAACAAAAAAACCCAACAGGATAAAATTTAATAGGAGTAAATATAAAGTTCTACGTTTTGATTTTAAAAATCTAGGTACTGTATAGTGTGTATTAGTTGGGGTTCCTTTTTTGAAACTTAATCTTGCCTATAAAACACAAAAGAGTTTAAGATGATATTGAGACTCCTCCTGTCCTCATTCCTTTTCCTTCCTAATAGCTCAGTCCTGAAGCTCTTAGGTGAGGCAGAACAATATAGGCAGTGCACTAGTGGGAATGGGAGAGGTGAGCTGCAGTTCCCCAGAGTAGGATGTCAGAGCCCTAATTGAATGAGAACCATATCACATCAGAGAATAGCCAAGTATAGGGAGTTAGAGCCCAAGCAGACTGAAGAGGGAATTCACACAAGAAGGCAGCCTGGTATAGGGAGTCAGAGTATAAGGCTGAGGAGGATATCATCAAGAAGGTATGTAGTGTGGCATGTAAGAACTTGAGCAGGATGAGGCAGTCACTGACGCAATGCAATGATCCAGCATGGGGAATCAGAGCTCAAACAAGAGTGAGGAGGCCATCTGTGTGGAGGGGTAGCCTGACCTGGGTTGTAGGAGTCCCAGCATGGTCAGATAGTGCACAATCTGGGGATGTATTAGAGTGAAGAGTCAGAGCCCAACTAGGGTAAAAAGGGCATCCACACAGAGGTGGTCTAATTAGGAAGTCATCATCAATGCTGTGATTATACCCCTTCCCCTCCTCCACTAAGAACTCAGTATTACTTGCTTCTAGCACAGATACCACTTCTGCAACAGGAATTTTGTAGCCACCCACCACTGCCTGCCAAATTATCAGCACCTGTAGGAGTGATGGTCTTTATCTCACACCAAGGAGACTCCTCAAACACACAAAGGGACTTCAGATTCTATGCACTAAAACAAATGACAGCGTCCACTGCAGTGCAAGAGAAGACAACTTTATGAATAGAACTTGCTTATTTTAGCGGAACTAGAACTAAATATGAGTCATCTATTGAATCCCATTTGCAAAAGGGAAAACAAATGAAATCTTGGACTTCAAAAATAGAAATGCAAGTTCAAAACAGATGGTGGTGTATGCTGGTTAGACGGTATTCTTTTAACATGTTTAAAAGAAGTATTGACAAACTGGGATTGTCCCAAGGAAGATAACCAGGAGATCATAGAAGCGTGAAATCACCTTTATAAAACACTATAGAAATGCGTGAAGGATGTTTAACCTAGAAAAGAGGGCAGTGACTTGGTCTCAAGCTCTTGACCTCGTGATCCACCCGCCTCGGCCTCCCAAAGTGCTGGGATTACGGTTGCATTCACCACCATGCCCGGCTAAGGAAGCAGATTTTGACACGGGGAAGAACAGCTATGGCTGTATAAAAATGGAGTTGTTTGTTATAACAGTGTCCCATCTTCATATGTGTTCATACCCTGGTTGGGTGATATTATAAAAGTAATTCCAGCATAGAAAGATAATTGTGATTAGGTGAATTCCAGCAGTTATTGTAACTAAAGATGCTTTGATTCCAGAATAATCTGTTTATTAAACTGAGTTCTCTTTAGTTACTTCTGGGAATGAGGACTCTGAATGAGCGTGTTAAATTTAACAAGTCTATCTGTGCACAGGCACATAAGGTAATTGAGCTAGTGAATGGTTATTGCTCATGGTAGACCTATAAATAGTATATCAACTAGTTAATTTATTAATACCCACTACTGGTGAAATAAATACTTGAGGAGAGAGAAACTTCCACTACATTCTGAATCTCATAGGGGCAGGAACAATAATGCCGTCTTTATTTTGGTACAAAAACCCTACTTAACTGAAGTGGAGTATTATCTTCCATTTTGTTTCTTTAACAACAGAAATTGCCTGTTTCATCTTTTATCATCTGTGCTAAAATAATGCCTTTTGCTTAGTGGGCATTCTGTCAATATGTTAAAAAGAACTGCTAAAATATTTTTATTTGTGTACAGTACTTGCTTGCCTTGGTAACTGTTATATACCAAAAATATACTTTTCATACTTGGGGATATTTTAGTGCCTCAGAGTTTTCAATATGAGCACCATTTAAGATTATACAGTTATATGAAAATATTGATTTAAATATGTAAATGGTGAGCCACAGATATCACCTGGGTGATGATCATTTGACCAAAAATTCTGGGTTTATGCTTATTTTCTCATGATTTGACTCTTTGTGTAGAAAAAGTATCAAGGTGAATTCAAGTTTTCTGAGAGGTATCACCTTTGTTTTCTCATACCTCACGCTGCTTGGGGAAGACAAGAACCTAATTAACACTACTAGAGTGTGTTGATTGTGAACCTCGTCACCTACTAGAGTTAGTATGATCAGGCTCCACCTAGAAGTCCTATTGCTAACCTTTTGGTTTCAAGTGGCTCAGAACAGCTTCTCAGGAGTTATTGATGTTTTCTCCTCGTTGTTGCTGGTATGGCTTTTTCTGCCAGTAGGGGTTTATCCTTTCTTGCTTCTACTGTCCCCTCATTAAAGAAGTAACCAGCCCCGGTGCTTCTGGGGGCAGTTATTGTCAACTCCTCTATCTGACTTTTCTTTTTCGTTGCTGCTGCTGTTCATTGCTTTTCTACTCTCACCTCATTTCCTCAAGTACCTGATCCTGCTTCTTCCTGCCATTACAGGTCTTTTTGAACATAAGGGATGGTATGTCCCAACCAGTTAGTAACCATTTTCTCCCTTTCTGTGCTGTGGGATCGTGATGATTATAACCACACGTCCATCCTCATTCCTGCAATTAGTCAGCTTTTTCAAATACCTGCCATCTCCTTTGCAGAGCATTTTTTAGCAAGTCCCTAGACTAAGCCAGTATTTTGTTAAATAGTTATAAACCCTGAGCCTCTATCCCATTAATCACAACTCTGTTACCTCATGGTAAGTTATTTGCCTTGCAAAAGTTGGAGCTCCTGGCCTTGTCCTTCTCTCATGTTCTAGTGTAAATCCTTATGCCCATAAGACATAAGCAAAGCCCTCTTCTCTCAGGATGTCTTTGTTGGGGAGGAGAGAGGAATGTAGAGTCCTCATGCAAGTAAGACTCCTAGTAACCTGCTCTGATATCCTGGAATCTCTGAGACACCTCAGCCTCATGACTCTTGATACTTCAGGGCTTTGATATTAGAAATACCTCTGAAATTTATCAGAAGTTGTGTCTATTGTGTTGTAGATCATAGTCACTACAACTTTTGCTGCAGTTACTATAACAGTAGGCATGAGATATTACACGTATACCATTTCTTCCTATAATCACAATAAAACTTTAAAGAAGTAACAGACTATGTGACAGAATTAATGGTGTGTTATTAAAGGCACAGGTCTGGGAGTAAATTGACCTGGGTTCTAGAACCAATGGGTGGAAGTTAAAAGAAAACAGAGTTTAGCTTAGCATGAAGAAGAACTTTGTAATAAACGGAGATGTCAAAGGAGGGTTAGGAGTGATCAGTTTCCCATCCATCCTTTTTTTTTTTTTTTTTTCCCCTTGAGACCAAGTCTTACTGTCTTGCCCAGGCTGGAGTGCAATGGCCCGATCTCGGCTCACTGCAACCTCTGCCTCCTGAGTTCAAGTGATTCTCCTGCTTCAACCTCCCAAGTAGCTGGGATTACAGGCACTTGCCATCATGCCCGGCTAATTTTTGTATTTTTGTAGAGACAAGGTTTCACCATGTTGGCCAGGCTGGTCTTGAACTCCTGATCTCAGGTGATCCACCCGCCTCAGCCTCCTAAAGTTCTGGGATTACAGGCATGAGCCACTGCACCCAGCCTCTCCCATCTATCTTTGTAGGTGGTAATGCATCTGCTGGCTCTTCACTTGATGGTGGTTTATTTATAGAAGATGGTTTATTTCTTTTGAGGGGATTGTTCATGCCTTTTAAGGTTCATCACAAGCCTAAAATGCTATTAATTTATAGCCGTAGGTAATTTACTTAAATTCTGGCCGGTATTGTGCATATACTGAAATGAGGGTGGGCTAGGGCAATTTAGATTCTACAAGTTTCTACCAGCTCTCAAATAGTTACATATTCATAACTATACTAATTACATACCATGTCTTAAATGTATTTTAATAATACGGAGATTGATATTATAAGAATTTTTTATAAGATCACTGGTTATCTTTTGCCCACTGACTTTGCATTACAGCAAATCAGACCAAGTTCTACTGAAATTATAAGTAACTCAAGTCAAAACCACATGTAGTAGATTTTTATTCCCATATGACTATTTACTTTTTTCATAATTAGCAAACTAAACCATGGAGAAGTTTGTTCTTTATACATTACTTAAACAACCTTAACTTCCATTAGAAAATTTTTTGAAGCATAGGTAACTATTTTTCATACTGGTGGAAATCATGATTGTATTTAAAAATTTGCTCTTTATACTTCCCCTTTTAATATGAAAACATCAGTTTAATTAGAGTCGCTCAAAATAGTAGCTTTGAAACATTAATGAGTCATGTTTGTAAAAATGAATTATAACAGATCATCCATTCATAAATTCAGCCCATTTCAATTTAAGTGAATGACTATGATTCATTCCGAGTACATTGTGTAATAGTCTCAGGATGTCCCAGAGAGCTATTAAATGTTACTTTTCAAGAGAAAGTGTGTTATATAAGACTTATTTAAGAGAAAATTGCAATATTTTTGTTAGAAAGGAAAATATAGGGAAATTCAGTTGTCATCAATTCTTCATGTTCCTAATAAGCAAAATATCACTGTTATAGTTAGTCTCTTGGAAGTATAAAATCTAAGCCAGTTTAGTGAGTGCTATTAAAATAAGCAACAAAAATATTGATTAAAAAAATTTTTTAATGACTGATGACAAAAGGAAATTAGGATCCAGAAAGATGAGTATGTGAAATATCTTATATTAGCTTTTGAATAAATGTTCACAAACCTTTTGCATTCTGGCACTTTTGATATCGTTTAGTGACTAAAATGGACATAAAAGGATCTAAGCCTTCTTTTGAGCTGGCCTCACAAAATGCTATTTTATTACGTAGGTAGAAATATGAATATAAAATGTTTGTTTTGTGTGCCATTCTCTCTTCCTGTTTTCCCTTTTAGGAAAAAAGCCACTTACTAATAGTAGATAAGAGCTAGGAAATGAGGCTAGAGAAGCAAATTGACTTGGAATAGGGAAAAAATGGAAAGATTAGATAATTTTAAAGACAAGAAAAATGAATTTGGATGTTTTACAAGAGTCAAAAATTTACAGTCAAAAGAGCTAGAGAAGATTTTCACTTTAGGCAGATTTTAAGCTAATTCCTAAGAATTATGTATCTAAGGCAGTTTCCATTTAGTTTGATTTTAAAAGCTGCCTTTTGAATATCTAATACCAATTATAAAATAAATATGTGTAAGTAAAATAAAATGGTAACTTGTTTTTTATAAGAGGGGAAGTTGGTTGGTTTTATAAATTAAATGAACATTTATGCAGTCGGTTATTTTTACGTAAAAATAGTTGTTATATTCTAGGTAACAGAAATTTAGAAACCTATTTTTCTGTAGAAGAAAGGTGTTGCTATCTGCTTTTGATTTCTCAGATATTTGCTTCTCCTTAGAATGCTATGATCAGATTTTTATTAGAATGAAGTTTTCTAAAGGCTTTGATTGGCATTAGCTTCATTACTTATTTGCTTAGGTTAAGATTAGCCCAATAGACATATTATCTTTATGGACCATTGCAAATTTTTCTAATATCTAACCATTTTTAACCTTTTATATATGAATAATTAAGGAAACATTCAATTATAATAAAATTTATTCCTGGCACTATGTAGGCACTCAATAAGTATTTGTTAATTGAGTAAATGATCCCAGTAGATAGTTACATACAATATACAGGGAATCTTTTTCTACTACGTGTGTTTTTCCTCAAAATATTTTTTTAGTTCCACTTCATCATGAAATTACTTGGAAACTGACACCAAAGAGATCATGTTTGGGCACAGTTTTATTTCACTCAGCTTCACTCCAAAATTCTCATACTATGGGAAAATAATCCATAACAGTAGTAACTATTGTGATCATATACTACTACTACTTCTAGATTGAATGATTGTTACACTCTTGTCAAGGTCACCAGTAACCTCTGTGTAGCCAGAATGAGTGGTCAATTCTCACTTCTCATCATACTTGACCTCAGTGTATTATTTGAACCAGTAGCATTCGACCCAGTATATTTAACCCAGTGTATTATTTCCTTCTTCTTGGACACTGTTCTCTTGATTGCCCTTCTACAGTTTATGCATTCTCCTGTTTTTTTTCCAACCGCACTAGTACTTCCTTCTCAGTCTTTTTTTCTTTTTTTTCTTTTTTAAGTAAAGACAGGGTCTCGCTATGTTGCCCAGGCTGGTCTTGAACTCGTAGCCTCAAGTGATTCTCCTGCCTTGGCCTCCTAAAGTGCTAGGATTTACAGGCATGAGGCACTGCACACAGCAGTGTTTTCTGATGTGTATTAAAATTTAATTTCAAAAGTATGTAGCAGTTAAGTGAAATAAATCAGTCACAAAAAGATAAATATTGTGTGATTCCACTTACGTGAGGTATCCAAAATAGTCAAATTCATAGAGAGAGAAAATAGAATAGTGGTTGCTAGGGACTAGAGGGAGGGAAGAGTGGAGAGTTAGTATTTAATGGGTACAGAATTTTAGTTTTGGAAGATGAAAAATGTTCTGGAGTTGGATAGTGGTGATAGTTGCACAACAATGTAAATGTACCTAATATTGAACCATACACTTAAAATGTGTTAAAATGGCAAGTTTTATCTGTATTTTACCACAATTTAAAAAATTAATTTAGTAAATTTTTATATTTATCAAAAACCATTTTTAAAGCAGCAGATACCTGAAGCCAGAGCTTAAATAATGTGGTAGGCAAAATTCTAGGATGGCCCCCAGTGTTGTTGCCTTCTCTTGTACATAACCTACATAATTTCCAGGACAATGAATATGATGAATGTTACTTTCACAATTGGGTTATATTGTATTGCATGGTACAGATGACTTTTAAGAAAGAGAGATTGTCTGGAATAAACCTCACTAATCAAGTGAGTCCTTATGAAAAGAGGGCCTTTCTGGAAGAGATTTGAAGCATGAGATGGAAGTCAGCAAGTGAAAGAGTTTTCTTGCTGGCTTTGAAGATGGAAAGGGCCACATGGCAAGAAATGTGGGTGGGCTCTGGGAACTGACTGTGGTCCCTGGCTACCCACCAGAAATGGGGACCTCAGTCCTGCAATCACAAAACTTAATTCTGCCACACCATAAGCTTTTGGTAAGAGGTCTCCAACCTCCAGATGAGAATACACCCTAGTTCACGCTTCTTTTTTTGCCTTATGAGACCCCGAACAGAGAAGCCAGTTACACCATACCCAGACTTCTGAAGTACAAAACTGAACTAATGAATGGGTACTTTTTAAAACCACTGTTTGTTACACAGCAATAAAAAACTAAGACAAATAATATGAACTTTTTTCTTTTCTCATAAATTACGGTACAAAGATAGGCAGTTAGTGCTTGTATGGAGGTGCTGCTCCATAGGTTATACAAGTGGCCTAGGTTACTTTTGCCTTGGCCTGCCATCCCTAGGTTGCTGCCAATGTATGCATGATCCAGGTTGGCTCACCACCATGTCCATGTGCCAAAGAGAATGGAAAAGGGCAGGAGAAGAAAAAGAGATGAGAAATTTGCCCACTTTCTTTAAGAACATATCCCAGAGGCCAGACGCGCTGGCTCACACCTGTAATCCCAGCACTTTGGGAGGCTGAGGTGGGCAGATCACGAAGTCAGGGGTTCGAGACCAGCCTGACCAACATGGTGAAACCCTGTCTCTACTAAAATATACAAAAATTAGCTGGGCATGGTGGCATGTGCCTGTAGTCCCAGCTAGTCAGGAGGCTGAGAGAGGAGAATCACTTGAGGTAGAAGTTGCAGTGAGCCAAGATCACGCCACTGCACTCCAGCCTGGGTGACAGAGCGAGACTCCGTCTCAAAAACAAAACAAAACAAAAAAACAAACACATCCAGGAGATTGCACAGATCGGGGGTCTGTGCTTTGACCTCTGACTGGGGTCTGTGCTTTGACCTCTGACTGCTGCTTCTGTCACAGACATGCAAACAAAGAAGTGGGCAGCCATTGTTATTGTACGACCCTCTATTGCAAGTGCCCCCCCACCCCACCCCCTGGCTGTTGTGACTTCCAGGGGATTTAAAGAACAACACCCTTTTATCCCCCACTTTGTTTTCCCCCGTCTGGGAGCCATGCATTAAAGATTAGGTCAGTCAACATGTACCATAGGCCAGGCTCAGTGGCTCATGCCTGTAATCACGACACTTTGGGAGGCCAAGGTAGGAGGATCGTTTGAGGCCAGGAGTTCAAGACAACACAGTGAGACCTCATCTCTACTACTGAAAATTTTTTAAAAATTAGGCATGGTGGTGTATGCCTGTAGTCCCAGCTACTCGGAAGGCTGAGGCAGCAGGATTGCTTGAGCCCAGGAGTTCAAGGTTGCAGTGAGCTATGCTTGTGCTGTTGCACTCCAGCCTGGGCAACATAGCAAGACTCTGTCTCAAATCTGCTTTTACAGGGAAAACTGAAAATGACCATACATGCTCAGGGAAAGACATAGGCTCTCAGAAGACCTTAAATGTACATCTCAGGCTGATCCTTGGCAAAGAGATAGTCTACAACAATAAAAAAATCAGAACAATAACAAAAAACAGCCAACTCTGGGGAAAGAGAAGAAACTGATTTCCAGAGTTTCTACATGATTAGATTTAAATGTCCAGTTTTCAACAAAAAAAGATTACAAGGCATACAAAGAAACAGAAAAGTATTGCCCATTCAAAGGAAAAAAAAAGAAATAAACAGAAATTGTTCATGAAAAAAGACTCAGTGGTAGATCTACTAAATACAGACTTAAAAAAAAAAAAACAACTCCTGGGGCTGTGAAAGAAAACAGAGACTTTAAAACAACTCTCTTAAAGATGCTCAGAGGAATGAAGTCCCTGACCATCCAGCTAAACCATTGGGTACAGCCCATGAATCTGTATGTAATCACACATCTGGCCATTTCTACTTCCATGCAGAGTACACAACCAGTTGCACTGCTTGAAGTTCTGCCCACTGGGAAGATTTCCCTTCACTGTTGTCCTTCAAGAATGTCCTAGAAAGGGACTGTAGTGCTGCAGCTGTTCACTTTTGGGTGATGCCTGCATATCATGCAGATCCATTTGTGAACCAGGCCCTATCTTCTCTTCCTGTGTCAACTGATCATAGGGAACTCTCCATGAGGCCATAGGTGCAGGCTGGGGGAGAGAAGGCAGGGTGGCAGGAGTGGAGACTATGGGCATTTGAGCCACTTCCTCATGTAACTTACTTGTGCCTGCAAGACCTGCTCAAGCTCGATCACTTCCATTTGATGATGGAATGCTGCCATGCATAAACCACTTTATGGCTAGATGGGTCAGAAAGCACCCAGTTCATGATGGGCAGTTAGGTCACATGGTGACTTGATGACCCATAGTCAAATATTCAGTTTCCACCAAAGCCCAGTAACGGGCCAAGAGCTGTCTCTCCAAAGGAGAGTTGTTATCTGCGGAAGATGGCAGGGCCTTGCCCCAAAATCCTAGAGGTCTTTGCTGTGATTCACCTATGGGGGCCTGCCAAAGGCTCCAAACAGCATCCCTATCTGCCACTGACACCTCAAGCACCATTGGATCTGCTGGGTCATATGCCCCAAGTGACAGAGCAGCTTGCACAGCAGCCTGGACCTGTTGCAGAGCTTTCTCCTGTTCTGGAGCCCACTTAAACTGGCAGCCTTTCAGGTCACTCGATAAATGGGCTGAAGTAACATACCCAGATGAGGAATGTGTTGCCTCCAAAATCCAGTTAGGCCCACTAGGCATTGTGCCTCTTTCTTGGTTGTAGGAGGGGCCAAATGCAGCAACTTATCCTTCACCTTAGGAGGAATGTCTCAACAGTCTCTCTTTTTCCATTTTTCTGCCTTCTTATCTTCTAGCGGTATTGGCAGCTGATTAGGTTGTGCCCATCCAGATTAAGGTTAGGTCTGCCTTTCCCAGCCCACTAACTCAAATCCTTTGGCAACCCTCACAGACATACCCAGGATCAGTACTTTGTATCCTTCAATCCAATCAAGTTGACACTCAGTATTAATCATCACACCGCCTTCATACCTTTGTTCACATTGTTCCTTCTTATAAAAATCACACAGGAGCATGCATACATACAGGTGAGAGCTTTCTGAATCTTTCCAGCCCTTCAAAACCCAATACTAGTTACATCTATTTTGAGACTCTTTCTGACCACTCCAATGTTAAAAAAAAAAAAAAGTGCTCCTTAATTTCTTGTAATATATATATTGTCAGGCTTATATCTCTAATCTGGCATGTTGTTTATTGGTCTATATTGTTATTTGTCTTTTTTTTCTGTCTCAGAGTCCATCTTTAATAATGTAATTAGGTGCTCATTGTCTGCCAAGATTGTGTTGTATGCATTGATTGCATTAATCAACTTTAAATCTTAAGAGAGGAACCTGAGATTCATAAAAAGCCTCATACCTAGTTATTGGTGGATCTAGAACCCAAATGAAAGTCTTTTTGATTTCTAAAGAATAATTTTTACCTGCACCAAGATATCTTAGAATCAACTGGGGAGTTTAAACATACAGTTGTGTAGGCCCACATCAGCCTTTCTCAACTGATTTATGATACAAAACCATGATACAGTGGTAGTATACTCTTTGTAGGCTACATTCCCCTCCGCTCTCCTCCCCGTAGCACTTACAACTGCCCCATACATACAGAAATTCAGTAAATGTTTATTTACTTATTTTAGGCATATAACAATAGAATTGTCTTTATTTCAGCACTTAGTCATTTCTAATTGCACAGATATTGCCTTATAGATCCTCAAGTAATGAAAAAAGGGAGAGAAAGTGACTTTGTTATTTAATTAGCATATATATTAGCTAATGGTTATCGAACGATCCCTGTACCAGTTAGTGTTGTAAACACTCTACATGTGACTAACCTATTCAGTCCTCCCAGCAACCCTTTCAGCTAACTATTATCTTCATTTTATATACGAAGAAATTGAGACACAGGTTAATAATTCGCCTGTAGTTACCAGTTACTGAATGACTCAGCTGCGACCTGAACTCAGGCAGTCTGGCTGCAGAGTGCATACTTCTAACAGTTACCTTACAGTGACTTCTCAAACATAGAGTACCTAAGATGGTGCTCTACTCATAGTCCAACAATGATTAGTTCCTCCAAACCATGTACTTGCTTCCTGAAATATTTAATATATTTCAAAATTGAATGCTGAAACCAAATTATTATACCAAATACTCTACTCATAAATTTATCTTTGAACCTCAAGACTATCTCTATCAAAAAGTGCCATTTAGCTTTACATGATTTATATTGCATGATGCTGGGGCAAACAGAGTCTCTTTTGGTTTTAATTGCAAGATGTAGTTTTTCCTCAGAGCATTGAGAGAACATGTTTTATTTCCTTTACTAATCCTCTGTTTTGAGGAGTGATTCACTGAAATAATTTTAAAGAGTGAACGATACAGATTTTATATTAAACAAAACACTGAGTATGAGAGTTTGAAAAAGGCTCTTTCTTCATTTATACCTAAGAAATACCTTAATTTTGATTACCCTAAATGGCAGAGGTGGGGTGGGGTGACTAATATCATTTGATTCTACTTTTTTGGAAAGAAATCTTCATCAATTGGTTTTAAGATATTTTTGCTAAAGATGATATTATTAGAGTTAATAACAATAGGCGTAAAAGGTGTGTGCTTTAAACCTTAACCTAAGCACAGAGTGTCCTTGTAAAATACCTTTCTGATTAACTGAAAACCAGAAGGCTTTTCCAATTCATTTTACTGAAAATATTTATAGAATAACAAATTCAGCCATGGTAAGCAGAATATACTGAAAATAATTCAGTCTTTCAGTGCCCTAAATCATTGTAAGTATTAATAATACTGATTGTACTATATAGTTGTAGATTATGTAGAAGATAGAGTTGAATCTAGATTAGAATATGGCCTGGGGGTTGCTTTTTAAACCCATTACTTTATGTAAATAATTCTTAACCTAATATTTGCAATCACTATTCCAAAACACTGGAGATGTAGTGATAAGCAACATAGACTGTATCCCTGACTCCCATGAAGTTTACAGTTTCCTAGGAAAGAAGATTTAAGGAATTCGATGAAGTGAGAGAAGTGTTGTGATTGAAAAAGAAAAAGAAAAGGCACTATGGAAGCATATAGCAAGAGCATTCAAACCAATCCAGGGACTAGAAAATACTTCCAAGAGGACACTTACAGGGTGAGCCTACTCTATTCTTTTTCTCTCAAAAATGGAAGATTAAAAAGTTTTATTAATTAGGTGTTTGCTTTAATCAGGACCATTTATTTGATATATATTATTAAGGATTTCAACAAAATTAACTCTTTTGTAATAAGAAAAAACATTACTTTTGCATGGAAAATACAGATCCATGGAAAATAATTGTGGCATATTTCCTCCAAGTATATGGTAGGATTATAGGAGGTTTTTCTTCTTTATACTTTACATATAATTTGATAATGTCAACATGAATTTCATAAATAATTATACAAGTGAAGTTTTAACCCCTTTTAAATTGTTTAGTCCAACTTTATTTAAAAATGTATATATATTTTTTTAAATTAAGACCCTAAGCTCATTCAGGAAAGTGAGATACCATGGTGTTTTTGGTGCAGATAAGTGGATTTTTAAACTAGTAAAAACTAAAAAATCAGACATATGAAGGTTATCAACACATCATTGTAGTCCATCAGTTTTCTAAAAATCAAGGGAGTGGAAGAAAAGAAATGTCTAAATTTCATATCATAATATAGAACTGGGTTAAAGGATTCTGCCACTCGGGATAGATAAGAAACCCGCTGGTCCAAATGCAGTGGTGTTTACAACTAATTGATCACATCCCGTTATGGATTTCTTTGTTTCCTTTCCACTCCCACTGCTTCACTTGACTAGCCTAAGAAAATAAAATAAAATATAAAGGAAACTCAAGGTAGAGAATCTTTATACCTTGAGGATTTATTTTCTTAACACTATGAAAGAATGTCTAGAAAGGTCACCTTCCTTATTAAAAATAAAAACCATACTCTCCAAAGTTAGCTTCATTAGAAGGATATCCTGGTGAGAAGGACAACTGAATCACAAACACAGAGATTTACCTTAGTTTAGCCTTGTAGTAACTTCTACCACATTTTTTGATTCAGGGAAGTACTAATTAAGCATTCTAACCCAGGGGCAAACCTTTGTAATTTTTTTCCAGGAGCATACCTGAGATGAGGCTAGGATGTCCAGAGAATACTTATATAACGTTATAAAGAAACTACCGTGCATTTATCTACTGTCATTTACATGCTTTTGTACCATCTGCAGAAAATGTTCTAGGAAACAGAAAAGATCTTTCCTGGTTCCTTTGTTTGTATGGCAGCATGTTGGATGTGATTTTTAGACACTACCTAGATATATAGAGATAGAAAAATCATTCTCCTCCAACTTATCTAGGATTCATTCTCTAAGTTTTCCTCTGTTATGGCAACAAACACTTTAAGCATAATTTCATTTTTCAGAAAGTTTCTTCCTGTATCTAGAGAAGTGTGACTTGTGCTCCTGACTGTGGTTATGGTCTTTGATTAAAGTGCATCCAAACATGTCACCATTAACCATAAGAATCACAAAATAACATAATGGTTGCAGGACAGGATTTCTTTACAGGTATGTTATTTTCTCTATGGCTCCAGAGGTTAAAATTATGACTCTACCAGAGTTGAGTAGAGTTAGCATTGGATTCTCTGATCCCAAAACCCATGTGATACCATTGTTTGAAGATGTTCATTCACTTTTAAAGAATGAATTTTAATCAAATCCAGTTTCCATTCTTTATGGTTTAACAGAGTTCTGTCTTTGACATTCCCTTTTGCTTTATCATGTAATCCTTCGATATTTTTGGAAAATCCTTTCATCATTACAGTAAAATACCATCATATTTCAATATTTTAATATTATTTTTAGTCTTAATGTGCTGAAGTTTCTCACTTCTTTTGTGTCCAGTCTTCTGTATTCAGCCACTTGCTAGAACACAGAAAACACAGTCACTGAATGTGTGCTCTTTTCCCTAGAGAGAGAATTTGTTTTAAGTGCCTTTTCATGTCCTGAGGGGCAACTCATTCTTGACAGTTATTTGAAAGACTTAGGCCTTGCCTCACAGCCTAGTACAACAGACAGAAAAGTAACCCACAGTTAAAACAAAGAAGGCCATGCTAAGTGCTATGATGGAGTTTATGTGGGAGGCCAGGGTAGGAATACCTGAGCAAGCATAGGGAAGTCATTGAGTGCTTAGGAAAATATGATGCTTGAAGAAGTAGAAGTTAGCCAGAAGAAAAAAATAAATAGAAAAGTATCTTCGAGACAGAAGGAACAGCATGTGCAAAGCCCAAGCACACACAGATTAGAGGAAACGGAAAAACTGTGATTAGAGAGGTAGCTTAGAGAAGAGACTGCATGGGAGAGTATCTGAAAATGAGACTAAAAATATATGCTACTTTGCAAGTACCGTTATATGCCACGCTAGAGATTTCACATTTTATTCTGAAAGGAAAGGGAACCATTGAAGGATTTTAAGCAGGGGATAACCAAAACTATAGTAATAAGAATGAGACCTGGAAGCTCAGTGTGGAGGGTGAGAAGAAACTAGGATGATTTACAAATTTCACAGACAAGAAGAACTATGAGAACAACTGTCTCAGCAGTTTTTATATTTTCCAAATATTTCTTTTAGATGATTAGCAGTTAAAAAAAAAAAAAACTTAGAATGAGGGAAAGCCCTTGCTTTTTTACATTTTTTTTTTAAACACTTTTTCTTAAGAAACAACACTGGTTGAGGAAACGCCACCAAAGCAAAAGCCTGAGGGTATGGGAAAAGGCCCTTGGCATGTTTTCATGTTAGTCTATGTCAGAGTAATGATGACAGAATGAAAGGTTATTAGATGTGCCTCCAGCTTTGATCTCTGTTTGGTTTTCCAGTTCCCCTGGGAAGTGCCAGTCTTACAACATAAACTAACAGGAAGGGTAATGCTTTAAGTGTACAGGCCTAGTTTCTTTTTGGGAGAACCTACAGCAGGATGTGAACATTCTGTGCCAAGCCTCCAGGGGTAAGTTCTGTTCCTTTTATAGAAGAGAAGATTTCCAATTAGGTGTGGGTGTGTTTTCAGGGATAATATATTTCGAAACCTTATACATATGATTACTCATAAGCCATCCAGCTGTAACCATTAAAAAATTGATATTTTGATGCCCGAAAAGACTAATAAAGTTTTAAAATTATAGGCCCAAAGAAGAAGTGACTATTGGGAAGAAGACCTGAAATTACAGTAAATTGTAAGGCCATAGTGTAGTGCTCCAAATCTGAATCAAAGTGATATTTTGTCAAGCACAGCATATTATATAAAATGCTTAATAAATGGCAACATATCTGCAGAAGATAGTCTAAAAAGCCTAGATACAGAAGCCTTTTTACAGATAATTCAGATGGCTAGTAGAACCTTAAGACATGTTTCTAAGGGCCCAGACCTTAAAGCACAGAAGCTGTGAGGAAACTAACATATAGATTCTGTTGTATGGGCAATCTATAATTAAAATAAAAAAGTTTAGATATTATGTAAAAAGAGAACCTAGCACAACCCTTTTTGACACTAGCAGTACTGATTTAATGCAGTCTGCATGGTAGATGACTAGCCTGCTTTGTCACTTGAGCAGTTTTTTTCAGTCTGTGGCCTTAATGTTTGATCCTGACAGGATTTGCGTCACTGATCCATATCACTGCCGTGTGATGTCAAAGTGTGGGTGTTCAGTTATTGAGGCATAGTTAACCTAATGTGCTGCAGTAAATCCTAAGTGCTCCTTCCTACTAAAATAACAAAAGAATGATTCATCATTGTTCATATTAGGCTGATACTAAAAATAGTAATGTTCACAACCTGCTGCATTCATGGACATTAATATCACAGCCTCTGCAGCTTTCTAAACAAGTGCACTAAAAATAATTTCTTGTTTAGAAACAGGTGCTTGGTAAACACATCTCCTTCAAGTTTTCTATTTATATGCAGTTCAATTTAGTGCTAAAGGTAGATTCTAACCATAAGTCATTCTTCAAATGTACTCTACTTAGTGTTTATCACTGATACATCTAATTGTGCTGCAAATCTAATCATAGAAATTTTCAGTTACTTGTACACAGATAATGAAATTATCCACAATTCTGAATCATACTTAGGCCCCTAATTTAAGCATTCTGCTTTATCCAAACTTTAAAAAGAATAATAAATTTCCAAGGAAAAGAAAGGTCTCTAAACATCTAAGCATGAATAATGACCTTGATCTTTTCTCTTTCTCCTGTAACTTCCTTATTCTGTTCCCAAGTTCTGACTCACCAATTTGGTGAGTTCCTAGATCAAGGCTTACACTAATTGCCTGCCTTATATGAATAAATGTTGCTAGGTGTTTCATAGCCTTAATAAATAAGCATTCCTTATTAGTAAGGGGACCTTATATCCCAATTTGTCTAAGACAGTTCTGGTTTTTGCCTCATCTTGATATCTAACTGGTATGACATTTGTCTTGGATTTATCATTTTTAAAACAATATTATTAGTAGTTCATTAAAATAAGTTGTGATAGATTTGGTTGACCACCATTTTGAATTTCCAGCTTCCACCTTGATCTCTAGTAAGTAGCTCATCTGTCTCTTTTTCACTTTAAACTTGTGGTTAAATCTTAGACAACCCAAAATAAATCATTCTCTCTTCCTGACCCTTGCCAGAAGCAAGTCTTAATTAACAGTAAGTGAAAGTGTGCTTAGATTTAAAGGACTGGGAACTAACTCCTTTCAGTTTCCTGGTAGTAGTGGCAGAAGTATTTGATGCTGCTGTCTTTGCTGGCCACTTGGTGTCACCAGGGCACCAAGTGGAAGGACCAGTGGGAAGCATATAGGTTAAATAAATAAATATGAGGAAATTAAATATTTCTGCCACTGAATATATAAAAAATAGCTTGAATGATTTTTATCACTTATTGTATTGTGTATAACTGTTACTTGGCAGTACTTTTTTATCTTGCAGTAAACTCTCTCAGCAATAATGAGCTCAAAAACAAGGTCTAAATTTGGTGAAACATGCAGAAGAAAAATAAAGACGATTCAGTGAGATTTGTAAAAATATGTAACATTTTTATAGTACTTAATATTGTAAAAATATTTGAAGTATTTACACATCTCGATAAGAAACAAAAAATAGAACTGAGAGTATCCTCCACTTAGCAGATATGCTCCCAGCTTACCAGATAGCACCTTAGAAACAGTTTTTCTTAATATAAATGTTGTAGTCTTAAAATATTACAAAAAAGAGTCAATTGAAGGTATCAGCAGCTTTAAGTTTATAAACCATAAAATACAACATTGTAAGCAATTTTATTTTAAAAATTAGGATGACTATTTGAAAGAAGAAATTTTTCAATTAAATACCAGTGATAAGGAATTAAAGACAGGTATAGCTAAGAAATTAAAATACATATATACTAAGAATAATTGTTCCATTTATATTACTCCAATATTCAGATACTCAATATGAAGAATACCTTTAAATGCTCTTTAATGTACTTGCATATGTTTTTTAATAAAGCATTTTATTTTTCGATAGATTTTGTTAGAACTTTATCTCCCTCAGTGTAATTAAAATATATCAGTCAATAAAGAAACATACCAAATGATGTATTTTTAATGATTTTTAGCCCCCTTTTTCACTTTCAGAAGTGTTCTTGATTGGATGATGATAATATAATTATCCTACCTCTGCTCTGTTTCCTCCTTCTTCCTGTCACCAGAGCTCAGCCAGCCTGAAAGATAAATCCCTATCCCTCTTACGCTAAGCGTTATTCCCAAACCCTTTTCCATAGATGTAGGGATATTTCATCAGTCTAGGAAATAGGAATAATAAAGATAATGTAGTGGTTTTTCATTAAGTTAAATTTATTTACTTAAGACTTTTTAAAAATTCTGAAGTTAAATCTTTTATAATGTTTGAAGTTACAGTATCCTCTTTTTATGAATTGATGTGACAATATAGGATAGACTTCCTTCTATCCGTTCTTAATTTCTTCTTAACTTTTAATGTCTTTACTTGGCCTAATGAAAAGCTGGTTAATGAGTCCCCAGAATTTGTTTTGAAATTTTGCTGTCACATAAATCCAAATGTTTGGGAAATACTAACTTAGAACACAGATAACTTCTGTATTGACCATTTTCTGGTTAATATCTAACCTCCTAACCTTATCCAGGCACCCTCACCCCTCAAATCAATCCAAAATATATTTGGCCTTAGACTGATCCTCACATTGCTTTCCTATTAGCATGTATAATGTAAAGTAAAACTTTTGTTGAATCGACATCTTAGTATAAGTAAAGGGGAAAATTATAGAGAAAGAAATCAGCGACTATCTGGTGAGATATGCAGGTTGATTAAGGCCTCTGAACGGGATAAGAGGTAAAACCTGGGTGAGAAAATGAGAAACAGTTAAAAGGAGAAGAAACAAGGTTTGATTTGTGCCCAAGGACAAAATTATAGTTTCTAATTCTTCACTCCCCTTATCTCCCTTTAGACTATTTGCTTATTTCATTGTCAGTCACTCCCTGGCAATAGACTCCTTCCCATGGAGCACCTGGTTAGTTGCAGATTTCATTGATCTTTCCTTGGTCCCTCGACTCTGTGGACATGTGTCAATTAAGCTCTAAGCTGCATGAGTTTAACACATATTATTTAGATGCTTATTCAGAACCTGCACTTTAATACTGCCACAAGAATCAGAGTCAGGGTCAGAGTCAGTCTTTTGAAATATCAGATAAAAATAGGTAGAAGAGTACAAGAGTGTACCTCACATCCCATCCTTTTATATCTTAGTGACCTGAAACCACTCTTTGTTTAGCTGAACGAGTCTACCTTTTAAATTTTTGGACATGCAAATGACCCTGATTATTATAATCTAACAGCAGCCTTAATAAACAGCTGATCTGGTTTGCCAGGAAAAAAAAAATCAAAATCAACTCTTCTTTTAATTTGCCTCATAGCTGACAATCTCTTTCTGCAAATCAACTGATTCATCTGTTGTAGCTGTTCATTTTGCAACTATATTGGAGGACATGTTGCTAAAAGTTGGACATTTATGGATGCTTTACTGAATTTTATATATGGTAGAAGTCATCTTGGACTATACCTGCTTTAGTTTTTTTTTTTTTTTTTTTTTTAAGCCAAATCATTGGAATCATGTTGTATGGCAGTGTGGGCAATACTTAAACTGCAGAAGGGAAGAACTAACTTAACCAACTTAACAGCGTGGTCCTTGGTACCTGATTTTAATCATGTTTCAGCTTACACAAAGCAGAGAGCTTTTATTGCTCATCCTCTAGTAAGAGCATAAGACTAGCCTTCCTCCTTTTTAAATTTTTATGTATTTATTTATCTCACTGTTTTGCCCAGGCTGGTCTCTAACTCTTGGGCTTAAGCATTCCTCCCACCTCAGCCTCCCCAAATGCTGGGATTACAGGCATGAAGCAAGCGTAGCTTTTTTTTTCTTGATTTTTTTAAGCTTACTCTTTATTCTTATTGTTTTTTCTATATTAATTTTCCCTTTTCTTCAATTTATCATGGCTTGTGTTTTGGTTTGGTTTTGGTGCTACATATATCTTAAATCACCTTAAATTGTCTTTTGGAATGGGTTGAGCTACTAATTCACTGATTGTTTTCCATATAATATCCCTTACTTACTAGAAACAGTTTAGGATCTTTCTTCACAATAGTTTCAGTGAGATAAATATAGGTACATTTTGCTTTATTATATGTAACTAGCAGATACTTAGGGCATAATAGTGTTGGGTTTTCCATCCAAATGTCAGTGCTTTTTGTGTGCTTTAGGCGATATTGACTCCTACCTTCAGAACCCTTCTAAGAAAACTTAACAAGACTTAACTTCATACCCTTACTATTCTCCCATTTGCCACAGAGTTCTCATCCTCAGTGTTAGTGACGTGGTCACTACATTCAAGGACCTTTTGGTTATAGTGAGGACAATACAGGATGCTTGTATTTTTTGTTCCCTAAAGACCTCATTAATTTGAGTATATGTGTCAAACAATTTTTCTATAGGAATAAACACAGAGGATGCATTGAGGAGATTACAGTTTATAGGAATGCATTATGCAGTGACCAGCATATTTTTCATTTTTCCATTCTTGTTTAATTATATGATAATTTTAGCAAACTTAAAAATGTACCTGCTTATTTTTGTAATATTATCTCAGATATTTTGCAGAGAGCTATCTTAATAGCATGGCATGTCATAGCAGTTGTTTGGATTTCTTCATAATATTTTAACATATTAACTACCATTCCTGAACTATTGATTTTCAGGTAGGCTTGTCAATACAAGCACTAGCACTGTGCTTAGGTGACATTGCTTAAGCACTTACTGTGTACCAAACACTGTTCTAAGTGCTGTACAAATATGAACTTATTTAATCTGCATAATATCTCTATGAAATAGAATAATTATTTCCAGTTTACATGTGAGAAAACTAAGATACAAAGAGGTTAAGTAACTTGAAAGGTCTCACAGCTATAAGCTGTCATTAGAATTAGATGGGCTAGCTGAGTCCATGTTCTTCATCACTACCTTATGCTGCCTTATGTTTAAGCTATAACAAATTATAATAAAATGAATGATAAAATAGCAAAATAGTAACAAAATTCCATTTGAAGACATTTTGATCCCAGTGAAAACAAATGTGGTTCACACAGTATTGACAAGGATAGACTGGTATTTTACCAGTTTGAGTGGCATCACCCAGTTCATGTGGAAGCATAGTAGGCTACAGTAAAGAATTTGGACTTCATCTCATCACAATACAGAATGGTCTCTGGGTTATAAGCAGAGGAGGATACAATGAAATTTGTTTTTTAGATCAGGTTAGCATTAGTGTGAGAGATGTATCAATTGCTAGGGACTGGGGGCAAGGAGACCCATTAGGAGAATACTGGAATAGTTCTAGAAAGAGCCTAGTGCTGCTAAGGCAATAGCAATGGAGTAGAAGAGAACATGGATTTGAGAGATATTTAGGAGATAAAACTGTCAGAACTTCCAAATAGATGATGTGGAAATTGAGATGGGGGGAAAATAGAGTCTAGGATTATTCTCACATTTCTGGCTTAAGATTAACTTATCATGGGAAACACAGAGGCGGAGTGACTATTGATGGAAAAAATAACTGGTTTTGAGTTTTATGTAAATTAAGTATTATAGATCTAGAGCTCAAGAAAAAGTCTGGATGAGATACAGAATGATAATCTTTCATGAGAGTAGTAAATAAGATCATCTTGAGAGATCATGTAGAATAAGGGAAGTGGACCAAGAGCAAAACTCCCAGGAAAATAAACACTTAAGGAAGAACAGAAGACAAGAAGCCATTAAAGAAATTGAAAAAGTATGATCAGGAGGTAGAAAGGAAACTAGGAGAAACTAATATTTCAGATGTTAAGGAAGAATATTTAAGAGAGTTGTTAGCAATGTTCATTGGATTTGGTAAGTAAGAATTTCATCTCAGTGACTTTTGCCAGTGCAGTTTCAGTAGAGTGGGCTGGACAAAAGCCTGATTATGGTGGGTTGCAATGTGATTTTGGGGCCGGGCGCAGTGGCTCATGCCTGTAATCCCAGTACTTTGGGAGGCCGAGGTGGGTTGATCACGAGGTCAGGAGATCCATACCATCCTGGCTAACACTGAAATCCCATCTCTACTAAAAATACAAAAAATTAGGCAGGCATGGTGGCGGGCGCCTGTAGTCCCAGCTACTCGGGATGCTGAGGCAGGAGAATGGCGTGAACCCAGGAGGCAGAGCTTGCAGTGAGCTGAGATCGCGCCACTGCACTCCAGCCCAGGTGGCCCAGGTGACAGAGTGAGACTACGTCTCAAAAAGAAAAGAAAAAAAAGAAAAGAAAAGAAATGTGATTTTGGAGACTTCCATTTCAAGTCATTTGGTAGAATGGATGCTCTGCTCTAGGTACCATCCTCTTATTAAAAAAAGATCTTCTGTAAGAATTTTAATTGCATTATTGTGCCCACAAAAAGTAAGAGACATGTCCTAGGGGATAGGGAGCAAGAAACAATGCTGGGACAGTTGGTTATCCATTTGGATTAAAATGGAATCAGATCCTTTTCTCATACCTTACCCCAAAATTAATGCTTGAAGACTTAAAGACTTATGTGAAAGGATAAACTTAAAAATAATAATAAAGAGAGAGTATCTTCATGACTACAGAGTAGAGAAAGTTTTTTTAGGATACAAACACACAAAATGCTAACTATCAAATGATCAGTAAATTTGACTCCATTACAATTAAGAACTTTGGTACATCATAAAATATATGAAAAATATAAGTCATAAACTAGGAAGAGTATATTTGCAACCAATGTAACCGTAAGGAATTAGTATCCAGAATACATAAAAACTCTTCCCAATCTATTTTTTAAAAAAGACTACCCAGTAGAAGAATAGGTGGGAAACATGGACTGGGTAATGCAAAATAAGATCAAAGTGAGATTGGCAAAAATTTAAAAATCTAAATACCAAGTAATGGAGGGAATGTGAATCAGTGGAACTTCTTATACATGCCTGGCTGGTAGGAATATAAATTAATATACTCGGGAAAACTATGTGGCACTATCCTATAAAAACTAACATTCACAAAACCCTAAGACACAGCATTTCCTCTCTTAGGTACATACCTTAAAGAAACATTTGCACATGTGAGCTGAGAGACATAGAGATAGCAGCAGTGTTCTGATCCATGCTTCTCTCTAAGAGATAGCATTAGATTGTCTTCTCTATCTACTTTAATTCCTTTGTTGATGTCATCCAGTCTCATGGATTTAAAGCCTATCTACCAAAGACTCTGGAATTTGTATCTCTAGACTAGGTAAGTATTTCCTTGAACTCCAGAATAGTAAAATGAACTGCCTGCTAGTTGAAATCTCCATTTGGATGACTAATAGACATTTCTAACGTAACATGTCCAAATCTGAATACCTGATCATCCCCAAATACGCTTCATCCACTTTTGTGCTATTAAAATTAGTACTGCTATGAATGTTCTAAATTACATCCTTCGGTTGGTGTTATATGTAAGCATTTCCACTGCCCATATACTTAAAAGTAGAATTACTAGATCATAGAGTATGCATATGTTCAAGTTTAGTAGATATTGCCAGTTTTGCAAAATGGTTGTACCATATACTTACCAGCAATATGTATAAGTCAGATGAATTTTTTTTAATATAACTTAGATCATGTTTTAAAATCCAGCAATGGCTCTTATTTTACTCAAAGTAAAAGCATACAGTAACCTATGAGGCCTAACAGAGTGTAGCTCATTTCCCTCTTAATCACTCTAACCTCACTCCTTTTCTCCCCCTTCACTCATGCTGCTCTGGTGACAGTGGTGTCCTTGTTAAGTCTTAAACATGCCAGTCATGTTCCCCCTTAGGGCCTTTACACTGGTTGCTCCCTCTGTGTAGAATGTTCTTCCCTCAGATATCCATATGGCCCACTCCCACACTTCTTTCAAGTCTTGGTTCAAATGTGACCTTCTCATTGAAACCTAAACTGATGTCTGTATTTTAAATTGCAGTATTCAATCTTCCCCCTCACCATCAGCCTATCTTAGTACTTAAAATCCTTTTTACCCTACTCTGTTTTATTTGTTTCTTTTGAGATGGGGTCTCACTCTGTTGTCCAGGCTGGAGTGCAGTGGCAGGATCACAGCTCGCTGTTATCTCAGCTTCCTAGGCTCAAGCAAGATTCCCGCCTCAGCCTCCTGAATAACTGGGACCACAGGCATGCACCACCACACCCAACTCAGTTTTTGAGATTTTTTATGGAGATGGGGTCTCACTATGTTGTCAAGTCTAGTCTTGAACTCCTGGGCTCAAGTGATCCACCTCAGCTTCCCAAAGTGCCGGCATTACAGGCGCGAAGCAGCACACCCAGCCTCTCTTTTTTATTTTATAGCATTTATCACTTTCAAATATACTTCGTGATTTACTTGAATATGATTTACTTATTTACCATGTTATTATTTTCTTCCTCTAGTGCCCAGAACACTATCTGGCACATTGTAGATAATCTATATATGTTTGTTAAGTGAATGAAAGCAAAAAAAAAAAAAAAAAAAACCAACAACAACAGAAACTGAAAAGAGCCCAAAAGCTAATGACAGAATAAACAAATTATAGTTATTTACATAAAAACATAAATGAAAATGAGGAAACTACAGCTATATGAAACTACATAGATAAGTCCTAGAAATCATAATATTGTTTAGGGATATATGTGATTTTTTTGTAGGAAATTATTTTTAAAAGAAAGGTAAGAATAAACTCAAAATTCAGGATAATGGAGACATGAGTGGCACAAAGTGATGGATTAGATGGTGAAGGAGCACATGGATGCAACAGTGTTGGTATGATCTGTTTCTTGGCTTGGATGGTGGATTTGAAACAGTCACTTTAATGACTTGCACTATTTTCTTTTGTATGTATCAAATATTGCATAATCAAAATTTTATTTAAAATGTGAAAGTGAATGTAAGGTCAGAAAATAGAGTCATGTTATAGAGTTAATGTTATATAGAGTTATGTTAGAAAGTAGAGTTATATAGAGTTATGTTAGAAAATAGAGTTACTGTTAATTTTGAGAAGTTTGAGAAAAGAGTGGTAGCTGGATGGTATGATGGGGCAGAAAAAAAGTGTCAGTGAGAGATGGATGATATGCATGGTTTATGTGTGAAACTTTACCATGTTTATGGGCACAGATGCAATGGTTCAAAGAGACTGAACAAAGGAAAAGGTAAAAATACCTGACAGGACGGAAATGACCAGTGAAGCCAAGTCCAAGTGGAGGATCAGATCAAGAGTAAAAGAGGAAAGATACCTTTGATCTAGTGAAGGAACAATGCTTCTTCTGCAAATAGAGGAAAGGAATTAGAAAAGTGTGTATGTAATATTGAGTTCAGTTCCATAACATCAAGAGTTCAGTTTCATGTCAAATAATGTGAAGAGTTCAATTTCGAGATATGGTTGAAGTCAGGTTGGGGAGGGCTCTTAAAGTGTAACGAGAATCTCTGATAATCATCCTAGAAAACAGTGTAAGGGATTGACCAGGGAAAGATTCATGAAAGGATTCCTGAGCAGTGCTGACAGCTGAGTTAAGGCTGAAGATACTAAATTTATAAACATGCCAGTCTGAGTACTGCTTGATTTCTACAGCTCAGGTGTAAGAGAAGACGGATTGAACTTGGAGATTTTCAGGAGATGGGGAAGTCAAAGGAAGACATGGATGAGAAAGGAAATCAGGCTATGAAGGCAGTGTTGGATCAGGAGAAAAGGGAGATCACTATGAAGAACAAATGTAGAAGAAAGAGAACTGGAGAGATGAAAGAAAGATATGATGGCCACATGAAAGTTTGATATTTCAAAGATGAGATAGTGGAGTTCTAAGTAATAAGTTCCAGGATGTATCTTTGAACATGGGTTACTAAAAATAGAATGAAAGACACGAGTTCAAGGAATTTTAAGCCTAGATTTTGGACATTAAAGTCATGCTGATAGACAAGAGTTGGGATAGAGAACAAAATTGATCACAGCGCCAAAGTTCTCAATAAATGAGGACTCAGCCTTAAAGCATTGAGAAGGGGTAGAGGGTTGTATGCACATATGCCGTGATCTCAAGGAAGAAGGAACTTTAGCATGAAACAGGAACAACAGTGGTGAAGGGAAGCAGCCTTGGAGTATCTGCAGACTACCAACACTGCTTCAGGAGAGGATAGGAAGTCTCTGCTCCTGGGGCATGCTGGGGAAAGTTTTCTACAGGACATCCATGCTTCATTTCAAGGCAACACAGGAACAAGTGTTCTGTAAAAAGGTTGAGGATATAGGAGAATTTATTTATAATGGAAAAAAACTTTCTAGTGAGCATAATGGAAAGGATTGAAAGGAGATGATAAGTTAAATAGTCAAGAAATAGAAATACAGGCTGTGTGCAAATGTGAGCCAAAATAAGAAGGTGGGCTGCAGAGGCTTGCTTTTTGTTTAGGGGCTGAAGATCAGAGACATGGTCGGATTTACAGGGGGGCTGGGTCTAACGTATATGAGTACATTCTGTTGAGACCAGGAGACTCCTTGCCCTTTGGTCTCGTTTTTCAGGGCAACCCTGCCTTTTCATAGGAATTTTGAAGTTAACAATTACCTTTCCCCACTTGTAAGAATAGGCCCTTACTGTCTTATCTCCTCTGGGGTGTCTTACATATATTTATTGAGACCTATTTCTCTAGGTTATCCTTTGCCAGTTGTTTTCCACCTTTGTGTGAGATGGGGCCTTTGAACATAGTTTACACTTTTTGAAAAGTATAGCCTTATTATTAGATAATCCTGCCTTTGCCTCGCTTTGTGCCCTTGGCATGTTACTCTGCTTCAGTTTTCTTACCTGGAAATGATGCTCACTTCACTTGTTAGGATTAAGTGAGTTAACGCAAGTAAAACACTCCAAATGATGCCTAGTATGTACTCTGCACTATGTGGTTATTTTTGAAAACATGGTGATCATACTTTTACATATTATAACTATTTACTGAGTATCATCAACCAATATACTTGATACTTTAAATTTATTTAATTTCATTCTCACAACAATGCTATGATGTTGATTAACCTTGTCACTGAAATAAGCTAAGACTTCAGAGAAGAGCAGTAAATTGCCTTGCTAATAAATACTGAAGCTGTTATTAAAATATATCTTTTAATACCAAAATTCACTTTCTTTCCACTGTACAACTTGTTACAAACCACTGTCATTATCATTACCTGTATATTTTTGTTAGCTGTTAATAAATTTCCTCTGAAGTTACATAGCACCATAAAGTAATGAAAGATCTCCAAAAGTTCTTATTCTTTCCTGTTGTAACTGGACATCTTTGGTCTCCTTTCTGGTCTCTACTTGTTCTTGGATAGAGAACTCTGAACCTGCACCTGAGGCTGTCTTTTCAGATTCGTGGATATGAGTAAGAATGCCATCTACTGAGCACCTGCACTTTAATTTAAATCTTAAATTTAAAAAAATCAGAAAGAAAATAAAACCAATAATGAAAGTGGTAGTCTTTATTCTCTTAAGAGGCAAATAACAGCCTGAAACATAAATCCCACCTTTGAGACACATGTCTATCAAACCTATATTCTATACACAATTATTTGTGTATTGTGGATATTCCTTAAGGATTGAGTATGGAGAATTACGTTATACAATGACATTTCAGACTGAATCTTTTAAATTAATATTATCTCAAATGTTCTAAATGAAAATTAGCGGCAGGCTGCATGAGTAAAAAATTAGAAGATAGCACCTGTGGTGTTATTGAACACAAAGAGAATCATTGTACATCAAATATATATTTCTGAAAAGTATACTTTGATGAGCTTTTGAATTGGTTCATAAGGAAGTCTGAAAGATGGTCAAATTCAGGGCAGCAGCAGTAGAAATCATTTAATCTTTTTTTTCCCCTATATCAGAAATGCTGCAAGCGGGAACGTTTGCTTTTTTTTCCCCCTTGCCCTTTCCTGGGTCACTGCAGGTCACGTGATGACTGTCACGTGACTCGGTCAAAGGATCTTTTCCTCTTACAGCCTTGCAAAAAAAAAAAAAGCCGTTCTCCAATTAAAGCTGTTAACGTGTACTACGCTGTTTCCTTGTTGGATTTTCTTGTTCTCTGCTGCTACTGTAAAAACGAAATGAGTGGTAAGATTTGCTGTTTTCGAACATTCTGCTTTTATTTTAAGACAGAAAGCATTGTATTAATCTAAAGTCATGCCGTGTGTTTTTAAAAATAGATGCTAAATATCATCGCCATAAAATATTTTAAATTGTTGCCATGTAAATACAAAAAGGTTAGACTATGTAGAGTTATTTTGTAATTTTGTATTCCACGGAATATTCCATTCTAGGATCTTTATTTTACTAGGTTTTTCTTCTAGAGCTAAAATCTGAAAATTGGCATCAGATTATTTGGAAGCCATTGTGAACGCTGGCTTATAGAGAATGTGTAGCACAGCGGCAGCACGTTGCATTTTAAGAATTAAAACTCCTGGACAAATTTGTAATTTTATTTAAAAAAAACCTCTTAAATATGAATGTATATTAACAAGGAAAGATAAAGAAGAATTTAAGTTATACTAGTTGAAATATCTTCTTTAAGTCAGTGATGGCACTTTTTAAGAAGCAGGGGTGGGGAGCTTCTCAAATTTCTTAAGACAATTGGTTAGAATTGTTTACTCTTCTGCAGGTTTTTGAAATAGGAAATGTATCCTTAATAGCTCCATGATTGGGGTAAATCATGCTCAAATCACATAGATTATAAAGGAGCTGCTAAGTGTATGCACAGTTGTTGTCAGGTATTGCTACTCTTGTGCCAGGCATACATTTGTCAATAGGATCTGAGTTTCTTCCTTGGGACAAAATCTCCCTCATTGCATACAAATTTAAGTCAGTTTGTAGTTAATTTTCTGTTACTTTCTAAATTAAAAAGTATTGTTGGAACTAAGGAGCTAATCAAACATTTACATCATTAAATATGCAAGGCTTTAAGGTTTCGCTACTATAGACACAGGAGTAACAACAGACATGAGATGCTGTAAACGTTGTAGTTCTAAACATCGATACTTGTATTTATTATGTTTATACAATAGGGGTTTGCATTCAGTGTTGAATGTTACTTCACAGCAATATTTTAGGCATTAAATATGATACCGATAAATTGTCTTTTTAAAAGAAAATCTGGCCGGGCATGGTGGCTCACACCTGTAATCCTAGCACTTTGGGAGCCCGAGGCAGGTGGATCACCTGAGGTTAGGAGTTCAAGACCAGCCTGGCCAACATGGTGAAACCCCGTCTCTACTAAAAATACAAAAATTAGCCGGGCGTGGTGGCACATGCATGTAATCCCAGCTACTCGGGAGGCTGAAGCAGAAGAATCACTTGAACCCAGGAGGAAGAGGTTGCATTGAGCTGAGATAGCGCCACTGCACTCCAGCCTGGGCAACAGAGTAAAACTCCGTCTCAAAAAAAAAAAAAAAAAATCTAACCATGTACAATTTCTGCCTCAGGATAAAAAAAAAATTTTTTTGCTAGAGTGAAAGGATTACTTCGTAAAGAAGTAAGTTAATCAGTCTTTTTCCTGGACTACATCTAGTAATATATTTACTACTGGTTTATTTTAGCTTACATTTCTCTTTTCAGCATCACACTTAGATATAATTAAAAAACAAAGTAGAATCTTGTATTACCAAATTATAAACTATTTTAGCGGCTATCAAAGTATAAAATGGTTTGAATTGTAACTACATATATATTCGTATTTCTGGTAAAAGGAGGGCCACTTGAAGCAATTGTGTGATTTTACTATTTTAAATGTAATTAGCAATAACTTATTATTCTGATGGCAAAAGAAAAACCTATTCTGATGACTTGATGTAAGGATTAAATTTGACAGCATATAAAAGGACCCACAGTAAAAGTGCAATGCTAATGGCCTTTATTAACATTATAAAATATGATTTTCAGTGAATTCTCTGTCAAGTTCTCAGCTGAATTTCACATATTGTAAGTAATACCTAAGCCACCTGTAAGGATTCAGGAAGTTAGTTTACTGTAGTTTTATATAAATTAGCTAATGGAAGTAAACCAGCATTAGTTTAAAACAGTTCTCATTTCTCTTGAGTCTAGAATATAGGAGCTAAAAGGTGAGTTTTGCATGAAGCTTTTCTGCCTAGAGGTATAAAGCAGCTCACAAGTTTTATTCAGTAAATTAATAGGTAATGTTTGCTTAAACTTAAGAAAATTTTATTCTTTCTCTCATGTTTTTACGGATGTAAAGACAACAAAGGCCTTAATTTTCCTTAGAGGCTTTAGAGCATTGTTCTTAAGCCTCAAATTATATCAGTTGCCAATACTGCATAGTATTTTAATGTTTACTAAAAATGTGGTAAGGATATGTCCTTAGAAATAAAACTACCTGGTTTTGAATCCCACTTCTACCACTTGGGGAGCTTAACCTCTCTGTGCCTCAGTTTCCACATCTAGAAAATGGAGATGATGATGATGATGATATTTACCTGATAGAATGATTATGAGGAGAAAAAATATGTAAAAGGCCTGGCACATAGTAAGTTAGTATTAGCTATATATAATTAAAATAATATTCTGGACAACTTCATGTATTTGGTGGTGGTCTTGTTTTGGATGGGAAGAGTATCTTATTGAAAAGTTCTTTTCACAGCCAGATATTATATAGTGTAATTTAGTGTTCTACACAAACACTTCTTACTTTCTCTCAACCACTTCAGTCTTATCCCTACTTTCTCTTCCCCTCCCCACCTCTTCTGTCCTTTCCCTCCCCTCCCCCTTTCTCCTATTTCTCCACATCGTTCCTCCTCCCCCTTACCCTTCTGTTTTCTCCTCTCCCTCCCTTCTTGTCTTCTCTTCACTCTCCTTTACTGCCTCTTGTCCCCTTTCTTATCCCTCCCTTTTCTTCTCTTACCTCTCGCCTCTCTCCTTCTCTCCCCTCTTGCCTTTCTCCTCTCCTTGCTTGCTTCCCCCTTTTTTCCTCCACTTTCCCCACTTTCCTTACCCCTGTTTAGTATTTTCCGTCACCCCGTTTAGTAGTTTCCCTCTTACACCCCCTTTCTTTTGTATTCTCTTTTCTCTTCCCTAGCTCTCTCATCTCCCTAGCCCTAATTTCATCACCACTGTGTGGTTCTGTCCTCACCCCTTGCCTTCCCTAGAAAGGGCAGAATGGCTGTAATCCGGATTTGTTGTGACCTCCATGTCCTTTATTCTGATTTTCTGAAGTATGTATAATATTAACAGAGTTACTTGTTTTCTACCCTACATTTGAGCTTTTCCTCCTTTATTTCTTTTATAGCTGAGAGCCATTATATAATGGTAGATTATAATTCTGCATATAAAAGAGATCCTTCCCCCTTTACATTCCTCATCAGACCTTTGTTCTTATTCCCTTAGAAATAAGTAATTTCTTTGAAAAGGTTTCATTTCAGGTTATAAAAAACTGGTGGGCATGAGGGGACACTGCAGTGTAAAGTTACAGGAAGAAAGGAACTGAAGGGGGGTAAGAGACTTTTTTAAAAGTTACATAAAGCAACTAAGATTTTAGTTCCTAGAAAGAACAAAACACACCTTCTCCAAATGCTTCTTTTGTTCCCAGAAATGTTAAAAGAGAAGGTAAACTAGAGATAATAGTTATAAAAGTTAATTGGAAAACCTAACACTATAAAAGTGAAAGGAAGTGTAGAGTGAGAGAAGCTGAATTTTCTTTTTTAGAACTTTTTAGTGTGAGAAACAAAAAAAAATTTTTTTTTCCTTTGGGTAAGTACACGTGTGGCATTTCTCTTTGTTCTTAAGCCCCCATAGACATGAGTCACACATTACACAAGTATTTTAACCCTAACAAAGCAAGTTCCAAATTTCTAACTATTCTTCCTCTTGCTGCTTTTCACTCTTGCTTTTTTATTTTGTCCCTGTAACTTTTGAAAATTTTGCCTTTTGTATTTTTCATTGATTTTATATGCAGAGTTTAGTTTGATTTTTCTCTAGGTCAGTGTTTCTAAACTTACACTATTATAAGAGTCACCTGGGATATTTGTAAAGTGAATATAATGATTCAAGACCCCATTGACTAAGAATCTCTAGGAGAGCCTGTTAATATGTTTTAAAAAGCCCTCCAACCTCCCCGCCCCCCACCACCCCTACCCCAGCAACTTTAAAAAACACAAATGTAGGTAAAGGGTAATTTGTGCACTTTACAAGATAAATTTTTATAACAAGTCAATCATCTGAATTTCTTTTTATAAAAATGTAGTTACTGTTGGCTTGAGTGTTTAGATGAAGTATTCAAAATGTAATTCAAATTGTTTTCAACTTTAGCCTGATAAGCAATCATGGGTTAATACATCATTTATGTGACCCATTCAGGTCCTGCTCAGGTTCCAATGATGTCCCCAAATGGTTCTGTGCCTCCTATCTATGTGCCTCCTGGATATGCCCCACAGGTATGTTTTTATGCTATTTTTCTTTTCATATTTGTATAATAGTGATAATGTTATTCTCTTTGACTTTGATTTTGATTTAAAAAAACCATTTAATTACTGAGGCTTACCAAGTGTTGTGTATCTATCATAAATCTATTTCAAGTATTTTAGTACATTTGGAAAGGAAGAAAAATTTTTATTGGCAGCACTCATCATTTGTCCTTGTCTTTGGGTGTTAAGTCACAAAAGAAAATTCATTCTAGAGTTTTGTCTCCCTAAATATATGACTAAATAAAAATAATATTTTAGGTTGTAAAGGTGCCTACACTGACATTTTTAAATTTAGAAATTTGCTTAGATGTAACCCAAGACAATGCTTCCAACTTTATTCATACAATGAATCTCAGACACTGTTGATAATTGCATGGCATATTGTGTTCAATAGAAAAGAGTTTAGCAACCCTGAGGGATGAGGGGGGGGGGGAAATAAAAAAAAAAAATCAGTATCTCCATACACCTGTAACCTTTTATGCATAATGACTGGGAAGCTCTGACCTTAAGTATAGTAATTTATGAACACAGGCAAACTGAATTAAACTGTAAAATCTGCAGGTGTTCAATATCTTCCACTACTGAGATTTCGTATGGTCTGCACGCTTTGCCTCAATCTATTTTGGGAAATAATCATTTTCTCTCCCTAGCATTGAATTTACACTTGAAGTTTTTCTTCAGGCCCTCTGTTACTTCCTCCCTGATTATGCCAGAATATTGGTGGTGGGATATTGGGGTGGATTTTCTGCACACTCTGTGAAGCACACCATCATATGAACCACAGCAAAAGAAGAGCGTGCTGGGAAGGAGAGAATGGAATGAGATTTAGAATGGATTCAGAAAAGCTGAATCCATATCTTATTTCAAACCTTTGCTGGCTGCATGGTCTTGGGCAAATCAACTTCCTTCAGTCTCAGTGCCTTCATTATGAGATGAGATCACGTACTGAAATTACCTTGTAAGCTTTTCAGAGTAGTCTCTACTAACTATCTCTACTTTTGTTTAGCACACTGACTCCTTAATATAGTCTGCATTCTGTCTATATTACTCTACTAAAACTGCTTTCCGCTATGTACCAAATCCAAAGTCCTGCTTTCCAGCCTGGTCCTCTTTGACCTCTAAAAATTTGGTACCACTGATAAGATTTACTACAGATTTCCTTGACATCATGCTGCCCTGATTTTTGTTTTCTACTTCTTTGTTGCACCTTCTCAGATCTTCCTTCTCTTACATGAAGACTGTTCTCTAGCATAGTTCAGTTCATGATTTATTGAGTGGCACCACGTACTGAGCTCTGTATTGGGAGCTAGTGATAAAAAGATGATTAAGACAAGTTCTTTCAGTGCACTTAGGTTATCTGCTGTTCTCTCATCTTACAGTACCTTTTCGTTTTATTTTTTGTGGCAAACTCCTATCCTTTTCATTTCACTTCATCGTGAGCTCTGAAAGCAGTTTTCCCTGAGCCTTTCCAGGTGCTTCTCCCTTTGGGCTTTCGTGGCATATTATTAATATATATATTCCTCTTTTCATAAACTTATGAAATGTGTAATTCTCTTTCCTGAGACTATGAATTCTTACAGTTCCTATGTTCAACAGTGTTCCACAAATATGTATTGAGTGTTTATATATGTCAGGCACTCTTGAGTGCTTGGAATATGTCCATGACTGAAAGAGGCAAAGACTCATGCCGCTCTGTGGTTTATATTCTTCTGGGAAGAGGCAAATAAAAAGTGGATAAACTCTATAATGTTTGCTGGGCATGGTGGCTCACGCCTGTAATCCCAGCTCTTTGGGAGGCCAAGGCGGGTGGATTACCTGAGGTCAGGAGTTCGAGACCAGCCTGGTGAAACCCTGTCTCTACAAAAAATACAAAAATTAGCTGGTCATGGTAGCAGGTGCCTGCAATCCCAGCTACTAGGGAGGCTAAAGCAGGAGAATCGCTTGAACCTGGGAGGCGGAGGTTGCAGTGAGCCGAGATCGCACCATTGCACTCCAGCCTGGGAGACAGAGTGAGACTCCGTCTCAAAAAAAAAAAAAAATCCTATAATGTGTTAGAGCTGGTTATATTTTACAAGAGTGGTCGGAAGAGGCCTCATTGGGCAGGTAAGATTTGAGCCAAGTCTTGAAGGACAGGTGGGGGTTAGCTATGCATCTATCTGAGAAAAGAGGATTCTGGACAGAAATGGCCAGTGCAAGTGGCTAAGATGACAGCATGCCTGGGAACAGCAAGGAGGTCAGTATGATTGGACTGATTCATCAAGGGAGAATAGAAGGGAATGAGGTAAGAAGTAAGAAGTCTAGATCATATAAGACTCTTACTTATCTTCATATCCTCAATGCCAAGTATATAGCCTGTCATATAGTAGGAGCTCAGTAAATATTTGTAAATTAGATAATCATCCGAGTTGAGGTTCTGTAATCTTTAGACCAAAAGCCACAGAGATAATCTTCCTATAGCATTTCTTTGGTCATAAAGAGCCTGTAGCCGGCTTGTACACTCAATGAAGTCTAGATTTCTTGACATTTAAGGCTTTACACGGTTCTGTCCTGGTTTGCCTTTGCACCATTTTCTTGATACTTTCAATTATGTCCATTTTTGTAGCCGAACATTTCTCACATGCTTACTTGGTGTTTCCTTAATGCTGTTATCTAAGGAATGTTATTCATTTCTCCATTTCTGCCTTTTAAAATTCTACCCATCCTTGAGGGCCTACCTAGATCATGTTATTGAACCACTTCTTGGTTATAATACATATCACCTAATATAATTATGTACTGTTAGCCCTTCATATCCTTAGGTTCCAAATCTATGGATTCAACCAACCACAGATTGAAAATATTTGAAAAAAAAAATTGCATCTATACTGAACACGTACAGACTTTCTTGTCACATTTCTTAATACAATATAACTATTTACACAGCATTTACATTATATTAGGTATGATAAATAATCTAGAGATGATTTAAAGTACACCCGAGGGTGTTGTAGGTTATAAGCAAGTACTACACCGTTTTATATCAGAGGCTTGAGCATTAGAAAATTTTGGTATCCACAGAAAGTCCTGGAACCAATCCCCCATGCATACCAAGGGACAACTGCATATGTATTTTTACTCCTACAGGATTTTAGGTTCCTTAAGATAGGAACTGCCTTTTAATTATTTTTGTGTTCTTGTGGTAACTCAAATGTAGTAAGTGTCCCATAAATAGTTGTCACATAAATTAATGAATTTTAACAATAATCTTCCTGGAAGGATTATGTGAGGTTAGTGGGCTACTATTATTAATCTTAATTTAAGATGAAGATTATCTCTAGAAAATGTGTCGTTTTCATTACACAGGGTAATCCAAAGACAAAAATCTAGTCTTATCGTTTTTTAGTTAATTTAAGTTTCCAGTATGTAAGACTTGATTCTTCCACAGAGGGCAAGCCCACAGAGGGCGAGCTGAAGCAGGGTGGGGCATCGCCTCACCCAGGAAGCAAAAGGGGTCGGGGAGCTCCCTCCCCTAGCCAAGGGAAGCCATGAGGGACTGTGCCATGAGGAACAGTGCATTCCGGCCCAGATACCACACTTTTCCCACAGTCTTCGCAACCCGCAGACCAGGAGATTCCCTTCGGTGCCTATACCACCAGGGCCCTGGGATTCAAGCACAAAACTGGGCAGGCATTTGGGCAGACACTGAGCTAGCTGCAAGAGCTTTTTTTCATATTCCAGTGGCTCCTGGAACGCCAGCAAGACAGAACCGTTCACTCCCCTGGAAAGGGGGCTGAAGTCAGGGAGCCAAGTGGTCTAGCTCAGCGGATCCTACCTCCACAGAGCTCAGCAAGCTAAGATCCACTGGCTTGAAATTCTCGCTGCCAGCACAGCAGTCTGAAGTCCACCTGGGACACTCAAGCTTGATGGGGGAGGGGCGTCTGCCATTACTGAGGCTTGAGTAGGTAGTTTTCCCTGAGCAGTGTAAACAAAGCCACCAGGAAGCTGGAACTGGGCAGAGCCCACCGCAGCTCATCAAAGCCACTGTAGCCAGACTACCTCTCTAGATTCCTCCTCTCTGGGCAGGGCATCTCTGAAAGAAAGGCTCCAGCCCCAGTCAGGGGCTTATAGATAAAACGCCCGTCTTCCTGAGACAGAGCACCTGGGGGAAGGGGCAAGTGTGGGCACAGCTTCAGCAGACGTAAACGTTCCTGCCTACCGGCTCTAAAGCAAGCAGTGGATCTCCCAGCAGAGCTCCCAAGCTCTGCTAAGGGACACATTGCCTCCTCAAGTGGTTCCCTAACCCCCGTGCCTCCTGACTGGGAGACACCTTCCAGCAGGGTCGACAGACACCTCATACAGGAGAGCTCCAGCTGGCATCTGGTGGGTGCCCTTCTGGGACAGAGCTTCCAGAGGAAAGAACAGGCAGCAGTCTTTGCTGTTCTGCAGCCTCTGTTGGCGATACCCAGGCAAACAGGGTCTGAGTGGACCTCCAGCAAACTCCAGCAGACCTGCCGCAGAGGGGCCTGACTACTAGAAGGAAAGTAAAAGAAAGGAATAGCAACAACATCAAGAAACACGATGTCCACACAGAAACCCCATCCGAAGGTCACCAAGACAAAAGGCCAAAGGTAGATAAATCCATGAAGATGAGGAAAAACCAGCACAAAAAGGCTGAAAATTCCAAAAGCCTCCTGCAAAGGATCACAGCTCCTTGCCAGCAAGTGAACAAATCTGGACGGAGAATGAGTTTGACGAATTGACAGAAGTAGGCTTCAGAAGGTGGGTAATAACAAACTCCTCTGAGCTAAAGGAGCATGTTCTAACCCAATGCAAGGAAGCTAAGAACCTTGAAAAAAGGTTACAGGAATTGCTAACTTGAATGACCAGTTTAGAGAAGAACATAAATGACCTGATAGAGCTGAAAAACACAGCACAAGAACTTCGCGAAGCATACACAAGTATCAACAGCCAAATCAATCAAGCAGAAGAAAGGATGTCAGAGATTGAAGATCAACTTAATGAAATAAAGTGTGAAGACAAGATTAGAGAGACAAGAATGAAAATGAACGAACAAAGCCTCCAAGAAATATGGGACTATGTGAAAAGTCCAAACCTATGTTTGATTGGTATACCTGAAAGTGATGGGGAATATGGATCCAAGTTGGAAAACACTCTTCAGGATATTATCCAGGAGAACTTCCCCAACCTAGCAAGACAGGCCAACATTCAAATTCAGGAAATACAGAGAAAACCACTAAGATACTCCTTGAGAAGAGCAAACCCAAGACACGTAATTGTCAGATTCACCAAGGTAGACATGAAGGAAAAAATGTTAAGGGCAGCCAGAGAGAAAGGTCAGGTTACCCACAAAGGGAAGCCCGTCAGACTAATAGCAAATCTCTCTTCAGAAACTCTCCAAGCCAGAAGAGAGTGGGGGCCAATATTCAACATTCTTAAAGGAAAGAATTTTCAACCCAGAATTTCATATCCAACCAAACTAAGCTTCATAAGCGAAGGAGAAATAAAATCCTTTACAGACAAGCAAATGCTGAGAGATTTCATCACCACCAGGCCTGCCTTACAAGAGCTCCTGAAGGAAGCCCTAAATATGGAAAGGAAAAACCAGTACCAGCCACTGCAAAAACATGCCAAATTGTAAAGACCATCGACTCTATGAAGAGACTGCATCAACTAATGGGCAAAATAACCAGCTAGCATCATAATGACAGGATCGAATTCACACATAACAGTATTAATCTTAAATGTAAATGGGCTAAATGCCCCAATTAAAAGACACAGACAGGCAAATTGGATAAAGAGTTGAGACCCATTGGTGTGCTGTATTCAGGAGACCCATCTCACATGCAGAGACATACATAGGCTCAAAATAAAGGGATGGAGGAAGATTTACCAAGCAAATGGAAAGCAAAAAAAAAAAAAGCAGGAGTTGCAATCCTAGTCTCTGATAAAACAGACTTTAAACCAACAAAGATCAAAAAAGACAAGAAGGGTATTACATAATGGTAAAGGGATCAGTGCAACCAGAAGAGCTAACTATCCTAAATATATATGAACCCAATACAGGAGCACCCAGATTTATAAAGCAAGTTCTTAGAGACCTACAAACAGACTTAGACTCCCACACAATAATAATGGGTAATAATAATTAACACCCCACTGTCAATATTAGATCAATGAGACAGAAAATTAACAAGGATGTTCAGGACTTGAACTTAGCTCTGCACCAAGCTGACCTAATAGACATCTACAGAACTCTCCACCCCAAATCCACACAATATACATTCTTCTCAGCACCACATCACGCTTATTCTAAAACTCACCACATAATTGGAAGTAAAACACTTCTCAGCAAATGTAAAAGAACAGAAATTATAACAAACAATCTCTCAGGCCACAGTGCAATCAAATTAGAACTCAGGATTAAGAAACTCACTCAAAACCACACAACTACATGGAAACTGAACAACCTGCTCCTGAATGAGTACTGGGTAAATAATGAAATGAAGGCAGAAATAAAGATGTTCTTTGAAACCAATGAGAACAAAGACACAACATACCGGAATCTTTGGGACACATTTAAAGCAGTATGTAGAGGGAAATTTATAGCACTAAATGCCCACATGAGAAAGCGGGAAAAATCTAAAATCAACACCCTAACATCACAATTAAAAGAACCAGAGAAGCAAGAGCAAACAAATTCAGAAGCTAGTAGAAGACAAGAAATAACTAAGATCAGAGCAGAGCTGAAGGAGATAGAGACAAAAATAAACCCTTCAAAAAAATCAATCAGTTCAGGAGCTGGTTTTTTGAAAAGATGAACAAAATAGATAGACCACTAGCTGGACTGTTAAAGAAGAAAAGAGAGGAGAACCAAATAGACACAATAAAAAATGATAAAGGGGATATCACCACTGATCCCACAGAAATACAAACTACCATCAGGGAATACTATAAACACCTCTATGCAAATAAACTAGAAAATCTAGAAGAAATGGGTAAACTCCTGGACGCATACACCCCCCCAAAGACTAAACAAGGAAGAAGTGGAATCCCTGAATAGACCAATAACAAGTTCTAAAATTGAGGCAGTAATTGATAGCCTAACAACCAAAAAAAGCCCAGGACCAGATGGATTCACAGCCTAATTCTACCAGAGGTACAAAGAGGAGCTGTTACTATTCCTTCTGAAAGTATTACAAACAACAGAAAAAGACGGACTCCTCCCTAACTCATTTTATGAGGCCAGCATCATCCTGATACCAAAACCTTGCAGAAGTACAACAAAAAAAGAAAATTTCAGGCCAGTATCCCTGATGAAGATCAATGTGAAAATCCTCAATAAAATAACTGGCAAACTGAATTCAGCAGCACATCCAAAAGCTTATCCACCATAATCAAGTCTGCTTCATCCCTGGGATGCAAGGCTGGTTCAACATACGTAAATCAATAAACGTAATCTATCACATAAACAGCACCAATGACAAAAATGACATGATTATCTCAATAGACACAGAAAAGGCCTTCAATAAAATTGAAGGCCTTCATGCTAAAAACTTTCAATAAACTAGGTATTGATGGAACATATCTCAAAATAATAAGAGCTGTTTATAACAAACCCACAGCCAATATCATACTGAATGGGCAAAAGCTGGAAGCATTACCTTTGAAAACCAGCAGAAGACAAGGATGCCCTCTCTCACCATTCCTACTCAACATAGTATTGGGAGTTCTGGCCAGGCAGTCAGGTAAGAGAAAGAAATAAAGAGTTTTCAAATAGGAAGAGAGGAAGTCAAATTGTCTCTCTTTGCAGATGACATGATTGTATATTTAGAAAACCCCATCGTCTCAGCCCAAAATCTCCTTAAGCAGATAAACAACTTCAGCAAAGTCTCAGGATACAAAATCAATGTGCAAAAATCACAAGCATTCCTATACACCAATAATAGGCAAACAGAGAGCCAAATCATGAGTGAACTCCCGTTCAAAATTGCTACAAAGAGAACAAAATACCTAGGAATCCAACTTACAAGGGATGTGAAAGACCTCTTCAAGGAGAACTACAAACCGCTGCTCAAGGAAATAAGAGAGGACACAAACAAATGGAAAAACATTCCATGCTCGTGGATAGGAAGAATCAGTATTGTGAAAATGGCCATACTGCCCAAAGTAATTTATAGATTCAATGCTATCCCCATCAAGCTACCATTGATTTTCTTCACAGAATTAGAAAAACTACTTTAAATTTCATATGGAACCAAAAAAGAGCCCATATAGCCAAAACAATCCTAAAGAAAAAGAACAGGGCTGGAGACATCATGCTGCCTGACTTCAAACTATACTACAAATCTACAGTAACCAAAACAGCAAGGTACTGGTACCAAAACAGATATATAGACCAGTGGAACAGAACAGAGGCCTCAGAAATAATACCACACATCTACAACCATCTCATCTTTGACAAACCGGGCAAAAACAACCAATGGGGAAAGGATTCCCTATTTAATAAATTGTGTTGGGAATACTGGCTAGCCACATGCAGAAAACTGAAACTGGACCCTTTCCTTACACTTTATACAAAAATTAACTCAAGATGGATTAAAGACTTAAATATAAAACCTAAAACCGTAAAAACCCTAGAGGAAAACCTAGGCAATACCATTCAGGACATAGGCATGGGCAAAGACTTCATGACCAAACACCAAAAGCTATGGCAACAAAAGCCAAAATTGACAAACGAGATCTAATTAAACTAAAGAGCTTCTTCTGTACAGCAAAAGAAACTATAATCAAAGTAAACAGGCAGCCTGTAGAAAGGGAGAAAATTTTTTCAATCTATCCATCTGACAAAGGGCTAATATCCAGAATATACAAAGAACTTAAACAAATTTACAAAAAAAAAAACCAACCCCATCAAAAAGTGGGCGAAGGATCTGAACAGACACTTCTCAAAAGAAGACATTTATGTGGCCAACAAACATATGAAAAAAAGCTTATCATTGGTCATTAGAGAAATGCAAATCAAAACCACAATGAGCTACCATCTCACGCCAGTTAGAATGGCGGTCATTAAAAAGTCAGGGAACCACAGATGCTGGAGAGATGTGGAGAAATAGGAACGCTTTTACACTGTTGGTGGTAGTGTAAATTAGTTCAACCATTGTGGAAGACAGTGTGGCAATTCCTCAAGGATCTAGAACCACAAATACCATTTGACCCAGCAATCCCATTACTGGGTATATAGCCAAAGGATTATAAATCATTGTACTAGGACCATGCACATGTATGTTTATTGCAGCACTATTCACAGTAGCAAAGACTTGGAACCAACCCAAATGCCCATCAGTGATAGACTGGATAAAGAAAATGTGGTGCATATACACCATGGAATAGTGTGCAGCCATAAAAAAGGATGAATTCATGTCCTTTGCAGGGACATGGATGAAGCTGGAAACCATCATTCTCAGCAGATTAACACAGGAACAGAAAACCAAACACCACATGTTCTCACTTATAAATGGGAGTTGAACAATGAGAACACATAGACACAGGGAGGGGAACATCACACACTGGGGCCTGTGAAGGGATGGGGAGCTAGGGGAGGGATAGCATTAGGAGAAATACCTAATATAGATGATGGGTTGATGGGTGCAGCAAACCACCATGGCACGTGTATACCTATGTAACAAACCTACATGTTTGGCACATGTATCCCAGAACTTTAATTAAAAAAAAAAAAGTAGAGAAAAAAAGCTTCAGAAGAAGCAAACTATTTGAAAAGATGATACATAGTCCACATACCAAGATTATGTACTTTACACATAAATAACCTCCATAGCCATTTCTGGGGCCTGCTTGGTCCTTATTTTAGGCAGAACCTTAATGAGCTTTATTGTTGCAGTTTAATAAATAAGGATACTTTTAAGAAATTGGTGTACTGCACAGAGGCAGAAATATGTGCCAGTGGAATTAAGTTATCAAATGAGGAAATGAACAAAACATAGAACTATAAAACTTAAATACAAAGCAAGTGATGCCAGGAGTAGAAGGAACTTAATTCACTGGCAAATAGTACTAACTTAGAGTCCCTAAGAGCATTGTATTGCAGGACAGGATAACACTTCCGCTATTTCAGTGATAAAGTTAATAACTTATCAAGAGAAGTTTATGAACTACCTGAATGGGACTCCTGAAAGGCAATATCAGAAGTTCTGCCTTTCTGGTAATGGCTCCCTTAACTGTTTTTTTATAGAATGTGGGCTGTTATGGTAATGAGAGGGTGCCTAACAAGGAAGGAATTGTAGATCGCATAGCGTGGGGAAAGAAACTATATCGACTTTGGGAAAAGTTTCAGGTTACTCCTTTGAGCTGTGCTTGCTGTTTCATTTTGCTTTTATGATGGCACGCAGGAGTGAGGTCAGTGTGTTTTTCAGATATTCTGCAAATCAATCTGATCTCAGACTTCTTGCTGCTCTCCTGGGGACAACAGCCAAAAGGGATGGGCAGGGGAGTGTGAGAAACTATAAGATGGGGAGACCTAAGAGATTTATATGAGAATGAAGAGATATAGTAAGAACTGGAGAGAAAGGAGATTGTGATCACATACTGTTGTATATGTTTGTAGACACATAAATGTTTGTTAAATGAATGGCCTATGTTATTGTTTAAGAGCTTAAAGTTGTTTTGAGCTTAAAGTGAAGCTGTATTATTAAGAGCTTAAAGTTGGAATAGTTCTGGGTTCAGAGTGAGACCACAGAAGTAGGTTGCAAAAAGTAGAGAGGAAGCAAAGGTTGTAGGAATTGAGAAAGTCACAGAACCCTAATAGCTTCATGGTGTAAAGAGAGGGAGAAAGAAATGTAGCATTCTGTTAGTGCTAAAAGAACACATATATTTCTGATCATATCATTCATTTAACAAATAACTATTAGAGCATCAACCCATGTGCTAGGTACTATTCCAGGTCCTGGGGGAAAAAAACAATAAATAAAACATTTATTGTGGGCTTTATATTCTGGTAAGGAAGATACACAATATAAAATGTCAGATACAGTTTCCTTTCTCTGCAGCCCTTCTCAATTGTGTCTCTGTTCAATAAAGGAAGAAAAAAAAACATGTCTTTGCCTACTTAGAAATTAGGTGGCATCTGTGGTTAAGTGGTCAGACTATGCTAATGCCTCATTTAATTATATTTTATTGCCTTATCTGTATTTTAATTTTTATGAACACTGACAAATTTGAATTATATTTTATCTTTTTTTTCCTTTTCACAACGTACTTATTTTATTTTACATCACAACCAGTGTACCCTGTTGGTGTGAAATCTGACCTCTACATGATGGCCATTTCTTAGCACCTAAGCCTCTGGAGACTTAGCAAATAGTTTTGAAGTCTGTTGCCTTCCTCTGAAGTTACTGGCTGCTTGAGGTAGTGGAGTTCACCGTGCTCTTGGTTCTTGTCTGGCTTTTTTTTTTCCCCTCTTCTGTCTACATCTTAGGTTTGGGGGTTTTTTTTGTTTGTTTTTTTAATTGTGGTAAAACACACATAACATAAAATTACCATCTTAACCTTTTTTAAGTATACAGTTTAATGGCATTAGGTACATTTACAGCATTGCACTACCAGCTCCACCCTCCATCCACAGAACTCTTCATCTTGCTGAAAACTGAAGCTCTGAACCTGTTAAATAATAGCTCTCCATTTTCCTCTCCCCTAAGCTTATCTTTGTATTTTAAATGTTCTTACTCATCAGAAAAGTGGTTTTAATTTCATAAATAATTTAGCCATTTATTTTTAATCAAATAAATATCTTGTCGTAAACAACAACAAAAAAGACACTAGAAGACCTATGGCTTCTATGCCCACAAAGTAGATAAGAACATGGAATCTGAAGCCAAGTTGCCCAAGTGCAAATACTAGCTCCCTCACTTTCTACCTATATGACCCTGGGCAAGTTATTTAACATCTCTATGTCTCAGTTTCTCCATCTGAAAAATTGAAATAATAATAGTATGTAGCATTGTTCCAAGGATCAAATAGTTCATATATGTTCCTTGAGAAACTTAACATTTAAATTATAGAGTAAGACATATGCATCTGGAAAATTAACATTTCAGTGTTACAAATATCCAGCAAGTGATACAGAATAAATGCAGTAGAAATTATAGGAGAGAGAGATCACTGAGATTGTGGTACCTAGGGAAGAGTTCATGGAGGAACAGTCAAACGGTATCTTCCACAGACTCCTAGCCCCACACTTCCACCAGTGTTTGCACATCTGCAGTTATGTGCTCTGCTTCTCATCCAGCCCACAAACTCTGTTTCCTCATCTGTAACACAAACTTTCCTGCTCCTGTCCAGACCCGGTTCCCCCACTGGGATACTGGAACCCATCCCATTTTGCCTGTGTAAGGACACATTACTCTAGCATTTTTCTTTTCTCTCTTCTGTGTTATCAATTTCTTGTTCTCTGCTAGATTATTTTCATTAGTATCTTGAGCCTTTTGTAATTTCACTCCTGAAAACAACAAAACATCAAAGTTTCTTGACTTCACTACTTGTATGAGCCACCACCCTATTTCTGTATTCCCCTTTGCAGCAGAACATTTTAAAATTGTGCAGTTAGCTCTAATTCTTCTCCTTACTTTCTCACTTAAACCCACTGCAGTTGGGCTTTGACCCTATGACTATACCAAAACTGCCCTCTTCAAGGTCACAGTAATGTCTACATTGCTAAATCCAGTGGTCAGATTCTTAGTCTTCCTCTTGTTTGACCTATCAGCAGCATTTGACACAGTTAATCCTTCCTCCTTGACATGCTTCACCAAACTTCAGACTCTATACACTGTCTTAGTTTTCCTTCTGCCTCGCTTGGTCATCCCTTCCCAATCTTTCCAGAATTGCAGACTAGTATATCTTAACAGTCTATTCAACATTTCCACTAAGTTGTCTTATAAACTCTTCAAACTCACAAGTGCAAAACTTGAAACTCCAAATCTCTTCCCCTGAAAAAAACTTGTTCTACTCCACAGCCTTCCTCATCACATTGATGGAAGACTATTGTTCCCTAACTTCTTTTTCTCACTTCCCACATGGAATCATCAGCTAATCTTGTCTTGTTTCTCTACTTTTTTTTTTTCTTTTTGAGATGGAGTCTTGCTCTGTTGCCCAGGCTGGAGTGCAGCAGCACAGTCTCGGCTCACTGCAACCTCTGCCTCCCGGGTTCAAACGATTCTCTTGCCTCAGCCTCCTGAGCAGCTGGGACTACAGGTGCGTGCCACCATGCCCAGCTAATTTTTGTATTTTTAGTAGAGATGTAATTTCACCATATTGGCCAGGCTGGTCTCGAACGCCTGACCTCATGATCCACCCACCTCGGCCTCCCAAAGTGCTGGGATTACAGGCGTGAGCCACTGCACCTGGCTTCTACTTTTAAATATATGCAGAATGTGGGTCACTTCTCACCATCTCCACTGCTGCTTCCCTGGTCTTAGCTGTGATCATCTCTTGCCTAGATTACTACAGTAGCTTTCTGAATGGTTTCCCTGCTTTTGTCTTTGCCTCCCTACGATCTCTTCTCAACTCAGCAGCCAGAATAGTCCTGTCAAATATAAGGTTACATCAGGAATTCTCAACCATAGTAATGTAAACATTTGAGGTGGGGTGATGTTTTTGTTGCCCTCTGTGTTGTAGGTTATTTAGCAGTATTCCGGGCCTCTCTACTTTCTAGGTGTTAATAGTGCACCTCCCCCACTGCCCCGAGTTGTGACAACTATAAATGTCTCCAGACCCTACCACATATCCTCTAGGAGTCAGAAACACTAGATTTTATCACTCTTCTGCCCAAAACTTTGTGATGATTTCCCATTCCACTGACAGTAAATGATGAACTCCAACTCCTTAATAGTAGCCTGTGTCGTGGTGCCTGACCTGACCACCCTATCACCGCTTCATTTCTTTGACTTCATCTGCTTCTGCCTTTGCTCCTTTATACTCATGCAGTCACACCAGCTTCCTTTCATCCCTTGGGTATAATCAGCCCCACTTCTACCTTAGGGGCTTTATTCTAACTGTTCCCTCTTCCTAGAACAAATCTTCCAGATTTCTACATAGTTAATTCCTCCACTTCCTTCAAGTTTCTGCTTAAGCTTTTCTTTGCCAGTAAGGCCTACTCTGATCCCTGTGTTTATTCTGTAACCTGCTCCTTTCTCACAACACTTCTAATAGCCCTTACCTGCTATGCCTTTTCCATAGTATTTATCACCTTGCAACATGCTAAGTAACTTACTTGTTGTGTTTGTCTGCCCCTGTTAGTGTGGGTTCCCCACAAATATTTAATATATCATTCTGAGGTTTTTCCCTCTTTGAATTATCAGTTTGTTTTGCTGAAAAATAGTGTTTTAAATGAGTGGAGAAGGTAAAGTTAGAGCTAGAATTGGAAGGATAGACAAGATTATTATAGATTAAAGGGAAGCAAAGTGAAGAAGAATAATTGCATAAATAAAAGTACAGGGTATAGAAATGTATAGTCACTGTGAAAACAGGTTTTTTATTATACCAGCCTGACTGCAGTTAATGGTTCAGGATTTGTTGCAAAAGAACGATACAACTTAGAAGGTAGTTTGGAACCAGGTTGAATGAATATGAAGTACAAGCCTCTTGGAAATGGCTCCGTTTTTTAAGATTTGTGAATTGGAGAGTGATAAAGGTGAAATGAGTATTGTGACAGATACTGTGATTTGGCTCACTTAAAATCCATTTCAAACTTCTTCCAGTGTTCGTTCCTGTAGGGTAGAAGCTAAAAAGCTATCAGCAGTTCCCAGATTCCCTTCAGGTAGGGTTCTAGATATTGTTTAGTTCCCATCAATCATATATGTTTGCTTGAGACTTAAATTCAGAACTGAGTTAAATAGGGAGAAAGGGGTCTGAGGCATCCATTTTGCTGAAAACAAGGCATTATGGTTCTAGACCCAGCATATTAAAAACAGTTAATTCATTTGGTCATCTAGTCCCCTGTTAGAAGAGTCATGTCACACTCCAGTAGGTAAGGATAGTTTAATAATCTAATTAATGTTTGTAATTTAGGCTTATCTATACCCAGATAAGTGTGTTTTCTAGTATACCTATACCTACCAAGCACATATATTTATAAAATAATTTGCTATCCTTAAGCATAATAAACCTTTGCCTTCCTGAAAATCAGGATTTGCCTTTAAATTAGCACTTAACATTATGATCATTTTCTGTTTCCTGAGGAAGGTATTAGCCATTTGTTATACCTTAATAATTACCATATAAGTCTAAAAGAATAAGGGCCTTATTTTAGTGAGGGATTTCTAATTTTAAGATAAAGTCCTTTAATTTTTTAGGGTTTCCTGTGTGTCTTTGCAGCTCTAGTAAGGTTCAAAGAGGAGTAAGTCTTGTCATTTAAAAAAATTTATCCCCACGGTGTAATTCCTGTTTTTTGTTTTTTGGTTTTTTTTTTTTAGTTTGTAATTTCTAAGCCTCAAAGCCACAGATATTTTTCCTAGCTAGGAGTTAATATAGTAATATTCAGTATTTGTGTCCCTTGAAATGATCAGCTGTTAAAATTGTCCTGGTCATGGTCATAAGAATTTTACATCCAAATTCTAACATGTCATTGATTATCTGATTGAGTCTGGATCCAGTTGTTTTGTTTTCTATTTGGTCTTTCCACAACTTGTTTTCCCCTACTCCTAGTCATAATATAGAAAAGGAAATTGATTCCTGAACCTCTTGTGTCTAAACCAAAATTACTCCATCAGGAAATGCACATAACACATAGGATAAATATCTAGTATCATAACTTATTAGGTTACTCTTTAGCTTGTCTAATCAGTGTTTTAAGATTTATATTGAATTGTATAACAAAAACTAATTCATTTTGTTTAGTGCTAATTTACATGTACCAATATATTTAATAAGTTGTTTTCATGTTGATTCTCCAAATTTTTAAAATTTCTAATGGTGTAAAAATTCTTACTCTTACATTTTTATTTTATTTTATTTTTGAGACAGAGTCTTGCTCTGTTGCCCAGGCTAGAGTGCAATGGTGCTATCTCGGCTCACTGCAACCTCCACCTCCCAGGTTCAAGCAATTCTGCCTCAGCCTCCCAAGTAGCTGGGATTACAGGCATGGGCCACCATGCCCAGCTAATTTTTGTATTTTTAGTAGAGACAGGGTTTCGCCATGTTGTCCAGGCTGTTCTCGAACTCCTGACCCTAGGTAATCCACCTGCCTCAGCCTCCCAAAGTGCTGGGACTAGAGGCATGAGCTACCGTGCCTACCCTACTCTTAACATTTTTAAAAGAATTGTTTATATTCTATGGAAGAAATTTTAATCTGATGTTCATTTTGTAGGTTATTGAAGACAATGGTGTTCGAAGAGTTGTCGTGGTCCCTCAGGCACCAGAGTTTCACCCTGGTAGTCACACAGTTCTCCACCGTTCTCCACATCCTCCTCTACCTGGTTTCATTCCTGTCCCAACTATGATGCCGCCTCCACCACGTCATATGTACTCACCCGTGACTGGAGCTGGAGACATGACAACACAGTATATGCCACAGTATCAGTCTTCACAAGTCTATGGAGATGTAGGTAAGACATCTAAAAGTATTCCACTGTTATTGAGTTGGATATTCTTCGCTTGGATATAATAGATGCCATTATCATATCACATTAAAAAAACAGCAAATGGTAATGATGTAACAGGCATTTTTCTTTTACTCAAGTACTATATTAGGTGCTTCATCCTCATGATCACCCTTCAAGGCAGGTAAGTAAACAGAAAAATCAAAGAAGGGAAGTAACTTATATCATGCAGCACTACTTAGTGGTGCCACATTCAAACAAGAGGTCTTTTCCTCTGGCCTGCAATCTAGGCACTGAGAAAATTTTCAGCCAGGAATAACCATGTCATTGTTAAATCCTATTGGCTGTGATGCCACTACACAAAGCTGCTAAGCTCTGTGAGGGATTGAAAAAACAGGATAAGCCATAACCTCTGCCCTCAGGGAGTTAATAAATTTGGGGAAAGTTAATAAATAAAGTTAATAAATATATAGGCTACCAAACATAAACACAAAATAATACCTTATTATGTCCCATAGCTTTAAACACTGCCTTAAACAGTGCCAGACTTATTCCTGACTGCCTTCTCGATAACTTCACATGGATGTCTCTTGCATTTCAGAATATTTCTAAACAGAAATGTCAAATGTGGACCCCCACGACTTGCTTTTTTTCCGTCCCTTCATCTCAGTAGGTGGTCCACTAGTCACTTAGTTTGCTCAAATGAAAGCCAGATGGTCAAATTTGATTTCTCCTTTTCCAACCCTTACATCAATTAGTATCAGTTTTATTTTCAGAATTTTCTGAAATTTTTTTTACTACTTCCCCACTGCCACTCAAATCCATCCACCATCAGCTCTTGCCAGGACAACTGCAACAATGGCCTTCCAGTTGGTTTTGTTTCCATTCTTGCCCTCAATAATCAATTCTCAGCCACAGTAATTATTTTCAAATATTAATCAGACTGTTCTGTTTAAACTATTTCAGTGATTTCCCATTGCAATTAGAATAAAATCCTAAACCCTTCCCCTAGACTAGGGTTTCTCAAACATGCCACTATTGATGTTTTAGGACGGATAAGTCTTCATTGTAGAGGACAAAACTCTGCACTGTAGGATGTTTAAAGGCATCCCTGGCCTCTACTCACTAACTGCCATTGTGTAGCACAGTTGTAGCACACAACTCTGACACAACATTTTAAATATTCTGACATCTAAAAATATCTCCAGACATTTCCAAATGATCCCTAGGAACCAAAATTAGTTCTGGTTGCAAACTGCTCTTGCAATGTTCTGCCCTGTGGCCCCTGACTTCCTTGTCCCATTGCTTCCCCTTAGTCCCCTTATTTCTTCAGTTTTTCAAAACCACCAAGTTCTTTCTTGCCTCGGTCCCTGTGTACATGGTGTTCTCTCTGCCTTTTCTGTAAATTTCCTTTAACCTTTGGATTTCAGTTTTCAGAGAGACCTTCCTGATCTTACCTTGTTAGTCTCTAGCACTGAACTTTGTATCTTTCACAGAACTTAACACAATTTCTTTTTTGTCATTGTGTATTTGTATGGCTGTCTCCCTTATTTGACTATCAACTCCCTAAGAACTGAATCTATTTTAATCACTATTGTTTCCCTGCACTTAGCATTGCCTGTCACTTATGCTCAGTACATTTGCAGAAGAAATAACTTCAAATACAAAATTGAAATTACACAACACAGCCTGTAAATAGTGGATATATTGTACACATCATATGTATTTGTCAAACTTATTTCTATTGCCCAAGTAATGCAAATTGGTTCAGTAGCTCTGGGTAGTGCTTGAGATTCTGCATTTCTAACAAGCCCCTAGGAGATGTTCATGCTGTGCTCCAAGGAACATACTTTTGAGTACCAAAAGTTTATACTGCAGATTAGTCTCATCCTATTTTTGTTTACTGCTAATTATGACTTAGTTTTAAAAATATTAATTTTTTCTTATAATCTGAGAAAACTATAAGAAAAAGCTAGTATTACAATTATTACTATTTTGCATTGTTAAAACCCCTTGTTATTCTGTAGGGATATGCATTAGAATACATGGATGTGATCTACATTGATATGAAGGAAAGTGAAGGGCACAAATCCACAAATTAGCTACCCAGTGGTAAAAGGGAGGAGTCATGTTGTACTTGAGGTTATAAGCCAGAGATTCTACCACTAAATGCTAATTATTGACAGTACTGGTTTTCTAACCAATGGCTATACCTCCGTGATGTCCTTTCCATGCACAATCCATATGGATTCTCAAAGTGGAATCTGATCCAGCATTTCACTGTTAGCAGTACCATTAGTGAGCCTGAACCTTGCTAGGCACTATGCTCACACATGTATTATCTCACTTAATTTTCAATAAAATTCTGCAAAATTCAAATGAGGAAACCGAGGCTCAGAAATGTTAAGTAATTTCTGCAAGGCCACACTGCTAGTTAATTGCTCAGAATTTTAACCCTCTCAGATCTATTCAATGATTAAGTTCCTTCTCTTTCTACTATAATATATTCTTTTTTCTCTTCCATGGTAGCTTTATTATTTTGAATAATAGATAAAGCATTTTAAAGTATGTACTAATTGATCTAATTGATTGCAGTTGCTATTTTTCTTAACTTTTTGTCGAGATATAATTTAGGTAACAGTTCATCATTTTACACTTCAGTGGTTTTTAATATATTTACTTTATTGTGCAACATATGCAACTCAATGTTTTCTATATTCAGTATGTACTGTATTAAGTACCACTGTCTAATTCCAGAACATTTCTATCATCCCAAAAAAGAAACTGTGCATATTAACAGTCAGTCCCAACTCTCTGTTCCTTCACATCCCATGATCTACTTTCTGTCTGTATGGGTTTGCCTATTCTAGACTTCATATAAATATACATATAAGTATTTCATATAAAAATTTCATTAAAATGTTCATACAGTATGTAGACTTTTGTGTCTAGTTTTTTTTCACTTAATGTCATGTTTTCAAAGTTCATGTTCTCACATATAATAGTACTTCGTTCCTTTTTATGGCTGCAATAATATTGCATTCTGTTGATTACATTTTATCACTCATTAGCTGATGGACCTTTGGGTTGTTTTCACTTTTTGTCTATGAACAATACTGCTGTGACCATTTGTGTAAAAGTTTTTGTGTTGACATATTTTCATTTCTTCCGGGTATGTGCCTCAGAGTGGAATTGCTGGGTCATATGTTAATTCTATATTACTTTTCCACAGTGACTACACCATTTTATATTCCTACCAGCAATGTATGAGGGTTCCAATTTCTTTGCCAAAACTTGATATCGTCTGTCTTTTGATTGTAGGCATCCTGAATAAATTTCTCTCTCATTATGGTTTTGATTTGCTTTTCCCTAATGCTACTAATGTTGATCATCTTTTCATGTGCTTATTGGCCATTTGTATATTTTCTTTTCCTTTTTTTTTTTTTTTTTTTTTTTGAGATGGAGTTTCACTCTTTTTTTTTTTTTTTTTTTTTTTTTGAGACAGAGTCTCGCTCTGTCGCCCAGGCTGGAGTGCAGTGGCATGATCTCGGCTCACTGCAACCTCTGCCCTCTGCCTCCCAGGTTCAAATGATTCTCCTGCCTCAGCCTCGCGAATAGCTGGGATTACAGGTGCGCGCCACCACGCCCGGCTAATTTTTTGTATTTTTAGTAGAGATGGGATTTCACCATCTTGGCCAGGCCGGTCTTGAACTCCTGACCTTGTGATCCACCTGCCTCACCCTCCCAAAGTGCTGGGATTACAGGCGTGAGCCACTGCGCCCAGCCCCATTCATATATTTTCTTTGGAGAAATGTCTATTTGAATTCTTCACCCATTTTTTAAATGGGTGGGATATTTGTCTTTTTATTGTTGAAAGGTAAGAGTATATATATTCTGGATACAAGTTCCTTATCAGATATATGATTTCCTCCCTTGTTGTTTTTTCACTTTCCTTGTGGTATCCTTTAGTGCAGAAAAGTTTTTAATTCTGATGAAATCTAATTTTTTCTTTGATTGCTTGTGTTTTTGGTGTCTCGTCTAAGAAACTATTGCCAAATCCAAGGTCATAGAGACGTGTTTTCTTCTAAGAGTTCTATAGTTTAATCTCTTACATTTGGGTCATTGATTCATTTGAATTAATTTTTGTATATGGTGTGAGGTAGAGGTCCACGTTCATTCTAATGTTATTGTACATATCCTTATAATACTCATTTCAAAAATACTGTACTAATTTTCTTAAGGCACTGCTAAATTAAAACTTTTTACTGAGGCTTTTAAAAAATATTTTTCTCATCACAAATTTTAAATTTAAAAAACTCTGGGGACAATTGAATTAATATTTATTGAGCATAATGACTTAATTATGTTCCTATGTGACTTTTATTAGAATGAGTGGATTCTTCTAAATCACAACCTTGAGTTTATAGTATCTGAAGATACATTATATGTAGATTGTTATTGTTAAACAGTCTAAATCATTTCTTTTGGCTAACTTTTTTTCAGTGATGATTGCTTTTTTGAGTTATAAGGGAATTTAGGCAGGCAGTGGTTTTCTTTTTACCTATTTTATGTGTTTAAGGTTCAAAAAGATGTGAAAAGTAATAGTTACTAAAGAGTAAAAGAAAAAGAACTGTGGACTGCTCAGCTCCAGTCTCATTCCTCACCTACAATAATCATAAGTTACCACCAAGCTGTTTCTATGGAGATTAATAATTAGTTGAGAACAGAAGGAAATAAATCTCTCTGTAAATTTACTTGAGAGAGAGATATATATAATTAGAATAAATCACAAAGCTTGGTTCTGATAGTTTATGGAGACACAAAGGTTGCTTTGTTATGCAAAATTCTTTTAAATATTTTATAAAAGTTTTATATGATAGATTTATTTTCTGTTCTTTTTTCATGGCATAAACTTATTTGGAGAAAGTGATCTTCTTAACATTTTGTTTTTATTGCCTCCTAGATGCTCACTCTACACATGGAAGGTCCAACTTTAGAGATGAACGATCTAGTAAAACATATGAACGTTTGCAGAAAAAATTGAAGGATCGCCAAGGAACACAGAAAGATAAAATGAGCAGTCCACCATCATCACCCCAGAAATGCCCTTCTCCCATTAATGAACATAATGGACTTATAAAAGGACAAATTGCTGGTGGTATAAACACAGGATCAGCAAAAATCAAGTCTGGGAAGGGGAAAGGTGGTACACAAGTTGATACAGAAATTGAAGGTAACTGTTTGAAGTACTGAACTGTTCTCATTGATGCTATTCTCGTGATTTAACCTACTAAAAGTATATTCTAACCTTTCAGTCATTTTGTCATGGTCCAAATAGACTGTTACAGGCTGCTGCTTTCGACAGTTTGGAAAGCCTCAATTAGTAATTTCATCTATATCGTAAATTTTACTGACTGAAATTTCTATTTGATAGGAAAACTCAGAGAACATTAATCCAGATTCCTTTCTTCTGATTCTGGGCGTTTGATAAGGCTATGCTGCTGGTTTTTAATCAAAACTTTTTTTTTTTGAGACAGGGTCTTGCTTTGTCACCCAGGCTGGAGTGGCACGATCATAGATAACTGCAGCTGGAAACTACAGGCATACACCACCACACCCAGCTAATTTTTTAATTTTTAGTAGAGACAGGGTCTCGCTGTTTTGCCCATGCTGGTCTCGATCTCCTGGGCTCAAGCAGTCCTCCCATCTTGGCCTCTCAAAGTGCTGCAATTATAGGCCTGAGCCACTGTCCCCAACCTATCAAAACTTTTTATTTCTCCCACCTTCTTTTTGAGTAAAACCTTGATAGCAAATAGTTATATCATTTACTAATCTCTCTATATACTCTGTAATTAGGATAGAGTATTTTTCATTTCTTTCTTCAAAAGTTCTTTTCTCCTAAACTCTCCTTGTTACTCTTGGATCCTTCCCCTAACCTCTGACTTCTACTCTATGAACTTTGTTTTATTGGTTTTTGTTTGTTTGTTTGTTTTTGAGACCAAGTCTCGCTCTGTCACCCAGGCTGGAATGCAGTGGCGCAATGTCAGCTCACTGCAACCTCCGCCTCCTGTGTTGAAGCGATTCTCGTGCCTCAGCCTCCTGAGTAGCTGGGACTAAAGGCGCATGCCACCACGCCCAACTACTTTTTGTATTTTTAGTAGAGACAGGGTTTCACCATCTTGGCCAGGCTGGTCTCCAACTCCTAGGCTCAAGCAGTCCACCCACCTTGACCTTCCAGTGTGCTAAGATTACAGGCATGAGCCTACTATATGGACTTTGAGCACTATTATTTGTATATACTTGAATCAATCTCTATAAGGTAAAATATAGCTGGGTTAACAGCCTGTCTTTCATATGCCTACAGTTGTGGAGTTAGTACCCAGTACTTTTGATTGTAATGTTAAGCTTGTAACTACTGCTTACTTTGATTAATGTAGTTTCTATATGTATGTTCTTTTAGGTTTCCTTAATACTGACTATTATCTGTTTGACGTAGATATGCGTATGTAGAAATACATAGATATGCATGGTAGACCATGTCAGGTTCTAAAGGTTTCATCAGAAATGACTATGAACCATACCAACATGTCATTTCACAAGCACCAATAACCACAACTCTATCAGTCCTTGAATATGCTTATCTAAATTGATATTTACTATCAAATAGTGTAGGTAATTAATATATGACTAGGAACTAAAATGCTTCCAACTTTGAGGGAAATATCAAAATGTAAGCCATGTGAACTCTTCCTACCTTCCTTTTCCTTAAAATTTCCATGCCTCACTAACAAATTTCAAATAATGTCTTAACTGTTCATGACTTATATATTAACAACATTTACATAAATGTTCTCCCATTTATTTGAGACCTGATCATCGTTTTCAGCACTGATGTTTCAGAAGAAATTAAGTTAAAGTTTTTTGCCTATCAGTGGTGGCTATAAGTTACAGTCAAGCCAATTATATTTCTAATTTGGGAAACCATAACTAAGGCATGTCATGAAAAAATAGTTAACTTTATTAAGAGGTATGAGATTGACAAATGAGAACTTTCCAGAGAGAATATTCTTACAACCATGAATAAAAATATACTTGATATAAGAAAAATTTGGTTCAGATAGATATAGCTATGTCTAAATATATATAGATATATCTGTATATAGTGGTGTTATAATTAGTAGTCACAGTTAAGATAGAAATAAAAACTAAAGTAGATAAATGCTGAAGGGCCACAAACTGCTGAGTATGAACAAAGGAATAAAAACTAGAAAATAAAAGTCTCAAATACCAACCTAGTTTCAGAATACATATTTAGGGAGAAGAAGGGATTGTATCTAAGTTCTTTTTTTTAAATATTCAAATGTTTTATTTTTTTAAGAAAAAGATGAAGAAACTAAAGCATTTGAAGCACTTCTTTCCAACATTGTCAAACCAGTGGTAAGTATCTTATGTATTTTATTGATGTTTATATTTAATATATTAGCATAAGATGTTCATCCATCAAAATGTAGTTTTTTTCTTTTAACTTTTTATGAAAATAGGATCATACTGTATTCTGTGACAAGCTTTTTCACTCACTATGGTATGCTTTAGCTATCTTTCTATGTCATTACCTGATTCTTTGAAGAGCTACATAGTTTTGTCATTCATTCATCAAATATTTATTGATCCCTTACTATATGCCAATAAATAAAAAACAAATGCACAAACAGAATTCTGTGTGATAGTAAAGATTGCTATTATAGAAATAGGAATGATATGATGAGATTAATAGGAGAGGTTGTTAGGTTAAATAGAGCAATCAGGGAAGCTTTCTCTGACAAGTGAGAAAAAGTGCAAAAGTGGAAGGAATGGGAGAGGGAGAACAGGTGTAAGTAAGCATGGGGAGTTGGACAGAGGGAAAGAACCATTATCACTGGAGTATAGTGAAGGGGAGAAAGATGTGGTGGAAGAAGTAGGCCATAGGACTTTTTCAGCCAGAATAAGGCAATTTAAGATTGATAAGAATATTTTTTGGTTCATAAAACAAACTACTCTTTCCCAACTCTCAGAAACATCCATGGTAAAATGTTTTATACTAAGTTGCCCCAAAAATACTTTGTTTTTCTGAGAAAACAGATTAGAAAAGTTATTATTCTTAGTACCATCTCCATAAAGGCTTTTTAAGCTTATCTTGCCATGTTTTAGGATGTTTGAGTAAGCCAGTTCCTCATCTAATAGACTAATATGGTCCTACTTTTTCTGACAACTCCCAAATAATAGATTTGGTTGCTCTAGCTTTCTTTATTCTAATCTGTTTTCTCTTGAGAATAGAGCATATATGTGTAAATAAATGTAAATTTACACAATTATTTCATAGTAATGGTTAACACAAATTGATTAGCATCAGTCTCTGTTCAGAGTGCTTGGAATGCACATGTGCATTATTTAATACCTGTGACAACCATATATGTACTATTTTCCCTGCTTTACAAATGAGGAAACTGAAGCAACAGTGAGTTTCAATTAGTAGTAGTAGAGCTATGACTGAAATTTAGGCAGTATCCTTCCAAGACCCCAAGTGTATATCACTAGGTTTACTAGAAAAAGAATTTAGTAGGCTTAATAAGATTGATGTTTGAGTGATTTAATAGCTAATGCTAGTAGCATTTACTTGTTGTAGTATATATTAAAAGTATAATTTTCAGGCCAGGTGCAGTGGCTCACACTTTCCCAGTCCTTTGGAAAACCAAGACAAGAAGATCACTTGAGGCCAGGAGTTTGAGACCAGCCTGAGTAATATATTGAGACCTCGTCTCTACAAAAAACAAATACAGATACTACAGACCAAGGGGGCACACACCTGTAGTCCCAGATACTTGGGATGCTGAGGTGGGAGGATCCCTTGAGCCTAGGAGTTCAATGCTGCAGTGAACTAAGATTGTGCCTTTTCACTCCAGCCTGGGTGACAGAGCAAGAACCTGTCTCATAAATAAATAAATATATATATAATTTACAGACAGGAAAAGTAAATCTTAAAGCCAATTCAAAGACTTTCTTACTCAACATTAGGAAGAACATGTAGTTTAATAAGATAGTGAGCCCTGTATCATAAAGTAATGCTGATGGTTTTATTTGCTTTGTTTTAGTTTATAGTTTGAATGCCGATTCCTCTTTGATTAAATTAATTGTGAGCTACAAAGTGCAGGTCAGGGTTTTTGCTTGCTTGTTTTTGTGTGTGTGGTTGTTTTTGCATGCTCTAGTTCATTTAGAGCACTAAATTAAATGTGTTCATTCACTTTTTCATTCCATAAATATTTTACCGCTTACAAAGTGACAGATGTTGTGCTAAAGCTGGAGATAGAATGGAAAGCAAAGGATAGACACGGGCTCTGCCACAAGGCTTAGTTCAGTAAACTAAGCATCACACAATGAATGTTAAATTGTAACGGTGAAGTGCCAGGACAAAAAGATAGAGAGCAGTCAGAGTGTGTAATAGGAGGACTAAACCTTGACAAGGAATCAGGGAAGTTTTCCTAAGGAAGGATTATTGTACTGACATTTGAAGGAAAAGTAGTGGTTGGGCATTGAGGACAGGGGTGGAAAGTGTGGGAACAGTATTGCAAACTGAGCAGCATTTGAAAAGCACTGGACATGGCACATTTGAGGAACAACAAAAAAAAAGGAAAGCAGAGAAAAGCTCACTCATGTGACCAGAGTGCAGTGTATAGGGGAGAATGTGGTACATGCACAAGTCTCATAGTCTCAACTGTGTACTTAGGAGTTGAGTGACCCATGACAAGTCACTTGACCTTTGTGAATGTTTCTTCTTTCAGAAAATGGAGAATAATGGTATTGTATACCCTCACATGCATGAAATAATTAACTATATTGAAAGTGTTGTCTTTTCATTTGTTCTTCTTTGAAATTGTTCTCAGTCTCATTTCTGTGAAAATCTACTGACATTTATTTCAGTGGATTTCATTTCCTTTTATTTCAGTAATGCTTAAAATTAAATGTGTCATGCCTTTTACTCATTACCTTTTTGCTTTCAGAATCATTACCCCTTCCCTTTACCTTTTTGTGGTTACTAGAAGTACTATCTAACTCCAAGTTTCCTTAGGCTCAGCCTTTGAGTTATCTTCAGAATTATTCTCTCACCTCCTGATGCCCTTATCTAGACAAGGATCAAACATTTATGTTTATTCTACTTTAGTATTTCTGGAAATCCAGAAATTAGATACTCTCATTTCTTTCTTCTACAGTCTTTGTCAAAATTCATGTAATATATATGGCTTTGAACTCTTTTAACAGTTTAGCTTCCTAGATATATACTTAATTTAACCCAATGGACAGTTTTTCTCAAGGGTAGTTTTGATGACTACCTTACAAGGATCACAATCTGCCTCAAAAAATATATTGTACATAATCTAGCCACTTTCTAAAGGAGCTATTTTCATTTTTTCCTGTTACCATCTTTATCAGTTCTTAGACAGATTTTTACACAATCATACCTATTTTCAGCTACCACCTAGAAGTGGATTCAGAGTGGGATCATTGAGTAGTAGGAAAATAACTGAATTATTCAGGTCCTAGTCAATGGTTCTGTGACCTCTAGACAAGTTACTTAATCTTTCTGAATATGCTCCTTTCACAAAATGAAGATAGTTAAGCCTATTTTGCCTACTTTAGGTGGTAGTTGTAAGAATCAAGTGATATGGATATAAAAGCAAATTTTACTTCTAACATTAGCATACAAATAGAGTTCAAATTACTTCCAAATCTATATTTTCGATCCTAATTACTAATCTGTTCATGTAGAACTGTATCTCCTGAGGCACGCTAAAGAATACCCAAGTTTGAATGTTTCACTAGCAACTTTAGAAAACCAAATTCTTAATCTGCTTGTCTATACTATTTTATCACGTTCTTCATTCCTGTAAAATGAAGAAGGAATTGGGTTAGATCTCTTTCGTTTCTGTTTCCTTTCATTGTTTCCGTCGGTAAACACTTACCCATCCAGGTTTTCCTGGGTTACAGTATCATCTTACATTTCTTCTTTACCTTTCATTCTCCCCATGCTAGATTAGTACTCCAGCTTTATTATTTCACTATAAGTTTATAGGATCCACTCTCCCCACTGTCCCCTACCACTCCACATACACACACAATTACTACCTCAGTCTTCACACAGGAATTTTGTGGTATCTATGTGGGAGTCCATCTCTTTTTCTTCTATGCAACTCTATAATTCACCTGAAACCAGCAACAGAAAACAGCATTTTTAGAAGATTTTAAAAATACATATGAACATGCCTTGGACTACCAGATTTCAGTTATAAGCTTTGGAATATAAATACTCATTCCTGTACTAATTACCCACCTCTTTCTACCAAATTTTATCTCATCCAAGTTCTTTAAGATTCAATTCAAAATTCACTTATGAAGTTTTCCACATCTTATCCCAATGTAGTCACTCTTTCTGTGACTTAACATATAAGTGCAAGTAATAAGATAGCTTTTTCTTTTTGAGACAGAGTCTTGCTCTTTCACCCAGGCTGGAGGGCTGGAGTGCAGTGGCATGATTTCAGCTTGCTGCAACCTCTGCCTCCCAGGTTCAAGTGATTCTTGGGTCTCAGTCTCCTGAGTAGCTGGGATTACAGGCATACACCACCACGTCCAGATAATTTTTGTATTTTTAGTAGAGATAGGGTTCCACCATGTTGGCCAGGCTGGTCTTGAACTCTTAACCTCAGGTGATCTGCCCACCTCGGCCTCCCAAAGTGCTGGGATTACAGGCATGAGCCCCTGTGCCCAGCCATAAGATCTTTTTAATAGAATGAGTTAGTACTAAAAGATTTTCTGGAAAAGCAGAAATTGAAAAAGTTGAAATTGGCCCAGTGCAGTGGCTCACACCTCTAATCCCAATACTTTAGGAGGCCGGGGCAGGAGGATCGCTTGAGCCTAGGAGTTCGCAACCAGCCCAAGCAACAATAGTAAGACCCAGTCTCAATAAAAAAATAATAATAATATTTTTTAAGTTGAAATTAGCATTTTAAAATTTTTTTAATTTATTTTTAAAACTATGTTTGCTAAATTCAACATAGTATTCTGGAAGTCTGTTTAGTTAAAAGTATAGTTAAAAGCTTAGTTAATAGTATTTACCAATATTAATAGTTTTGACAAAAATGCATGGTTATATAGGATTTTAACATTAGGGGAAGCTGGGTAAAGGATAGACAGGGATTCCATACTATCTTCCCAACTTTTCTTTAAACCTAAATTTATTTCCAAATAAAAGACTTTTAAAAATACTTTATTTGTGTAACTCTGGTAAACAGTTCATTTCACTCAGCCACTCATTTTGTTGATGAGGCCTAGAACCCTAAGAGGGTGAGACTTCAGTATCACCAGGCAAATTAGTGACACATCTTGTGCTTCCCTATTTAATATTTTCTCTACTGTCTGTACTCCCCACAGATCCTGATAAAGCAAGCTTCATAAAGTAGGTGCCAGGCTGGGCATAGTGACTCACACCTGTAATTCCAACACTTTGGGAGGCTGAGGCGGGAGGGTGGCTTGAGGCCAGGAGCTCGAGACCATCCTGGGCAACATAGCAAGACCCCATCTTTACTACTACTACTACTACTACTACTACTACTACTGCTACTACTACTACTACTACTAATAATAATAATAATAATAAAGTAGATGCCAGTTAATGCTTTTGACTGACCCACCTTCATAGTCCTATTCACGTTCTCAAAGTTTAACACAACTATTATCATCCCATAAAATCAAGAGACACTTATGGGTATACATACATGTATAGTAGCAGTTTGTTTTAAAAAAGAAAAAAAAACCTGCTCAGTTTCAAGTTAATAGCCAGCTGTATACTGGATCATACAAAGAATCATTTTTAAGTTCATTGTAAATGAAACACAGTACCAAGACTTTAAGACAGTATTAGAGTGAATACAGTATTACATTTCCTGTGATTTAACAGAAGCAAAATAAATATAGTAATAGTTTTTTTTATTCAGACTTCGAGAACTTTGAAAAGGACAGAATGTTACAATTTTATGGAGATTACTTAATTTTACTTTAATTCAAGATAGGAGTAATTGTCATCCTAGTGGTTATTAGTTTGGTTTTAGAAATGCTAAGGTAGTTGTTAAACATATATAATTTTAAAGCAAGCTTTTATATAAATGCCTACATATAATCTGGTACCTTTCTCACCAATCTGTAAACCTTATCTAATCTCTAGATTTTTTTCGCTTTAACAAAAGTAACTTGTACTCATAAAATTATTCCAGTAGTATAAAAATATATAAAACATAATTGAAACCACATGTTTTTTTCTGTCACAACTTTCTCTGCGTCTCACCACACTTACACAAAATCCCCAAAGATAACAATTGGTACATTTGTACAGTACATTTTCAGACATTTTTGTACAGTTTTATAAAAGCTAACTCAACTGCAATCACAGTGTATGTACTGCTTTCCAGCTTCACTTTTTTCTCCTATTACGTAGCACCTGTATATTGAGGAAATCTTCAGATGTTAGCGCATGTATGTCCACCTCATGTTCTTTTTTGAGCACTTGCAGAATAATATGTTCATAGGCTGTGTTATGTACCATCATTTAGGTAGTCAGTGCCCTATAGTTCTAGTTTTTTGCCATTAATAATGCTGCAATGAACATTCTTAAGTGTGTATATTTGTATACATATGTTAAGTTTATAGGATATTACCCTGAAAAAAAATTCCTGGATGTAGAATTTCTGAATCAAAAAGTAAACACATCTTACATTTTATAATGATTCACTAGTTGCTATACACAAGGATTGAACTTACATATACTGTTACCACACTTAGAGAGTGCCATTTCTCCAAGTTTTTAACACTAGATAGTATTAGCTTTTTAATCTTCCCCTATCCAGTAGATGAAAACTGGGATTCTGTTTTAATTTACATGTATTTATGAATGCAGTTTCACACGTACATCATTTTATATGTTGTCCATTTATATTTACATATCTTTGGATGTCGATGTCCTTTGCTCATTTTTCTCTTGAGTTTTTGTCATCCTCCTGTTGTAAAAACATTTTCTAAGCTGAGGAAATGAACCCTTTCAAACATGTTACAATGGTCTTTTTAATCCCAGTTTTTTTCTTTTGACTATGTATGGTGTCTACGCTAATAGTTTTGAATGGCCTGGTTTTTAAACTTTTGTGGAACCCATCTCATTTGTTGTGGAACCCACAACAAATTATTTGCAATGGGCAGGTTTATATTTGTGAGCCATTTTATCTATATAAACAGATACATTTTATTTAATCTTGAAACCTCATTAGATATTTCACTGCTCATTGTATACATTACAGTTGTTTTAAAGAACTTTTAAATGTTGTATTTTTACAGGCCTCCGACATCCAGGCAAGGACAGTAGTACTTACCTGGTCACCACCTTCCAGCCTCATTAATGGTGAAACAGATGAAAGTAGTGTACCAGAGCTCTATGGTTATGAAGTTCTGATCTCAAGTACTGGAAAAGATGGGAAATACAAAAGTGTATATGTGTAGGTATTTGTTGTTTTGCTTTCTCCCATTGTGTAAATTAATGGTTTATTATAAAGAGCTTATTACTAATTTTGCTCTACTTTTCCTTCTTCACGCTTTTATTCTGAATCTTTAAGTTGGCTAATGATAGTGATTTCAATGTAAATGGTCCAAATGTAGCTTGGTACACATTTCTGTCTACCTTCCTTCAGAATAATCACTTTTATTGGCCACATTCAGCTTTTTTTTTCCCAGTAGGCTCCCTAATAGATGGTTCAGTATTCACGTATTCTTAATGCATTAAATATAAGTTGTAGTATGTAGAACCCATGACCAAAAATGGACAATTCATGATTGTAAACTCATAAAGTATGACATTGCTCCTCTAAGGACTGGATTTAATTCTTACATGTACAAGCTCATGTCCTGTTGTAAAATGAATTTAGTAGCACTGTTATTTATTTGCATGTTAGTATGTTTATAGTCATATTTTGAAAACTTACGTATTTCTTTCCTTGGTTTAAAAGTATATTACACACAGCCAGGCACGGTGGCTCACGCCTGTAATCCCAGCACTTTGGGAGGCTGAGGCGGGTGGATCACCTGAGTTCAGCAGTTCGAGACCAGCCTGGCCAACACGGTGAAACCCCGTCTTTACTAAAAATATAAAAATTAGCCAGGGGTGGTGGCACATGCCTGTAGTCCCAGCTACTTAGGACGCTGAGGCAGGAGAATCGCTTGAACCTGGCAGGTGGCAGTTGCAGTGAGCCAAGATCGCGTCATTGCACTCCAGCCTGAGTGACAGAGTGAGACTCCATCTCAAGAAAAAAATAAAAGTATATTACGCACCACGAAGCCTTAGAAAGATTCAGTAGCTAAAGTTGTGACATTTATGATTGACAGTTTTGAAATAAATTATTCTGTCCATATTCATATAGAAGTTGATTATTCTAATAAAAAAGGGTAATGTTAATGGTTAGTTATTATTTAAGCACCAAGAAGACTGTAAAGGTGATGGTTAATCATTTGAATGATCACAATTAGCACAGAACACTGGCTCCATCAGCCTTGTTGCTATCTTTTTTCAAAACATAGCTGGCAAGGAGAAGAAAGGAAAGTGAAACTGCTCCGGTGCCTCTCATCTAGTTACATAAGGTTATAAAAATTTCCTGTTTCCTCTCTATTGAGATTTCCTTGTGTTCTATTCATTTTTCTTAAGAGAGACAAGTAAACCTAAGGGGTAAGTAGGGGATAAAGGACTATCAACATAAAGGTTTCTTACTATGTTAATGACTGTTTTTTAGTTATATATGGCTGCTTACTAAGAGGAATGCTTTATTTCCATTTGCAGCCTGACCAGGGAGCACGAGGGGGGCATTAGTCATCTCCCATATCCTACAGGAATTAAGGTCTCTAAGGATGCTACTGCAACTGCCCAGTTCATTAAAATGTACTTTCAGCCTTGAAACATATTTATTTTTCATCATATTTACTGGCCTTGATTTGAGAAATAGAGTAGCTGGGAGGTAAGGGGTGGGGAATGGAAAGAAGTCCATAAAGTGGAGAGGAGAGAGACTTGGTGGAAGGAAATGAAATAGGGAATCGTGATTTTAAGTTTAAAAAAAAAAAAAGTAGGGAATAGGCTGGTTTGCGGCTACATACCCAAATAATATTCTGTTGTGTATATATACCACATTTTCTTTATCCCATTCATCCATTGATGGACACTTAGGTTGATCTATATTTTTGCTCTTGTCAATAGTGCTGCAGTAAATGTGGGAAAAGCACATCTCTTCAATATACTGATTTTTCCCCTATTTGGAAAAATACCCAGTAGTGGGATTGCTCATTTGTATGATATTTCTATTTTTAATTTTTTGAGAAATCTCCACACTTGTATCCATATTGGTTGTACTAATTAACATTCCACCAACAGTGTATAAGGGCTTTTTTTCTCTGCATCCTCACCAGCATCTGTTATTTTTTTGTCTTTGTAATAGTAGCCATTCTAACTAGGGTAAAATGATCTCATTGTAATTTTGATTTGGATTTCCCTGACTAATGATGTAGAGTATTTTTTCATATACCTGTTGGCCATTTGTATGTCTTTGGAGAAATGTCTATTCATGTCCTTTGTCCACTTTTAATGGGATTATTTGTGTTTTTCCTGTTGAGTTGAATTCCTTGTATATTCTGGATATTAGTCTTTTGTTAGATGAATAGTTTGCAAATACTCTCTCCCTTTCTGAGGGTTGTGTCTTCACTGTGTTGGTTGTTTCCTCTGCTGTGCAAAAGTTTTAGTTTATTTCTCTATTTTTCTTTTTTTTGTTGTTGCCTGTGCTTTGGGGGTCTTAGCATAAAATCTTTGCTTAAACCAGTGTCCTGAAGTGTTTCTTCTATATTTTCTTCCAGGATTTCATAGTTTCAGGTCTTAAACATTTAAGTCTGTAAGCCTTCTTGTGTTTATTTTTATGTAAGATGAGAGATACAGTCCAGTTTCATTCTTCTGCAGGTGGATATCCAATTTTCCTAGCAGCATTTATTGAGAAGGGTATCCTTTCCCCAGTGTATGTTCTTGGCACCATTGTTAAAAAGTCATTTGGCTATAAATTTATTTCTGGCTTCTCTATTGTGTTCCTTAGTTCTTGTGTCTATTTTTATACCAATGCCATGCTGTTTTGATTACTATAGTCTTGCAGTATATTTTGAAGTCAGGTAGAGTGATGCCTCCAGCTTTGTTCTTTTTACTTAGGATTGCGTTGGCTATTCAGGCTATTTTTTGGTTCCATAGACATTTTTGGATCACTTTTTATATTTCTGTGAAAAATGACATTGGTATTTTGATAGGGATTCCATTGAATATAAATTGCTTTGGACAGTATGTTCATTTTAATGGTATTAATTTTTTGAATACATGAGCAATGGATGTCTTTTCATTTGTTTGTGTTCTCTTCAATTTCTTTCATCAGTGTTTTATAGTTTTATCTTGTAGAGATCTTTCTACCTGTTATATTAGATTTATTCTTAGGGTGTTTTTTCTTTTGTAGCTATTGTAAATGTGATTGCCTTTTGGGCTTCTTTCTCAGCTAGTTTATTATTAGTGTATAGAAATGATGCTGATTTTTGTATTTTGATTTTATATCCTGCAACTTACTGAATTTATTTATCAGATCCAAGAGTTTTCTGGTGGAGTCTTCAGATTTTTCTACATGTAAGATCATGTCATCTACAAAGAAGGACAATTTGACTTTTTTTTTTTTTTTAATCTGAATACCTTTTATTCCTTTCTCTTGGCTGGTTGCTCTGGCTAGGACTTCCAGTACCATATTGGAGTGGTGAGAGTAGGCATCCTTGTCTTGTTCGAGTTCTTAGAGGAAAGGTTTTTAGACTTTCCCCTTTCTGTATGATGTTAGCTATGGGTCTGTCATATGTGGTCTTTATTATGTTGAGGTATGTCCCTTTAGTGCCTAGTTTGTTGAAAGATTTTATGAAGGGATGCTGAATTTTATCAAAATTTCTCTACATCTATTGAGATGATCATATAATTTTTGTCCTTCATTATGTTGATATGGTGTATCACATTATTGATTTGTGTATGTTGAGCCATCCTTGCATCCCTGGTATAAATCCCACTTGATCATGGTGTATTGTCTTTATAATGTGCTGTTGAATTCAGTTTGCCAGTGTTTTGATGAGGATTTCGTGTCCGTGTTTATCAAGGATTAGTCTGTACTTTTCTTTTTTTGTTGTGTCCGTATCTGGTTTTGGTACCAGAGTGATGCTGTCCTTGTAGAATGAGTTAGAGAGAATTCCCTCCTCTTCAATGTTTTTGGAATAGTTTGAGGAGAATTGGTGTTCCTTAAAAGTTTGGTAGAATTTGTCAGTGAAGCCATTGGTCCTGGACTTTTCTTTGTTTGAAGACTCTTTATTACTGATTCAATCTCATTACTCGTTATTGGTTGGTTCATATTTTCTATTTCTCGCTGATTGAATCTTGGTAGGTAGTATGTATCTAGGAATTTGTCCACTTCCTCAGATTTTTCAGTTTGTTGGTGTAGGTTGTCCATAATAGTCTCTGATGATTGTAACTGTGTTATCAGTTGTAGTGTCTCCTTTTCCACTTCTGATTTTATTTGGGTCCCCTTTCTTCTTCTCTTGATTAGTCTAGGTGGTGGTTTAGTTCTGTTCTGATTTTTTATTTGTTTTAGAGATGGCATCTTGCGATGTTGCCTAAGCTGGACTCAAACTCCTGGGCTCAAGTGATCCTCCCACGTCAGCCTCCCAAGTACCTGGGACTGTAGGTGTGCACCACTGCACCTGGCTGTCTGCTCTGATCTGCACCACTGCACCTGGCTGTCTGCTCTGATCTTTATTATTTCTTCCACTAATTTTGGATTTGGTTTGTTCTTGCTTTTGTAGTTCTTGAGATGTGCATTGCTAGATTGTTTATTTAGACTCTTTAAGCTTTTTAATGTAGACATTTATTGCTATAAACTTCCCTCTTGGCACTGCTTTTGCTGTATCCCATAGGTTTTAATATTTTGTGTTTCCATTTTAATTTGTTCCAAGAATTTTTTTTTTATTTCTTCCTTAATTTGTCCCTCTACCAGTGGTCATTCAGGAGCATGTTGTTTAGTTTCCAGGTAGTTGCACAGTTTCCAGAGTTCCTCTTGTTATTGATTTCTAGTTTTATTCTATTAAGTTATTAGAAAATATATGATATAATTTCAGTGTTTTAAAATTTCTTGAGGCCGGGCACGGTGGCTTACACCTCTAATCCCAGCACTTTGGGAAGCCGAGGTGGGCAGATCACGATGGCAAGAGATCAAGACCATCCTGGCCAACATGGTGAAATCCCGTCTCTACTAAAATACAAAAAATTAGCGAGGTGTGGTGGTGCACGCCTGTAGTCCCAGCTACTCGGGAGGCTGAGGCAGGGGAATCGCTTGAACCTGGGAGACAGAGGTTGCAGTGAGCCAAGATGGCACCACTGCACTCCATCCTGGCAACCCAGCAAGACTCCGTCTCAAAAAAAAAAAAAAAAAAAAATTGTTGAGACCTGTATTGTGTACTGACATATGGTCTACCCTAAAGAATGTTTCATGTTTCATGTGTTGTAAAGAAGAATGTGTTTTCTGTAGCCTTTGGATGAAATGTATTCACAAAGGTCAGTTATGTCCATTTGGTCTAATGTGCCATTTAAATACAATGAAATTTCTTTGTTAATTTTCTGTCTAGATGATCTGTCTAATGCTGAGAGTGGGGGGTTGAAGTCCCCAACTATTATTTTATTGGAGTCTGTCTCTCCCTTTAAATCTAGCAATAATTGCTTTATATTTCTGGGTGCTCCAGTGTTGGGTACATATATGTTTAGAATTGTTATATCCTCTTGCTGAATTGATCCCTTTATCATTATATAATGATTTTGTCTCTTTTTACTGTTTTTGACATAAAGTCTGTTTTATCTGAGTGTAGCTACTCCTGCTCACTTTTGGTTTCTGTTTGCATGGATTATCGTTTTCCATCCCTTTACTTTCAGTCTGTATGTATCTTTACAGGTGAGATGAGTTTCTTGTAGACAGCATATAATTGGGTCACATTTTTTAATTCATTCAGTGAGTTTGTGTCTTTTAAGTAGAAAGTTTTTTGTTTCTTTTTGTTTTTTTTATTATTATTATACTTTAAGTTATAGGGTACATGTGCATACCGTACAGGTTTGTTACATAGGTATACATGTGCCATGTTGGTGTGCTGCACCCATTAACTTGTCATTTACAATAGGTATTTCACTTAATGCCATCCCTCCCCCATCCCCCCAACCTGCCATGACAGGCCCCAGTGTGTGATGTTCCCGGCCCTGTGTCCAAGTGTTATCATTGTTCAATTTCCACCTATGAGTGAGAACATGCGGTGTTTGGTTTTCTGTCCTTGCGATAGTTTGCTCAGAATGATGGTTTCCAGCCTCATCCATGTGCCTACAAAGGATATGAACTCATCCTTTTTTATGGCTGCATAGTATTCCATGGTGAATATGTGCCACATTTTCTTAATCCAGTCTATCATTGGTAGACATTTGGGTTGATTCCAAGTCCTTGCTATTGTGAATAGTGCCACAATAAACATGTGTGCATGTGTCTTTATGGTAGCATGATTAATAATCCTTTGTGTATATACCCAGTATTGGGCTTGCTGGGTGAAATGGTATTTCTAGTTCTAGATCCTTGAAGAATCACCACACTGTCTTCCACAATGGTTGAACTAGTTTACACTACCACCAACAGTGTAAAAGCATTCCTGTAACTCCACATCCTCTCTAGCACCTGTTGTTTCCTGACTTTTTAATGATCACCATTCTAACTGGTGTGAGATGGGATCTCATTGTGGTTTTGATTTGCATTTCTCTGATGACCAGTGATGATGAGCATTTTTTCATGTGTCTGTTGGCTGCATGAATGTCTTCTTTTGAGAAATGTCTTCATATCCTTCGCCCACTTTTTCATGGGGTTGATTTTTTTCTTATAAATTTGTTTTAAGTTCTTTGTAGATTCTGGATATTAGCCCTTTGTCAGATGGGTAGATTGCAAAAAAAATTGTTTGGTTTTTTTTTAATTATACTTTAAGTTTTAGGGTGTATGTGCACATTGTGCAGGTTAGTTACATATGTATACATGTGCCATGCTGGTGCGCTGCACCCACTAACCACTAACTCGTCATCTAGCATTAGGTATATCTCCCAATGCTACCCCTCCCCCCTACCCCCACCCCACCACAGTCCCCAGAGTGTGATATTCCCCTTCCTGTGTCCATGTGATCTCATTGTTCAGTTCCCACCTATGAGTGAGAATATGCGGTGTTTGGTTTTTTGTTCTTGCGATAGTTTACTGAGAATGATGATTTCCAATTTCATCCATGTCCCCACAAAGGACATGAACTCATCATTTTTTATGGCTGCATAGTATTCCATGGTGTATATGTGCCACATTTTCTTAATCCAGTCTATCATTGTTGGACATTTGGGTTGGTTCCAAGTCTTTGCTATTGTGAATAATGCCGCAGTAAACATACGTGTGCATGTGTCTTTATAGCAGCATGATTTATAGTCCTTTGGGTATATACCCAGTAATGGGATGGCTGGGTCAAATGGTATTTCTACTTCTAGATCCCTGAGGAATCGCCACACTGACTTCCACAATGGTTGAACTAGTTTACAGTCCCAACAACAATGTAAAAGTGTTCCTATTTCTCCACATCCTCTCCAGCACCTGTTGTTTCCTGACTTTTTAATGATTGCCATTCTAACTGGTGTGAGATGGTATCTCATTGTGGTTTTGATTTGCATTTCTCTGATGGCCAGTGATGATGAGCATTTTTTCATGTGTTTTTTGGCTGCCTAAATGTCTTCTTTTGAGAAGTGTCTGTTCATGTCCTTCGCCCACTTTTTGATGGGGTTGTTTGTTTTTTCTTGTAAATTTGTTTGAGTTCATTGTGGATTCTGGATATTAGCCCTTTGTCAGATGAGTAGGTTGCAAAAATTTTCTCCCATTTTGTAGGTTGCCTGTTCACTCTGATGGTAGTTTCTTTTGCTGTGCAGAAGGTCTTTAGTTTAATTAGATCCCATTTGTCTATTTTGTCTTTTGTTTCCATTGCTTTTGGTGTTTTAGACAGGAAGTCCTTGCCCATGCCTATGTCCTGAATGGTAATGCCTAGGTTTTCTTCTAGGGTTTTTATGGTTTTAGGTCTAACATTTAAGTCTTTAATCCATCTTGAATTGATTTTTGTATAAGGTGTAAGGAAGGGATCCAGTTTCAGCTTTCTACATATGGCTAGCCAGTTTTCCCAGCACCATTTATTAAATAGGGAATCCTTTCCCCATTGCTTGTTTTTCTCAGGTTTGTCAAAGATCAGATAGTTGTAGATATGCGGCGTTATTTCTGAGGGCTCTGTTCTGTTCCATTGATCTATATCTCTGTTTTGGTACCAGTACCATGCTGTTTTGGTTACTGTAGCCTTGTAGTATAGTTTGAAGTCAGGTAGTGTGATACCTCCAGCTTTGTTCTTTTGGCTTAGGATTGACTTGGCGATGCGGGCTCTTTTTTGGTTCCATATGAACTTTAAAGTAGTTTTTTCCAATTCTGTGAAGAAAGTCATTGGTAGCTTGATGGGGATGGCATTGAATCTGTAAATTACCTTGGGCAGTATGGCCATTTTCACAATATTGATTCTTCCTACCCATGAGCATGGAATGTTCTTCCATTTGTTTGTATCCTCTTTTATCTCATTGAGCAGTGGTTTGTAGTTCTCCTTGAAGAGGTCCTTCACATCCCTTGTAAGTTGGATTCCTAGGTATTTTATTCTCTTTGAAGCAATTGTGAATGGGAGTTCACTCATGATTTGGCTCTCTGTTTGTCTGTTATTGGTGTATAAGAATGCTTGTGATTTTTGTACATTGATTTTGTATCCTGAGACTTTGCTGAAGTTGCTTATCAGCTTAAGGAGATTTTGGGCTGAGACACTGGGGTTTTCTAAATATACAATCATGTCGTCTGCAAACAGGGACAATTTGACTTCCTCTTTTCCTACTTGAATACCCTTTATTTCCTTCTCCTGCCTAATTGCCCTGGCCAGAACTTCCAACACTATGCTGAATAGGAGTGGTGAGAGAGGGCATCCCTGTCTTGTGCCAGTTTTCAAAGGGAATGCTTCCAGTTTTTGCCCATTCAGTATGATACTGGCTGTGGGTTTGTCAAATAGCTCTTATTATTTTGAGAGACGTCCCATCAATACCTAGTTTATTCAGAGTTTTTAGCATGAAGGGTTGTTGAATTTTGTCAAAGGCTTTTTCTGCATCTATTGAGATAATCATGTGGTTTTTGTCTTTGGCTCTGTTTATATGCTGGATTACATTTATTGATTTGCGTATATTGAACCAGCCTTGCATCCCAGGGATGAAGCCCACTTGATCATGGTGGATAAGCTTTTTGATGTGCTGCTGGATTCGTTTTGCCAGTATTTTATTGAGGATTTTTGCATCAATATTCATCAAGGATATTGGTCTAAAATTCTCTTTTTTGGTTGTGTCTCTGCCCGGCTTTGGTATCAGAATGATGCTGGCCTCATCAAATGAGTTAGGGAGGATTCCCTCTTTTTCTATTGATTGGAATAGTTTCAGAAGGAATGGTACCAGTTCCTCCTTGTACCTCTGATAGAATTCGGCTGTGAATCCATCTGGTCCTGGACTCTTTTTGGTTGGTAAACTATTGATTATCGCCACAATTTCAGCTCCTGTTATTGGTCTATTCAGGGATTCACCTTCTTCCTGGTTTAGTCTTGGGAGATTGTATGTGTCGAGGAATTTATCCATTTCTTCTAGATTTTCTAGTTTATTTGCGTAGAGGTGTTTGTAGTATTCTCTGATGGTAGTTTGTATTTCTGTGGGATCAGTGGTGATATCCCCTTTATCATTTTTTTTGTGTGTCTATTTGATTCTTCTCTCTTTTTTTCTTTATTAGTCTTGCTAGCGGTCTATCTATTTTGTTGATCCTTTCAAAAAACCAGCTCCTGGATTCATTAATTTTTTGAAGGGTTTTTTGTGTCTCTATTTCCTTCAGTTCTGCTCTGATTTTAGTTATTTCTTGCCTTCTGCTAGCTTTTGAATGTGTTTGCTCTTGCTTTTCTAGTTATTTTAATTGTGATGTTAGGGTGTCAATTTTGGATCTTTCCTGCTTTCTCTTGTGGGCATTTAGTGCTATAAATTTCCCTCTACACACTGCTTTGAATGCGTCCCAGAGATTCTGGTATGTTGTGTCTTTGTTCTCGTTGGTTTCAAAGAACATCTTTATTTCTGCCTTCATTTCGTTATGTACCCAGTAGTCATTCAGGAGCAGGTTGTTCAGTTTCCATGTAGTTGAGCGGTTTTGAGTGAGATTCTTAATCCTGAGTTCTAGTTTGATTGCACTGTGGTCTGAGAGATAGTTTGTTATAATGTCTGTTCTTTTACATTTGCTGAGGAGAGCTTTACTTCCAAGTATGTGGTCAATTTTGGAATAGGTGTGGTGTGGTGCTGAAAAAAATGTATATTCTGTTGATTTGGGGTGGAGAGTTCTGTAGATGTCAATTAGGTCCGCTTGGTGCAGAGCTGAGTTCAATTCCTGGGTATCCTTGTTGACTTTCTGTCTCGTTGATCTGTCTAATGTTGACAGTGGGGTGTTAAAGTCTCCCATTATTAATGTGTGGGAGTCTAAGTCTCTTTGTAGGTCTCTAAGGACTTGCTTTATGAATCTGGGTGCTCCTGTATTGGGTGCATATATATTTAGGATAGTTAGCTCTTCTTGTTGAATTGATCCCTTTACCATTATGTAATGGCCTTCTTTGTCTCTTTTGATCTTTGTTGGTTTAAAGTCTGTTTTATCAGAGACTAGGATTGCAACCTCTGCCTTTTTTTGTTTTCCATTTGCTTGGTAGATCTTCCTCCATCCTTTTATTTTGAGCCTATGTGTGTCTCTGCACGTGAGATGGGTTTCCTGAATACAGCACACTGATGGGTCTTGACTCTTTATCCAATTTGCCAGTCTGTGCCTTTTAATTGGAGCATTAAGTCCATTTACATTTAAAGTTAATATTGTTATGTGTGAATTTGATCCTGTCATTATGATGTTAGCTGGTGATTTTGCTCGTTAGTTGATGCAGTTTCTTCCTATTCTCGATGGTCTTTACATTTTGGCATGATTTTGCAGCGGCTGGTACCAGTTGTTGCTTTCCATGTTTACCGCTTCCTTCAGAAGCTCTTTTAGGGCAGGCCTGGTGGTGACAAAATCTCTCAGCATTTGCTTGTCTGTAAAGTATTTTATTTCTCCTTCACTTATGAAGCTTAGTTTGGCTGGATATGAAATTCTGGGTTGAAAATTCTTTTCTTTAAGAATGTTGAATATTGGCCCCCACTCTCTTCTGGCTTGTAGAGTTTCTGCTGAGAGATCCGCTGGTAGTCTGATGGGCTTCCCTTTTTGGGTAACCCGACCTTTCTCTCTGGCTGCCCTTAACATTTTTTCCTTCATTTCAACTTTGGTGAATCTGACAATTATGTGTCTTGGAGTTGCTCTTCTCGAGGAGTATCTTTGTGGCGTTCTCTGTATTTCCTGAATCTGAACGTTGGCCTGCCTTGCTAGATTGGGGAAGTTCTCCTGGATAATATCCTGCAGAGTGTTTTCCAACTTGGTTCCATTCTCCCCATCACTTTCAGGTACACCAATGAGACGTAGATTTGGTCTTTTCACATAGTCCCATACTTCTTGGAGGCTTTGCTCATTTCTTTTTATTCTTTTTTCTCTAAACTTCCCTTCTCGCTTCATTTCATTCATTTCATCTTCCATTGCTGATACCCTTTCTTCCAGTTGATCGCATCAGCTCCTGAGGCTTCTGCATTCTTCACGTAGTTCTCGAGCCTTGGTTTTCAGCTCCATCAGCTCCTTTAAGCACTTCTCTGTATTGGTTATTCTAGTTATACATTCTTCTAAATTTTTTTCAAAGTTTTCAACTTCTTTGCCTTTGGTTTCAATGTCCTCCCGTAGCTCAGAGTAATTTGATCGTCTGAAGCCTTCTTCTCTCAGCTCGTCAAAGTCATTCTCCATCCAGCTTTGTTCCGTTGCTGGTGAGGAACTGCGTTCCTTTGGAGGAGGAGAGGTGCTCTGCGTTTTAGAGTTTCCACTTTTTCTGTTCTGTTTTTTCCCCATCTTTGTGGTTTTATCTACTTTTGGTCTTTGATGATGGTGATGTACAGATGGGTTTTTGGTGTGGATGTCCTTTCTGTTTGTTAGTTTTCCTTCTAACAGACAGGACCCTCAGCTGCAGGTCTGTTGGAATACCCTGCCGTGTGAGGTGTCAGTGTGCCCCTGCTGGGGGGTGCCTCCCAGTTAGGCTGCTCGGGGGTCAGGGGTCAGGGACCCACTTGAGGAGGCAGTCTGCCCGTTCTCAGATCTCCAGCTGCGTGCTGGGAGAACCACTGCTCTCTTCAAAGCTGTCAGACAGGGACATTTAAGTCTGCAGAGGTTACTGCTGTCTTTTTGTTTGTCTGTGCCCTGCCCCCAGAGGTGGAGCCTACAGAGGCAGGCAGGCTTCCTGGAGCTGTGGTGGGCTCCACTCAGTTCGAGCTTCCCGGCTGCTTTGTTTACCTAAGCAAGCCAGGGCAATGGCGGGCGCCCCTCCCCCAGCCTCGCTGTCGCCTTGCAGTTTGATCTCAGACTGCTGTGCTAGCAATCTGTGAGACTCCGTGGGCGTAGGACCCTCCGAGCCAGGTGCAGGATATAATCTCGTGGTGCGCCGTTTTTTAAGCCGGTCGGAGAAGCGCAATATTCGGGAGGGAGTGACCCGATTTTCCAGGTGCGTCTGTCACCCCTTTCTTTGACTCGGAAAGGGAACTCCCTGACCCCTTGCGCTTCCCAAGTGAGGCAATGCCTCGCCCTGCTTCGGCTCGCCCACGGTACGCGCGCTCACTGACCTGCGCCCACTGTCTGGCACTCCCTAGTGAGATGAACCCGGTACCTCAGATGGAAATGCAGAAATCACCAGTCTTCTGCGTCGCTCACGCTGGGAGCTGTAGACCGGAGCTGTTCCTATTCGGCCATCTTCGATTGCAAAAATTTTCTCCCATTCTGTAGGTTGCCTGTTCACTCTGATGGTAGTTTATTTTGCTGTGCAGAAGCTCATTAGTTTAATTAGATCCCATTTGTCTATTTTGGCTTTTGTTGCCATTGCTTTCGGTGTTTTAGTCATGAAGTCCTTGCCTATGCCTATGTCCTGAATGGTAATGCCTAGGTTTTTCTTCTAGGGTTTTTATGGTTTTGGGTCTAACATTTAAGTCTTTAATCCATCTTGAATTAATTTTTGTATAAGGTGTAAGGAAGGGATCCAGTTTCAGCTTTCTACATATGGCTAGCCAGTTTTCCCAGCACCATTTATTAAATAGGGAATCCTTTCCCCGTTTCTTGTTTTTGTCAGGTTTGTCAAAGATCAGATGTTTGTAGATATGTGGTATTATTTCTGAGGGCTCTGTTCTGTTCCATTGGTCTACATCTCTGTTTTCTTACCAGTAACATGCTGTTTTAGTTACTGTAGCCTTGTAGTATAGCTTGAAGTCAGGTAGCATGACGCCTCCAGCTTTGTTCTTTTGGCTTAGGATTGTCTTGACAATGTGGGCTCTTTTTTGGTTCCATATGAACTTTAAAGTAGTTTTTTCCAATTCTGTGAAGAAAGTCAATGGTAGCTTGATGGGGATGACATTGAATCTATAAATTACCTTGGGCAGTATGGCCATTTTCACGATATTGATTCTTCCTATCCATGAGCATGGAATGTTCTTCCATTTGTTTGTGTCCTCTTTTATCTCATTGAGCAGTGGTTTGTAGTTCTCCTTGAAGAGGTCCTTCACATCCCTTGTAAGTTGGATTCCTAGGTATTTTATTCTCTTTGAAGCAATTGTGAATGGGAGTTCACTCATGATTTGGCTCTGTTTGTCTGTTATTGGTGTATAGTAATGCTTGTGATTTTTGCACATTGATGTTGTATCCTGAGACTTTGCTGAAGTTGCTTATCAGCTTAAGGAGGTTTCGGGCTGAGACACTGGGGTTTTCTAAATATACAATCATGTCATCTGCAGACAGGGACAATTTGACTTCCTGTTTTCCTAACTGAATACCATTTATTTCTTTCTCCTGCCTGATTGCCCTGGCCAGAACTTCCAACACTATGTTGAATAGGGGTGGAGAGAGAGGGCATCCCTGTCTTGTGCCAGTTCTCAAAGGGAATGCTTCCAGTTTTTGCCCATTCAGTATGATACTGGCTGTGGGTTTGTCAAATAGCTCTTATTATTTTGAGAGACGTCCCATCAATACCTAGTTTATTCAGAGTTTTTAGCATGAAGGGCTGTTGAATTTTGTCAAAGGCCTTTTTCTGCATCTATTGAGATAAACATGTGGTTTTTGTCTTTGGTTCTATTTATATGATGGATTACGTTTATTGATTTGCATACGTTGAACAAGCCTTGCATCCCAGGGATGAAGCCAACTTGATCATGGTGGATAAGCTTTTTGATGTGCTGCTGGATTCGGTTTGCCAGTATTTTATTGAGGATTTTCACATCGATGTTCATCAGGGATATTGGTCTAAAATTCTCTTTTTTTGTTGTGTCTCTGCCCGGCTTTGGTATCAGGATGATGCTGGCCTCATAAAATGAGTTAGGGAGGATTCCCTCTTTTTCTATTGATTGGAATAGTTTCAGAAGGAATGGTACCAGCTCCTCTTTATACCTGTGGTAGAGTTCAGCTATGAATCCATCTGGTCCTGGGCTTTTTTTGGTTGGTAGTCTATTAATTATTGCCTCAACTTCAGAGCCTGTTATTGGTCTATTCAGGGATTCGACTTCTTCCTGGTTTAGTCTTGGGAGGGTGTATGTGTCCAGGAATTTATCTGTTTCTTCTAGATTTTCTAGTTTATTTGCATAGAGGTGTTTATAGTATTCTCTGATGGTAGTTTGTATTTCTGTGGGATTGGTGGCGATATCCCCTTTATCATTTTTTATTGCATCTATTTGATTCTTCTCTCTTTTCTTCTTTATTAGTCTTGCTAGCGGTCTATCAATTTTGTTGATCTTTTCAGAAAACCAGCTCCTGGATTCATTAATTTTTTGAAGGGTTTTTTTGTGTCTCTATCCCCTTCAGTTCTGCTCTGATCTTAGTTATTTCTTGTTTTCTGCTAGCTTTTGAATGTGTTTGCTCTTGCTTCTCTAGTTCTTTTAATTGTGATGTTACGGTGTCGATTTTAGATCTTTCCTGCTTTCTCTTGTGGGCATTTAGTGCTATAAATTTCCCTCTACACACTGCTTTGAATGTGTCCCAGAGAATCTGGTATGTTGTGTCTTTGTTCTCATTGGTTTCAAAAAACATCTTTATTTCTGCCTTCATTTCGTTATGTACCCAGTAGTCATTCAGGAGGAGGTTGTTCAGTTTCCATGTAGTTATGCGGTTTTGAGTGAGTTTCTTAATCCTGAATTCTAATTTGATTGCACTGTGGTCTGAGAGACAGTTTGTTATAATTTCTGTTCTTTTACATTTGCTGAGGAGTGCTTTACTTCCAACTATGTGGTCAGTTTTGGAATAAGTCTGATGTGGTGCTGAGAAGAATGTATATTCTATTGATTTGGGGTGGAGAGTTCTGTAGATGTCTATTAGGTCCAGTTGGTGCAGACTTGAGTTCAAGTCCTGGGTATCCTTGTTAACTTTCTGTCTTGTTGATCTGTCTAATGTTGACAGTGGGGTGTTAAAGTCTCCCATTATTAATGTGTGGGAGTCTAAGTCTCTTTGTAGGTCTCTAAGGACTTGCTTTATGAATCTGGGTGTATATATATTTAGGATAGTTAGCTCTTCTTGTTGAATTGATCCCTTTACCATTATGTAATGGCCTTGTCTCTTGACCTTTGTTGGTTTAAAGTCGGTTTTATTGGAGACTAGGACTGCAACCCCTGCTTTTTTTTGTTTTCCATTTGCTTGGTAGATCTTCCTCCATCCCTTTATTTTGAGCCTGTGTGTGTGTCTGCATGTATTCAGCAGATGGGACCCCTGAATACAGCACACTGATGGGTCCTGACTGTTTATCCAGTTTGCCAGTCTGTGTTTTTTAATTGGGGCATTTAGTCCATTTACATTTAAAGTTAATATTGTTATGCGTGAATTTGATCCTGTCATTATGATGTTAGCCGGTTATTTTGCCCATTAGTTGATGCAGTTTCTTCCTAGCATCGATGATGTTTACAATTTGGCATGTTTTGCAGTGGCTGGTACTGATGGTTCCTTTCCATGTTTAGTGCTTCCTTCAGGAGCTCTTGTAGGGCAGGCCTGGTGGTGACAGAATCTCTCAGGATTTGCTTGTAAATTTGTCTGTAAAGGATTTTATTTCTCCTTCACTTATGAAGCTTAGTTTGGCTGGATATGAAATTCTGATTGAAAATTCTTTAAGAATGTTGAATATTGGCCCCCACTCTCTTCTGGCTTGTAGGGTTTCTGCCGAGAGATCTGCTGTTAGTCTGATGGGCTTCCCTTTGTGGGTAACCCGACCTTTCTCTCTGGCTGCCCTTAGCATTTTTTCCTTCATTTCAACTTTGGTGAATCTGACAGTTATGTGTCTTGGGGTTGCTCTTCTCAAGGAGTGTCTTTGTGGTGGTCTCTGTATTTCGTAAATTTGAATGTTGGCCTGCCTTGCTAGGTTGGGGAAGTTCTCCTGGATAATATCCTGAAGAGTGTTTTCCAGCTTGGTTCCATTCTCCCTGCCACTTACAGGTACACCAATGAGACGTAGATTTGGTCTTTTCACATAGTCCCATATTTCTTGGAGGCTTCTTTCGTTTCTTTTTACTCTTTTTTCTCTAAACTTATCTTCTCACTTCATTTCATTAATTTGTGCTTCAGTCACTGATACCCTTTCTTCCACTTGATGGAATCTGGTACTGAAGCTTGTGCATGTGTCACGTAGTTCTCGTGCCATGGTTTTCAGCTCCATCAGATCATTTAAGGTCTTCTCTATGCTGTATATTCTAGTTAGCCATTCGTCTAATCTTTTTTCAAGGTTTTTAGCTTCCTTGTGACGGGTTCAAACATCTTCCTTTAGCTTGGAGAAGTTTGTTACTACCAACTTTCTGAAGTCTACTTCTGTCAACTCGTCAAAGTCATTCTCCGTCCTGTTTTGTTCCCGTTGCTGGCAAGGAGCTGTGATACTTGGAGGAGAAGGGGTGCTCTGGTTTTTAGAATTTTCATCTTTTCTGCTCTGGTTTCTCCCCATCTTTGTGGTTTTATCTACCTTTGGTCTTTGCTGATAGTGACCTACAGATGGGGTTTTGGTGTGGATGTCCTTTTTGTTGATGTTGATGCTATTCCTTCCTGTTTGTTAGTTTTCCTTCTAACAGTCAGGTCCCTCAGCTGCAGGTCTGTTGGAGTTTGCTGGAGGTCCACTCCAGACCCTGTTGCCTAGGTATCACCAGCGGAGGCTGCAGAACAGCAAATATTGCAGAACAGCAAATATTGCTGCCTGATCCTTCCTCTGGAAGCTTCGTCTCAGAGGGGCACCCAGCTGTATGAGGTGTCAATCAGCCCCTACTGGGAGGTGTCTCCCAGTTAGGCTACTCGGGGGTCTGGGACCCACTTGAGGAGGCAGTCTGTCCCTTCTCGGATCTCAAACTCCGTGCTGGGAGAACCACTACTCTCCTCAAAGCTGTCAGACAGGAACGTTGAAGTCTGCAGAAGTTTCTGCTGCCTTTTGTTCAGCTATGCCTTGCCTCCAGAGGTGGAGTCTACAGAGGCAGGCAGGCCTCCTTGAGCTGCAGTGGGCTCCACCCAGTTTGAGCTTTCCGGCTGCTTTGTTTACCTACTCAAGCCTCAGTAATGGCGGACGCTCCTCCCCCAGCCTCGCTGCCACCTGGCAGTTCGATCTCAGACTACTCTGCTAGCAGTAAGCAAGGCTCTGTGGGCGTGGGACCCTCCATGCCAGGCCCTGGATATAATCTCCTGGTGTGCCGTTTGCTGAGACCATTGGAAAAGCACAGTATTAGGGTGGGAGTGTCCTGATTTTCCAGGTACCATCTTTCATGGCTTCCCTTGGCTAGGAAAAGGAATTCGCTGACCCCTTGCACTTTGTGGGTGAGGCTATGCCCCACCCTGCTTTGGCTCACACTCCTTGGGCTGCACCCACTTTCCAACAAGTCCCAGTGAGATGAACCTGGTACCTCAGTTGGAAATGCATAAATCACCCATCTTCTGTATTGCTCACACTGGGAGCTGTAGACTGGAGCTGTTCCTATTCGGCCATCTTGGATCAGCCTCCTTAAGTAGAAAGTTTAATCCATTTATCTTAAAGTTACTATTGACACGTGAGAGTGTATTCCTGTCATTTTATTAATTGATATCTGGTTGTTTTTATGTTCTTTGTTTCATTCTTTCTTATTATGATTGTGGTTTGGTGGTTTTCTGTAATGGTACATTTGAGTTATTTTTCTTCCTCATTTGTGTGCTTGCTCTATCAGTAAGTTTTATACTTTCATGTGTCTTCATGACAGCAGATATTGTCCCTTTGTTCCAGGTGTAAGACTCCCTCAAGCATTTCTTATAGAACTGCTGTAGTCGTAATGCATTCCCTCAGCTTTTGCTTGTCTGGAAAATACCTTATTTCTCCTTCCTCTTCAAAGTTATGAAACATAACTTTGTTGGGTATAATATCCTTGGCTGACAGCTGTTTTTCTTTCAGCACTTTGAATACATCATCCCATTCCCTGCTGGTTTGTAAGTTTTCTGCTGAGAAATCCCGTTAGTCTGATAAGAGTTCTCTTACAGGTGACTAGATGCTTTTCTCTTACTATCTTTAGAATTTTCTTTGTTTTTTACTTTTGACAGTTTGACTATAATTTCATGCAGAAGACCTTTTTGCATTCTGTCTCTTTTGTATCTATATCTGTTTCATATCTGACTCTCTGAGCTTTCTGTGTCTGGATATCTAAATCTCTTGCTAGACTTGGAAAGTTTTCAGCTATTATTTTGTTGAGTAGGTTTTCTAACCCTTTTATTTTCTCTTCACCGTTTAGGATACCAAAAATTCAAATATTTGGTTGCTTTATAGTGTCTCATATGTCACATAGGCTTTGTTCATTCATTTTTATTCTTCTTCTTTTTTTTTTTCTTGAGACAGAGTTTTGCTCTTGTTGCCCAGGCTGGAGTGCTGTGGCATGAACTCGGCTCACTGCAACCTCCACCTCCCAGGTTCAAGCAGTTCTCCTGCCTAAGCTTCCCAAGTAGCTGGGATTACAGGTGCCCGCCACCACCGGCCGGCTAATTTTTTGCATTTTTAGTAGAAATGGAGTTTCGCCTTGTTGGGCAGGCTGGTCTTGAACTCCTGAGGTGATCCGCCTGCCTCGGCCTCCCGAAGTTTATCTTTGTCTCACTGGGTTATTTCCAGAGACCTGACTTCACATTCTGAAATTCTTTCATCAGCTGTTTTTAGTCCTTTGTTGATGCTTTTGAATGTGTTTTGTATTCCATTTAATGAATTCTTCAGTTCCAGAATTTCTGTTTGGTTCTTTCTTATAATTATGTTTCTTTGGTAAATTTCTTATATTCCAAATTGTTTTTCTAAATTATTTGTATTGCTTTTCTGTTTTTTCTTATATTTGAGCTGAGCATCTTTAATATCACTATTTCAAATTTATAATCTGGGATTTCTTAAATTTTTGTTTTTGATTGGAATCTGTTGCTGGAGGATTATTGTGTTTCTTTGGAGGTGTCATATTGCCTTGCTTTTTCATATTTCTTGTGTCCTTATGTCAGTATCCATGCATCTGGTATAGCAGTCACTTCTTTCAATTTTTTGAGGTTGCTTTCATAGGGGAGGACTTTTTCCTGAAGATGCATCTATTGTGTTGGTTGGGTAGAACACTTTGACTTTGATTCAGGGTACATGCTGAAGTGTAGTCTTTGTATAACTTCTGCTATAAACAGTGTTATGGTGTCTGTGATTTCCACAGTGGCTTAGGGTGCAGTTGTTAGTGGAGGCTGTAGTGAAGTTTTGCTGGGGATGGGGATGTGAGGTGGGCCTGTCCTCGGGCCTCAGTAGGGGCAGCAGCAGGCCCAAGCCTACCTGTCCTTGGGCCCCCAGGTGTTGTACATGAGTACCAGTGTTAGCAAATCCAGGCATGCTGATTCTTGGGCCTCTAGGCAGCTTGCTCAGGTGCTAGTAGTGGCAGCAGTGGGTCAGGCAGGTGGCCAGGTGGGTTCTTTGGCCTCTGGAAGCAGATATGGCTTCGGTGATGTCATTAGCAATGGCAGGACTAACCTCTGGGTTCCAAGCAGTCCATGCTGATGTTGATGGTGACTGTGACAGGCTGGGCAAGCCAGTCCCCAGGCCCACAGGTGGTACATGCAGATGGGTGCCTGCTGCAGTGATTAAAGGCAGGTTGGGTGGGCTCAATCTCAGGCCACCAGGAGGAGTGCTCAGGTGTGTGGCACAGGTGATGGACTGGGCTAGGTAGTCCCCAGGCCTCCCAGACAGTGTGCTCAAACACTGGGGGCACAGAGCCAAGACCTGTCCTCAGGCCCTCCAGTGGTGTTTGTAGGTGCTAACTGTGTTGGCAGGGTAGGGATGACCCCCAGGCCCAAGGAAGAATCCTCAGGTGGAGGCGGCAGTGGCTATGCTGCAGACCTGCTATTAGGGAGGGCTTTCAGTGGCAACAGCTATATGCAGGCTGCTAGGGAATACCCACTTCACTTGCGCTTTGGCCCCAGCTGCAGCAGCCCACAGCTGCAGTTGCTGCAGACAGGAAGTTTGTCCTTGGAGTGCATGAAGATGTGCAGCAGCTTCACTGCTGGGGGCAACAGGATCTTTGCCAGTGGCTCAGGCTTTAGTCCTGAAAGCAGCAGCCAGTGACAGTGGTGGCCTGTGGGTAGGAAATGTCAGTGGGGCTCCAGACATGTGGAGATGTGGGGACTGTAGGGCTTGTGGGCAGGATGCAGTCTTTTGGGGGTTGTGCTCTCAATATGATACCTTGTTCTAGCTGCTTAGGGTTTGGGAAGTATATAGGACCCAGCGTGAACTCCCTCTCTTGAGCAATGTCTTGCACAACTCCAGGCATCTCCCTATGTTAGTTGCAGCCCACAAGGGTCTAGGGTCTTTCCCATGACTAGAATACAGGAGTCCACGGTGGGAATGTGTACCACTGGGGGTCACTTACTTACCCTTTCCCCACACTGGACAACCTTTCTAGGCTCCCAGCTGATTGCAGCCGAGCAGGCTTACTTCCTTCTCCTTCCTTGTTTTACATGTTTCCAGTTTAATTCCAGTGTTCTCTCTTAGGTGATCTGTTCAAAGTGTAACATTTTAAATGAAGTTCCACATTATTTTCTAATAAAATAGTGGCAGAGTCCTTGTAAAAAATTGGCAATTTTGCTTTCAACAGTACATGTTTTATTTATTAACTGTGCAAAATGGATTTTTAAATAATTGATAATAGTTTTGTTTCTTCAGTAAGCTAAATATCTTCCTTAACTCCACTCCAAAAAAAAGAGTCTGGCTTACACAGCTGATTTGCTTAGCACTACCTTCTGTTTTAAAGTAGTATGCAGGTACACATGTTAAGTTTGTTACATATCCTAACTGCCAAATTCCATATTAGTGGAATCTGAATACAGTTACAGTTGGTAAAGAAAGAAGTAGTTTCATAAAATACTCTAAACTATAGTGTATATAATGTACATTGGTTGAAAATGCTTTATTTATCAGACATGATATATTACCCTTTTTTCCCCAGAGGAGAAGAAACAAATATCACTTTAAATGATCTCAAGCCAGCCATGGATTACCATGCAAAGTAAGGAATTCCTACAGATTGCCTTTATAAGATACAGCATAAGGGGTTTTTTTTTTAAATAATTATTTTCTTAAAAATCTAGTATATAATTTAAACATTAATTTTGGATTAAAAACAGACTTTGTGGGCTGGGCGCAGTGCGCCCGTAATCCCAGCACTTTGGGTGGCCAAGACGAGGATTTCTTGAGCCCAGGAGTTCAAGACCAGTCTGAGTGACATAGTGAGACCCTATCTCGACAAAGAAATCCAAAAAGTAGCCAAGCATGGTGGTGCAGGCCTGTGGTATCAGCTACTCGGAAGGCTGAGGTAGGAGGATTGCTTGAGCCCAGGAGGTTAAGACTGCAGTGAGCCATGATTGTGCCATTGTATTCCAGCCTGGGCTACAAAGTGAGACCTTGTCTCAAACAAAAAAAAAAACTTTGCAGACTTCAGTTTTTCTATTGGTAAAATTATCAAAATTTTTCCAAAAAAAAAACATTTAACTCATGTTACAGTCAAGGACTAATCATCCTGTTTGTAGAATTTTGGGTTTGGAATGAATCTGTAGAATATGTCTGTAGCATCTGGTTTGGCACTGGAAACTTGTCCCAGCTTTTGGAATTTTTATAAAATAATTATAAATATTTTGTTTACACATATCTTTTACTACATCCTGTTTTAGGGTTCGGGATACCAAGACTCTAGAATTTCACAACATTTAATAGGAAGAACTTAGATAATGTTTTACTCTATGCAGGTCTTCTAGTGTAATTTACTAAAATTTCATAGACTCTAGGGCTTACCCAGCTGAAGCCTAATATAACACATTTAGTTAATTACCCCCATTTTTAAAAAGAGCACATGTGGTTGGGATTATTTCTGTTAAACTACTAAGTGTTCAAGTGTACTTACTATGGATATACTCAAAGTATTGTCCAACCTAACCTTTTTCAAACTGTAGATTGTAGTCACATTTAATCATGAATTTAATTCTGTGGGTTATATTCAGCATTTTTTAAAAAAGAGAAATAGAATCAAATAGGACAGAAAGCATCAGTGTATTCCCCATAGTTGAGAACATTGTTTCAGGAATATATATGCACACTCACAGTTATATCACAATTTTAAATTATTTCTTTGGGTTGCAGCAAAAAAGAAAAAAAAACTTGTCCTTTTTTTTTTAACGGTCACCTTTTACTTCTAATAGTCATATTTTCTTGATAGAACTTTTAGTGGACACCTTCCTAATCTGCAAGTACTTAAAGGTGACACTATTGAAAACAGGATACAGTGATTATGAAAGGTAAAACTATTTATTTTATCACCATAGAGTCCAGGCAGAATATAATTCTATAAAGGGAACTCCTTCAGAGGCTGAAATCTTTACCACCTTGAGCTGTGAACCTGATATACCTAATCCACCAAGGATAGCCAATCGGACCAAAAATTCACTCACTTTGCAATGGAAGGTAAGAATATTCTTTAGGGTGTTTCCAACTGGACATGTGTTTCTTTGTTTCCCCTGGTAGTATTAAGTTTCAATTGTTGCTGGAGACAAAGAGCTTTAATTTGTTCCTGCTTTTTACATATAAGACACAAATGCCTATTTAATGTATCTTAAAATAGCACTGTTACTGGTTTTTCTTACTATATGTAAATATAGCAAAAACGATTTGTAATTAACAGTCCTTATTACATTGCACATGTGATGACATTGAGATTCACAACAGTGATTCTTAACCCATTACTCCTTTTTGTAATATTTCGTCATGATGCCTTTATATTCTGAATTGTATTCTAAAATTAGATTTATAATAACTATACTCATAAATCAATATGCTGCCTAAAAGGAGGAATAAAGTTATTGTCAATAGAAAAATATATATTTTAATTCATAAACGTTTGGTCCTAGCTACACAAGAAGATACAATGAAGTGGACAGATACCATACATAGAATTAGTCATTCAAATACCACAGACAACATTGTCACTGATTATATAATTTTCTGAAATAGTGTGGACTTGGTAAATTTCTGAACAAATTAAATGCAGTCTTTCCCAGATTGCACAGTTATTGCATTTTGGAAAACTTGGTGTCTGTTAAAACCATACAAAAAATACTTTATAAAATGGGATTTGGTTCTTCAATTCTGATAGATATTCAGAAGTCCTAGAGGAAGAGAACAATTCCCCATCATACTGATTGTCCCCCATTCTGCAGGGCTATTAGCGCCCTTGATCTTCACCCCATACCACCAGACTCTCCCCTCCTGCATTATTGTGATCAGGTTAGAAATAGCCCCCACAAAATTTCAAAACATCCCCTAGAATGGGGTACCACTCCTGTTAGCATTGGTTTGCAGTGAGATGTAACTGTTCCTCTTGATTTTAATTATCTGTCCTTGCTTTGAGAGCAAGCTCAGGGCTAGCCTTACTTTTGAAAGCTTTTAAAAATGTGGGGCTTACTACTTGTTCTGTAGCTTGTTAGTTTCTAGTTCTTCTGAGGATATTAGATACTTTTGTAGTCAAAAAGTACTGTTAACACATGTAAGTCAAGCAGCTGTGTATATATACATATATTCATGTGTGATAAAAAAGTATGACTAATTTTATTTCGTGTCACTTACAGTAGTATTTTATTTGTGGATATGCTCAGACCCTTTCCTTTGGTAGAGCAGTTGAGGTAGCAGCCCATTGTTGTTTATATAGGTTAAGATTTCTGTAGGTGACTGTTCTTTATTTCGAAGATAATTAAAATAGAATTTTGAAATGTCTGCCTTTAACAATATCCTAACATCCCTATATAAGATGTAGGTGGTGGTACCTCAGATTACCCACACAGGTTTCCCAGGCTTGAACCCTTCTAGAAATGACCCTATATACACACACAGTAATCAACATGGTTGGAAAAAGATATCATTGTCACTGTTATTGGAGGATAGTATTATATACCTCAGAGTCGGGAGGATTAAACAGGTAACATCTAAATCGCCCATAGTATAATGTCTGGAACATAATGAGCGTAATAACTATTGTTATTTAATATTAAAAATGAAGAAAAGTCACTAAAAGTAGTTTAGTGACTTGAATATCTGGTCTTTTGACTCTGCTACCTCACCTAATCTAAAAGCATTCCTATGGTGGTTAACATGGGAGATAGCAGTTGAGAGAGGTATCTTATTAACTGACATTGTTTAGAATTGCCAGAGCATGGTGATGACAAAAAGCTCACTAAAGATGGTCTTTTTCTGTCTTATTGCCAGTCCCCCAAGGCAGACTATCTACTTCTCAGCCCCTAGAATAGTGCTGGGTAGGAACACTGATTTTTGTGGGCAGATAGAACAAATTCAGTTCTGCTCTACTTTTAATGACTTTGTGATCTGGGATGATTTATTTGGTTCTTTGAAGCCCTCATTTTCTCTTTTGTAAAGTTCAGGTAATAGTACTTCATAGAGTTGATTGGAGGACTAAATGAGATAAGGTAAAACACTTTACACTTAATAGTATCCCCTCAAACTTGGAGAAAAGCTAGAGGATCAGTCTTAGGTTAAGGTGGACATTTTAATAGCCTCACTGGAAAAAGAGAAAAATTAATCAAGTAAGTGTGAGAGACCTCAGCAACTAGACTAGAGCAATCTGGAGTCATTAACACTTGGAAAATGTCTTTTTATATCCCTCACTTCCTGCTGAGACTTTTGATCTCTCTCTTTGGATTCTCTTCCTCTATATCATAAGAGCTGGAGTTTCCCAAAGATTCTTCCTCTGCCCCGTTCACATTATATTCATTTTTAACTGCCACTACTTTGCCAGTCAGTGAGATATTACCCTAACTTACAAGCAAATTCTGGCCATGCTAACCAGTTTAAAATTATAATTTAAAAAAAATTAATGTAAGATCTGTATTAGCGTTTAACAAATAATTTAGACCTCCATGTTCATCTGTATTAAAAACTTAATGATCCTTGATTGCCATTTACATAGTTAGCAATATTATATAAAAACTGGATAGAGTCCAAAAAACATCATTTCAAAAATTAAAATGGTTTAATTTTGACCAGGGGAGTCTTAAAGTCAATTGTCTGCAAATATATGGAGTTATAATAAGAATAGGGGTGACCATTTATTCTGCAAAGAGGAAATGGGCTGAAATTGTAGAAGGAAAATTCAGATGGAAGTAAGGTTGAAATTCTTGATTTTTAGAGTGATTAAATACTGAAATAAAATGCCAAGGGAGACTGCATACTTTTACACCTAAAATAATAACAGATTGCTGAGTCAGCAGTCTCAGGTAACCAGCACAGTGAGTATAGAAACAAGGACCAAGACACTGCCCTCTCAGAGCTCCTTTCAGCACCCTGGTTCTTCACTCTTTGGTATTTTATACAATATTCCATTTATTTTGTAAGGTGAGTTTTAATACAAATGACAGGATCAATCCTACAACCTTAAAGCTGATAAAACTCTCTGGAAGAAAAGCAAAATGGTTTTTTTAAAGACTTTTTCAAGTTATTAATAGTTCTTGCTAAAAGAGATTGTTCAGTGTTCGGAAAGACTTGAGTAGCTTCTTGCTTTCTTTCCTTAAATTTGAAAGGATTATAGGGCATACAATACATATATTTTTGTATTTTTATGAACATTTTCGCAGGACCAAGTCACAGAAAACATCTGCCACATAAACTAGATCCTTATATTAGATCATCACAGTATCATTTATGAATGTACTAATTTGTTTTCATTTTGTTTTTTGGTGTTGGTTTTAGGCACCTAGTGACAATGGTTCTAAAATCCAAAACTTTGTATTAGAATGGGATGAAGTAAGTAAATTGAATCTTTTTAAATGGTTAACATTATGTGCATATGTTCAGGCAAAATTAACTTTTTTGTTTGTTTTAATCATCAAGTATATTCTTCTGTCAAAAAAAGTATGAATGATTTTGTGTGGTGCATGAGTGGATTGATGGTGTTTTCAGAAAACATTCCTGACTTAACTTCCCTATTTTCAATAAATCACCATCAAAATTATTATTTAGGTAACTACCTTGATAAAGGAACTTTTTTTTCACATCAGCCTTAAAGACAAGTGTATTCCTTTCCTATGGCTGCTATAACAAATTACCCCAAACCTGACATTAAAACAGCACATTATTCTCTTACTTTTCTGGAGGCCAGAAATCCAAAATGAGTTTCTCTGGGACAAAATCAAGGTGTCAGCATGGCCAGGCCCTCTCCAGGGACTTTAGAGGAGAATCTGTTTCCTTGCCTTGACCAGCTTCTGTAGGCTGTCCTCATTACTTGGTTCATGGCCACATCACATTGCGTTTTCTCCCCTTGTTTCCATCATCACATCACCTTCCTCCTCTGTCTTCAAATCTGTCTTCCTTTTTTAGGAACACTTATGATTCCATGTAGGGTCTATTCAGATAATCCAGGATAAGCTCCTATCTCGAGATTCTTAGTCACATTGTACAGTCCCACCTACCATATAAGGTTATATTCACAGGTTCAGGGGATTGGGACCTGGATATTCATGGTGGCCATGACTCAGCCAACCACAGCAAGCATACTGGACTTCATTGTTTAGTACAGGGGTGTCCAGTCTTTTGGCTTCCTTGGGCCACACAAAATACTACATTTGTGCAAAGGTAGTTGCTGTTTTTGCCATTAAAAGTAATGGTAAAAACAGCAGTTACTTTTGCACCAACCTACATTAACACTAACAATAGCTAATGAGCTTTTAAAAAAATGACAAAAATATCTCATAATGTTTTAAGAAAGTTAACAAATTTATGTTGGGCCACATTCAAAGCTGTCCTGGGCCGCATGTGGCCCTTGGGCCGCAGGTTGGACAAGCTTGGTTTAGTACATTGTTTTTACTATCAGTTACCATGTTCTCTCTTGCCCTATGGCTTGTACCAAGCTAAGAAGAGGGGCCAGAGGGAGTGGAAGAAATTCCATTGATAAGTTGGGAATTCGGCAGTATATTAAAAGAATAATAAAGCACAACCAAGTAGATTTTATTCCGGAAATTCTAAGATAATTTAGAATTAGGAAACCTATTAACATATCACATTAATTTAGAAGAAAACTATATTGCTAAATTAAGGAAGAGTATTTGATAAAAATTACCATTCATCTCAGTTAAAACTCAAAGCAGATTAGGAATAGAAAGGTAATTTCTTACTTGATAGTTATTTTTGTACCATCACTAAACAAAGGCATTTTTATGCAAAGCTGAAATAAGTCAAGATTGCCAATTATCCCTACCTTTATTTAACATTATTTCAGAAGTTACACTTAAGGCAGTATGACTTGAAACCAAAGCAAAAAGTACAGTCATGGTGTCTGGCTCGGGGCAAAACTGTCATTATTTAGAGATGATATGATTTTCTACTTAGAAACTCAGTCGAATCAACTAAACAACATCAGAACTAAAAAGAGCATTTAGTAAAGCAGTCAAGTACAGTCTACAGGTTTTCTTTGAAGCAGAAGTCACCCTAACTACCATTTTATCTCTAGCAACACAATAAAGAAAAATGGGTGGCAAATGTGAAACTTACCCATTTTAGTTACCACTCTAAATTTCTAAAACTCTTTAGTTGTCCTCTTTTCTCTCTCCTTCTTATTGCCTGTAATTGGGCTGTGCTCTCTGCTAGAACATTTTCAGTGTTAATCTAAGCAGTAGAAGCGCCAAAAGTTTTATTTTAAAGAAGTTTATGAGCTATCTAGTTGGAAGTTTGGGCATGGGTAAGGACCTTTTCTTAAAACTGTCTGCTTAGAGCTTTCCATAGGTTGAAAAAAGCCGCCAGTTGACCCTATCAAAGATCGTCACCCCATTTCTACCACTGGTAGTCTTCTATGGAGATTGTAGGGTCCATACCTGCAGAGTTTCCTTTATTAAAGCCAGAGATTTAACATTGGCTAAAAGATGGTACTTAATTCAAGAAGCTGTACAAAGATACCTGCTCTCTGGTGTTTTAATTCTGCATTTGATGATCTATATCATATAAAAGATGTGCTGTATCTCAGCCTTCTCTTGAGATCCATGACTTTTAGTATACACTTGCTAATATGTAACTGTCAAGAAGGAATTGATGCGAATTTATCTTTTTACAGTAATGTACATGGTATATAATAATCAGCCATTTCTTGTAGGGAAAAGGAAATGGAGAATTTTGTCAGTGTTACATGGGCTCACAGAAACAATTTAAAATTACTAAACTTTCACCAGCAATGGGCTGTAAATTCAGACTATCGGCCAGAAATGACTATGGTACAAGGTAAGGTGTACTTTATAAAAGAATGTAAATATTTTTAGATTATCAAGTCAACGTCAATTGTATAATTATTTACTGTCCAAATTATTCATTAAAAATTCTGCTTAGTTTATCTCTTTGTTGATATAGTTAAGATGTGTTACCAGTCTAGCAAAAGCTATAAGAGAGTTAGTTACATAGGAACCACAGGAAACATTAAACTTACAACTTTCCAAGATTTTCAGATATAAATTAGATTTTTATATGTGACAAAGAGATTTTTCTTTTGCTCCTCAGCATATGTGATGACAGTATTTTGTTTAAAGTCAGGTGAACTGTAAGAACATCTAAAATACCCAATTTAAATAGAAAGGCCAAGTATCTTTCAAGAGTCATTGAAATTATTTTTGTTCTAGAGATAGCTCTGCTCACCTTAGGGGCAGGTGCGTTTAATTACACAACTGAGAACTTACATTTTCTATTTTATATAAATGGCATTATATGAAAGTGTGTTTAAAAGTTACAACATTTACACCAATACACGAGTGTTATTGTTTCCATAAGGTAATGTGTATATTTTTTCATTGACTCGATAAATTATGATATAAAGGCTTACAAATCTGAACAAAACTGCATTTTTAATAGAACACTAATTCACTGTTTGGTATCTGACCTGGTTATCATAAAGAGATCAAACCCAAGATATATTATTTGTATTATAATTCATTATCAAAACTTGTCATTTTCCAAAAAAATTACATCTGTCACAAACTTGTTCTTTCACTGTAAAAATAACTTTTTCATGCCTTTTAAAACCATTTGTTTCAACAGTGGTTTTAGTGAAGAAGTCTTATATTACACCTCAGGCTGTGCTCCTTCTATGCCAGCAAGTCCTGTATTAACCAAGGCTGGAATTACTTGGTTATCCTTACAATGGAGTAAGCCCTCAGGAACACCATCAGATGAAGGAATTTCTTACATTTTAGAGATGGAGGAAGAAACTTCAGTAAGTGCAAATATGGATTTTAAATAGTGTATTTAAAACATTTTCAGCTTAAGGAGATTTTGGGCTGAGACGATGGCATTTTCTAAATATACAATCATGTCATCTGCAAATAGAGACAATTTGACTTCCTCTCTTCCTATTTGAATACGCTTTATTTCTTTCTCTTGCCTGATTGCCCTGGCCAGAACTTCCAGTACTATGTTGAATAGGAGACGAGGGCATCCTTATCTTGTGCCAGTTTTCAAAGAGAATGCTTCCAGCTTTTGCACATTCAGTATATTGGCTGTGGGTTTGTCATAAACAGCTCTTATTATTTTGAGATACATTCCATCAGTACCTAGTTTATTGAGAGTTTTTGGCATGAAGGGGTATTGAATTTTATCAAAGGCCTTTTCTGCATCTATCGAGATAATCATGTGGTTTTTGTCATTGGTTCTGTTTATGTGATGGATTACGTTTATTGATTTGCATATGCTGAACCAGCCTTGCATTCCTAGGGATGAAGCCAACTTGATCATGGTTTTTCGATGTGCTGCTGGATTCAATTTGCCAGTATTTTATTGAGGATTTTTGCATCAATGTTCATCAGGCATATTGGCCTGAAATTTTCATTTTTTGTTGTGACTCTGCCAGGTTTTGGTATCAGGATGATGCTGGCCTCATAAAATGAGTTAGGGAGGAGTCCGTCTTTTTCTATTGTTTGTAATAGTTTCAGAAGGAATGGTACCAGCTCCTCTTTGTACCTCTGGTAGAATTTAGATGTGAATCCATCTGGTCCTGGGCTTTTTTTGGTTGGTAGGCTATGCTGGAAACCATTATTCTCAGCAAACTAACACAGGAACAGAGAACCAAACACTGCATGTTCTCACTCACAAGTGGGAACTGAACAATGAGAACACCTGGACACAGGGAGGGGAACATCACACAGCAGTGCCTGTTGGAGGGTGGGGGGTTAAGGGAGGGATAGCATTAGGAGAAATACCTAATGTAGATGATGGGTTGATGGGTGCAGCAAACCACCATGGCACATGTATACCTATGTAACAAACCTGCATGTTCTGCACATGTATCTCAGAACTTAAAGTATAATTTTTTAAAAAATCAGAAAAAAAAACATTTTAGTGTGGCATTAATCCTAATACAATAAATATTGCCACTCCTAATACAGTAAGTATTGCCACAGTAGTTAGCTCATTTCCCAGTCCTTTGAAGCCTTGGCTTGTTACTGTTTGGGAGAGGTTAGGTATGATGGAGAACTCAGTCTTTTTTTTTCTTTTGCAACAGGGTCTTGCTCTGTAGCCCAGGCTGGAGTGCAGTGGCACAATCTCAGTTCACTTCAGCCTTGAACTCCTGGGCTCAGGCAATCCTTTCACCTCAGCCTTTCAAGTAGCTGGGACTACAGGCACATGCCACCATGCCTGGCTAATTTTATTTTTTGTAGTGACAGAGTTTCGCTATGTTGCCTAGGCTGGTCTCACACTCCTAGGCTCAAGTGGTCCTCCCACCTCAGCCTCCCAAAGTGCTGAGATTACAGACTTGAGCCACTGTGCCCAGCCTGAAAACTCTGTCTTTTCTTTTGATGTGAAGGGGGTTTTGTTTTATTTGTGTGTGTGTATATATGTCTGTCTGTGCTTTGGAACCACATAGGCTGCACTTTAACTATATCTGTTTTAGGGAAACTATGAGGAGGGGAAGATCACCACAGCCTTCTTGACTAAGCAGCTCTAAAAGATGAGGAAATATTGGGTCTGCCTTTCTCTAACTGTATTTATACACTGCTTCCCAAGGTGTCACAGAAGATTTTAAAAGTTTCCTGTGAAACTGTAGTACAGCCTGAATCTAGTTACACATCACTGACATCCTATTACCTAGAGGCTAGCTGACCAGGAGTTAGGGTGTATTCTATTATTAAATCTATATATAGTTCATAGATTTTCAGAGCTACTTTGAAGGAATATGGGTCAAAAATGGCATTGGTCCACCCCTAAGTATATACCCAAAAGAATTGAAAACACATGTTCATACAAAAAAATTGTACACAAATGTTCATAGCAGCATTATTCATAATAGTCAAAAAGTGGAAGCAACCCAAATGTCCATCAACAGATAGATGGATAAACAAAATGTGGTGTATCCATACAATGGAATATTTTTCAGCCATAAAAAGAGTACCAGTATATGCCACAACCTTGAAACCAACCTTGATGACCTATATGAACCAACCTTGAAAACATTATGCTAAAGAACCCAGTTACAAAAGACTCCATATTATATGATTCCATTTATATGGATATAGACAAATCCATAGAGACAGGAAGTATGTTAGTAGATAGGTGGAGGGAAGTGACTGCTACCCAAAAAAGGACAGGCTTTTTCTGAAATTAGGAATTAGGGGAAAGTTGCACAACTTTGTGAATACACTATAAGCCATTAGATTTTATACTTTGAAATGGTGAATTTTACAGTATATGAATTATATCTCAATTTTTTTAATTCAAAAAATGATAACGTTCGGAAAATTTGTAAAGCATTGTCACTAGTGCTGGAAATAGCCATCCCAAACCTAAGTGACATCCTCACCTGCCAGCACAATTAACCCTTCAATTATTTACTTAGACAACCATGTGTTAAAGGCAAGTTAAATATGTTAACTACTTACAGTTCTATTCAGCTCTTGCACGATGTCTCTGGGAAATCTCTGTTCTTGGGATAGCTTACTGATGGTGAAGTTACCATTGGCTCCAACTCTATAAACTCTTCCCTCAACACAAAGATCGTCTTCTCTTGGCTACTATATTTACTGAGACTAAGTGGCCTGCTTCATCTTCTACCAAATGTTCAATAAGCATTTCCGGGTCTACCCACTGAAGACAGAAGCATCGAGGTGAGGATTCCACTCAACAGAGCATTAGTCATATTGCACATAGTAGAAGATGAAGAGAAACCCGGGTCTTTTCACATATTCATTATTGCCCATATTTCTATTGTTAGACATCGAATGAAGACTTTGTTTTTTCCTTTTCCAGGGATATGGTTTTAAGCCTAAATATGATGGAGAAGATCTTGCTTACACAGTGAAAAATCTCAGACGTAGTACTAAGTATAAATTTAAGGTAAGCTTTGAAAACCCTTAAACGATTTGTTCCTTGTTCCTATTCTTACTGGTGTGGTGGGGTTCTTTGTTTTCTGTTTGTTTGTTTGTTTGTTTTTTGAGACGGGCTCTTACTCTGTCACCCAAGCTGCTGCAGTGGCACAATCATGGCTCACTGCAGCCACAACCTCCTGGGCTCAAGTCATCCTCCCACCTCAGCTTCCCAAGCAGCTGAGACCACAGGTGCATGCCACCACACCTGGCTAACTTATTTTGTAGAGACGAGGTTTCACCATCTTGCCCAGGCTGATCTCACACTCCTCGGTTCAAGTGATCTTCCTGCCTCGGCCTCCCAGAGTTCTGGGATTACAGACACAAGCCACTGCACCCAACCTCTATTCTTACTGTTTTAAAGACAAGTATATACTTCACTCCTTTGGTTTTAGATCTTAAATAATGTTGACCTTTTCTAGTGAGCTTTTTTGTTTTACTTTGTTATATAGCGGTGCTTCTCAAACTTTATATATTTAACAACCAATTTATATGGCTCTTATTTGTGTAATGTGACCAAACATCTTTTAAAATATGAATGTTAGAACATACTAAGTATATGCTTTGTTGGCAGGGATATCACAGAAAATAATGCTACATTTTTCTCAATGTAGCATATCAAGTGGTGTATAATTTCAATTTGTCTTATTACTGGTAGTCACTTGATAAAGCCTGTATCTACCATATTCTTCTCATATTTATAATAACTGTAAAGTTATTCTTTTTTGTTTGTAATTAATAAGTATTTTGTAAATACTGTGTACCCTGTGAGCATCTTGTTCCTCATCAAACTTTCATCCATAGTTTTAACACCCATTGGTGATACTTGCCTAAATCAATTATTACCATGATTGATGGTGCCAAGTGGTGATTTTTAAAATTTTATCATTTTTTCTACATTCATTAGTTGGTATTATACTGTAAGGAAAGAAAGACTTTCTCTTCTCCCCATTTATATCAGTATGTACTCATGGAAGTCTGTTAAATGGCTTATATTTTGTTACTTTGATTATTGTGAGGCTCAAATTGTCCCAGATTTGGGATCCCCTACAAGCTGGCTTCAGAATCCTTTTGACATGTCTCTCATTCTTTGAGCCCTTCCTTTCTGGCACAAGATTTCTAGTCTCATCTTAAACTTTACCTTCTTCAACTCTGGAATTGGCCATTTCTCAAAGCACCAGGATCCTTTTAGTGGACAGTGATATTTAGGAATCAAGATCTAGATACTAAGTATACTTAATTGCCATAGAGGTTTTACTGCTCCTGAGCACCCTCCCAATGGACACAGCTAGGAACTATATGTGTGTATATGTTTAGTTTATATACAGATATTTATACATGTGTATATACATAAATAGACAATTACAACACAGATACATATCTGTGTCTCTGTATCTCTGTATTTTTAAAAATCATGAGTTCACACCAGATACCTTCAATTCTAATCCAGTGCCACAGGTTAATTTTAGTTTTCCCCTGTCCTTATTTCTAACTTCCTTCATCATCAGTGAGAAACTTTGCTCATTAGTTGATAAATTCAACATTTAAATTTTCCTGCCAGTGCTTATTTAATCAAACCATTTCAAATAAATGATAAAAGCCACTGTAAATTGTTTTCACTATTAAAAAGCAAAGAAATTTTATTACTTCTTGAGAATCTTAAGTCTTTAGCAATGGGAAATTTGATTATTTAGCACATAATAATTGTTATGCTTTATTTTATGCTATTAGCTTCATTTTAAAAACTTATAATAATGCTATGTCAATTTAATTTCTAAATATGATTTTCATATTTACAAGATTTATAAAATACCTGAGAAATAGGCACATCCATTCCAGTTTTGTGATGATATTGGATTGTATTTTTGCTTCATTAATGAAGCATTCCAACAGGTCTCCTAAAGAGGAAGTTGTTAATGTCTTTGTAATTTGTTAAGTTTATGAAAATCCTAAAATTCTACTACCATGTAACACCATGGTATTATAGGGACTGAAATGGATACAAATATACATATGTGTTAAATTCCTTAGCATTCTACTATAAGCTAATCAAATTTCTATTTAGGCCAGGCATGGTGGCTCACACCTGTAATCCCAACTACTCGGGAGTCTGAGGCACAAGAACTGCTTGAACCTGGGAGGCAAATGTTGCAGTCAGCCAAGATTATGCCACTGCACTCCCGACTGGGCAATACAGCGAGATTCTGTCTCAAAAAAAAAAAAAATTTGTTTTTTCTATTTAAAAGCCACCAGGCATGGTAGCTCACGCTTGTAATAATCCCAACACTTTCGGAGGCTGAGACAGGAGGATCATATGAGCCCAGGATTTCAAGGCTGTAGTGAGCTATGATCGTGTCACTGCACTCCAGCCTAGGCAGCAGAGCAAGACCCCATCTCTTAATAATATTAACTAATTAATTAAAGTGTGTTTCACTATGGTGGTCACTGTCAAATTTCAGGGGAGGGAGAAGTATACAGTCAGAATCTCCAAGGAGACAGTAGGCTGTTGCACAAAATTCTCCCAGATAATGAGGTTGGAGATGGGAAAACAATATGTCTGAAAGCCACCTCTTTACTCATCACTGGATAAAAGGAAGGGGGCTATATTCTGGCTTATTAAGATGTGGAGCAATAGTTCTCAAAGTAGTCAGCAGGCCATTTTGTCAGTATCGCCTGAGAACTTGTTAGAAATGTAAATTCTCTGGCCCTGCCCCTCCCCACCCCCATCTACTAAATTAGAAATTTGGGGGGCAGAGGCCTAGCAGTCTGTTGTGGTATACTTCTAAGTAATTCTGATCCTTGCCAAAATTTGGAAACAACTGATCTAGAGGAGGAAAAAAAAACAGGAAGTAGAAAATGATGCTTGTATGAAGTTCTAGGAGCTCAGACACTTATTTTAAATCTGCCATGTGCAGGGAACCCAGCTTGAGGGCATTTTGAATCATTAAATCCTATTGTTGTGTCTTGGTCTTCCTTTTCTAGCTAGATATTGCAGATTCTTTCAAACAGTCGTATCAAAATAAAATCTTAATATTTTAGAGAGATCTTAGAACACTTTGAGAAAAGCTACAAAAAAAAAATAATCCAGGAAGTAATGACTAAGTAGCATATTATTATTCTGAAGAAACAATAAGAATATGATTAATGTAAAGTGAACTACTAATATGACCAAGTTTACCAAATACTAGAGCTCTAGGTTCTACACTGAGGACAATTCTGGGATAACCAAAATACTAAAACAAGATAAGAACAGTGAAAAAATTTAAATGATAAAGAAGAATGAAAATAAAATTTTATTTATTTATTTGTTTATTTTGAGACAGGGGCTCACACCATCACCCAGGCTGGAGTGCATTGGCACAATCATAGTTCACTGCAGCCTCAAACTCCTGAGCTCAAGGGTTCCTTCCACCTCAGCCTCCTGAGTAAGCTGGGACTACAGGCATGAGCCACCACACCTGGCTATTTTTTATTTTTTTATATTTTTTTGTGGAGATAGTTTTGTATGTTGCCCAGGATGGTCTTGAATTCCTGTACTCAATCAATCCTCCCACCTCAGCCTCCCAAAGTACTAGGATTACAGGCATGAGCCACGACACCCGGCCAAAAATAAAATTTTAAAGCACAGCAAAGCAGTCAGAATTCTTTAAAATTATTTAAAATTAAGAGTTATAAGCAATTCTAATTTCATCTAATGGTTCACTGAAGGCTGGGCTAGGACCTGGTGTCTAAATTTTTTTTTAAACGATCAAAGCCTTCAGAGCCGAGTGGCCAGTCCTATAATCCTAGGCCACTAGAAAACTGAATTTCCTGAATTTTCTGAAAAAGTTTTTCAAGTAGAAAGCCTTCTGGGATTTTTTTTTCTTTTTTTTTTTCCAGTCCCCACTTTGGATGTAGTAAGGCTTCTAAAGGTCAAGTTATCTTGAGCTAAGAACCTTTAGATACTTTCACTTTCAGCTTATTCCTTGTTTTTTGAGGTCTTTTTATAGGTAAAGAGAAATCAAAACAGCTTCTATCTGGCTCCGTTAACTACTTTTATGTTCCATCCTTGAAATTCATTTATGTCAGCATCTGTTACAGTACATAGTATGTAGTCATGTTTTCTTCCTCTCATCTTATCTGGTGTCACTTCTGCCCTAAGTGTGCCCTAGCTAAGTCCTTAGGTCTTCTTGGTGTATCCCTCTCTTGCTTGGATATACCATCTTTTTGCCTTCCATTTCTGTCTTGAAGAATACTAAATCTTCAAACATATTATGTATATAACTGCCTTCAGGCTCTTTTTTCACCTTCCAATCCAGGTTCTTTTCTATACCTAGATTAATCTTTCTGAAAAACACCTTTCCCTCTAAGAAACAATTTCCTTAGTTTGATATAAGATTCTTTATATTTCTGTTCAGTTTTTAAAATTTACTACCTTCCAGTCCATACTTGAACCAGCTACCTCACCAGATTAACTACTCATCTCTCCCTGAGCAGAGCTCACTGTTCACTATTCACTTGTGCTCTTATGTACAGGGCTTTCTGTTTTTTCTCTTACCCAAGCTTCCCCTTTGATTGCTGTTGCCCAGGAAGACTCCATAACACTTCCATTTCCCTTTTCAAAGCCTTCCTAAACCATTTTAGGCCTTAGTAATCTTTGTCCTCCTGCCCCATTCTTTTGATATGCATATTGCTTATCTTCTGCATGAAGATTCTAAATTCCTTCAAGGTACAATCTGCTCACACAGGGTTCCTAGCACAGTGCTCCTTATGTGATAGGCACTAAATGAACATTTTGATTATTTGTAAAATTTGGGTGGGGGGAGATTATCTTTTTGACTTTATACCTTTAATTACCTTTATGACTAGAAGGTGCTTTACAGTAAAAGGAGACAATGTTGAACTATAGAGCCTTAAAAACATAATTAAATGAATATAGTTTTTAGGAGGACTCTTCTGGTTAAAAGGTTTAAGTAGATTCTGTGCACAACATTGAGAAGTGTTTTAAACCCATTTGTAGTCTCATTTATAAAGGAGTAGAGTAAGAAAACATCCTGAAAATCCATGTGACTGTGAGAGGACTGAGGAAGCCTGAGCAAAATTGAACAATTGGACTAAACTTTACTGAGTTCTGATGGGCTCTGTGATTTATTTGGGGTGGTAGATTTACTCATATCCTTGTGTATGGTGTTATATAGCATCATAGTCCCCATCTATGAGTCATTCATTCAACCAATATCTGTTGAGCATCTACTCTCTGCTAAGCATTGTTCTAAACACTAAGACTACAACAGATATTCTGATGAGGGGAGTGGACAATAAATAAGCAAACAAATAGATTGTGGTAAGTGCAATGCAGGTTAATTAAAATAGAATGGGGTAAGAGAGAATGACTGGGTAGTTAAGGAAGTCTTCTTGGAAATGACATTTAAACAGATCTGAGTAACAAGGAAGTAACATGTCAAAATCAGAAAAACATTCCAAGTGAGGAAATAACTGCTAGCACAAAGACCCTACAGTGGAGTTTCAAGAGGTAGTTAAGGATGAAATCACATAGGGCCTTGTAGGCATGGTGTGGAATTTAGATTTTATTTTGAGTAAGATGGGAAGCCATTAGAGGGTTCTGAGCTAAGCAGTGATAAAAAGTCCCTCTGGCTTCGGTGTAGAAAGTAGTTGGGGGTCAAGGGCAAGAATGTACACTGGGAAACTAGCTAGTGGTATAATTACAGTCACTCAGGAAAGATAGGAGAAAGGAGGCTTTCATTAAAGTGGTCGTAGTTGTAGAACAGTGAAGTGGAGGTAAAGTTAACCAGATATAGTAAGAGATTGGATGCGGTTTAGAGAAGAATCAAGGATGTCTCCTTTTTGTAAGGTCAACCGAGAGGAAGAATAGACCCAAAGTCAGCCGAGTAAGTTTATTGAACCTGCCGGCTGCTCCACTACAGACAGAGGAGGAAGCCCTGAGCTTATAAAATGAGGGGTTTATATTGGGGAGAGAGACCCTGGGGTCGTTTGTTGGTTAACTTTATCATATATCACCTTGTGACATTTGTGGTAGCAGCTAAATGAAGGAACTTACAGGTAGGTGTAGGTAAAGCTTGTTTGTGCTTCCCACGACCTCCCCCTGTGCGGTCCCAATGGCCTGTAATTGGGATTTGCTTATCACAGCAAGGCCTGATAGGTGAAGTCTGCTGGCTTCATTGTGGCACCTAGATAAGGGCTTAGAAATGTAAAGGGGCTCAGAGGGAAAGGTGGGCAGCACAGAGAAGAGTTGCAGAGCATAAGGGGGAGGGGGGTGGGCAGCATGGAGAGGTTTGAGGGGAGCGTCAGCAGTACCAAGATTTTTTGGGGCAGTTTGTCTCTAACACTTTTGACTTGAGCAACTAGGTAGATGGTAGAGCTTTTTACTGTGGGGAGAGAAAAAGAGGGGCAGGTTTAGAGAAGAAAAAATCATGGTTTGATATTGGACTTGAGGATCTTTAAGTTCAGTAGAGGAGAAAATGTAACAATACAGGTATAGTTAAATTTCTATAATAGAAAAATACCTAGATTGGAATTATATTTCTCTATTGCTTTATAACAAATTATCCCAAAATTTAGCAGCTTGAAAAAACAAACTTATAGTTTCTGTGGGTCAGGAATTGAGAACCAGCTTAACTGGGTAATTCTGATGCAGGGTCTCTATGAGGTTGTAATCAAGATGTCAACTGGGGTTGCAGTCATCTCAAGGCTCTCCTGGGACTTCACTCACTTTCAGGTTCACTCACATGGTTGTCTCCAGGAACCCTCAGTTCCTCACCACATGAGTTTTTCCATAGGGAAGTTACACACACCGTCATTTCTGCTGTATTCTGTTTGTTAGAGTGAGTCATTAAGTATAACACACACACAAGGGAAGGGGGATTAGACTTCACCTTTTGAAGAAAGGAGATTCAGAGAATGTGTGGACCTCTTTCTAAACTCACAAAGAATGTTAAAAGAAGAAACAAAGCAAGCCTAAAGCCCATGAAGAATCACCAGATTATAGCTTGTTCCTCTGATTCTTATTTAGTATCAAAATATTAGGTTTTACACTTGTATTCCCAGGACGGACTCTAAAAGGGGAAGTACAGTTGCATACTCTTCATATATGCCAAGTATCTATTGGAGACAAGCAATTCTCAAAGAACAAGCCATTCCAAGCTAAAAAAAATGTATTTTATCATTTGGTTGAAGCTGTTTGTCTCCTATCACTTTGTTTATTAAGCCAGTATCATTAGGTATCAAGTGTATTATTTAATGTCTTTCTGTTCTCATCACAGGTTATTGCTTACAACTCAGAAGGTAAAAGTAATCCAAGTGAAGTAGTAGAATTTACTACTTGCCCTGATAAACCAGGCATACCTGTAAAGCCTTCAGTGAAAGGAAAGATACATTCACACAGTTTTAAAATAACCTGGGGTAAGATATTATGCATGTTTATACATTATTACTTTTGCGTTTGATTAAAATAATTTGAATATGAAGATAATTTTTAAGATATTTGAGTAAATTTGTTATCTCAAGCCAGTCCAAAAAGAAATGTGAGAGTCATTCATTGGGTATGTTTTTTGTGGAAAACCTTATACTCTCATACATGCTAGGTTAAGATATGATAAAAAGGAACTTGCGATCCACTGTAAGATAATGAGCAGGGGTAGCACTGTGAAATGAAGGATTACTGAACTTGCAGCTAAAGTCACCTGGGTCATCTGGCTCTCGTAAGAAATGAAAACCATTCATTTAAAACAAACATTTATCGAGCACCTACCTACATACCTAATGGAAAAACAAAGATCCCATAAACTTGACCCTTGCCTGAAAAATTCAGACCAATAAAAATGCTTCAGTGATATTTATAATATTCAAAAATTTCAAACAACCTTAACATCTAAAGTAAATGGAGGCTGGGCATGGTGGCTTACGCCTGTAATCCCAACACTTTGGGAGGCCCAGGCGGGCAGATCACATGAGGTCAGGAGTTCGAGACCAGCCTGGCCAACATGGTGAAACCCCGTCTCTACTAAAACTACAAAAATTAGCTGGGCATGGTGGCACATGCCTGTAGTCCCAGCTACTCAGGAGGCTGAAGCAGGAGAATCGCTTGAACCCAGGAGGCAGAGGTTGCAGTGAGTCGAGATTGTACCATTGCATTCCAGCCTGGGCAACAGAGTGAGACTCCATCTAAAAAAAATAAATAAAAATAAGTAAATGGAATATCATGCAGCCATTAAAAATTGTTATAGAGAGCCATATTTTAAATATGGTAAATTAAGTGAAAAGCAGATGACAACAGCATGGAGTAATTGGGTACTGGTATTAAGTCATTGCAGGTGATTTTTTTTTTTTAAACCTAGTTTGGTATTCTGTTTATTAGGTTTTTTTTATCATTTTTATGTTGTTTTGTACCTTGCCTAATACTACTTTGCTTCTTTGGATAGATCCACCAAAAGACAATGGCGGAGCAACCATCAATAAATATGTAGTGGAGATGGCAGAAGGTTCTAACGGTATGAATGGATATTAAACACTGATAGATTTATTCCAGCCAGTCTCTTTCTATTCTTTATGGCTTTACATTTTATGTCATATCTTTTCTTTCTTCTTGCTTTTCATAAGGTACACCATAAAAAGATGTTCACTTCACTTTGGGTTGTCCTGGATTTTTTTTTTTTAATGTCATAAGTTTATTGACAAACATATCTAGTATGCCATATGAGTTCAAGTTTGATCCACTTCCAGAGGCTGTACCTCTTAAAATGCTCTTCATATCTGTTAATGGATGAACTGAAACATCCTTATGTTTTAAGTAGTTGTTGTCTTACTACAAGAAAGGGTGTAGCAAATGCAGATCCAAAGTACAAACACATCTTAGCTAGTAACGACCACTTGTTTTCCACTGAAAATGGCAAATTCTTCCCAGGGCCCTCCTCACAGTGGCTCCTACGGACCACAGAGGTTGTGAACCTCCGGATGCTCTGGCCCAACGTAGCGCTGCTGGAAGCTCTGCGAAAGGCACAGAAACCGAGGACGGATGAAATGGCGGCACCTCACCAAGACCTTTTTTTTTTCCTGGATTTTTTTTTTCTTTGTTTGTAGCAGTTAGGATTTTGCCTGTTATGATCCACTTTAAATTGTGATTTCCAGAAATACAGTGAATCAAATGTAAGAGTGCTGAACAACTGTATCGTTGCATTTACATGTTCTTTTTGTTCTCATTTATTTACATTGCTCAGCCTCTATACACCTAGACCAAGTCATTAGATACTATGAATCTTCTGAAGGTTAGTTTATTCAGTTAGATTTATATACAGATATATCAGAGAAGGATTAACTTCTAAAATTTAACTCACATCATACTAGTTTTAGTAGTAAGTTTTATGACTAGTGAACTTTATTCTTGAATCACACATTTAGCAGTGTTTATTTCTATGAAATGACCTATTTCCTGCCAAAAAGAAAAAAAAGATGTCTTTTAATTAGGACTAGACTTCCTCTGATACTGGTTTTTTGTACTCTTTGTATGCTATAACGTTATTACTGGACCAGTAAACACATTTAAAATGCTTAATTAAAAGTAAATTATCAATCTAGGCCAAAGTCTGTACAGAGTTACAGAGATATTTCACTTCCACAAAGCCATGCAGACTTGTCTAGGAAGCTGCACACATAAAGAAAATTAGATCATTTCCAGGAAACCGAAACAAACCTAAATTGTTTCTGACAAATTACACAAATACTTACTTTGTGAAGCTAGGATACCTGATGTGTCCATGATACCAGAACGTTAAACATTACCTAGTATCTGATTGAACACAATTCCTCACCTTACAGGAAACAAATGGGAAATGATATACAGTGGTGCTACCAGGGAACATCTTTGTGATCGACTGAATCCAGGCTGTTTCTATCGTTTACGAGTTTACTGCATCAGTGATGGAGGACAGAGTGCGGTAATACTTATATGTAGATTCTTTTGTGTTGTTATTAAGTTTGGCCAAATGGGGTAGGATCACCAGGTGCCACTTCAAATATTGAAACATATCCACAAATGGAGAAAAGTAACTTCTGTAACCTGTTGGGTTAATTTGATAGTGACCAAAATATTCTAATGTGGTACTTAGCTCACAGTAAGTATTCAGTGTGTGTCTGTTGTCTGGTTGGTATTCAGCTTTGGAAAAACAAATACATGAAAACATTGGAGAAAATTTTATAAAGATAAATTTGAGAATGATGCTCAATAACCATACTAAGCAGAGATAGAAATAAAATAATTATAGACCGATTTACTGCTCCATAAATTATGTGTGTGAGGACACATCATAAAATAGTATCTGCTGTTTAATCTACTTTCTAATATTTACTTACTTCAAAAAAGTTGGCCATTATTTTATTATTAGAGACTCAATAACCAAAATGAACTTAAAATGTACCATTGATATAAAGACATAATGTTCTAGGGATGTATGTTTATTAATGAGTGATTTTTTTTTTTTTTGGGAAACAGTCTCACTCTGTCGCCCAGGCTGGAGTGCAGTGGCACGATTGGGGCTCACTGCAACCTCTGCCTCCTGGGTTCTGCAACCTCTGCCTCCTGGGTTCAAGAATTCTCCTGCTTCAGCCTCCCTAGTAGCTGGGACTACAGGCGCCCCCCACCACAACTGGCTAATTTTTGTATTTTTAGTAGAGACGGGGTTTTACCATGTTGGCCAGGCTGGCCTCGAACTCCTGACTTCGTGATCCACCGGCCTCAGCCTCCCACAGTGCTGGGATTACAGGCATGAGCCACCGCACCCGGCCAAGTGATTTTTTTTTTTTAAATGAATTAAACCAAGAATGGTTTCTTGGATCATTCATAATTGCTGGGTTTTTTTTTTGAAATGAAATTTAATGCAATGAAAGTATTCTTTTTTAAAAATGAAATATAGGCATTTTGTTGAAAATGAAACTAATGTGCAACTGAGTGTGAGTCCTGCCCAACTGGCTTGTGCTCCAGTTGCTTCATTTTATCCAGTAAGAAAATCTCCCTGGATTTCAGAAAAGCAACAACACATAGACATGCACAAAATCCTGTTCTACTATAGCATTTTACAGCATTTTTACATAGATAGCTTTCTGATAAAAAGATGACCAAATATTTTGTGTTTAAAAAGAATGTTAAGTATGAACCTTAATATGTTGCAAGTAAGTAATATGCCACTGAGTTTGTGGCATTGTTTTTTTTGAGACAGAGTCTCACTCTGTTGCCCAGGCTGGAGTGCAGTGGCACGATCTCGGCTCACTGCCAGCTCTGCCTCTTGGGTTCACACCATTCTCCTGCCTCAGCCTTCCAAGTAGCTGGGACTACAGGTGCCTGCCACCATGCCCGGCTACTTTTTTGTATTTTTAGTAGAGACTGGGTTTCACCATGTTAACCAGGATGGTCTCGATCTTCTGACCCTGTGATCCACCCGCCTCAGCCTCCCAAAGCGCTGGGATTACAGGTGTGAGCCACCGCGCCCGGCCCAGTGTGGCATTGTTTTTAACAGAGTGTCTTTAAAAATAAAGGCTTTTTAAAATATAAATATAGCATAGAAACTAAAAGCAGTATCAAATACCTAGAAAGATGCCAAGTAACTGGAAAAGCTTACCTGATTTTAGAATTATTTTTAGGTGGAAAGGATGAAGGAAAGATAATCTTTTAATGTATAAGTTAAGCTTGGTGCAGTGACAAATGTGTATAGTCTCAGCTACTCTGGACGTGGGAGGATTGCTTGAGCCTAAGAATTTGAGGCTGTAATCATACCTGTGAATAGCAACTGCATTCCATCCTGGGCAACATACCAAGACCCCATCTCTAAAAATAAATAAATAAATCAGTGTTTAGGTTAAAAATACAGTCTACAGTAGTAAAGTAGCCAAAATATTCTAAACCTCCTTACAACAATACAAACAGCATATACAGTATTTTAAAACATCCCTCCTTAGAAGAGATTTATGGATCCTTTTGGAGAAGATCAAAAATATTGCCCATTAAATTGTGTTGGAAGTTGTTTTTTTCTTTAGTTATGGAAAGAAAAGGAAAGGAAGGGTTCATTGAAGTTCTTTTTCAGTAACTTGCTTTGTATATAGTAGTTGCACAGTACATGTCTTTCTTTGTCTATGAAAATTTTGAGTTTTTATTTAATTGGGTTTTCATTTTTTTTCAGAACTTTATTCCTTTTTTGTTGACAATCAAGTACAATTTCAAATTATCAGTGCAATATTTGTGTTTATATTATTTTTCCTTACCAAAAGCAATCTGATTATTTGGTTTTGGGGCATTTTTGTTTTCTTTTTGCTTTTGTTTTGGCAGGTCTCTGAATCTTTACTTGTGCAGACTCCAGCTGTGCCTCCTGGCCCATGCCTCCCTCCCAGATTACAGGGTAGACCCAAAGCAAAAGAAATACAGTTACGATGGGGTAATTTCCATTTTGGTAATAAATTATAATTAAGCTAGAACAGGAAGTATTCGTCTTGTTAAATTGCATTAATCTTTCCATCTTTTAGGACCCCCTCTGGTTGATGGTGGATCACCCATTTCCTGTTACAGTGTGGAAATGTCTCCTATAGAAAAAGATGAACCTAGAGAAGTTTACCAAGGTTCTGAAGTAGAATGTACAGTGAGCAGCCTTCTTCCTGGAAAGACATACAGCTTCAGACTACGTGCAGCTAACAAAATGGGGGTAAGAAGACTGTGCTGGTAGAATTATAATCACAATGGTGATATATGTTTCATTTTAACATATATCATCATATCCATTATTTGGCCATTTGGCTTTAACATATGACTCCAAATTTTACAATTTTTAACAAGCCTACATTGATAAATACAAGAGAAGTCGGTATATTCCATAACTTAATTTTTATGAAATCTCAGTATTTTTAGATCCCACTTACAGTTTGTGACACTTTGGACTTCAGCTGGGCTAGAGTTTACCTTTTAGGCAGTGTTAATAGAGTTTACTTAATCAATTTAAGAGTAGAAATAAAATCATAAGTACTGAAGTTTTTTGAGGCTGATTGAAGTTTTTGAGGTTTTTGAGGCTGATTGAAGTTTTTTGAGGCTAAAGTAGCATTTACTTTCAGTTGGCAACTAATTATGATTCATTTTTTTTGCCCAAATGAAAAAAAACTTATGCTTGAAACTATTCTGGTTTTGTATGTATTTTTTGAAATATTATCTATGTATTTAATATATAACTCCAAAAAGTGGACAAAGTAGGTGATATCTCCATTTCACAACTAAGGAAACGGGTTCAGGAAAGCTAAATATTTTGCCCACAGTCATACAAACTAATAAGTGATAGAGGTAAGCTACAAACCTTAGTTTGTCAGACTCCAGAGCCAAAGCTCTTTCCACTCAGCTATGACACCTCTCATCTCTCTGCAATAAAGCAGGTTCCCTAAGGACAAAGCAGTAATTTCCTATCTCAGCTAAATAACAATTTCTTTCAACTATTGTATAATTAAAATTTTTATAGAATTAAACTGACAGTTCTCTCCTACCCATTATTTTGGTGAACTATACTATATTTCAAATCCTGTTTTCCAACAGGGTTCTGTATTTACATCTGTAAACTTATTTTTCAATTTATTTCTGTTTGATTTTTTGAAACAGGGTCTCACCCTGTCACCCAGGGTGGAATGCAGTGGTGTGATCTTGGCTCTCTGCAACCTCCGCCTCCTGGGCTCAGGTGACCCTTCTACCTCAGCCTCCCAAGTAGCTGGGACCACAGGTGTACATCACCACACCTGGATAATTTTTTCATATTTTTAGTAGAGAGAGGGTTTTGTCATGTTGCCCAGGTTAGTCTCAAACTCCTGGGCTCAAGAGATCTACCCACCTCGGCCTCCCAAAGTAGTGGGATTACAGGCAAGAGCCACTATGCCCGGCCTAAATTTCTTATATGTCAAATTTATATACTTAGGCTGCTCTTACACAAGTCATTCCTTTCTGTAAGAAGCCATCTTGTCAGCCTCACAAGGCTGCAGTACACTAGGATCGCATCTTTAATACTTACGTCTTAATTTATATTTTCAGGTTTGTGATAATTTGTCAAAATCACCTTAAGTAAATATTTACTTTCCGTATTTCCAGAGAACATACATTTTAGACCTTTCTAAAGCTATTCCAGATTTTAAGATAAAATTTATGCCTACCAGAGAGCAGTACTGATAAATAATGTACTATAAGTACACTATTTACAGTTTTATTTTAAATAAAATCCATTCAGCATGCTAGAATGGTGAAGCTTTGTCATTATTTTGTTGTTGTCGACATGAATTAACCTTGTTCAAAAAAGGGGGGCAAAAAAATGACATTTGTCATGGAAAACTTTTTTTAATCCCTATAGGACTTGAGGAACAGAATCCTTACTTCAGTTCTTATAAATAGTTGTGCTAAACCTCAAGTTTCTATCATTTAGTGGCCCTTTCCATGCTCTCCATGAACTAAACTGAATTATCTGTGTGACTGATATGTTTTCTTAGGTTGCCTTATAACATGTATAACAGTACTCTTTATTTGTAGATACCTTTGTATGTATGTGTGTGTATAGACAGATAGACAGACTTTTTTTTTGAGACAGGGTATCTGTCACCCAGGCTGGAGAGCAGGGGTATGATCATGGCTCACTGCAACCTCAACCTCCCAGGCTTAAGCGATCCTCCTGCCTCAGCCTCCTGAGTAGCAGGGACTATAGGTGCACACCACCATACCAGGCTGATTTTTTACTTTTTTATAGAGATGGGGGTCCCCTTATGTTTCCCAGGTTGGTCTCAAACTCTCGGGCTCAAGTGATTCCCCCACCTTAGCCTCCCAAAGAGGTGGGATTACAGGCATGAGCCTCTGCACCTGACCTTTTATATATACTTATTATTGTAAATCATTTGCTGCCACTAGCAGTCTGTAAGTCTATACTATTAAATGACATATTGGCCAGGCATGGTGGTAAATGCATGTAATCCCAGCACTTTGGGAGGCCAAGGTGGGTGGGTCACTTGAGGTCAGGAGTTCGAGACCAGCCTGACCGACATGGTGAAACCCCTTCTCTGCTAAAAATGCAAAACTTAGCTGGGCATAGTGGCGTGTGCCTGTAATCCCAGCTGCTCTGGAGGCTGAGGCAGGAAAATCACTTGAACCTGGGAGGCGGAGGTTACAGTGAGCTGAAATCATGCCACTACATCCAGCCTGGGCGACAGAGTGAGACTCTGTCTCAAAAAAAAAAGCAATTAAAAACAAAAAACTATTAAATGACAGATTTATATTTGGAATTTTGGCTAGGCACAGTAGCTCACACCTGTAATCCCAATACTTGGGGAGGCCGAGGCTGGCAGATCACTTCAGGCCAGGAGTTCGGGACCAGCCTGGCCAACATCGGGAAACCCCATATCTACTAAAAATACAAAAATTAGCTGGGCTTGGTGGTACCCACACCTGTAGTCCCAGCTACTCAGGAGGCTGAGGCACAAGAATCGCTTGAACCCAGGAGGTGGAGGTTGCAGTGAGCTGAGATTGTGCCACTGAACTCCAGCCTGGGCAACAGGCTTTTTCTCAAAAAAATAATAACATATTTGGAATTTTAAAATTGATTGGGTTTTCAAATTTATTGTTTTAAATTAGGAACTTTTGAACTACTAATAAAACTATCTGCCATAGTTCATTGATTTTTACATGAAATATTTATTTTCAAGATGGTTTCAAGATTACTTTTCACAAAGCAGGCGCATTATATCACCATTTTGCTCTGCCTTGTAAACTTGCCATCTGGGATTTTTGGGTGGTATTCATGTGAGAGTAAAGCATATTCTCTAGCAGTTTCCTATAGCTACAGGTTTGTTTGTTTTTTTTCATTGCTTCTAACAGGATATAGTTACTATGAGTCCATGAAATATAATGGAAATGTGAATAAGGAGTTTACTGAAGACTTTAAACATTTGATTTTTTTTTAATCGTGAATATGATAGAAACTGGTAGTGTTGAGCAGTGCAAATATTTGAAGTGGTGATTTGTGAAATAGCCCAGCATTGCCTTAAACAAAATCACAGTCTACTTCTTGTTTTATACATATGATAGTATAAAAGGTTTCTTTTTTTTCCCATTTTCTGAGATTTATAGATTGGTATATAGCTTTAAACTATATAAAGTTTTATGGAAAGATTTTTTAAACTTATTAATATAAATTTTAAAGTTGATATAATTAAAGTGAGCCTATCTTCTGTTTATAAAATGCAAGATTCCTTAACATTTATAATTATACAGATGAAATAGTTTCTATAAGGAAGTTGGAGTTTTGATTTTGCCCTTTATAGATGTTAGATTGTGCAGATTTGTCTGTATTTTCTCACCATATCAAATAATACTTTTATTATAAGATTGGTTTTCAAGAGCCGTATTAGTTGTTATAATTGATTAGTATATAGTTTAACTTTATTCATCATATTTATACTGTAGATTTATGGCCAGAGGTTGAGGTTATTTCAGGAGAGTTGATGACCTTCATTTAAAGTCTAGCTAAAATCAGTGCTGTAAACAAAAGGAAACATTTACGTTTGTTTCTGTTTGCCATATATAGTAGCCTTGATTTTTTACTTTTTTATAAAACAGTTACGTTCACAATATTAGCCTGAGGTATTAATGACATTGTGATGATACAAAATGGTGTATATTCCCTGTGCAATCGGATTTGGAGGAAAAATGAAGGACTTAACATTATCTGAAGTCACTGATACTCTGAATAAGTATGGTCAAGGAGTGAACTATTTTCTTTTGGAAAAACTTTTTAAAATTTTATTTTTAAAGTATTATACTGTTATTTTTAGGGCCTAATGGTTACATTGAATAGTTGGTTTCACCTTCTTAAGGTTTTTTACCAATATTCATGAAACTTGATATTTTTAAAATCCCTACCCTTTGGTAAGTCGTTATTTATTAACATTTTTATTGGTGATTAATACATGTTTTTTCCTAAATTAAAAATAAATAACTTGGAATAATTTTAATATTAAATATTTGTTAACAACTGAATGTTTCCATAGAATTTTCTGAGAAGTTGAGTTTCTTAGAGTTTTCGTAGCTGGCTGGGCCCAGTGGCTCATGCCTGTAATCCCAGCACTTTGGCTCAAGCAGTCCTCCCTCTGAGACAGGAGGACCACTTGTGCCCAGGAGTCTGAGACCAGCCTGGGCAACATGGTGAAACCCTGTCTCTGTAAAAAGTAGAAAAATTAGCCCAGCATGGTAGTGCACACCCGTAGTCCCAGCTACTCAGGAGGCTGAGGTGGGAGGATGGCTTGAGCCCAGGAAGTCGAGGGTGCAGTGAGCCATGTTTGCACCACTGCACTCCTGCAGTCTAGGTGATGGAGCCAGCCAGACCTTGTCTCAAAAAAAAAAAAAAAAAAAAAAAAAGAAGTTGAGCTAGCTCTTAAAGATGGGCATTTGGCAAAACTGCCTGATACAGTGCAGTAACAAGTAGGTTTACTTCTGACCATTATAATGATGCGCCACTGTTAAGTGAAAATACCAGTGTATTGGGGCTTTTCTTTTGCTAATGAGCTTTGAAAAATTGATGACAAGAAATTTCTGTAATTGTTCTCCTATGTGTCGGGGAAGGAATTTGCCAATACTGAATAAAATTTTTTATATTCCGGGTAATGTATGTTAAAAGTAATTATGAGAAAGTGAGCTTTTTAGCATGGAACAGAAAAATCAAATTCTGTTACAAAATAAACAAATTTATAGAACAGAATGTTGGTAAAATTTGATATGGAATATGCCTAAGAAAGATTCGTGAAGTATTAAAAAATTAAAAATAATAATTTACACCTACCATCTCCCGTACCTTTAATTAGTATCAATTTCTTCACTCCTTATATTTCTCCTGAATTATTCCACCGACCTCATTCCCTAATGTCCTGCCCTTCTTACAAAAACCATTTCCTGAAGAAATAAGGGGCAGAAGAAAGTATAGGTAAATGAAACTTTAAAATTTCTCACACCTTTACTTTCATGATTTTTAAGTCTTTTTAGTTAATGTGAATACTTATAGAATTATGACCAAATTAATCTTGAAACACAGGGAAAAGACTTTATTAATGAATCTTTAAATATGCAGTTCTGTGCAATCAGTGGACATTTAAGGGTGAAAAATAAAAACACTAGTTACATTTGTTTTTCTAGTTTGGACCATTTTCAGAAAAATGTGATATTACTACAGCCCCTGGGCCACCAGATCAGTGCAAGCCCCCTCAAGTGACATGTAGATCTGCAACTTGTGCACAAGTGAATTGGGAGGTATTGTAATTTCCATTGACTTGTATCTACTTTCTTAAGTGAATAGAATAGTTTATATAAAAGAATAAAGATACTGTTCATTTTTACCGCCTATATTATACAGAGTAAGCCCTAGTTTAATTCACATGAAAAACAGTGACTTCTTTTTCCTCTTTGAAGAATTTGAGTAAGGTATATTTGCATTACAAATATTTAGATTCCTGTTCATTATGTGCTTTGTATTTTTATGAATGGCTTTGTCTCAGTACTGAGATATTTCAGCCACTGTAAGTTTAATGTTCAGAATAGACATACACAGGAATTAGTAAATTCTATTTCTCTTATATTTATCCAGTACACATCTCCAGTGTACTTATTGTGGATAGTAATAATCAGTGATGATAATTATTATATTTTCAGTTCCCTTTGAAATTTAACAAAATGTGTGTATGCTTTTAACATTTCATATTAATAGAATTATCTTGAAACATATTTACCTTAAAACACTCTTTCTAAAGTGACTTAGTCATATTTCTACTTCTAATTCAAAACAGTTATATATTTGACCAATCTTAAATTCAGATAATCTTAATGAATAAAAAATGTAAAATTGAACAGTTTTGATTGTGCTTAAAAGTTTTAAAGAAACTCAAAAGCAATCTAGTTTTACATGTGCTCAGGTAAAGAGCATTTTTGGCCAAAAGCTATTTAATCAACATCAAGACTAAGACCTTTATCCTTTTCTTAATTTAAAGGTTCCTTTGAGTAATGGAACAGATGTCACTGAATATCGACTGGAGTGGGGAGGAGTTGAAGGAAGTATGCAGATATGTTACTGTGGGCCTGGTCTCAGTTATGAAATAAAAGGACTTTCACCAGCAACTACCTATTATTGCAGGGTCCAGGTAAAGATGATCAGTACCTTGTCACTTAACTCTATCCAGAGTTTTATATTTCATTGGCATTTTCATGGTCATGACTTTGTTAACTCGGAGGCTCTGTTAATTTGTAGGCTCTGAGTGTTGTGGGTGCAGGCCCTTTCAGTGAAGTAGTAGCCTGTGTGACTCCACCATCAGTTCCTGGCATTGTGACCTGTCTTCAAGAAATAAGCGATGATGAGATAGAAAATCCCCATTATTCACCTTCTACATGCCTTGCAATAAGCTGGGAAAAGCCTTGTGATCATGGTTCGGAAATCCTTGCCTACAGCATAGACTTTGGAGATAAACAATCCCTAACAGTGGGAAAGGTTACAAGCTATATTATCAACAATTTGCAACCAGATACAACATACAGGTATACTCTAAAAATTATGTTGATTTTTGCCTAGACCAGAGAGACGCTTTAAATAAAACAATCATAACCAAACTTTTTTTCTTATGTGGCACTTAGAATACGAATTCAAGCCTTGAATAGCCTTGGAGCTGGTCCTTTCAGCCATATGATAAAATTAAAAACTAAGCCTCTCCCTCCTGATCCACCTCGTCTGGAATGTGTTGCCTTTAGCCACCAGAACCTTAAGCTGAAATGGGGAGAAGGAACTCCAAAGACATTGTCAACCGATTCTATTCAGTACCACCTTCAGATGGAGGATAAGAATGGACGGTAGGTTTTTTTAATTGCTTCTTTATATAGTTTCTTAGGTCTTAAGTATATACATTTCTGTAACTATTAGAAGTAGGCCAGGTGTGGTGGCTGACACCTGTAATCTCAGCACTTTGGGAGGCTGAGGCAGGCGAATTGCTTGAGCCCAGGAGTGCAAGACCAGCCTGGGCAAGACAGTGAGACCTTGTCTCTAAAAAAAATTTATTTTAATGAAGTAAGTTTTCAAAAACGAAGTCAAGATTGTCATACAAAAGTGTGCTGTTTTTAAAACGTTAGAAAACACAATGTACATTTCCTGTTTATAATTTGTGAGTGGAATACCAAGAGAAAAAAATAAGTGGGCTACTGTTTGGTTGTTTTCTGTAATCCATTTACTGTTTTCATGATAGTAAAAGACACCTAATCTTAGATACAAAATAAACTCTTCAGTGTTTATTTCTAGCAGGACACAATTTTTTTTTTTTAAGACAAGGTCTTGCTCTGTCACCCAGGCTGGCCTCCAGTGGCACTATCTTGGCTCATTGCAACCTCTGCCTCCAGGGCTGGAGCCATCCTCCCACCTCAGCTCCCCAAGTATCTGTGACCACAGGCGTGGGCCACTACACCTGGCTAATTTTTGTATTTTTAGTAGAGATGGGGTTTCACCATGTCGCTCACACTGGTCTCGAACTCCTGGGCTCAAGTGGTCCTCCCCGCTCAGCCTCACTGAGTGCTGAGATTACAACTCATGAGCCACTGTGCCTGACCGAAACAATTTTTTTTTTTTTTTTTTTTGAGACGGAGTCTCACTCTCACCAGGCTGGAGTGCAGTGACGCGATCTCGGCTCACTGCAATCTCCGCCTCTCAGGTTCAAACAATTCCCCTGCCTCAGCCTCCCAAGTAGCTGGGACTACAGGTGCGCACCACCACGCCCGGCTAATTTTTTGTATTTTAGTAGAGGCGGAGTTTCACCATGTTGGCCAGGATGGTCTCCATCTCCTGACCTCCCGATCCACCTGCCTCGACCTCCCAAAGTGCTGGGATTACAGGCGTGAGCCACTGCACCCGGCCCTGAAACAATTTTATAGTAAATGATTATGATCGTTCCTGGCCTCTGAGATCCTTGAGGGCAGAGATTATGTTTCAGTCTTTTCCAGATTCCTGACACAGGGCCTGCACGCTAAATGAATACAGTTCAGTTTTTCACTGTGTGATCTCAGTTAGATTCTGTGATTAATTATCTAGTCCCTTTGCTAATCACTGTTGCTAATCTTTGCTAATCTTTGAATTAGAAAGAACCTAATTTCATTCAGGTTCTTTCTGTGCCTCTTTCACATCTTCATGTACATGTTGTACTATTCCTATATAATGTGCCATATACTGCCACACTAAATCATGTATTTTAATTACAGTGTTAACTCTGAATATTTGTAACAGTCATTCTAATGCCAACTAGGGCTATTTATTCACATTATATTCCATATAAGCAATGCCACATACCTCCCACAGCTGTTAATCCTTTAATATTTTAAGAATTTTGAATTTTGCTTTTCTACTTTTCACTGAATATATTAGAAACAATTTCCAAATCTGATGGACTCAGAATACTAGTAACAGTTTTTCCCAAGATTTACTTTTCTGTGTTGTTTGTATCTTAGCCAGGTATTCAACAATGAAATATTCATGGTGCTTGTACATAACCACTCTCTATCAGAAATACTTATACATTTAAAATAACATATGGAATAATTTTGTATACTAGTATATCACCAGTAAGAACATTACACAGAACAAACGTGATCATTTCCTAAAATCTGTATCGATGAATGTTAGCCTTTGTTCTTGGCAGAATTTTATGTAATCTTTGTAGCCTTATCTCTACAAAGAGATTATTTGCCTTGTACAGGTTTTTGGTATAGCCATTTATCTTTAATATATGTTATTATTACTGGACAAATTAATTGTTTAAATTTTTTTCCTCCCCTTTCTAGCATACATTTGGGGTAGTGCAAGAAGGCTTACTGGAAACAGGTCTAATTAGTGTTTGGTTGAAAGATAATAGAATAAAGATTCTATTAGATATAAATTCTATTATAGAACTTCCAACTTAATATTCAGCTAGCATCTAGAGAATTGTTATGGGGTATGAATATGGCTCATGGCCTTTGGTTGTGGAAAATAAAGAAATTAAAACCTTTTATGATACTGTTAAGTTTAATGCACACATTTAATAAATTAAATCAATTTAATATCTTTGATTACTTTCATTCCCTTTGATTTTCACAACTATATACACTTGCTGTGGGATGGTATCATAATGATACTTTAGTTGTTCCCTGATCCAGATTTTGTCATTGTTCAGCTTTTTTAAACAGTGGTATTACCACTATTTTTTTTTCCTGTCATTAAAAAAAAATTTAGAGGTTGAAAAGGCAAGGCTTATCCAATTACTGCTTATTGGAAGTACTGTTTCTTCCTGTCATTAAATATTTCTTTATTTTTAACTTGGCTACAATTTTCAGACTGTTAGCATTGAATAAGCATTCATTATTCATTCTCTAATTTCCAAAAATTTTAGAAACATCCAATCAAAAATAATGGGATGCATTCAACTTATAGATAACATATTAGGAGAAATATGTATGATATTCAACTTCATTGAACAGTTCAAGTGGGTAATGTATTGGAAATTTTATATTATCATACTGCTTTTGTAAATCTCTAAAAAAACGTCACCAAGTCAACTAAAAATCTGCCTGGGAATTGAGAATTCTCTTTTTTCCAGATAAAGACAAGGAAGATTAAAATAGAAACTTAATCTCATAGCTCAGGTCTCTATGCCATACTTGGCAAATTTTATCAATATGACTTTAGTTAGAAATAATTTGTAATGAAAATTGTGATGTTCTGAGCATCTTTTAAAATGTACATTAACAAAACAGTATTCAGAAACAAAGCTAAACCGGAAGCCTGAGAAGAAACAGTTATGGTCGGACATGAAATTTAGTAACAGACTTTTGGTAAATCATGTCAAATTGGGAAATTTACCAAATATCCTATTTTTCTTAATCTGATGAAAAACAGATTTATTTTAAGTGACATAGAGTTCCTGGCATCAAACTTTTGGGGTAACTTATCACTCCTAAATAATGTTCATAACTGTGTTTTTATACTAGTTTGTAAAACACTTTAATAAGGTATCATAAGGTAGTATAAGGTTTATCTAATAGTTATTTCCATTTTAGGTTTGTATCCCTATACAGAGGACCATGTCATACATACAAAGTACAAAGACTTAATGAGTCAACATCCTATAAATTCTGTATTCAAGCTTGTAATGAAGCTGGGGAAGGTCCCCTCTCCCAAGAATATATTTTCACTACTCCAAAATCTGTCCCAGCTGCCTTGAAAGGTAAGTTATACATCCTGAACTTATTTTCTTTATAATAAATTACTTTTTAATGTATTTTCATAAATGCTTTGTTTACTGATATTAAAATTTAGCATCCAGTATATGTCCACCAGTTATACAAAATCGTATAGGCAAGCCCAACTCTACTGAGAGTTCCACTCAATAATAAAAGCTGTTTTATCTGGCACGCTCATATTCAGACAAGTACTGGCTTTTGTCACTGATGTTTTTAATAATGTAGCATAAAAATACTAAATTGAATAGGAAGGCTGGTTTTCTAATGAGGTCATTTGCTTAAAGAAAAAAATCACAAACTCTGGTTGTTTAAACGTTTTGAGTTATTGATATTACATTCATTTGGATTTCAGAAGGAAAGCTTGGTCATCTGTTAAGCAAAACAAATTCTTCATTAATGTGGGTTTTTCAATTAGTTTTACACACACATGTACACATATTTACACACATTTGTATATACATTTATCTTTTAATTTTAGAGGGGTTCTTATTTTAAAGTGACTCTGGCAAGGGCTACACTCTATTTTTAGCTGAAAAGTCTATAAAGTTAATTGCTCTGAAGACTAATCACAGAGACTTCTAGAACCATATCCTAGATCATGTACTTAAACCTATCATTTGTTAAACAGCAGAACTCTTCTTGACTAGTCTTTCTAATAATATTGAGTTTCACTGAGTCATTTTTCTGTTTGCTCATCAAGTTTAGTGTCTCTTAGCTTTAAGAAGAGTGCTGACTATAAGCAGGGCACAGTGGCTCACACCTATAAGCCCAGTGCTTTGGGAGACTGAAGTGGGAGGCTCACTTAAGGCCAGGAGTATTGAGACCAACGTGGGCAACATACTGAGACCTGCCTCTCTACAAAAGAAATTTTGAATCAGCTGGGCATGGCAGCATATGCCTGTGTGTGTAGCTGCACAGGAGGCTGAGGCTGCATTGAGCTATGATCGCACCACTGTTGTCCAGGCTGGGTGACAGAGTGAGATCCCATATCTTAGAATACAAGAGTGCTGATTTTAACCTCTTTGGATGCAAATTTCAAAAATTCACTGATACTTATTTCAAGTTTATAAGTGGATTTTAAATATTTGTTGATTTTTATTAAGACAAGTGTCTGCATGATGTACCAAATTAAAAATCAAGTGGAACAGATATTATTTATATTTGTTTCCTACAGCCCCCAAAATAGAGAAAGTAAATGATCACATTTGTGAAATTACATGGGAGTGTTTACAGCCAATGAAAGGTGATCCAGTTATTTACAGTCTTCAAGTTATGTTGGGAAAAGATTCAGAATTCAAACAGGTATGTACCAAGATATTAATGTGTGGATGCATATTTTTACCCTTTTTTAATTTTTATGTATTTTCAGTGTAAGATTTGGCCATCTTTACCTTTTAATTCATAAATATTTATTCAGTATATATTATGTTCCAGAGATCTCAAGATTCCAAATCTTTTCAGTATGAACTACACTTGAACAGATTATTCATTTATCTGATAAGTATTCATTGAATTCTGTGCCAGGCACTCAGGATATAGCACTGAACAAAAAGTCCCTTGCCTCCATGGAGCTTACTTACATTCTGGTGGAAAAGAAGACACTATAAGCAAGTAAACATGACAATATATTGTCAGATATAAGTGTAATGGAGAAAAAACAAAATTGGATAAAAGAAATAGGGAGTGGAGGGGGAGGGCACTGAGTGTTATTTCATTTGGGGCACTCAGCTGACATTTCAGCATGGCCCAGAGGAGATGACTATGGAGAGAAGAGTGTTCCAAGAAGATACGCTGAGGCAGGAACATGCCTATTAAATCTGATGAACATAAAGGAGCCAATATGACTGGATGGAGAGAGCAAAGGGAAGAGTTGATAAGGTCGGATAGTTAATCCTAAGGGGCCTATAGGTGGTATGGAGTGACGTAAGGCATAATAGGCCATACTGTGGCTTTTACTCCACGTGAAATGAGAAGACAGTGGAGGATTTTGACCAGGGTATTCACGTGATCAGACACAACGTTGTTTTGACTATAGTGTTGAAACTACAGTAGGACAAGGGCAGAACTAGAAAGACTAATAAGGAGGCTTTTACAATAATAGTATTAATAATAGTCATAATGCAGTGCTGTAAATATGACATTAGGCATGAAGTTATAATGGAAACCTAGAGGAATTGTCACCTTCCTAGCCAAGAGGTTTCAAAGATAGCTTTCTGATAAAGCAAGAATAGCAGTGAGATAGAGTGGAGTGTTGCCAATGTTTGTTACAACTTTTAAAAAGAATAAGCTTTTATACCACTCCAAAGACTAATTAAATACCTATACATTTCACCTGATTTTCCCTTTTTCCTGTAACCTTAATTTTGAGGGCTTTTAAGCTGGGTTGTTTTCATTGTGTCTTATATTTTCCTCTTCCACTAAAAAAAAGATCCTTCATTTGTTTTATTCCAGTATTGTGCTATTGTAACCACTCTATGTAATATCTTAACTGAAATTACAAAAGATCCAAAGAGTCAGATTAAATCTGGCATGCAATTGTTTTTCTTTATTAAGCCATCTGCAAATTGACAGGATAATTAGATTTGAAATGTAATTTACAGATAAGTAGGTTTCCTTCTAAGGAGGAAGCAAAATTAATATTAAAGAAAATATAATTGTATTACACGTTTAAAGGAAATAGGGATTCCACATTTGAGTAGTATATGAATAACCTTAAGGCTTGTTTGAATGACTTTTCTTGGGTGTATAAACCTTCTGAAATTAGCTTGAGCAGGTTAATCTGTTTTCTTCAGTCCTGTATTTACAGTTACCTGTGTCTCTTCCTGCTTAGAGGTCTTCCCACATCTGAAATACAAAATTGAAAACTTGATCCCATCATCTTCCCTCCCAGTATCTCCTCTCCAACATCTTTACTTCATCAGTGTCATAGACACCAATATCATCTTGGTCTCCAAGCTTTAAATTCTTAGATGAATTTTTTTTTCCTATCAACTCTTAATCAGAATTTGTTTCTAAATCCATAAAACTACATCAGGGCCTCATCACTTTTTACATGTACATCAAGAGTCCCTGTCCTACTCAGCTCCCTTCAGTCCTTCACACAGCCTCACGATTAGGATTCCATAAACACTGTTTTAATGTCACACACCTACAGTGGTCCCTTTTGAATTAACCTAAATTTCCAACTAGTGTAATTAATGTATTCTTCCTCTTTGTACCAGATCTCTTATCACCCTCATGCCATTTGTTGAGGTTTTTCTTTCTTAACCTAATACTGCCAGGCTCATGGAATGGTATATGAAGACACATGGAAAGTATAAAGACAAAAATCATCTATTATATCCATAAGACAAATACATATTTTTAATTTTTACTCAATTTACTTCAGTGTTATGTATACAATTTTACACTACTTTATCATACAACATTCTGTTTTAAGTGAATCCTTTTACAGGTTGAAGCATCCCAAATAAAGTCCAAAATTCAAAATGTTCCACCCAAAATCTGAAACTTTTTGAGGATCGATATGACACTCAAAGGAAATGCTCATTGGAGCATTTCCAATTTCAGATTTTTGGGTTTGGAATGCTCAACTAGTAAATATGCAACTATTCCAAAATCAAAAAAATTGAAATGCTTCTGGTTCCAAGCATTTCTTATAAGGGATACCCAACCTGTACCATCTCCCAAACATGGATCATTTCTACATTCTATTCCCTGAAACATTATGCATCCTTAGAACTAATGTATAGTCACCATTTTCTTTCAGATTTATCTTAAAGCTTCTTTCAGTAAGTTCCTTTATATATTGTTATCAGCATCCACATTTTTATTTATTGCCAATAATTCACTAATTTAATGTCCTTTTATTAAGTACCTACTATATGCTAGATTCTGGAGACAGAAAAATGAGACAGAGATCTTACTTTACTTTGAGAGCAAAGCAATATGTAAAAATTTAGATTTACATCACAGGTACAATTGAGGCAGCTAAAAGTACTTGAAAGCCCCCATGTGTTGGTTCTTCTGACTTGTAGCCCACCAACTAACTGGAGAAACTCAACTGACAAGTCATTTAACCCTATGAACCTTGGTTTTCTCAATTACAGAATGAGTGGTGGGAGGTTGCTCATTATTGGAAATGATAGCTCCTACAGATTGAGCAGTGACTGCATGCTGAGCACTGCGCTAAGTGCTTTAACAAGCATTAGTTCATTTCATCCTCATAATTATCATACATGTTAACTACTAGTATGTCTGTTATACTAAGGTAGTTGGTCTAAAATCACATCTGGAGTGTGAAGTGGTAGAGCAGACCTTGGATGCCAGGGGTGAACAGTTCTAGTATATAGCTTCTTATTTATGCCTAGTGTTCCATTATTGGAACACTAAGCTTGTGGTAGTTATTTATATCTCACTGATCAAGGTTATTGCCAAGGTCTGATTTTTCACAAAAAAAAAATTTGCAACCTCTGGCATAAATGGGTTAATTACTAGCACATTCCTCTGAAAATCCGTGGAATTTCATTCTTTTTATTTCCCTTGTGAGGCATGGCAGAGGAGGTCCTATTTTCTGATTCTAAGTGATCTCCCCTCTCTGGTTTATACAGTGATTTGCCATAGGCACCTATAGAAAGCTCCCCTTATTCATTTTCCATTTCATTGTACAGATATGTTTGAAATTATATGGAAATTTATCAGTTATACAAAGACATAATGGGGGAAGCAAAAGTAGACACTATCCCTTCTTTGATGGAATGATTGCATTGAAAAATGACTTCTTACATTTGAGAAAAGCAAGAAAATGCTTGAGGACCGATTTTGCTTGTTCTCTAGCTGCCCTGGGGCACATCTGCACTCCTTAATTCATCTGTGAACCGTATAAGGGTAGATCCTCGCTTTTGAAATTTCTCTTGCCCCTATGCAACAAACAGATAAGTACTTTAATGGACAGGTATTTTTAACATGTCATTTAAAAGATAAAATCAATGGCATTCACTGGCTTTCACATGAAAAACAATTCTAACACTAGCCAGTTTTAACACATTTTCTGTCCAGCCTTCACACGTAATTCTTCCTTCTAATATTTTATTAACAGATTTACAAGGGTCCCGACTCTTCCTTCCGGTATTCCAGCCTTCAGCTGAACTGTGAATATCGCTTCCGTGTATGTGCCATTCGCCAGTGCCAAGACTCTCTGGGACACCAGGACCTCGTAGGTCCCTACAGCACCACAGTGCTCTTCATCTCTCAGAGGACTGAACCACCAGCCAGCACCAACAGAGACACTGTGGAAAGCACAAGGACCCGACGGGCACTGAGTGACGAGCAGTGTGCTGCCGTCATCCTTGTGCTGTTTGCTTTCTTTTCCATTTTGATTGCCTTTATCATTCAGTACTTTGTAATCAAGTGAAAATATAACTTTATTTTTTAACTCTATTACATTTTATTTTGTCATGTACTAAAATTATTTCTGTATTGCTTTTATAAAAAACAGTGGCATTTAGCACTGGCATTGAGACTATAGCACATCATTTTTGCCATTTTCAGTGCTTATATTGTTAGGTAGAGGCTGGCACTTTATTAGAATGCAAGCCACAAAAATATCAATTTTGTTTTTTTTGTTAGGGTGGGTCTTCTTTTTTTCTTTCCCTCTCTCTTTTTTTAACAAATGCCTTCTTATAGAAAAACTTTCTAAGAGGCAACAATTTAGAATGGATATTTTGACGAATCGGCATGAGTGTAACAGTGATAACCTGATCTGTTTGTTTTAAAGATTATTACCAAGTGAAAAATTCAGAATGAATAGAATTTACACTAACATGCTATATAAAATGTTAAAGTCTGATGCTGTGAAAGCAATCTAGTGCTATATTTCTACCTCCTCATTTGTCTTAATTATTTGGTAAGTGGGATTATGATGAGTAACTGGAGGGGCTTAGAAACAAAAACTGGATGAAAGAGTATGCATGAAGAAAAGCTTCTTTGATAAATGTGGAGTTCTTCATTATAAATATATATTCATGAATTCACAGATAAGTACTTAAAGAACAGACAGTTTACTTGGCCTAAAAATATTTTGATGTTTACTCAAAAAGTACCTCTTCAGGTCTTGAGAACATGGAAAAGAATTGAGTGCTTTTAAATACTTTTTAGAAAGTAATCATAAAAGTAAATTGAATTTCAAACCTATTTGGCTTCTGTTTTGTGAACCTTTGAACTATATGTATGTGTATAAGGGTATACACATACATATATGGCATATAACAAGTGTACACATATACACATAACAAGTGTAGAAGTATATATTACATACATACACTCACTCTGTCTGGTATAGGCTAATTTTGAAGAACTCCCATAAGTTTCTGCTGCTTCTCCCATAACTGCTGCCACCACCATCAGAATTCATAATCAAACCTAACCTTTTTGTTTGGGGCACCAAATCTGAAGACAAAATTAATTTGCACCAGTAAACTTCAAGCTGCTTTCTTTCTTGAAAACTAAACGTTTAACGTATAATGTCTGTTTGGATACTGTTCCAAATTGTTGATTGCATGTGGTTAATGTTGCATTAGAGCACTTTGCAATTGCATAATTCATTAATGTTTTGTGAGCTTGCATTTGTGAGTTATTGGATGATCAGACTGAATTTTGTCAAGTATCACATTGTACATCTTGCCTAGATGTCGATGACTGCAAGTAATAATACAGTTTATAATGAAACTATCTACAATTCTTGTTTTAGCACATCTGTTATCCGTAAAACACCTGTAACTAGCTTTTTTAATTTATTATTTGAATTTTAGGATAGCGAATCACTAATTTTTAGTTGCTGAGGTTGGCATTTTAGTGATTATTAAGCACTTCTGTCAGTCTTTGAAAAAAGAACGTATTTTTTGTGCTTTGAAGATCTCTGAAGAATTTCTTTTATAATAGAATGGGCATGTATTGTAACAGTTTTATGTCAAATGATCTGTGCTGTAGAAAAACATTAACCCTTGTTCAAAAAAGAAATGGATAAACTTGGCCTTTCTAAGTGGTAAGAATGACCTGTCACTATAATATACTGTATGTTTACATTTTATTTAAATTTAATCTCTTATGTATAGGGTGATAACCTTCCCCAGAAACAACAGTGATTGCGATTGTTTTCTAGAAACTTCTTTAAAGTGCCACATTTGGCAGTACAAATGAGTCTGAGTGTAATAGCCCAGAGATTTATATATAGTTGAATGTCTAAAATGGTAAAATGTGCCACTGTGTCAAGTTACAGTGGCTTATGTTTTTCATAGTAATTCAAATGAACTTCCTATTTTTGATAGTAAATGTCATTTAATAGTATACTTGCCATTTGAGCCTCACTGCAAAATTAGTGCAGAGGAGAAAACAATTTTTAATGTAATCTTGATTTTACCTCATATACTGTACATTCCAAAAACTCTAAACTTTTTAAAGATTATAGATACACTACCAAACATATCACCTTAAAATTGTATAAGGCTGAATGAACTTCATACAAATGAAAAAAATCTCATAAAAATACATAAACTATGTAGCAAAAGTATCTGTAAAATCCATGGAAAATAAAAGTTGTATCATTCTTTTTGAGATACGTTTATTGTATTCATATATATTCATTATTTGCTACCTGTTTAAGAAAGTGAAATGTTATGGTCTCCCCTCTTCCAATGAGCTTAAAACATTTTTCCCAACAGTATATAAATCTTCAACATGAGAGGATGTATATTTATTATATAAAGCCCAGTAAAGAATAAAATTAGAAGTTTTATCCTAGTGACTTGATTTTGTGCAACTCATGAAATATCTTACTTCCTTTCCACATATAAAGAATACAGTGAGTCTAAGGTAAACTTCCCAGTGGGAAGAAAATCCCTAACCTCTCCTTGCCTTTCCCACATCCCTATTTTCTAGTACCTTCTTTCGCCCACCACCAGAGGCCCAGAACCTTCCTGGTAGTGGCACTGCTGGGTCTGCCTTCCACCAGAAAATCCAACATTCTCTCACTCATCCCCCATTAAAATTTCCATCCCAAGAACTTCCTCCTGGGGATGGACACTCAGTGCCTTTTTTTTTTTCTTTTTTTAATGGGTAAGCTAGTAAATTTTATGTTATAAATATTTTACCACCATAAAAAAATCATTGAAAAATTCACTGAAGAAGCCAATATGGAAAGAGGAGAACTCAATGTTTAAAATAAAGCCAACTTTTTTTTTTTATTCAAGAGGTAAGTACATAGCTTCAAGCTCAAGGTCTAGGTTGAGGACAATCATGAGTCCTATTAAAGGACAACCAGTTTAAAGAACACTGTCAGGCAAGCTACCACGTAGCTCTCCTTCACTCCAGGCTTAGCTGTTCCAGACTTCCCAGTACTGATGAAGGATCATGTTTTTGTTCAGCTTTGCCCAGTGCTGTCATTCATAATAGATAAATGAAAAGTCCCAGAAACCTGTTGTGTTTGGGAAGGTTTTCTTTTGTTCCAGGCTTCAGTGGTTAATATGCTTGACAAATTTCAGAGTCTCTATCTCTGTAGACCAATGCCAAAGAATTGCTTTCTGGATTCACTGTTAGCAGCTCTTCGTCTTCATCTTTGGCAATGTAAGAAAACCACCATATTCTGGCCCCCAGCCTTCACAGCCACAGTGGAGAATTAAGTCTAGGGCAAAATCAGCCTTGCCATGGTCACGAATTAAAAGTGTGGTGACCAGTCTTCCAACGCCTCAGTTCCCTTTGGCATGTGGGAACACCTGATTCATTCTTTGTTTCATTTTCCTCTGACTCGGTCTGTCTGCTCATGGCTCTGTTGGCCGTTGATGCTGATGGCTGCCTGATTATTCTCTGGCTCAGGAGGGCTATGGCCAGTCCCTTCCTCAGTTCTATCAGCAGCAGAGGCTGCTGCTTCCTCTTTTTTGTCATCCATCTCATCTTCCGAAGGGGCCAAGAAGTGAAGCTTCAGGCCTGTGAAGTTGGAGAGCAGCAAGAATAGTGCCTCAGAGCAAAATAACTTCATGCACTCCTTCAATATATCAGGAAGCTTACTCTCCTCAGCTTTCTCATAGAATCATCTTTTGTTGGCCAGGCACGGTGGCTCATGCCTATAATCTTAGTACTTTGGAAGGCCGAGGTAGACAGGTCACCTGAGGTCAGTAGTTCAAGACCAGCCTGGTCAATATGGTGAAACCCCTGTCTCTACTAAAATAGAAAAATTAGCTAGGCATGATGCCAGGTGCCTGTAATCCTAGCTACTCGGGAGGCTGAGACGGGAGAATTGCTTGAACCCAGGAAACGGTGGTTGCAGTGAGCCGAGATTTAAAATTTAAAAAATGATAATAAAAAAAAAAAAACCTTTTCTTAGGGGGACCTCAGCTGCTCTCTTCCACATCTCCATTCTCCAAGGCCTCACAGACCTTTGCAAATTTCTCAGGCTTAAGAAATTTCTTAGGAGAATTTCAGAACTTTCTTCAAACTCTTCTTGAGTTTGAATTTGGTAATCCATGTCCAGATAAGTAAGGTTGATCCAATCAAACAATTTCATGTTCTTGTGGGGTGTGAGGGCTCCAAGATATGAGGGGGTTCAAAGTAGTTGGGAGGCCTAGTCAGTGAAGGACCATGAAACCAGCCACTTATAGACAAATGTGACTTCAGACAGGACTTTGGACACCTGGTGAAAGGACACTGCAGATACTTCAAAGAAAACCAGTTTGTTCCATAAAGGGGTAAGAGACGACAATCTGCTTCGGTTGAAAGTGTTCATCAATGTTGTACAGGTCCAGGATACCCTCCAGGCTCCTGTCCCAGGAAAGAACCAGGTACAGGATAAAGGCGATCCAGCGCCCTTCTAGCTCATCATCATGGCACAGCAGGGCATCAGTGAATTCATATTTAGCACAGGACACATCGATGGTTGGTTCCAGTAAATTTTAGAAATGCCAGAAAGCCAGGACCAGAAATCTTCAAACAGAATTTTCCTTAAAGCAGAGATGTGAGGCCCTCTTCTTTAAATCATCAGACTGCTGGAACTTACATAAATCATTATACTTGTCATGGAAATCTAAGTTCATAAGTTCCTTCTGAAGCCCTTCCAAGAAGTCGTCTTTGGATGAAGTTTGGGATCATGCAGTGAAGAAAGGGGTCCATGTCCCTGACAATGGCTTCGTAGCTCCAGGCCTCAACCACCTGCTTTTTCAAGGTTTCCTCCATGACGGCATCTGAAAATTCCGCCATCACCTCCTTCTTTCCCTTTTTTCCCACCCGGGTCCGGCCGGGCTCCACTGGCCGTTTCATCTCCTCACAAGGTACAGAGCCACGCCATATGACTCAGTGCTTTTAAAATCCATGTAGATCTCTTAATTGCCACAACTCCAAGGACCGTGATAGAGTTTAAAATGTTGGGCTGGGGAAGGAGAGTCCGGAAATAGGAACATCACAGAAGCAGCTAAGCATGAGTCCAGGTTTGAGTGGGGTATGATACTGATTTGACAGTATGATTGCACGTCACCTCTTTTTTTTCTGTAGATTGGAAATAGGAGTCTTTTGCATCCTGTTTGAGCATTCCATGGGTTGGTTTCCAACACAAATCCCTTGCTTCTCACCATTATAAGATTATTTCTGCAGGAAGATTCCATTGACGTGGTGGCTCAAGGAGGCAAACAGGCTTCAAAAGAAAATAGGCCGGGTGTGGTGGCTCACGCCTGTAATCTCAGCACTTTGGAAGGCCAAGGTGGGCAGATCACAAGGTCAGGAGTTTGAGACCAGTCTGGCTAACATGGTGAAACCCCGTCTCTACCGAAAATACAAAAATTAGCTGGGCGTGGTGGTGCACACCTGTAATTCCAGCTACTCAGGAGGCTGAAGCAGGAGAATCGTTTGAACCTGGGAGGCGGAGCTTGCAGTGAGCCAAGATCGTGCCACTGCACTCCAGCCTGGGTGACAGAGCGAGACTCCATCTCAAAAAAAAAAAAAAAAGAAAATATTCCCCCAAACTTAAGCAGTGATTCTGTAACCTAACTCCCATCATCAAAAGAGATGATGCCTCATGTTTTTAGAGAGTTTTTAAGTGTTCTATTTTCATATACATTTTGTAAGTATATGCCGTTGAGAATGTGTATCCCTTTTGTTTATTTATCATTTTCTCTCTGATGCTCCTAAGGCGGGAGAAAAAACTTGGAGGAAAAAAAGAAAATCAACCAAAGAACCAAGATTTCAACAAGGTGGTCATCAAATTCTGTGTCCAGAGTGGTGCCTTCAAATGTTTAGATGCTGTAATGGCTATTTTTTGTCTCATAAACGGGGCTATTGTGCCATTTCCACTTACTACGGGAAATTTGCCAAGAGAAAAGGGTTTCAAAACTGAACAGATTTTGAAGCCACATGGCCCATTCAAATCATTATGGCTAGGATCTGTCAACCATTTAATGTGTTGTAAGCATTATGTTCAGTTCTTTACCTTGGGCATCTCATACAGTCCTCTTAATTGCTCTAGTAAGCATTATCTGCAGCACAGAGAAGTCGAGCTCTCTGCCACAGGTCTCATGGCTAATAAATGATGAAGCTGGGGTTTGATCCAGGTCTGGGGCTCCCACACTTGACCACTATCCTCTGCTGTCTGGCCCAAAATTTACAAACTCTAGGAAATCAAAATTAATATGAATTGACTTTAATAGTGCGTTTATGATAGCATTTATTGATTGAGTACCACCTGTTTGCTAGGCAATGTGCTAAGCACTTCCTCATATGCAAAACAAGCCACAGCCCTCTAAGGACTGAACAGAAAGAAATCAGATGAGAAGAATCTGGTATAAGCATAACAGACTAAATGAGAAACCCTAATTTCTTTCCTCTTGAATTTCATCCCCTGATACTTTTACTACCATTTTGAGCCCACACTCAATCCTTAAGGCTAGCCCATCTTAAATATTAATCCAAGGATGAAAACGCCATTTTTGCCACTTACCGCAACTAAGACAAGCTGACATTTTCAAAAATGAATATAGCTACCATGTGGACCAACCTCAAAAACACACTACAATGAAGGAAGCCAGACACAGAAAGTCACATATTATACAATTCCATTTGTATTAAATATCCAGAATGAGTAAATCCATAGAGACAGATTAGTGGATGCCAGGGCTGGAGGGAGGAGGAAATGGGGAGTAACTGCCCAGTGGGTGCTGGGTTGATGGAAATGCTTAGGAGCCAGACAGAGGTAGTGGTTGCACAACTCTGAGGGCACTAAATGCCAGTAAGTTTGTCACTTCAGAATGGTTAATTTTATGTGAATTTCACCTGAATTGCTTAAGAAGGGAATATAAAACCTATAAACTGATACACAGGTAACATAAGACTAGAGAATCCTGGGCATCAAGTCCATAAAACTGACGTAGTCAGTAAGTTCATTTTGCTAAGGACAGAGGCCAACTTGTCTCTTTTTTCTCAAACTCCCACACCTCCCAGGATGCTACCACTCCTTTCAGCCTGTGACATGTGCCTGGCTTACAACTGAATATTTTATGGATGTCCTTGAGTGTGATTAAACAATTTCGCCTGCCCACACCCAAGTTATCAGCTCTATCTCATTCTTAATCCTTCTAGGATGACACAGAGGTCTTAAAGAAGAAATTACCTTTTCAGTTTCACAGTTAATCAATGGCAGCAGCTGCACAGTAAGAATGCTCGTATGCAGTAGTGTAAGGCCTATAACCTCTTCCCACCCACGCTTCCAAGGGCTTGCTCCCTCTCCACCATCCCCCTTGGTAATTGTTGCCACGCTGAGCCTGTCTGTCTCTCAGGAGAAACTGGGACTAACAGAAAAACTGCTAAAGCAACAGCCACAGAGTAACAGGAATCTGCACTCCACAAAAGTCTTGCCTGAATTTGCCCTGCCGTGTCCCTGCTGTGTAAAAAGAAAACCTAGGAAAGACTGAGCCCCTGGTCAATGTGGCGGTCAGGTCCTGGCGGTGAGATTGGGAAATAGCTGGCCTTGAACTTCTCTGCCAGGGGCTCCCTTCCAGGGCCAGCTTTGCTATCTCTGCATTTTACTAAAGATACCATTTCCTGGTGCCTGGGGTCTAGAGGACCCAGTGGGTCATGTGAATGAGGAAGGGGCTGAGTGTGAAGCCACAGATGCCCTGTGTGTGGTGACAGCTGTGAGGTGCCTGCAGAGTGGCACCAGCCTACAGGCTGCAGGTGGCAGTCTTTGGGGAACATGAGCTCAGAGCTGCCACAGCTTCCGGTTTTGCAAGACAATGCTTCCTTCTCAAACTCCCACACCTCCCCGGATGTTACCACTCCTCTCAGCCTGCGGCACGTGCCTGGTTTACAACAATATTTTATGGATGTCCTTGGGAGCTATTAAAGAATTTGGTCTGCCTAGGCCCAAGATATCATGCTGACAATCTGGAACTTTACCTGAAATTTCCCAATTGTAAAAGGTTGGTTCAAAACATTATGAAATGGCCAGGCTCCGTGGCTCACATCTGTATTCCCAGCACTTTGGGAGGCAGAGGAGGGTGGATCACTTGAGCCCAGGAGTTCAAGAGCAGCCTGGGCAATCTAGGGAGACCCCCATCTCTACAAACTTCATGCCTTGCTCTTATGTGGGGAAAAGAGTGTAAAGCCTGTGGAGTGTTTACAAGTTTACATAAGTAAACTATTGTACAAGTTACGGATGTATTTTTTTTTTTTTTTTTTTTTGAGACGGAGTCTCGCTCTGTCGCCCAGGCTGGAGTGCAGTGGCGGGATCTCGGCTCACTGCAAGCTCCGCCTCCCGGGTTCACGCCATTCTCCTGCCTCAGCCTCCCAAGTAGCTGGGACTACAGGCGCCCGCCACTACGCCTGGCTAATTTTTTGTATTTTTAGTAGAGACGGGGTTTCACCGTTTTAGCCGGGATGGTCTCGATCTCCTGACCTCGTGATCCGCCCGCCTCGGCCTCCCAAAGTGCTGGGATTACAGGCGTGAGCCACCGCGCCCGGCCGTTACGGAGGTATTTTAATGCTCCTCACAACTTTCCAGATTCTTCAATTTGCCCATAAAATCTGGTTTCTGAGAAAGACACTGGAAGACACTTTCCTAGCAGAATCCAGATCATAACCTAGCATTCTCTGCAGCTGGTGGTGCTATGGTCTGTATAGCAAGAGGCCACCCAGCACAGTAGTTATGCCCATGGACTCTGGAAGTGGACAGCACCACCCTTACTGGCTGTCCCAGTGACCTGGGGTCACTTCTCTGTGCTTTGCTCTTCTCATCTCTAACATAGAGATACTAAAAGAACCTGCTGCCTTGGACTGCTGTGGAGGATTAAATGCATTCAGATATGAAAGTACTTGGAACAGTGCCTTGCACACAGCAAGCATTAGCTTTATATTCATCCAGACCATCCCTTTATATTCATCAAAAGCCAACAAGTGAGGCCTCCAGCCCGGGGCCAAGAGCCTATTGATGACACCAACCTCTTGCCTCTGGGGACGCAGGCCGTAGCTGGGCCAAACCTAGACCCACCCTTGCCCCACATGAGTTACAGGTGGAGAGGTACTCAAAGAGTAAAGAAGAGAGACGCCCATGCTCCCGGTCTACTGAGAACTTCCTCTTCCTCTCGCTAGATTAACTATGAAGTCAGGAAGCTGGTGAATGTCTACAGAAACACAAAGTAGAAAACAGATCTGGTCCCATTCCTTCCTAAAACATTGAATGCCAACCCATCATAAGAGCTCAGATATGTCCTAAGGGCCAAGTTATGTTTGAACCTCAGCATAGCAATGTTATCAAAAAAGCCCGCTGGGTCTCCACCTCTCCATATCAGTATTCTGTCTTAAGCTGAAGTATCAGTGACTACTTACTGAGCACCCACTACAATCAGAGCACTGTTTTAACGGCTAGGAATTGTAAAGAAAACAATGGTACCTGGTTCTACAGAAGCTCATTCATTCTCCAAGTTAACAAATATTTATTAAATTCTCACTTTGTGCCAGGCACTAAGGAAACAGCAGTGAACACAGCAGATTAAAGCCCTGCCTTCTGGTGCACATAATGTTGGGAGATAGAGATAGATAATAAACAAATAGCTAGGTAAATTAAATAGTATGTCAGTTGATAATAAGCAATATGGAGAAAATACCATAGAGAGGGAGTGCCTGAATGGAGGTGAGTAATTCACAACAGCCAGGATGCTGACTGCAGACTCAGTGAGCCTGCCTCAGCGCCACCATGGTGGGTGGGGAAGGGAATAAGGGAGGCTTCAGCAGAGGCTGGGGTAGTCCATCAGGCCAAGGAGCAAATGGGAAAAACCAAAGAGACTCAGGGATTCGCAGCCCATGAGAGCCATGGGGAAGATGTCAAGTGCTCCTGATAGCATCACCTGAGTCCAAGAAAGAAGCTACCTCTTCACTAGCCACAGGCCCATGCGCCCAAGGCTAGCAGAGCCACTGGTGACCAGGCAGGAAGGGAACATGGAACTGGAGTCTAGCAAATGCCAGCCCCTGACACCCCAGGAGCCGGCGTGAAGCTTCATAAGGACCTCTCCCTCTAGCTTTAAGCCACTGACCCCTCTCCCCGTACACCTGGGCCACCTTGAGGAAAGGCATGATGTCTGAGAGAAGGGAACACTGCCCAGAGGGGCTGCTTAACTGATCCGCCTGGATCATGCCTTACCTAGGCTAGAGCATTCATTTCTCTTGTTGAGAGCACAGGGGAAAATCAAATCAACTATAAATGAAGAAATTACATTTTCTCTGCCTAGGGGGAGGAGACAGGGAGGAAGAAAAAGTGGAAACTGTGAGTACAGAAACTATTTTGAGGAGTTTTGCATGAAAATGATCCAGGAGAGAAAAACTGATGACAAGAGAGAGAGAAAGAGAATTGACGCAGTGATGTCTGGAGGAGGAGAAAGGAGCACTTAAGGGGCAGAGCTGACTTCAGCTGCAAGTACCACCAACTGTCCCAGGGGAGCACGAGCAGAGGTGGGGGTGTGGTAGTTATCTTCAGAGAAACAGGGTGCAAGGAAACCTCCCAAAGGAAGGGGTGGTGGGTGTTGGGTCTAAGGAGAGAGGAGGGGGTATAAACCAGCAGCCTGGTGGTGGGAGAGTGAATGAGGTCAGGTGAGAGTTGGGAAGGCCGGGGGAACGAAGCACCCCGCTAGAGGTTGTGCTTTCAAGTGAAACAACGCCATGTGAGAGCAGGCAAGGAGTAGGCAGGGAATTCGGCTTCACCAGGGTTGTGGTGCTCTTGGTGGATGGACGAGGCTGACAATGGAGAAAAGAGCAAGGGAGTCGAGGGCGTCTGTGTGGGAGTGATGGCGACTGCCCGTGGAATTTACGTTGGGTAAAGGAAGAAAGTGAAGACCTGGGGCAGGCAAGGGACCGGGAAAAGGAAGGAGGAGCCAGCGATGGAGGTCGCAGTGGGTTGAAGGATTACCGGAACTGAGGTGCTAGGGGAAGAGAGCTAAAAAGAGAGCGGGCGGAGGTCAGAAAGAGGGCTGACTGAAGTGGAGGTGGAGGAAGGCTGGCAGGCAACCGTGAGGTGTAAGTTCCGTCGACAGGCGCGGCTGAGATCGGGTGGAGAGCAAGGTCATAGGTGGAAAGGAGGTCAACAAACTAGAGGCCAAGGCATTCCAAGACTCGGCATGGGTGTGAACGGCCGCAGATGCAGTGCTTCAAAGAGAGCGCAGGCACCTGTCCCTCAGGGACTACGGGTGACCACGGAGGAAAGCGCTAGGGAGGGCGGTTTTAGGACCGCTGGAAACAGCAGCGATGAGGGAGGCGACAGGTGTCCCTCCTCCAAGCTCACAGTCTGCATGTGAGAGAGAACTGCAGGAGAAGCTTGCCCTAGGCAAAGCCAGGTGTCAGGTCCAGAATCGAGACTCCAGAGAAGAGGTTGAGGATTTAAGCCACTGAGGGGGTGGAGCTGGGCAGTGAGTAGGACGTCAGGCTTGCAAGCTCTGGGATTAGGCCGACCAGAGCCCATATCCCAGTCCCGCCTCTTACTGCCTGCTTGATCTCAAGCAAGACCGCTTTGTTCATGGGCGAAAGGAGCGCCCCGGGCCATGAGGATTAAATGGAGAGCACAGGGCCAGATCCATCTAAATTCTCAGTAAGTGTTAGCTATTGTTATTAAGACCACACCGAACAGACTGAACATCCGTTTTAGCCCCTTTCCCCAATTTTCGTTCTTTCCGGTGTTGACAAATCCTCTAGTTTTTTAAGTTTATAAAACATGTTGTACATAAGAATGACATATCACATGTGAAAGTACTCTAGTGTCCACGTAAATATTTGTCTTGTTCTTTATAATAAGTAAACATGCTCACGGATCCTTGAAATTATCTGGTCACTGCCGGGCGCGGTGGCTCACGCCTGTAATCCCAGCACTTTGGGAGGTCGAGGCGGGTGGACCACCTGGGGTCAGGAGTTCGAGACCAGGCTGGCCAACATGGCGAAACCCTGACTACACAAAAAACACAAAATTTAGCCGGGGCTTGGGCGCTCCTGTGCTCCCAGCTACTCAGGAGGCTGAGGTGGGAGGACTGCTTGAGCCTGGGAGGTCGAGGCTGCAGTGAGCTGTGATCGCGCCACTTAAACTCCAGCCTGGACGACAGTGAGACCCTGTCTCAAGAAGAAAAAAAGAAAGAAAGAAAGAAAAAAAGAAAAAAAAGAAATTATTTGGTCAATTATATGGTCAGCTCCCTCCACCACTCGCGAATTTACAGAAGAGGAGAACTGGGCTGGGCGAGACCAGGACTAGCCCAAGATTACACAAGTTACTCGGTTGTAGAGCCAGGATTAGACAGGAGAGGCTCTAGATTCTGGTCTAGACTCCCCTCCTATTATTTAGCATTATGGCTTCCTGAGGATTACCATGAGCCCTCCTCCACCGTCAAGCGGCAGCTACCAGCCACCAGACCAGATCCCTTCGAAGGTGCCCGGAGTACCAGACTGACAAAAGCGCCCGTACAGTGCTCAGTCCTGTAACCAAAGCTGTCTAGGGTGCAGACATCGCTCACCGGACCGGGTAGGGCTCGTGCGCTAAGGGCGCCGGGTATTCCAGTTAGTGGAGAGGGAAGCGCCCTGGAACTGCATGGGCCCGGGAGAGGGCGCGGGAGCGGAGCAGGGCCGGGCCGGGGCGGGCCGCGGCCGTGGGCGGAGACTGCGCGCAGCTAGCTCGGGAGCGCCTCGGAGCCCACCCCGCAGAGCCGCTTCTCGCGCCCCGCAGCGCAGCGCAGCGCTCCGCCGTCTGACCTGCCGCGCCCGCAGCGTGCGGGCTGGGAAAGGAGGCGCTCACCGAGAGGGACCACGCGCCAGGCTCCCAGCCCGACCCGGGACGCGGCGGCCGCGCGGAGCACCCATGGGCAGCCCCTGGAACGGCAGCGACGGCCCCGAGGGGGCGCGGGAGCCGCCGTGGCCCGCGCTGCCGCCTTGCGACGAGCGCCGCTGCTCGCCCTTTCCCCTGGGGGCGCTGGTGCCGGTGACCGCTGTGTGCCTGTGCCTGTTCGTCGTCGGGGTGAGCGGCAACGTGGTGACCGTGATGCTGATCGGGCGCTACCGGGACATGCGGACCACCACCAACTTGTACCTGGGCAGCATGGCCGTGTCCGACCTACTCATCCTGCTCGGGCTGCCGTTCGACCTGTACCGCCTCTGGCGCTCGCGGCCCTGGGTGTTCGGGCCGCTGCTCTGCCGCCTGTCCCTCTACGTGGGCGAGGGCTGCACCTACGCCACGCTGCTGCACATGACCGCGCTCAGCGTCGAGCGCTACCTGGCCATCTGCCGCCCGCTCCGCGCCCGCGTCTTGGTCACCCGGCGCCGCGTCCGCGCGCTCATCGCTGTGCTCTGGGCCGTGGCGCTGCTCTCTGCCGGTCCCTTCTTGTTCCTGGTGGGCGTCGAGCAGGACCCCGGCATCTCCGTAGTCCCGGGCCTCAATGGCACCGCGCGGATCGCCTCCTCGCCTCTCGCCTCGTCGCCGCCTCTCTGGCTCTCGCGGGCGCCACCGCCGTCCCCGCCGTCGGGGCCCGAGACCGCGGAGGCCGCGGCGCTGTTCAGCCGCGAATGCCGGCCGAGCCCCGCGCAGCTGGGCGCGCTGCGTGTCATGCTGTGGGTCACCACCGCCTACTTCTTCCTGCCCTTTCTGTGCCTCAGCATCCTCTACGGGCTCATCGGGCGGGAGCTGTGGAGCAGCCGGCGGCCGCTGCGAGGCCCGGCCGCCTCGGGGCGGGAGAGAGGCCACCGGCAGACCGTCCGCGTCCTGCGTAAGTGGAGCCGCCGTGGTTCCAAAGACGCCTGCCTGCAGTCCGCCCCGCCGGGGACCGCGCAAACGCTGGGTCCCCTTCCCCTGCTCGCCCAGCTCTGGGCGCCGCTTCCAGCTCCCTTTCCTATTTCGATTCCAGCCTCCACCCGCCGGTACTTCCCATCCCCCGAGAAAACCATGTCCTGTCCCCCAGGAGCTCTGGGGGACCCCAGGGCGCTTTGAGGGTGGGATCCCCGGATCCGATTCAGTAACCAGCAGTGCTTTTCCAGAGCCTCTGAGACCAGAAAGGAGAGTTGGTAATTCTTAATCCAACCACCTGTTAGATGCCACAGATGAGGAGTCCTCACAGTGCTCTTGAGAAGACGAGGGAGATTTCATTAAGCTAAAATTTTTTATTTAATGTTAAGTGATGCTGAAGGCTAAAGTAAACCTTGCTCGTATCAAAAAGTAAAGATTGTGCAGACCTGTTGTAGAATTCTTTTCAACAGAGAACAGAAAACTTGTCTCCGAAGTGGGTTTGTGGAAGGAAGCCTGCCAAGGCGGCTTGTTCAGAGAAATTGCTCCTTCTGGTTTATGTCCAGCCTTGATAACACATATGGGAGCCTACTATGCAGTTTTAAAGCAAGTATCCATGCAGCCTGCAGCCTGGTCATTTTTTCTGGGGTGAGGATCTGCCTAGGTAGAAGTTTTCTCTAATTTATTTTGCTGTTACTTGTTATTGCAGATGGTTCCTTGTCGGGGTGGGGGGTTTATTTGCTTCCCAATGCTTTTGTTAATCCCGGTGCTGTGTCTTATGTTGCAGTGGTGGTGGTTCTGGCATTTATAATTTGCTGGTTGCCCTTCCACGTTGGCAGAATCATTTACATAAACACGGAAGATTCGCGGATGATGTACTTCTCTCAGTACTTTAACATCGTCGCTCTGCAACTTTTCTATCTGAGCGCATCTATCAACCCAATCCTCTACAACCTCATTTCAAAGAAGTACAGAGCGGCGGCCTTTAAACTGCTGCTCGCAAGGAAGTCCAGGCCGAGAGGCTTCCACAGAAGCAGGGACACTGCGGGGGAAGTTGCAGGGGACACTGGAGGAGACACGGTGGGCTACACCGAGACAAGCGCTAACGTGAAGACGATGGGATAACCAGCACGGCCAAGCCAGGCTCCTCTTGCAGTTCTAAGACTTTGGGGAAAACAGGTGTGTAGAGAAATAAAGACTGCAAATGAGGAACAGATCCTGTTAAGAAGAATGGAAAGAGGGTTGCAGTTGTGCCAGTTGGTTAAGAAATAGACCGCATGATTTATTTAACCAAGGTATGAAATGTAACTGCGCCAACCTTTCTAGTTTCCTTCCCACGTACCTCCTAAGGAAGGTCGATTTTACCATCATGAAATCCCACATCTCAAAGTGTGCTCTTGTGTGATGGTTTCATGAAGTCCTCATTCTCCTACTCTTCGGAAAGATGATTGTTCATTTTACAGTTAAATGATACACAAAGATGCTGCCCCAAAACTGCCACCTCTGAGATCATGAGTGTATTTTATGTTTTGGATGTAAATGTAACAGTACATCTACAAGGAACCAGGATAATGATAGTTTTGATCCAAGAAATGATTTAATACCTATGTATGGCTGCAAAAACTTTTAGAAGTAAAAGGAATTCTGGGTAGACTCCAGTGTTCAGGGGTCCCACCTCTCTCCAGATCACAGCAAATCATAAAGTTTAGGCAAAATAATAGCCTCTTTCAGAAGTATTAAGCAATTGTGTTGCAACCCACTTCTCCTTGACACTGCCCATGGGACCTTCCCAGTGCCACTGGCCATGGGGTGGCAAACTTTGGGCATCAACATTTGAGAGTAGAGAGCTCAGCAGGACATGGCTTTCTCCAGTGACTACAAATGACGTTTGTAAAGAGCTATTTAATATGCTTTATCTCACCTCAGCTTGGTGGGGTGAGTACTGTTGTCAACATTCCTGTTTTGGAAGTGAGTCTTGGATTGCCCAAACAGGAGCTGGTGAGCTGGAGTCTGAATCCAGTGTTTAAGTTGCTCACCCAATCCCAAGCCAAGATGCTGTCCTTACTGAAAAACGCCAGCCAATGGATTTAGTCAAGAGTGAAAGAGAACTCACTGGACATTCTGATCAACAACTCTGTAACTTTGTTTTGTTTTTTAGAGTTTAAAACACAAATATTTTTAGAGGGTTACTGCTGTCACTCAGCTCCAAAGGGCTTCACTTATGCCACCTTCTGTATGAATGGCACCCCCAAGATGTGGGCAGGGTACAGCTTTCACAGTTGTACATGGGACCTTTTTTGGGGCTTTCAGATTGATAAATTCAAACCTAAATTACAATAGGATCTTGATTTGTATGAGGAATTTGTCCTGAGACCTTCATGAATCTTCACATCTACAAATACCAGAAAAATGACAAATGCTATAACTTCAGAGTTATAAAGACAGATAGACATAAAGTCACATTGAGACTTGGAGGCTAGAGAGGCAGCTCCGTTGATTCACTGACTTGATGTCTCTGCTTCACAGCCCACAGTTTGGGTGGCTTTGGTAAATGTCTAAATTACTTTCCGCCACAGGCCACCATAGTCTCTTTTGAATAGTTAAAACTACAAAAGATGAATACATAAATAACAAGGGTCTGCCCGACATGCATTCAAAGTTCTGTTGCTTTCTCATTTTCTTAGCCAAAGCCCTAGCTCAGTCCCCAGCCCGGTCCACAATTGGCACAGGAATGAAGTCTCTCGTTTGCTTTTTCTCCTAGCTAGTGGAAGAAGCAGATTGCAGTCACTTCAGGAAGCATTCCCTAAACTGTGTTCTGCAGATTTCCAGGGATTATTGGAAAAAATGGTTCTGGGGTTAAATATGGCAGGAAAATACCACATTGTGTTCCCCCTACCACACCCTAAACATTTCACACACATAACACAATATAGCATGTCAGAGGCTCTGAGAAGTTGTCTCAACCAACATTTCCTTGACTTATTTTATCACAGAACCAACTCTCCATCTTCCCTCCCAAGAACACTTAGTAAAATCTCATGGAGTGAGAAATACTTTGGGGAGCACTGATGTAGGGGTTCTGACAGTGGAGGTGTCAGCCTGGAGCCTCCATAACTCTCTGCTTGGTAGCACTGAGTACAGCAGCTGCCACAGTCCTTCTGCTCATGGGAGCTCCTCTCTGGAGCAGTCAGGAGTGGCCACCTCCCTAGGGAAAGTCACAGCAAAGAACCTTATTAAGATGTATATAATATTTTATTTTATTTTTTTAGAGACAGGATCTCACCCTGTTGCCCAGGCTGGAGTGCAGTGGCACAATCATAGCTCACTGTAACCTTAAATTCCTGGATTCAAACCATCCTCCCACCTCAGCCTCCCCAGTAGGCAGGACTACAGGCACACACCACCATGCCTGGCTAATTTTTTAGTTTTTTGTAAAGTTGGGGTCTTGCTGTGTTGCCCAGGCTGGTCTCAAACTCCTGGCCTCAAGCAATCCTCCTGCCTCAGCTTCCCAAAGTGCTGGGATTACAGGCATGAGCCACCACACCTGGCTCATGTATAATATTCTAAATGTAGAAGCAAAGACCTCTCTTTTGAGCTTTCTCGTTCAGAATCTAGAAAACAAGGATTTACATGACACTTTCCTGGGACTTAAGCATGTTTCCAGGTGTGGGCATAGGGAGGATTATCCTTCCCTTCCCAGATGGTACCTGAGATGGAGGGCCTGAAGGCCATCCCTTCCTTCAGGATTCTTGTGTGGTCTCAGCCTACTAGTGGACTGTGAAATCAGTAAGTGTGTCATATTTTTCTTTAATGGAACAGTGTGGACAAGAATAGAGTCCATTGTGTATCACATGTACTAAGGTAACTATTGTGCTGTGAAACTTTTGTTTCAATTATGTTTTGGTTGGTGTCTTTCCCGGTTCACAAAATAAAATACATTCTAACTGTGGGTCATGGTGGAAAATGTTTAAAAAGTTGTTCTAAGATCTAAAGTTTTTCTCTGTTCTTACACTGACAACTGGCTATGAAAAGGGAGGCCAAGTCAGCGAATCACTGGAGCAGGAGAATCACTGAGCTCTGGTTTCCAGTCCAGGGCTCCCTACCCACCCAACCCAGGGTGGTAATCATGGAGGCTATGGGCCAGCCACTCCCTCCACCCCAACAGAGACCCGTGCTGGCATTCCAGCCACTTCTCTTTGAGCCCCCTCTCCCTTCTGCAGGCAGAACCACTTTTGTTAGGTGAGCTGCCAACCTTGGAAGAGAGTTTGTATTTCATTCATTCCCATGGCAAATATTTACCAAGCAACTGCTAAGTGCCAGACGTGTATAATACAATACACTAGAAAAACTAGTCCATGTGATGATGTAAAAATCAATCAACTTTCTAATGGCATTCTCTGTTTGAAATGTGTATTGTGTCATCTAGACTAACATGGATTCACCATTTAGATCAGATGGAAGTGCAGAACATCAGGTTTGCACTATCTGTCTGGATGTTCCTCCTCTTTTGTATGTGAGACATTTCCACTTCTGAAGGAAATGTTCAAAGAGCTATTGCACAACATCCACTGGGATCCAAGAGTTCCCTGTGCCAGGTTCTCAAAGAGACACAGGCAACGTGCTAATGGTGTTGAAAATTCAAACACGCCCTCTCCTGACCCTTTCTACTCATGTCATAATGACATTTGCCAGTATATGGAAGCAAATTTTAGTGGTTGCACAGGTCTAGTGTGTTTTGTTTTGTTTTAGAGACAGGGTCTTCCTCTGTCACCCAGGCTGGAGTGCAGTGGCTTGATCACAGCTCACTTTAGCCTCAACTTGCTGGGCTCAAGCAATCCTCCCACCTCAGCCTCTCAAGTAGCTAGGACTATAGGCACACATCATCTTCACACCTAGCTAATTAAAAAAAAATTTTTTTTAAGAGATAGGGTTTTATTATGTTGCCCAGGCTGGTCTCCAAGTCCTGGCCTCAATCGATCCTCACACCTCAGCCTCCCAGGGTACTGGGATTATAGGCATAAGCCACCACGCCCAGCTTAGGTTTAGTGTTTTAAAAGTGGCTTTACTTAAACATAGATGGGATGCAATATTTAATTATGAGCCCAATTTCTAAGGATTCCAAACCCTATTACAGAGCCCCTAGTCTTCTACGAGGAGCCTTTGAATTCAGCGTTTCCTCTTCTGAGCGCACAGGGCACAGGCTCCAAAGGAATGCTCTGTGGAAGTCACTCAACCTGTCCCTGGTGTACACTATGTCTCTGGTGTACACTACAGAGGAGGGGACTCGACCGGCCCCCTTAGGAAAACACTACACACTTTTTAAATAGTGCACACCTGTGTACTAAGGGTTAAAAGGCTTTTTATTCCCCACACTAATTCTCTGGGTCAGTGGTTCTCAAACTTCAGCCTGCATCAGAATCACCTGGAGGACGTGGTAAGACACAGATTGCTGGGCTTCCCCCAGAGGGTTTTGGAGTTAGTAGGTCTGGGGTGGGGCCCAAGAATCTGTATTTCTATTGAATTCCCAGGTATTGCTGGTTTATGTCCCAGGTGAAACACAGCGGGATGGCATAAGATTTCATCACACTACTCAGGGCACGCTCGACTGAAAACCTAACAACTGTTTAATTCTGAAATTTTCCATTTAATAGTTTTGGACCATGGTTGACCACAGGTAACTGAAACCTCAGAAAGCGAAACTATGGATAAGGGGGACTACTTTGTGGTTCCAAAGAAGCCATCCAGCTGGAAAAGTTCTGTTGTTGCATTTTCCACAGGCTCCTGCAAATAGGTCCTGATGGTCAAATACTCTTTTTTTTTTTTTTTTTTTTTTTGATATAGGGTCTCACTCTGTCACCCATGCTGGAGTGCAGTGGCACAATCACGGCTCACTGCAGCCTCAGCCTCCCGGACTCAGATGATCCTCTCACCTCAGCCTCCTGAGTAGCTGGGACTACAGGTGCACACCACCACACCCAGATAATTTTTTAATTTTTTTGTAGAGACAAGGTTTCACCATGTTGCTCAGACTATTCTCAAACTCCTAAGCTCAAGCAATCTGCCCTCCTTGGCCTCCCAAAATGTTGGGATTATAGGCGTGAGCCACCATGCCTCAGCACTTAAATACTTTTAAGAAATGTTGCAATACTATATAAACTCTTTTTGGCCATACAGCTTTTTTTTTCCTCTCATATATTAACATTCCCCAAAATACTCCACCTTGAAATTCTAGAGAGAAGTTTGGGTATGAAGTCAGGGCTCACCATAAAGATTTGGGAGGCAACAGCATGGAAATGATCATCTTATCCAGTGCCTCAAAAACTTTTGCTTGCATCAGAAACACTAGAGGGCTTCTTAAAACACGGATTTCTGGGCCCACTCCAGAAGTTCTGATTCTGTAAGTCTGAGAATTTGCATTTCTGTGTAGTTTGCAGGTGGTGCTGCTGCTGCAACTCCAGGATCACACTTTGAGAACCACTGATTTAAGTGATAGAAATAGATGGCCCCGACTAGGAGAAAGCTTACCAAGATCAAAGCAGAGGTGCAGGGATGCACTCTAATGATCCCCACGCTGGCTGGAAGTCACCAAAGCAGGCAGAAGAGCAGAAAAGAAAAAGCATGTGATGCATGTGATACAACCCAAAGGAAGAGCGTTTCACAGAGGGTCGGAGGTCAAGGGGTCACGCACCACAGGGAACACAAAGAGAATGAAGTAGGGTTGCCAGACGAAATTCAGAGCCTGAAACTAAATTTGAATTTCTGATAAACAACATATATTTTATGTATAAGTTTAAATATTATTAGCATGACACACTAAGGGCCAGGCGTGGTGGCAAACACCGGGAGTCCCAGCACTTTTGGAGGCCGAGGCAGGAGGGTTACTTGAGACCAATAATTCAACACCAGCCTGGCAATATAGCAAGATCTCATTTCCACAAAAAAATGCATTTCTTCATTAGCTGGGCATGGTGGCGTGCCCCTGTTGTCCTAGTTACTTGAAAGGCTGAGGTGGGAGGATAGCTTGAGCTCAGGAGTTTGAGACTGCAGTGAGCTCTGATCACGCTACCGCACTTTAAAAATATAGCATACCTATTACTTACATTTTAAAATCATTTATTATTTATCTGAAATCCACATTTAAATGGGCACTCTATTTTTATTTTTAAATCTGGTAACCCTAGGATACTGGCAATGGAAAGACCACAGAGTCTGGCAAAAGGAAGGAATCTAGAAAGTGCCTTTCAAGAGAGTGCTGGGGCAGGAGCCGGAAGATGGTAAGTTGAAAGGAAATGGCCACTGAGCAACAGTGGGTTAGATGGTCCCAGCCTTGGGGCCCTCTTTGTGCAGGGAGCTCAGCAGCTGATTAAGCAACTTTGCCGCTAGTCCTGTACTGTACTGACTTGTACCCCCACCCAAGAGCCAGCCTCTCCTGCTGTGGCTTGTATCCCAGCACCCCAGTTAGGAAAGCACCTACCGCCCTTGTGTTAGGCATCTGCACTGCACAGTCAGTAATTATTTTGATTTTTTTAAATCACAAAACTGAAGAATGTGTCTGATTCAGAACTTCCTGGAATATAATGTGTCATGACAATCTGTCAAACTGAAGAAGCTTCGTTTGTATCTAACCTGTTCCTAGGTGTTTATGTACACTTAGGCATTTTTTTAAGGCTTAATTTTCTCTTTCTGCAAAAGGGGTTGAATGAAATAAAATTTTGTTAAATGAATAATTAATTTACAATGAGGGGTGGTTCTTTTCTTCTTTTTTGAGACAGGGTCTCACTCTGTCTCCCAGGCTGGAGAGCAGTGGCGTGATCAGAGCTCACTTGCAGCCTCCACCTCCCAGGCTCATGCAATCCTCCCACCTCAGCCTCCCAAGTAGCTTGGACTATAGGCACACACCACCACACCCAGCTAATTTTTGAATTTTTTGTAGAGACTGAGTCTCACCATGTTGCCCAAGCTGGTCTTGAACTCCTGGGCTCAAGTAATCCGCCTGCCTCAGCCTCCCAAAGTGCTGGGATTCTAGGCATGAGCCACTGCTCCAAGCTGGGTGGTTCTTCTTCTAAAAAAAATGTAACTCTGTGTGATGACTGAGACCATAAAGGATAATGAAGTAATATTTAAATCTGTGTAAAGCAACTAGCATTGTGCCGGGTAGTAATAGATTTGATAAATACTACTTAAATGTAAATGGAGGATAGCAACATTTTGGACAGGGAAAAATATCGATTTCTTAAAAACTAAGTTCATTGCAGTATTATAATACATTATAATGGAGTGTTTAGTTATATAACTATTGCAATGTACGTATAACATATAATAATACAAGGTACTTGGTATGCCATCTGGAATGCAGTAATTCTCAGTAAATGTGAGCTAGCATTTTTGTCCTCAGTTCATATCCTATTAACTATCACTTGTTGGGTCTTTTTGTTTGTTTTTAAAAACATGAAACAAAAGTACTGAACATTTATTTTCTAAAAATCCAACAACTCATAAGAGGCATATTCACTTCATTACTTAGCTTTTTAAGGGACACCATTGGCATTTTACTCCCAAAGGATGCTATCTTTCACTGAAAGTCTTCAGTTATTTTTTGTATTTATAATAACCCCATTCATATGATTCTGAGTTATCCTCCAGCATGCATCTTTAAAAACTGGATTCTTGTGCCTAATGCAAGCATCTGGCTTTCTTAAATAAAGATGAAAATGGCCAGGTGCAATGGATTGAGCCTTATAGTCCGAGCTACGCAAGAGGCTGAGGTGGGGACTACTCTCTTAAGCCCAGGGGTTGAAACCTGCAGTGAGCTATGATCGAGCCACCGCACTCCAGCCTAGGCAACAGAGCAAGACCTCACCTCTAAAAATAAATAAAAATAAAAATGCATTTCATAAACACATTTCCCAGTAGCAGTTCCTAAGTTGGATTCTTTAAATGTTCCTTTACTAATTTCCATATACATTTTGATTTCCTTCGACAAGGAAAAAATACAAAGTATATTTTATGTTTAAGTTGTTGGGCTATATATAAAAATGAATAGGCCTGTAATCCCAGCACTTTGGGAGGCAGAGGTGGGTGGATCACTTGAGGTCAGGAGTTTGAGAACAGCCTGGCCAACATGGTAAAACCCTGTCTCTACTAAAAATACAAAAAAAAAAAAAAAACCAACTAGCTGGACGTGGTGGCACATCCCTGTAATCTCAGCTACTCGGGAGGCTGAGGCATGAGAATCACTTGAACACAGGAGGTAGAGGTTGCAGTGAGCCGGGATTGTGCCATTGCACTCCAGCCTGGGCAACAGAGTGAGACTGTCTCAAAATAATAATAATAATAATAGGACCAGGACCCTTAACCTCAAGATTCTGTGACTTGTCAGGATGGGGGAAAAAAAGTATGTAAATAAGTATAGATGTGATTAAATAAGTTTTAATAAAGAGCAGGGGAATTTAGAGAAACTGTACCAAGCATTAAATGTATTACTTTTAGTAACCAGAAATTCCTTCCATGGATGTAGTTAAGATTTTATAGTATTTGGGAGGCCAAGGCAGGAGGACCATTTGAAGCCAGGAGTTCAAGACCAGCCTGGGCAACATAGCAAGACCCTGTCTCTACAAAAAAAACTAAAAAGTTAGCCAGGTGTGGGAGTGCACACCTGTAGTCCCAAGCTGCTAGAGAGGCTGAGGCAGGAGAATCACTTGAGCCCAGGAGTTCAAGGCTGCAGTGAGTTATGCTTGCACCACTGCACTCTAGCCTGGGTGACAGAGTGAGACCCTGTCTCAAAAAATAATAATAATAAAATAAAAGATGTTATAGTGATTGTTGGCTCAAACCATGCAAACTCTGCTGAACATAGTTTATTAACAATAACTCTCCATCTGAGGAGTCATTAAATCTTTCTGAGCTCAGTTTGCTCACATGTAAAGTAAGAAGGTTAGAACCAAATTATTTGTCATCTCTTCTACATAAATTATTCTGTGAATCCCTCACTTCCCTCAGCCTTGTAGGTTTGGGTATATTTTAGAAATTTGCTAGAATTAGGCCAGGTACAGTAGCTCTCACCTGTAATCCCAACACTTTGGGAAGCCAAAACAGGAGGATCGCTTAAGCCCAGGAGTTCAAGACCAGCCTAGGCAACATGACGAAATCTCATCTCTACAAAAACTACAAAAACATCCAGGTGTGGCGGTGCATGTCTGTAGTCCCAGCTACTCGGGAGGCTGAGGTGGGAGGATCACTTGAGCCCAGGAGGTCAAGGCTGCAGTGAGCTGTGATTGTACCACTGCACTCCAGCCTGGGTAAGAGAGCAAGACCCTGCCTCAAAAAAAAAAAAAAAAAAAAAGTACTAGAATTAAACAAAAGAGACTTGTTGCACCTAAAATAGCTTTTTATAAAGCTTTCAAGTCCATGAGGTTGATTTTCATTTAAAATACAGTTGCTAACAAGTTGGGTCATCTGCTGTGCCCACCAATAGCATGTTAAAAGCATTCAATAGGATGGCACAAGAGAGGAAGGGCTATTAGCAACAGAACAGTGATGTTGGGAGATGGGGTAACTAGACTGACAGGAAAGAATGAGGAAAAGTGGGACATCCAATGGTGAGGTCCATCACACTGATCCTGAGCCCCCGACGGCAACACCAAACTATGCTCAGCACTTTTTAAAGAAATTATTTAAACTGACAAATAAAAATTGTATATGTTTATTGTATGCAACATGATGTTTTGATAGATATATGTTGTATACATTGTGGAATGGCTAAATCAAGCTAATTAGCATATCTGATACCTCACATACTTTTTTGGTAAGAATATTTAAAATCTACTGTCTTCGCAATTTTTAGATATACAATTTATTTTTGTTAACCATAGTCACCATGATGTACAATAGATTTGCTTTCTTTTCTTTTCTTGTTTGACACAGGGTCTTGTTCTGTCGCCCAGGATGGAGTGCAGTGGCATGATCATGGCTCAATGCAGCCTCGACTTCAGGGGCTCAAGTGATCCTGCTGCCTCAGCCTCCTGAGTAACTGTGACTACAGGTGTGCGCCACCATACCTGACTAATTTTTAAATTTTTTTTGTAGAGATAGCGTATCACTTTGTTGCCCATTCTGGCCCCAAGCAATCCTCCTGTCTCGACCTCACAAAATGCTGGGATTACAGGCATGTGGCACCACACTCAGCCATGATTGCTTGAATTTATTCCCTCTGACTAACTGAAATTTTGAATCCTTTGACCAACACCTCCCCAATCTCTCCCTGCTTCCGTTTCCTGGTAACTGTTTTACTCTCTGCTTTTTATGAGTTCAATTTTTTTAGATTCCACATATGAGTGAGATTATGTGGTATTTGCCTTTCTGTGCCTGGCTTATTTCCCATAACATAATGTCCTTCAAGTTCATCTGTGTTGTTGCAAATGGCAGGATTTCCTTCTGTTTTAAGGCTGAATAGTATTCCAATGTATGCATATATGTATGTATGTATGTATAAACCACATTTTCCTATACACTCATCCATTGATGGGCACCTAGGTTGATTCCATATCTTGGCTATTGACTTGTTCATTTTTAAGAATCAGTCTTTCTGCCCACAATGTGTGGTGTCTTCCGTACACACATGGTGGGGGCTGATCAGGGAGTAGTGGTGTGGTCAGGTATATTTGTGTCCACCAGGTTTCCTTCCAAAATGAATGTCCAGGCTACTGGGCTTTTAGAGAAATAGTCCCAAGGTATCTACGCACTCTGCTGTTCTTGGAAAGTCAGGATTTGTCGTAAGCACATCTGTCGCATTGGAAGCATCTGAAGAAAACTGTTCTTTTTCTTAACGGTCATTGCAACTGCTTTTAGGATTCCACAGTGTTAAATCTGCCCTTTCTTTAGAGCAGTCAAGAAAGATGTAATAACTGAAGGAAATGGGCCTTCCTCCACTGATAGGCATGATGCTTTTGAAATTTAAGTGGAGCTCTTGCATTTGTTTTTTGTATGGACGGTATAAGGAATGGCACAAACGCTAGATGGAATAGCTTTATAGCTGTTGAGCATTTGTGCTCTTTTGTGCATCAATAGATTTCTATTTCATTGGTTTCATTTGTTCTTAAAAATGCCCTATTTTTATTTTATTTATTTATTTTTTTGAGATGGAGTCTCGCTCTGTCACCAGGCTAGAGTGCATTGGCACGATCTCGGCTCACTGCAACCTCTGCCTCCTGGGTTCAAGCAATTCTCCTGCTTCAGCCTCCTGAGTAGCTGGGACTACAGGCACCTGCCACCAAGCCTGGCTAATTTTTGTATTTTTAGTAGAGATTGGGTTTCACCATGTTGGCTAGGATGGTCTCAATCTCTTGACCTCATGATCCACCCGCCTCAAAAAATGCCCTATCTTAACAAGAGCCTTTGGGGGGAAAATTCCAGTGGCAAACTTCTGGCATCTTCTTGACAGGCAGCAGCTTAACTACAGTTATCACATTCACAAATGAAGTGGTAAAAAATATTGAATTTTATTATACTTTTTGGTTTGAGGAAGCCACTAATGTGGCCACTAAACATGATGTTCAAATGAAACCTTCTGGGAAGTTTTTCAGGGATTACCAGGATAACCTAGAATCTCAACTAGCCTTTGACATTATTAGAAACAGTGTCCCAATGGTAGAGCACATTATTCAGAAACTTAGATTTTCTCAGATCAGCACCTCAAAGTACTTATACTAAGACACAGGACATCTCCAGCTCAACATGTCAGAGTAACACACTGCTGACATGTACAGAGTGACTCACCAATCTAGACGCACTTCTATGGAGCTCCATTGCTGGAAGATCAAGTGGAAATACACACGGAAAGGCAAAGAACTTCTATCTGTTCACAATTTATGATGCTCGCTATCTGCCTGACATCTATGTCTCTTTCTTAATGTTTACATATCATTTCAGGTCCTGTGTTCCCAGGATGGAGACTGAGAGTGAGCACAGATGGATGTAAGCATCACAAAATATGCCCAAAAAAACACTGACCAGAGGTCAGGTCATGTCACTTGGTTAACATAACTCTTAATACAAAACATGGTTTGCATTTAATGATAGACACATAAAGCAAACTCTATACAAATGAGTCAGAGCCTCCAAAAGTAACTCGGAAATTACTGACAATACCTGAGATAATATTTTAAGATGCTTTGTTTTTCACTATTAGGAAGTAAAACTATGATTTGCATTAGGCCACTTAGTCACTAAAGGTAAATTTGGCTACAGGCCTCCCACCAAATCCATTAGCCATCTATGTCCTACATGTTGAATAATCACAGCCTGAACTTGCATGCTTTGAAAACTTCTCTGTCTCCAAGAAGATGGTATTCAAAGTGTCAAGTTTCATTTCTGTGCGATGCCCGCCAGTGGCGTGATGAAGGGATTAAAGTCATTTTGGGAATTACATTTATAATCTACCAATCTAATGACCAGGATTTGAGTTATCAGCTTTTGGAAGAAATAAATGTTGAGGAAGTGAGGGAGGGAGAAAAAAATTTATACAAAAGAACGAAGCTTCCAACTCAAATACATTGTGTTTTAAGTGCACTATTAAAACTATTCCATAAGGAATAGTTTAGGAAGTTACCAGAAAGTGATAGAAACTGTGTGCTCACCTGAACAGGATTTCAGGGTAAACTTTGTCTTCATCAAAGAATGGACAGTAGCCAGGTCCAGTGGCTCAGGCTGTAATCCAGCACTTTGAGAGGTGGAGTTGGGAAGATCCCTTGAGGCCCGGAGTTACAGACCAGCCTGGTCAATATAGTGGGACCCCATCTCTTAAAAAAAAAATAAAGAAAGAGAAAGGAAGGAGGGGAGGGGAGTGGAGGGGAGGGGAGGGGAGGCGAAAGGGAAGGGGGAAGTGTGGAGGGATGGAGGGGGAAGGGGGAGGGAGGGAGGAAGGAAGAAAGGAAGGAGTTACAGTTACAGTTTGAATGGAGGGATGCCTCACTGTTGCCCCACATGTGTTGCTGGGGCTTGCACCCCTTTGTTGTATCTCTACCCTAACTGGGCCATCAGCTTTTTAGCGGACCACACATGAACCCTCTGTTTTACAAGCAAGACAGAACATGAGTTCACAGACACTGACAACTGATTTGTCTCTCTTTGGTTATTCTTTGGTTTTTTTTCATTGCCTCATCTTGATTTATATGCATAAGCATCTTGATTTATTTTTGCAAAAAAAAACTTCCAAAAATAAAAGTTTTGTAGTTTACCTAGGAATAATACACAAAATATTGCATTTTTGTGAGGAAAAGCTATTTGTATAGTTTATTTCAATCTAATAATATTTGAAATTTGTTTGAAAAGCAAAATAAAAAGAAGCACTGCAGAGTAACTGTGTGATTGCCTGATGGGTTGTCCTGCCTGCTACACAGACAAAACCAATTCACTGGGAACACGGTACTATAGTAAAGAATAAGTTTAATTAACTAAGGCCAGCCAAGTGGAAGAACTGGAGTTATTACTAAAATCAGTTTTGCTGAGAACTCAGAAGCCAGAGTTTTTATGGATAATTTGGTGGGCAGGGGGCTAGGGAATGGATGCTGCTGCTTGGTTGGGGATGAAATCATAGGGGTGTGGAAAACAGTCTTCATGCATTGAGTCGGCCTCTGGGTGTGCGCCACAGGACCAGCTGAGTTATGCATCATGGGTCCGGGTAGGATCAGTTGGTTACCAGAATGCAAAAGTCTGAAAAATACATCAAAAGATCAATCTTAGATTCTACAATAGTGATGTTATCTATAGGAGCAATGACTCCTGGGCAGTAAGAGAGTATGAAAACTATGCCCATATTTAGCAGAATTCAGGCCGTCCCATAATCCTAACCTCGTGGCCTTTCATTAGACTTACAAAGGCAGTTTTAGTTCCTGGACAAGGAGAGGGTCATTTTAGGGAGAGACTACTGCTTTCAAGTTAAACTATAAACTAAATTCTTCCCATGGTTAGCTTGGCCTATGACCAGGAATGAGTGAGGACAGCCAGCCTGTGAACCTAGAAGCAAGACGGGGTCAGCCATGCTAGATTTTTCTGACTGTCATAATCTTTGCAAAGGCAGTTTCAACTGTCCAGATTATTTAGGTCACTCAGGTGAAATGTATATGATGCACATGTAAACTAACAACATTCAGCTTTTGTCATATGAGTGACTATGTAAATGTGAATAAATTACATTTTAGCTGTTGATAAGACATATGTGCATTATTGCATAAGTATGCAAATACTAACTCCCTCTTCTTCCTCAAGGCACTTTGAACTAAAGAGTCCTCAAATCTGAACATTCTTTTTATTAAAATAAATTTGTGCTCCAAAAAGCATATAAAGCAATTTATAAAAGCATCTAAAATAAAACACACATGAAGTAAATGGGGAAAGTAGAAACTAACAAAAAATTAGGATAGGCAAAATAAGATTATACCAGGAGGAAAATGAGGACATAAAATTCATATCCTGGTGTATGGTTAAGAAGTTTACGTGATTCATGGGAGACAGGAGAATCGATCCTTCAAGTATTCCAAGATGACATCTTAAAAGCTAGAAAACTATGTCCTCAACAACAATCTTTAAGGCAAGCATAGTAATGAATGTCCTAGAGCTTTTTCTTATAAAGCCAATGAGAAAAATTGTCCCACATTTGGAAAATGATTAAATAGTGACTACTTAAATTTTTTTGCTATGCATTTTTTTTTTTTTTTGAGATAGAGTCTTGCTCTGTCACCCAGGCTAGAGTGCAGTGACACAATCTCGGCTCACTGCAACCTCCACTTCCTAGGTTCAAGCAATTCTCCTGCCTCAGTCTCCCAAGTAGCTGTGATTACAAGTGTATGATACCACCACACCGGCTAATTTTAGTATTTAGTAGAGATAGGGTTTTGCCATGTTAGCCAGGCTGGTCTCAAACTCCTGACTTCGTGATCCACCTGCCTTGGCTTCCCAAAGTGGTGGGATTACAGGCGTGAGCCATTGTGCCCAGTCACATTTTCTAGTATTAGAAAATAACATGACTGCTTGAATAAAAGCAGGACATTGTTAAAGGGAACTCTCATTTGATATTCGGGGGGAATGCAAGTTTGTTGTCACATTTTTTAAATTAATAGCACACAATTCATAGAAGCATAGCCCTCTAAAAAGAGATTACCTTGCTGAAACTGAAAAAGTGTTAGGATTTTATAGCCTTTTTAAATAAGTAAATTAACCCCAAACAAGATACCACTATATACCTATTACAATGGCCAAATTCCAGAACACTGACAATAACAAATGCAGGTGAGGAAGTGGAGCAACCAGAGCTCTCATTTGTCAATGAAAAGAGTCAAATTCTAAAAAAATCTTTGAAGAGATTTACTTTGAGCTAAATATGAGAGACCAATGACCCGTGACACAGCCCTCAGGAGATCCTGAGAACATGTGTCCAAGGTGGTCAGGGTACAAGTTGGTTTTATACAATTTAGGGAGATATAAGACATCAATTAATACATGTAAGATGTATACTGGTTAGGTCTGGAAAGGCAGGAAAACCGGAAGTGGGGACTTCCAGGTCATAGTTGGATTCACAGGTTTTCTGACTGGCAATTGTTTGAAAGAGTTATTATCTAAAGACCTGGAATCAATAGAAAGGAATGTCTGGGTTAAGATAGGCAGTTGTAGAGACCAAAGTTTTATCATGCAGGCGAAGCCTCCAGGTAGCAGGCTTCAGAGAGAATAGATTGTAAAGGTTTCTTATCAGACTTAAAGACTCTATTCTATCAGTAATTCCAAAATGGAGGAGGGCATAATGAGGCAGGTCCAGCTCCTCCTTCCCATCATGGCCTGAAAGTTGACCTGAACTAGTTTTTCAGGTTAACTTTGGAATGCCCTTGGTCGAGAGGAGGGGTCCAATCAGATGGTTGGGGGGCTTAGAATTTTATTTTTGGTTTATACATTCATTTCTGTTAGAAAGGAAAAAAAGGTACAGTTACTTTGGAAGATAGTTTGGCAGTTTCTTACAAAACTAAACATACTCTTACCATATGATCTAACAAACATACTCCTTGGTATTTACCCAAAGGAGTTGAAAATATGTCCACAGAAAAACCTGCACATGGGTGTTTGCAGAAGCTTCTTTTTTTTTTTTTTTTAATTTTATCATTGTCCAAACTTGGAAGCAACCAAGATGTTGTTCGGTAAGTGAATAGATAAATAACTATGCTACAACCAAGCAATGGAATATTATTTGGCACTAAAAATAAATGAGCTATCAAGCCCGAAAAGATATGGAGGAAACTTAAATAATGCATATTGCTAAGAGAGAAGCCAGTCTGAAAAGACTACTGTTCTGCAATGGGCAGGTCTATGGAAATCTACCCCTAAAGTCTGCGGAAGCTAAGAGGCCAAGAAAGAGGCTGACACATTTGGTTTCTCAGGAAAAAACAAACAAACAAACAAACAAAAACATTTAATAGGGACTTAGGAAGAGAAGCCACAATGTCCTGGGCAGCTGCCAGACAAGGTGTTGGATTCCCACACTATGACCCCCACAGACCCAGGGCTTCCATGTCATAGGGAAGGAATGTGTAGGACAATTATAGGGAAAGGCAAGATGCTATGTGAATCTGCCTAGAGCAGAATTTATGGTCAAGGGAGTTTTGACCTAAGGGCAGGATTTACAGTAAGTACAAGCTCTTACACAAGGAACAGTAGATAAAATGGAAGATAGCAGCCTTCCCTAAATTGAGGTTAATCAAGAAGTCAACAGGGCGGATTGGCATCCAAGATGGAGTTGCGTTAGCCTCCACAACTACATACAATGATTCCAACTATATGACATTCTAGAAAAGGCAAAACTATGGAGACAGTAAAAAAGAAGACTAGTGTTGCCAGGAGTTAGGGTGCAGGGATGAATAAAGCAAAGCACGGAGGATTTTTAAGGCAGTGAAACTACTCTGTATGATATACTACAATGGTGGACACATGTCCCTACACATTTGCCCAAACCCAGAGAATGTACAACACCAAGAGTGAATTCCAATGTAAACTGTGGACTTTGGGTGATGATGACATGTCAGTGTAGGTTCATCAACTGTAACAAATGCACCACTCTGGTGGGGGATGTTAATAGTTGGGGAGGCTGTGCATGTGTGTGGCAGGGGCCATATGGGAAATCTCTATTTTCCACCCCATTTTGCTGTGAACCTAAAACTGCTCTAAAAAAATAAAATCTTTTTTAAAAAGTTAACCCAAAAGTATATGGTTTTATTGCCCTAAAGAAAGTTAACCAGGCATATTGTACCTAACTTAGCTATTTTAGAGAATCCTTTTCTCTTCAAGTATTTAAATCCTGTTCCTCAAATACACTCTGAACTAGGTCTCATTGCTGCCACCAACGGTTCACTCATTTTAGGAGTTAAATGAGGGGGAGTTAATTGAGTTTTATTGGAAAACGGCCACACTCAGTCGTTTTCATATCATCTATGGCTGCTTTTGTAGCAGAATGGAATAGTTGTGACACAGACTAAATGGTCTGAAAAACCTAAAATATTTGCTATCTGGGCCTTTCCAAAAAAGTTTGTAAACTCCGGGCCAAATAAAACTTTGACACTTGCTCGAATCTGGTATGAAAATTTTGCTTGTAGCATCAGTTAACATCAGCAGATGATATGATACCAAAAAGTACTTGGTATCATCAGTTAACATCAGCAGATGATACGATACCAAAAAGTACTTGGTATCAGTTGCTTTTGGTAAAAGCAATTCTACAGAGGGCCAAAATACTTTAGCTAAAAACCACTGATTCAGAATCTCTAAGGCTGGGACCCAGAAATCTGGGTTTTAACATAGTCTCTGAGGGACTCTTATGCATACTCCAGTTGGAGAATCGCTGGAGCCCACTGGCCTAGCCCAGTGGTGGATGTACAGATTCTGACTCAGAAAGTCTGAAGTGCAGCCCAAGATTCTGCTTTTCTCACAAGCTCCCACATGATGGCGATGTTGCTGGTCTGAGGGCCTTAGTTTCCTCACCTGCGTAATGGAGATGATAAAAATCTATTTCATAGGGTTGTTGTGGGTAGTAAATGAAGTCATAATGTCCATTTATATCCTGCCCCCACCCCTTTCAAGCTATGTCTATTGGGGCAAGTTACCGAATGTCTTGGTTCCTATAAGTGGAGCTAAATAATATTGCCCACATCACAAGGTTGCTGGAAGGAGCAAATGAGATAATAAACATAAAGTACCTAGAACAGAGCCTGGAACACTGTAAAGGCTCAATAATGTAAGATACTATTATTACTATTATCATTATCGTTACATAGGGTGTCTGATCATAGCAGATATTCCATCAGTGTTAGTTTCCTCCCTACTCCCTCTCCTATCCATCCTCTCATCCCTACCCCTCCCTCTAGTGTCTTCTGTTGATTTCTTTTTTATTTTTGTTTAGAGATGCTGTCTCACTCTGTTGCCCAGGCTGGCATACAGTGGTGCAATCATAGCTCACTGCAGCCTCAAACTCTTGGGCTCAAGCGATCCTCTCACCTTAGCCTCTGGAGTGGCTGTGGCTACAGGTGCACATTACCACAACTGGCTAATTTTAAAAAGTGTTTTGTAGAGATGGAGTCTCGCTATGTTGCCCAGGCTGGTCTTGAACTCCTGGCCTCAAGTGATTCTCTGGCTTTGGCCTCCCAAAGGGATGGGACTATGGGCACAAGCCACTGCACCCAGCCCTCCTTCTGTTGATTTCTAATGTGTCTAATTAGATAACTTCTATAGGAATGCTGATTCAGAAATACCTGAACCCAGGTGGCCCTACCTGACAGTCCAGAGGTGCCACACAAACAGGGACCCAAAATGAGCTTGGACATTGACTGTGCTGCCCAGGCCCCTCTGCCCACCCCCTCTCAGGCAGGCTTTTGGTAGAGAGTTTGGGAGAACAAGGGAAAGTGGGCTTGCCAGTCCTTCCCACCTCAGGGGAGCACCATTTCCAGGGCTGCCTGAACATTCTTACTCTGCAGCACATTAATCTACGTGGCACCAAGTTTATTTTTCTGAGAAGATTATTTGGGACAATATATGGAAAATCTGAGAAGTCATTTCTCTTTGGCAGCACTGCCCTCCATAACAAAGCACATATTCCTGAAGGGCATCTGGATTTTGTTTCAGGTTTCTTTTTGCTTCCTCAGGGTTTAAGTGCTGCCAGGAATGGCCTTCTAAGAATTGCTTAGCAAACCTTAATCTCCAGACTCAGGGTGGTGGGGATAATCACATTTTTTGCCCGAAATGACCAAATTGAAACCATCCCCACAGGGTTGACAAGAATGGCATGCTGGGTTCTGGACAGAAATATAGTTATAATTAAGAATGAATCAGCCGGGCGCGGTGGCTCACGCCTGTAATCCTAGCACTTTGGGAGGCCAAGGCCGGCAGAGTGCCTGAGCTCAGGAGTTCGAGACCAGCCTAGGCAACACGGTGAAACCCCATCTCTGCTAAAATACAAAAGAAATTAGCTGGGCATGGCAGCATGTGCCTGTAGTCCCAGCTACTCGGGAGGCTGAGGCAGGAGAAATGCTTGAACCTGGGAGGCAGAGGTTGCAGTGAGCCGAGATCGTGCCACTGCACTCCAGCCTGGGGCGACAGAGCAAGACTCCGTATCTACAAAAAAAAAAAGAACTAATCAGACAGGCACGGTAGCTCACACGTCTAATCCCAGCACTTTGGGAGGCCAAGGTGGGTGGATCGCTTGAGTTCAGGAGTTCGAGACCAGCCTGGCCAACACGGTAAAACCTGGTCTCTACTAAAAATACAAAAATTAGCCAGGCTTGGTGGCATGTGTCTGTAATCCTTGCTATTCAGGAGGCAGAGGCATGAGAATCACTTGAACCTAGGAGGCAGAGGTTGCATTGAGCCAGTATTGTGCCACTACACTCCAGCCTACCTGGGCAACAGAATGAGACTCTGTCTTAAAAAAAAAAAAAAAAAGAACTAATCAGGCCACAATTCAGCACACTTCCTTGTTGCCAAAAGTCACTAGATCCTGACCATTTGCATCCCCATTGTTCCTAAAGATAGGATTTCTGACATTAAGATTATAATGATGGAGACAGGAGGCAGAGAAATTCTAGGCAGACAGGGGCAGGTCCCTGGCAAAGTCCCATCCTCAAGCCAAAAAGCCTGAGACTGCAGCCCAAAGTGAGAACTTACATCCCTGTTCTCCCGCTCAAATGTTGCCTTTTCCAAAACCACCCATGGCCCGCCCTGCCCCCTATCCTGTGCTTATAAAAACCCCAGACTCAGCCGGCAAAAAGGAGAAGCAGCTGGACATCAGAGACTATGGCTCAACGTCTGAGAGAAGTGGCTTGACTTCAGAGAGACAGCTTGACAGCATAACTTCAGAGAAGAATCTGGCCAGAGACAGCCGGACTTCAGGGGAAGATTACCTTCCCACCCCATCCCCTTTTCAGCTCCCCTTCCTGCTGAGGGCCACTTTTATCAGCGATAAAATCCTGTTTTTACCATCTTTCAATTCCTTCGTCCAAACTCATTTCTCCTGGATGCCAAACAAGAGCCTAGGAGCCACAAGTGCAGATGCAAAAGGCTGTCACACTGGCCCTTTGCCCTCACTGGTGGAAGACAGCTCCCTCACATGAAAAGGCAGAGGGAGGCTCTGCAGAGCTGCTAACACTTAAGCTGTCTGCAAATGGCAGAGCTAAAAGACCACTGTAACACTCCCTCTGGGGCTTCAGGGGTTGCAGGAACCCCACCAGATACTGCCTTGGGGGCATGCATGGAGTTTGCTCCTGCTGGTGCTCAAAAGTGCTCACCTGGCTCCTGCACCTGCTCACCTGTGTGCTCCCTCCCATAAGGGGTGGAGAGCAGTGAGTCCGAATGAGTGGAGTTCACTCCTGCTGGTGACGAAGTGGCCAGCTGATTCCAGTGGTTGTGTACTCCAGTTCCTGCCTTATTTGCTCATGCGCTCCCTCCCGCAAGGAGTTGAGAGCTGTGGGCTGAGTAAATGGGGCACCCCTATTGCGAGTCCTGCAAAGCGGTCAGGGAAATATCCTACTTCAATAAGACTGTTTAAAAATGGATTTGCATCCCTGTTGTTCCTATAGAGATGATCTCTGACGGAATCATAAGGCTTTTGTTTAAGGATTGCTTAAGATGTTCTCAGATCCAAATTTCAGCGACCAGTTTGGAGACCCTCACAGAAGAACGGGATGAGCATAAGAACACAGCTTCTTCATCTCCCTGTCCCATGACTTCACCCTGTGCTCTTCGACCAGTGAACACTCTCCACACTTGGGCCCACTCCAAAACCCTAAAGACTGTAGCCCCAAACTCCTCAGACAGATGGATTTAAGATTCCCTCCCATCTCCTCCTTTGGTGACCCTATAGGTAAATGCTTTATCTGCTAAAACCCAGTGTCTCTGGCACTGGTCATGGAGTGCCTTCTCACAAGAGCAAAATTGAGTGTAAGGTACATTTTCTTCCACAAGCCAGGTATTCCATAAGCACCACCAGCATCAGCAGATCCAGCTACAGATTCAGTGACTATGATCAACTCCACAGACCATCAGCTTGCTTTGTTGAGAGGATTCTGTCCTAATAAACACACTGCTAAGACTAACATTCCCAATCCACAGGACCTAGAATAAAAGAAAATTCAGGCTACTTAGAGAATAGGTAAATGAAAGATGAAAAAGGGAGGGACAATCAACAGTATTGAGCACCTGTGCTTTGCCAAGCACCATACTACTTGGGATCATGTAGCCCTTCATGAAAATTTGTGATAAATGTTTTACCATCATCCTTTCCTTCCTTCTTTCCCTGGGCTATTCCTTCCTCCCTTCCTTCTTCCCTGAGTAAGTCAGTCAAAAAGGCATTTGATAACCTCCCCTCCCCTCCCCTTCAAGGGAGAAGAGGCTATTACAGCAGAGGAAGAGGAAGGGGCTGGAAAGCCAAAGAAGCAACTAGCATGCTAGGAAGGTGAGTCACATACAGGGGAACTGAGGGTGGAAAAAAGAAAGAAAGGACAGAGGCTGCTCCTTTAGCCTGGATCCCAGAGCCAATTCACAGGAGCAGCAGCATGTAACATGAGTAAAAATTAACCTTTGTGGGGGCAAGCCACTGAGATTTCATGGTCATTTGTGTGAAAGGAAAATGAATCTTGGGGCCCCAAAATCACTAAGCTAAAGGGAAAAGTCAAGCTGGGAACTGCTTAGGACAAACCTGACTCCCTTCTATTCAAGTCATCCCTCTGCTCACTGAGATAAATGTATATCTGATTGCCTCCTTTAGAAAGGGTAATCAGAAGCTCAAAAGAATGCTAGCATTTGTTTCTTATCTACCTAAGACCTGGAAGCCCCCTCCCAACTTCGAGATGTCCCACCTTTCCAGACCAAACCAATGTTCATCTTACATATGTTGATGGATGTTTCATATCTCCCTAAAATGTACAAAACCAAGCTGTGCTCTGACCACCTTGGGCACATGTCGTCAAGACCTCCTGAGGCTGTCACAGGCGCATATCCTTAACTTTGGCAAAATAAACTTTCTAAATTAACTGAGACCCGTCTTAGATTTTGGGGGTTCACATTTGTTACCCACAGCAAGCCGGGTCTAAGCCAACTGATACAGTAACTGGTAAATAACTTCTGTTCTTAGAGTGTGAATACAGCTTGTCTCTCTCATATCAAAGCCCATGGTCCTTCCACTTGATATATAGAATTGTTTATTGATTTAAAAACCATTTTATTGATTAAACTGGCCTTTGTAGAACTCAGCTGCTCTGAGCTTGTCCACTTCTCAGCACTTAGGGAAAATTTCATTTTATAATCCTTTTTAGTCCTCTTATTCCTCTGCAGCAGAACAATTATTCCACCAATACTGTGGAAAAGTTAGCCTAGTCTGAAAAATATTTCAGCTACAAATACCTAAAAATGCAGGATAAAATATGGCTGAGCTAGCAAGAAAGTAAGAGAAATAGTCCAAGTATTTAAACTGCTCTGAAATACTAAAGGACTGAAAATGGAATGAGACCAGGAGTCCAAAGAGAGGTTAATGAGCAATAAAGCTAATGATTGTTTGAAGGGCAGGGCAGATCTAGACTGCTGGGGATTAAAGATACACACACAAACACACATATAACATATATAGGTGTGTATGTATATATATATACATATAGTTATTTTGAGAGTTTAAGACTTAAAGAAAGTTGCAAAAATAATACAGAGTTCCTGTGTTACCCTTCACCCAGCTTCTGCAATAATAATGTCTTACCTATTCACAGCACTTTGGTAAAAGCAGGAAACTGATACTGGTAAAATACTGTTAATACAGGTATAGATCTTATTTGTGTTTTACTAGTTTTGAATGTACCACTTTGCATTTTTGGTGTATAGCTCTATGAATTTTATCACATGTATAGATATGAGTAACTGTCAACACAAAGAAACTCTGTCGTGTTACCTCTTAACAGTCAGACCCTTGTCCCAACCATAACATTTGGCAATCATGGATTTGTTCTTCAATGCTATAATTTTTCTTTGGCTATGAGAATGGTATCTAGATGGAATCATACAGTATACAACACTTTAAGACTGGCTTTTAAAAACTCACCACAATGCCCTTGAGATTCATTCAAGTTGTACGTATCAATAGCTCATTACTTTTTATGGCTGAGTAGTGTCCCATGGCATGGATATACTCCAGTTTGCTTTCTATTCATTCACTAAGGACTGTTTGGCTTGTTTACAGTTTTTTTGTTTTTTTGTTTTTGAGATGGAGTCTCACTCTGTCGCCCAGGCTGGAGTGCAGTGGTGCAATCTTGGCTCACTGCAACCTCTGCCTCCCGGGTTCAAGTGATTCTCCTGCCTAAGCCTCCTGAGTAGGTGGGACTACAGGTACATGCCACCACGCCTGGCTAATTTTTTGTATTTTTAGTAGAGACGGGGTTTCGCCATGTTGCCCAGGCTGATCTCAAACTCCTGACCTCATGATCCGCCCGCCTTGGCCTCCCAAAGTGCTGGGATTACAGGTGTGAGCCACCATGCCTGGCCTGTTTTCAGTTTTTGACTATTAAAAATAAAGCCACCATGACATTCATGTACAGAGTTTTGTTTGAACATAAGTTTTGGTTTGTCTAGGATAAATACCCAGGAGTGTGATTGCTGGGTGATATGATAAGCATATGTGCAACTTTATAAGAAACTGTCAAACTGTTTTCTAGAGTGGTTATGCCATTTTATAGTCCTACCAGCAATGTTTGAGAGATCCGGTTGCTCTGCATCCTCACTAGCATTTAGTGCTGTCAGTACTTGTTATTTTAGCCATTTAAATAGGTGTGTAGTAGAATCTCATTGTGGTTTTAATATACATTTCCCTAATGGCCAATGACACTGAACACTGTTTTACATGTTTATTTGCCATCTGTATATCTTCTTTGGTGAAATGACTATTCAAGTCTTTGATCCATTTTCTAACTGGACTGTTTACTTACTCTGAGTTTATATGGTTCTTTATATATTCTGGATATGAGTCCTTTGTTGGATACATGCTTTGCAAATATTTTCTCCTAGTCCATGGCCTGTCTTTAAACCTTAGTGTTAATTGCCATGAAGGCACTGTCAACAAAGTCTACACTTCAGGAAAGGTGCAGAATGGAGTTCTCTGGATATAGTCAAATCACCTGAAGAGCTTTACCCTCAGAACAGGCGAACTAGAAAAAATTCTACAAGCCAAAGAAATAAATAGCAAGCTGAAAGATAGATCTGAAGAAATTAGCCAGAATGTGGCTCAGAGAAACAAAATGATGCAATATTTTAAAAATAATAATTTAGAACCTCAGAAGGTTTAACCTATGCCTAATAGGAATTCCAGGAGGAGAGTCTAGAGTAATGTTGTCCAATACAGTAGTAGCCAATAGCCACATGTCACTACTTAAAATGTAAATTAATTAAAACTAAATGAAGTTAAAAATGCAGTTCCTTGGTTGTACTGGCCACATTTCAGATGCTCAATAGCCACATGTGGCTGGTGGCTACCATATTGGACAGTGCAGATATAGAATACTACAGGAAATCCTACTGGACAGTGCTGATCTAGGTCATAAAACAAGTCTGAACAAATTTCAAAGAACTGGTATGATACAGATGTTTTGTGGAAATAAACTAGACATTAGAAATTAAAAACAAAATAACTCCTACTGCCTCCTCTCACCTTTTTCCCCATTACAATTCCACCTCTTAATGTCTTCATGTTCTTGATGAGAAGCAGAACGTCCCTACTGTGTTCCATGGCACCAAGTTCCCCAGAACCCGCCAGTCTCTGATGACAGAACATCCTGGACCGCCCAGCTCCACACCCCAACCCAAGAAGTTCTCTAAAACACTGACCATGACAGCCTGGGGTAGGTTTCCACTTTAACATTCTGACCAAAATTCTCAACTCGATGCAGTCAGAGTCTGCGCAACCTGGGACCTCGAGCCAAGAAATCCTCAAGTGACCTTACTTGGCAAAACCAACAAAACAACCAAATACAGGTCTCAAGCGATTTACAGCTCGGTGCTTAACTCGGTCACCGGCCGAGGGGCAGCCCTCTGGCGCCAAAGCCCCGCCTCTCTATGACGTCACACGAGGAGCCCTGAAGTGGCGGTCAAGCTTGAGGCGTCATCTGGCTGCGCCTAGTGGGCCGTTGCCTTACAGTTGCTGAGAGGAGGCGAGAGGCGGGGGCGCTAGGGCCGAGATCATGTCTGACTGGGAGAGGTTTCCTTGGCAGCAGAGGACGCTAGGTTTGGGATGAAAGAAGCTGGGCAGATGCAAAATCTGGAGAGCGCGAGGGCCGGGCGGTCAGTCAGCACCCAGACTGGCAGCATGACCGGTGAGTGTCCGGGACCCTGCTCCCGCCACCCTACCTTTCGCTCTGCCCTGTGCGTCTCCCGTCATTGAACTCCAGATTCCTTGTCTGAGCCTCTTTGCCTCCCCTGCTGCTTTTGGATGTCTCCTGCCCGCCCTCTGCGTGTCCCCTCCGCGGTCGCCAGGACCAATCGGCTCGGTCGCACTGGCTTTTGAAGTCTCGCTTTTTACCCCTGTTAGCTACTTCTCACAGGACCTAGAGCTGGGGCCTCTGAGGTCAAAGAGCCTGAACATTTCCAAACGGCGCTTTTGCCTTGATTTCCAAATTAACCGCACGTGACGCTTTCCTGTATTTCGACTGCTTTACCGTCGAAGGTCAGCGCATTTTTCGGGTTGTGTTCTAATCGCTTTCCTTTTAGCAACGCCCCATCACAGTCCAAAGAAAAGCTTGCACCACGACGACGTCAGATGCGAAGACTTTTCACAGCTTGCTTTGGGTTGTCCCCCTCAGCTATGTGTATTAGCTGTACCGTTTTTTCCTGCAGGGTGAGGGCTGGAGAAAGAAGGCTCAACTTTTTAAGTGGAGAAGGAGGTAGCCACGACTAAGGCTGAAGCGTCTACTGCTAAGATACCTCTGACTCTCTTGTCCCCTATCTTTTTCTGTGCCTCTTGCGAAAGCAGCTGGGCTTAGGCTGCAGCACCTAAGTGGCATTGAGATTGGCTCCCTTTTTCACCATTAGTAACAAAGTTTAAAGTGTTTGTCGTCTCTTTTGTAGGTCAGATACCAAGGCTTTCTAAAGTCAACCTTTTCACTCTGCTCAGCCTCTGGATGGAGCTCTTTCCAGCAGAAGCCCAGCGGCAAAAATCTCAGGTATAATTTGTTTCATAGTTTTTCCCCTTAGAAAAGCAGTGGTTTAAAATCTGAGTTTATTGCTCCAGTTTCTGTCATACCTAAAACCAAACTTAACAAGGCTTAAGATTTAAAAAATATCTTTATTGATTAACATGACACTTTATAATTCCCAGCCGTAATAAGTCATCTTCCATTCTAAAAATACTTTCTGAGAATACCATGTTTATCGGGTACTAATGGTATTCATATGTCAGTTCGGCTAATAAGATTATTGTCTATACCACATAATTTCCCCCAATTATATATACTGTTGGTGTTTTATCTAGGTAGTTTACTCCTCTGCCACAGAAATATATAAATTGCCTGGAGATAGAGACCATGTCTTATTTTACCTAGCATATACCCTTTAGAGTCTAGCATTATATGAGTGCTAATTGATTAATGTTGGATGGAAGTAGTCTCTTTTTGGATCTTGAAAGACAGGATCAAAACAGATTAGAAATGGGCTGTGTGCAGTGGCTCACGCCTGTAATCCTAGCACTTTGTGAGGCTGAGGTGGGTGGATCACCTGAGGTCAGGAGTTCAAAACCAGCCTGGGCAACATAGTGAAACCCCATCTCTATTAAACATACAAAAATTAGCCAGGAGTGGTGGTATCCGCCTGTAGTCCCAGTTACGCGGGAGGCTGAGGCATGAGAATCGCTTGAACGAATCGTTGGAGGTTACAGTGAGCTGAGATTGCACCACTGCACTCCAGCCTGGGTGACAGAGCAAGACTCCATCTCAAAAAAAAAATCAGAAATGTATAGTAAGAATAATCATAAAAGCCAATATATTGGAATTGGAAGTATAAACATCCTGCGTCTTTTCTTTCTCCTACCCTTGGGGCAACAAGGGGCTAGGTTCTCATTTTCCTCCATGCTTGGAATGGCATGATGCTAGGTTCTCATCATTTCTGTTTGATAATTTTGGAAGCTTAGGGTGTTGGCATTAATTTTTATAGGGGGCCACGGCCATTGGAAAATAGTATTAGGTTAAGTTGAGCATTTAAGACTTTTTTTAAAACAGAGGTAAAATGAGGGGGGTGGGGCAGAAAATTACACATGGCTTCTCACCACTCTAACAACATTACTGTTAATATTTTGGTGCTTCCAATCTTAAGCATGAGGTTTTTTATTTTTACTCTTACAAAGTTGTAGTTATATTCTGCATGTACTCGCTGAGGTTTCCAACTTGCCCATAATTCTGCTGAAAGGTTGCTTTAGATTTTCCAGAGAAAGACTATAAATCCTTAAATTCCCACAGTACTCTTAGGAGACCACCTACTCTTTTCATTTTACTGTGGATGAGGTTTTGTGCTTGGCACTGGAGACACAAAGCAGAAAAAACATGGTCTTTATTTTCTAATGAGTAGAAACACTAGGCATTTAAACAATTAAAACAGAATTGGTGGAGTGAGTACATAGTATAAGCAGAGATGTTGGCAAGACTGGGAGCCAGGCTCTATATGGGGAAGTGAAGGAAGGATTCACAGAGAAGGTCGTATTTGCACTGAGACATGAAGGATTAGTGGACTTTTGCCCAAGCCAAGGAACTCTACATGGAAAAGCTTGGAGCAATGAGAGAATTTGTGGTCCTCAGGCCAGAAAGTGAAGTTAGGTAGAGGGAAGAGACTGGAAAGGAGCTTGACAATGTAGACAGGAATCATATCATAAAAAGCATTGTATGCCTTGCAAAGGAGTTTAGATTTTATCTTATCAATATAGGAATTGCATTGAGGAATTTTAACAGGATGTGAGGATATTCGCTTCTCATAATAAAATGATATCTCTTGGTGTAGTTTCCTCCCCCAATTCCTATGTGAAGTGTTTTATAGATAGTAAAACATTATTTAAAATATTATACATCGTTATTCCATATTTCTCACCCTCATCCCCCCACTCTGGCTCTACATGTTATTAACGGCTGAGAAAGCTCTTCATTTCCTTCATTAATTTTGAAATTCCTTTATTCCTTCTACTTGTTAATAGTTTAGTATTATTTTATGAAAGTAGATTTCCAAGCTGTTAGGGATTTTATGTAGTGTTGTGTTTTTTTTGTTTTGTTTTGTTTTGTTTTCAGATAAAATTTATTTTGAAGAGCCAGATTAGAAACAAATATTTAGAGGTTTAAGACTTTTAGGCCGGGTGCAGTGGCTCATGCCTGTAATCCCAGCACTTTGGGAGGCCGAGGCAGGCAGATCACAAGGTCAAGAGATCGAGACCATCTTGGCCAACATGGTGAAACCCCGTCTCTGCCAAAAATACAAAAAGTAGCTGGGCGTGGTGGTGCGTGCCTGTAGTCCCAGCTACTTAGGAGGCTGAGGCAGGAGAAACACTTGAACCCAGGAGGCAGAGATTGCATTGAGCTGAGATCACGCCACTGCACTCCAGCCTGGCGACAGAAAAAAAAAGAAAAAAAAAAGAAAAAAAAACGTATAAAAACTGGACATATTAGAGATTGAATACAAATTTTGAAAAGGCGTTCTTTTTTTTGTAAATATCCAGATGTGATCTCGTTTTAGTTCTGTTTTTTTATATACACACCACATCCTGTGCTGAAATTAAGTTTTTTTTTTCAACAGGCACAAGTTGTATTTAATTAGTGAGAAATGACATTTATGTTTCTATTAGGAAGGAATTGATTGGCCAACTAATTGTTGAAGTTTATTTGCAAATAATACACACCCTACTGTTTCCTCATACTATATAGAGAAAGCTGTGGATCTGAGAAAACTGAGATGAAGCTTTCAGTTAGCATTTTGTTAAAAAAAATACTACCAAGGAAATTTCAAAACTATATTAGCAACAAAATTTTATACAACTTTATATCATGTTTAACAAAAGATCAAGGTTATGACTCTCATTTTCTCCCAAGCCAACAACTCTTAAGTTTTCCTGGCATCTCATTCCTTCATCTGGTGGGCACCATGGAAGTTTTCTAAATGAAAATAAATAAGTCTTTTGTTTCAGATATTTTATTTGGGATCTTATTTAGAAATCTGACTCATACGCATGTCTATTTAAGGCTTTTAAATGGAAAGTTATAACACATAGAAATGAGTACAGAAGGCATCAAAACAAAGAACATCCATGTCTTCAGAAAGCCAGGCAACCTGGAACTAGGATTGACTTGGCTATATGAAAGGTTATCACTCTTAGCTCCTGGTCCTGGAGCATGCCCAGCTCCTATTCACTGCATTGGTGTCTTTCCAGCTGTGCTCCCATACCCATGTGTCCTAGGACTACAACCCTCTCACCATGGTCTTGGGTAGGCCTTTACTTCTGTTCTTACCTACAGGGCTTGGGACTCCAAGGCACTTGGGGAGGGAGAGCCTCAGGATTACTCTGGCAGTGATCTGGGTGAAAGAGGCTTTTGCATGTTAACTTGGGAACTTGACTATCATTTTTAACATTGTTTATATGAGAAAAATGTGTTTTAAATTCCGAAAAGGGAGATTTACCAAGTATTTAGAACATGATTGTAGGTTGTCAATTACTTGTATATTTAATGTCAATAAAGCAGAAGTATATAATTTCATTAGTTCTTCTGATATCATGGCCATTGCAAAAAAGCAAGACCAATGATAGTGTGGGGGAAGAATACAGAATGAAAGGGAGCATATTGTACTCCACTTTTATAGTGTTATTTATTGTACAAACATTATCATTGAAACTGAATTTATAGCTGCAACATTTTTAAAAACTATTTTTTTCTCTTGGATTTCCTTTTTGTACTAGTTAATATCCACATAATTTTGCAGGTAGTTGCAGTCATAGCAGGAACACAATTTTGTATTTGACAGTTTTGGTACTGTTACAGGGTTGATAAGTTATTAATTTTAAATTATACAGTAAGAATACATCTAAATTTCATATGCATGTAGTATATGCTGCCATTGTGTTTATACTTGTGGAAATATTAAATTTCTCAAAATGTTGCCCAATTTTGTGCCTAATATTTCTTTACCATTTACTATAGTATATTTTTTCCAGTATTATTTGCACATGGTATTCTTAGAGTTGAGTACAAACTTTTTCCAATTAAGAGAAAAAAAGTCTTCTTTAAGCTAAAGTAATAAGATTGTTTCACTTAAATTCTTTAGTCTGCTTTTGTTGTACAGAGTAAATCACAGAAATACCAAGATGCAATTAGACATGTAATTGTATTGGAAATACTGCTTTTGATACTTTACCAACATTTGTCTTACTAAAAGTATTTTTATGAGTTACCAAAGTAATATATGTTTGTTATTTTTAAAATGGACAGAAGAAAAATTTTATCATAATTCCACCTCCTAGAGACTAATTACTTTTTAAAAATTGTTTCTCAGTCTTTTTTCTCTTACTTTCTTTACTTACATGAGATCATTTAACTCTGGATCCTACCCTTTTCACTTAACATAAGAAAATACTTATGCTGTAATGCTAGTATAAACATTGGAGCAGCACCTTAGTCTAGTAATTTAGAGTAGCCAGTGGTTTTACAGCCAGCCTGCCTGGGTTCAGACTCTGGCTCCGCCTCTTACTAGTTGTATAACTTTGGGTAACTCTACCTCTCTGTGTCAGCTTCCTCATCTGTAAAATGAAATGTTACTAGTATATACTACATGAGGCTTTTATGAGAAATGAATGAGTTAATATTTGTAAAGGTCTTAGTGCCTGGCACATGTTAGGTACTATGTGTTTGTTGTTGTTGTTGTTGTCTCCTTATTTATTTATTTGTTTATGTATTTATTTTAATAGAGATGTGGTCTTGCCATGTTGCCCAGACTGGTCGCTAACTCCTGGGCTCAAGCAGTCCACCCGCCTCAGCCTCCCGAAGTGGTAGGATTACAGGCATGAGCCACCGCACCTAGCCTCCTAACTCTTTCCATTGTGTCTTCTGGTACCTTATGCTAAAGGCCCTCACTGTACTTTTCCAGAACAGAAGCAATGTGGCATAATGGTTAAGACAATGGATCTTGGGCTGGATCTGGCATATCCACTTAATTACCTGTGTGACCATGGTTGAATTATTTAATCTCTCTCAGCCACAATTTCCTCATTTGTACAATGGGAATAATAGGAGCTACTTTATAAAGTTATAAGGATTAAATGAGATAATTTAGGGCCTGGTACATGATAAACATGCAGTAGATGTTAGGTACTGTTATTATCATCACTCATATATATAATTATTACCACTACTAGCACCCACATCCTTACCGTTTTTCCACTGATACCATCACTTCCTCTACTTCCTGTTCTGTCTGAACAGAAACCTCATTCCCAGAACATGGGTTTTCTTATAAACTTCTTTTTGATGGTTCTTTCTTTTCTAGCATCCAGCACTTGTTTCATAAGACTAGCAGGTCAACATTTACAAAGTTTCCCATTCCTACTTTAAAACTTTATCAATGTATTAACTATCCCACCCTTTTTTTTTTTTTTTTGAAACAGAGTCTTGCTGTGTTGCCCAGGCTGGAGTGCAGTGGCGTGATCTCGGCTCACTGCAACCTCCATCTCCCGGGTTCAAGCAATTCTCCTGCCTCAGCCTCCCGAGTAGCTGGGACTACAGGTGCGCACCACCATGCCCAGCTAATTTTTGTATTTTTAGTAGAGACAGGGTTTCACTATGTTGGCCAGGCTGGTCTCGAACTCTTGACCTCGTGATCTGTCCGCCTTAGCCTCCCAAAGTGCTGGGATTACAGGTGTGAGCCACTGCACCTGGCTATCTCACCTATTTTGGAGCTCACAGAATTCTGTGTCACTTTCTTTGTCTTAATCAACTTACTTCATAGTCACTTTCCTGTTTTCATAAATCATAAGCCCTGTGAGAGCTGCATCTTGAGCAACTAGGCTGTCATGTAGCAAGGGTTCAATAAGTATTTGTTGAACTAATAAATGAAGGACTTTGGTCCCTGCCTCAAAACTTTCTTTCTACTTCAAGTTTTCACTTTTTCCCTCATGGATATACCTGTATTCGTTTTCTATTGCTGCTATAACAGATGACCACAAAGTTGGTGGCTTAAAACAACACAAATTTATTATACAGTTCTGTAGGTAAGAGGTCTGAAATGAGCCTTACTGGGCTAAAATCAAAGTGTTGGCAGAGCCAAATTCCCTTCAGACACTCTACGGGAGGACCTTTCCTTGCCTTTTCTACCTGTGGAGATTGTCTGTTTTCCTTGGCTCATGGGCCCCTTCCATCTTCAAAGCCAGCAATGGCCAGTCAGGTCTTTCATGTTGCATCGCTGACTCTCCCACACCCCTCTTTTACTCATAATGACCCTTGTGATAACATCGGGCCAATCAGATAATCAAGGATAATCTCCCTATGTCAAGGTAGGTGGTTAGTGCCTCAGTTCCAGCTGCAAACTGATTCCTCCTTGCCATGTAACAAAACATAGTCACAGGCTCCAGTGACTGGGACAAGGAAATCTCTGGCGGGGCATTATCCTGCCTACCACAATCCCGATCTAATACCTTTGCTACATAGTTCCTTATCTTCTCAATTCCAGTTAATTTACCTCTATTCCACTTTAGTCATTCATGGCCACACTTTGGACTTTTCCATTACTCAAAACTGCCACAATTCTGAAACCATAAACTTCAGAATTTTATTTTCTCATTACAATTTCCAATCCTTCTATGTTTTGGGAAAGTACATAGGGGATAGATTATAAAGGTTTATTTACTAGGTAAAGTAGTATGAACTTGATCCAAACAAAGTGGGAAGTCAATGTAGAGTTTCATCATGGAAAAAAAAATGGTCAAAGCCAAGGAAGCCAGCCTTTAAATATGGGAATATTGAATTAGTCATATGTCTTATGTGCTAATCTTTTTTTTTCCTTAATCTGATTTTTATTAGAAAAATGAAGAGGGAAAGCATGGACCCTTAGGAGATAATGAAGAGAGGACCAGAGTATCTACTGACAAAAGACAGGTAAATTTTTATGATTTCACATATATATGCTCATAATAACAAAGCAAAAGGAATAGTATAAAGTAGAATAAAAGTGCCTCCATTTCTACTATCAAGGGAGTTTTTAAAATACTCTTCTAAAAATGGTCTGTATATTTACAAGACTATATGTCACTCCTTTTTTTTAAAAAAAAAAGTACAGATGGGATTATTCTATGCTACATCCTACATCTTGCTTTAAAAAAAAAAAAACTCTTGATGGTTCATATAGATGTGTTAAGAAATACTCTCCCTTAGTTCTCTCACACTCCCACACACCTTGCTGGGTATGCCAAGAATGCAAGGCCCTAACCATTTTTTACCTGGGTCATTTCTCAGAGTTGTGTTTGCAGTGATCAACCCTGAAGGTTGAGGTAATATCTCCCTCCAGGACAAAAAGCAATCTGGCTTACTTTCTGCTGTGAAACAGTAGGACCCTCAAGCTCAGTGTTCCTCTCCTATAACACTACCCACCCTGTGTCCAGGCAGCCATCTGTGCCCATTTGTATTACCCCTCATGGGGCTTGAGGGCAGGAAACAGAAATGATGCTCATACTGACTGCTGTGCTGCAAATAATAAAGTTCATTGTTTCTAACCCAGAAGTTTCATGTTTTCTGCTAATATCCATGAAACAGTAACAGGTTAACTTATTAGTTGGTAAGTAGGGTAAAATCAAAGTGCAGACTTGAAAGATGAACCTTGTTCTTTTTAATATTGTATAGTATTTCCTTGTTACTTTATTCCTTTGAGTTTTCCAGAGGTTCCGATTCATTGGATGCAGAGTGGAGACTAAGCATGTATGTTTTGAAGAGTTACCTTGATGATTCCGATGTATATTCCTAGAGATTTCCTAATTCATTCTGAGAGTGAGCCCAGTAGGAATATAGAAATAATTTGTCTCAGAATATTTACATGTTTTCATAATAAGAAAGGCCAAGGGAAAAAAAATAGTGAATCACCATTTAAGTCAATGTACTAGTCCATATACAAAACAGACTGTACCCTTTTGCCCATGTTTTAGTGTAAAACTCTGTGACTAGGATCAAACAGATGACTTGCCAAAATGTTAGCGAAGTGAGGCAAAATCAAATTCAGAGCAGCGATTCACTGAAAAGATTCAGTCCTCTGGGAGTTGTGGTAAATGGAAGTGCCAAAATGGAATGCAACTTGAGCTTTTATTTGTTTTATTGAGTTTGGGATGGAAAAATCTTTGTCTCAAACTTGGTATTTTGGCCTTACCTAGATGCAAAATGAAAAAATACATATTTTCTGAGGTAAAAAGGACTCTAGACAAAAAAGTGATAAATAAACTCGACCCAAAAGATTGTTCTAATAACAAATAAGTTGATGAGTGTGCTTCTCACTTGATAGGAACAATTTTTTTTTTTATGTTTTATTCTGGCTTTATTTCTGTCTGTTTAACTAGGAAAATCTAAAGCTGAAATCATTCCCTTGCAGCCACTTCCACTGGTTACGTTGGTTCAATTTAACAATAGGAGCTCTGTCAAGATCTTTTGATGAGGCAGCATTACTTCTTTTCCAAGATGATACGTATTGGCCGGGCACGGTGGCTCACGCCTGTAATCCCAGCACTTTGGGAGGCCGAGGCGGGCGGATCACGAGATCCAGAGATCGAGACCATCCTGGCTAACATGGTGAAACCCCATCTCTACTAAAAATGCAAAAAATTAGCCGGGCGTGGTGGCAGCTACTCAGCTACTCCACGGGCTGAGGCAGGAGAATGGCATGAACCCGGGAGGCGGAGCTTGCAGTGAGCCGAGATAGTGCCACTGCACTCCAGCCTGGGCGACAGAGTGAGACTGTCTCAAATCAATCAATCAATCAATCAATCAGTCCAGCCTGGGCGACAGAGTGAGACTCTGTCTCAAATAAATAAATAAACAAACTTATTGAAAGTATTCAGAAATCAATAATAATATATGCTTCGCATTTGAGGAGCATAAAACTCAAGAAATTTTGGTAGGGAGGGGAAAGTGTTCACAAATTCAAGGTCAATTTAAAGCTTATTTTAAAAGCCAATATAGATAGGTTTTTCATATTTTATATACATCCTTAGGTACATATTTTGTAAAGCAGAGATTTTTGTATTCCTTTATAAATGTCCTTCTAGTTTAGGAGATGGTTGGTTAACTCAGAAATGGAATTCCATAAAATCTTCTCTGTTCCTTCTTTTTTAGATAGTTTACAAATTATTCTCCGTAATCTCAAACATTCATACTCAAAACCGAAACTGAAACTTGACTAGTTAATATCGCTTTGGTCTGATCCTTAAAGTGATTTCAGATATGCTGTATTGGGGGATAAGTATAGGGTTAAATCCCTTTGGAAGGGGATGGGGAATAGGGACACCCTCTCCTTAGCCCAAGCTCCCCTCATGTAACAGTCAGTCCCAAGCCCAAGGATCAGGTTTACATTCCTTACTTCAGAGGCTTTTGCTGTGAAAACAGCATAGACTGTTTTGTGCCTTATGCAGAACTGACTTTTTTTTTTAACCTTAGTCTGTTTTATCTGATATTGTTATACCAGCTTTGATTAGTATTTGTTTAAGTTGAGAAACTTTAGGTTCAATAGTAACACAAAACCTTCACTCAAAGAGATCCACTGGAAGTGCTTAGAACCCCAGTCAGTAACCAGTCTGCAGGGCTTAATTCAGGCTCAGCCAGTCCCTGCTCTGTGGAATATTGCTAAGGTAGCTCAAGCTCACTACTCTGACATCAAGTTCTCTCATCCTTTTTGACACTTGATGGTATGTCTTCCTTCTTTTTGTTTTTATAACTTACCTATAGTAGGAGGTGGGACCTAACTATAGTAGTCTAGACTGCCATAGTGCTAAAAATTGATACAGCCAGTAGTTTCTCAAAAGAAATTGAGAATTATCTTTTCTTTGGTCAATATCTAAAATATTTTAGAATTTAAGATGACCTCTGCTTTAGTTCTGCCTTTTACCATCTGTGGGTCTTTCAGAAAGTCATGTAAACTTTCTGGGCTTTACTTATCCATGTGTAAAATCAGGGCTTTATATTCTTTATTACCATCTAGAAGCTTAATACTAAATGGTACTACACTTAATCCTATAAGAAACAAGTCAAATTGATCTAGTTCTTGCCCTTTACTAGGTTATAATGTATCTAATCTTTCACTAGAACAAATTAATGATAATTACATGCTTAATTGTTTGATTAGTAGAGCCTAGGTTTAGAAAATTTCTGGCCTAAAGTCAACACTAAAGTTTCAGAAGCTTTTTGGATCTAATGAGAAATGTGCTTTGTACAAACTCTGTTTAGATAAAGAATTAAACAAAACTTCCATTTTTATTAATAATTCAAGTATAATCCATAATATGATTATTAGGTGTTATAACTAATAAGTTGTTATTTTATATCTTAATGTAGGTAAAGAGAACTGGTCTTGTGGTGGTGAAAAACATGAAAATTGTTGGTCTCCACTGTTCTAGTGAAGATTTACATGCCGGGCAGATTGCTCTTATTAAACATGGGTCAAGGCTGAAAAACTGTGATCTTTATTTTTCCAGAAAACCATGTTCTGCTTGTTTGAAAATGATTGTAAATGGTAAGTGCAGAAAAGGGTTTGTTGGGGATTAAGAGTATTTATCTGGGATGGGCGTGGTGGTTTATGCCTGTCATCCCAGCACTTTGGGAGGACAAGGCAGGAGGATCGCCTGAGCCCAGGAGTTCACAAATAGCCTGTGCAACATAGGGAGACCTCATCACTACAAAAAATAAGTTAGCTAGGCATGGTGATGCACGCCTGTAGTCCCCACTACTTGAGATAATGAGGTGGGAGGATTGCTTGAGCCCAGGATGTCAAGGATACAATGACCCGTGATTGCGCCACTGCACTCTAAGCTGGGTGACAGAACAAGACCTTGTCTCCAGAAAAAAAAAAACGAAGAAAGGAGCGTTTCTCTGAGAGCAGTCAGTGGGAACACATTTGCTAAATACCACAGAGATAATTTAGAAATATATATCTGAAAGTCAGGTGCTATGGCTTGCACCTGTAATCCCAGCTACTCAGAAGGCTGAGGCAGGAGAATTGCTCAAGCCCGGGAGTTCAAGGCTGTAGTGAGCTATGATTGCTCCACTGCACTCCAGCCTGAGTGACAGAGCAAGACCCTGTCTCTAAAAAATAAAATAAAAAATATGTAAATATATATCTGAAGACAGTTTGATACATTATAAGAGTAAGCATCAGAAAACATGGATTCTGGTCTCATTCATGTCTACTAACCTATTAAATGACCCTCAGTGTATGAGTAGACTAATGCTAACTGCTATAACAAAACAAAATTTCAGTGACTTATGTACTAGATATTTATCACCTGTATAATAGTCCAGCACATGTGTTGCTAAACAGCAGGCAGCTTTCTCCATTTGGTTGATTCCTGGGCTAGGCATCTTCTGTCTCATTGCTGTTGTCACCTCTAGGGCTTTGAGTCCTCTGTATCCAGAGGCAGACTGAGAAAGAATGAGTAGAGAGGGTGAACCTGCTTCTTAAAAACCCTGACCTGGAAGTCACATACATCATTTCTGTTCTCATCCATTGTGGGAACTGTTGTTCCCACTGGGCAGCTGTCTTTCAGTGACTACTATACACTTTGGAAGGAGGAACACAAATTTTTAATGTATAGCCATCCGTCCACACCAGGCTATTCACTAAACCTCCTTGTGCTTATGATTCTGTTTTGCACCCAGGTATATGCCGATCATTCTTTCATTTAAAAAATATGCATCTTGTTGCATAGGCATCATGGTAGATCAAAAAACAAAAAAAACTAATGTGGTTCCTAATCTTTACTCTCGAGGTGTTATTTGGGGGCCAAAATAACAATTTAATATGATGCATTATCTAGTACCAAATCAGCGATACAGGTTGTAAGTGATATTTGGTCTCAGAGGAGAAATAGTGATCCCTGCAGATTTCCATATTATGAAAGGCTGGGGCTTAAGCTTGATCTTGATGCGTCATAGGTAGAGGAAGAGGAACACATTCCTGGTCAGGGGGAACAGTGTATATGGAGTCATCAAGTTGTAAGAAGCAAAGTTCTAGGGGTCAGTATTTGAAATGGAGAATTATTCTTGGAGAACAGTGGCAGATGAATTATAGTGATAGTGGAGAACTTTGAAGAACTGTAGAGCCTTTGGACTTTATCTTATAAAACAGAGTTCCTAGGCCTGTTGTGAGAAAGAGCTATTTTTATTTACAGCAAAGCCTTAAGAGTAATGATCAGATCTATGTCAAGGTCAGTGCCTTGAGCTATAAATGGCAGAACTTCTAGAAGAAATGGATCATGTGGCTAGAAACCTCTCGGCCTGCAACAAGTATTTCGAGCAGGTAGGTATCTGTGGTAGTGATTGGATTCTATATTCTCAACTGCAGTTACCAATACATTGAGAAGATAGGTATGAAAGTGGTGGTGGCATTTTTTTCACCTTTTCCCAATTAACCAGGCAGATTGGACATGCATTTCATCACTCATGTTCAACTGACCTACAGTTCCTGTTTGTAGGTAATGTGGAGACATTGAAGATTCTTGAGAAAGATGTAACGTGATTGAAATTTTTGTTGTTATTGCTGTTATTGAATTGGAGCAGGGAGAGATTAGAGATTGGGAGCTTGATTAGTAGACTATTGCATTAGGCAAGGTCCAAATAGGGTTCAGATGATGACATTGATACAGAAATGAAAGAATGTGAAAGAACCAAAACATTTGTTGGCTGATCTGTTCCAGATCAAGGGAGAAAAATGAATAAAAGATAGTTGTGCTTTGTGCTGAGCTAACTGTGCTGAAAGCAGTCTTAATAGCCTCGGAGCCACAAATTAGAGGGAAGAATAGGAGAGTGCAGGTAACTCATCACTGCTTGATGTCTTAAGACATTTCATCCTGACAAAAAAGATAATGAAGTATGGAAAGTCAGGAAGGACCTACAGTGGAAATGCTTGTGTATTGGTGTTGGACAATATATAAACAAAATTGCTATGTTAGATTAGGCTTATGTATTATATTTAGTTATCTTAGGAAGGGGGCATGGTTGAACCCCATGCTATAGCTAGATTACTTTAGTTAGAATTGCTATTACCTCAGTTATAAGGCAAAGATTGTTGTAGCACAGTGGTTCTCCAAGTGTGGTCTGTGGACTCCTGATGGTCCACGAGGTCAATGTTATTTTCATAATAATACTACCTTCAGGTTGGGCATGGTGGCTCATGCCTCTAGTCCCAACATTTTGTGAGGCTGAGGCAAGTGGATTGCTTGAGCCCAGGAGTTTGAGACCAGTCAGGGCAATATGGAGAAACCCCATATCTACTAAAAATAGAAAAATTAGCTAGGCGTGGTGGTGCATGCCTGTAGTCCCAGCTACTCGGGAGGCTGAGGTGGGAGGACCACTGGAGCCTAGGATGCAAAGGTTGCGGTGAGCTGTGATCGTGCCTCACCAATGCACTCCAGCCTGGGCCACAGAGTGAGACCCTGTCCCAAAAAGCAAAAACAAAAACACTACATTCATACTAATGGTACCAAAACAATGATAGGTAAAACTACTGTTTCCGTATCTTTATTTTTATTTTATTTTTTTTTGAGACAGAGTCTCGCTCTGTCACCCAGGCTGGAGTGCAGTGGCACAATTTCAGCTCATTGCAACCCCCGCCTCCCAGGTTCAAGCGATTCCCCTGCCTCAGCCTCCTGAGTAGCTGGGATTACAAGCGTGCACCAGCATGCCCGGCTAATTTTTGTATTTTTAGTAGAGACAAGGCTTCACCATGTTGGTCAGGCTGATCTCGAACTTCTGACTCATGATCTGCCCACCTCAGCCTCCGAAAGTGCTGGGATTACAGGCGTGAACCACTGCACCCAGCCTGTTTCCATATCATTAAGACAGTGGTGCCAAACTGCCCTGGTAGTCGTCATACTCTTCACTGCACTCAGAGGGAAAAAAGAAAACCAGTTTTACATAAGAAGGTCCTTGATGAAACAGTAAAAAGTATCAATTTTATTAAATCCCAACTTGAGTCTGCATCTTTTTAATATTCTGTGTGAGGAAACAGGAGGTGGGTATAAAGTGCTTTTGCTACAGACCTAAGGTATGAAGATGGCTTTAAGGAAAACCATGTATGTGATTGTTTGAGTTGCAGACTGACTTATCTACTTTTTTAATGGAACATCATGAACTGACAATGGTTAGTTAGACTTGGATATTTGGCAGATATTTTCTTGAAAATATAGTGAACCTGTCACTTTCAGATAAACAACTGACAGTATTTGTTGCCAGTGATAAAATTTGAGCTATCAAGTGAAAATTAGAATTTTGGAAAACTCATATTCTCTATTATGAGCCTGACAGCATCTCACCACTTAGACTCTTTTGATGGGATTGGTGGTGATATTAATGAACGGGATTTTTTTTAATATTGTAAAATCAGTAAATCATTGTTTTCCGGATGACCAATGCACAATGCTACAAAATCATGCATGAGTAAAAGCCATTCTAAGTGCAAGACAGACCAACGGACTTTAACGTAACAGTTCAAAAAGTTTGTTGATATGGTTTCAGATTCTACATTGTAACTAACCTTTAAGAAACTATCCCTTGTCAAATTTTTATGTAGTGCCAAAGAAGAATATTCACAAGTATCTGAAATGGCTGTTAAAATACTCCTTTTTCAACCACATATCTATATGAGGCCAGATAATTTTCGTATACTTCAATGAAAACAACATATTGCAACAGATTGAAAACAGAAGCAAATTTGAGCATCCAGTTGTCTTCTATTAAGCCAAATTTTTTTTTTTACAAAGCAAGTTACTTTATTAGAATTTTAAACAATGTATAAGTGATGGAATCATTCTAACAACACATCTATTCACTGCTTACAATTCCAACCAATTTCAGTTCTCTGATATCTAATGACAAGAGCGAAGACCTGTTAAAGTTCCTTCCACCAGTAAAACCCACAGCTCAAAGTTGTGGGAGTGATTAACTGAGCCATAGGCCTTCATTCACATGTTTACCACATTAAAATACCACACAGTGTTTTCTTATAAGGTCAACCACCTGGGAACTAATTAACATTAGCATTAAGATTTAAATAAACTGTTAGGCACAGGGCTAGATCAGGCATTATAAAACCCTGTGGTTCCCTAGTCAAGTCACACAAATCCCCAAATATTTTAGCTTGTAACAGTTTTGTCCTTCCTCTCTTGAGACAATTATTTGGGTACTTGCTTTTGGCAATAACGTAATTCACAATGGAAGTTTCCTAACTGTGATGGTGCTTTAGGCAACTTCGGAGAATGAAGATAGAAATTATGCATGATTATATAACATGAAGAGTTTAATTTCTATTACACACTCAATTTCCATGCCCTGATTTCTCTTAACTCTATAAACACATGTAAATCTTCTGCAGAGCTTTAAAGAGCTCTGAAAGGGAAAACACCTTTCCATATATGGAATTGATAGCATAGTACAGGTCAGGCGCAGTGGCCCACACCTGCAATCCCAACATTGTGAGGCCAGTGGGAGGACCACCTCAGGTCAGGAGCCCAAGACCAGCCTGGGCAACATAGCGAGACCCCATCTCTACCAAAAAAAAAAAAAAAAAAAGAGCTGGGTGTGGTGGTGCACACCTGCAATCACAGCCAATCTGGAGGCTGAGGCAGGAGGATTGGTAGAGTATGGGAGTTAGAAGTTACAGTGAGCTATGATGTCACCACTGCACTCCAGCTTGGGTGACAGACTGGTCTCTATTTAAAAAAAAAAAAAAAGGTATAGTGATACACTATTAATTCCATGTATGCTAATATGAGATAGCATCCATATAAACTACTATCAAGTCTTTATGTGCCAGCTACTGTAATAAGTCTTTTCAAGTTTAACTCACTGAATTCATAATGAATTATGAGGTAGCTACCATTATTTCCCCCATTTTACAAATAGGGAAACTGAGGCTGGGAGACATTATTTAACTTGCCCAAGTTTCTAAAGCCAGTTACTGGCAGAACTGGTATTTGAACCTACTTAATCTGATTCTAGAGCCTGTGCTATATAAACTCTTACCCACTATGCTATGCTATTCATTAGTATCCATTTAACAATTACTACTATTGCAATAGCTGCAATTATCACTCCTATAGTACAGGGGAATCTATCAAAGAAACACTCAGCTTTCACTTATCTATTTCTGAAAACATTTTTTATTAAAGTATAAGGTGCATTTCACTGATCTATTTTTATAATTGTCAATTTATTTAAGTACTTTGATTATATGATGTAAGAAAAATGTTAGAAATGTCTTCTGGAATTAACCAGAACACAATAAATGTGCAAAAATTAGAATGGAATTTACAGAGTTTATAGGCCACTGAAGCCCATCCATGAAACCCTTCATGAAACTCATTCATGAGGCCAAAGGGCAGAACAAACCCTCCCTGAAAATCTCAATTGGGCTTTTAGAATTTAAATTTAAATGTCTATACGAATTCTGCTGCTCAGTTTTGTCCTTCCACTCTTCTTAATTTTCCAGTGATATTGCTGATAACTATTGTTTTTCCTTTTACTATTAATCCAAATATTAAAGATATTTGTAAAAATTTAAAACAATCTCATTCTTACAAATTTTTGTTTTGGAAAATAGTTTTTTTCATAAAGCTAATGTTATTTATATTAATGTATAACAGATTATTGTTATTTTTAATGAATTAATAAATATTTTAAATTTTGTTTTAATTTTCAAGTACAGTAAATATCAGTAGATATATTCCACATAAATAAAAGCTTTTTGGAGTCCTCAATAATTTTTAAGAGTGTTAAGGAATCCTGAGATCAAAAAATTTGAGAAACTCTGCTTTAGCATTTGCCACTAATACACAAATGTCTGTCTAAAGAGGATTTTTCCCCTCTTGAATCAGGATTACTGGAAGCAGCTAAGATGCCTAGATGAAAGGTTTACCATCACTGCTGGTTAGGAAATGGATTATGAGAACTCGAACAGAGGGAAGGTGAAATGCAACCGGAGGAAACACTCTGATATGAGGTTTGAGGCCTTCAAAATTGCTTTGCAGCATAAGCCACAGTGAGTCAGGAGTACCAGGGAGTGGATAGAATGTTTATTTGTTTAACTGAGACTTTTTAGTTCATCAATTATTTTGAAGGGTAGAACACTCTGTGGGCTCTCTTTCTATTTGCTTCTGGGTACAATCACAAAAAAAAAATCTCTCCTAGCTGAAATTACATGCAGTACTAGCAAAGGGGTCTCTTTGTTATAAACTGTTCATTAATTGACGAACATTTGTGTACTTAACTATGTATAAGGCATCTCATCGTTCAATTTCAAATACAAATTAAAATATTTTTTCACATTTGTTATCCTGTTATGTTTTCTCTTTTACAAATTGTCTGTTCGTATCTTTTTGTCTCTCTTTAGGCCTTATTCTTGTCAATTCATATGTGCTCTAATGAATTGAAATATTTTCTGTATATTAAACATTACTAACCTTTCCTCTGTCACACTGATTGAAAAATGATCTATTTAGTTTGTTGTTTTGTCTTTAATTTTGTAAGCTTTAAAAAGTTAATATTGCCCTTCAGACACCATCCCAACATCACATAAGAATTTTTTCATGTTATAAATTCTTTGTGGACATATTTGATAACTGTTTTATTATGAGGAGGACCATAATTAATTCAACCATTCCCCTATTTTGGTCATTTAGGTTTTTGGGTTTGGGTTTTTTGTTTGTTTAACGTCTTTGCTTGCTATTTTAAAGAATGCTGCACTAAATGTGCATGCATGAGATTTCTTCTCTGTATTTAGAATATTTTCCTAGAATGGATTCTCAGAAGAATTCTCAGTCTGTGGAGAGGAACATTTTTAATGCATGGAAGAGGTATTTATTCCAGATAGAAAACTAGGCAATATTAGTTGTTCCCTGTAAGATTTTAAAAAACAGCCATGGCACCATGGAGGACTCTTCGAGTATATAGTTTTAGCGCTGGGCTTTGGGATCACACTTCACAACACCAGTAACTCCACAAATGCATTCCTAGAGGCTCTGTGAGAGGCTGGGTAACTTTTTCTTGAAAAGGCCAGATAATAAATATTTTAGACTTTGCAGGCCGTGTGGTGTCTGTCACAGCTACTCAACTCTGCCACACGAAAGCACCCAAAGACTATATAAGTGAATGGGTGTGTCTGTGTTTCAATAAAGGTTTATTTATGGATACTGAAATTTGAATTTCTGACAGTTCGATGTGTCACAAAATGTTCTTTTGATTTGTCCAACTATTTTAAAATGTAAAACCCATTCTTAACCTGTGAGCTGTACAAAGACTGGCAGTGGACTGGATTTGGCCTGTGGGTGGTAGTTTGCCAACCCTCAGGCTATATAATAGGTGACTTGGTAATAGACATTTATTATATTGAGGGTTCTAGATATACTGCAATGATAGGGTGGATTTTATAATGAAAACCCTAAATTCAGCATGTATCTCATAATTACCTTTCGTATTTTGTATTTCAGCTGGAGTTAACCGAATTTCATACTGGCCTGCTGATCCAGAAATAAGTTTGCTTACGGAGGCTTCTAGTTCTGAAGATGCAAAGTTAGATGCCAAAGCAGTGGAAAGATTGAAGTCAAACAGTCGGGCCCATGTGTGTGTCTTACTTCAACCTTTGGTGTGTTATATGGTGCAGTTTGTAGAGGAGACCTCTTACAAATGTGACTTTATTCAAAAAATTACAAAAACATTGCCGGATGCTAACACTGACTTTTATTATGAATGTAAACAAGAAAGAATAAAAGAATATGAAATGTTATTTTTGGTTTCAAATGAAGAAATGCATAAGCAAATACTGATGACTATAGGTTTGGAGAACCTGTGTGAAAATCCATACTTTAGCAATCTAAGGCAAAACATGAAAGACCTTATCCTACTTTTGGCCACAGTAGCTTCCAGTGTGCCGAACTTTAAACACTTCGGATTTTACCGTAGCAATCCAGAACAGATTAATGAAATTCACAATCAAAGTTTGCCACAGGAAATTGCAAGGCACTGCATGGTTCAGGCCAGGTTATTGGCATATCGAACTGGTGAGTTACATAGATCGTAAATTGGGGCTGATTGGTTGGGTTGTATTTGTCTCTGAAGTGTTCGTCTCATTTATGGTAGAGTTCATTTACTCATAGTTACTTAAGTTTTGCTGTTCATACAATATAGAGAAGTTAGTGAGACCCTTGAGTAGACAACTCTTTCTCCCAGCAGTTTTGGGATTCCTTGTAGCCTTATATTCAGTACCACATTTCTACATCAGGCCCTCATTAATCTAGGCCCTTCTTTCTGCTTCTTGCTTTTATGATTTCACTGTTCCTTGAGCCCTCCACTAAAGGTAGGACAAGAAGAGAAAGGAGAGGCCCAGTGCAGTGGTTCATGCCTGTAATTGCAACACTTTAGAAGGCTGAGACAGGAGGATCGCTTGAGCTCAGGAGTTCAAGACCAGCGTGGGCAACATAGCAAGACCTCGACTCTAACAAAAAAATTAGCTGGGCATGGTGGTGTCTGGTGGTGCGTGCCTATAGTCCCGGCTACTTGGGAGGCTAAAGCAGGAAGATTGCTTGAGCCCAGTAGTTTGGGGCTGCAGTGAGCTACAATAGCACCACTGTACTCCAGCTCCAGAGACACAGCAAGACTCTATCTCCAAAAAAAGAAAAAGGAGAAAACCAAAATTATTCATTTTTGTTAACTCTTCAATATTTTGATGTACTGAATATTTAACAATTTTTAAAAAATCTTTACAATAACATTAATTCAAAATAACTAATAGAATCAAGGTAAAGGAATGGTGATTATTGCAGATTCTTCCAGTTGCTGGTATGTCTTCAATCAGCAAGTTGAGAAACATTTTTACTGTATTGTATTAAGTTGTATATTTGGAAAAGGAAAATATTACTTGGGATTTTTCTTTGTTATGATAAAAGATGGCATCTGTATTTCCAAACATGGAACAATATTATCACATCTTACCTGATGTAAGATTTCTCAAAGTAGAATCATGATCACTTTTTAAAATGCATCTTTGTGATAAAGGGGAAAAAACATAGACAGGAGGAGCAGTAGAGTAAGATTTGTTTGGGGAGTGTACTGTAGTAGGATTTAAAAATTATCCCAAGAAAGAAGAGAAAGTCATCAGAAAAGGTCTCTACAGATGCTGCTGGTCTGCAGTAGTCAACAGAAGGGAGGTTCTCAGCTGGCAGCAAATAGAATCGCCATTGAAACTTTTATAAAAAGTACAGATGCTATACTTTTTACTTTTATAAAAAGTACAGATGCTATACTTTTTACTTTTATAAAAAGTACAGATGCTATACTTTTTACTTTTATAAAAAGTACAAACCCCAACCCAGACCTATTAAACCAAGTCCCTAACAAAATATGGCCAAGTTCTATGTTTTTAAAAGTTCCACAAGGTGTTCTGATGTTCGCAGAGTTAATAATTGCTCAATTCTTCTTAAAGATTTTGATTCTGTAGGCACACATTATATGACCCCAAACAATTGCATTGTGTAAAAGTCTGGTTTCATGTAATTATATTCTATTGTGGGTTATATATTTGTTTCTTTGCCAACTCCAGCTTTGTAAAGAATTTTTCTGTAAACCATTCAAAAAGATAGAAAACATAAATGGGAACAGCTGTTGTAGCTATAATTCACTAATTACCCTTCACTAATTAGAATTCAGCAGAACCCTGCCTGTGTTCCAGAGTAAGAGGGCGATGTGAATCTGCTATTTTACTGGATCTTAGTACCTCTTGCTTCTCATAGAACACCTTATCATACCAGCTGTGATTCCAGTGTTTAAAGACGCAGTATGTATACATTTGCATTTATATTGTTTATTAGATACTCTACACTACTGTATAGTTATAAGTATATCCACTATTGTGCAGAATTTTGTACATAAAGCCCTGCTTACGCATTTGATGGTCAATTTAAAAGATTTTTCAAGGTTAATTGTTGGTGATTTTTTTTTTACATGGAACTCAAATCCTGAATAGGGTGCAACTCCTCTGTCACTCACTCTACTCCACTGTGCACTCTTCCAGGGAAGAAACCATGTCTTAATCATTTTTTCCTTAGCACTAAACACAATGTGCGTTGAATGGATAAAACAAATCTTTTTATCCAAAGATAAAGGGTCCACAATCCCTTATGCAAAACTTTTGGAGCCAAATGTAAAGGAATTCAGAATTTTTCCGATTTTATTTTATTTTTTTTGAGACAGGGTTTTACTCTGTTGCCCAGGCTGAGTGCAGTGGCACTCATGGCTCACTGCAGCCCTCAACCTCTCAGCCTCAAGCAATCCTCCCACATCGACCTCCTGAGTAGCTTGTACTACAGGTGAACCACCACCATGTCCAGCCAATTTTTAATTTTTTGTAGATATGTCTCACTGTGTTGCCCAAGCTGGTCTCGAACTCCTTGGCTTAAGCAATCTTCCTGCCTCAGCCTCCCAAAGTGCTGGGATTACAGGCATGAGCCATCATGCCCAATCCAGATTTTAAAAAGGTAATATGGTACATATACTGTTATATAGGACTCCCAGTGGCATCTGGGACAGTACCCTGTAATCACATTAATACATACAGAGTGAAAAAAGTAGGAATATTTGCACTAAGAATAATTGAGGGCTATAAATAACTCAATTTGGGTCAGATTTGGCCGCAAAATAAGTGCATCAAACTTCAAAAAAACTGGATGTAAAAGATTTCAGATCAGGGACTCTGGACCTGTAATTCTTCCTTAATGATAAATAATAACAATGACAGTTTATGGAACACCTACTATGTGTCAAGCACTGAGCTTGGTGATTTATATATGTATCTCATTTAACATTGAGGGTACTTCAGTAAGGTGGATATCCCTATGATACAGTGCGCTTCCAATTAAGCTTTTAATTTCACATTATTCAGTTTGGTTTGATGACCTCATTTCTCCCTAATTAATAGATGAAGATACCATTTCATTTAAAAATGTACATATGATTAAAATGAATTCCAAAACCTCTAACAACAGAGTTCTAAAATGAATTGAAAGTAGTTGCTTATAATTGCTTTTTGAATGATGAATAAAGAGGATCCATAGAGATGTCATGAAAAGTATGTTACTAGCCAGGTGCGGTGGCTCCCGCCTGTAATACCAGCACTGGGAGACTGAGGCAGGAGGACTGCTTGAGGCCAGGAGTTCCAAAAGTATGTTTCTAGAATACCCGAAGGTAGCAAAAAAGTGGAAAAAAAAAGTGTTTAGACTCTTGGGGAAAAAAGAGCAGGAGGAAGGCATCAAAAATCTTATCTATCTGCTTTAAGTACTGAGTTGTGATCTCTTCGTGTCTTGCTTTCTCATCAGATTAGGTGTTTTCCAAAGCTAAGGATTATGCCTTCCTCCTGGGCCACAGTACTGATAATGAGAGTAGGCTGGAGTAATCAAGAAAGTTAACTTTTAAAACAGAACTCAGTGGTTCTCAGATATGAGTATGCCTGAGAATCAAGGGGGAGCTCAGGAGTAATGCAGATTCCTAAGCCTTGCCTGCCTCTCTCAGAGAGGTTGATTTAGGGGACTTCCATGGAAGCCAGGAGTTGCCTCTTTTTTTTTTTTTTTAAATTTTAAAAACAAGCATCCAGTAATTTTGATGCAAGAGGACTGTGGAGCACCTTGGACACTGACATGACCACAGGATTGGGAGCTAAAATAACCACACCTGTGTTCTAGAACAAAAAGTTCCCCTCTGATTTTCAGTGATCAAAGAGCCCCAGGAATTTGACTCAATGATTGTAAGTTGACCTTTCCTTCAAAGTTGTACAGAGAAAACCCTGTGAATGACCAGATCATAGGGAGCAATTTCTGTAAAAATTATAGACATGAAAAGATTTTTGAGAAATTACCTCATCTGTCACCAGCCTTGATGCTGAGTGACATCAAATCTGTTTTATATGGATGAAAATTTATTCCTATTTTAAAAGACAAGTAGTAAAGAATATTCTCTTGATGTAACCAACCTTAGCTAGGCAGCAGAGCTGCATGCTGATGGAAAAATCACATTTTTTTTTTCCTCCTAACAAGGTTTAGTCTGTCCCCAGGCTGAAACAGAAAAAGTGGCTTCTGTGACTAAGAAACATAACATTAAAAATATGCAGTGTTGATGGTAGAAAAGGGGGCTTTTAATATGGAGAATTTTTATTCTGGTTTTTTATTTTTTCATTTTAGATTTATGCATAAATTAAATAAAACTTTAAAGATTTTGGTTTTGCAGGCAAATATAATCTTATGTTTATAACTTCTGCCACTTACCTTAGAAATGAGCATAAAGCCATTGATTTGTATTCTTGCCCACTCATGTTAAACTCTAAAGGTCTAGGAAGGAACCCAATTTTGTTTACACCAAAATCCCTTTTCCCTCTACTCTGTAGAAGGAAGTCATCTCGTGCACTCTGCTGTTCAGCCTCATTTATTTCCTTCAGAGCACAGCACATAAAGTACTGTTTGTTTCCTTGTTGCTGTTCTCCTTCACCATCCAACTGTAAGTCGTATGAGGAAGGGACTACAGTTTCCCTCACCACTGCATCCTCAGTTCTCACAGTACTTGGAACATAAGAGGCATTCAATAAATGGAAATTTTTGTCAAGGATTTCTTTTTCTTTTTTTTTTTTTTTTTTGAGATGGAGTTCTGCTCTGTCCCCCAGGCTGGAGTGAAGTGGTACGATCTCAACTCACTGCAACCTCCGCCTCCCAGGTTTAAGCAATTCTCCTGCCTCAGCCTCCCAGGTAGCTGGGATTACAGGCATGCACCACCACACCTGGCTAATTTTTGTATTTTTAGTAGAGACGGGGTTTCACCATGTTGGCCAGGCTGTGTCAAGGAATTCTTTATGTCACGGTGCAAGGTGGAGGAAAGGCCAAGCAGGTTGGATCTGGAGGGCTAAGTTTTAGTCTATTTCTTTGCCTGTTTCTGCATCTAGAAATGGAAATTTTATCTGCTTTACCTTTAGGGTAAAAATGAGATCATGAATAAACATGTTTAACATAAATTATACAAATGCTTTGTGGTATAATTTTGAAAACCAGGGTTTGCTTGAATTTGAGATGGGAAATTTTATTAGAGTATCATAACTGTTTTAAAGTTAACCTCTTAATAAGACATTCATTCTAGTTTTTAATGCAATTGTGGCACAAATTTTCTTTGTACCTTTACTGGAAAGTAGGTATTTAAAAATGTTATCATTGGAGGGATTCACTTTTAGGAAATTGTAGGGTGAAACCACGGTTTCAGTTAATCCTCCCCAAAATGAAAATGCCTTAGGGTAAGTTCACAGATAATTGTTATTTTCTACGTGTAAATGTGCCACTTAACTACCTTAGTCCCTTATTAAGATTTTGATAAATACTATGGTTTTCATAATTAGTGTAATTTGTCTTAGAAATTTGAAACTCAACATTGTATAGAAGGAAAAAGTAAATCCTTAATATGTAGAATTTCTATTTTGTTTTTTAATTTTCTGTTTCAGATTAATGGTTTTAAGAAGTACAGCTTTACTTTTGCAAAGGTTTTGGTTCTACAGGGAAATTATAATCTTATGTTTGTTTATAACTTCTGCTATTTGATTTAGAAATGGGCAAGATGTCATTAACTTGCATTCTTTTTCCCTCAAGGTAAACTGAAGGTCAAAGAAAGGACAACATTTTGTTTAAATCAGAATTCTCTTCATGTACTTTCTAGCAATAGATAGATAGATCCATAAAGATTTGTTTATGTTCGTATGAGAAGTTTGAACTTTTTTCTTAGCAAGAACATTTTCATAAGATATATTTTCCATGATTAGAGTATAAATAATGCTGGGAAAAGACAAATTTGGTTGTTGTGAACAGTTATTACACAAAATCCATTAGTTCTGAAACCTTTATTAAATTTTATCACCTATCAGAAGTAGTTGTTTAGAAACCGGCTTGTTAATGGAGAATCAATGAAGTTGCACTTAGTTCTGGCTACAGCTTTGAGGGACCTGACTGTGGACACTGCCATTTAGTGGCCTCCACATACGTATGTGTGACTGAGTTGGTAGTGACTCTCTCTAGTTATTTGGTACCTAGCTCCCATATTCCATACTTAAAAGTGTTTATTTTAATACTTTTCTGTAATTAGTGAAGATACAAGGATTGCTGCTACATTTATGAAGTATGTTTCAATACAAGTTTTTATTACTTTTGGAAAAATATATTTCTAAAACTAACATATCATAATTTTTACTGAGTTAAATGCCATATATCTTTCAGAGGATCATAAAACAGGAGTTGGGGCAGTCATTTGGGCAGAAGGGAAATCTGTAAGTATGAAAACAATTCTTTAAATATTTAACCTGGATTTTGTTTAAACATAGTTCAGTCTTCGGTGCATTACAGGTTACTGACTGCCAAGGCGGGCAGATCACAAGGTCAGGAGATTGAGACCATCCTGGCTAACACAATGAAACCCCATCTCTACTAAAAAAAAAAAAAATACAAAAATTAGCTGGGCGTGGTGGCGGGTGCCTGTAGTCCCAGCTACTCGGGAGGCTGAGACAGGAGAATGGTGTGAACCCGGGAGGCCGAGCTTGCTGTGAGCAGAGATCGTGCCACTGCACTCCAGCCTGGGTGACAGAGCGAGACTCCGTCTCAAAAAAAAAAAAATATTAATATTTTTGTAATGGTGCATTTATGAAGATCTATAAAGATTTGCTCATCCCTCAACAGTTTTCTAGATAGACGCATTCATTCAGCAAACATTTGTTAAACACTCTCTACAGGTTAGGCACTGTGCCACAGTGAATGCTGGGGATTAAAGATCACATTTTATGGCCTCATAGTTTAGTGATGGAGATGTAGAAGTAAAATATAACTGATATGTAAGTGTAATTATAACTGATATCATGAGAACATAGAGGAGGAACCTTTGCTTGGAAAAATAAGTAAATACTGTTGGTGAATATTATTAATGTTACTAATATAATATTCTTGAAGAATAAGATAATTTCTTCAGACAGAGCAAGTCAATAGGACCAGGAGGATAACATGAATATTCTTGGTGAACATTCTTTTTTTTTTTTTTTTGAGACAGAGTCCCCCTCTGTCACCCAGGCTGGAGTGCAGTGGTGCAATCTTGGCTCACTGCAACCTCTGCCTCCTGGATTCAAGTGATTCTCATGCCTCAGCCTCTTGAATAGCTGGGACTATAGGCATGTACCACCACACCTGGCTCATTTTTGTATTTTTAGTAGAGATGGGATTTTGCCATGTTGACCAGGCTGGTCTTGAACTCCTGGCCTCAAGCAGTCCACCCTCTTCTGCCTCCCAAAGTGCTGGGATCACAGGTGTGAGCCACCATGCCTGCCCTGAATATTCTTAATATTAATATTAATAATGTTAAAATTCTTGAAGATTAGGAGGATATCATCAGGCAGAGCAAGTTAATGGGACCAGGAGAATAACACACAGAGACTGGGGTGAGAGAGAGAATATGGGAAAACGCATTTGATTTGGCACATAGAGTAAGCAACAAAGTGGACGGGACCATGAAGAACTCTATATTCCATGTAAAGATTTTGGACTTTATCCTGGCAGTGACATACTATAGCACAGCACTAACCAGTAGAGAGAAAAGGCAAGGCTCAAACTGAATTTTAAATTTTCTAGGTGTTATATATATATATATATATATATATATATATATATATAGAGAGAGAGAGAGAGAGAGAGAGAGAGAGAGAGAGAGAGAGAGAGAGAGAGAGAGAGAGAGAGAGAGAGTCTCACTCTGTTGCCAGGCTGGAGTGCAGTGGTGCAGTCTGAGCTCACTGCAACCTCTGCCTCCTGGGTTCAAGCAATTCTCCTGTCTCAGCCTCCCCAGTAGCTGGGACTACAGGTGTGTGCCACCACACCCAGCTAATTTTTGTGTTTTTAGTAGAGATGGGGTTTCACCATGTTGTCCAGAATGGTCTCAATCTCTTGACTTCGTGATCCACCTGCCTTGGCCTCCCAAAGTGCTGGGATTACAGGTGTGAACCACTGCAACCAGCTGGAGCCATGTTTTTAAAAGGAAGACAGATAAATTAATTTTAAGAAAATATTTAATCATGTAATCAATAAAAAATTATTGATGAAATATTCTGCATTTAAAAAATATTAAATCTTCAAAATTCTATGTGTATTTTACACCTGCAGCACCTCTCAATCTAGACTAACCACATGTGGCTAGTGGCGACTGTATGGGACAGTGCATTCCAAGAATGTTCTAAGTGGGGAAATGATTTGATCAGATTTGCATTATAAATAGAATGAGGTAGGGCTAGACAGAAAATAAGGAGATTAATAAAAAGAGATGAGGACTTGGAGATGTGGGGATGGGTTAGGAGGCTAGAATCAAGAGATATTTAGTAACTATATAGCTGACTGAAAGGTGAGCCTACATTTTGCCTCAGGGACTTCACAGAAAGTAATCTGACAATTTGCTTTGATGTTTCACAAACTCCTCAAGTTCACTCATCCAGTATCTTCCCTGCTAACCTCCTCCCTCATCAGTGGTCACCATCTTGTCTGTTACTGTACACATACAATCACCTAGCACAATGGATTCCACCTTCAAAATACCTCTTGACTCTACTTACCTGTACCCCAACTGTTAACTCCTACTAGAATACTAGGCTCCTCTGCCAGAAATTCCTCAGCACTCTGTACAACTTGTCTGTGACATTCATCACAGTTAAAGTTATCTGTTCAATTTCTTACCCTCCCCAGACTAGAAGGCTCATGAGGGTAGGGACTCTCTGTCTTGTTTACAGTTGTATTCCAGCACCTAGCATAGGTCTAACTGGTGGTTGGAACTCTCATTTGTGTGTACATGAATGCTCAGCAGACTTTTGGCTTAACATCTGGTTGTTAATGATTTTGTGGAGAATGTCAGTTTCTAGTTATCTCTAGAGTAGGCCAGCAGGCAGCACGGTGAAATGGAAAGACACATGGCTTAGAGTCAAGTAATCTGGGCTTGAATTCTGGCTATGTTACTTACTCATTTTGTGACCCTAGACAATTAATCACTCTTGTCCTCAGTTTCCTTATCTGTAAAACAGTAATATTAATAGTATCACTCTTTAGGTTGTTTCAAGAATTGATCAAATGAAATGATCCATGTAAAACTCAGTATGGCTGGGTGCAGTGGCTCATGCCTGTAATCCAGCACTTTGGGAGGCGGGGGTGGGAGGATTCCTTGAGCCCAGGAGTCCAAGACAATCCTGGGCATCATGGTGAGACCCCGTTGCTACAAAAAAAGAAAAAATTAGCCAGGCATAGTGACATACGCCTGTGGTCCCAGCTACTTGGGAGGCTGAGATGGGAGGATGACTTGAGCCCAGGAAGTCAAACCTGGGTGACAGAGTGAGACCCTGTCTCTAAATAAATAAATAAATAAATAACTCAGCATGATGTTTGACATTTAGTAAATGTTCAAACAGATTTATTAATGAGATAATATTTTGTTTGCAGGCTTTTGTTGGCTCACTATTACATGATTTTTATGAAGCTGCTACAGTAATGAGTCTGTTGATATTATCATGAGTAATTATAATATATTGAAATTTAATGAGTTTTATAGCATATTCCAAAAAACTATTACACACACATTACTAATATTTCATTCTAATAATTGATAAAGCATTCATATTAACTACTATTTCTCTTTAAAAGAGAAATAAGAGCCATTGAAGTAAGAAGTTCTATAATAATATGCATATAATAGAGGCTTAATAAATACTGAAGATGAAAATGCATTTTTTATTTTCCAACTAAATCACAATAGCACATTTTTAGCCCAACAGAAATTTTCTGTTTAAAGTATTTAAAAGTTTTTGACTTGCTAACCAGTAGCATGGCACAGAGCACATAAGAAATTAACAATCACTTGTTGAGTACCTGCTATGTACAGAATACTCGAACATGTTGAAGGGATGGAAAAGAAATATATAACATGGTTTCTGCTCTCCAGGATCTATAATTTATTTGGGAAGTAATATCTGAATCAAGTGAAATAATTTGTTAGTTAAGTAAGATAGTATTTAATTAATTGCAAAAAACAAGGACTTCCTTGAGATTATAGATTAGAGAGGTGGTTGGCCTTCTTGGAATTTAGCTTTGACAAGATCACACTGCAGTAGGAGTATCTGGTATTATATTTTTTGATAGCTCAGTTTACTGTAGAAAATTGAATGAATATTCATTATACAAAGTATGATAGCAAGCTTCAAAAATACATTGCAAAGTGTCTTTTCAGAATGTTGAAACTAACCATTGGTTTGCTCACTCTCGTAGAGAAGTTGTGATGGAACAGGTGCCATGTACTTTGTAGGATGTGGTTACAATGCTTTTCCTGTTGGATCTGAGTATGCTGACTTCCCACACATGGATGACAAGCAGAAAGACAGAGAAATAAGGAAATTCAGATACATCATACATGCGGAACAGAATGCCTTGACATTTAGGTATGAAATCCTTCTTGGTGTACTTTTCTTTAAAATGTAGCAAGGGTTGGTTGAAATTAATTTTCTTATAATTGTAATTTATTTCCTTTTTCAAATTCCAAGAAAGTTTCCTTTCAGAAGTATAACTTTGGTAAAGCTTGGTCCTCACTGCCAGACCTGAAGCTATGACCTGACCTGAGGTCATCGCCTCTTCAGGTCTTCCCAATTTGTTGAGCATGTCTTTTTTTCCCTTGCCTCTCTCCAATATGAAACTGCTTTAAGTTTATCCTTTGGGATCTTGCTCAGCCTCTCATATTTCTGGATGTTAAGGCTCCTTTGTTTTCTAAATCTGGAGCACGCATTTATTAATACAGTTACACGCCACAGAAAGACATTTTGAGCAACGATGGACTACATGCACAACGTGTTCCCATAAGATTATAACAGAGCTGAAAAATTCCTGAGTGAAGTAGCCATTGTAACATCACACGTTACCTTTTTTATGTTCAGATACGCAAATACTTACCATTGTGTTACAATGGCCTGCAGTATTCAGAATAGGGATTTATAATGAACCAAATTGCTTCAAAAGAGCTTTTGTTAGTGATTATACCTGTTAATTTACATCATTTTCACAAACACTTCTCAGCCTTTACCATTAAGGTTAAGGGATTAAAAAACTGTGTAAGACATGACTCCTGTCCTTGGAGAGCTTCTAATGCAATAGGGGATATGAGACGGCATCCACCTCGTGCTGTGGATTCTGTGGGAGGGGCAAATGTAAAGTGCTGCGGACATTCTGGAGCTGCTATGGACAAATGGGAGAGTGCAAGGGAAAGGCTTTAGGGAAGAACTGGCATCTGAACTGAGCTTTAAAGGATTCCTAGACTGGGGCAATTGGAAGGGAAGGGAAGACCATTCTTGCTTCTAGCATAAGCAACGGTCTAGAAGTAGGAAAATCCGTGGTGTGTTTAGGAGCATGAATATTCCAGTTAGGTTGGAATGTGGACACAAGGGAAAGACAGCTCACAAGGACAGGCTGGGACTGGACTCGAGAGGACTTTGAGTTTATGCTCCATTTGGTAGGCAGCGGGGAAATGGAATGGCATTGACAGAGCCATACGCTATAGATTATGTAGGTAGTATTGTTTGAACAGACTAGATGCATAGAATTCTGTTGCCCTAGTCCAGGTGAACGTAAATAACAGTCTCAACAAGGAAGATGGATGTGGAAGGCTGGCGGTGGAGGAATTGAAGATGGCTGGCTGAGAGCTACGTAAGCCTCAGAACCCGGAAGTCAGTCCTTGCAGCCCCAGTTGTTAGTCCTAAACTACCCTCAGCATGCAAAATTTCACCCAAAATTCCCTCTATTCTTTTCCTTGTCCTCTTCATTACAGATTTACTTGCTTCATTTTGTACAGAGGTGTGAATATATCAAATAGAAACTTTTCTTTTTAAAATTATCCTATGATAGGGAAGGGGTAAGGGAACTATAAGTCAAAACAGAACTTAAGTATTTGATTATTCATTTAGTAAACATTTATTGACTATCCACTAGGTACCAGATAGGGCTGTGTCATTTGTCTAACAAGATGAGTTAGTGTCTAATCAGACATGATTAGCTCTTAAGGTATCAGTTTCAAATCTAATTCCAGTATTCTAAACAGGTACTTATTTAGAAAGCATTGGGGGTTTTTTCTCTCTTTCTTTGGTGTCTGTATCTTCCTGATTTCATTTATTTTGTAATCTGAAACTGAACCTCTTACTTAGAATCAATAAATTATTTTTAGTTATAATAATTGTCATGTTCAGGTTGTATCATAACACTTTTGTGGGTTTACATACTTTGAACATTCAGTAATTCAGCAAGTCTAAGGCTTGATGATCATTATTAATAATGTCATAAATCTGTTTTTAAAACAGCTCAATTTTAGTGTTTAAAGATTTTTCTAAAAAATAACTTACCCTTTCAGAAACGACCTTTCTGATATTTTATAATTTTTTTTGTAGGTGTCAAGAAATAAAACCAGAAGAAAGAAGCATGATTTTTGTGACAAAGTGCCCATGTGATGAGTGTGTACCTTTAATTAAAGGTGCAGGCATAAAACAAATCTATGCAGGAGATGTAGATGTTGGAAAAAAGAAGGCAGACATCTCTTACATGAGGTTCGGGGAGCTTGAAGGTGTTAGCAAATTTACGGTAAGTAGATACACATTTTTTTCAGGTGTATTTTGTATTATGTTGTTAGGTACCCTGCTGCAATATTGTAAGTTAGTGATTCCCACCCTTTTAAAGAGTTTCAACAAATTATTATTATTATTATTATTATTATTATTTTATTATTATTATTTGAGACAGAGTCTCTCTCTGTTGCCTAGGCTGGAGTGCCAGTGGCTCGATCTCGGCTCACTGCAGACTCCGCCTCCTGGGTTCAAGTGATTCTCCTGTCTCAGCCCCCCGAGTAGCTGGGATTACAGGCGCCGGCCACCACGCCTGGCTAATTTTTGTATTTTTAGTAGAGACGGGGTTTCGCCATGTTGTCCGGGCTGGTCTCAAACTCCTGAGCTCAGGTGATCCGCCCGCCTCCGTCTCCCAAAGTGCTGGGATTACAGGCGTAAGCCACCGCGCCCGGCCGAGTTTCAACAAATTATTATTATTATTGAGTTTATTTATATGTGCAAACCCTTACCTAACTGCAACTGTTCAGCTAAGGATTCCTGCCTTATGAATTTACATCTCTGTAGAGAATTGAGCCAGTGGATCTTTTGGTGCCATCTGGTGGCTGATAAAAGAAAAATCTCTGACCCATCTCTTCCCTCTCCTTTCTGGCTTAGAGAGGTGGATAGAGGTGAAAATACTTCAGCAGTCCCCACCCTTTTCGGCACCAGTGACCGGTTTTGTGGAAGACAATTTTTCCACAGATGGGGTTATGGTTTTGGGATGAAACTATTCCACCTCAGATCATCAGGCAATAGATTCTCATAAGGAGCACGCAGCCTAGATCCCTCAGGTGTGCAGTTCACAGTAGGGTTCTGCTCCTATGAGAATCTAATTCCACCGCTCATCTGACAGGAGGTGGAGCTCAGGCGGTAATGCTCGCTCGCCTGCACTCACTTGCTGCCGTGCGGCCCAGTTCCTAACAGGCCACGGACCAGTACTGGTTGCTGCCAAAGGTTTGGGATCCCCTGCAATAGTTTAAAGGTCACCCCCACCCCCAAACAAAGGGAGGTGCACACACACAAACACACACATTTCTCATGAGAAAAATCAGGAAAACAAGAATATTTGTTTATTTATTTATATATTTATTTTGAGATGGAGTTTCACTCATTGCCCAGGCTGGAGTGCAATGGCGTGATCTCGGCTCACTGCAAACTCAGCCTCCCGGGTTCCAGCGATTCTCCTGCCTTGCTACCCCCACCCCCCTCCCCCCACCCCCCAGTATCTGGGATTACAGGCGCACGCCACCATGCCCAGCTAATCTTTTGTATTTTTAATAATAGAGACGGGGTTTCACCATGTTGGCCAGGCTGCTCTTGAACTCCTGACCTCAGGTGATACACCGGCCTCGGCCACCCAAAGTGCTGGGATTATAGGCATGAGCCACCACGACTGGCCCGGGAAAAAAAGAATTTCTTATTTGATAGTTCCAAAAATGTACTGAGGTAGTTCATGGAAAACACAAGAACTTTTAAGTCTTTATACCTCTTCACTATTTGGGTTCTGGTTTTTGTGGGTTTTTTTTTTTTTTTTTTTGCTTTTGTTTTTGTTTTGAGACAGGGTCTCACTATCTCACCCAGGCTGGAGTGCAGTGGCGCCATCTTGGCAATCTCTGTCTCCTGGGCTCAAGCGATCTGCCTGCCTCAGCCTCCCAAAGTGCTGGGACAAGCATGAGCCACTGTTCTCAGCCTATTTTGGTTTTCAAAAAGCTTTTTATTTGGAAAAAACCTTAAGCATACAGAAAAGTTATAAAAACACTACAAAGAAATTTTTTCCCAGAAGTTGTTGACATGATACCAGCTCACCCTTTATTTCCTCAAATGAGAAATAACCACATAATTACAACCATAAAAATCAGGAAATTAACATTGATACATTACTGCCACTAATCCACAGATTCCAGTCAAGGTTCATTAGCTGCCCAAGAAATGTCTTATATAGCAGGTTTCCCCAACCCCTGGGTACCAGTTAAGAAGCTTCTTCTGTATTTATGGTCACTCCCCATTGCTCACATTACTGCTTAAGCTCTGCCTCCGGCCAGATCAGCAGCGGCATTAGATTCTCATGTGAGTGTGAACCCTATTGTGAACTGCCCATGCAAGGGATCTAGGTTGTGCACTCCTTATGAGAATCTAAAGCCTGATGATCCCCCATTCCTCACCATCTGGTCTGTGGAAAAACTTCCATGAAACCGGTACCTGGTCCCTGGTGCCACAAAGGTTGGGGACTGCTTTTATATAGCAAAAGGATCCTGTCCAGAATCATACATTGTTTCTATGACATCCAATGATTTAATCCTGGCATTGAATGAGTTAATGTAACATTTAACTACTAGAATTTGCAGTGGGAAGAAAAATGATATAAAAGAACCGTTTATATATTTCAGCTTTACATTCCTGCCATATACATCAGTTTGAGTCCAGGATACCTGGAACATACATATATATGATTAACTTGGACATATAACATATAATTATATATGTATATAATTTTAAATATAGAAACATACTATCCAGTGTCTGTCATGTGTATATGAAGTATCATAAGTTTTTACCATTTGTAATATTGTCATTTTTTTCTAATTGTCTTATTTAAAGTTTATCACATTTTTAAATGAGGGGGTGTTGACATGGCACTGAAAGAAGGCAGAGATGGGAAAGATACCTTTTTTGTAAAACTCAATAAAAGCTTATATCCAACTAGTCAGAGAAATCTCTACTTCCGTGTTTTTGTTTTCTGTCTCTTCATTCCTCCTGAAGAGTGTGAATAAATAGGTTTTTCAAGTTCTCCTCATAAAGATTAAGTGACTTAATCATAAAGATTAAGGACTATGAGTGATGGGTTATGGAGAATTCTGAAATATCTTGCTTACTGGTAGATTTTAATAGCTTTTCAATTGTAAAGAGAATGAAGAGATCAGAAGAACTTAAGAAAGGGCAAGAGAAGCAGAAGGAGGCAGGAAGACTAAGGGGATCTTCAGGGGCAGAGATGGGAAAGGAAGCACCCAGTTGGGCCAGACCCTCCCGGAAATACCCTCACTCAGGCACATGTTCCAAAGGCTGTTGTTCATGGTTGTTCTCTGTTCTACCTCCAGTGAAGATGAGCTGTCCATCTTCTCATCCTTCTCATCTGGCCTGGCTGCAAATATTATGTAGATGGTTAGCTAGATACCTAGTTTTGTAAATGCAAGTAATTAACATGAACTAGAATTTGTTCTAAATCTGAATTTCAGTACCAAGATTATCAAAAATAGTGTGTGTCAATAAATTTGGTATTTGTTTTTAAGATTAAAGCAAATTGAAATTACTTTGAAAGATTTTTTGCTTTCCTTTTTGATAAGTTACCATAGACCTTGAGATAAGTAGTTCTATTCTGTGGTGTTGTCACAAACCAGGCTAGGACTGGGCAACACTGTTTCCAAGAATAGATTTTATCAATCTATATCCATGTCCACATACTCAGTTCTTTGTTTTCTCTTTAATATGTGTGGATTTTTCTCTATTAGGTTATATTACTTATTTTTATTATGAAAGTAGTATATGCTCATTGTAGAAGACTAGGAAAATAAAAAAGAACGTGTATTATCTCACAACTCATAGATACCACAATTAACATGTTGCTGTATTTTCTGCCACTAAAAGTTCTTTAAAAAATATTTTAAATAATTTAACACAATATTCCAACCCATAGGCCTAACTTATTTAACCATTCCCATGTTGTTGGACACCTGGATTGTTTCTAAGTTTTTACAGTTATAAGAAGCCTTTTTATGAATGTCCTTAAACATAAATTCAGGATTACTTGTTTTTACTTTGTCTGCCCAAATTAATAGGTTTTAGTGGTTTGACGTCTTTCAAAAAATGCCTAATTTTAAACATTTTTTTGGTAATTTCTCATGTAGCTTCCTACCCTTTCTAAGTCTTCTCTCTTTCTTGGTGCTAGCCTAAACCATCCCATTCGTTTAAATAACCAACCATTTCTAGATGTCCTCCCTTTCCAGGGACTTTTAATACATGGTAAAATGTTTGTCCTGTATCTCATCCCCCCTCAAGGCTCGTGATGTTAACTAGTTAATCTGATGAGTGAACTGATGCTTATGGAAGAGGCTCCCGGGTAATCCATATTTGTGTCCTGAGATGGTGCCCTAGCAGGGCCTTTTGGTTAAGTCATTAGTGATTCTGATAGAGATTCTATCCAGCTGAGAAAAGAAGGGCTGTGCTATAAGATACCGATTACTCTCCATTTTTATTTTCTCCTGCCCCAATATTCTATGTAATATCTGTGAATCTTCAGGCTTCCCTATTTATTCCTGAATGGTTGAGATGAAATACAGTAATCAGAGGAGATATATGATATGATATAAAATGATATGATGCAGGTAATAGTTTATGATATAACAACATTAAAAGGCAAGGTAATCTTGGTCATATTTTCTTTTTCTTTTCTTTTTTTTTTCTTTTTTCTTTTTTTTTTTTGTGAGACAGAGTCTTGCTCTGTCTTCCAGGCTGGAGTGCAGTGGTGCAATCTCGGCTCACTGCAAGCTCCACCTCCCGGGTTCTCGCCATTCTCCTGCCTCAGCCTCTCGAGTAGCTGGGACTACAGGCACCGGCCACCACGCCCAGCTAATTTTTTGTATTTTTAGTAGAGACGGGGTTTCACCTTGTTAGCCAGGATGGTCTCTATCTGACCTCGTGATCCACCCACCTCAGCCTCCCAAAGTGCTGGGATTACAGGCGTGAGCCACTGTGCATGGCCTATCTTGGTCATATTTTCATTCTTTAATACCTAGGCCTTTTCTAGCTATTATAAGATTCTCTAGGACCTGGAGATAGAATACAATGCGATGTTAATTCCATAGTACTGGGCATGGGTTCTAATTCTATTGCCTCCTGTAGTTAGGGTGTAACCTGAGACAAGTCACTCCAATCCTCTGGTCTTCCACTTACTTCCAATTAAAATGAATGTAAAGAATCTTCAACTTCTCTAAGAGTATTGATTCGGATCCCAGAAGTTATATCATTCAGGATCACTCAGTGTGGCGTTATTAGGGCTTTGTTAATTTGAACATGCTAACTTCTTTTTCTTCTATTTTTTTAATTTTTTTTTTTTTTCAAGATGGAGGCTTGCTCTGTCACCCAGGCTGAAGTGCAGTGGCACCATCTCAGCTCACTGCAACCTCCACCTCCCAGGTTCAAGCAATTCTCTTACCTCAGCCTCCCAAGTAGCTAGGACTACAGGCGCGTGCCACCACGCCCAGCTAATTTTTGTATTTTTATTAAAGACGGAGTTTCACCATGTTGGCCAGGTTGGTCTCAAACTCCTTAACTCAGGTAATCCACCTACCTTGGCCTCCCAAAGTGCTGGGATTACAGGTGTGACCCACTATGCCCAGCCATTTTTCTTCCATTTTTAAGAAGTTGTTTTGATATTTAAAATCAATGTGCTGGAATGCTATGTATTAAATCCTCTTTAAACAAGTAAAATGTTTGTGCACTCTTACAGTGGCAGCTGAATCCATCAGGAGCTTATGGTCTTGAACAAAATGAGCCTGAAAGGAGAGAAAGTAAGTATTTATGTATTGAGGTGAACTTTGTTGCTGAGGAGAAAGGATATACAGTGAATTTTAATGATCAGGTGATGAAAATTGTGTTAATAGATGGAGCATATTATTTTTGAAGGTTAGATTTTTGCCATTCAATTTGTTCATAAATATTTGTGGGTCTACCATATGCTAGGTGCTATGGAAAGTGCCGATTAATAATTACTCCTATAGAATCTACAGGTTAATACAAATAATTATGCACAAATTGACTTTATAAATTAAATGCATATGAAACAGTAAACAGCAATGCTCTTCTATAACAAAACAAAAGCTTATTGGGGAGTGAGAAAGGAAAAATATGTATAATTAGTACAGATGGATTGGGACCAAATGATGAGGATATATACATTCTTCTAGAGTAAACCCACATTTGCCCAGATTGGAAATGTTCTGGTAACTTGAATAATCTGATTAACTAAGAATCATCACAGCTACCATAATGAATTACTAGTCTTTAAAGCTTTATTATTCGTATACTACTACAGATATTTTGAATGTAATATAATCTTTGAGAAGTCTTACAATTCTTTAGGCACATAATTTTAGATATGAGTGCTATATAATATTATTCTAAAATAGTAACTATAGGCCAGGTGTGGTCACTCACGCCTATAATCCCAGCACTTTGGGAGGCCAAGGCAGGGGGATCACTTGAAATCAGGAGTTCGAGATCAGCTTGGCCAACATGGTGAAACCTCGTCTCCACTAAAAATACAAAAAATAGCCAGGTATCATGGCACATGCCTGTAATCCCAGCTACTTGGGAGTTTGAGGCAGGAGAATCACTTGAATCCAGGAGGTGGAGTTTGCAGTGAGCCGAGATAGCGCCACTGCACTCCAGCCTGGGCGACAGGGCAAAACTCTGTCTCTAAAAATAAAAATAAAACAGTAACTATATTATCGAATTATTTGGATTTGAAGTAAATGGAAGTTTTCTGTAAGTTTTCTTGATAATAACAATTTTTTAACCTTGAAAAATCAAGAAGTATAAAGGTCTTAGAATAATTTTTCTGTGAATATATTGATTTTCAGTGTTCTGAATTAGCTTTATTTGATTCAAATAGAAAATGTATTGTTTGCAATTTGGAAAAAAGTACATATCCACTGCATCTTTCTTTTTAAAAATTTATTAGCAAAAAAGGCTGTATCTATCTATCTATCTATCTATCTATCTATCTATCTATCTATCGGTCTGTCTCTCTGTCTATCTATACATCTGATTAAATAATGTACACTCAATGACAGTGTTTGAAGGGGCCAATGAATAATTTCCTATGTTAGGGAAAGGATACAAAAAGCACGAATCATAAAAAGGTTAATTTATCTATGCTACAATGAAGAATATCTGTTCATTAAAATATATTACTAGGCCAGGTGCAGTGGCTCACACCTGTAATCCCAGTGCTTTGGAAGGCTGAGGTGGGTGAATTGCTTGAGCCCAGGAGTTTGAAACCAGGCTAGGCAACATGGCAAAACCCTCTCTCTACAAAAAATACAAAAATTAGCCAATTGTGGTGGCACATGCCTGTGGTCCCAGCTACTCAGGAGGCTGAGGTGGAAGGATCTCTTAAGCATGAAGAGGTTGAGGCTGCAGTGATCCATGCTTGTACCACTCTACTCCAACCTTGGCAACAGAGTGAGACCCTGCCTTAAAAAAAAAAAAAAAAAAGATATCACTACAAGAGTGCAAAGGCAAGCCATGGAATATGAGAAGATACTTGCCACTTATAATCAACAAAGGGCTTGTATCTAGGATTTATTATTCCTAGATTACTAAGGAAAAGGAAGACATGCTGTGGTTAAAGCCCCAAGATTGGAAGGAGGGGACAAAAGGAAGGCTTCTGGTTTGCTGGCAATGTTTTATTTATTGACCCAGATGATGGTTACATATGTTTGCTTTGTGACAGTTCAACTGAACAGTTAAGTTTATGTTTATGCATTTTTGAACAAGTGTTTGATCTCAGTAAGCAATACCCCATTTCCTTTTTAATTATATGATAGTTTTACTGATATGTAATTCATCTATCATAAATTTGCTTCTTTAGTAGATTCACGAAGTTGTACAGGCATCACTACAACATAATTTCAGAACATTTTCATTATCTGAGAAAGAAGTCTCATGCCTATTTGCAGTCACTCCCCATTCTTCACTCCCCCTAGCCCTAGGCAACCACTCTTTCAGTTTTTATGGATTAGTCTATTCTGGCCATTTCATATAAATGGAATCATACAGTATGTAATTCCTTTCCAATTTTTGATTCAGTTGAGAAATAGACACCAGAATCAACAGATGAAAGTTACAACACCAGCTTTGTTGTTAGACTGGGGCTTGACTTTTGGGTAAATCAGTCTGTCTAACTCAGAGGGGGACTTGCTGCTGGATACTCTCTCAGTGCCAGTAGCAGGGACAAACAGAGAAGGAAGGCAGGCAGTGTGACTGACAACTCTCAAGTGCCCTTCCACTCCATGCAAATGGAACCCAGGTAACCCATAACAAGCATTCTTTTTAAAGAGTCATGGAGCTTTCAAGAAAATAAGAGAAATATTCTCCTAAGAACAAAATAGAGATAAGAAGGCATTTTGCTAGAATCTGAGGAGCAATAGTAAGCGAACACAATAGCCAGAGCTATCCTGGGGACAAATGTCCATATAAGCTGGGATCTGAGATCAGGTCTGGGTCTGCTGCAAGGTGAGTGAACTGAACTTAGTTCACCCAATCAACACATGAAAAGATGATTAAACTTATTAGTAGTCAGAGAAATGCAAATTAACATTGCACGGAAGTAGCTTTTTTTTTGCTTTTTTTTTTTTTTTTTTTTTTTTTTATGACGGAGTCTCACTCTGTCGCCCAGTCTGGAGTGCAGTGGCGTGATCCTGGCTCACTGCAACCTCCACCTCCCAGGTTCAAGAGATTCTCCTGCCTTAGCCTCCCAAGTATCTGGGATTACAGGCATGCACCACCATGCCCAGCTAATTTTGTATTTTTAGTAGAGACGAGGTTTCACCACGTTGGCTAGGCTAGTCTCAAACTCTGGACCTCAGGTGATCTGCCCGCCTTGGCCTCCGAAAGTGCTGGGATTACCGGCATGAGCCACCACGCCTGGCCTGAAATAGCATTTTTTATAAGCGTATGCCCTAGAGAAACTCTTGCATATTGTATAAGAGTCAGAGAGACAAAGAATTTGTTGCTATATTGTTTTTAAAAGCAAAAACTGGAAATAACACAAATGTTTGTTTTGGGTGGTTAGATAAAAATATTATGGTGTATTCCCACAATGGACTACCATATAGCAGTGAAAACAAATGAACTAGAGCTACATTCTTCAACATGGATGAATCTTAGAAATATAAATGTTGAATTTAACAAAGCAAACTACAGAATTATGATACCATTTCTGTATAAAGTTCAAAAAGACATACCATATATTGGTTAAATGTGGTAGGCCAGGCATGGTGCTCACACCTATAATCCCAGCATATTGGGAGACTGAAGCGGGCCAATTGCTTGAGCCCAGGAGTTCAAGACCAGCCTGGGCATCACAGCAAAACTCCATCTCTACAAAAGATACAAAAAATTAGTTTGGCATGGTGGCCTGTGCCTGTAGTCCCAGCTACCGCAGAGGCTGACATAGGAGGATCACCTGAGCCCAGGAGGTTGAGGATGCAGTGAGCTGAGATCACACCACTGCACTCCAGCCTGGGTAACAGACTGAGACAGACCCTGTCTCAAAAAATATATAAATAAATAAATAAAATATACTTTAATATATAGTATATACAGTAAAGTTATTGTTAAGAAGCAATCGATTGATAAACACAAAAATCAAGATAGGAGTTGCCTCTGAGTGGGGTGAAAGGGGATGGGACGAGAGAGGGAGCGCACGGGAATTGATAATGTTCTAGTTGTTGGATTCGGCAGTATGTTTTGTTTTTTTTCCATCTCCCCCCAACACACATAATGTAGTTTTATTCAGTTTTAAACAAACTGTAACTCTTTTGGGGCAGTAAGTTCATGAGTGTTCATTTTATTGTTAGGCTTTAGAACTCCCATCTGTATTATGTATGTATTATTATATATTACATAATACATTATATATAGAGAGAGAGAATGTTTCAAATATTACATGATATGATGAGAACAAGAAAGAGAGAGGGGTGGCTTTCCAGATCTACCTCTGGAAGGCAAGTCTGAGCCCTGGCCCAGGTGTCCTTAGGACAAGGAAACAGCAGGGCAGAACATACAGGCTCAGGGCAGGAAATCCCTCAAAAGATGGGAAGAAAGGGGCAGAAAGAAGCTTTTGCAGGTGATAGATATGTTCATTGTCTTGACTGTGGGGATAGTTTCATGAATGTGTACTTATGTCAGAAATCATGAAACTGGACTAAGCAAAATGGCTCCTTCCTGTGATCCCATCATTTTGGGAGGCTGAGGTGGGAGGATTGCTTGAGGCCAAGAGTTCAAGACCAGTTTGGGTAACAGACTGAGAACCCCATCTCTACAAATATTACAAATCAAAAAGTAAATTAAAAAAATTCATCAAGCTATACACTTTATGTTTAGTTTATTGCATACTTTAAACATGTATCATTTATTGTACAAATAAAGCTATTAAACACAAAAGCCAGGAAGAGGTTGAAGCCATACTCTTTTCCCAGCCTGCCCAGTCAGATAAGTCCGTCTTCCTTCCAGTCCCCAGATTCTCCCTACCCCACACACAGTCCCCTTCTCCCTTAGGAGGTACATTTTATTTCTTCCAGTCTAGTAATAGGACGTCCCCCCACCAAAAACATAAAACAAAAAGTTTTATGAATTACTTGCCGTACACTGTTGAGTGAATTCAGTTTTTGGTTTTTTTTTTTTTTGAGACAGGGTCTCGCTGTGTCACCCAGGCTGGAATGCAGTGGCACAGTCATGGCTCACTGCAGACTTGGCCTCTCTGGGCTCAAACAGTCCTCCCACCTCAGGCTCCTGAGTAGCTGGGATTACAGGTGTGCGCCACAACACCTGTTTAAAAAAAAAAAATTTTTTTTGTAGAGATGGGGTCTCCCTATGCTGCCCAAGCTGGTCTTGAACTCTTGGGATCAAGTTATCCTCCCTCCTCAGCCTCCAAAAGTGTTAAAATTACAGACGTGAGCCATTGCACCCGGCCAATGTGAATCCAGTTTTTAAAAGCCAGATTCTGTATTGCCTGAGAGTAAGTTATCTAGATTGGATTCTCTACAATTGAGAATTTGAAGATAAAATAAAGTGAAAGTTCCTTTAACTTAAGCATTGTTTTGCTCTTACAACATGTAAGGCTGAAACAAGTGCCCATGGGTTTGAAATGAAGCTGTCCTGACCTAGCGTTATTCTCAATGCTAGATGGTGTGTTGAGACCTGTCCCACAGAAGGAAGAGCAGCACCAGGACAAGAAGCTGCGCCTCGGAATCCACTAAGAAGGCCTGTCTACACTGCAGGGGAACCTCAAGAACTTTTCATTGCACTTCTAAAATTCAGCCTTGTTCATTCAGAAAATAAGGATGGATTTTGTGAATAATTGAAAAGATTTTTTAAGGAAGCTAATTTATTTCTAGGATACAAATGGTGTTAATAAGAATATTTGTCTTTTAGATTTATGTGTGGGTTTTCCATAATGTAGTAGTGTGTTATTTTATTACACGAAATGAGGGAGCAATAACTTCAACCAATGTAATCACCAACAGGGACTGATTTCTATTTATCTTGACTTTATATTAGCCAATTTGAAAGGGTCTGCTTCACAAGAGGTCATGCCTCTGCAGGGAATCACACACCTTTTGAGAAATATTAATTCTTTTGAATTACAAGAGTGACAGTTAGTAAACTGCTCCAGGGAAATAAGTGTCATCTTTTAAGAGTCAGTGTATAGCAAACCAAAAGATCACATTTATACCCAAAGCTTTCTAGTAATCAGAATTTACTTAATTAGAATTGACTCATAAAAATAAAGTTAGTGGACTTTGTCTCCATTTTTAAAGTATATTTTGTAAATGTTAATTCTGTGGTCCTGTTTATCACAGACTTTGGGTAGCAATAGGAAGAGAGTGTTATTCTGAGACAGTGTCGCTGCTTGATATCACTGACTCTTGAAATCACTAACAGTGAACCTCAAATTTGGTTATGATGTTAACAGAGAAGAAATATTTGAGTCTGGAATATTGAAACTAGCTTTCCTAGAATTCCATTAATAAATGCTGCTCCCCCATATAGTCTTCCCTTCTGTATAATTAACATAGGTTGTCTCATGGCTTTGATCTTCAAAAGGAAGAGCCTTTTAAAAACATTTGCCAACCTCAAGAATAAATACTGAAAGTCTTGAAAGTATGGTCATTTCAGCTATTCCAGATTGCTGTCTGTGATTTCTCACATTTTTATTTGCTGAGAAACATTCAGAAAATTATTCCAAAAATGAAGGTACATTTTCTGTTCTCTCCTAGGTTAGAGAGGGGTGGCCTGGGGTGCTTCATGAGAAATGTCTTCCTGGATCTGCGGTGGTCAGGTTTGCCTCTGCTTTTGTTCCCTGCCTTTCCGCCACATCACACGGCCTCACTGGGCTTCCTACCAGTTTCTCAGAATTACACGCACGACCATCCAAACATTGGCTCCATGCCAGGGCTGTGACTGCAGCCTGTGTAGGACCATGGGGAGTTCAGAGTCATCATACAAGGCAGCCAAGAACTGCCATAAACACTACACAGATGGAGGGCATGGGATAGGACAGGAGAGGAGGTGATGTACACTTAGAGGTAACTAAGGCTAGTTTGAAAACCGTGAATTAAGATATTCTTATCAGTATAAAAACACTGAGATTGCTTACCTCCCAAATTGCTTTATTGTATTAACTCTCATGCTTCAGCTCTTGGATTTGTTGTTTCTAACTAACATGTCATGTACACCAAACATTTTATAAATCAATCAGTAAATATTTTGTAAGACCCAAAATCCTGGCATATTGCCAGGTCTGTGGATTTGCCTGTTGGGTGTTGGGATGGGATATCAGAGGAAGAAGCATACAAGTGGGAAAAACTGTGATTAGAAAGGGAAAAATAGGCATTTCCACAGTACTATTAAGAGAGGCATGATAATGCCATTTTTTTTCTTCTGTACAACTGGTCAGATTTCAATAAATAATCATTGATGGTTTACTGTGTAGCCTCAGAAGGTGAAGTCTATGAGGGCAGGGAGGTGTGTGTGTGTGTGTGTGTGTACTTTTTAACTGCTGAACCCCAGTGTCTAGAACAGTACCTGGCACACAGTAGGCATTCCATAAATATTTGTTTATTGATTGAATGACTGCTAAACACTGCTAGACTGCGGGGATGAGATGTGTGAGAAATGCCTCCTGATCTTAAGACACTCACAGTCAAGTGGAAGATACAAGCATGGAATCAAGTAATTAAGAAAAATGATTCTCAGGCCAGGTGCCGTGGCTCACACCTGTAATCCCAGCACTTTGGGAGGCTGAGTGGGGTAGATCACTTGAGGTCAGGAGTTCAAGACCAGCCTGGTCAACATGGTAAAACCCCGTCTCTACTAAAAATACAAAAAAAAAAAAAAAAAAAAAAAGCTAGACATGGTATTGCATGCCTGTAATCCCAGCTATTTGGGAGACTGAAGCAGGAGAATCACATGAACCCAGGAGGCAGAGGTTGCAGTGAGCTGAGATCATGCCACTGCACTCCAGCCTGGACAACAGAGCGAGACTTAGTCTAAAAGAAAAGAAAAGAAAAAAATGTCTCTGGACCAGCAGACTATTTGTTAGAAGTGCATATTCTTAGGGTGCTCCCTAGGCTTACTGAATTAGAACCTCTCAGGGTGGGCCCAGCAAGCTGGGGTTTCACGACCTTGCGGGTGATTCTGGTGACCTTTAAGGCTGAGAACTGCCATTGTGGATGTAACTGTAGGAACAGTGGGGGCACACGAGGATTTACCAGCACTCTGGGGAGTCATGGAAAGGACCCTGTAGAGGCAGAGGTGATGAGGTGGGGCCTGAGGGGATCCAGGGGTTTGCCAGGTAAACAGTGGGAATGAGACAAATTTCTGGGAAAAAGTGATGGAGACAGACTGCTGAGCCACCCCAGGAGCCCGCCTGGGTTTGGAGAAGCTCTGTGGGGCACTTTTGACCCAGATCTATAAATTCCCAGTCTTCATCCCTTAGCCTGAGAAATCAGAACTTACACTTAAACAAAAAATACAATGTCTTTCTAAATTTCAAAGAATGGGAGGATGATGGTAAGTTCATAATTTGTAAAAAAAAAAAAAAAAAAAAAAAATAGCTCTGCCATTTGTTTACTGCCTAAGTGGCCACAGAATATGCTACTGTGAGGGGAGCTAAGTGTAAGCATTTGCCTGGCTTCCTTCATCCCAGTCATGCAGAACATACGCAGGTGTGTGTATTTTCATTGTATTGCTGCTGAAGCTTTTTCTTTCCTTTTTCAAGACAGGGTCTCACTCTGTTGCCCAGGCTGGAGTGCAGTGGTGCCTTCATAGCTCACTGCAGCCTTGACTGTTTTCTGTGCTCAAGCGGTCCTCCCCACCTCAGCCTCCCAAGTAGCTGGGACTACAGGCACGTGCCACCACGCCTGGCTAGTTTATTTTTTATTTATTTTTTGTAGAGACAGGGGTCTTGCTATGTTGCCCAGGCTGGTCTTGAACTCCTGGCCTCAAGCAATCCTCCTGCCTCTGCCTCCCAAAGTGCTGTGATTACAGGCATGAGCCACCGCGCCTGGCCAAGTTAGCTTTATTTCTGGGTCAATGAATGGTACCAACACTCTATAAACATGAACTCTATCTTTAGTGACACTATGATACATAAATGAGCTTATCGCCCCTGAATGTCTATATCTAAACCCACGTAACACTTGGGAAGGAGAAAGAAAGAAGTGAGCCCATCTTGGGACAGGAGCTCCTTTGGTGAGTGTAGCACAGAGTGATTTGTTAGGGAAAGCACATGTCTTTCCAGAAGGACATGAGCCAGAACTTTCCTGGAATACTTCCCACCACCCCATGATTCTCAGAAATTGGGGTCCAGGCCAGGATGAACGAGAAAGAAACCACAGTTCATCCCAGTGCTGACACCCGTACCCAGAGAGGCCCGGGCCGGGGATGTATCCCAAGGACAAAAGGTGGAGGGAGGAGGCTGGGGGGAGTTCACTTCCTGTGGAGTGAATGGAAACAGCCTGGCTCTGCCTAATGTGCATGAGGGGCTGGGGGTGGCTTGAACAGCTTGAAGTACCTTGTGTAGTGTGTGCGCACATTCACAATGTTAGAAAAAAACAAAAACAAGAGCTAAGCGAGAAGTCTGAAATACTGTGGTGTATGATGCTGTTGAGTTGCAAGAAATGGAAGCTCGTGAGCCGGGAGGCTTCTGTGTGGCAGATCGTAACTCCTGACCAACTTTGTTTCACCCATGATGATAACCAGCAGAGGTTCTCCAGGTTGTTTATTTTTGAACATGGTACAATTCATTAACAAATATTTGCCAGGGCTTAGCTTACCATGAGCCAGGCACTGTGAGGAGTGCAGTTACAGTGGTGAGGAAAACCAGACACAAACCCTGCCCTCGTGGAGCTTATCGTCTAGTTGGGGAGATGGACATACATCAGTATTCATGAAAATGAATGAAAGGTACACAGAAAAGAACTGGCCTCCCAACAAATACAGGGACATGTTTTTTCAGTTCTTCCACTTCACAGAGATCTGGTACTATTATAATGGCACCATGGGCTGCACTTAGTGGACCCAGAAAGTTCTACTGGTTTGGGTTTTTTAAAAGATATCCTACACGCTTAAGCAGGGAATCTTTTGGAAACCTCTGGAAGAACAATCATATTAAACATGCAAATAGGGCTGGGCACGGTGGCGCACACCAGTAATCCCAGCACTTTGGGAGGCTGAGGCAGGTGGATCATGAGGTCAGGGGTTTGAGACCAGCCTGGCCAACATGGTAAAACCCTGTCTCTACTAAAAATACAAAAAAAAAAAAAAAGAAAGAAAGAAACTAGCCAGGCATGGTGGCGTGGGCCTGTAATCCCAGCTACTCAGCAGGCTGAGGCATGAGAATCACTTGAATCCAGGAGGCGGAGGTTGCAGTGAGCCAATATCGTGTCACTGCACTTCAGCCTGGGCAAAAGAGCAAGACTATATAAAAAAAAAAAAAAAATTGGACCATGACCCTTAACCTCAAGATTCTGTGACTTGTCAGGGTGGAAAAAAATGTATGTAAATAAGTATAGATGTGATAAGCTTTAATAAAGAGCAGGGGAATTTAGAGAAACTGTACCAAGCATTAAATGTATTATTTTTAGTAACCAGAAATTCCTTCTATTGATGTAATTAAGATTTTATAGTGTTTGAGAGGCCAAGGCAGGAGGACCACTTGAAGCCAGGAGTTCAAGACCAGCCTGGGAAACATAGCAAGACCCTGTCTCTCCAAAAAGAAACTAAAAAATTAGCCAGTTGTGGTGGTGCACACCTGTAGTCCCAAGCTGCTAGAGAGGCTGAAGCGGGAGAATCACTTGAGCCTAGGAGTTCAAGGCTGCAGTGAGCTATGCTTGCACCACTGCACTCCAGCCTGGGTGACAGAGTGAGACACTGTTTCAAATAGAAAAAAAACTGCATATAGTACTTTACTCTCAGATATGAGTGTTTCTGTTGACCAGGAATTTTACCATTCCTGGTTCTCTGATGCGGAGGTGGCCTTGTGAAAGGACACAGTTTCTGCTGAGCTGAACACGCTTTAGTGTAATCTGATGAAGAACTTCTATGCTGGTTGCGGTATTGGTGGAAAGTGTTTTATTTTGCAGAAAAAGCACAAATTCCACAGAGGGCAACAGTTATCCATTCACTCCATAGCTATCTATTGCTGCATGACAGACTACCCCCTAAAACTTAGTGGCCCATGCCACTATTTTATTTTGCATGATTCTGTGAGCCAGGAATTTGGGCAAGATTCAGCAGAACAGCTCTACTCCCTGTGGCACTGGCTGGGGTCATGGACGGTTGTGTGCCACTGGTGGGTCAGTTGAGAGGGGGGCCCAGCCGGCACAGGGACAGTGAGGCTGGACCATCCAAGGGGCTTCTTTCAGGTTTCTGGTGCCTCAGCTTGGATGGCTGAAACAGCTGGCAGCTGGCCAGGGCTCTCCAGCAGGGTGGCCAGACCTCTATGAGGTGGCAAGGGCTCTGAAAGTGAATGCTCCACAAGGATGGGCCCAGTGTGTCCCCCTTGCATCATGCTGGCTCATGGATCACTGGCCAAGGCCAGTTTCGTGGCCACACCCAGAGTCCATGTGGAGGGGCCTGCACAGGACATGAAGCCAGGAGGTATAGTTCACAGGGGAACACAAAAGTAACGTTCACTGCAGGGACAGAGCAGATCACTGAAGGGAATGCCACTGGGAATCGAGCCCCATGTCCTGGCCCCTGAGCAGAGTTCTGTCCCCAAGACCATTACTCCTCATGGAACTTTTCACCTCCCTCACACTTACGGCAATGCTAACAGTCACTACACACGGTTCTGAGAACCTTCAAATTGAAGCCCTCATGATGTTTCCTAAGAAGTTGCAGTTGTCCAAATCCACAAACCCAGATTTTAGTTGGCAAGTCTGAGAGGTTCTGGGTAACTGTTTTGCTGCACAAACGTGGGTATTCCTGAAAGTTTAAAGATTCATCTTCAACATGCTAGGGAAAGCCACCATGATAGCTAGTCTAATAATGCCCAGACCATCCCCTCATTGATGAATGGAAGGCTCACATTTTAAGATGAATATGGGCCAGGGAGGTTTCACCTTTCTTGGCTGAGGTTGATGCCAAAGTGATAAACCTTGGTGCTTCCCGCCTCCCTGTTCCCTGGGGATGGGCCAGAATCAGATGCCATCAGGGACCCTGCAGGCAATTCTGAGAATTCCTTTTAAGAAGACACCTGCAGGAAGGGTGAACCGCTTTCTAGCCCTTCTGCAGCCAGCCACTCCCCCTGCCTTTTGATGACACAGGTTCTGCATAAGGTGAGAGGGAGGACAGGGTGACATCCATTTCTTGTAAAAATGCCTCAATGAGAAAAGGGCCACATGCATTTCTTGTAAAAATGCATCAGTGAGAAAAACAACAGCAGCAGCAACAACAGCAAATATTTACTGAATCTCCTAGTATGATCCAAGCCCCCAAATCAAGAAAATGTGAATGCTGATGTAAAAAAGGAAGGTATTTGTTCAAACTGCCTGGCCAGTGTTTTTGAAGAAAACAGAGATCTCCAGAGACCCCTTTTTTGGTCCTAAGTAGCAAGCAAACAAGTTCATTAAATGTGTACTGTTTATTTGTGATGTCTCCAAGCAGAGTAGTTGGCTCTTGTTATATATCTGGGAGAATAATCAATGATTTATGCTTCTGACAGTCTTATCATAGCCATTTACATAATGGTCATGTGTATTTGTGACTTTAATACCCTCTGCATATAGCCTTAATTTTTAAATGGATTACACTGTTTTGCTGTTGTGACTTTGCTTGTTTAATCATAGCTAAGACTTTTCTGAAGTCAAATACTTTTTCCATTATCACAGTGAGGCGTTGGCAAAAAAGTGGGGGCTTGCTGGTTACACTTGCTGAAAATAAATCTTGCGTTTATTTGGACTCTCAAGATTGGAGCTCTGAATTCACATAGTCCAGTGTTTATGCACAGAGCACCACTGGCATTGCCATTGATTACGACTGGCATGACCACTGCCAGAGGTTTAGCAGCCCTGGCACACATCCACCAAATGCCATTTCAATCACTCAGAAATTTCTACAACAACAGAAGGCCCCCCACATGTTGGGATAGTGGGCTGCCCTTGCTTGAGCACAGCTGATCGATCCAACCACTGGTCAGCGGTTGCATCTCCTCTTCAACACTCCCCTAAAGGGACAGATCAGCCGGGCTCTGCTCCAGCATCCCCAGCGATGAAGAAGTCACCACCTCCTGAAGCCACATTGGCCTGTCCTCATTATTAACATGTTATTTTTATGGAGTAAACTCCTCCCCCATCACCCCCTCAGACCTTGTCTATAACACAGGCCTCTTTGTGTCTCCTCCCCTACAGGAATGCCCTGGAGTACTTGAAAGTAGCCATTGTGTTCCTGCTGTCCTGTGACAGCCTCCCACCTCTCCTGGAAACTTACTGTGTCATTGTAGCTAGGTTTGCATTTTACAGTGAAGCATTTTTTACTTCACCTCATTAAATGTTCACACTGTGAAGCAGGGATTAGCATTTCCACTGTACGGATAATGAAATGGAGTCTCAGGTTAAACGACTTACCCAAGGCTACACTGCTAACGATTGGCAGAGCCAGAACATGAATCTGCTCCAAATTCAATGCCTTTCATAATTTTCCCAATATGCACTTCATTTTTTTTTCTTTTCTTTTTGAGACAGAATGTCACTCCTATTGCCCAGGCTGGAGTGCAGTGGTGTGATCCCGACTCACTGTAGCCTCGACTTCTTGGGCTCAGGTGATCCTCTCAACTCAGCCTCCCGAGTAGCTGGGACTATAGGGGCACACCACCACACCTTGCTAATTTTTGTATTTTTTGTAGAGATGGAGTTTTGCCATGTTGCCCAGGTTGGTCTCAAACTCCTGAACTCAAGCAGTGTGCCCACCTCGGCCTCCCAGAGTGCTGGAATTACAGGCGTGAGCCACCGCGCCCGGCACAATATGCAATTCGTTTTGTCCAGCCTCTCCCTCTGATGTCTTCATTCTTCCCATTACAACTCCGCATGTCTCCTGTGGTGGAAGGCATCAGTGGCCCCAATTTTTCACCCTTCCCTTTCACATGTTTTGCCAGTTCCATCAGCAGGTGGAACTTGTTGGGGGACTTTGTTTTCAATAGAATAAGATGGAAATGTCCTCGTGTGAGTTTCGACATTAGGCTCAAGAAGCCTGTGTGTTTCCACTTTGCGTTTCTGCCATCACCAAACATCCGGAGCAGAGCCACCCCAGCTAGCCCAGCCGAGATTAGGTGACTCCCAGCCACCCCACAGACTTAGGAAGAAAACATTGGTTTTATTTAAGTTATTGCGTTTCAGGGGGCTGGTTATGCTGCAGTTGCTAAGCAATACATTTCTCCAACTTTCAAAAAGCTTCCCTTTCCCCACGGGGTTCCTTTCCCTTCATTACTTGGAAGCCTGTGCTAGCTTTCTCAACATCCTCCTCCTGTTTATTCCACAAACCACTGCTGCCTTTCTGCTCCCCCTCCCCATGGGAAGGTGCTCCCCAACTCCTAGTGGCCTAACCCTGCTTGGGCCCTGGGCCTTCAGTGTGCAGCATCAACTCGTCCTGAACCTCTCCTTTTTTGGCTTCATAACGCTTACCTCTTGTCGGCCTCGACCTGTTCTTGTGTTTCTTATCTCTCTCCTCTCCTCCCATGGCTCTTCCTGGGCCCTCTCACCTCTTTGCTTCCTCTCCAGGGCCCCCATCCTTTCCCAGGACCTCGAGGACCACCAAAGTGCTGACGACTGTTCCCAGCCTGCGTCTCTTCCCAGGTGCAGCTGTGTGTGCACGCCCCTAGACCGCTCCCCCGGGGGCCTGATTCACAGCAATGATCACCAGCACGTGAGGAAAGACTGGCGTAGGGGAGAGTGGCCAGGGTTCCCGCCAGAGAGGTGTTGCAGGAGTCCAGGCGAGAAGCGATGCGGCCCAACAGGGCATTAGGGTCACCAGAACCCCCTGTCTGGGCACCCATGCTTCTACCTGCAGAGCTGGAGTTTTGTTTGCAGACCTTAGTGTGGGACTTCACATTTATCCTTATTAAATCTAGGCATGGTCAGATTGCACCCAACACTGCAGCTTGTCCTACCGCTTGCTAATTTTGTTTCAGACACTAATTAGGCGTCGCTCTCAGAGACCAGGGTCACTCAGGCATTTGATCAATGTGTTACTTGTGTCCCATCCAAGTCATCGATAATGTTGAATAGAAAGGGCCCAGCAGGAACACAGTAAAGACTGTTACTTGTTTTAGCCACTAGAGGGCTGCATGTCCCAGAAATTGATGCAGGTGCTGCTTAGAAGTGAAACTAGGAAATGTGAGCACTGTTGGGTTCTATGGGGTTTGGAGTTTCCAGGGCGGGGGCGCAGAGGAGAGTGTAGCACACTGGGGAGCAGCAGATGGTTGTAGCATTCGTGGGCAAGGAGAGGGAGGAGTAGGGGGTTGGCAGAGACCACGAAGGGCCTTAGGAACACTTCTGGGGAGCAATAGGGAGCCATAGAAGGACTTTAAGCAGAGGCCACACGATCATATTTGCTTTTTTTTTTTTTTTTGAGACAGGGTCTCTCTCTGTCACCCAGGCTGCAGAGCAGTGACATGATCACGGCTTACTGCAGCCTTCACCTTTTGGACTCAAGTGATCCTCCTGCCTCAGATTCCTGAGTAGCTGGGATTACCGGTGTGCACCAACACACCTGGCTAATTTTTTATTTTTATTTTTGTAGAGACAGTTTCCAGGCTGGTTTCAAACTCCCGGGCTCAAGCGATCCTCCCACCTCAGCCTCCCAAAATGCTGGGATTACAGGCACTAGTCACTGCGCCCAGCCCCTATTTGCATCTTAAAGCAGTCACTCCAGCATCCGTGTGGAATGGAGGGAGGAAGAAGGGAATTGGATGGCTGCTGGTTGGTTCAGAATGAGAAATGATAAAGGTCTAAGGTGACATCTGAAGGGAATAAAGGAGGGGACAGAGGAATGTAAGTGAACTGAGCAGAATGAGGGCAGAGTGGCAGGGGACAGAATGGCAGGAGCCACCCAACAGGAGGGGAGGGGGAGGGAATGGGAGGGAAGGGAGGGTCACCTGGAAGATGTGAGGGGGCCAGGGAGTGAGGAGAGAAAGAGGAAAGTGAAATTGTGCTTTGTAAAGAATGAGTCGTACATTCACTCACGATAGAGCATTTATTATGTCGCAGACACTGGGCTAGACCCTGGGGATACATTCATGAGGGAAACAGACACTGCCCCTGCCCTGGAGTTTTGCACCCTAGTGGAGAGACAGCAGGTATTTGGGGCGGGAGGCTCCTGTGCTGGGCCTGGGAAGCCCAGAAGTGGGTATTTAAGCTGAGAGAGCAAGGATGAGAAGCAGCAGCCGGTGAAGAAAGCTGGGAAGACTATTCCCAGCAGAAGGAACGGTATCAGGGAAGGCCCTTTGGGAGGGATGGAAAAGCAGCCAGGCTTGCTGGACTTGTTGCAGGAGGAAGGCTCGGCCTGATCCTGTGTGCTTTAAGGACAGTGGTCAGGGCTTTGGGTTTGATTCTGTGCATCAAGGGAAGCCACTAGAGGGTTTGGGGGCAGGAGAGAACCATGACCAGATGCGACCTATGAAAAGATCACTTTGGATGCTTGCAGAGATGGGGTGCAGTCCAGGTGGGAGCCATGCAGATGCAGAGAGCTGCTCAGATGGGACACAAGTCTCAGAAGCAGAAATGCTGATGAATTGGCTGCAGGTGAGAGGCAGAGAGAACTCATGTGCCTTCCTGGGTTTCTGGCATGAACAACTGGGGGAATTTCAGGGGCATCAGCAGAGCTGGGGAAGCCAGGTGCAGGGAGTGACAGGAAGTCACATGCCATATTTTGAACTGTACCTTGGAGAGAGGGAGCCTGAGAGGCATCCAGCCAGCAGGTGAGTGCATGCATGAGCTTGGAGATTGCCGAAGTCGGCCCGGAGCCACAGAGGTGGGAGCCACGGTGGGGCACGCACAGACCACAGACCTGAAGCCTTGCAGGAAGACAGGGAGATGGAGAGGAGATGCGCAGGAGACTGAGTCCAGGCACAACGGTGCTCAGTGCTCGGCTCTGAGGTGGAGGAGGCTGAGCTGAGAGAGCACAGGAGGGTGAGGTTGCCTGGGCGACAGGAGAGGAGAGGGCCTGGAGAAGAGGCCACCAGCTCTGTCACCTGCTGCTGAGGGGTCAGATGAGCACAGGAAATCGCTACTGGATCTGGTGGCTCTGAGGCCCTGGATAGCCCTGGGAAGAGCATCTTCCAGGGAGGTGGGGAAGCCAGAGATGGGTGGGTTGTGAGGTACATCACAGGTGAGGAGGTGTAGCCCATTCGTGGAGAAATTGGAGAAGTTTTGCCCTGAAGGAGGGCAGAGAGACAGAAAAGGGGCTGGAGGGGCAGCTGAGGGATAAATGGTGCTTTTTTGACGGGTGACGCACATCTTGTGCAGGAACTACCTGAAAACTTGTGAAGACATTAGAAAGAAGAGCCAAGACCCAAGAAGGGAATTGAAGGTGCGAGGGAAACTGTCATGCCCGCCCTGCCCTGGCCTTCTTATACGGGTGCCTGTTCCCTGGCTGCAGGTCACGTGCCACATCTTGATTCTGATGGGCATAGCACATTGACAACTGAACAAAGCCACCCGGCTTGGAAATGGTCCCTGGTCAAGGTGAAGGACACGCCTGGTGCTGCCAGAGGCCACCAGGCAGCTGCAGGCACGCCCTCTTCCTTCCTCCCACACGCTTGGTAGCACAGAGCCTCATTCATCCAGGCCAGCAGGTCACAGCCATGGGAATGTCATGCTCAGTTCCCAGGGAAAAGGGCAGAGGCTTTTTCCCCTGCAGAAGAACCAGTCTGCACCTAGGGCCTTGCCCGTTTTCCCCAAGAGTCCTGTGATTATATAAGCATCATCTGTCCCTGATGCTGGGGTCCTGGTCAAGACTTCCCCAGGGCGGGGCTGGGGTGACACAGCTAGGCCCTGGCCTGGAGTTCAACCACCCTTTGTCCTGATGGCACTTTATAAAAACACTGTCAGCCTGGTCTCTGGGATAACAGGGTTACAAGCCTCTGGATGACTAATTGGCCCTCAGAACTAACTGGATCAAATACAAACTTTGGGATGATATTGCGTGCCCCCAGGCCAGGTGGAGACCTAGACTGAGCATGGACACTGCCATGGAGAAAGGACATGGGAACCGTGGGGTCCCCCTGCTGCCCAGCCACCCCCACACCTCGGGTTGAGGTGGGATGTAGGTTACAGATAAGGTTAAAATACAAATGGAGGCAGGTGAAAAGTTGGGTGGGTCCGGAGGTTTGAATCGCAGCAAGGAATGGATCGCTTCCTCTTCACCCAGACCTCAGCTGCTCCCTAAATCTCAGTGACCGCCAAATCGGTGCCTCTGGCCCACGTCTTTCTTGAGCCCCAGACTCATTTGTCCAACGGCTGCCTGGACATCCCCACGCCACGTCTCCAGGCACAGGACACTCGTGTGCCTCTGCCCCCCATCCCGGGCTCCCTGTCTTGGCTGAGCACATCCCCTTCTACTCAGGTCACCCACGCCACAGGCCCATGTCCTCCAGAAATGGTTCAGCTATGCCTGGTCAATAGTAAATCCTAAGTATCTCCCAAGTTCTATGGCTGCTGCCTCTGGGCTCTGGGTTTGAATCCTGCACCACCATCTGCTCACTGTATAATTGGGTGAGCAACCCTCTCAGTCCCTGTTTCCATGCCTGTAATATTGGGATTGTGAAAGATGTCATAATCAGAATGGAGCCACTTTTGTTAAAAACAAATCCTGACAAATAGAGCCAAGGGAAGGCCATGAAGAGAAATATTCGCATGCATAAATGCCTAATAACAAAAACTACCACGGCAGACTATGAAAACTGCAACCTTGCACAAAAAATGCTTCTAGGAGGACAGCTGCCCAGTAACTACCTGTCCAGCCTTGGACTGGTGTCCCTCTTGCAATTAACCCTTGCAGCCAAGGATCATTACTTCAAAGCAACAATACAGTCCTCACTTTCCTTCACCTTTGCCTTCCTTCATCTCCCTGAAGGCACACGTGCTTTTTACTCTGGCAGGCATACTCCCTGGCAGTGCCCTATTCCTGAGTAAACATCACTTTCTTTGAGAGCCACTCTCTGGTTATTTAGGTTGACAGGATAATCACAGTACGCACCTCATAAGGTTTCTGAAGACTGATGTTAATACTCTAAAGCATCTGGAGGGGGACTGCCAGCAGCACCGAGTTCGCACTCGCTGTTACCAGCTGGCGCTCATCATCCCACCCTCCCTCATTGTTCCCCCTCCAGGCCCGGCTCCAGAGCTCTCCCCCACCAGACACACAGGTGTTCAGGTCACTTCCTGAATAAAGGCCAGCCGCCTTAATGATGGCGTCAGACCCTTAGCTGGGCATTTAAGGCTCCCTCCCGGCCCTCTCACATCCCCACATGCCCCGGACAAAGCGCACACGCCTCGTCATTTTCCAGCCATGCTTCGTGCCCACGGCCCTCCCTGCAGCGGGAATCTCTCGCTCTGGTGACGGGGCTAATGTGGGCGCCGAATCTGAGCCCGGCATGTCACCTACTTTACCTCGTTGGTTCCCACAACAATCCTGTGAGGCAGGTCCTCTTTTGGCCTGTTTCCTGGAAGCTCGGTGATTCTCAAGAGGGAACAGCTAGCCGTGGAGCCAGGATTTCAGTCCAGGTGTGGCCTATCCCAAAGTCCAGGTGGTTCTAGTTAATCCACACAAACCTCTCATGAGTAGATGACATTTCAAAGGAAAAAGGGACCTGACGTCTCCGAGATGGGAAAGGATGGTAGCAGGGTGTATGTCAGCATCTCCCCAGGGCAGAACACATCTGGCGGCATCTGCAATGTCTGTTTTGCTAAGCATGAGCGTGTTTCCACAATTCCCTCTCTGGCAGGTGATGAATTAGAGTTGGTCCCAAGAGCACATCGTGTCAGCTGTGAGGGGAGGTGAACTGGGGCGGGCCCCGTGTGGTCACAGCTGGCTGGCGTTGTCAGAGACCTCTGGCTCCCCTTGTTGTCAGGGTTCCCCATTCCCTGCACCTCCCCCTTCAGCTTCACCACTGTGGGCCCAGTGTGGGGGGCTCTGCACTGAAGGGTGCCTGCCCTTCTGTAGGTCCGCCATGTCCTCAGGGTCGGCAGAGGGATCTGCCCTTCCCCCCGGGCTCCTCACCTCCTGTCTATCCTCCCTTCTCTGCTGACTCGGCCCCAGTGCCAGCTGCAGGGGACAGACTTACAAAGGCCTCTGATTCCCCTGCCCCACGAGCTCCACCACCACAGGAGGCCTACAGTAACCCCGGTGTGTCACTCGGGGTCCTGTCCCAGGATCCATCCCTAACCAGCAAGGAGAATGAATTCAACAGATGTTAAATGAACAAATAAATGAGTAGTTGAATACATATTTTTGCTTTACAGCTTTAAATATCAGAACTAAAACTAAAAGTGATCTTATTTTTTCCAACCTTCCCTAAAGGATAAATTATCAATGTATATTGCAACATATTCTCCAAAGGGACCCTATGATCACAGTATTTTAAAGTAACACAGATGGCTCTCAGTGGAGTGATTAAATTGCATCTATGTTACATTGGTTGATGGTAAAGGGGTTGCGGCTTTTTGTGTGTTTTGATGGCGACTTTATTTTAGGGTATTGTAACTGCACATGCTCCTCCATGAGGAGGAAGTGATGAGGGAAGGCGGGGACCCTGGCAGGTATTGGATGTGCATCCACCATGAACTTCAGCCTCTGTAGCCCCATGGTGCTGGGGCCACTGGGAAATGGTGGAATGGCTGGCTGAGTGGCAATCGCTCCTGTCAGGAAATCTAAGCTAATGTTATGTCCAACTGAAAAAGAAAGCCAAGAAAACAAAACAGGTGCAGAATTGCAATCTGAAAAAATTTTTTAACACTTTAATTATTTAATTTTATTTTCTACAGATGAAGTCTCGCTACGTTGCCTAGGCTTGTCTCAAACTCCTGGGCTCAAGCAATCCTGATCCCCCAACTCTGCCATACCCGCCCCCCATCCCCAGCCCACCCCCATCTCCACCTCCCAAAGTGCTGGGATTAGAGGCATAAGCCACTGCCACCGCTGCAATCTGAAATTAATGCCTATGTCAAGTTGAAGGACTGCTCAAAATATTGGAGAGGTTCAAGACTGAATGTCCCTACGCTATACAGAGGTCTAATTAGATCTTCCAAACATCAGACAACCAAGTGAAGTTAAGTTACCTACCCCCTTGAATGAATCTAGCTTTTGAAATCTTTCCGCTGAGTTATCCTTTAGCGCTGGTATCCAGAATTCCTTTTTCCGTGGGGGCTGGGAGGAGATGAAGTTATCTGTCCTGGGACAGAGAGCTGAAGAATAGGCCGAGGGGCCTGAATTCACAGCCTGGTTTCCAAAGACATGGACCTTGGGGTCAGCCCTGGCCCTAAATCCTGGCTCTGTGGCCAGCTGTCTGATCTGGAGGGAGTTACTCACCCTCTCTGTGGTCCAAGTTTCCCTCCATCAGGTGGAGACTCGAGTGAGATGTCTGTGCAGGCTTAGTGCAGACCAGACCGAACACTCAGCTTTTCTCTGCTTATTATGGCAGCTACATAACAGCAGTTTCCATGTTTCAAAAACAAAATCACACCTTGTTTACATCCATCTTCAATCTTTTCAATCTTTTTATGTAGACTAAGTCTAGCTTTTCAGGGTATCCCAATAGTATATGTTTCAGACCTTTATCTAACTGTGAGCCCCCAATACAATATCCAAAACCTTTCTGAAAGAACACTCATGAAGAGATGGTGTTCATTCATGCCACATGTATAATATTCTTTTGGATAAAATGGCAAAACAAGTAAAAGACATAAAATCGTAATGTCCTCTAATACAACAGGCCAGCAAGATTTGTAAATCTGTTTTGAAACAACTATCTTTTGACATTAAAAACGATTCCAGGAATCTTTGAATTTCATTTTCCTTCACATTGTTACAATCACTTTCAGTCTTATATAATTTCTAGACTGTGCTATGGCTCACAGCAGCTGTGTCTCATGGGAAATGCAGACAAACCAGTCTGGCTGGTGAGGGGGGCTGTGGAAAGCTCACAGCCCCTCCTTGGACAGCCACATTGCTCCCCCAGAGCCATCAAAGGAGGTCCGCCTATGAGGCTGAGGGTCTGGGACATTTCCAAGGGGAGGGTGCTCCTGAGTGTTTTCTCCAGGAGCAATCCTAACTTCTGGGCAGATGCCTGGCTCTGGCCAAGAGCCTCGTCCAAGAACATTATGATCTCAGTCCCTACTGGCCTAACGCTAGGACGCTTCCAGCTGGGGAACCTCCCAGGCAGCAGTGGGGGAGAGTTCCACATGGTTTCTGATGCCCTGGACCATCCCTAGTTCACAGCCTTGACGATGGGACGGGTGCAGGGTCACTGGTTGGTGGGGCATACAGGAAGGTGTGCTGGGGCCCTGGGGCAGCATAAGGCTTTCCCTGCCTGGAACGGTGGCAAGAACAAACACAGCCACACACATGCAATGGAATGAAACCAACCAAGAAGTGTGTGGTACCTTTTATTTAGTCAGTCTTCATTTAAATGTGTGCTTTTGAAATCACTAAATATGACCTTTTCAGAATTCAATTCTCACAGTATTTACAGTGAACTTTGTGCAAACAAATCCCCCTTTGTGCAAAGGGGGAGCTTCCTGCTCCCCCTTTCACATTAATAACTTACAAATTCAGATCACAACAAAACCCCAGACTCTAGTTTTCTGTTTGAAAGGTACTGAGCTGGGATAATGGGTTGCTAGGAAAGAGCTAATGCAAGCCCAAAGGAAATAAAATGTTTTCTTTATCAGAAAAGAATAATAACAAGGCCTCACTCTCCAAAGGAAAACAGACGTCCCAAGATGTTGTGGAACAGTATTAAGTAACCAAATACAATTCCAATGGTTATTTCACCTTCATTTTTTATACTTACACTCATCTCTTTTAATTAAATAAGCGAAACCAGAAAAGTGCAATTCGAAGGGACTCTGAACTGTCAGGGAACGTTATAAAAATAATCTGACGTCAGTGACTAAAGAGTACGGGTCATCAGGCTGCCGGCCGGCCTCCTGCAAGGGCACTGGCCAGGGAGGCCACAGCTGCCAAAGCGGGGAGGTGCGCCAGGCCCCACATCACCTGCCTCGGGGTCCATGCCAGGCAAGAAAGAAACACACACCTGGGCCTAGCCAAGGGTGGTGCCCTGCCAGGTAACTCTTCAGGTACAAAATCTACAAAGGGGATCAGTCCTGGAGAACACATTTCTCTTCCCCTCTCTAGGCAGAGAAATACCTGGCTGAAGAAAAACTACACAACACTCAAGTAATGTATAAGGGAGGGTTCCTGTGGAAGGCAACGATTCATGATTTAGAAACTGAAGTGTAAAAAATACAGATCAACAATTGTGCCTTTCATTCTTGTAAAATATCGCTTTAAAATCCCGTTTTAGATGGTTGATGTCTGAAACGAAACCACGGCCTTTTAAAATATTTTTGATTCCAAGCCTTTTTATAAGGAAGAGGAATTAACACCTCAATCATCCTAGTCACAAGAGACTATTCAGGACCAAAACTGTATAGGCTTTCTATGTGTTCACTAAAGACTGTGATGGGCAATTATAGAATGACAGCTTATTAGAAAAAAATTGCTTTTATCAACATCTGATACAATGGCTCTGAAAAAAATTTATTGATGGATCTGAGAATTTTTTCACACATGAATCATTTCTCCTTCCAATGGTTATTGATACTGATAGAAGTTCCCCGCTGAGACTCCCTGGACCCATGGTTTGTGCCTGCTGGGCATCCCACTATGCTGATTCCTACTCTAAAAGACACTTACAGCAGAAAGCATTCACCCATGACCATTATGAAGGAAATATTCTGTCCCTCACTCACCCTCTGGAAGCTAATATGGAGCAGCAGTCACTCTATCCAGAGCCACATGTTCACAGTTCTCTAGCAAGCAGGTCACACCCCGTGGGTCCCCTATTCCCCGTGACCCTTGTTGATCCATCCTCTTCCTGCTCAGTTGCTCCCCTGCTCACCTGGACTGCGGGAGGCATGGGTGCGCCCACTGAGGCCATGCTGAGGAGCTGGGATGGAATGCAGGACAGGGAGAGAGGGGAGACTGAGCTGAGAGGGAGCACTGGATCCTGGGAGGTGTGGATGCACTGATTACAGTCCAAAGACATTGGCAGCAACAAAGGACACACAATGACTGAAAACATTAACGTTACCTTCTGGGATCTCTCAGTGCCCTGAGCGATCTGTGTGTCTACCTACAGATGGGCAAAGCATTTTTGCACCCTGGCCCCATTCCCAGTTCTCCCCTGAGAACTCAGTCCTCCTTGAAGACTTGGTGATGCCTGTCAATTGAGCTCCCATTTAGCGGCTCATTGTGCCCAGGGGCTCACATCTGCAAGTTAAAATTGCTTTTATCAACATCTGATACAATGGTTCTCATTTCACATAAATAATCACAGACTTGACTAAAATGAATATATTATTCTAGGTTAATTTTTTTCCATTCAAATGTTTATACTCCATCTACCCAGAACAATTACAGCAGAAAAAATAGGCACCTCCAAAGTCTTCCCAAGAATGATGACTTTCTGAAATGACACACTGTACAAACTGGACAAATGAGACGACTGACTGTGACAGGGGCCGGGGAGCTCTTCAAGGGGCCGTTTTCTTCAAGTCTCGGATCTGTTTAATCAAGTAGTTCTTCTCGTCAGCGAACTGCTCATCATCCGTCCTTTCTTTTTGGAAGCTGCTCAGAAACTCAATGAGTTTGGGCTGATTTTTTAACAGGATCTCCACAATAGGCTGTGTTTTGTGAGGACTGGCCACAAACACCTGAAACAAAAAGAAACAAATACTTAGGAGTGCAAGCCAGGGACCTCACCCACGCTACAGCAGTGCAGGCCAGGGACCTCACCCACACTACTCGCGTTTCATGCGTGACTGATATTATTAATGCGTAGAAGCCCCTGACTCTAATTCTCAGTGAGGGTGATCAATACAGTCACACACCACATAACGACATTTCAGTCAACAACAGACCATGTATACGACTGTAATCCCATAGCACCATAATGGAGCTGAAAAATTCCCATTGCCTTGTGATATCGTAGGTCAGTGCATTTACTCATGTGTCTGTGGTGATGCTGGTGTAAACAAACCTACTGCCCGGCCAGCTGCATAAAATTCAAGCCCGTACAATTATGCACAGTGCATAATACTTGATAATCAACGACGATGGTACTGGTTTACGTATTTACTATACTATACGTCTAATCATTATTTTAGAGTATATGCCTTCTACTTAGTAAACAAAAAGTTAACTGTAAAACAGCCTCAGGCAGGTCCCTCAGGAGGTATCCAGAAGAAGGCACTGTTATCGTAGGAGGTGACACCTCCATGGGTGTTATGGCCCCTGCAGACTTTCCAGGGGGACAAGATGTGGAGGTGGAAGCAGTGATACTGATGATCCTGACCCTGTGTAGGCCGAGGCTAATGTGAGTGTTTATGTCTTAGTTTTTAACAAAGAAGTTTAAAAAGTAAAAAATAAAAAACTTTAAGCACAGAAAAAGCTTATAGAATAAGGATATAAAGAAAGAAAATGTTTTTGTACAGCTGTATAATGTGTTTGTTTTAAGCTGTGTTATTGCAAAAGAGTAAAAAAGTTTTAAAAAATTAAAAAATAAACTTTTTATAAAAGTAAAAAGTTACAGTAAGCTAAGGTTATTTTTATGTATGTATTTATTTATTTTTGAGACAGGGTCTCGCTCTGTCACCCAGGCTGACGTGCAGTGGCACTATCAGAGCTCACTGCAGACTGGAACTCCTGGGCTCAAGCGATCCTCCCGCCTCAGCTTCCCCAGTGGCTAGGACTACAAGTGCATGCCACTGCACCTGGCTAATTTAAAAAGTTTTTCGTAGAGGCAGGCCTGACTATGACTGCCAAGGCTGGTCTCGAATTCCTGGTTTCAAACAATCCTTCCACCTTGGCCTCCCAAAGCTGTGGGATTACAGGCATGAGCCACCATGCCTGGCCCTAAGGTTAACTTATTATTAAAACAAGAAAAAAAATTTTTTAAATCAATTTAGTGTAGTCTAAGCAGTGTTTATGAAGTCTACAGTAGTGTACGGTAATGTCCTAGGCCTTCGCATTCACTCACCATTCAATCCCTGACTCCCCCAGAGCAACTGCCAGTCCTGTAAGCTCCATTTATGGTAAGTTCCCTATACAGGTGTACCATTTTTTCTCTTTTATGCCATCTTGTTACTGTATCTTTTCTATGTTTAGATACCCAAATACCATTGGGTTATAATTGCCTGCAGTATTCAGTATGGTAACATGCTGCACAGGTTTGTGCTCTAGGCGCAATAGCCCACACTATATAGCCTAGGTGTGTGGCAGGCTCCACCACCTAGGTCTGCGTAAATGCACTCTGTGATGTTCCCACACAAAGGACATCGCCTAGTGAGCATGTTTCTCAGAACAACTCCCTGCTGTTAAGCGCCACAGGCCTGCACTTCACCTTTCCTATCACTCTCCTAAGTCACTAGCTAGGAGCACGTGGGAGCTATCTATGAACATTTCATATTTGACTTTGTTTTACTTTTAAATATTTGTTCTTAACTATAAAATCTTTCAAACAGAAAATAACATAACAAATCCAGTATACGTACCTCACAAATTGAATAGATTTTACCATTGTGCCTCAAGAGTCTCTTTTTAAACAAATAAAACATTACAAATGGAACCAAACCCTCACCTTCCACCTTTCCCCTCCCACCTCCAGCAGTGTGCCACCATCTCTGGGCACATTTCAATCCTTATCCTCCTATTACATAGATATTTAAACATAAACAACATATAGTATGAAAGAGCTTATGATTTTTAAACATAATTTATTTTTTGAACACATAATATCATCACCTAGTTCAAAATTCAAAAAGGACAAACGTGAATAGTCCTCCTCTCACCTTCCCTCCCTGGAGGTCACCAATGTCACTGTTTGTTACATATGTGAAGCTTTAAAAATTACAACTGCTGGGCCAGGCGCGGTGGCTCATGCCTGTAATCCTAGTACTTTGGGAGGCCGAGGTGGGCGGATCACGAAGTCAGGAGATCGAGACCATCCTGGCTAACACGGTGAAATCCCATCTCTACTAAAAATACAAAAAATTAGCCAGGCGTGGTGGCGGGCGCCTGTAGTCCCAGCTACTCGGGAGGCTGTGGCAGGAGAATGGCGTGAACCCAGGAGGCGAAGCTTGCAGTGAGCTGAGATCGCGCCACTGCACTCTAGCCTGGGCAACAGAGTGAGACTCCGTCTCAAAAAAAAAAAAAAAAATTACAACTGCCCAGGTCCTACCTCCCAGATACGTCAACTCAGCAGGTCTGTGGTGGATGTCTAGCATTCTGTATTTCTATGAAGTTCCACAGAGATTCTTATGTGAACTCCTGGTGGAAACCACGATCTGATACTGACTGGTGCACTATTTTGTAAAAGACACACTCCTTAGTTACTGCTACATACATGACCACATGACCAGAATGCAGATCAAAGTGTCTCTGAGCCCTACAGAGCTCTCTGGTGTGATGGTCTGGCCTCCTGCCTCTGCCTGGCACCCCCTCTGCCCACCCATCCCTGTCCCATAGCTGTGCAGTGCCCAACTCTACAGGGAACACACTATGAAAGGGCTTAGTTATGGGGCAGTGGGGGTTTCATGGCTAAGCCTTTAAGGTTCCTCCACCCTAGCAAGTGTGGGGAAGGAGAAAACTACCCTAGGATGTTGAGTACCAATGTGGAGAATACAAGACTGCAGAGGCTCCCATCCCAGGAGGTGGCGATGACATTACATTTCCGGGTTTGGAACAGGAAGGCTCATGGTGTGGGCGGCATGAGAGCTAGTCCATGAGTCAGGCAGAGAATGTTTACACGTGGTGGTAAGAAAAGCAGCATTCCAGGAATACTGAATTGTCCCACTGCAGGCTCTGAGGTGGGCGGGACAGGACGTGGGAGCAACAGTAAGAATGAGTAAGGGAACGTGGGAGCTAAGGCGGCGCCGGCTCTGGAACCTGGGTTCAAATTCCACCTCTCCTACATGTTAGCAGTGTGTCCACCAGCAAAGTTTTGTTATCTAGAAATAAAAGGACCTCTGCCTGTCTGGGTGGGGAGAATGTGCTGGAGAACATCAGCAGCTTCAGCACAAGTAAGTCTCCTGAAAGCCTTCTGTTGTCACTGTATGTGGGGAGTCGTGCTTGCTGGAGGCAAAGTGCCTGAACTGAATTCAAGGCCTCGTCACTGCCCCATCACCCTAATTCTGGTCAACTGTACACACGACCGTGGGCAGCCAGTTCATAGCCCTCCCAGCTGGTTGTCTTCATTCATGGGGCTAAGTGTTTCACACTCATCGAACACTTAACCCTCACAACAGCCCTGAAGTATAAGAGCTGTTATCCTCATCTGTTAATAAGGAAACAGGCTGAGTCATATTAATAAACTTGACCACATAGTAGTATGGTTAACAGCGCAGATTCAGAAGCACACAGCCTGGGCCCAAATCCTAGCACCATCTCTTATTAGCTTTATGATTTCACAAAACTTGTTTACCTCTCTGTACCTCAGTTTCTTCATCTGAAAAATGGGGATGATAACAGTACCTGAGTGCCATTAGGTAACTGTGAGGCTTAATGAGAACAGTATATGTATTCTACTCCATGCATTCAAATGGTACATGGCACACAGCATGCACCATTCAAATGCATGGAGTAGAACACATACATTGTTGCAAAATTGCTTTTGCCAGGCTCACAGAACTAGCAAGGGCTGAAGCTGAGATTAATCCCAGGATGCTTGTTCTGAGAACTGATGAGATGTGACATTTTACCAGGTGAGGTTCAGAACTAGAAATCAAAGCCCACAAATCTGATACTCAGTTCATTTGGCCAATTTAGTTCTGAAATTGTTCATAAATATGATATATAAATTCTTCATGTTTCTGTTCTTTCCATCAAAGGTCATGGACTCACTCACACAGCAAGTGCTAAGGAATACAGAACCCTCTCTGGGAACACTGCACGTCCCTGTGGTCACGAGTGGCTCATGATGAGACAGTCTCTTGGCAGCCCACATGGCTTACTTACAGTGAGCCCACCGCTCAGCCAGGCCAGGGGACCCATAACAGAGAAGGAAAAGGGTTTCCTAAGCTTCTGCTTGGTGGGTCTACAGCCATGGGGTGACAAGGAGGAACTGACCTTTGACCTTCTGGGTTATAAAGTATCCTAGGCTCCTCTGAAACAACCAATGGGAAATAGAAATCACAAAGAAAATTAGAAAACACTTTGAGACAAATGAAAACAAAAACAAAATATATCAAAACTCATAAGATGCACCAAAAGCAGTGCTCAGGGGGAAATTTATAGCTATAAATGCCTACATTAAAAAAGAAAGATCTGGACTGGGTACGGTGGCTCACGTCTGTAATCCAGCAGCGTGGGAGGCCAAGGCGGGCGGATCATGAAGTCAGGAGTTTGAGACCAGCCTGACCAACATGGTGAAACCCTCTGTCTACTAAAAATACAAAAATTAGCCGGGCATGGTGGTGTGCGCCTGTAATCCCAGCTATTCAGGAAGCTGAGGCAGGAGAATGGCTTGAACCCAGAAGGCGGAGGTTGCAGTGAGCCAAGATCGTGCCACGGCACTCCAGCCTGGGCAACAGAGCAAGTCTCCATCTCAAAAAAAAAAAAAAAGAAAAGAAAAGAAAAGAAAGATCTCAGATTAGTAACCTAGTTTTATAGCTTAAGGAACTAGGAAGAGAAGAACAAACTAAACCAAAGCAACATAAGGAAGGAAAGAATAAAACTTAGAGCAGAGATAAACAAAACGGAGAACAGGAAAATGACAGAATCAATGAACCCAAAAGTTGGTTCTTTGAAAAAAATTAATAAAATTGATAAACCTTTAGCTAGATTGACTAAGAAAAGAAAGAAGACTCAAATGCTAAACATTACTAATGGCCTTATAGAAATAAAAGGGGATTATGAGAGATGCTATGAACAATTATATACTAAAAAATTAGATAACCTAGATGATGACATGGCCAAATTCCTAGAAACATGCAGACTACCCAACTGACTCAAGAAGAAACAGAGAATCTGCAGACCTCTGACAAGAGATCAAATCAGTAACTTCCAACAAAAAAGAGACCAGGACCAGATGGCTTCACTAGTAAATTCTACCTAACATTTAAAGAAGAATTAACACAAATCTCTCTCAAATTCTTCTGAAAACTGTAAGAAATGGGAACACTTCCTAACTTATGATATGAGGCCAGTATTACCCAAATACCAAAGCCAGAGAAAAACAACACAAAAAAACTACATACCAGTATTCTCTATGAATAAAAATGCAAAAAATCCTCAACAAAATACTAGAAAACCAAGTCCATCACTATATCAAAAGGATTCTATACCATGACCAAGTGGGATTTATTCCCCAGAAATACAAGGGTGGTTCAACATAAGCAAATCAATCAATGTAACACATCACATGTACTGGGTTAAACTGTGTTCCCCAAAAAGATATGTTCAAGTCCTAATTCTCAGTATCTGTGAGCGTGATTTTATTTGGAAACACAGACTTTCTTTACAGATGTACTCAAGATAAGATGAGGTCAATACTGGCTTAGGGTGGCTTTACTCCAATGACTGGTGAACTCTGGACACAGAGACGCTTAGGGATATAGAGGAGAACGCCATGTGAAGATGGAAACAGAGATGCTTCTATAAGCCAAGGAGCACCAAGGACCTCTGGCAACCACCAGAAGCTGGGAGAGAAGCAAGGAAGATTCTCCCTGAGAGTCTCCAAAAGAAGTCAATGCTGCCAACACCTTGATTTTGGACTTCTGGCCTCCAGAACTGTGTTTTCTGTTGTTTTAAGCCATTCTGTCTGTGGTACTTTGTTATGGCAGCCTAGAAAACTAACACAAGTGTACCGCATTAGCAGAATATAGGGAAACCACATGATCTTCTCAATTGATACAGAAAAAGAGTTTGATAAAATCCAACACCTTTTCATGATAAAAACACTCAACACGGAGGCTGGGTGCAGTGGCTCACACCTCTAAACCCAGCACTTTGGGAGGCCGAGGTGGGCGAATCGCTTGAGCCCAGATATTCAAGACCAGCCTGGGGAACATGGCGAAACCCCCTCTCTACAAAAAATATAAAAATTAGCCAGGTGCCGTAGTGCACACCTGTAGTCCCAGCTACTCGGGAAGCTGAGGTGGGAGGATCAATTGAGCCTGGGAGGTTGAGGATGCGGTGAGCTGTGATGGTGCCACCACACTCCCACCTGGGCAACAGAGTGAGATGCTGTCTCAAAAAACAAACAAACAAACAAAAAACACTCAATATAGGACATTTGGATATTCACATGCAAAAGACGAAGCTGAGCCCTTATCTTACTCTAAATAAAAAGTAAAATCAATCAAAGACCTAAATATAAGAGCTAAAATTTTCACAGGAAAATACAGGGTAAATTTTCATAATGTTGGATTTGGCAATGGTTTCTTAGATATGACACCAAAAATACAAGCAATGAAAGAAAAAACAGGTAAACTGAACCAAATTGAAAACTTTTGTATATCAAAGGATACTATCAAGAGAGTGAAAAAAACACACAGAACGGGAGAAAATATTTGCAAATCATATATCTGATCAGTGTCTTGTATCCAGGATATATAAAGAACTCTTACAACTTAACAACAACAACAGAAAACCCATTCCAAAAAGGGGAAAAGAACTTGAACAGACATTTCTCCAAAAAAGATATACAAATGGCCAATAAGCACATTTTTAAAATCCTCAAAATCACTAGTCATTATGGAAATGCAAGTCAAAATCACAATGAGATACCACTTCGCACCCACTAGGATGACTGCAAAAACAAAACAAAACAAAAAAACAAAAACAAAAAACTCTGACAGTAACAAGTGTTGCAAAGATGGATGGAGATAAATTGAAACCCTGGGCCAGGAATGATGGCTCATGCCTGTAATCCCAACACTTGGGGAGGCTAAGGTGGGAGGATCACTTGAGCCCAGGAGTTCAAGTTCAAGACCAGCCTGAGCAACACAGCAAGACCCTGTCTCCACAAAAAATTAAAATATTAGTTGGGCATTGTGGTGCACATTGTAGTTCCAGCTGCTCAGGAGGCTGATGCAGCAGGATTGCTTGAGCCCGAGAAGTTGAGGCTGCAGTGAGCTGTGATTCCAGCCCGGGTAACAGAGCAAGACTGTGTCAAAAAAAGGAAAGGAAAGGAAAGGAAAGGAAAGGGAAAGGGAAAGGGAAAGGGAAAGGGAAAGGGAAAGGGAAAGGGAAAGGGAAAGGGAAAGGGAAAGGGAAAGGGAAAGGGAAAGGGAAAGGGAAAGGGAAAGGGAAAGGGAAAGGGAAAGGGAAAGGGAAAGGGAAAGGGAAAGGGAAAGGGAAAGGGAAGGAAAGGAAAGGAAAGGAAAGGAAAGGAAAGAAAGAAAAGAAATTGTTGCTGGTGGGAATATAAAATGACACAGCCTCTGTGGAAAATTGGCTGTTCCTCAGTAAGTTCAACAATGAATTACCATATTACCGAGCAACTCCTTTCCTAAAAATGGAATACATTGTTCAAACAAAAACTTGTGTAGTAGTGTTCATAGCAGCACTATTTACAATAGCCAAAAGGTGCAAACAACCCAAATGTCCCTTAACTGATGAATGGATAAACAAATTTGTGGTATACCCATGCAATGGAATATTATTTGGCCATTTAAAAGAATGAAGTACCGGGCCGGGTGCAGTGGCTTACACCTGTAATCCCAGAGGCCAAGGCAGGTGGATCACTTGAGGTCAGGGGTTCATGACCAGCCTAGCCAACATAGTGAAACCTTGTCTCTACTAAAAATACAAAAATTGGCTGGGTGTGGTGGCAGATGCCTGTAATCCCAGCTACTCGGGAGGCTGAGGCAGAAGAATCCCTTGAACCTGGGAGGTAGAGGTTGCAGTGAGCCGAGATCGTGCCACTGTACTCCAGCCTGGTGACACAGCGAGACCCTGTCTCAAAAAAATTAAAACAAAATAAAAAAAGAATGACGTGCTGATGGATCATGCTACAACATGGATGAACCTTGAAAACAGTGTATGAACAAAACACCACACAAAAGGCCACACACTGTATGATTCTATTTATATAAAATATCTGGAATAGGCAGATCCATGGAGCCAGAAAGCAGACTAATGATCGCCAGGGGATGGAGGTGAGGGGCAATGGGGAATGACTGCTTACTGAGTACAGGGTTTCCTTTTGGGATGATGAAATGTTCTGGAACTAGATATTGGTGACAGTTGTACAACATCGTAAATACACTAACTGTTACTGAATTGTACACTTTAAAATGGTTAATGCTGAATTTTATGTTATGTGAATTTTACCACAATAAACTAAAATTGTTACTTATATTAAAAAAAAAAAAAAGGGACTCCAGGCCTGTTTATACAAACTGCCTGATGTTTATGTAATACCTATCAGAAATGTGTGGCTGCTCTGGTTACCATTTGTTTACAAGGGAGTTGCTGTGAAGTTTTAGCTAAAAATTGCCTGGCATTTTGTGGTGACTACATAAATAACTCATGACAGTCTTTCTTTCTTAAAAAAAAAAAAAAAAAGATTAACTATAATAGACAAACTGATGTTGCAAACCAAAATAATAGACAAACTGATGTTGCAAACCAAAATAAATGTAAAATGTACTGGAATTTGCAGACAGGCATCACTGGTTCAATTCCACTGAATTCATTCACTGTACCATAAACCTAAGGAAAATGCTAAGTTTGTGCCCAGGTTTTAAATTTTTTCTTGTTTTTATTTTTTATGGCTTCTGAACTCTGCCGCCTCTAAAAGTAGTTGCTGACTGGAGTCAGCTAATGCAATAGTGCATGATTCCCTTGGGGCAGCCAGGACACTGGTCAAGGCCTGAGATTAACACACTGATGATAAGAAACACACTTCTAATTCAAGGTATATGGAAGCAAGTCTTTTGAATATTATGTCCAGGGTAGAAATTTTTTTGGTTGTCTTTGTTGTCCCTGTTTTTTAAAAAATGTAATTTTCAAACCACCCCCAAACAAATGAAACTACCCAGGACTTCTCCTTTTAGAATGCCGCCTTATTGCCTGTATCCCTCAGTTTACATAACATGCCTGAGAGATGTGATCTGTGGAGTTCTCAGGCGTGGTGAGAGGAAGGCAAATATCATGACCACAACTCAAATATTTTTAGTTTAGAAGACTGAAAATATTGCACTCTCCATTTTAAAACTGAATGCATTTCATGGAAAATAAAATATCTACATCTTACACACATATCCATTAATTTCATTCAAATTCTATTTTGCCAACAGGGATTGAGCCAGACAAGGTATGGGGAGGTTAGTCTTCTGCGTTGCTGACCTCACTGCCTTTGATGCGTGCTGCAAGCCTGGAATGCTCTGTATATGCTCCTGTTACGGTTATGTGGAAGCTACTCCAAGCAAAATCCCACCCCATCGAAGTGTCAAATAAGGCAACCATGTCCTTATTCATATGACTACACATCTGAGTAATAATTTAGAATATTTTGACACAATACTTGCTAGTACTGATCAGAGACAATTAACTTTTTCCTGTTTAAGAAAGGACTTGATTGTTAAATCTGCAAGCTGGTTGGGTGTCTATAAGCATCACTGGGCCCACGACAGAATTAGACTGGACCCCACTGCACATCAAGGGAGGAAGAAAAGCCCCAGGAAGGAAGTGAGGGTGGTGGAGGCCAGCAGCCTGAAAGTACAGGATGCTCTAAAAACCTCTAGAATCTCCTGAAATCCTCCTCCTCACTGCCACCATTCTTACCATCACTCTGATTACACAAGTGATACATGTGGAAAACTAGTGAAATAAAGAAAAGCACAAAGAAGAAAGTAAAAAAATCACTGACATAATTCCTCCACCCAGAGATAACCCCTGTGAATATCTGGTGTATGTATGTGCAGCATTTTTTTCTTGTGCACGTCACTATTTGTAGAAATATTTTAAACAAAACTGGGCTTGCATTCTGTACATAGTACTTTGTAAACTACTTTTTCCTTAACAATATGTTTTTTAATGCTTGTAGATTCTTCTTACATTACATGAGATGATCGCCATTTCAAAAAGATAGATATCATCTGCTGAATCCTTGCTATGCACTGGGCATTGTGCTAAACAGTTTATACGAATTGTATTCTTTTATCTTGACAACGGCTCTGGGAGGAAGATACAATTTTTCCCCAATCTCCAGGTGAAGCTGAGAGAAGTTAAAGCAGCATCCCTGACCACTAGGCTGTGTGTGCAGCGTGCGCCTTCCGGGCTGTGCTGGGTGCTTCCGCTAGTGACTACACGACAGTATGGCTGCCAGCTTCGCCCTCTCCATGTGTGGCAGTGACCGACTATTTCGTTCAAATGTTCTTAACTACTTATCTAAAGGTAGGGGCAAGGAGGGGAAAAGGGGCTTGGGGTCAAGCTATAATCACGTTTCTCATCTTTAAAACTGTTAAGTAAACTAGTGGATCAAAGAAATGGGAACGCCTTCTTTCCAAAGTTTTTTCAGCATTTTAATGTTGCCTTTAGACAGCTAAATGCAAGGTGGATGTCTGGACACTTCCTTAGAGTAACAGAACACGTTGATTTGAACTGAACAATTCAAGCCTGTAGGCAGTTTTGTAAAAGGAATATAGCATAGTGATTACCTATATCTCACGGAGTTTTTAAAAAGTTTTTCTTAAAAACAGCTTTATTAAAATTCAGACTATATAGTTGACTCATTTAAAGTATACTTTTTAATGTTTTACAGTATATTCACATAGTTGTGCAATCATCACCAGAATCAATTTTAGAACATTTTTATCATCCCAAAAAGAAACCCTATACCCATTAGCAGTCGCCCGCCCCCTCCGCACCCCAACATGCTCCCAGCTCTAGGCAACACTAATCTACTTTCTGCCCCTAGAGCTTTGCCGTATTCTAGACATTCATATAAATGGACTAATAAAATACGTGGTTTCTATGACTAGCTTCTTTCACGTAGCACAATGTTTTTAAGGTTAATCCATGTTGTAGCATGTTACGAATGCCACATCCTTTTTGTGGCCAAAATTGGATTGGGTTTTGAAAGTATTCAATGAGTATGTCCTTATAAAGTGTTTAGCAGAGTTTCTGGCCCGCAGCGACTGCTCATTACAGTTGCTACTTCCTTCAACGTGAAATCACTGCAGTGTCACATACAGCAGTAATCGCTTTCCCAAATATTTACTGTTATGCAGATGCAAGTTATTAAGATTCATATTTAAACCCAATAGCTCATTTTAACTATTTTGGGTAAAATATTTTATCTTCCATCCAAAGAATGAGTATACTAGTATTTCCTCTAGTAATACTGTAAAAAGAGGAATTCATACTTCTAATATACTTTATCACAGTCAATTGTAGAAAGAATAGACTCTTGTAACTGGGAGGGACCTCAGGAACTTAGCTAATTCATCCTTCCACTTCAGACACAACCCACTGGTAATTCTTGGCAAACAAGAATTGATTCCTATTAGATCCCCTGAAAAGGTGATTCTATAACCATCCTCAATGACCTATTCCAGTGTCTACAACTCCCGTTCTCAGAAAATTGGTTTTATTTATAGTCACTCTCCGCAGCCTATTGAGATAGCTGCTGTTGGCTTGCATTATGATATTCTATGAAACATGTGCTCTGCCCTCAAGTACCACTGTTAAATTTCTCTGTCAGTCTTCTTTTTTGGTGCATAAGTGTTTTTAAATCTTTCCACATAGGTCTTGTTTTCCAAATAGCTCAATCATTTCTGTGGCTTCTCTCTGCTGAGCCTCTCTGTATTCTCTATACCCTCCTCCAGGTAAGCACCTCAGAGGAACTGTGCAGTCTCCTTTCCTAGGATCCTTAAGGAGAAGTCATTTACCTGATGACATGGCCAACCTCAAGATTCCCAGAGCTGTCAATATAAACTTCATCCCGGTGAAATCTGACTCGAGTTGAAGAGAACACTGGCTTTGTGCATCAGGGGCCTTCACTCTGCTATCACTTGCTCACCCTGGACTTTTCTGCTCTTTGTGCCATCACTTTCTCAATGATTTTATTTCCTTCCCAGGTCTGTGATACTGTACTTTTCATCACTGAGCTTTTAGCCACTTATTCCTGGTTTCATCTACAATGGACAAATACTACAGCCATTCAGAATCCTTATTCTTCCCGGAGGCCTTCAGCTCCATCGGAAGGTCTGGCGAATGTGATGAGCACACACGCTGCTGACCTCATTCTCCAAGCCTCAGATGGAAATGTGGACCAGGACTTCCCAGGGGAAGCCGCCTGCACAAAACATAGATTCCAGACCTACACATTCTCGCTTTCTGAATGGAATATGCCAGGAAGGAAGGATCTAAATATATTCACAAGTCAGAATAGTTCTATTTAACATGACGATGCTTGTCAAACATTTTGTCAGAAAGATTTTTTTAAAAGATACTATATTACTACCCAGGACTCTGTTCTTGTCCCAATATTTGAAAACTGAAATGAGTCCCTCCAGGTTAGCATTACCAGATTTAGTAAACAGAAAGAGAGGATGCCCCATTAAATTCTGTTTCAGATGAACAATGAGTAATTTTTTTAATGTTAGTATGTTCCGTGCAGTGCTATACTTTGGCCATCTCAAATTCAAATTGAATGGGGCATCTTGTATTTTATCTGGCAATCCTTATCTGGTTCAGAGGCACAGAGGCTCTCAGTTTCCTTCCTTTAAGAACATACATATTGGCTGGGTGCGGTGGCTCATGTCTGTAATCCCAGCACTTTGGGAGGCCGAGGGAGGCAGATCACTTGAGGTCAGGAGTTTGAGAACAGGTTGGCCAACTTGGTGAAACCCCATCTCTACTAAAAATACAAAAAAAAAATTAGCCAGGTGTGGTGGTGGGTGCCTGTAATCCCAGCTACTTGGGAGGCTGAGGCAGAAGAATCACTTGAACCTGGGAGGCAAAGGTTGCAGTGAGCCGAGATCACACCACTGCACTCAAGCCTGGGTGACAGAGCGAGACTCTGTCTCAAATAAAAAATAAATAAATAAAAATAAAAATAATTCTAAAAAAAGAACATACATATTAATTTACTTACTCAGACATTAATTAAATATTTAAATAGCCACTATGTGCCAAAAACCCTTCTAGTTGTTAGGAGATAGAGCAGAGAAAGAACAAATCAGAGGAAAATTCCTGCTCGCAAAGCGCTTCTACGAAATACAAAGGTCTGGCAAAGAGGCACTTTGCCATTTCGAATTTACCAGCCTCAGTTCCCCACATATAAGTGGGGCTATGTAGAAGAAAGAACATGGGATTTGGAAGCAGAAGATGGCCTTGTCTGTGAGAGCTCAGGCTTGTCACTTAATCTCTCAGACAGTTTCCTCGCCAATGAAACGGACACCACATCTGCCTGACTTCACAGATGGGGTGAGGATCACATGGAATTTTGTCAGGGAAAGTGTTCTGTACGCTACAAAATGTTAAAATGTTACTAACATTATTGTTAATGCAATTGCTTTGGTATTTTGGAAATCAAATCTTTGGGATCTACAAATTTCATATAATTGTGGAAGTTACATAGGAAACTAGACATGTATCCCAAAATTACATGGAAAAGCAACTTAAATTTTTTTATGCTAGGTAATATTCACAAACATTAAGTATAGGCTGCATTTTCTTTATATACTACTGCAAAAATATTTTGTAAAGTAGGTAACAACATTATAAACATTCAGTAGCAGGATTATCAAACAGAGCCGTAAGTAACATATTTATATACTTGTTTGATGATGTTGCTAAAGTTTGCCAGAAATACCCATTGCAAACCTTTCTATAAAGAAACATAGAGTTGATTGTTTTATGAATTTTTAAAGAAAGTCTTTTTAAAAATAGAAAGGAGAAGTGAGGCCTTAATTATGACTTTCCACATTTTCTCCTTGGCTTCTTTGTTAAATATGCAAAAGGGTAAAATAAGATCAAATGAGGACACGATAAAGCTGAATGTTCGACACCATTTAAAAGCAGTTGGTGAGACATTAAGTCAGAAGTTGGTATACTTTTCAATATGCTGTTACAATTTTAGGGGAAATTATCATTATTAAACTAGTTCATAGCCAATTCCTAAATTCACTTGGTCTCAATTGCTTTCTCCATGAGTACGGTTAGATTTGGTACACCATGACCATAGTAGTTTGGTGTGCTAGAAAGTGGGTCCTTAGGCCGGGAGTGGTGGCTCACGCCTGTAATCCCAGCACTTTGGGAGGCTGAGACGGGCGGATCACCTGAGGTCGGGAGTTTGAGACCAGCCGGGCCAACATGGCAAAACCTCATCTGTACTAAAAATACAAAAATTAGCTGGGTGTGGTGGCACATGCCTGTAATACCAGCTACTCGGGAGGCTGAGACAGGAGAATCACTTGAACCTGGGAGGTGGAGGGTGCGGTGAGCCGAGATCATGCCACTGCACTCCAGCCTGGGCAACAAGAGTGAAATTCCATCTCAAAAATAAATACATAAATAAATAATATTAAAAAGTGGGTCCTTAAGGAAGTGAGTAATTCACGGTTAGTCCTTCACTAAATTCATCTGTAATTTTGCTTATTTTCAGTAAGACCACACGGAAACTATTCTCATTCTTGTTCTACATACTTTTTTGGCTGAACTGTCAAGCCGACTTTTATATTCTGGAATAAGCTGGGGACAGAACTTCTTGTTTTGAAGGGAATAGCTATTATAGCCAAATGCTAGGATCTGAGTGACAGACTAGTGCCATATTTGGCACTGGCCATGCCTGAGTTCCAGCAGCTCTGAGCGAGCAAACGACACAGACCATTTTCTTACACCTTACATGGTTTGGTGGGAAGGGGCAACACGGCCCTTTGCTATCAAGGTTAACAGGGAAAGGAAAGGGAGAAGATCATCTCATAATGTATCCCTCAATCCATATTGGGCACATCTCTGGGAGAGTCAGGACCAGAGACAAAAGTCTCCTGACCTAGTATCTTAGAATTACACTTCAGCACTTTCATTTTGCAAGTGAAAAAATGCATCCAGGTGGATTTGCCCAAAGTGGCTGCTGGCAACTGAGACAGAACAAAGACCTTGCTCTCTTGACCTCCATCGGGGCTTTCCCACCACACTATCCTGCTCACCAATAGTAGGAAGCACGTGCTGAGCCTATTAGCAGGCTAATGAGAGTCAGCCATTAACAATCCAGCAAAGACATTTTCAGGACTGGGTTCCACATTCTTTGCACCCTACGGAAGGTGCTCTGGGGAAAAAAACCTATTAATTAAACGATGTGAAAACAATCCTAGGACTTAGCTGTTACTTTTTTCTAAATAACAAAATATTTTTGGCAAGTAAACAATGTAGTTCATACTTCAGTGGAAGGAACATAGCCGGGGTACGGGGCAGGCCAAGTTACACACATACAAGTAAACAAGCGGTCAACTATTTTTAAATGTACCTACCCTGTCCAATGATTAGGTGACCCAAATTCTGATCTTCTCAGAGGATGGAAATAGGTTATTTTTATTTTGCAACCCACTGTTTCCTTCTATATATAATACTGCATTTTTGAACAAAATTATATGAAGTTTATTCTCATTTAAAGTTCTGTGGGAGCTGAATGATATGATACACAGCCTTCTACAATTCCTTCGGTCCAAGGGTCTTGAGAGGGCCTATCATTTTATAATGTGTAGGCATTTTCCAGGCCTACAGCACTCTATTTTTGTTTCATTCTTTTTTTTGAAACTTTTTATGAAATAATTCTAACACATGGAAGAGTACAAGAGTAACATATCAGACTTCATATTCCCACCATTGGCTCTATCAAAATCTAATATCTTTTGCCATACTTGCCTTCAGATTTTTTTTTTAATAAAATATTACAGATATAGTTGAAGGCTATTGGACACTCCTGTATGATATCGCTTATTCTCTTCCCTACTTCTTCTCCTGAGATGACCATTATCCTGAATTTGGCATTTGGCATTCCCATGCATTTTGCAATTTTGTTTGTTTTTTTGAGACAGAGTCTCGCTCAGTCACCCAGGCTGGAGTGCAGTGGCACAATATCGGCTTACTGCAACCTCTGCTTCCCAGGTTCAAGTGACAATCCTGCCCTAGCCCACTGAGTATCTGGGACTACAGGCATGCACCACCACACCTGGCTAATTTTTGTGTTTTTAGTAGGGACTGGGTTTTGCCATGTTGGCCAGGCTGGTCTCAAACTCCTGGCCTCAAGTGATCCACCCACCTCCGCCTCCCAGAGTTCTGGGATTACGGGCATGAGCCACCATGCCCGGATTCCATGCATGTTTTTGGACTCTAACTGCATATATATGAATCCACACTTAGTGTTCTTTTGCATGTTTTCAAACTTTAAATAAATGACATATTTAAATATTTGGTCATTCCACTCAACAAAATGTTTCTAAGATTAGGCAAAGCGATCCACATAACTCTATTTATTTTAACCCATTATTATGTGCTATTGTATTTGTGTAGCACAATTTATTTTCCCAGTCTCCCACTGGTGCCCATGTATGGCTTTTCCCATTTTAAACAATGTTGCAATAAACATCTTTGCACAGTAAGTCCTTATTTAAGGTGGATAACTTCTTAGAAATTGTAACTTTAAGCAAAACAACAGATAAGGCAAACAATTTTTCCATCAAATTTACAACAAAACATGGTTATTCGAGGACTTGCTGTAATGTACATGGTTTTGTTTAAAGTCTGCTTCCAAGCACCTATCAACGACTTTAAGAGAGGATTTACTGTACATAACCCCTTATGCACACATCCAAGAGTGTCTCTAAGAAACTGCTTAGAAATGGATTTCAGAGTTGAAGGGTATCCACAGCTTCAAGAGTTTATTTTGCTAAACTGTTCTCCAAAGTGATTACACCAATTTACACAGTGTATGACAGCTCCCACTGCTGTCCAATCCTACAAAAATCTGATATGGTTGGACATTTTCGCCAATATGAAGAACATAAAGTGGTATCTCATTGATATTTTAATGGCCATTTCCACAATTACAAGTAAGAAGAACACCTATTTATTGGCCAATCAGGTTTCCTCATCTGTAAACTACCAACTTGTATCTTTTACCAATTTTTCTGTTATTTGTCTTTTTCTTAAAGACTTGTCAGTTATATATGTCACATTCTATCCTGTCTTTTCAGTTTATGATTTCTTTTTTGAACAGAAGTTTAAAATTTTAGTGTGGTCACATTTTTAAATATTTTCTATTATGGCTGGGTATGGTGGTTCATACCCAGCCATAATAGAGGCCAAGGCAGGAGGATCACTTGAGCCCAGGAGTTTGAGACCAGCCTAGGTAAAACAGCGAGACCTCATCACTGCAAATAATAAAAATAGAATTAGTTGGGCATGGTAAGGGCAGGCCTACAATCCCAGCTACTCAGGAGGCTGAGGCAGGAGAACTGCTTGAGGCCGAGAGGTCAGGGCTGCAGTAAGCCATGATCACACTACTGCACTCCAGCCTGGGCAACATAGTGAGACCCTGTCTCAAGAAAAATTTCTATTATGTTTTGTGACTTTTTATTTCTTTTTAAAGGAATTCTTCCTACCCCAATATTATATAGACAGCCTCTTATTTTCTCTTCTAAAAGTTAAAAAAAATTGCTTTTCTAGTGCAGATCTTTATCTAGAACTTATTTCTGTGTATACTGCAGGGTAAGATTCTCTACACAGACAACCCATTATCCAAGAAACATTTATTGAATATTTAACCCTTTCTTCACTGGTTTATAATCCCTCCATGATCAAATATCAAGTTTCGGATTTATATAGGTTTATTTCTGGGCCCTCTACTCTGTTTTGCTGTTCTATTTATCAGCTTCTAAGGCAATACAATGCTGTTTTCATTTACTCTAAATCCATAACAAGTCTTAATATCTGGTAGAGAAGATTACTTCCTTCTTCAAAATTGCCATAGATAATCCTAGGCTATTGCTCTACCACACAAATTTTAGAATCAGCTTGTCAAGTTCCAGGGAAAGTCCAGTTGGGATTTTGAATGGAACTGAATAAAATTTATAAATTAGTTGAGGATTTTAACTGCTCTAATGGGCTTCTGGACAATAAATATCTGGGCTGGAGCTTCCAGAGAGCCGAACACATGGAGACTCCTGAGGGGTGGCTGCTCAGGGAAGGCATGGAAGCTCCATGCCCCTTTCCCCATACCTTGTCCTACATATCTCTTCAATTAAAAAAAAAAATATATATATATATATATATATATATATATATATATATATATATATATATATAATGATGTAATAAATATCTGGTGGCTGAAAGATCAACTAAAAATGTCTTACTTTTCAAAGCAACAATTACCTTATAAACTGCCATGCCTCCCATTTATGGACTTACAAATTCTATCACTAAACATTCTTTATAAAAACTGAGATCAGGTGCCATGGTTCACACCTATAATCCTGTAACTAGGCAGCTTAACTTCAAAGTGCATTTAAAACATTTTTCCCCTTTCTCTTGGGTTTAAAAATGTAACCTTGAAGCAAACTGCAGAAGTGTTTTCCCTTAGTCTTAAAATAGACTCCACGACCCACCCCTTTCTCACTGTCTATACTCCCTTCACATTTATCTAACTGCATGCTGGTATCTAATTATCTGCCTACTTAGAAGTTCCAGGGGCTAAACGTGAATCTTGAGTCAGACAGACCAAGCTTGGAGACCCAGCTGCAAAATTCCAGAGATAACCTCAAGGTGGCTAGTCAACAACCCAGCCATCGTTGAGACGATGCCAGCCTGCTTTCCACCTGGACTGGGACCCAAGACAGCTACCAGAACAAGAAATACAGACACTGTACTCAGCATAATTTTTACATGCCTTCCATATCATGTTTTCTCTTTTTAAAACCTTGCCTTGCCCCTAAAATTCAAAGTAGTTGCGTTGGATGGGAATCTGGCCACTTTCCTATTATTACTTTTGGCTAATAAAGTAACTTTCTTTTTACCAGACCTGCCTCTTGTTAACTGGACTCTGCGTGTGGTGAGCAATCCAACTTGTGTTCATTTACAATCCCAGCACTTAGAGGCTGAGGCAGGAAGATCACTTGAGCCTAAGATTTTGAGACCAGCCTGGGCAACACAGCAAGACCCTGTTTCTTCAAAAAATAAAAAACTTAGCTGGGCGAGGTGGCACGTGTCTATAGTCCCAGCTACTTAGAAGGCTGAGGTGGGAGAATTGCTTGAGCCTAGGAATTTGAGGCTGCAGTAAGCCATGATCACACCACTGCACTCTAGCCTGGGCAACAGAGCGAGACCCTGTCTCTGAATTTAAAAAATAAATAAAATTTATTTTTTATTTAGAAAAATATTTATTTTTTTATTTATTATAAATTTATTATTTATTTTTTATTTATTAGAAAAAAGAACCAAAAAAATCTGGAACTCTCTGAATGCTTATTTCCACTCTAGGTATCTATCAGAAGATAAGAATCTTAAATATTAAAAAAATTAGCTGGATGCATAAAATGCACATTGTAGCATTACTTAGAGTAGGAAAAAATGAAAGTAACCTAAATATCAATGACATAGGACTATTAAACTAGAAGAAATATACCCAATGATACACTATGATGGTGAGAAATATACTGGCTCTAAAAACTATTTATAGCAATAATGAAAATGGTTACTTATGGTATAGCATTAAGTAATAAAATTAGGATATCAGTTGTTGGTACACTGTGAATACAGCTGTAGAAAAAACTCTGGAATGTGTGCACTGAAAAATAAAATGTACTAAACTATTTACAATAGTTAGGCTGGGAATACAGAATTACAAATAGAATTCTCCCACCTACCCCACCTGTTAAAAAAATCTATTGTAGGGCCAGGCACAGTGGCTCATGCCTGTAATCCCAGCTCTTTGGGAGGCCGAGGAGGGCGGATCACGAGGTCAGGAGATCAAGACCACCCTGGCTAACACGGTGAAAATCGCTTTTACTAAAAATAAAAAAAAAATTAGCCAGGAGTGGTGGCACACACCTGCAGTCCCAGCTACTCAGGAGGTTGAGGGAGGAGAATCGCTTTAACCTGGGAGGCAGAGGTTGCAGTGAGCCGAGATCGCACCACTGCACTCCAGCCTGGGCAACAGAGTGAGACTCCATCTCAAAACAAAAAACAAAAAACAAAAAAACCACTATTGTCTAAAGGGGTTACTTTTCTATCATAACAAAATACATTGTAAAAAAATAATAATATTAATAATGTGAGTAGTACCCGACTGTGTCTTCAGGGCGTCATTTAAAGTTCGAAGAGACAGTGCTTGTAGGAAGCAAAGCATTCAAGGCCGACACTCAGGGTTTGGGATCTAGCTCAATCACTGATTGTTTTAGAAGTTTTGGGAAAGAGTATCATGCATTTTCTCCGTGAAAAAATAAAAATATTTAGATGTATGGATTAGTCAGCAAACCTTTATGAATGGGCATTCATTAAGATAACTCTGAAATTTCATCTAAATCATGCAAAACACAAAGACTGCCTATTTCATTTTCTTTCAAGTATGAAGGAGAGTAAAGAGCAGGGAGTTTGCCATTTGGAACTGGAAAAAAAATTGCCTACAACATTGTTTCCAGAGCTTGTACTTTTTACCTTAAAAACATGAAAGGCTTCAAACTGGATGTTGGGACTTTTATCCCGAAGGAGGTTCATCATGAGTTTCAGGTTCTCCGGCTTGCTGATATACTTTGTCATGATGGCAAAGTTGTGACGGTCCAGGATCAGCTCCCCTAGCAGCTAGAGGAAAACACAAAACCAAAGCTGTAATCTCAGAGCCACCTGATTCAAAATATAGCTCACGTCTTCTCACTGAAAAACAAAATATAAATGTGAGTAAGAATGGTGTTGTGAAAAAAATTAGAGTGTCCTTAAGTGCATCTCAAAGCACAGGCATAAAAGCAATAGTTATTGAGCAATTTTTTCACACTGCTTTGCTGATGTCAGTGCTTAGTACCTTTTTTTAGTTGGTCTTTGCTGCAGCTCACCTAGAGCTAGGCAGAAATAAATTTATGGTTTTCAATACTCACTTTAATTATCTTGCTTCGCACTAATGTATTGCTCCATAGGCATTCAGGTAGAAGTAATAACAAAATTGGTACCATAATGATACCTTCTTTACCTGCATAAATGTATGCTAGGAGTTCACTATTAAGACAGTTTGTTAAATGACTCTTACATTTCCCCTGACTTTTATTATAAAACCTGATATAAAGTCAGAAAAAAAATTGACCCCAAATCTGTATCAAATTTAGTAAGTGCAGCAAGTTTTTATTAAAAAGCAAAGCAAAACATTTTTTGGTGACAAATTGATAGTTCCCCAAATACAGCATTACCCTAAAACAAAATAAAAATACCCAAAGTAAGAATAGTTGAAGACCCTCTAGCAACATGGCTGAATGTATTGTTGCTCTATCTTAGAAACTTTTTGTTCTCACCATAATTCTGGAGAACAGAATTATAGCCCCCTGGCTGCTGTAGCAATTCCTAAAGCTTCAGCAGCCAGGGGGCTGAAACATACTGTAATATAACTTTATATAGAAGATATGTTTAGTTTTCAATTGTCCTATTTACTGGACTTTTTCTGAAGGCCTCAGGGGAGTAACACATCATTACATGGTTACAGAAATCCTGGATGGGAAGAAAAGCGCACATCAAACTGAGGGCCAACTGTCTATCAAAGGAGTCCCAGATGTGTGCAAGCATCTGGCTGCCAGTAAACCACCACCTTGCCTGTGATGTATCTTTTGTGTATTTAACATGAAAGAAGTATACAACCTGAGGTTATTTTAATGCATGAAAATAACGTTTGTCAAACCTGAAAAAAGGATGACCCCTGTTGGATGTTGGCTGGTCACTAGTTATTCTCATACACATGGAATAGCAACCACGTAGTCAAACTGTTAATCTGCAACCTCCTTCATCTTTCTGCAGCTTCTAACGTTAACCTAACACCTTCTGGAAACTTTCTTTGCTCCTGGTTTCCTACCTTGTGCAGCTTGTTCCCTTGCTACCTCTTCAATGGCTCCCTTGCCTTTTGCACTACTTATGCAGCAATTTTCCAAGCTGTATACTTGGATCTGCTATCTTTTATCTCCCAACAGTCTCATCTATACCCATGGGTTCAACTGTAACATCTAGGAAGATGTCTCCCAAATCTACATTTCTAGTCTCCGCTTCTTTCCTAAACTCTAGACCCACATTTCTTTCTTTCTTTCTTTTTTTTTTTTTTTTTTTTTGAGACAGAGTGTCACTCTGTCGCCCAGGCTGGAGTGCAGTGGCGCGATCTCGGCTCACTGCAAGCTCCACCTCCCAGGTTCATGCCATTCTCCCGCCTCAGCCTCCCGAGTAGCTGAGACTACAGCCACCTGCCACCATGCCCGGCTAATTTTTTAGTATTTTTAGTAGAGACGGGGTTTCACCATGTTAGCCAGGATGGTCTCGATCTCCTGACCTGGTGATCCATCCGCCTCGGCCTCTCAAAATGCTGGGATTACAGGTGTGAGCCACCACACCCGGCCTCTAGACCCACATTTCTAACTGCCCACTGGGCAGTCGCACTTGAACACTGCTGGACTGTCACACTTAGCGTCTCTAAAACCAACTCCCTTTCTTCTCTTTGTTAATGGCACCAGGAGCTGCCCTCCTCCGGTTGGGAAGAGAATTGGTCTTCCTTAGCTCCTTTCTTTCCCTTGCTCCTCACATCAAATCTCCATCTAAGACCTACCAATTTTCTGTTTTTAAGTGTTTCTTGAACACCTTTCATTCAATGTTCACAGCCAGTAATCTCATTCAAACCCTCACTACCTTTCAGCTGACCTACTACCACAGCATGCAAAATGGTCTCTCCTTCAGTCCTCACCTAATCCGATCCATTCTGCACATTTTGTCAAAGAAATCTTCCAAAAATCAGTATTTGTTACCAATTCCACTTAGATTAGAAAGTGAACGAATAAACAAGCAAATTCCTAGATTCCCATAGATTTAGAAAAAAGTAACTCATTAAGATGCCGTTCCCAGCCTCTGTGATGTGGAATCATTTCTCCTGCTTCCTTTCCTCAGCTCCCTTCCTCCATCTTCCCCACTCTCCTGTCTCTGTGGCTTTACTTCCCCAGCTCCAAAATCTTGAGAAACACTTTCACCTCTTCTCTGCCTGTTCAAACCTGGCCCATCCTCTCAGAACCAGCTCAGACATCGTCTTCGGGAAAGCCTTTCCTCTTCTCTACAGTTGACTTTGCTTTGCCTTGTAGTGCAGAGTTATTTGTGACCCTGTTTAAAGAATAAGCTCCATAAGGGCGTGTTTCAAATCCCCTTACAACCTAACTGTGTGATGTGCATGGGTATTGTTGGGGAAATAAAAGTCCTACCCACATATCCAGAGCACAATACAGTAACTCATCTCTGAAAAAGAGATTGCAAACAGACAAAACTATCCCTTATTACAGTCAAGAAGCTACAATCCATTACATATATATATCCTCAAGATGAAGGGTAACCTGTCCACTGGGGGAGGACCTGACTACCATTTCTGTGCACTCTTTCATGGTTCCCCCTAATGCACCTAGCAATTAAGGTGACCATTTGTTTTAGCTATTTATCTGAATAATAAAACTTCTCTTATCTCTCTGACAAGCAAATAGTTGGAAAAGGGCACCTAGGTTAAACTCTCCTTGTGACAGAGAGATAGTATTATCTTCCTAGATGCTTATATTTCAAAGGTAGGGCTTCCAGACCCTCCAAAAAGAAAAAACAAAAACTAAAAAACTTCTGGGTTGTAAGCCTGTCCAGAGCCTTACTTATCTTCTAAAGATATATACAAAAATAATCAAATACTGAATAGACACATATATATCATATACACTCATGTTAAAAGGCTTCAGCAAAAGGAAAATTTCATTTTTGAAAATTTACACACACACACTCAATAAACATTTGTTGAAGTTATATTTATGAGTTAAGTTCAGATTAGGTCACTTCAATTTTTATTACCTGGGGATACCTACATATAAATTCTATCCAATCTATCCTCTGCTAATAGAATTTCACAATTTTTCTGAAACAATTAATTGTGTTAATTCAACACTAAATCTTTTAGCCATTAAATGTTAATCTATTTTAATATTAACAATGACAAAATGCTGCATTCCAGAATAATACAAAGCACTATAAAGCAATACTATACCAAGTAAATGGGAAACACACATATTTTACTTCTTTAAATTTCTTATTTTGTATGCCTCATAGTACATAGTTAAGCCATGCAGCAAGTGGAAATAAGTTTTTTAGAAACCTAAGTGTTTTAATGAAATTGACCAGAGCCCAAAAAATTCCCCAGTTTCCACCAAGCTTCTTTTGAATTATAATCTTTCTTGCTGGTAATTAAATGCCAGGCCTCTGCAGAAGATAAGGAAAAAATTCCAAAGCTCTGTCACATGATGGAAAGGAATTTCTCTGTTAATTATTTTTTATTGACACCAGGAATTAAGCAGTGCAGGAAAATTTAGAATATGATTAATAAAAGGCAGCAGGTAGCAACTACTTTGGAATCAGAAAATAGCCTAGTACTTAAGACAGTTTATTACTTACAAAGTTGCTATATAATAATCTAACCTCTCTTGTTTCCTGCAATTATGAAACATCTATGTAAAAAGTATTACAGAATCCATTTATACAGAAACACAGTTGTGTCAAAATAGAATATACTGCTACCACAGATCTAATTACCAAAAGGAAAAACCAAAATTGCATCAGTGGAGCTTCCAGAATGTTTTTCTAGCAAAAAAAAAAAAAAAGAGTAAACAATATTTAATGAGCTCTATGTTTATATATGAGCTTATTTCACAGTCGTCTACCTTTTTGTTTGCTTGAACAGAGTGATGCAAAACCATTTTGGCAACATCTCTTCCTATAATCTAACATTAAAAAAAACCAGCTCTCCAGTAACCATTTTAATACTTTCTGCATTCTTAGGTAATTTATCTGCATTTTGTCAGGCATTTTTTTCCAGTGTCCTATCAATTCTTGGTTTTACCATGCTATAAATCAGATATCCATGAGATGCCTAACTGTAAAGATTTTAGGAGGAATAGCAGCCAAATGGTATGTCTGGGTGAATTAATGAAAAACAGGAAAGATGCCTCGTGAATAGGCTAAGGCATCTGCAAATAAGTAGGAAATACAAACAGCTTTCTTCCTCCAAATTTGGTTCAATCACCTTAGTTCACATAAATCTCTCGATTTTGATCCAGTATCTGATAGACTCCCATTGAAAAAAAGGAAGGATTTGGAGAATTTATGAGCAACTTCCTATATGCTGGACCTTCAGAGCACTGTCACCTCTGTTTACTACTCCAATTGCCATCTTCCTTCCAGGGCCACTACTCGTTGTACCATGGACAAGCTTACCTCATTTGGCTATCCTTGTGGAGCCCTACAAATAACGAGTTCTGTTCTTTACGTATGCAGCTGTATAAAGAGAATACAACCTTATCTTCATCTGCTCTTAGCAAGCTTTCTGGACATGGGAGAACACAGCGCTGAAGTCACTCTCTGCCCAAAGGTCAGTTCCACACACAGTTTGGTCTCATCACTACTGGGCTTTTTTTCTAGATGGGTCTCCTGGTATAAGTTTCTACACAAAGGGGAAACTCAATAAAAAGTGCTGGATGGCTGGCTGAAAAATGGCCTCCCCATTAACACCCAGTGAGGGTACAAATATAAAGGAAACCAGGTCATGGCTGATGCAGGATCGTGGGCAAAGTAAATTGACAAAAAATGTGATACAAAACAGATTGACTTTATTGTCTTAGTTTAAAATTATACTCCAAATTTAGAAGCAAATGCATTGTTCTATGAATGCCATCATCTTGACATGTAAAAATAACACAAGTGTGTGACACTATATCCCAAACCTAGAAAAAATAGGAAAAAATGACAATACAAGTGTGATGTTTAGCAAGCTGGACCATCATATGAGTTGCTGCACTAAAAACAGTCAGTTTTATCATCTGCTGAAAACATTCTTTTTGTGGGATTCTGAGAGGGATCTGAAGGACAGAGACACAACTCCAGCCCACATCTCCCTCCCCTCAGGGGCTCTCCCACCTCCCCCTGGCCACATGGCTGCTTCCAGGCACCATTCCACTGTGGGAGAGAGGGCCACTTATAGATGGATGTGGTCTTACTCTGTTGGGTTCCCTGTCATTTCCACAGCCAGTTAATAGGTGCATAACCTCAAGTAGCAGATGTAACTTGGTTTCACACAACACACACATACACACAAAAACACCCTTATCAGAGCCATCTTAATTTTCCATAAATTTAGCCCTCTGTTTAAAGATCAACTCATCAAGGACTTCACTGATCGTCTAGCTGCTCTGGCGCACACACACACACACACACACACACACACACACACACACACACGCCTATCTCCCAAGTCGCCGCTTTCTGTCTCCTTTCCCTACTCTTCTTTTTAGTACTTAAAACCATCTGAAAACTATGTATTTATTTGTTTATTTGTCTATTGTCTGTTTTCCAACAACAGAATGTGAGGCCCAGAGCTGTTCTTGGCTGTCATCATATGTCTGGAGAATGAGCACATAAATATTTGTTAACTAAATGGAATGTCTTATTACCTCCCTCACACCTCCTTCTCCAATAATTCATCAAACTATGCTATTTACGGGTAATTGAGAATTGGCTTTATTTTCATTTCCAGCTAGCTGCATCGTCTTTTAATCTCTTGCCAGATTCTGTTTCAGTGTAATCCTGGCAGTATTTTAGAAAAGCAAAATTTCGGTATATACCCAAAGGACTATAAATCATGCTGCTATAAAGACACATGCACACGTATGTTTACTGCGGCATTATTCACAATAGCAAAGACTTGGAACCAACCCAAATGTCCAACAATGATAGACTGGATTAAGAAAATGTGGCACATATACACCATGGAATACTATGCAGCCATAAAAAATGGTGAGTTCATGTCCTTTGTAGGGACATGGATGAAATTGGAAATCATCATTCTCAGTAAACTATCGCAAGAACAAAAAACCAAACACCGCATATTCTCACTCATAGGTGGGAATTGAACAATGAGATCACATGGACACAGGAAGGGGAACATCACACTCTGGGGACTGTTGTGGGGTGGGGGGAGGGGGTAGGGATAGCATTGGGAGATATACCTAATGCTAGATGACGAGTTAGTGGGTGCAGTGCAACAGCATGGCACGTGTATACATATGTAACTAACCTGCACAATGTGCACATGTACCCTAAAACTTAAAGTATAATAATAAAAGAAAAAAAAACTGTAAAAAAGAAAAGCAAAATTTCGTATATGCGATCATGTAGTCTTCTGACATATCTGTTTGTTAGAGGTGATTTTTAAAAAACATTTCTCTTCTAATTCTTAGGGAATGACCATGTTTCATATTTCAGAATCTCTCCCGTAAATATCATGTGAACATGTCATGTTAAGTGGTGGAAGTATTTTAAGCAACCTGCAGGAAAACACTGACTGTCGTGAATGCTCAGGGAATGGGACCTGGTGATGAAATATAGCATAAAAAATTCTTTAGGAAAATATGTTACAAATCTGGGAGATAAATGCTTCCCATAAAACAGAAGCCCCATAACATTTCAACTATATAAACATAATTTGATAGTAAAAAGCTATTTTATACTCAAAAATACAGATATTAAGAATTTATCAATTGCTGTGCTTAAAACTTAGAGGGAAGGTTTAATTTTTGCATTTTACATGTCTTTTTTTTTTTTTTTTTTTTTTGAGATGGAGTTCCGCTCTTGTTGCCCAGGCTGGAGTACATTGGCACGATCTTGGCTCACTGCAACCTCCACCTCCCAGGTTCAAGCGATTCTCCTGCCTCAGCCTCCCGAGTAGCTGAGATTACAGGAGCCCACCACCACGCCCAGCTAATTTTTGTATTTTTAGTAGAGATGGGGTTTTGCCATGTTGGCCAGGCTGGTCTCGAACTCCTGACCTCAGGTGATCCGCCCACTTCGGCCTCCCAAAGTGCTGGGATTACAGGCGTAAGCCAAGATGCCTGGCCTCAGCAGAAATATTCTAAATTTTACTTATCATGTACTTATATTGTTACTTCCAAAAGCAGGACAGGACACTTACATTATTTTGCTATAAAATACAGTCATAACATAAAATATAGTAAATACTTCTCAAGTTATTTAAAAAAAGGATATTTTAATTTTTCTGTGTTTACTCATATACTAATAGACCCGTCATTTGCTAATGAGATATAAACTTACGGGGACACTGACTTAAAGAAATTTGATATTACCTTTAAAGACTGTCTCTTAGTAACATAATTCTCAGACTGAAGCAATTTCTCATAGTCTTCAAAAATCTAATGAAAAGAAAATACACATTAGAGTGTAAAAGCAGCAGTGGATTCTCCGTATTAGGCTGGCTTGCTTTCTTTTTCAGGAGCAAATTCCCAACTTCTGGCCATTTTACCATCCTTCTTTACATGTGAAGACACTGGGGGACAGGGAGGTCAAGAATTACAAGAGACATCCTTCCCTATTTTATTTTAGTTCTGCAAATTAGATAAAAACTGAGTAATTTTGAGTCCTTCCAATAAATCATTTTGAATAAAACTTCTAGTAAAAGTTGCAAGAGAACTCATTTTATGCCATTTTAAAGAAATCTTTATGTAAGTAGCCTTGCTGGTGGCTATGGGTCCACAATTTGGGAAAATATTAAATACACTTAAGGCTTCACTTGGCAAGCCATAAAGAATCAGACTGTTCAATTCACTGCATAAACAGATAAAGAACGAGGCAACCTTTGTTGCATGACGGCCCAACTAGTCTCTCTGGAGCACTTCACTCTCACCGGAAGCTGGGGACACTGGTGCACGAAGTCTTCTTTCCTAACATGGTCACCAACCATGGCCTAGCCCTTCAGTTTAACACAGAGTGCTGGCATCTGGGGAGGTTCAGCATTCACTTCCATCAGGTGTGGGCACACAGCTCATAGAGCACTGAAGTGGGAGGAATGAGCGCAGCCAGGACGGAGGACAAGAGATCAGGAACTGAAGAGGGTGACAAACTCCTAGCCCTCGGAGAGTCAAGTGCGAGGGGAGAGTGTGTGCCGCTGTGTAATGAGGGCAAGCTGTGCATGCTGACAATCACCGATAGAGAATAAAGTGAAAAGTAAAAATACAAAGGTGTAGCTCACATTAAAATCACAGTAATTATACTCTTTAATATGAATGACTTATTTATTCTATCCTGAAACACAAGGAGAATTTTGTGGATCATTAAATGCATCAGACAAGCCTTGTGATAAATTTGAATAGTAAATATAAAATGCAAATACATGTATGTGGTATGACCTACTCCCGAGTCCACCAGCTTTATTACTTTAGAGTCATGCATCATGTGCTCCAGTTTCATGGCATACTGCTAAAGAAATATCAGCTGAAAGAGTCTGAAAGGTTTGAAGGGGCATGAGTTCTCAGAGCTCGCATTCAGGCCAATGCAGGAGCTTCAGCAGCTGTGAAATTACTAAATTACACAAGAAGTGATATATGGATGTAAAAACAAAATTAGGTAAAAAAGGAGTCAAAGAGAATGAATTTATTAGTCTCTCAAACTGTCATGTATTATACCTGAACACAAAGCATTACTGCACAACACATTTACCTCATTCATTCTATAGGAAAAAATAGTAATTAGTTGATATTGTAGATTTATCCACGTTATCTTAGCCTTTTAAAAATTTTATTTCTTATAAATGTGACATCTAATGAATCTTTCCTTAACATTCCATCTAGCATATATAGTTACTGAACAACCAAACTATATATTAACAGTTCATTTCCTAAATTCAAAAATAGACAATTTTCTTTTTCTTTTTCTTTTTTTTTTTGAGACCAAGTCTCGCTCTGATGCCAAGGCTGGAGTGCTGTGATGTGATCTCAGCTCACTGCAACCTCCGCCTCCCGGGTTCAAGCAATTCTCTGCCTCAGCCTCCCGAGTAGATGGGATTACAGGCACCCGCCACCACATCTGGCTAATTTTTGTATTTTTATTAGAGACAAGGTTTCACCATTTTGGCCAGGTTGGTCTTGAACTCCTGACCTCGTGATCCACCCGCCTCTTTCAGTCTATACATTTTGGGATGCCTCTAGCAATAAAAATTATTCTCCTTGCAGTAGAATGAGGTTATCAGAGGCTGGGGAAGGTAGGAGGGAGGGAAGATGAAGAGAGACTGGTTAACAGGTATAAAAATACAGTTAGAAGAAATAAGTTCTAGTATTCAACAGCACAGTAGGGTGACTATAGTTAATAATTTACTGTATATTTCAAAATAGCTAGAAGAGAAGATTTGGAAAGTTCCCAACACAAAGAAACGATAAATATTTGAGGTGACGGGCATCCTGATTACCCTGATGTGATCGTTACAAATTGTATGCATATATCAACATATCTGATGTACCCCATAAACATGTATAATTATTTTGTATCAATTTAAAAAATCATCCTCCCCTCACATTTTACACTTAAAACAAATACTCTAGTTGATTCTGTGGCTATTTCCTTTATAACATGAGGACATAAAAATCACTTTTGATTTTATAATTATATTGCTAATTCCTAATCTTAAATTGAAGGACAACTGGCAAAAATAAAATTTATTTTATTTATAATTAAAAGAGAAGTAGTTAAATATTTGTGATTTGAATGTGTGAAGATATACTATTGATAGGCAGAGTAGGCCACACCTTCCCAGTATTCAGGAGTATGTTGCAACCTTTGTCTAGGATATAAATGATTCAGAGACTCCTTGAGGACTATTATTAATATTTGTTTGCTACCACTGGTCCATATGCCTATTATGTGCCCAACTATACTGCATACTGTTGGGAAGGCATAAAGTCATAGTAATCATCAAAAATGTACTTCTTTTTGTAAGCACATGTAATTTAATTTAATACTAAAGATTTCAATCAATAAAGATACTTTACCTTAATTTACTTATTACTACCATAAATATCATATACACATGAAATTGTTTTTTGCTTTTAATAGATGAAGACAAAAAAAATCCATTCATCATACCATATATATAAATATTTAGAACTTCTTGGTTTAGGCATCAATAATACAAATAGTTAAGTGCTGCTTTAAGACAGCAGATTACATTCTTGCTGTTAGGTGTCAGGCACTAGACTGGGTGATGGAGACAGAGTAGTAACATTAACTAACACATGTAAAAATGCCAAAAATCCCAGTAAAAAATAACTGTGGCTGTTGCTAGGATGAGGATCAGAGACTCCCCTTCCCTAAGTCCTAGTTTAGATGCATGCTGTCCAACATAGGGCCATACGCGGCTACTGAGCACTTGAAATGTGGCTAGTCCAAACTGAGATGTGCTGTAAGTGTAAAATACACATCAGATCTCAAACACTCAGCATGAAAAAAGGATGTAAAATAGCTTGATCATTTTTCACTTCATCTTAGCCAAAAGACCGAGAAGCGATGATCATTTTCCATATTGATTGTACATTAAAATAACATTTTTCGTATGTTGGGTTAAATAGATGTATATTATTAAAATTAATTTCACCTGTTTCTTTTTACCTCTTTGTGTGGCTAACTAGAAAATTTTAAGTTACATAGTGGCTCTCATTTCTGGCTGGCATTATATTTCTACTGGACAGCACTGAGGTAGAGCATCTGAACCAACACTAGAACAAAACATACAAAGTTTTCCTTCTAGGTTTGAGCTATATTTTACTGTATAATGCTGCTTCTATTGCTTACACATTTAGTAAAAGTATCGTTGCTTTTGGATGGATCTGTCACCACCAAATGTATGACACTGCATTAGGCATTAGGAAAACAAGTAACAACGATTAAAAACTAATACTGAGTGCTTACTCTGGTACTGTGCTGAAAACTTTAAATCCCGTCAAACTCCCTCAACAACCCTATGATTCAGGTATTATTACTATGTTCATTTTGCAGTGGGTGTAGTAACTTGCCCAGGGCCACTAAGGAGGCAGGTCTTGAAGCCAAGCAAGCACGAAGACTCTAAAGTCCATACTGTGCTCTTAACCCTGTGTCCTGCAGATAAGATTCCTGCCTCTTAGGGGGTGCAAGGGCCAGCCAGAAAGATACAGACACACCATAATAATACAAGGTGAAAAATAAGAGGGAGCCAGAGAGAGAGAGAAGAAAGAGAGAAGGGGAGAGGAGGGAGAGGAGGGAGAAGAGAGAGGAGAGAGGAGAGGGGAGAGAGACAGAGACAGAAAGAGAGAGAGAAAGAGAAAGGATGCATGTTTTGGGAGGGGTAGGATTAGGGAAAGCTTTCTAAAGAGTCATATTTCAACCAAATCTCAAAAGGATGAGTTGGATTCACTGTCAGGGAAGGGAGTTGCAAGATAAAAAATATTTCTGGTATTTTTACTACTAAGTAAGACTAATTATCAACCAAGTAAAATGATGTACTTTAGTGAGGGTGGGGTTCTCTTCCTTTTGGAGTTACCTACTGCCTCCTTTGATTTGCAACATCAAAGCAAGCAGGTGCTAGTCATTTATTGAGCTTCAGAGCACAACACGAAGAGATGTGAAAAAGGTGAAAGCCCTGACCTCCTGCCATCTCAATTTTCCATAAAGTTTCCTGATGACCTGGTTTCCAGGTAGACAAATCAGGAGTATGGTTGAATGCGACTGATTTCTCTTGTGGATAATTCACAGGGGCAATTGCTCATAGATCTAAAAGGGAGGGAGAGAGAAAGTGGGAAAGTCTTTAAAAATGATTTCTACTTACAGTGTCGTAATTTTGTTCTAAGAAGTCTGCTACCAACACTTTATGTCTGGTTAGTAAATCCTAGAAAAAGAAAAACCAAGTGAAACAAAACTGTTATAGCTATTAATATTACAAATGTGTCTTTTCTAAGGTTTAAGAACATATAAAAGTTGCAGAAGAACATTTTCATTTGCGCCACAAAATTATTTCCATTCCTAGCTTAGCCTAAGATGTGAAATACAAGTTTGTTTCATGTTAGAAAAGAAAAACTCTGGTGTTAAACCTAGTGTTTCAAATTCATATTGTTAGATTTATGATAGAAATAATTTAACTGGTGAAACAAATGGAACTTGAGATGAGTTAATTTTTTTTTTTTTTTTTTGAGATGGAGTCTCACTATGTCACCCAGGCTGGAGTGCAGTGGCATGATCTCAGCTCACTGCAAGCTCTGCCTCCCGGGTTCAAGCGATTCTCCTGCCTCAGCCTCCTGAGTAGCTGGGACTACAGGCGCCCGCCACCACATCCGGCTTTTTGTTTTTGTATTTTTAGCAGAGACGGGTTTCACCGTGTTAGCCAGGATGGTCTCGATCTCCTGACTTTGTGATCCACCTGCCTCGGCCTCCCAAAGTGCCTTAACCACTTTTAAAATGGGCGCCTCGGATACTGGAAGCGTAGGACTGACATTTAGCAGTGTCAAACCAGTATTGTTCCTGCTCTTGGGTTAATGGGATGTAAGGTGTTGTGCAAGTTACTAAGTAGCACAATCCATCCTTTCAAAATTGAAGATGAGTAGCCCTATCTTATGGCAGATATAAACTTGCAGAAAACTGAACAAAGCATGAAGAAACATTTGACTGTCTTCAACTCATACCTAAATTATATCCTTAACTCACTTTAATGTTGTAGGAAAACAAGCCTCACTTAATCCCTTTTATATGCTTAGAGGCTAAATGCCCTGTCTAGGTGCTATGAAAAATTTAATTAAAAACATAACAAGAATTTTAAAGTTTTCCAAAATAAATTCTTTTAATACATATTTAATTAAAATTTCCTAAAAGCATATAGAAGGTACACAACATAACTTCACAAAGAAAAGGCAGATAACAACCATAATAAAACCCACTTATTTCTACTTTAATTTTTTAAAAAGTAAAATATTTAAAGCATTGTGTACTATAATTTTCAAATTCAAAAATAATAAGAGTGGCTCTTAATTCCCTATTGCTATCACACAACTTGATCAACCACTGGGCCTATCAGTGGAAACATGGTGTTTTTCCCCCCCAGTGGAGCAGAGCATTCATTACCACTCTGGAACTGAAGTTCTAAAATGGAAAACCATTTACAGGGGTTCCGTTCCCACCCCGTCAAAGGTCTTGATTCAAACTAGTTCCTGCATCAGGGGACCCTTGAAAGAGTAAGGTAGTTCCACAAGATCCTTTGAGGTCCCTACTCTTTTTTTTAAAGGATAATATTGGTGTCATGCTTTCAAGCATCCCTCCCCTAACATCATAGAAACCCCATGAGCAGTAATAGAAATTTTCTGAGCTGAACCAGGGCAGAGGGAGCCCCCTCTATGGGCTGCAGCAGACACTGTGGATTGCTGCACCCATGGGAGTTCTCTACCTGCTTCAACTATCGTCAGCCTTGAAAGTGAGGACTGGGTTCCCCACACTGCAGGCCCAGCGCACACAGCCCCAGTGGCAACAAAAAGAGCAGGTTGCAGATCAGTGCTGCCTTGAAAGGTTGTGTCATACATTAGTGTTACCCCAAAGAAAAAGGGATCAGGAGGGAGTTAGGTTAAAACCAACACTTTCAAATTCCAAGGCAAGAAAACCTTGAAACAGCTTGAAAATCCAGTATTAGGAAACCATAATAGGGTGGGGTAGAATTCCTCCAGCATATATATATATGCTAGATATATATATATATATATATGCTAGATATATATATATATATATATATATCATGGATACAGCCAATAAACAATGCACACATTCCCTCTCTCACGCCCACATTTCCACTCCAGTGTGTAATGGGATTGATACATGGATATACCCTCAAATTTATGTACATAATAAATGTATATACAAACCACATATACATACACACAGGCTTATGTACACATAATACATAGACAAATATAATTGCTGCATTATAGATCACATAACTGAGTGAAAAAAAAAAAAAGAAACCACAAAAAAAACAGCTAGGATCCTACCCAAGAAGGAAAAGACAGAAAATTGTGAAGGAAAATAAAGTTCAAACTCCAAAGAATTTAGAATTTAAAAACCTTAATTCAAATAGTGTACTCTTTCATCCTACCTCCTAACAATTCTGTTTTGAGAGGCCTAAGTTTTGCATAGTATATTATGCTGAAAAATCTGATATCTATATTTTTAATGAATACTGCTTGAGAGAAACTTGGGGTAGAGTGAGAGAGACACTTAATTGCAGGGACATAAAAGGCTGAGGAGCCAGCGACAGCTGCCGTTTAGAGGGCTGACTGTGCTGGGGAGTGTACCGAGCACTTTGCAAATACGGTTTCTGATCTTCACAAGTCCGTGAAAAAGGGATGATTTTCTTCATTTCAGATGTGGAAAATAAAACTCAAAGGTTAACTAAATTGCTCAAGGACATCCAGCTTATCAGGTGGCAGAGAAAGACAGAATTCAAACCACTTCTATTATGGGAATTTTTAGAGGGAGGGATGAAAGAGATTATGGTTGTATGGAATCCTTTTTGGGAAAAGACTTTTGGTAGACAAATCTATGCCAAAATAAAAAACTAACAATGTTACAATATTAATAACTAAACTGAGCAACAGTCCCTTTAAGAGCTCAAAACCAAAAAGATTAGGAGGTTATAAAAAACCCAAAACCAATGCCAAAATCAAGTCAATCATCCAACCAAACAAAACCCTTTGAAACCAGCTACTTTAAAAAAAAAAGTGATTTATGGTCATTGTTACATTATATTAACCATAAGCATTTGGTAAAATAAAGAAAATTGGTGTTTCCAAAACTGACAGCATACTAGAAAACTTTTTATGATTATTTAGATTTTAAAGGATTGACTTAAATTCAATGGAAAATTGGCTTAAATACAAATCAAAACACCATTTATTTTTGTCATTCAATATTGTTGCTGAAAATTAAATTGGGCTGAATATATGACAGCAAGAAATTACTATCAAGTACATCTTATTCTATCAAATGTTTAAAAACCTTTGGGGAAATTTTCAGAAATACATATTAAGTATTTGCTTTCCTCCTCTATTGGCGTTTGTTCTATGTTTGTAATTATGTGAAGGCTTACTTTTTTTTAAAAAATGAATTTACTTGTTTCCATGACAGCGAAGAGCCATCTGATAGGAAAGGGGAAAAAAATGGGACTGTAGTGTCTATTATTAGCAAACACCTCCTTAGTAGTTTAGACACAGACATTTTGGTAGAAAGAAATGGAATCATCCTTTGTATTTAATGTCATTCTTCATGTTGGATGCAACCGAGGCCTATCTCACCACTAGCTCTAGATCCACCTTTTGAGGGGATCATCTCTAGCCGCTGTACAATTTTTGTCTTCCGGGGTGAGAAACAGCCACTCCTGGGATTTCCAACACTCGGAGCCCGGAGCCATGCTGCCCTCACCGCCCCTCCCTTCACCCAGCAGTCACTTCCAGGAGTCTGTTCCCAAGCCCTTCCTCCTTCTTTTCCTTCCTTCCTTCCCTCACTCGGCTGTTCTCCCGAGATTTCAGTTTCCTTACTCCAAGCTTCCCATTCTTCATACTCCGCCTCTCGTTAACTCCCCTTCTTCCCTTCCCCTTCTTTTCCTTGCCCTTTTCTGTCTACCCAGACCTCCCCTGTGGGCTCCTCCTCTCTTCCCTGTTTTCTTCAGGGAGACCATAGGACGCTGGCAGGCTGAATGGAGGCCTGTGGACACCCGAGCAGGCTGCAAACTCCTTCCCTTCAAACCCGGACGCTAGAGGCCTTGTGTTTGTTGCAGTTTTGCCTGAGGCTTTGGGGAAATGATGGCATTGCGGTTCCTTTCCTCTGATGTCTCGGGCAATTCAGTGCTTGTCCGAAACCCGCACACCCTCCTGCTTACGACAACAAAAGTGCCACAGTGGCCGGGCGCAGTGACTCACACCTGTAATCCTGGCACTTTGCAGGGGCCAAGGCAGGCGGATGGCTTGAGGTCAGGAGTTCGAGACCAGCCTGGCCAACATGGCAAAACCCCCTCTCTACTAAAAATGCAAAAATTAGCCGAGCATGGTGGTATGCGCCCGTGGTCCCAGCTACCTGGGAGGCTGAGGTGGGAGGATCACCTGAGCCTGGGAGGCTGAGGCTGCAATGAGCTGAGATTGCACCACTGCACTCCAGCCTAGGTGAGGGAGTGAGACCTTGTCTCAAAAAGTGCTGCAGTTAACTGGGCTTACCCTGCTCCTAGGCAGCTGTTAACAACCAGCTGCTGTTGCTTAAGCCTGCCCTGGAATCCACCCCCAGCCCACCCCAAGTGGCTTCCAAATATTCCCATCATTCTCAAACAGTATTCTCCCTCCAGAGTTCTTGTCAATTAAATTTTCCTTTGCATCCTGTATTTCCAGAGATGGCCTGGTTGCCTTTATAGATCGTGTGCCAGGCAGCTGCCAGGACTTGCCTCCCGCTTAACCACCCACCACTCTTTGGTCTTCTCCATCACAACAAATCTCTCTGACGGCCCAGCCTGCAGGCTCCGCCTCCAGGGAGACCACGCCCCGTCCCTCACCCTCCGCCAGGCATTCTTCTCCCTAAGTCCCAGCTTCCTTCTGCCCCACTGACATCTCCTACCCTTTACCACTCTCTGACACTCTCTCACACTTTGTGTCACCATGTGACCTAATATACCTTTCAACAGATTTATGGCACCTTCTCAGAACAGGCTGGGTAACTTCCTAGTCTGCAGATAATAGGTAGTTTTCAGCAGAGCAAACCACTGCTTTCCCCTTTTTCCACCTCTGGAGAGCTATTTAAAAGAACTATTTACCATCTAAGTCATAGGCAACTTTCAATCACTGTTCATAAAGTAATACGATTGGAGTATGTATTAATATTAGTATATGGACTATATCGATATTATTGAAATACATATTTAAGGTAATATATAAAAAATAAAAATTCATACATGGATTACAATTAAGTAAAACTTGTAAAAAAAAGTTACATACGTATATCCTGAAAAAAGTATAAATTAATTTGGAGTTATGTAAATAGAACAATTAAATTGCTAAAATGCTTTTGAAGAAATGAATCTGAATACATATATATATATATATATATATACATTTAAATGAGTCTTACCTACTTTTTAAACCTGAAAACCTATTTTTTTCAATGATGCTGTTACATTGTCAGTCTATAGTATTTTTTGAATTCCTCTTCTCAAACAGCTTCAGAGCTGATTTGGTAGACATTGAAGAAAATCATATCTATTTTATTTCTATTTATATCTTAAAATTAGTTTTCTTATAATTATTATCCCTCCCCAAATAATTCTAGCTAACTTGATCACCCACTTTATACACTAACCGGAATGTCAAATAGGCTTTTGTTTCCAAAACTTTTATCTGCCCTTGAATGATAAAAGTTTGCCATTATTGAAAAATGAGCATGTAATACACATTGATACCAACTTCAAAATATGTTAAATAATAGCAGGATCATAAGCCTAAGTAACTGGTTTTCTAAAATAGAAATCTCGAATGTAACATCACTCATTAGATGACTAAGTTTTGGTATGTTTGTCTGCAAATTAGCTGCACTCTTTTCTGATATATTCTCTGAACATTTTTTTGATGATAAAATACAGAAACCAAAAGTAAAATGATTGTCAGGGGCTGGAGGGAGGAGGAAATGGGGAGTTATTATTTAATAAGTATAGAGGTAGAGTTTGAATTTTTCAAAATAAAAAAGTTCTGGTAGTTGGTTGCCTAACAATGTGAATATATTGCATCCTACGATTTCCTACATAGTGACAAAGTAGATAATACATGATCAAACTATAGATGATTATGAAACAACGACAATATAATTTCTTACTATTTTGTTTCACCATGTGGACATTTAAAAATTTCATTCATAAAATAACATGATGTCCTTCATATTCAAAGATGTAATTCTCCATCTCCCTTCACTACCTAGTTCCTTTCCCCAGAATTAATCACTGTTGCTGTTTCCTATGCATCCTTGCAGAGGTATTCAGTGCATATGTACCTTAAGTGGAAGCTTATGCCCTTTAATCTGTTTTTAACATAAATGACAGCATGCCACACACAGAGCACTACATATTCCTTTCCCACGTAACTGTATATACTGGAATTCACTCCATTTGAGCTTGTGACAAATATTTTGAGTTGTTTTCCTGCAATAGGACAGACTGGCCTCATAGACTGCATTCTATTTACAGATTCCTCTTATGATCCACATCATACATGGTTGGCTACACTGAGGCCTAAGAAGTAAAATTTCTTGCTTTTTAAAATTAAATTGCCTCTTCAGGGGCCAAGTGACTATAAATTGACCTAGCTGAGTTGGAAAAAAAAAATTACCTTGAAAGTAGCAAAGGCATCTGAAGCAATATCAAATGTTGACAACTCCACGTACTTAAAGAAATCTCTGAATTGATTAGAAAAGAGGATGATTTTGGCAAGTGGTTCATGTCGAATACATTCTCTCAGCATAATCCCACAACGTAAGGCAATCTGTGGGGCTTCATATCTAAAGCGTAAACAAGAGAGAAATAGAGAACTCTGTTATCCTATTAAAATAATATTAATGGCATCAAAAGAACCATTTCAATACTGCTATTAATGGAAGCATACATACCATTTGTCACGATTCATTCAATATCCACTGAAGATCTACTATGTGCCTGGCACTATTGCAGACGTATTCTGGAATTTGAGTGTATTCTGAAACACTTAGATATACTCAAATATGAACATGGTGACAGCTGGGGGTGGGGGGATGAGGCAGAATGTAAACAATGAAAAGATAATTTCATACACTGAGAAGGGCTGTAAAAACTGTTGACAATAAAATACGCCACATTATAAAGGTGACTAAATTGTGTGTGTGTGTGTGTGTGTGTGTGTGTGTGTGTGAGTGACTACTTAAGTTACTTTACTTTAGACTCAAGGAAAAGGCAAAATGTTCCAGGCAAAGGGAAAAAACTGTTCAAAGGCTCCATGGCAAGAACAGGCTTGGCGAAACAGAGAAGGAGGAATAAAGCCTGTGTGATTCGATTGTAGAGGAAGAACCGTGAGTGGTGTGAAATGAGGCAGGGGTGGAGAGAAGGGCAGGGGCCAGATCCCAGATCAGATACAGCTTTGTCAGCCAAGGTAAGCAGTTGGTTTTATTTTAAGTGTAATGGGAAGCCTTTGGAGAGTTTAAAGCAAGAAATTGACAAGACTAACTTATGCTTTAAAAAGATCACTCTGGCTTCTTGTTGAGAATGTCTGTAAAACAGCAGGAGACATATAAGAACAGGAGCAGAACCCAGGAGAGGGAACGGGGGCTTGGCCTGGGGTGGCAGGAGCAGAACAGAGGACTGTGGGCAGGTGGTGGATACTGTTCGGAGGAAGAGTCAACAAGACTTGCTGATGATGTAGCTGGAGTTGGGTGAGGGAATAAATTTGGAAACTGAGAATTCACGAATGATTCCTATGTTTTTGGCTTGAATCACTGGGTAGATGGTGGTGCTATTTATTAAGATGAATAAACTAGTAGAGGAACAAGTTAGTAAAGAAATTAAGAGTTTGTGGTTGACCACATTAGTTTTGAGATGGCTGATATCTAAGTAGAAAGGTCTCCTTGGCAGTATGATACACTTATCTGGACTTTAGGAAAAAGATAGGAGAGACCTATATAAATATATGATTTGCATGCAGTAGGTGGCTAATACATAGCTGTGGACTGATTGACTCACTTAAATCCTAAGTGGAATCATGGCTCACAGCAAAAAATATGCTAGACAAACGAAACGTCTACTGTGGGAAACAATTCAGGACTGGCATACCAGATTGGTTCCATTTCTAATACAACAACAATCTCTCAAAGTCAAATTCAGTCTCTAAGTAAGTTTAAGATATATTCCAGTGTGTGATAAGATTTCAAGAAAATGAATAATGCTTAGCCCAAGTACAACAAGCCCTGTATTGAAATAATACAGTTGACAATTGTGTGGTAAATATAGGAAGAATAGAACAAAGAAAGATATAGTTGTGATACACTGGGAAGTGAGCAGAATATAGGGCCCCCTCCAAAAAAAAAAATCTGGTGGGGCGTGACTGCTCACTCCTGTACTCCCAGCACTTTGGGAGGCTGAGGTGGATGGACTGCTTATGCTCAGGAGTTCGAGACCAGCCTGGGCAACATGGCTGACTTTACAAAAAATAAAAAAATAAAAAATTTAGCTGAGACCCTGACTTTACAAAAACTAAAAAAATTAGCTGGACATGGTGGCACACGCCTGTAGTCCCAGCTACTCAGGAGGCTGAGGTGGGAGATTGCTTGACCCTGGAAAGTTAAGCGAGACTCTGTCTCCAAAAATAAAAATAAAATAAAATAAAATCTGACCATATTTTTAAAGAGATATCATTGACCATTTCAACTGAATACTAGTTTTTATGGAACTTTTATGATACTATAAAACTTTAAGATATTTTATTACTCATCAACTACTAGTAACAACATTTGTTGAACAATAAGTAATGTACTACTCTTTATAAGATTATAGAATTTTCATGAAAGACAGATTCAAGAATAAAGATTCAATTGAGGAAATAGACTACTTTCCAATATCAAATTTACAAATATTAGTAGAAGAAACAGCAAACAAAGATACCAGGGTGGTATTTATTCATTTTTGTCCTGTTTATGCAGAATGATATTCACAAATATTGAGTATTCCCTGAATAACTCATAGTAACATTAAATGCTGATACATTCAGATAGTCATGATTCTTTGTAGAATATAAGGAATGCCAATTTATAGTGCTAGCAATTTCTCTTATTAGAAAAACCTGAAACTCAGCCTATTGGCTCACAAGGAACAGTTGTCAGGTGGGGTTTTATTAAAGATGTTGTAAAGAGGGGTATATGTTCTGAAATGTAAAGGAGAAAAGCACTGTCATTTATTGATAGAGTACTCAAGAGAGTATAAAATAAAGGCTGTTGGCCTAGAGAAAGAATCTAAGGGAAGGACAATTAAAATCCAGACTTATTGATCAGCAAGATATATGTGGATTTTTGTAATTTGGCCCTAACCTTAACTTTTCAGTTTCATCTCCCATCACATTCGTTATTTCCCTGGAGCCCCTCATTCCCTCAATTGGAATGCCCTTCTTACATTCCCACAACTCAGATGCTTCTCATCTCTCAAGGCTTAGTTCAAATGCCATCTCCTCCTTGAAGCCTTTCCTAATCACTACAATTCAGGATTATTCTTTCTGCCCTTCACACTCAAATAACAGCTTGTCTGTAATTTCTCTTTAACACTTTTTTCATTCTGTATTATGTTATACTGCAGTAAATTGCTATAGGTCTATTTTCTTCATTACAATCAATTTAATTGTTGGGGATATGTTTTACTTATCCTGTTACCTTCTCCTCTCCTCCCCTATCCCCATCTCCATTTGGTGTCTATGTCATTTATTGCTACTTTCTCCTGTCCCTACCCCAGTCTCCGAAGAGTGCCTATTATAATGTTTTTCACGAAGCATGCATATAATGAATTTAATGAACCTCAAACTGAAGAAATGTCTTAATACTAGAGTACTCTAATGAGAGTCAAACTCTGACGTATACAAAATATGCATCATCTCTGGCCAACATTTTCTCATTTCTTAATTCAATTTCCAAACTAAGACCATCTATAAAAAGTTTCCACTCTAACTTTTGGGTATAATTAGTTCTCTTTTTCCTTTCATTTCGTGAAGCTTATTGAAACCATCTGTGATGCACTGACAGTTTATTCTTGAGAATCAAAAGAATGTTTTTAAAAAACCAAGACTCCTCTGGGTCAGCACACTTGTCATTTCATCCCAGCAGTTTGACATCTGTCATTCTGAGATTACAACTTCTTAAATTCAGAAATACATAGGGATATACAGAGATATATAGGGAATTCTAATTCTCCTCAGTACTCTTTAAGTGATTTATAATTCACATAGATCATTTCTACCTGACTACCCTCTAGTATATTGACTTTTGATAGGTTATTGCTTACTATTTAAAGAAGTGCTCCAAAAGATAAGCTTAGGTTAAGTTTCAAATCCCACTAACATTAATATCCTTAGGTCTGTTAAAGAATCAATATGTATCCCACCTAATCTATTCTACTCATAGATAAGCTTCCTGATGGCAAGGATCCTGCCTAATTACTGCATTTTCCACAATGGCTAACCCATGGCAGGTCCCCAGTAAAGGTTAATCTGATGAATGCTGAATCACTATTTTATAGAACTGAATCTTATCTTCCCTCTTGATTTGTAATTTAGATCATATAGTCTGGACTATAATGAACTGTGTCAGTGTGGAGAAGGCACTATCTAGGCATGCCCATCAAATAATGACAGCATAATGAAAAGTCTCTCTCAAATTTAATGAAAGCCAAAATGTAAGAGCAATGGTCTCAGCTGGCAGTGAGCTACAGTAATCATTACACAGAAAATGGTCAGAAGAATGATCTTGTGCAAGAATATTTCAATTTAAGAACAAAGATTACATTATGTAAGGGGGAAAATGACTTTTGTGATTATTGCTGGAAGTAAACAAGGCCAGGAAATACCTGGAAAGCTTTTGTAAAATGCCATTCAACAAACACTTGGCCTCCTCAATATAGTCAAGAACGTATGTTTCTAATCTAGAAACATTTGCTGACTAAAAATAATGAGTTAGGCCAGGCATAGTGGCTCATGCATATAATCCCAGCACTTTGGGAGGCCAAGGCAGGAGGATTGCTTGAGCCCAGGAGTTTGAAACCAGCCTGGGCAACATAGTGGGACCCTGTTTCTACAAAAAAAAAAAAAAAATTAATTAGCTAAGTGTGGTGGCATGCACTTGTAGTCCCGGCTATTTGGGAGGCTGAGTCAGGAGGATCACTTGAGCCTAGGAGGTTGAGACTATAGTGAGCTGTGATCACAGCACTACCTTCTAGTATGGGCAACAAAGCAAGACCCTGTCTCGATAAATAAATAAAATAATGAGTTAGTTCTGTCCACCAAAAAGGCCTAGAAGCAATAACAATCCAATGTCAATGAGCACCCCTAGCAACCAGATTGTAGTCTCTAAGAACCATTTCTCTCTAAAAAGAACCAACATCCTTGGTAGAAATTTCAGGTCTTTGTCAGCAAATGTACAAGTTGGGTGGCATATCTCGTTACACCAGAAAGCAAAGAAGCTCTCAGAAACTATTTTAGTGATGTTAAGAGATATCACCTAGAAGGGGCCACAGATGGCCAATTGAGCATTAAAAAAACATGTGTAGAACTAAATAAGACATATAGAAAACATTAAATCCATTAGTTCATCAGATACTAGAAGAGTGTGTGTCTCTGTACATATATAAATATATATATATATTTATACACACACACATATATAAAGGCAGGGGGAGGGAGGGAAATAACTCATTAGACACCGATGAAAGTTCCTAGGATATCTTATTTTTCTCTAAAATGATAATTAAAAGAAAAGAATTGAGCATTTATTCTGCCTCTCTGGTATGAATTATACTTCAGAGTATTCTAACACCTGAAGCTGTGGTGGGTGAATGACAGTATTCTCTATAAAACTACTTTAGCCAATAAAAAATACAAAAGGAATGACAGAATTCAAAATTACCTTTTTGTCACCTCTAGCAAAATGACGGAATCAGGCAATGTTCATCAATGGATGGTAAAACAATTAAGTTTAAGGTTGATGGGAAACTTTATAGTGGATTAGACTGTCACCAACTGAACCCATTGCTCAGTCTTAGCATTACTAAAAGTACATCTCCTAATGTGATGAAATATGAACTACATAGCACCATCTACAAAATAACTGCCAAAATGAAACTGCTTAAAATTTTTTATAATAAACTTAAAAAAACAGGATAATTGGGAGAAATTTATGATTTTAACATCAGCCTTCTGGAACATAGTCCACTGGCCACAGTTCTTTATGGATCACTGAGAGCTGTTCAGTGACCTCATTCTCAAGTTCTCTCAGTACCCTGGAATGTCATTTGCCTGAGCCAGAAGACAAATTCATTTAGAGTGAGTAAGTCCTTATTTATAATCTTTTCATAGAACTTGGGCTCCAAATACATTTTACCATGTTTAATACCACATATCCAGATAATTCTCTTTGATACACAAGTATCAATTGCTTTTTGTCTTATATTCTTTATGGTTAGACTTAGGTTCTATACAGAATGTTACTATCATACTCTCATTTATATTATTGTTTGATGTGTAAATGTACCAATCAAGTTATGCCCTAGGTTTTAAAGTGACTTCACAAGGATAATTCGGTAAAAATCCTGACTTTTAAGAAGGGCTAAATCTCTAGCATTCAGTGCTAAATTAGAAAATGGTAACAGGGGCTGGGTGCGGTAGCTCATGCCTGTAATTCCAGCATTTTGGGAGGCCGAGGCAGGCAGATCACAAGACCATCTGGCTAACATGGTGAAACCTCGTCTCTACTAAAAATAGAAAAAATTAGTGAGGCGTGGTGGCATGGGCCTGTAGTCCCAGCTACTCAGGAGGCTGAGGCAGGAGAATCGCTTGAACCTGGGAGGGAGAGGTTGCAGTGAGCCGAGATCACGCCACTGCACTCCAGCCTGGGCGACAGAGCGAGACTCCATCTCAAAAAAAAAAAAAAAGAAAATGGTAACAGGTAAAACTGATTATGGTACAACTGTTCCACTACCCTGTCCTCAGGAGCATCAACAATTCCCGCTCCCTTCACATTTGAACAGTCCTCGAATCTTCTTAAAGGTATATTAATGGTAAGGAACATGGGATTTAGTGTCAGATCTGCATGGAAAACTAGGCTCTGTCATGTATTAGCCATATAACCTTGAGCAATATCCTTACTCTCTCTGAGTTTCAGTTTCCTCATCTGTAAAATGGTAAAAAAATAATATGTAGTCCTCATAGTATTGGAAAGTAAACAACATAACATAAGTAAAGACATTACAACAGCTGGCACATAGCAAACAATGAGTAAATGGTTTATACAAAACAGGATGTGAAGGAATGAGTTAAAAGTTTGGGTTGAAAAACAGAAGAATAATCATTGCAATAGAGAATTAAAACCAGAGGTGTAGTCCCCAAATTGTCACTAATGATTTCGTTTGGAGAGATTATGGGATGTACTTTCTTTTTCTGTTCTACATTTCTAAAATGTTTTAGTTTTTAAATAATAACCATGTATTACTTTTGAATTGGAAAGAAATGGAAATGTTTTCAAATACGCATTCTCTTCATTCTCAGTATCTCCATTAAAGTTCTGATGATAATCTCTTCCCCAGACTCTTCCAAGCTGGAATCTCAGCCTCCCACCCCAAGCTATTTTCTATGTTGCCACCAGAACTCCTCATGTCTAGTCCCTGGATGACTCCATGTTGCCTACAGAATGACATTCAAACTCCCTAGTAGGACTTGGAAAGCTCTTCATCATCTGGTCTCAGTATTTCCAACTTCATACGGCACCCTTCCCTCTGACTCACACAGAACTCTAGTCACACCAGAATTCTTGTCATTCTCCAAACACATAAAATCTCTTATATACTTTCACCTTTCTGTGGGCCGAAATGGCAATGAACAAAGTGATCTTAGATAGCACATGCTGAAGATGACAGAACCCCCTGATGAACTAGAACATCTGCTCTGCACTATTACATGAGAAATATACTTATCTTGTTGTGGAGCCAATTCACTTTGGGGTCTATGTGTTATAGAAGCTTTGTATCCCCTAACTAATAGATGATACAAGGATCTTTCCCTTTCCAGAGCTGAAAGAAACAATTCTCCAGTAAAACAATTATTTTGTACCCAAAACAAAAGTAATCATAGTACACTACTTTGCTCACTAGTGAATAATAACTGTGCAATCATAATAATCTAAATGTGATTATTAAAATTTAAAATTATGATAAAGTTTATTAGGAAGATAAGGGAAAGGAAATAGAATAATGGTGGCAGTAAAAAGACTATCATCTAGTTTATCTTGTCAAAGATACTGCTTAAAATTGATAAGTGAAAAATTAGTATAAGCCCATTATTTGTAACACAGAGGTAAATATATGATGAAAACAATGATGAACAAATAAAAGAGATAAAAGTGGTTGTCTTTGGGTAATAGGACTGAAAAATAGAGAAGAAAGAGGCAAAGAGGCCAGGCGCAGTGGCTCACGCCTGTAATTCCAGCACTTTGGGAGTCTGAGGCAGGCAGATCACTTGAGGTCAGGAGGTCGAGACCAGCCTGGCCAAATAGTGAAAACCTGTCTCTACTAAAAATACAAAAATTAGCCATGCGTGGTGATGGGCACCTGTAATCCCAGCTACCCGGGAGGCTGAGGCAGGAGAACTGCTTGAACCCAGGAGGCAGAGGTTGCAGTGAGCCAAGATCGCATCACTGTACTCCAGCCTGGACAATAGAGCAAGACGCTGTCTCAAAAAAAAGAAAGAAAGAAAAGAAAAAAGAGACAAAGAACTGCTATTTATTGATATATCTGATTTTTAAACTATGTATTATTTTGATACAATTAAATATTTAAAATGTACAAGAGAGAAAATGAACACAGGTGAGATGGACTAGGTATGAAACAGCAGAATTGAAAACAGGAATACAATAAAATAAAGAGACGTCCTGGTTTGAGATGGTGGAGTAGAAAGACAAGGGGAGGAAGAAGATGGTCTGCTGTCCTCAAGCTTTGCTACACCTAGATCTCCAGTCTTTATGATTCAGAGTAGCCTCCAAATGCCCAAGAAACATTTATAAATAAGTATACATAAAAATAATAATCAGGGATTCTATCACCCACCTCGACTTCAGTTTTATGGCTTCCCTATAGACCCATATACATTCACCTTGGCAGATGCTAGCTACTGGAAAAACTCTCATACCTGTATTTCATTTCCCAGAACCAGAATATATATGTGTGTGCTTATGTGCGTGGTGAGGGCATTCAATCTCATGCAAGCAGGAAAAGGGTAAGTGGGCAGCTAGGAATAGGGCAGATAGGGAAGCATAAGCAATACTGTAATAGGAAGAGACAGAAATAGCAGAAATGTGGAGGAAAGGAAGGCAGTAAATGGAAACATAACATTTAGAAACATTAAGGTGCAAAGAAAGGATTTTGCTGCAGTAATCATAGAGACAGATCTGGAGGGCTGACCTCACACATGACAAATACCTTTACTGCAGTTCCAAAAGGGAACTCATCATATCTCAAATGAGACTAATGCTATGCACTTTTAACAACTATTAAAAACTTAGCCCTACTTGAAAGGAAGCCATGTACCTACCCTTTGAGGAGCATAAACAGGATATGAGGATGAGCACTAATATACTCCACAGTAGGACTCCGAGTGCCTATCTGTCTTCTCAAGATGTTGTTAAATATCTGGGTCACATCTTTTTTTCCCTGTTAAAGAAACAAACAGAAATTAAATTGTACACTCTAAATGGATGAATTGTATAGTATGTGGAATATATACATATATATATACACACAGACAGAAATGGTACCATCCTTTCTAATATGCAAAAAAACGTTAACTTACTCTTCCCATAGACCCCTAACAAGCTGTGCTTGCAAACACAGTCTACAAAATGGATGCAGCTCCTTGCCACAGGATGTGTGCTGGGGGAAATTTGACCAACGAGAAATCCATTTCCCACAGAGCATGGAAGGACATAAAGTGAATATGACAGAACTGAATTCTTTGTTTTTTCACTGTCTACCTTTATGCAAGAAAAAAATTATGATTATCATTTTTAAACCTTCATGAATAAGGAAGGAAAACAGAAGAAGAAAATAAGATTTTAGTAAAATGTAGGTTAGAACCAAATTCCTTTTTCTTAGATCTACTTTCTAGTATTTTTTGCTTTCACGTTATCACTTTATTCACTGTTCTTCACCCTAGTGCCTTGACTTAAAAAATAAAGTGGGTTTTCCATTAGCTGGAAATATTTGATCTAGGTGATCATAACAAATCACATCTAGCCTAGAGGAACAGAAGAGATCACCGAATCAGTGAGACAGAGGAACCAGATATGCAATCATGGATAGGGCTTCTTAGAGTCCTCATGGACAAGACCTGCACTCTCATACACCTTACAACCTGTCTAGCCTGGTTTTCCAAAAGAAATCTTGGACTGGACCTGAGTTTACTATATGAAAAATAAGTACAAGAATGACTGATATGGTTTGGCTCTGTGTCCTCACCCAGATCTCATTACGAATTGTAATCCCTATAATCCCTATGTGTGGAGGGCAGGACCTGGTGCGAGGTGATTGGATCATGGGGGTGGTTTCCCTCATGCTGTTCTCATGATAGTGAATCAGTTCTCACACGATCTGATGGTCTTATATGGGACTCTTTCCCCTTTGCTCATTCACTCTTCCTTCTCCTGCTGCCATGTGAAGGTCTGTGCCTGCTTCCCCTTCCGCCATGATTGTAAGTTTCCTGAGGCCTCCCCAGCAATGTGGAACTGTGACTCAATTAAACCCCTTTCCTTTTTAAATTACTCAGTCTCAAGTATTTCCTTATAGCAGTGTGAGAACATACTAATACAATGACATTGCATTCTCAATCAGTATGGCCCTAGTTCTGGCCTTCATCTCTCAACTAAACTATGAAAGAGCTTGCTTCAGTTACTGTCTCCACTTCAAAGCATCCTCACCCTGCAGAGTGAGCTAGCTAGAAATGCAAATATGACCATGCCATCTCTCTCCTTAAACACTTCAACGTCTCCCTTTTGCTTAGAAAAAAGTCCAATACAAAAAGGCCAGGCGCAGTGGCTCACGCCTGTAATCCCAGCACTTTGGGAGGCCAAGTGGGGCAGATCAAGAGGTCAGGAGTTCAAGACTAGCCTGGCCAATATGGTGAAACCCCATCTCTAGTAAAAATACAAAAATTAACCGGCTGTGGTGGTGTGCACCTGTAGTCCCAGCTACTTGGGAGGCTGAGGTAGAAGAATTGCTTGAACCCGGGAGGCAGAGGTTGCAGTGAACCGAGATCGTGCCACTGCACTCCAGCCCAGGCAATGGAGCAAGACTTCATCTCAAAAAAAAAAAAAAAAAAAAAAAGAGACAGAAAGAAAGGAAAGAGAGAGAGAGAGACAGAAAAAAAGAGAGAGAAAGAGAAAGAAAAGAAAGAAAGAAAGAAAGAAAGAGAGAAAGTCCAATACCCTTCAATGACTTGACAGCAGCCAACTTTTCCAGTCTCATCAGCTAACTATCACTTCCAATTCCTACATCAAGTTCTATTAGTACCAAATTGCTGCACCACATATACACAACATTTTATGGTTCTATATCTTTGTTGATGCTCTTCCTTTTTTCATGAACTCTGTCATTCTTTAAGATTCAGTTCAGGAGTTTTCTCCCCTGGGATGAGTGCCCCTCTCTGTACTACAACCATGTCCTTTGCCACATCGATCAGTACCTCCTCTTTCCCACTACCTCTACCTCCACCTTCACAGCAGCAAATACTTACTGAGTGCTTACTCTGTGCCAGGCACTTATGCTAAGAGCTTTACAGGTATTATCCAATTTTCACAACAACCTTATTTTTTTAAATTTCATATTCTTTTTGTTATTTTTTTTCTGGCATGCATACAACCACCTTATAATATACATATTATAAAAAAGAAATTAAGGATGTATAATATATGTTTTATAAAATGTACAAATGTAAATATGTATATATACATATTATAAATAAGGAAATTAAGGATTATTGAGATTGCCTAGATCTCACTGTCCTGTCAGATACTGATAAATATCTACAAGCACTAACACCATCCAAGAAAACATGACCTCAACAACTGAACTAAATAAGACACCAGGGACCAATCCTGGGACAATAGAGATATATGACCTTTCAGACAGAGAATTCAAAATCACTATTTTGAGGAAAATCAAAGAAATTCAAAATAACACAGAGAAAGAATTCAGAATTCTATCATAAATTTAATACAGATTGAAATAATTAAAAATAATCAGGTAGAAATTCTAGAGTTGAAAATGCAATTGACATGCTGAAGAATGCATCAGAGCCTCTTAACAGAACTGATCAAGTAGAAGAAAGAATTAGTGAGCTTGCAGACAGGCTATTTGAAAACATGCAGTTAGAGGAGACAAAAGAAAAAAGAATAAAAAACAATGAAGAATGCCTACGAGATCTAGGAAATAGTCTAGAAAGGGCAAATCTAAGACTTACTGACCTTAAAGAGGAGGTAGAAAAAGAGATAGGGGTAGAAAACTTACTCTAAGAGATAATATCCGAGAACTTCCCAAACCTAGAGAAAGATATGAATATTCAAGTATAAGAAGGTTATAGAACACCAAGCAGATTTAAACCAAAGAAGACTACTTCAAAGCATTTAATAATCAAACTCCCAACATCAAAGAAAAAAAAATCCTAAAAGCAGCAGGTGAAAAGAAACAAATAACATACAATGGAGCTGCAATATATCTGGCAGCAGACTTTTCAGTGGAAACCTTACAGGCCAGGAGAGAGTGGCATGACATATTTAATGTGCTGAAGGAAACAAATCTTTTACCCTAGTATATCTGGCAAAAATACCCTTCAGGCATGAAGGAGAATTAAAGACTTTCCCAGACAAACAAAAGCTGAGGGATTTGATCAATACTAGACCCATCCTACAAGAAATGCTAAGGGTAGTTCTCCAACCTGAAAGAAAAGGATGTTAATGAGCAAGAAGAAATCATCTTAAGGTATAAAATCCACTGGAAACAGGAAGCACATAGAAAAACACAGAATAGTATAATACTGTAATGGTGGTGTGTAAACTACTCTTGTCTTAAGGAGAAAGACTAAATGATGAACCAACCAAAAATAATAACAACTTTTCAAGATATAAACAGTACAATAAGACATAAAGAGAAACAACGAAAAGTTAAAAAGCAGGGGGAGGAAGTTAAGGTGTAGAGTTCTTATTAGTTTTCTTTCTGTGCATTTCTTTATGTAATTAGTATTAAGTTGTCATCAATTTAAAACAATGGGCTATAAGATGGTATACGCATGCCTCATGGTAACCTCAAATATAAAAATACAATGGATACACAAAAAAATAAAAAACAAGAAATTAAAGCATAGTGCCAGAGAAAATCACATTCATTAAAAGGAAGATAGAAAGGAAGAGAAGAAGGAAGAGATGACTAAAAAACAACCAGAAAACAAATAACAAAATGGCAGGAGTAAGCCCCCACTTGTCAATAATAACATTGTATGTAAATGGACTAAAGTCTGCAATCAAAAGACATAAAGTGGCTACTTGGGAGGCTGAGGTGTAAGGATCACCTGAGCCCAGGAGGTCAATGGTTCAGTGAGCTGTGATTGTGCTACTACACTCCAGCCTGGATGACAGAGTGAGACCCTGTCTCAAAAAAAAAAAAAAGAAAAGAAAAAGAAAAAAGACACAGAATGGCTGAATGGATGAAAAAAAAACAAGACCCAAATGATCTGCTGCCTACAAGAAACACATCTCACCTATGAAGATACACATGGACTGAAAATAAAGACATGGAAAAAGATATTCCATGCTAATGAAAACAAACAAACAAAACCAAGCAGGAGTAGCTATACTTACATCAGACAAAACAGATTTCAAGACAAAAACTGTAAGAGGAGACAAAGAAAGTCATTATATAATAATAAAGGAGTCAGTTCAGCAAGAGGATTTAACAATTGTAAATATATATGCACCAAACACTAGAGCACCCAGATATGTAAAGCAAATATTATTAGAGCTAAAGTGAGAGACACATCCCAATACAACAATAGCAGATCTTAGACCTGGGACATGATAACTTTTACCACTGTTACTCAACATAATATTGGAAGTCTTAGCTAGAGCAATCAAACAAGAGAATGAAATGAAGGGCAAATATTATTAGAGCTAAAGTGAGAGACAGATCCCAATACAACAGTAGCAGATCTTAGATTTGGAGCATGACAACTTTTACCACTGTTATTCAACATAATATTGGAAGTCTTAGCCAGAGCAATCAAACAAGAGAATGAAATGAAGGGCATCCAAATTGGTAGGGAAGAAGTCAAATTATCCTTGTTTGCAGATGATAAAACCTTATATTTGGAAAAAACTAAAGACTCCACAAAAAAACTATTAGAATTGATGAACAAATTCAATAAAGTTGCAGGATACAAAAATCAACATACAAAAATCAGTAGCATTTCTATATGCTAACAGTGAACAATCTGAAGAAGAAATCAAAAAAGAAATCCCATTTATAATAGCAACAAATAAAATTAAATACCTAGAAATTAACTTAACCAAAGAAGTAAAAAAATCTCCATAATGAAAACTATAAAAAAATGGATGAAAGAAATTAAAAAGGACATGCAAAAAAGGAAAGATATTCCGTGTCCATGGATTGAAAGAAACAATATTGTTAAAATGTTCATACTACCCAACGTAATCTACAGGTTCAATGCAATCCCTATCAAAATACCAATGACATTCTTCATCGAAATAGAAAAAACCATCCTAAAATTTACATGGAACCACAAAAAACCCAGAATAGCCAAAACCATCATGAGCAAAAAGAACAAAACTGAAGAAATCACATGACTTGACTTTGAATTATACTACAGAGCTATATAGTAACCAAAACAGCATGATACTGGCATAAAAATAGACACACAGACCAATGGAACAGAACAAAGAATCCAGAAACAAATCTACACACCTACAGTGAACTCATTTTTTACAAAGGTGCTGAGAACATACATTGAGGGGAAAAGACAGTCTTCAACAAATAGTGCAGAGAAAACTGAATATCCACATGCAGAAGAATGAAATTAGACCCCTATCTCTTGTCACATACAGAAATCAAATCAAAATGGATTAAAGACTTATATCTAAGATCTATGAAACTATGAAGCTACTAAAAGAAAATATTGGGGAAACTCTCCAGGACATTGGTCTGGGCAGAAACTTCTTGAGCAAAACCCCACAAGCACAGGCAATCAAAGCAAAAATGGACAAATGGGACCACATCAAATTGAAAAGCTTCTGCACAGTGAAGGGTACAATCAACAAAGTGAAGAGAAAACCTACAGAACACAGGCCTTCTATGAAAAGGTGCTCAACATCACTGATTATCAGAGAAATGCAAATCAAAACTACAACGAGATATCCTCTCACGACAGTTAAAATGCCTTTCATGTAAACGTCAGGTAACAACTATTGCTGGTGAGGATGTGGGGAAAAGGAACCCCTCATATGCTGTTGGTAGGAATGTAAATTAGTACAACTACTATGGAGAATAATTTGGAGGTTCCTCAAAAAACTACAAATAGAGATACCATATGATTTAGCAATCCTACTCTTAGGTATATGCCCAAAAGAAAGGAAATCAGTATATCAAAGAGATATCTACACTCCCATATATGTTGCAGTATTGTTCACAATAGCCAAGATTTGGAAACAACCTAAATGTCCAAAAACAGATGAGAAAATGCGGATAAAGAAAATGTGGTACCCTATACACAATAAAGTACTATTCAGTCATAAAAAGGAATGAGATTCTGTCATTGCAACAACATGGATGGAACTGGAGGCCATTATGTTAAGTGAAATAAACCAGGCATAGAAAGACAAACATCAGATGTTCTCAGTTATTTGTGGGATCTAAAAATTAAAACAAGTGAACTCATGAAAATCAAGAATAGAAGCATGGTTACCAGAGGCTAGGAAGGGTAGCAGGGGAGTGTGTCAGGGTGAGATGGGGATGGTTAATGGGTACAAAAAACAATAGAAACAATGAATAAGATCTAGTAACACCAAGGATAAATGCTTGAGAGGATGGATACCCAATTTTCCATGATGTGGTTATTACACATTACATGCCTGTACTAAAATATCTCATATACACTACCTACTATGTACCCACAAAAATTAAAAAGAAAAAAAGAGAAAAAAGAAATAAATAAAAACCCATGCTCTCACGAGGTCAGGAGTTTGAGACCAGCATGGCCAAGATGGTGAAACCCCGTCTCTACTAAAAATACAAAAATTAGCTAGGCTTGGTGGCACGCACCTATAATCCCAGCTACTCAGGAGGCTGAGGCAGGGGAATCGCTTCAACCCAGGAGGCAGAGGCTGCAGTGAGCTGACATCGTGCCATTGCACTCCAGCCTGGGCAACAAGAGCGAAACTCTGTCTAAAAAAAAAAAAAAAAAAAAAAACCCATGCTCTCCAAACACCCTCCCTCCAAAACCCAACCCCCCATCAAAGCCCAAAAAACTTAATAGTATGAAAAACAAACAATCTGCCAGGCATGGTGGCTCACACATGTAATCCCAGCACTTTAGGAAGCTAAGGCAGGCAGATCACCAGAGGTCAGGAGTTCGAGACCAGCCTGACCAACGTGGTGAAACCTTGTCTCTACTAAAAATACAAAAATTAGCTGGGCGTGGTGGTGCATGCCTGTAATCCCAGCTACTCGGGAAGCTGAGACACAAGAATTGCTTGAGCCCTGGAATGAGCTGAGATTGTGCCACTGAATTCCAGCCTGGGCAACAGACCAAGATCCTGCCTCAAACAAACAAGCAATCTAATTAGAAAATGGATAAAAGGCTGGGTGGGGTGGCTCATGCCTATAATCCCAGGCAAGAAATTACTTTGGAAAGCTGAAGCAGGATTACTTGAGCCAGGAGTTTGAGAGTAGCCTGGGCAACATAGCAAGACCCCATCTCTACTTAAAAAATAAAATAAAAATAAACAAAACAGAGAAAATGGCTAAAAGACATGAAGACACATTTTACCAAAGAGGATATACAGATGGCAACAAGCACATAAAAGACGTTCAACATTGTTAGCCATTAGGGAAATGAAAATCAAAACCACAATGAAATATTATTACATGCCTATCAGAATGGCTAAAATAAAAAATAGCAACAACATCAAATGCTGGCAAGAATGAAGAGAAACTGTACTCATACATTGTAGTGGAAATGTAAAACAGTATAGCCAATCTGGAAAACACTTTAGCAGTTCCTGAAACAGCTAAACATGCAGCTAACCATAACAGCAATTGCGCTCTTGGCATCTATCACAGAGAAATGAAAACTATGTTCACACAAAAACCAATTAGTAGGTGAATCTTCAATTTAAAAGAATACTCCAAAATCAGTTGCTCTCATAATTTTAAAACACTAAAAAATGTTTATAGGCCGGGCACGGTGGCTCATGCCTGTAATTCTAGCACTTTGAGAGGCCAAGCCTGGAGGCTCAGTTGAACCCAGGAGTTTGAGACCAGTCTGGGCAACATGGTGAAACCCCATCTCTACAAAAAAATACAAAAATTAGCTGGGTGTAGTGGCACATGCCTATAGTCTCAGCTATTTGGGAGGCTTATGTGGGAGGATCACTTGAGCCTAGAAGGTGTAGGTGGAAGGTGTAGGTTGCAATAAGCTGAGATCATGCCACTGCACTCTAGCCTGGGTGACAGCGTGAGACCCTGTCTCAAAAAAAAAAAAAGGTTGAATTACATAAATTTTATTTATACTGATGTTAAAGACTATATTTGCTGTATAAAAAAAGATATAGCTGTAAGCATAAATTGATTTTAAAATGAAAGAAATCATCTGTTTCGTTCAAACCTTTCTAGACCCTGCAGTGTAATATTGCAGAATAAATATCAACCCTCTTTGAAATGTCATAGGAACATGTTTTTCATACTTCCCAGTGAAATGTCACAAGAACATTCCATACAGCATTCCAGTAGAAATGAAGCTCTGCAGAACTCTATCCAACTTTTACATAGAGGAAAACATTCTTCTAGTTCATTAGCAAATGTGTGCAAAGGCAAAGGAAGCCCCCTGTGGATAACAAAAGCAGGTTCTGCTACCAGGGACCGCTTCCCAAAACAGAGGAAAGGATTAGAATAGAAAGGATTACAGAACACTGAAACAGGTACAAGCTGGTGAATAATGATCTCTACATTACACGTTAATCTTTGTAGCTATCAATTTGTCATGCCAAATCTAACTGGAGTGAAACCTTAACTATTTCAAAACCAGTTTTTTGCAACCCGCAGGCTGCCAGATCTCAAGCCCTGGACTCAGAAGTGGCCAGAAAAAAAAGACAGAAAAACCCTAAAAATATATTTGATAATAAAGAAGCAACATCCAGAAATGGCCCAAAATGCCAAAAATTAGCTGGCAATTCTAAGGTTACATACAATGTAACCAATAAGATCCCAAACCTGAAGAAGCCCTTGTGTTTGCTGGCAAATTCAAAAAAGTCAGCTTTAACATGAAATGCTCCATAATTATTTGCTGAATGAATGAATTATATATATGGAAGTATTAACTCAAATCAAATAAGAAAAGAGAAAAGGAGGGAAGAAAGAGGTGGTGAACAGCAGTCACAGCAACCAGAATGATTGCTGAAAAAGAGCATCCCTCACAGATAGCATAGATGAGAAAAGGGAAATGAGAAAAGAAGGCGGAGACTAGAAAACACCCACTTCAAAACACAAGCCATTGACTTTTATATAGAATATATATAAAGAATTCTCAAAATTCAGCAACGAAATTAAAAAGGGGCAAAAGATATGAATAAATACTTCATAAAAGAAGAGATATGGTAGCAAAAATGTACATGAAAAGATGCTCAACATCATTAGTCATTAGAGAAATCCAAATTAAAATCACAATGAGATATCACAAACCCTTATTAGAATGGCTAAAACAATAAAACAAAACAAAAAGTTGACATTCCCCAACAGCCCTACTCCTAGGTATTTATCTAAGTGAAAGGAAAACCTATGTTCACACTAAATACTATACATAAATGGTTAACGGCAGCTTTATTTGTAATTGCTAGAAACTGGAAATATGTAAAATATCCCACAAGTGGGGAATGGATAAATGATCTGTGGTCCATCCATGCAATGGACTACTACTCAGCAATAAAAAGCAACAGACTCCTAATACATGGCAACGACATGGATGAATCTCAAATGCGTTATGCTGACAGAAGCCAGGCTCAAAAGGCTACATATATATGATTCTGTTTACCCAATCTTTTTGCAATGGTGAAAATATAAGGACTGAAAACTGATCAATGGTTGCCAGAGGCCGAGGACAGGAAAAGGAGATGATTACAAAGAGGCAAAGGAGATTTTTTTTTTTTTTTGAGACAAAGTCTTGCTCTGTCACCCAGGCTGAAGTGCAGTGGCATAATCTCGACTCACTGCAACCTCCACCTGCCAGGTTCAAGTGATTCTCCTGCCTCAACCTCCCGAGTAGCTGAGACTACAGGTGCACACCACCACACCCGGCTAATTTTTGTATTTTTAGTAGAGACAGGGTTTCACCATGTTGGCCAGGATGGTCTCGGGCTCCTGACCTCATGATCTGCCCACTTCGGCCTCCCAAAGTGCTGGGATTACAGGCGTGAGCCACCGTGCCCAGCCGGCATAGGAGAATTTTTTAGGGTGATGGAACTGTTGTTCTTCATTACAGAACTGTGCACTAAAAAGGGTGAATGTTACTATTTATAAATTGTATCATAATTTTTAAAAATGAAAATTATAGCCAGTGAAGTCAGGGACTTCTCTATTCTTGCTGGTGTGTTGCGGGGGAGTTGAGGTGGGTGGGAGCAAGTGGTTGTGCTGAATTTCAGTAGCAGAAGTGGATAGGCAGAACAGTCTACCGGGTGAGGGGTAGCCACTGAATGGATTAGTGAGGGATCTTGCTGGGGACTAAAATTCAAATTGGACTAATTTATAGATATTGGGAAAGATATAGGGAATGAAACTACAAGCTAGCTCAAAGTTGCTCTCAAAAAAATTTAAATATATTAAATTTATATATTACATGAAATCCATCTGTGGGAATTTATATGGGAGATTATCTCCCCCACTGCCCCAATATCTTTGTCATTCTATTTTCTCTGCAGGCTGGCTTCTTCTGTTTCTTTAGGCCACATAGTGAAAAATACGACCACTGATGGAAAAACTGCATTTACTATCTTTAGCACCTGGCTAAACACTGGGGTTCTGTCTCAGTTCTAGTTCCAGAATTCCTGCAGAAAGCCTCTGGCCCTCTTTTGGTCAGATATCCACTTGCAGATCATTCAGCTTTGTGTTGTCCAGGGTGTCATATCACCCAAAATGGTTGTTCCCATGGTAACCATGTGAGTGGAGAAGGAGGGAGCATTCCCCAGAAAGCAGAGGGAGTGGGCAGACACAACACTTTATACACAGCACAAGCAGTCTTCATCCTTATGCAGATTACATTCCTTAAAATGTCTGGTACGATCAAACTAATGGTCACTGTCTTAATTTTATTACAAACAATTAACAGGTTTCACATCTAATTAAGAGCCTGATGCCAAATGCCATTTTTAATCACCCATAAATTATATTCCTTTATAGGATAAAGGCCTTCTAAAGCTTATATTCATTAAGCTTTAGGGCAATAGGGTAATGATAACATAAAATGCCATTTTCTATGACATAGTATTTCCCTACCTGAGATTGTAAATTCTTTAATTTGTCCAGTGAGGGGCACAAAATATATACACAATCAAATAAAATCAAGACCAAACATAATTAAATAAAATCAATGGCTGACACGCATAGTAAGCATTTCAAATTGTTAAATGTATAATGTACAGTTAAAGCTGGTATTTTAAGGCTTTATGATTTCTGTTATATTTTTACAGTAATAAAACCAAAGGTAAAGAGCCATTTTTTTTTCTTTTTCTTTTTCTTTCTTTTTTTTTTTTTTTGAGATGGAGTTTCACTCTTATTGCCCAGGCAGAAGTGCAATGGTGCGATCTTGGCTCACTGCAACCTCCTCCTCCTGGGTTCAAGCGATTCTCCTGCCTCAGCCTCCCAAGTAGCTAGGATTACAGGTGCATGCCACCATGGCCACGGCTAATTTTTGTATTTTTAGTACAGATAGGGTTTTGCCACGTTGGCGAGGCTGGTCTCGAACTCCTGAATTTAGGTATCCCAAAATGCTGGGATTACAGACGTAAGCCACCACGCCTGGCCAAGGGCCACTTTAATCAGGTCCAGGGAATAGAAAAAGATTATTAGAGGATAAACATTTACAAAATGTAGGACTACAAAATGGCTTAATGAAAAGTGGAAAAGTTGATCCTGGAGTGTTTGTTTTGCTATTTTTTTTTCTTTTGAGACAGGGTCTCATTCTATTACCCAGGCTGGAGTGCAGTAGCACAATCTTGGCTCACTGTAGCCTCAACCACCTGGGCCCAGGTGATTCTTCCACCTTAGCCTCCTGAGTAGCTGGGACCACAGGCAGGCATACTCTGCTAATTTTTTTTATTTTTTGTAGAGACAGGGTTTTGCCATGTTGCCCAGGGGGGTCTCAAACTCCTGGGCTCAAGCAATCCTCCCACCTCAGTCTCCCAAAGTGCTGGGATTATAGGCGTGAGCCACTGCACTGGGCCTGTTTTGCTAATTTTTTTTAATGTAGCGAGAAATAATCATTAGGGATTAAGTTACCATAGAAGACAATTTTCTGCTTCTTTGAGCTGCTTATTCAGCCTGAACAGTTCACTTTGCATCCACCCTGGTTTTGCAAGGCACACCTGCCTTTAAAATGAATGTATCAGACCTTACAGGCAATACATTTTCCCTCCTTTGATCTCTTATCACGTTGTGTTTCAAAACATCAAAGAGTCTAAAGCTGTGTCTTGAATAGTAGCCAAACCTCAAAAAACACAGCTGAGTTTGATCCTGAGCCCATAAAAATCAGAAGCCTTGCAAACTCAGCCACAAATCATTTTTTGAACCTCATAATAGTGTGCTGAAATGGTTCTTTTCTGTCTGCAATTTTAAGGCTTAAAGCATTAGATAAAAATTTATAGCTACATAATGAGATTTTTATTTAACCCAAAGGCCGACCTCCTAACTAGCCATTATTCACATGATGATAGCCGGATCCTCCAGTATTGTCCCTACCCCAGTGGGCCACTTTCCTCTAGATTCCTGACAGAGAAGTAGGTTTGTCAAAGATTCCTGAGTCAGTCCCTGCCATCCAGTTTAAGTCAGTGCTGCCAGCCACCATCACTGCTGTCAGCTCAGGGTTCCAAACCCCTGCTCCCAGCGCCCTTCAACCCCCATTCATTGCCTTGTTTCCTGCAACTGCTTATTTTTTCAGCACTCAGTTTACTCCAAGTGTAGAAAACCACCCCTTCTTCACTCAACTTGTTTTTTGTTGTTGTTTTTGTTTTTGTTTTGTTTGGAGATGGAGTCTCGCTCTGTCGCCCAGTCTGGAGTTCAGTGGTGCAATCTCGGCTCACTGCAAGCTCCGCCTCCTGGGTTCACGCCATTCTCCTGCCTCAGCCTCCCTCCAGAGTAGCTGGGACTACAGGCGCCCGCCACCACGCCCGGCTAATTTTTATATTTTTAGTAGAGATGAGGTTTCACCGTGTTAGCTAGGATGGTCTCGATCTCCTGACCTTGTGATCCGCCCGCCTCGGCCTCCCAAAGTGCTGGGATTACAGGCATGAGCCACTGCGCCGGCCTCAACATGTATTATTAGTACAAAGTTCCTTTACAAAGGTTTAAGGTGAACAAAGGATAATCACAGCACAGTGCAGAAACACCTTCAAGCTGAAGTCTACAGATCACTTTTATGAAAGGTTCCTCAGTCTTCCTGATCATCTTTCTCCATGAACATCTTCCTTTTGTCATGGTTCTGGATACCTCTCTCTCCCTCCCTCCAAACCTTTCTCCTTTCTTCTATTTCCTACTCCTATCAACCTTGGCCAAAGAGGGCATTTCTCAAATTTCTGTTACTTTTCTCTGCCAAGGAAATCTAAGCTTTTTTCTTTCAGTCTTTTCCTTACAGACATTGCCTAGAGACTTCAGCCTTTCAAACTAACAAAAAAGCCAATCAAGGTATCTTCTAAACAAAAATTCACTTTTTTTCTCTGTAAGGAATGTGCCATTCTCCTAGGTTATCTGGCAAAAGCTGTAGTCCATCCTTAAAATAATAATTTTTCCTTTCTGTTATCAAAACATACCAGAAATTTTACAGTCAAATGACTGTTCTGCTATCCAAAGAAGCACCAGGAGAGGCTATTCACGTACTGAAATCATATAATCATCACCCCAAAGAGTTTGAATTATCTTCTAAACAATTTACTGATTCCTTCAGAAAAATGGCTCACTGGTATGTCCCAATACCTTCTTTTGGTCCAATTCTTTTACCTCTGCTTTGATATCTCATTCTCATTACTACATTCATTCAAACAATTCACAAATTAACATGCCACTAGGTGTGGCAAACACAGTCCTCGTACTCAAGGTAACACAGAAGTGGCTGTCCCAGTGCAAGCCATGAACCAAGAGACATGGGGGTGGGGGTTCTGTGTCGCTGGAGTAAGTCTGAAGTCAGAAGGAATTTTATCAAGCTGTCAGTAGCTTACATAGATACTTTAGGCTTGAGAAGGAGAGTTGCTGCCTGCAGGCTGATCATCCATGCCTCCAGTTCATAGAGATAACATAGTACATTTCTATAAGTAGGCTAATAATGCTAGGAATGCTGGCTGCCTCCTTCCTGAAAATACTGTATGTAGTTGGAATGCTTAAAATGGAACTGTACTAAACTTTCACTCCTTTTCATTCATTCATTTATTCATTCAACCAGGAAGTATATATTTTTCTACAGGCTAGAGAAGGATAACGGCTGCATCTATGGAGTATCACATTCACTTATAATTATGTTCTAGGTATGTGTCACGTCAATTGAATAAATAAAGTTAAGAATTGCCTATCTTATTATCACAATAACAAATCTTCATAATAGTTTTGAATCATCAGTTTAAAAACGTATTATATCTAGTATTTTATTCTGGAGGGAAGGCAAGTATATAATACATTTTATTTTAAAAATTAAAGTAATCCACAAGAGTAATCAATTTAACTCTGCATTTGAAGGCTTAATCTTCAGCTATATGGAAAATTCAAATGTTCAGAAAGATACTTCTTTTCTCCAAGGATTCCAGAGAATAAAAGTTTACTTGATAAAAATGTACAAGTCTATTTTAGGCAATTAAATGTCTTAATTCCAAAATAATTTTTAAATGAACTTCTTCTCAAAATTTTTAATTTATATTTGATGTGCCACATAAAAGAAGGGGAACTTGCATAACTGTTTCTTACATTCCACTTTTGTTATCTGAGCCAATGCCAAAGAAAGTTATAAGGCACCCAAAGTTTTTCTTTGGTATACTCCTCCCTAACTCCCCAATTCTTGGAAAGCACTTTGAACCTATGAGGTTCTGTGGCTGCTCAAAGCTTCTACAGGTCACTGAACCTGACGACATCTCATCCCTGACTCATTCTTCAAAACATAACCATCCTTAGTCATATTCCTTCTAGCACTCCACTGCAAATTGGGTTAATCTCATAAACTAACTCAAGCGTACTTATGAATTAATGACGACAGTAGCTTAATATGCTGCTGTTCTCAGAGAAACAAGCAAAACAACAGAAAATTTATAAAACTATACTACTATAAGAATAGGGAATCATTTTCCTATTTATGGTCACTGACCAACTAAATCTAAAAAAAATCAAGGGTTATAACAAAAACAAACCAGCTTACACTTAACTTTAGTTCCTGAGTTTGAGAAAAAGAGGAAATGAAAAAATACTACTACTTGACATTTGTATACAGTTTGCATTTATATTTAGTGTCCCTATATAACACAACATATATATGTATATATTTTTATTTAGTTTAATATTTAAAACAATGCAGTAAGTTCGTATTATTCCTATTTTATAGATGAGAAAACTTAAGCTCAAAGAGGTTAAGTTACTGACCATGAAAGAGCAGAGCTGGGACTCTAAACAATTCTAATTCCGAGTCAAGTGTGTTTTTCACTATGCCACAGCTTCTACAAGTGTTCATAATACCTAATTTTAAACTAAATAAAAGAAACAGAAAAGTATATACATACAGTAAGACTATACTTTAATTTCACATATAGCTGATTTTAAATCTAAGATGGAGACCTAAGATGGAGAGGGAGAGTAAGCAAGCCAAGCAAGAGGAAAAAGAAAAAGATTCTGAGCAAACTGTCGCAAAGACAAAAAACCAAACACTGCATGTTCTCATTCATAGGTGGGAATTGAACAATGAGAACACTGGGACACAGGAAGGGGAAAATCACACACCGGGGCCTGTTGTGGGGTCGGGGGAGCGGGGAGGGATAGCATAAGGAGATATACCTAATGTAAATGACGAGTTAATGGGTACAGCACACCAACATGGCACATGTATACATATGTAACAAACCTGCACGTTGTGCGCATGTACCCTAGAACTTAAAGTATAATTTAAAAAAATTGAAAAAAAAAAGAAAAAGATTATGGGTCAGAAAATGCCAAAGGCAGAGAAAGAGATAGAATAAGGAAGGGAAAGAAAGAAAAAGACAGCTGTAACTGAAAGGATGAGCTGAAGTCTGGGCCCTTCGGGGTCCCCACTTGGTCTTGCTTCTAGCCACAACTGGACTGCACGCCTCCTGGCTCTGCACTCCTCCTCCTCTGCTTCGGCTGCTAAAATCTTCCCTGGTCTAACTTGTGCAGAGAGCTGTAGGCTACTACTTCCACAGATCCCCAAAGCCCTGACCTGATCTTGGTCTAATCACAGTAATCACTGTCATTAGTTTTCCTTCCACTTATTCAGTGAACAAAACTAAAAGCTATTCACTTTGCATATCTCCTCTATCTCTGAGAATGAATGGAGACCCAAGTACCTACCTGATACGAACAAAATTCGTATTATGATAGAAACAAAGCAACAAAGCCAAACCAGGACTTCTGTCGCCTCAACAGTCAATGCCCAAACTTGTCTATGTATCCATTTCTCACTGAAAAATCACCACCTCTGAGTTACACAATAGATAATAAAATGACTAGACATATTCACCACTTACATTTCTAAGCTTTTGTTTTAGTTAGTCAGTTTATTATTTAGGTAAATTAGGTATAATTGCCTTCAAAAGGAGATAAGTATATTACTAGCACTTAACACATTTCTTAAATCATTGGTATAATATGTTCATTAAAAGAACTGTCTGAATTTGAAGCTCTGAAGTAAGTGAGTGACTTTGGGCAAATTACTTAATATCTTTGAACTTTAGGTTCTTCATCTATAACATGGGGCTAATAATACAGTATTAAACACAAAGGTAGTTTTAAGAATTCAACGAGTTGAATGCTTGAAACTGTACCTGGCATATAGCAAGCATTCAACAAATGTTACTTCTTATTATTACTTCTATTAACCGTTATCTTTGCTACCTAGCTGCATAAAACTTAACTATAGTTTGGCTTTTTGCTTTTGTAAAAAATAGATTAATTGTAGACATTTTAGAAAAAACTTTAAAAAATAACACATGGAAAGCCATAATGAAAAGCAAAAGTTGAATAGTAGATAGATAGATAGATAGATAGATAGATATTAAAATTGAAAAGCACCACTGACATCCTTTTACAGCTGGCTTACCTCAAAGTCTATCAGCTGCAGGTCAGCTATCAGTGTCACTAGCAGGCCACTGCTGTAGAGTTCTTGTGCTAGCTGAGCCACTGCTTCTGTTGGGGGTTCTTTCTCGTTTGTACCACACAGAATTTCTTTCATTGCTTGCAGTGATTTAGACACTTCTTCTGAAGCCTAGTGACCAAAACGTATGCTAACGGTTAAAAGAATAAAAATGTTTAGGCCATAAACAAACAAACAAATAATCCAAAAAACCACTTCTTGGTCTTGGGCTCTGTTTATTTATAATGAATGGCACAGTTACAAACAAACAAAAACAGTGAGGGGAATCACCATGTTTGGGTGGACCTAGTTTCTAATGGCTTGCATTTACATATCAAAGGTTGCCAGCCTGGCTCTAAGAGCCGGGGCTATACAAGAAACTTTTTCGGCTCTCCCTCTCCCTCTCCCTCTCCCTCTGTCTCCCTCTCCCCACGGTCTCCCTCTCATGCGGAGCCGAAGCTGGACTGTACTGCTGCCATCTCGGCTCACTGCAACCTCCCTGCCTGATTCTCCTGCCTCAGCCTGCCCAGTGCCTGCCATTGCAGGCACGCGCCGCCACGCCTGACTGGTTTTGGTGGAGACGGGGTTTCGCTGTGTTGGCCGGGCAGGTCTCCAGCCCCTAACCGCGAGTGATCCCGCCAACCTCAGCCTCCCGAGGTGCCGGGATTGCAGACGGAGTCTCGTTCACTCAGTGCTCAATGGTGCCCAGGCTGGAGTGCAGTGGCGTGATCTCGGCTCACTACAACCTACACCTCCCAGCCGCCTGCCTTGGCCTCCCAAAGTGCCGAGATTGCAGCCTCTGCCCGGCCGCCACCCCGTCTGGGATGTGAGGAGCCCCTCTGCCTGGCTGCCCAGTCTGGAAAGTGAGGAGCGTCTCCGCCCGGCCGCCATCCCATCTAGGAAGTGAGGAGCGCCTCTTCCCAGCCGCCATCACATCTAGGAAGTGAGGAGCGTCTCTGCCCGGCCGCCCATCGTCTGAGATGTGGGGAGCGCTTCTGCCCCGCCGCCCCATCTGGGATGTGAGGAGTGCCTCTGCCCGGCCGAGACCCCGTCTGGGAGGTGAGGAGCGTCTCTGCCCGGCCGCCCCGTCTGAGAAGTGAGGAGACCCTCTGCCTGGCAACCACCCCGTCTGAGAAGTGAGGAGCCCCTCCGCCCGGCAGCCGCCCCGTCTGAGAAGTGAGGAGCCTCTCCGCCCGGCAGCCACCCCATCTGGGAAGTGAGGAGCATCTCCGACCGGCAGCCACCCCGTCAGGGAGGGAGGTGGGGGGGGGTCAACCCCCCGCCCGGCCAGCCGCCCCATCTGGGAGGGAGGTGGGGGGTCAGCCCCCCCGACCGGCCAGCCGTGCCATCCGGGAGGGAGGTGGGGGGGTCAGCCCCCCACCTGGCCAGCCGTGCCGTCCGGGAGGGAGGTGGGGGGGTCAGCCCCCCGCCCGGCCAGCCGCCCCGTCGGGAGGTGAGGGGTGCCTCTGCCCGGCCACCCCTACTGGGAAGTGAGGAGCCCCTCAGCCCGGCCAGCCACCCCGTCCGGGAGGGAGATGGGGGGGTCAGCCCCCCCACCCGGCCAGCCGCCCCGTCCGGGAGGGAGGTGGGGGGGTCAGCCCTCCGCCCGGCCAGCCGCCCCGTCCGGGAGGTGAGGGGCGCCTCTGCCTGGCCGCCCCTACTGGGAAGTGAGGAGCCCCTCTGCCCAGCCAGCCGCCCCGTCCGGGAGGGAGGTGGGGGTGTCGGCCCCCCGCCCGGCCAGCCGCCCCGTCCGGGAGGGAGGTGGGGGGGGTCAGCCCCCCCGCCCGGCCAGCCGCCCCGTCCGGGAGGTGAGGGGCGCCTCTGCCCGGCCGCCCCTACTGGGAAGTGAGGAGCCCCTCTGCCCGGCCAGCCGCCCCGTCCGGGAGGGAGGTGGGGGGGGTCAGCCCCCCCGCCCGGCCAGCCGCCCCGTCCGGGAGGTGAGGGGCGCCTCTGCCCGGCCGCCCCTACTGGGAAGTGAGGAGCCCCTCTGCCCGGCCAGCCGCCCCGTCCGGGAGGGAGGTGGGGGTGTCAGCCCCCCGCCCGGCCAGCTGCCCCGTCCGAGAGGGAGGTGGGGGGGGTCAGCCCCCCCGCCCGGCCAGCCGCCCCGTCCGGGAGGTGAGGGGCGCCTCTGCCCGGCCGCCCCTACTGGGAAGTGAGGAGCCCCTCTGCCCGGCCACCACCCCGTCTGGGAGGTGTGCCCAACAGCTCATTGAGAACGGGCCAGGATGACAATGGCGGCTTTGTGGAATAGAAAGGCAGGAAAGGTGGGGAAAAGATTGAGAAATCGGATGGTTGCCGTGTCTGTGTAGAAAGAAGTAGACATGGGAGACTTTTCATTTTGTTCTGCACTAAGAAAAATTCCTCTGCCTTGGGATCCTGTTGATCTGTGACCTTACCCCCAACCCTGTGCTCTCTGAAACATGTGCTGTGTCCACTCAGGGTTAAATGGATTAAGGGCGGTGCAAGATGTGCTTTGTTAAACAGATGCTTGAAGGCAGCGTGCTCGTTAAGAGTCATCACCAATCCCTAATCTCAAGTAATCAGGGACACAAACACTGCGGAAGGCCGCAGGGTCCTCTGCCTAGGAAAACCAGAGACCTTTGTTCACTTGTTTATCTGCTGACCTTCCCTCCACTATTGTCCCATGACCCTGCCAAATCCCCCTCTGTGAGAAACACCCAAGAATTATCAATAAAAAAATAAATTTAAAAAAAAAAAAAAACAAAAAAACAAAAACAGTAAGCACTGCCTTTTTTATTTTGGAAAATATTATAAGTATTATAAAATTTATTTATATAAAACAGCTCTTTGGTATTTCTACTTAGTCAACATACACTAAATAATCTTTTTTTTTTTTTTTTAGATGGAGTCTTGCTCTGTTGCCCAGGCTGGAGTGCAGTGGCACAATCTTGGCTCACTGCAAGCTCCGCCTCCCAGGTTCATGTCATTCTCCTGCCTCAGCCTCCCAAGTAGCGGGGACTACAAGCACCCGCCACCACGCCCGGCTAATTTTTATACTTTTAGTAGAGACAGGGTTTCACTGCGTTAACCAGATGGTCTCGATCTCCTGAACTTGTGATTCGCCCACCTCAGCCTCCCAAAGTGCTGGGATTACAGGCGTGAGCCACTGCATCCGGCCCAGTAATCTTTTAAACCACACTCATTGTCTAATTTTGCTAGCAATTCAATATAAACTTTATGCTTGAAAATTAAATTGATTCCATTTTGAAGACTTATCAGTAGCTACTGATCTTTATTTAAAGCATTGTGTTAAGGTTTTTCAACAAATCCCTATTCCTCTGATTTTCGAATGGTCCAAGTATAAGATTGTAAATTGTCAAAACTCATAAGCTTTCTTTGTCAATCCATTTATTCCTCACACAGAATCACTGTCTTTTTTGCTATCTATGAAACTTAAAAAAAACTCACTATATTTTAAAGAATACTAGGCAAATCCATAGAGGCAGAAAGTACATAGATTAGTAGGTATTAGGGCCTGGGGGAGAGGGAAATAAGTAATGACTACTAATGGCTCCAGGGTTTCTTTTGGGAGTGATGAAAATGTTCTAGAATTAGATAGCGGTGAGTTGCAAAACTTTGTGAATGTACTAAAAACCAATGAATTGTACACTTTAAATAGTGAATTATATGGTATGTTAATTTTTAATATCTCAATTTAAAAATCTTTAAAATTAATATAGGTAGGAAAGGAGAGCAGATTAATTTAGTTAACAATTTGTCTGAATATTTTAAAGAAATATACTTTCATTACTTTTAAGTATAATATTGTAATCATTATAAATGAAGAAGGAAATGAGTAGAATAAGGCAAATTACATAAAAATAACTCATGGTAGCATGATGCAACTTTTGTTATTTATTTATTTTTATTTTTCTCTAGTTCTGCTTCTTGGGTGACGCTACTTTTATTTATTTGTTTATTTTTAAGATGGAGTTTTGCTCTTGTCACCGAGGCTGGAGTGCAACAGCACAATCTCAGCTCACTGCAACCTCTGCCTCCTGCGTTCAAGCGATTCTCCGGCCTCATCCTCCCTGGTAGCTGGGATTACAGGCACCCACCACCGTGCCTGGCTAATTTTTGTATTTTTAGTAGAGGCGGGGTTTCACCATGTTGGCCAGGCTGATCTCGAACTCCTGACCTTAGGTGATCTGCCCACCTCAGCCTCGCGAAGTGCTGGGATTACAGGCGTGAGCCACTGCGCCTGGCTGACACTACTTTTAAAAAGTAATTTTTCATATCCTTAATAGCCTGACTGAAGCAATCCTTAATGTACTAAAGACCGGAAGCATCTTAAATTGTGAGATATATCCACAGAAGAGTGCTTTAAACATACATGGAGAGTATGTTTAAGAGAGAGTTAAGGATAATAATAAAGGAAACATCTTTATGACCATCACCCAGTCAAGAAACAGGACATTTTCAGCACCCAGGAGTCACCTGAAGGCCCCTTTCAGCTCAGATGTAAATATTTTTATATCTCTTGTGACAAACATGTCTTTACATTTCTTATTATTCCTATTTTATAGATGAGAAAACTTAGGCTGAAACAATATAGCTTAGTTCCACTGATTTTCAACTTTATGGATCAGTACATTACCCCTTCATGACTTGCTTCTTTCATTCAACATTATTTTTAAGAAATGCATCTATACTGTTGCATGTAGGCAGAAGTTCTTTAATTTTTATCACTTTCTAATGTTCCACACTAATGCCTATACCACAACTTTTTTATTGGTTCTACTGTTCAAGGACATTGGGTTGTTTCCATGAAAGGATTTTTATTAACAACAATGCTATGAACATTCTTGTACATTTTTCCTGGTGCAGATGTGCAAGAATACCTCTAGAGTTTATAACTAGGAGTGGCACTGCAGGCACATGCATATCTTCGTATTTCACAGATAATAAACTGGTTTTCAAAGCAGTTACATCAATGTATATGTCATCATCCACAGTTAATGAAAGTCCTCATTGCTCTCCATCCTTGTCAACACTTAACATCATCACACCTTTTCATTTTTGCCAAGACAGTAGTTGTGTAATCTGAATTTATTGTGGTTTTAGTTGGCCTTTTCCTAGTTACTAATGAAAATGTGTAAAAAGGTTTTTTTTTCTTTTTTCTCTCTTCTACCATTTAGATTTATACTTGCAAAAAAGCCATTTTTCTTCTATTTGGGCCAAGATTTGGCTCAATATTACAAAGTGTACTAGAATTAGAATAAGCTATTTCTACACCCCTTGTAGAATTCAATATTGTATCATTTACTGGAATAGAAGGATACTATGAACTCGTGTATTTCTTTTATAGATATCTTGAATCTTGCCATAAACTTTAGAGAGAAATCGAATATATAGGATTCAATATCCCTTTGAAGGAATAACTAGCATTCCTATGAGGAAGCCCCACTTAATAAGACCTTAAAACCGTATGAAAATGAGATTCACTGTAACAGAAACTATCAGTCAATCTTTAAATAAAAACTTTTTACCTTTCATGTAAATGTAACATTACACACCAGTATAACCTTTTAGATCTTTAAGCTGTGTAGTCTAGAGGGATCCGGTGTGGTCAGAGTCTCTAGAGAGTGAACCTAAAGTTCATCACAACAGACTAAATAATAATCAGTTGCATAAAACCTGAAATCAACTTAAATCTATTTATAGAGGGTCTATGTGCACATCACAGACCATATTTTGAATTCTTCATTAAGCTTTTACATTGGTTTTTGGCATTGCGATGCATGTACTTTAATCATAATGTTACTGTTTTAGCTCTTACCTTGTCTGTCTTTTTGTCTTGCTTTTCCAAAATGGCCAAATTGTCTTTCAGGATTTTCACAATTTCTGCTGGATTTTTGTGTGATTTACTAAACAAAGGCATTTTTTTCATGTGTAGAAATCTCTTCTTCCAATATGGAATGCTAAAAACAAATAAGCCAACAAAAATTATAACTTTAACTCTTAATATGCTTAAATTTTTATACCAATGTCTTATAAGTTTTCAATAACATGAATTCAGTAATCTGAAACATTAAAAGTGATCAAATTAAAATGAGTTTCAAGTTTTATGCCAAATTTAAATACATATATTTTTAAAAAGATATTTTTAAAGTTTTGCTTGAAAGTTTTTATACAAAGTTTAAAATCTTTCCTGCAATAGAAACATAAGGATTATACAAGAAATAATTTTAGAGTCCAAGTTGATATGTAAAACTAGATATTTTGACCAAAGAAAGTGATAATAATAATAAATATATTCTATAATGTTTAGCTATATGTATTCTATAATGCTTAGCTGCTATTATTACAAGAAGTTCCATGACATAGTTAATGAACTATTTCACAAAAGAGAAAGGCACAGTAGTTTAGATATGATTCTATCTTAAATGTCCTAGACATTTCTGGCTCTTTGAGTCAATTATACCTTTTTCCATTATTTTAAAAAACATAAACTTATTCTCTGAATGCATAATAATCAATGATCAAATATTTTGCATTAAAGTAGAATTTTAAAAAGAAGCCAAATGCATTCATGTATAGACATACCTAGGAGATACTGTAGGTTCAGTTCCAGACCATTGCAATAAAGCAAATTTCCCAATAAAGTGAGTCATAAAATGTATTTGGTTTTTCCTAGTACATATAAAAGTTATATTTACGCTATACTGCAGTCTATTAAGTGTGCAATAGTATTATATCTAAACTGATGGGTGCAGCACACCAACATGGCACATGTATACATATGTAACTAACTTGCACATTGTGCACATGTACCCTAAAACTTAAAGTATAATAAAACAAAAACAAAAGCAAAAACAAAATGAAAACAATATGTATAACTTGATTTATAAAAATATTTATTGCCTGACCCTTCAGTGAGTCCTAATCTTTTTGCTGGTTGGAGAGTCTTGCATTAATGTTGATGGCTGCTGACTGATCAGGTTGTTGGCTGCTGAAGGATGGAGTAGCTGTGGCGATTTCTTAAAAGAAGACAATAAAGTTTGCTACGTTGACTCTTCCTTTCATGGAAGATTTCTCTATAGCATGTGATGCAGTTTGTTAGCATTTTACTCACAGTAGAACTGCTTTCAAAATTGAAGTCAGTCCTCTCAAAACCTGCCACTGCTTTATCAGCTAAATTTATGTAATATTCTAAATCCTTTGTTGTCATTTCATCTTCAGCAGGAGTAGATTCCATCTTAAGAAACCACTTTCTTTGCTCATCCATAGAAGCAACATTCCTCACCTGTTCAAGTTTTATCGTGAGATTGCAGCAATTCAGTCACATCTTCAGGCTCTATTCTTAATTCTTGTTCCCTTGTTATTTCCACCATATTGGCAGTTACTTCCTCCACTGAAGTCTTGAACCCCTCAAAGTTACCCATGAGAGTTAGAACCAACTTCTTCTGAACTCCTGAAAATGTTGATATTTTGACCTCCTCCCATGAATCACAAATGTTCTTAATGGCATCTAGAATGATGAATCTTTTACAGCAGGTTTTTCTATTAAGTTTGCCCAGATCCATTAGAGGAATCACTATCTATGGCTGCTTGCATCTTATGAAATGTATTTCTTTTGTTTGTTTTTTTAACTTTTATTAGAACAATATGAACATATGAAATGTATTTCTTTAACAAGTCTGGAAAGTCAAAATTACTCCTTTATCCATGGGCTGCAGAATGGATGTTAACAGGCATGAAAACAACATTAACCTCCTTGTAAACCTCCATCAGAGCTCCTGGATGATGAGGTACATTGTCAATGAGCAGTAATATTTTCAAAGGAATATTTTATTCTGAGCAGTGGGTCTCAACAGAAGGCTTAAAATATTCAGTAAACCATGCTGTCATCAGGCTTTGTTGTTCCATTTATGGAGCACAGGCCAAATAGATTTAGCATAATTCTTAAGAGCCTAGGGTTTTTGGAATGGGAAATGAATATTAGCTCCTACTTCAAGTTACCAGCTGCATTAGCTCCTAACTAGAGAGTCAGCTTGTCCTTTAAAGCCAGGCACTGACTCCTCCTTTCTAGCTATGAAAATCCTAGATGGCATCTTCTTCCAATACGAGGGTGTTCCATCTACACTGAAAATCTGTTGTTTTGTGTGGCCACCCTCACCAATGATCTCAGCTAGATCTTCTGGATAACTTGCTGCAGCTTCTATAAATAGCACTTGCTGCTTTTTCCCCTGCACTTTTATGTTCTGGAGATGGCTTCTTTCTTTAAACCTCATGGAGCAATCTCTTTTAGCTTCAGACTTTTCTTCTGCATCTTCCTTACCTCTCTCAGCCTTCACAGAACTGAAGAAAGCTGGGGACTTGCTCTGGACTAGGCTAAAGGGAATGTGTGTCTGGTTTGATCTTCTATCCAGACCACTGAAACTGTCTTCGTATTAACAATTAGCTGTTTTGTTTTCTTATTATTTGTGTTTTCACTGGAGTAGCACTTTTCATTTTCTTCAAGAACTTTTCCTTTGCATCCACAGCTTGGCTAACTTACTGATGCAAAAGGCCTAGCTTTCAGCCTACCTCCGCTCTGGATATGCCTTCCTCACTAAGACTAATCATTTTTCCATCTTTTGATTTAAAGTGAGAGATATGTGACTCTTCCTTTTCCTTGAACACGTAGAGGCCACTTATAGGGTTATGAGCCAGCCTAATTTCAGTATTGTTGTATCTTAGGGAACAGGGAGGCCTGAGGAAAGTGAGACAGGGGAACGGCCAGTCGATGGGGCACTCAGAACACATGCAACATTTATCGATTATGGGCACAGTCTGTGGTGTCCCAAAACAATTACAATAGTTAACATCAGAGATCACTGATCACAGATCACCACAACATATGTACTAACAATGAAAAAGTTTGAAATATTGTGAGAATTAACAAAATGTATCAAGAGATACAAAGTGAGCACATGCTGGTGAAAAAAATGGCACCAATAGACTTCCTCAATGCAGGGTTGCCATAAACCTTCAATTTTTCAAAAACACGGTGTCTTCAAAGCACAACAAAGGTGAAACACAATAAAATACGGTATGCCTGTAATTGCTGTCTTTCTCCCTGTAGTTCTATAGCACTAAGGGAAAGATATATAACTGTAGGAATTTTAAATACTCCCTGACATCAAAACAGAGTACAAATTATAACATGGTATCATAGATATGATATGATTTTTTGTCCATTATTACTTTGCTTGGTTCTCACTGTAACAAGCTAATGCTAATTTACTTAAATTAAAAACGTTTTCAGGGTTTCCATGTCAATCTGGTGATAAGCATTTTCTGATTCACTATCTCCCCTTTTCATCTGATGGTGGGTTTGTTCATTTATTCATTGAATAAATAATCTGAGTAATTACTGAGCACAGGCACTTTGCTAAATACTAGGGATAGAGCCACAAACAAGAAAAACACAATCCCTGTTCTTTGAAGCCTATTATTAAGTGGAAAAAGCAAACATTTTAGGGCAATGGGGTTATATAATGGGGAAATAACACACAGTATACTGCCTCAATACAATCTCCTTTAAAAATTACTTTCATATTTTACTATACCTACTTATTGTAATAAGTATAATATGATTAGTTTAACAATGTTTTAAAATTTCATCTTATCATTATTCTTCTATTTTGGGATCCATATTTTGAAGGAAATCAAAGTTCATGCTCTTAAACTATGCTTGAGTTCCAGCACCCAGACCCCCTGCAAATTAAGGCAGAACTCTCCTGCCTCTCCCAGTTCTTCTCAGACCATGGCCAGCCCCACTCCATTCCCAGACTAAACACCTCCCCCACTCCCAGACTAAACACCTCCCCCACTCCCAGACTAAACACCTCCCCCACTCCAAGACTAAACACCTCCTCCATCACCTGGAAACTTGAGGCTGCCTTTCTCACACTCTGGGCGACCATGCTGGTCACTATATATACATCTACTCCAATCACATCATTTAGCCCACTGGTGGTCATTTAAGCAATGAAGCAAGTAGCACTCAAACCTTCTACACAAACACAAGACACGTAAACTCCCTCTAGTTGATTGTAACTGATCTGCTGTATGATTCAAAAGAAGTTAATCACCCCCTTCTAGGTGTCACTTGTTCTATCTGTAAAACGAAGTTGTTCTTAAAGTAAGATTGAGCATCAGGGCTCTAGGTTATTCACCACTGTCCCACACCCATTCTGAGTCTTTAACCCCCAGTATCCTATCATGATAAAGATAAAGCCAAAAATAAAGTGCTTAAGCTGGGAACAAAAGGAATGGAGAGGCCTGACAATGGTGCCTTGTGGGGATAAGGTGGCAGGAAAGTAATTTTTCCATAAAGTCTACCTCAGAGTTTTAAGAACATACATTCTGTTTCAGCAAAGCAGGCAGTGGGGACAGGAAAAGACGCATGTTAGTCCAGAAGGCTGACACTAGATAAATGCCTCCTAGGCATTGAAAACGGTGTTGAGACCACGCACATCAACGTGCCCTCAGCATTAATGCTGACAGCAGGCCATGCAGCACAGAAATGTTAGTGGACTGACAATGGCCCTGTTATACTTTTCCTCTTCCAGCAGTCAGTAAGCAGAATAAACAACAAATAGGTTGTTTATTATTATTAAAGGAACACAATGAAAGGAAATAAATGCCCTGCAGACTTGGGCAAGAAAGGTTGCTTCTGAAATTAATTCTCTATAAAGCTAGAACAGATATAAATTTAAGAAAAGAAGAAAAGGAGACAAAAAGCTCTTTTAGACAAAAAAAAGAGCTAGCCAAGGTAAAAGACTGAAAATACACACATATATGCACATATAAATACACACATGCCCAAGATGCAGACTGGGAATCCCAAACTGCATAGAGCAGAATAACAATACAGAAAATGGGTCTGGGGCAACTTCAAGGTACAAAATTAGTTAGTGTGCATGTATTCATTCGAAAAGTATTTACTGAGCACTTATAATGTACTAGGCACTGAACAAGGAAATACGAAACAAAGAAGCCTCAAAGGGCTCACGATGTAGTGAGAGACACAGACACGTGCAAAATTTTCCCAGAAGGCGAGAAAAGGTCGAAAAAACTAAAATGATGAAGAAAAGATATAGAGTGTGTATGGATACATATCTTTATATCTATATAGGTATTTTATAGCGATATGAAGAAAATGGAGTGTTATCCCCTAACAAACAGGTGTTACAACAATGGAGGGGGGAGGATAGGAAGCCAAAAACAGCAAAGGCATTAAAACTGGAACAGAATCAAAGATATAACAGCGTAAACAGAAAAACAATCTAAACTTGATCATTCGAACGATTTTTCTAGTTGAGATTCATGATAAGACCCAACATTCAGTGTCTTGCAGCTTTTAAAATAAACATTTCCTTCTCAGATCACATTCCAACAAAATGACCTTAAAAAAACAAACGAAAGCATAAAAATCAGGTTGGTTTTAGACTTCCATGAACCAAATGCCCCAAGGCCATGGAGAAAACCTAGAGTTCTGATAAGTAAAGTCTATAACACCATAATTAAATCCTTAGCCAATATACCATTTATGTGTGAACAGATAGTGTATATTTACTAAAAATGGAACAAAAAGATGAGATGGAATGAGGCCCACAAAGAGCTCAACAAAATTAATGCTAAAAAATCAGAAATAGTTCTTGAAAAGGAGCCTGTATATTGTTGGCAGAACATGTGGGAGGGTGAGAATCTACAATTATAACTCATTCATATAGGAATAAAAATAAATAAGGATTCAACTAAAGAAGTTAAAAAGGAAACTGCCCCAAAAATCTCCAAGAAAAGATGGATGGAAATAATGATAGAAGTAGAAATAACTCAATCAGAGAAGTAAAAGAAAAGGAAGAAAACCTCTGGTAGCTATTTGGTCCGGGTTTCTTCTGGTGATAGATGTGTCTGCCCTACTTCCCACATCACCTCACCCCAACAAAAGCGGGGGAACATGACCCAGGTTTGGCCACAGTATTCCCTGTCCTGGATGCAGCAACTAGCTAGTAAATAGATTGTGACATAGCCAATCAAAATAAAAAAGAAGAAAGAAAAGTGTTGATGAGAATGCTGAGAAAAGGGAACTCTTGTACATTGTTGGTGGGAAGGTGAATTAGAACAGCCACTATAAGAAACGGTGTGGATGATATGCCAAAAATAAAAATGGAACTACCACATGATCCAGTAATCCCACTTCTGGGTATATATCCAAAGGAACTGAAATCAGTATGTCAAGGAAATATCTGCACTTCCGTATTCATTGCAACCTTATTTACAATAGCCAAGACATGGAACCAACCTAAGTGTCCATCAAAAGATAAATAGATAAAAAATGTAGTACAGGCTGGGTGCGGTGGCTCAGTCCTGTAATCCCAACACTTTGGGAGGCCAAGATGGGTGGATCACTTGAGTCCAGGAGTTCGAGACCAGCATGGCCAACATGGGGAAACCCCGTCTCCACAAAAAATACAAAAATTAGCTGGGTGTGGTGGCAGGCACCTATACTCCCAGCTACTCAAGAGGCTGAGGCATGAGAATCGCTTGAACCCAGGGGGCAGAGGTTTCAGTGAGCCAAGATGTGCCACTGCACTCCAGCCTGGGTGACAAAACAAGACTCTGTCTCAAAAAACAAAACACTGCTTTAAAATAGATTCAAAGCAGAGACAAAAGAGAAAATGGCTATATCTTCATTCGATATAGCCAAATTGCTTTCTCAAGTTTTTATTCCAGTTTATACTTTCACAGCTGTGTAGTGTGAGTTGCAGTTATCACCCATCCTTCCTAACATTTGGACCTGTCAGAATTTAAAAATTTCGCCAGTATGACAGCTGTAAAAGGTTGTCCCATTATGGTTGGAGTGCAGTTGTGTAATAACCGCTTGCTGCAGTCTTGACCTGTTGGGTTCAAGCAATCTTCCCACCTCAGCCTCCCAAGTAGCTGGGACCACAGGCATGTGCCACCATGTCCGGTTAATTTTTGTATTTTTAGTAGAGACGGGGTTTGCCATGTTACCCAGGCTGGCCTCGAACTCCTGGCTAATTTTAATTTTATGTAGAGACATGGTCTCTGTATGTTGCCCAGGCTGGTCTCAAACTCCTGAGTTTAAATGATCCTCTCACCTTGGCCTCCCAAAGTGTTGGGGTTACAGGTGTGAGCCACCACACCTGACCCATACTAGCTTTTTAACTTTCTTATTCTGTACATTTCCTAATTCTATACTTTGCCCATTTCATATTTAAAAAAAATTTTAGAGACAAGTTCTTGCTCTGTCACCTAGGCTGGAGTGCAGTGGCAGTCACAGCTTACTGCAGCCTCGAACTCCTGACCTTAAGTGATCCTCCCACCTCAGCCTTACAAAGTCCTGGGATAATAGGCGTGAGCCACTGTGCCCAGCTACTTTGCCCAGTTCTTTAAGGTGGCTGAAGAAAGTCATATCAGCTGCCAATACCAACTAGTACAGTCCCTCGCTAATAAATATAAATCACGTGCAAGAATCATGAGGTGTTTGATGAAAATCAAGAATATAAAAGAGAAATGTAAAAATAAATAGAGCAAACCCTGGGGGGGATGGTAAAAATTATATTATATTTATATAACCAAAAGATATACTATGCTATCACATCCATAAAATAAGAACAGGCTGCTATGAAAAAGAAGTAAACAATGAATGAGAAAACATTCTTGGAACTAAGAACATGCAATGCAATAGAATAGCTGATTGGTAGAAGGGTATAGAATTGAAAAACAAATCCACAATTTAAAGACCAAGCCATGGAAATCTGGAATGAAGAGTAAAATACAAAGAAAAGCAAAGAACTAATTCACAGAAAAGTTGGAAATATACAGGGTAGAGCTGGAGAGCCAATATTGATTGAATATAAATGCTTAAAGGAAAAGAAAAAAACAGATAACTGATGAGAGAGTAACAAATACATCAACAAATAAAAAGGAAGCAAAATTCCTAGAGCTGAACATGTCTTCAGATTTAAGTAAACTAATGGTTATTACACAGAGGGAATGCAAAAAGGCCTATTCCAAGATACACTGTGAAATTTCTGAACTCTAAAGCGAAATCCCACAAACTTCCATAAAGGGGAAAAATCTAGAGTGGCACCTAAGAACCAGACTGTCAGAGTGGAATCAGGATTAGTAACTTCACACCAAATGACAGAAGGCAGTGAAACACTGTTTACATAGTTTCTAGGGAAAAAGATTTTTCACCTAGAATTCTATACTTTACCAATTATGCAGATGTGAGGGCAAACTAAAATTACCTAAGGACAAAGATGGTGAAGGAGTAGGGGGAAGAGAAAGGAAGATGGAGGAGAAACAGAAAAATGAGAAAACAGTTGAAAAGTAAGCAGTTGAGCAAAGAAACCAATAAAATACATGGCTAAATCTAAGTAAAGGTTGATAATGTGTCTGTGATGCTTAATATGACTGCTAAAAATGTATTCCTGAAGTATTTTGATAGAGGCAAAATGTTTTTTAAAAAATCCAACCATCTGGAAAAATACAACTAAAATTCTTTTATAGACTTTGTTCAAGGAAAAGGATAGAAATAATGATTAAATCATAATAAAATTTATATGGGTTTGTCATGCCAAACTAATTTAAGTCTCTGGGTTTTCTATAATCACATCATACACAAATTAAGATAAACCTGTTTCTTGAATTGTTTATTAAACATTTAATGATGAATATTAGAATAATGGAAGTAGGATGCAACCACCAGAAGGGGGAAAACAGGAACAAAAATAATTTGACCAAATCAGCAAAAATCAGGAATGAAAAGGAAAGTATAAACAAATAGTAAACAGAGAATATAAAACAATATAGAAGGAATAAGAGCAACCAATAATTACAATACATACAAATGTGTTAAATTCTACTACTAAAAAACCAAGACTCTCAAACTCTCAAATTGGGTTCACACACACACACACACACACACATTTCTGCTCTAAATTCTGCAAGAGCCATAATAGAAACAAAACGACACAAAAATGTTCAGAATAAAAGGATGCATAAATATATATCAAGCAATATTACAACATGAATATAAGAAATGCAGAGTTCATGAGAAATTATACACACACACACACAAAGCATTTAATATATGTATTTAGTTGTCATGAAGAGAATATATAGAGGTTATTATACTACATATACAGTGTATGTAATAGACATAATCATACATATAAAGCCAATTACCCTTGCAAATTTAATACTATTTCATATGTATATTAGGTACAATAAAGGCTATATTAAATAGTTTTAATTTGGTGACCTTAATATGCTCTAGGTAGAACAAGGAAGTCATTGCTTGAAAGGAAACAGAGGAACAGGCGGTGGTTCACGCCTGTAATCCCAGCACTCTGGGAGGCCGAGGTGGGCAGATCACAAGGTCAGGAGTTTGAGACCAGCCTGGCCAACATGGTGAAACCCCATCTCTACTAAAAATACAAAAAAAAATTAGCTGGGCATGGTGGTGCATGCCAGCAATCCCAGCTACTCAGGAGGCTGAGGCAGGAGAATCACTGGAATCCGGGAGGCAGAGGTTGCAGTGAGCCGAGATTGTACCACTGTACTTCCAGCCTGGGCGACAGAGCAAGACTCTGTCTCAAAAAAAACAAAAACAAAACAAAACAAAAAACAGAGGAGTCTGGTAGGGAAAGAGATAAAAGATAGCTACTGACAGAAATGAGAACAGGAGCTACTGGGAAAGTGATCTACATTATTTTCAGTTTAAATATGTTCAATACAGACCCTAAGTAAAATTCTGGCCAATAAAAATCAAAAGCTGTGTTTACAAAACAAAATACCAAATCAGGTTTTTAATAATAGAAAATTGATGAATATAATAAATTATATCAATAAGTCAAATAAAAATTATCTCAGTGGCATCTGAAAAAGTTATCTAATAAAATTAAAACCAAGAGAGATACAAATCTTAGCTCAATTTACAAAAAAATGGTTAATGGAGGCATACTTACTAAAAGGAGGTATAAAACAAAGGTCATCACAATCACGCTATCATTACCATATGTTGTGATCAATGCACTAAAATATAAAACATAAATAAATGCTACAAAATTTGGGAAGGATGTGACAAAATTGTAATTAACAGACAATATGATTATATACCTAAAAATATGAACAACTGAAATTAGTAGAAATTAGGTTAAGTAGTCAAATACATGATAAATATACATACAGCTTTCACATATAAGAAATTGCCAGTCAGAAAACATAATGAAAAGCATATTTTGATCATACTGCCAACTAAATATGTACAAAATCTATACCAGATCTGTATTTTAAAAAACTACAAAACCTTAATTTCGAAAATAGGATAATTACTCTTCCTGAAATAGAAAACTAACAAATAAAACAGAGAAATAGAAGATGTACTTATAGATGTATGTGTCTATTTATCTATTCATCCCTTCAGCTAGCCATCCTTTTAATCTTATAGTCACAGAATGATTCTAGAATGTGGCTTAGCTAATCTTAATGACATTATCTAAATTATGAGATTTGTGATGGTTTAACTTTCTTCATGTAGGTATTTTTCTGCATTATTTATAATGAGCACATTTCTTTTTTCTGAAATAATAAAGAGACTGTGGAGAAAACCTACATAATTAAGATAGGAAAGATTTGAGGTTAAAAAAAACACTCTATTTTGTTCTTGAATAGACAGAATAAATATTATTTAAATGTCAGTTATTCTTAAAGTCCACAGTTTGATACAGTTCCAATCAAATGTCCAAAAAAATTTTTTTGGTATCTAAATTTAGTCAAGAATACTAAATAAGCAAGAATAACAAATTTTAAAAAGGAAAATTAGGAGGAAATGAAATGAAAAGTGTTATAAAGTACTGTAACACAGTAATAGCACAAGAAACAAACACATCAATGAACAACACAGCTCAGATATAGATGTTAATATAAGTGACTTTCAAATTTCTGGATGTGAAATAGTTTCTGTAATTTTATAAGTGATAAAATAAATTTCAAAGAAAAAGACCAACAAATCAAAGTTAATACGAATATGCCACAAACACAAAAATTTGAATTTCTATAGATAAATAATAAAAAAAATTATAGGCAAACAACAAACTAGAGAATTCTGTGATATGAATCTGAAAGATGGAGGGCTAATATCATTACAAAAGATCTCTTTAAGACAATTAAGAAAATCATTAAGGAAACATACAGATAAGTGAAAACCATAAATGAGGAATTACAGTTAATGAACATATTAGTAAATGTTTAACCATTCTCTATAATAAAAAAAAATGCAAACTCAAAGTGAAAGACTATTTTGTCCATTATGTTACTAAGTTTTTTGTTGTTTTGACAAACTCAATTCTATTGATGGTATTTTGCAACAGGCTCTCATTTCTTACTGGTGCAGATATAAATTAGACAATAATTTGACAAATATGAATCTAGAACCTTAAAATGTTCACAACCTCTGGCTTTATAGTAATTCCATTTCTGGTAATCTGTCCTAGGAAAATAAACTAAAATAAAGGATTATCTTTACATGCAAAAATGTTTACTGCAATTTTTTATCATAAAAAACTGAGAAATATCTAATCTAACAGAGGGAAATAATTAAATTGTGATATACCCAGTTGATGGAACATTAGCATATGTCACAGATTTTTTAAACTTTTAAACTTTTTACAATTATTTTACATTTTAACATTTTCAAAGCTTAGGTGTGTCTTACAATTGTTGGTGCCTTACACTAACAGGCAGATTCTTTTCTTTCTCGGTTGTACATAAAGTAACCATATGTCTTAAAACCAGCGACTTATTAAATTTGATGAAATATGTCTAGGAAAATATTTCCAAAGAATGTGAAATAGAATGGAAATGTTAATGTTAAAAACAACATCCCAAATTACAGAGCATAACTACAACTATGTAAAGCAAACAAAAACACAAACACACAAAACCTATGTATAGAAAAAATAATTTTGAAATGTTAACGGTGATTGCCTCTGAGTAATGTAGTTTGCTTGTGGATGCTTAATTTCCTTCTTTCTTCAAATGTTCTGTTTTTTCCGAAGCTTGTATAATAGATCATGCAAATGCTTTTATAGTAGAAATGTCTCTCTTAAATGGTATTTTGAATGAATAAACAAATAACCTTTTTTTTTTAAGTTCAAACTGTGGAATATCTGATTGTCATGTCTTTTCTTTCTTTTTTTTTTTTTTCTGAGACGGAGTCTCACTCTATTGCCTAGGCTGGAGTGCAATGGCATGATCTCGGCTCACTGCAACCTCCGCCCCCCGGGTTCAAGCGATTCTCCTGCCTCAGCCTCCCGAGTAGCTGGGATTACAGGCACTCACCACCACGTTCGGCTATTTTTGTATTTTAGTAGAGACAGGGTTTTACCATGTTGGCCAGGCTGGTCTGGAACTCCTGACCTTGTGATCTGCCTGCCTCAGCCTCTCAAAGTGCTGGGATTACAGGCATGAGCCACCACGCCTGGCCTGTCATGTCTTTTCAAAGCATTATTCAAACATGATTTCTTTGGCTATAAAGTTTCATAAAGAGTAGTACTTGGCTCAGATTCTGGAGAGAAAGCCAAAAAAGATCATCCAACTCTGCTCCCAGGGAACTCACACCCTGTAGATTTTGTAGTAGATTTTGGCAGCATTCTCTTTCCTAATACACAGTAAAATATTTCATATTCCTAACTTGTGTGTGAGCACCATTGAAGATGGCCCAAAATCAACCACCCAATTGAGTCATCTGAATATGTTCAGTGACATAAATGGAAAGGAGAGTTGGCAGGGGGCAGGGGGGTAGGAGAGGACCTAGGGGAAGAGGGGAATAGCCACTTGGAGCATTAAATGCCCTTGTTGTTATCCCACTTAAAATATTTCAAAGGGAAAAATGTCTAATATCTAATCTCTAACTATGCTATTCAATAATAATTTGAGGCCAGGTGCGGTAGCTCACACCTGTAATCCTAACACTTTGGGAGGTCAAGGCTGCAGTGAGCCATGTTTGTGCCACTGCACTCCAGCCTGGGCAACACAGTGAGACTCTGTCTCAAAAAAAAAAACTTAAAAAAATAACATTTTGAATGTCAAAGTTTTCCCAGGAAAACTGAAGGGAGTGGGAAATTTATATCTGAAGCCAAAAGAGATGTCTCAACATTTCCAGAGGTATAACCAAACTGCTAACTCATTTTAAGAAAGACAACTAAAAAATGAACCTTCTTTTCCTCACATAAGTTTATTTTACAATCAACAATGAGTTAGACAGGAACATTTCCAAAATGATTTCTTAAGAGCTTGTTAATTTAACTTAAGGCACAGGCACCTTCTGTTAAACTAAAAAAATTAAAATAAACCTACCACCACATAAAAAAAAATTTCAGGGCCAGGCGCGGTGGCTCACACCTGGAATCCCAGCACTTTGCGGGGCTAAGGTGGGTGGATCACATGAGGTCAGGAGATTGAGACCAGCCTAGCCAACATGGTGAAACCTCGTCTCTACTAAAATACAAAAATTAGCCGGGTGTGGTGGCAGGCGCCTGTAATCCCAGCTACTCAGGAGGGTGAGGCAGGAGAATCACTTGAACCCAGAAGGCGGAGGTTGCAGTGAGCCAAGATCGCACCACTGCACTCCAGCCTGGGTGATATAGCGAGATTCCATCTCAAAAAAACAAAAAAAAAATTCAGAAAAGGTCAGGGATGCTATTCCTTTACCTGTATTCCAAATAGGATTCACAGATAGAAAGAAATGAAATCAAGTGTACATGGCAAAAAATTGTGCCTGTAAGATTCATTTTTTAAAATTAAATGGGATGGAGGTTACATGAGTACATACATATGTCAATACTAATTGAACCATTCTCCTAAAATGGGTGCATTTGATTATATGAAAATCTTAAAACAAAAAAGTGCACCTTAAAGTTCTACTGTATTTGCTACTGTATCCAAGAAGACTCTCCCCCAAAAAACATAATTTAGAATTGCCTTCACAGAGATGGTTAAGTTACAAAGCATATCATTATATATGTAATAATACCATATCATTATGAACCATATTATATATGTCAAAGAATCTTCCAATCAGTATCTTCTATGCTTCAATTTTTCCATTTTAAAATATGCATCCTAAATGTAATTACAAAGCACCACAACTGAATTTTGTACTTGAAAACCTATAGATATGAGTGAAACAATAAAGTATAAATAACAACTTTCACTGACAATCCCTTTTTCAGTTAAAAATGACTAAGAATAACTTGTTTTTATAAGTTTTATTAACCAAATTTGAGGGAGAGGCACTTTCTAAAAATGGGCAATTTACACAGAAATGGAAAAGTTGTGAGGAGCTTTTTATGAGTCCCATTCATCTGGAAGCCTCAGTCAGACTTACATCAGAAGAAAAACTCTTTTATAAGAGAAACTCATGTCCCTTGTTAATTACTCTTTATTTCTAATGTACAGTAACACTGAAATACATTTTTAAAAATAATTAACATATAAAGTTAGGAATATATACAACTACTACTACATTTATTATCTAAGGATCCTACTAGGCTATTGTAGTTCCAGAAAAAAAAACTAGTAACTTTATTCATTACGTTCACACTGATGTTTCTGTTGACAGCTCCAGTCATTTGTCAGAGCTAAAATTTTCCACCTTTATTAGCTATTAATAATTGTCAATGATTGAAAATTTTATATTAGAATTTTACAATCTCAACTTATAGCAGCGATCTGAACCAAAGTCAGTATTCTCAAAAACTGGTAACTATCATTAAAGCATTAGATCTTACTGAAATTAACAAATGGTTACTCTTTAAAAAACAGAATTATCAAGGGAGACTCATAATTCAGTTTTCATTCTTTCTTGTAAGCACATACATATTACACATAACAAATTTTGGTTAGTTACTGTTATTGATATTAAGACATGGTTTATACAAATAGTGTGAAATACAACTATTTCATAGCTTCAGTAAGCCCTGTGCCTGTCTATGACCTGTCAATCTATAAAAACATTAACATGAGAGAATAGAGATGAAAGTGATTTTGCTAAAGTTATCTGTTATCCCCAAGCTGTTCAAAGTTGATTCGGTTTTTCTGGCTGAGTAATTTGATATAATCTTTCATCCTTCCAAAGTTGGAAGGGACTATATGAGTTTCTGCTAGAAGTTTGAGACATTTAAGTCACAAAACTGCAAAGTATGTTATCTCACTTATAAGCAGTAAAGATCTCTGTTTAAACTAATTAATTAGTGAAATACCAACTTTGACTATAATTAATAGACATGCTAATATAGTTTTAATAGATTTTTCTTTGTTATGTGACTATCAGCTAAATATAATCTTTAAGCCACATTACGAATATATATGTGCATGTAAACACAGTCATATATATATCCCAGAAATGGAAAATTGTCCAAATCTACCTGTATCCATTCAGTAAATACTTGTTAAGAACCTATTATATACCATTTAGGACCACTCAAAATCATTACTTTTTACATAAGATTTACAATAGACTAAAGAAAGTATTTCTTGATCAAATGCAAGAGTTTTTACGCCATTACAAATCATCCAAGATAACCAAAACCTGCATCTACTGTATTGTTTATTTCATTATTATTTCATTACATATGCATATTGCATTACTGACTTTTAAATTTCATATACTGGCAATTCACAGAGACTTTCAGGACCAGTAAAGTTAACTTGGATAGACCCAAGACAAGTTTTCCAAATAAGTCACATTTCTTCATATGGGTCCTAGTAAACATTTGCAAATACATAATCCTTCTGAGTTAAAGTTGACACCTGACTTTAGAATGTCCCATGTACTCAAGATACCTAACCTTGTAAATTGCCTCCCCTCAGCACCATTCCTACTCATTCAAGGCAGCAACCAAGTTATACCATGGTCTTTTCTTGTTCTCTTCAGAGTTAGACCTATTCTATCTTACTTTTGCTTTGTTCACATCTCACAATTCAGTCAATTCTTTTCAGGCCATCTCTTTCTCATAAGGAAAAACGTGTGCCCCTAAGCCTCTTTCCTTTATTGGATATCTTGGAAAATAACCCATTTCAATTTTTGTGAACCAAAGAAACAGTTTAGTCCTCATGCAATAACTATTATCAGGTACCTACTATGTGCCACACACTGGGCTAGACCCTTAGGAATGGCTAAGTACAAACTCAATGGCCAGAAATATTCTTGTAGCAAGAAAAAGAGAAATCACTGATTTCAATGTCAGATTAGATCTCAAAAACAGTGCAATCAACCTTGAAAGCTCATGAAAGCACCCAGAAAACCCATAAGCATCCTTCCAAATACCTATCCACCTATTAAACTTGCTTTTCTTTAAGCATTCATATTTAGAATAAAAATAATATCTTATCCAACATAATTATTTTATATTTAGTTTCGTCATTGGAATTGACTTTCTTATATTTTTCAAGGTAGCAATGGTTTTTCTACAGCATGGGTAAAATACATGCTTAGACTATAATAAACGCCCAACAGTCACTTGATAAACTGTTTCCCAGGGAAAATGGGTTCTAAATTTCCAACAACCCATTCACAAGTAAACTTCTCAAATACAAAGTGTTTGTAAATTGGGAATGCATTATTCTTTATTTCTATATTTACATTCCTATGGGCCTGGGAAATGGTACCATCACTAAGGTAACACAGTGAATGATTAGTTTAAAATAAAAAATTATTCTGAAGAGTGTGAAGCTGTATGCAAATAATTTTCCACCAGTCTAAGAAGGACTGAGCATGGGAAAATCTATAAAGAAGTAAAAGTAAGTTTGTGATATTATCTCTATGATGTTTACTTTTAAGTGCAAGATACTAACTAGCCCAGAAAAGGTTCCCACAGACCAGTTGAGCTGCTTCTTATACATAGGTCAACAGTCTAAAAAAAAAATTAAAACCTGCAAAATCCCACAAAACAAAACCTGTTTTACAGGCTTCTGTACACGTAGAGGAAATGTTAGAGAAATTACAGCCATTTTATGGTCTATCTAGGGTACAAGCCCTTCTAATGTGTTTACTGATACTCTGCAGAAGTTTTCATTTCAGTTGTTTTGCCTTAAAGGATTCACTTGAATCAATAACTAAAGACATATATATTTTTTGAGGCTAGCAGAGGGTAGATTAGAAACTCTGCTTAGAGTGGTGTATCCTCATGCAGTGACTCAATTTCACAGTTAACAACATACACTTTCTTCCTCCTACAGAACAATGATTACATGCCTCCCTCCATGCCTTTAAAAAGATATATATAATTGGCATACACTCTCCTATTTTAAGATTATACAAAAAAAGTTTTATTGGAATGTGAATAGATATTTTTAAGAGTTTATTTTTCTTTGCTCTATTGCTTATACAAACACAAACACACACACACACACACACACACACACACACACATGGTTATATTAGCTCTTCAACAGAATAAGATTATACGAGAGGAAAGCTTGGTATAAACTGTAAGAACAAAATAACTGCTTTATTCCTTACTTAGAAACCCAAATGCATTCATTCATTTTACATAAAGTAGGAAAAATCAGGTGTCACTTATTGGGTCTAAAAGAAGCAGTCAACATTTAAATTATATATCCTTTGAAGTAACAGTATCAACATTTTTATTTAAATTATGAGAGAATGCTGTAATTTATAATACAAAACAGTGATAATTCAAAATTTACTAACAATAGACAGAAAGAGATAACTTTCTAATTTTCATGCAGTTGAAAGAGAAACATGAAAAAAGGTATACTGTACTGCCACTATTTTATTTTTGGAAACTCTTTGTAAATAAAAACCCATTTCCAAAATAAGATATTCCATGAACACAGAATAGTTGGTAATGGTTCAAGTGCCTTAGGCAACAGAGAAGTATTGTTTTGTAGTTTTTTTAAACCTCTCCTAGTAACAGCAATTCATTATGCACAAAGAAACAAGGTAACAGCATGGTTTATAATGCATATATAAGTAATAACTGCAGAACCTCAATTAAAACTAAAGTTTACCATATTCCTTCCATTTCTATAAACCAGTATAGATAACCTTGTTGATACTCACCAAATGTTACAGAAATGCCTAGGCTTTTCTAAGCAACAAAATGTAGACACATGGTGAGGTGCTGAAGACAGCTCTTTCTTGAGCTCAAAGCACTTTAGATGAAGTAGCCTTTATCGTCCATTTAATAGAGGTTGCCTCCTATTACCAAGCGTGGCAGAGAAAAGAGTTTCCACAATTAGGTCTTGACTTTCTGTCCCTCTTTTTGAAGAGTAACAGTTACCACTGGAAAACGTTACCAGAAAATGATCACTTGAACACTCACATAGGGCAGCTGTAAATTTCCACTCTCTTTGCTTGCTCTCAGATTCCAAGCCTTGCTTGTCTCTTAATCTGTCACAGGCAGTTCTGTTTCTGGTCAAACCAGCTTGCTTATGCGTTCTCCACTCCCTCTCTAACACTTGCTTTCAGATACGTACCACAGTCACAGCTCCCTTTTACTTCCTCCCTCCTCAGTCCTGTAACGTCACAAGAATGCGTGTAAAGCTGAGGCAAAATAAATTCTTGGGCCAAAAAAGAAAAAAGTCTAGAGATAAACAAAATTTTTTCTCATCACTTTTTTCTGTCTTAAGTCTTATACTTGTTCATGCATGGGGTTTTGTCAACTGATTAAACTGGCTGGACCACCTTGTTTAAAAATGTAAATAAAGGTTATTTTTAAAAAAGTCATGTTGATAGTAATAATAACAGATTCACCTGCTAATATGCTAGCTCCTGAAGGAAGATGCTATTCCCAACCATAAGAAAGTGGAGCAAGTAAACACACAAGTACTTGTATTAGAAACTTAATCTTAACATTTAAAAAGCAAGGAAGGTTTTAGAGTACTTATAATTTAAACTGTGCAATTTTATGAAAAAAATGTATTTCTTAATACGGTATATTTTGAAACTTGGACCAAAATTTGCAGTTATAAAAGGGAAAATTATAAAGAACATAGAAAAATATTGACACCAAAAACAAAAGAGCAGTTTAATCATGTATGTGCAAACCAAATGTAATTATTGCTGTTGGAAAGAAGGTTTTTTTTCCCCCTAAACATTACCGGTCAGAATGCATAACACCTCTTATAAGAATTACAAAGTCTAAAGGCTACAAAAAATTATTAAAGTGATTATACACATACAATTATAGAGTAAAGTATCTTAAAATTACGAAACTCTCTGTAAGGTTTGGGGATGAGGAATTAGGTAGAAAGCTGAGTGGGCTCGTGGTTGGCAGGTTTAGATGGCATTTGTAGGATTCTTTGGAATTAGGAGGCAATGTATGCAGCTTGGAATACGTGCTGGCTCTGTATGAATGCTAGTCAGATCCTGCTTTGGAGTTCTGTTCCAGTTCCTTAGCCCAGAACACTTTTAGGTTCTCCATCTCCCACTATGTCCCCAGTCAAAAGTCTTGGGCCCTTCTACTGACGGATCTTCCAAGTACAGAAGGAACAGAAGTAGTTATTAGACCTATTATTAAGTAACACATTCTTATTCTCTGCAGAATTAAAATCTCTCTAAGAATATAAGCTTAAGTAAGGTGAAAGGTAAACATCTATAAACAGTTGTTTATATCCCTTAAGAAAAATAAGTCAGTAAAAGTCGGCCTTAAAATATAGGTGTTTTGATCTCGTTTATTTAAAGTAGAATTAAAATTTAACTATATTATACAGTTATTTGGTTATTTCTTAGCACCTATTAAATAGGTATCAAAGACGACTAGAGATTAGTCTGCCAATTTTTCTTTCAATTAGTAGTTTTATAATTTTTAGAGTTTTATTTCTCCTTTTTAAAGAGATGTTAAATGGAAATAATTCTAAATCACTGAGGGTATGAAGTGTCTAGTACCTTAGGTTATACTCCGAGAGTTGTAGTATAATTAAAGAAATTCAGAATTTATAAAAGTGGTTCTTAGGATAACTGCAAGGTTAATTTAAAACTGGGAGACTGTATATCAATCTATAGTGGATTCAAAGGCACAAAGTCAAGTCAAGGACTTTAAAACATATAATTACTAAGATTATTTATGATTGTTTGTATATTTAATTCCTATTAAATACCATTCCATTTTCCAACAGCAAGAGTGCAGAAATCTCATAATATACAGGAAACTGGGTTGAGTATTCAGAAGGATATTGCCTCAGTAGCGGAACCAAATTAGTTTTAGATTAAAGGTTGTTCTGGTCCCTCTTAATAGAGATTAAAAGTAAGCCCCGAAAGGATCGAATTACTTCCAAATAACTGCAACCCAGAGTAAAATTTTAAAATATTTATATAAATTTTTTAAAATCTAGCACACAATAACGTAAAATTCACAATATCTGACATCCAGTCAAAAATCACCAGGCATGCAAAGAAGCAGGAAAACATAATGCATAAGGAGAAAATCGATCATTAGAAAAAGACTCAGAAATGACACAAATAATAGAATTAGTATACAAAGACATTAAAACTATTAAAAATATCTTCCATAGGTTCAAGAAGGTATTAGAAAGATAAGAATGTTAAGGAGAGACATGGCAGATATAAAAAAGATCTACATCAGATTTCTAAGAATTAAAATTACAATTTCTGAGAAAACATTTATTCTGTTTCATGGAATGAAGTGTTGCCTAACTCTAGAATCACAAATAAGGCCAACTAAGATCTTTAAACAACAGCAACAACAACAAAAAAACCCTATAAACTCTGGAATGAAAATTACACCAAATGAGATGAATAGCAGACTGCACACCGCAGAAGAAATGATTAGTAAACCTGGAGACACAGTGACAGAACTTATCAAAATAAAGCATTGAGAGAAAAAAAGTTTAAAAAAATAAAAATGAACAGAGAATCCCTGAACTATGGGGAAACTTAAAAGAACCTAATGTATACTATATATACTATATTTAGTCTTTGGACCTTGAATAAACATCAGCAGTAGCCAAGAAATAGTTGTTACAGGCCTTGGGCATAACCCAGTACTGTGCTGGCTTCACGTGTGACCCAGCATTGACGCAGTATAGTCCTAGCAGTGGTGGTCACAAGAGGGCTTGCACCATCCCTCCCCGAACTGTAGGCAGCTCAGCAAGGAGAGACAGAGAAAGACTCAGTAAGGGAAGAGAACACGAGACTGTCTGGTAATCCAGGGAATTCTCCTGGATCTTACCCAAGACCACCAAGGCAGTATCTCCTCAAGTCTGCAAGTCACAACATTACTGGGCTTTGAATATCGCCTAATGCAAATTTGGCTGCAGTGACCAAAGACTTAGATCACAACACTCAATTCCCTTTGAATATCTGGAAAGCCTTCTCAAAAAGGACAGATACATTCATCCTTGAGAGGTCTGGAAAAAAAAAAAAAAGACAAGTACAAATAAGCTCGGAGTGTGAAGATTAGAATAAATACCTAACTCTTCAATGCCCAGACAATGACAAACATCCAGAAGCATCAAGACCATCCAGGAAATTATGACCTCACCAAACCAACTAAATAAGGAACCAGTGACCAATTCTGGAATGACAGAGATATGCGACCTTTAAGAGAATTCAAAATAGCTGTTTTGAGGAAGCTCAAAGAAATCCAGGATAATACATAGAAGGAATTCAGAATCTTATCAGATAATATAACAAAGAGACTGAAATAATTAAGAATCAAGCAGAAATTCTGGAGCTGAAAAATTTAATTGACAAACTGAAAAATGCATCAGAGTTTCTCAAAAGCAGAATTGATCAAGCAGCAGAAAGAATTAGTGAGCTTGAAGACAGACTATCTGAAATACACAGAGCAGTCAAAAGAAAAAAGAATAAAAATAATGTAGCATGCCTACAGGATCTAGAAAATAGCCTCAAAATGGCAAATCTAAGAGTCATTGGCCTTAAAAAGGAGGTAGAGAGAGAGATCGGGGTAGAGAGTTTATTCAAAGAGATAGCAGAGAACTTCCCAAATGTAGAGAAAGATATCAATATTCAAGTATGAGAAGGTTATAGAACACTAAGCAGATTTTACCCCCAAAAAACTACCTCAGGACATCTAATACTCAAACAATGAAAGGTCAAGGATAAAGAAAGATCCTAAAAGCAGCAAGAGAAAAGAAAAGAATAACATATAAAGGAGCCCCAACACATCTGGCAACAGATTTCTCAGTGGAAACATCACAGGCCAGGAAAGAGCAGTAAGACATATTTGAAGGTCTGAAAGAAAAAAACCTTTTATCCTGAAATATTATATCCAGTGAAAATATCCTTCAAACATGAAGGAGAAATAAAGACATTCCCAGACAAACAAAAGCTGAGGGATTTCATCAACCCAGACCTGTCCTACAAGAAATGCTAAAGGGAGTTCTTCAGTCTGAAAGAAAAGGACATTAAGGTACAATAAGAATCATCTGGTCATCTGGGCCAGGCACGGTAGCTCACATCTGTAATCCCAGCACTTTGGGAGGCTGAGACAGGAGGATTGCTTGAGCAGAGAAGTTCAAGACCAGCCTGAATAACATAGCAAGACCTCATCTCTACAAAAAATCAAAATTAGCCAGAATTGCTGGCACATGATTGAACCACTGCACTCCAGCCTGGGTGACAGAGCAAGACCCTGCTGAAAGAAAGAAAGAAAGAAAGAGAGAGAGGAAGGAAGGAAGGAAGGAAGGAAGGAAGGGAGGGAGGGACGGAGGGACAGAGGGAGGGAGGGAGGGAGGAGGGAGGGACATATACTCAATGGAATAATATTCAGCTATAAAAAAGAATGAGATCCTGTCATTTGAAACAACATGGATAGAACTGGAGGACATTATGTTAAGTGAAATAAGCCAGGCACAGAAAGACAAACTTCACATGTTCTCATTCATTTGTGGGAGTTAAAAATTTAAACAATTGAACTCACAGAGATAGAGAGGAGAATGATGGTGGCAGGAAGCAGGGCAAAGGGGATAGTTAATCCACTAATGGGATGAGTATAAAAATATAGTTTAATACAATGAATAAGATCTAGTATTTGATAGCACAACAGGATGACTACAGTTAGCAATAATTTGTTGTACATTTTAGAATAACTGAGGGAATACAATTGGAATGCTCTTTTTTTTTTTTTTTTGAGATGGAGTCTTGCTCTGTCACCCAGGCTGGAGTGCAGTGGCGTGATCTTGGCTCACTGCAAGCTCCGCCTCCCAGGTTCACGCCATTCTCCTGCCTCAGCTTCCCAAGTAGCTGAGATTACAGGCATCCGCCACCATGCCCAGCTATTTTTTTTTTTTTTTTTTTTGTATTTTTAGTAGAGACAGGGTTTCACCATGTTAGCCAGGATGGTCTCGATCTCCTGACCTCTTGATCCGCCTACCTCGGCCTCCCAAAGCACTGGGATTACAGGTGTGAGCCACTGCACCCAGCCTGGAATGTTCTTAACACAAAAAATTGACGAATAGTTGAGATGATTGGATACCCTATTTACCCTGAGGTGATTATTACACATTGCATGCCTATATCAAAATATCTCATGTATCCTATAAATATATACACCTACTATGTACCCTAAAAATTAAAATTTTGAAAATTAAAAAGACAACACCTTAATTGAAAAAAAAGTCACTCCAAAAAAATAGTTTGTTTTGATGCTTTTAATTCTAATCTATCATTACAGAATTTTAACTCTACTGCTTTGCTCTTATATTCACCTTCACTTATACCACAAATCTTTGTTCTAATAACACAGTAACATAATGATATATTTGCCTACTCTTTCAATATGTCTAATATAGATTCAAAATAACAGTACCAAAATTACTAAAAATAAAATCACTGAATGAAGTTTAAAGAATTCTTTGCCGTTAACTAATGAAGTGGTCAGCATATAACTGTCAGTAGTGAGTCCTAATGTTAAAATTTAATTATTTTACGTGTTATAAAAACAAAACTATTTTACATTGTTATTCACAATTGAAAGAAATTTCATAAAACAAGATTTCAATTTCTTTAAGTAGAGACTTTAACAACCTATAAATGGTGTAGTTCAATGGAGTTGTCTCAACTATTAAGAAAATCACAGGAAGAAAAAATTAAATGATGTATATAGATCAAGTTACAGTCAAATGGCATCATGGCATGCTAAATATGCAATGATTCTACAGTTATTTGAATACAAAAAAATGGTAGGAAAATTATTTATCACTTAAATGTGGTAGCTTTGGTAGCTTAACTATGCAGAATTCCAAGTTACCTCCTCCACCTCAGCAGTCATATTTACATTATTGAGTGTTGTAAGGCTTTGAATCCATCTTGGCATACTCGTACTATAACAATTCACTAGCAATAAGTCCTATAACTAGCCAATGAATGTTTAAGGTACATTATTGAATTGATTAGTCCATTAAATTAAAACATTAGTGGTTAAAAAAGAGTTCATTGTCAACAATAAAAACAATGGCACAAAACCTGGTTTGTCATGATCCCCCCCCAAAAAAATCAAGACTCTAACATGTAAAATACTCAATACACAAATACATAATTATATGATTAAGTGCCACCTCCACAATTTAGTGCTATATTTTGAATTAAATAATATTAATTTTACTTTATTGGTTTTACAGTTATTTATATTTAATTAACATATTTGTTTTTATTTAAATATATAACAGTTGTAAGAAAAAGTGTATTAAGGCCAAGGCCCAGTGGCTCATGTCTGTATTCCCAGCCCTTATGGGAGGCTGAGGCAGGTGGATTGCTTGAGCCCAGGAGTTCAAGACCAGCCTGAGCAACATAGCAAGACCCCGTCTCAAAAAAAAAAAAAAAAATAGAAGAAACAAAAATTTAGTATGCCAGAAGCAAATGCTATGTGAATGATAATAGTATAAAAAAACTAGAAATCCAGGTTGCGGTCAGATTATGGAGAGACGGAGTGCTAGACAAAAGAGCTAAATAATTTGCGGACAAAACAGGCCATGATCAGAACTTTCTGTAATGAATGTGAATTTGGCAGAAGAATCAAAGGGCAAAGAAACAGTAGGTGATGAAATTAAAGGTAACTCAGTAGTCTAGGATGACAGTGAGGGTAACCAGACAGTGGGAATAAAAGGACTACAAGAGTATAATAGAGAATAGGTTTGGCAACTGAAAAAATATGGATAGTAATTGAGAGACGAGTCAAGATCACAAGGCATTCCCATGCCTGTGTGACAGTAAGCAGGTTATACCTTTAAAACATATAGGAACCACAGGAAGAAAAATAAATTTTATGAAATAGCCAGTTAGTTGATATATAACAAGTCCGAGATGCCAGCAAGGCTTCTGGATATAAATGCCCACAGGCAGCTGAACATACAGAACTAGAACTTGGAGAGAAAACAGACTGGAGCAATATATCTGGGGGTCATCCATCCTGCCACTGCAGTACGAGAGAGACCAAAAAGAGAGCCAAGGACAAAACTTCAAGAAACATCTACAGGTGTTGGTAGAAAAAGGGCAACTGGCTGGGCGTAGTGGCTCACCCCTGTAATCTCAGCACTCTGGGAGGCAGATCACTTAAGCCCAGAAGTTCAAGACCAGCCTGGACAACATGGCAAGACCCCCATCTCTACCAAAAAAATACATACAAAAATTAGTTGGGTGTGGTGGTACACTCTTGTGGTCCCAGCTACTCGAGGGGTTGAGCTGGGAGGGTCATTTGAGCCCTGGAGGCAGAGGTTGCAGTGAGCTGAGATTGCACCACCGCACTCCAGCCTGGGCAACAGAGTGAGACCCTGTCCCCTCCCCCCCAAAAAAAGGCAACTAAATAAACAGTGGTTAGAGAGGGAGAGGAGAAACTGAAAAGTATGTTATCGTGTGACCAAAAAAACCCAGACCTTCAAGAAAAAGAAGCATTTAAAAGTACTTACTACCTAACCCTGTAGTCTAATTTCTAAGTCCCACTTTCAATTCTTACAAAGCAAAGGTATTAGTGGGAAAGGGGCCTTTAGAGAACCACTTGGCCCAGAGAAAGGGACTTTTAAGAATTCATATTCCCTAAATTGCTAAAGACATAGGCTGGTAGTCAGCGAGACAAAAGACAGGCAGGGACCATCAGAGCATACAGCAGTACAGCAAAGCATGAGGCAGGCAGAGGACTCCAGGCCAGCCCTTCCGGGAAACTGGTAACACTGGCTCTGATTCAGGCAGCATGCATAACCCAACTCTGCCATGCCATGCCTAGAACACTGTATGGGAGATTGGAGACTTAGTAGTACCTGACACAACAATAGGATTAGGATTATAAGAGGTTAGGAATGAGGTAATAGAGAAATGAACGTATATTACTGTTTCCAAGTGTTGGATATAAAGACTAGAAGGACAGCTTGAAGGGCTTAATAAAAGAGGTTTTTGTTTGCTTTAAAAAAAAAAAAAAAACCTTTCAACTCTTGGTAGATTGAGTGGGACAGACAGGAGGAAGGTAGAAGATGAGAAAGGGATAATTAATGGGGCATGATCTTTGAGCCCACAATGGGAGGGATCAAGAACATAAGTGGAATAATATATATTTTTCTAAAATGAGAAGGAGGAGAAAGCATTAGTAGAGACTGCCCAGGGAAAGAGGAATGAAGTTAGGAAGCACAGGTTTACTTCAATTTTCTCAGAAAAGCAGGACTCACCATCATCTGAAGAGAACAAAGGTAGAGTAAAAGAATATGTGTTTGAGCAGAGTGAAAATTGGTCTTATCAGAAAACCCACATGTGGCTGGGCACAGTGGCTCATGCCTGTAATCCTAAGCAGTCTGGCAGGAAGTAGGAGGATCCCTTGAGTCCAGGAGTTCAAGACCAGCCTGGGCAACATAGGGAGACCCTCTCTCTATTTAAAAAAAAAAAAAAAATCCACATAAATACAGTAAGAAGAAAAGCTAAAAGGTGTGACTCATGTACACCAAATCCTAAGTTTAACAGTTAAAGTTCCGCTTATATCCACACAATTCCACTTATATCTAAACAATATAACAACGCTAAGTACATGCTATGCTTTTCCACCAACTGCCCAATTTAAGGAATAACAAAGGATGAGGTTAAGAAACAGATCTTGGAGCCCCAAGATTCGATATACAGCTAGTATCATAACAACAAAATGGGCTTAGTGCCATAACCACAGGCAGATGGTGATACTAATAATTCTCATATTTCCCTGTCCTTCTTTGCTGGATCCATGTTCTGTTTTCTCCACAACTGGTACGCTTATGAAAAGTTCTTGCTCAAGTCAGTTAAGAACATAAGATACCTTTTAGTAAAAGAACAATTCCCACCCTGTTGAGAACTGATGTACATTCTCTTTTTATGAGGTGTGTCATACTCCAATTTTCCAAGTTTTTACAAATTTTCACTTTTCTACAAATTATTGAAACCAGAACTATACAAAAATTTTATGTTGGAGAATCATATTATTACTGTTATAAATCTTTAAAAGTACAACTTGTAAGCTGGTGCTCTGAAGCCAAGAAGAAAAACAGGATCTAAAGAGAACACAGAAAGAAAGGACAAAGAAAGAAGCAGGCTGAGTGAAGGGACAGAAAACCTTGAGTTATAAATAACTTGGTTTAAAATGTCAAGAGAAACTAGTCTCAAAGTATCTCTTTCTACAGAGTTATAATGCTTTTTAATAATGAAAGTACTTCACATGACAATTTTCAAAGTCAAAGCCATTTATGGCAAACAAACACATAGCATTTGCAATATAACATATTCAGGTAATTTACTGAATGGAAAAATCTCTATGGAATTCATCCAGTAATTATAGTGGGTTCCATTTATAAAACATATTTTACCACAAATCTGAAGACTTATAAAACATGATCTAGTATAGGAGAAATGATTATAATCCTTTAATAACTATTAATCACAGAACAATTAGTTTTAATAACTATAACCACAGAATGGCATCTTGTTTTACAAATAAAATACAAACCAGTGCACTGTTCTAGCTGTACTCATTCTAAACATGTCTTTTTATCTTTTAATTTTAAATTAAATGTCCATTAAAAAAGTATTTTTTATTTTCTATGCTTCTCTATTGTTTTAAAATCCCAGCCCGGTGTGGTGACTTGTGTCTGTAATCCCAGCACTTTGGGAGGCTGAGGCTGGTGGATTGCTTGAGTCCAGGAGTTTGAGACCAGCCTGGGCAACATAGTGAGACCTCGTCTCTATCAAAAATACAAAATATCAGCTGGGCATGGCGGTGTGTGCCTGTAATCCCAGCTACTTAGGAGGCTGAGGTAGGAGAATCTCTTGAGCCTTGGAGGCGGAGGTTGCAGTGAGCCGAGATAACGTCACTGCACTCCAGCCTGGGCAACAGAGAGAGACTCTCCTGAGAAAAAAAAAAAAAAAAAGAAAATCCCCCACCTCCCTCTTCTCTAATTCCCCTCCCCAAGATTAAGCACTATTCAAAGTGCTATCCTTCCAGACCCTTTTTCCAGGCATACGTAGATGTATGTATTTGTTTGAATACACACCAAGATAATTTTTTAAATGAGATAATACTATACACACTGCATTATAATTTATTTTATTTCTTTATAGTAGATCTTGGATTTCTCTACATTTGGTAGCTCTATCTCATTCTTTTAAAAGTGTTGCATGGTTGCACAGTAGATGCACTTGGCACTGAAAACTCGACTTAAGTATATCCCGAGGATGACCCTGAATGTGGTTCACAGTTTTGAGCTAAGGAATCTGGGATAAGCTGGAGACCCATTCCTTATCTATGAGGAACATTCGAGCCCCCAGCCTGGCTCATGGAACACAGGGCATAGAAGGGATCGAGGTCCTTTGTTTTGGGTTAAATGAAGGTTACCAGGTGGAGGTTGTTAGGGAGAAGGCATTAAGTGAAAATGCTATGTAAACTGCATGACTGTTGCAAGCAGTTGGTTCTCTTGCCTAGCCCACTGCCACTGGACTCTCTTCCCTGTATGTAAACTCCCCCCAAAACCCTCTGTCTCCTTTGCTGGCTCTGGGTCTCCTTGGCCTCTAGAACCTGGTGCCATCCCCACTGGAGTTGATAGGGGTTCAGCACAAATTGGTGTTCCTTAATATTGCTGTACTACAGTTTGTTTAACCACTTCTCTATATATAGACATACAGGTAGGTGAGGGTGTTGTTTTTTGTTTTTGTTTTGCTATCTTATAATCTATTTTAAAATTAGTCACTGATAACATAAACAAATCAGAATTTAAAAACACAATGTTAATTCTCCTTGGAAAAAAAGCCATAAAGTGATTATTTGTATTATTCTAATAATACAGATAAATAAAATTTACCTTTGCCATTTAAAAAAAAAAAAATGGCAAAAACCACAATTACTTTTGCACCAACCTAATAATAAGCATTTTTTTCATTTTAAATATTTTGGTTTCTCACAGTTGATAAACATGCAAAATCTGTCATTGTTTTCAATACAATGTTATCAATAATTCTGAAAATTTACACATGCAACTCATTTTCAAATTAACTGCACATTATGGCCTTTGGATATGCATTGGATACCCAATGTGTTTGAGGGCTAAATCTCACTAATTCTCCACTATTACTCAATTACGTTAAGCCAGCAGTCCCCAACCTTTTTCGCACCAGAGGATGGTTTTGTGGAAAGCCATTCTTCCACGGACCTGGAGGTTGGGATGCAGGGGATGGTTTCGGGATGAAACTGTTGCATCTCAGGTCATCAGGCATTAGAGTCTCATAAGGAGCCTGCAACCTAGATCCCTCACATGCACAGTTCACAGAAGGGTTTGTGCTGTCTATGAGACTCTAATTCTGCCACTGATCTAACAGGAGGCGGAATTCAGATGGTAATGCTTGCCAGCCAGCCACTCACCTCCTACTGTGCTGCCCGGTTCCTAACAGGCCATGGACAGGTACAGGTCTGCAGCCCAGGGGTAAGGGACCCCTGCATTAAGCAACTCTTGATTGGTGTTTTCAGAAGCCTAGTGTGATACTAGGTTCTCTAAGGAATTCAAAAGAGGTCTGTGATAAAAGATCTGTCTTCAAGGAGCTTGTACAACTTTTGTGAAAACAAAACAAAACAAAACAAAACAAAAAACCTTAGCTATCTATATAAAATCATTACACCTGAATACAAAGTTTTGAAGAAAATACAAAAGGAAGAAGAAATATGCAAGGGACCAAGGTATATTTTACCGTATTTTATCATAAGGTAAAATATAGAGATTACCTAAGTGAGGAAAGAAAAGGAGTAAGTGAAAGAAATGGGACTTTTTTAATTGTACAAAAATCATAGACTTTATAAATTCTTCTAAAACAACATATTTCCTGAGGATTTGTTAGCAAATACCTAAGAAATGGGAATTTAGATGCACTTTGAAAAAGTACTAGGATTTGGATATAGTGAGATAGAAAAAGGAACAATATCCCAGCATAGGAAAATTTTTTAGCAAAAATGCAAAGACTGGAATGAAAGTAGAAAAGGGACGGAAAGAGAGGTAGGGAAATGGGAGAAAAGAAAATTGTGGTTAAAAGGGAAATACATAGGGAAGTTTTTGAGGTGGAGTGGTGGACAGGGAGGGCACATATATTTGTTGTCAAAGGAAGAAGCCTGGAGAGAGGTAAAAAGCTATTCCCTGTACACTTGGCCCAACACGTTTTGGTCCCATTTCAACCAATACTCACCCTTTTAACTGGCTTCTACAAGAAATCCAGATACACCAAGTATTTCCTGGCTTTTGTAAGTTTTTATATGTGAGGTCACAGTGAAGTGTCACAATACACGACATAGCATTTCTCCAGAGTTCCTATTCCTTTCCTGCTGGATTTTCCCTGTGCCTTTCAAGTTTTTCTTCCCTTTTTTAAACAGAAAATTTAAACTCTATCTCTTCTAGTTCCAAATATGTATTCCTAACTCATCCTAAACTGCAACAAAACAGAGACTCTTCCAACGGCAAGGACATACCTCCTTAAAAGGCAATTTAACAACCGTCTCCAAATACTTGAACAAACCCTTTGTGGAGTCAACATTCATCACAAATGAATTATCCATGCTTTTCTTCCAAACAAATTCTGCATTTTCTATACAATTCTTAATGCTTACTAAAAGATTAACAATTTCTCCATTGGGATAGAGTCAAAACTGCAGATGAAAGATTTGCCTTAGTAAAAAGAAGCATAATGTTATAAAAAATGAATCATTCTTTTCAAGAAATAGAGGCAGCAACAGTTCTTAAAATTAAATAAGAACTAGAAGAATGTAGTGAGACAGAATCTTGTATACTGCTGAGTAGAACAAAATCCCCAGGAACCTTTCTAGAAAACAATTTACCAGAATATTCATGCTTTTTAACATATCAATTCTACTAACAAAAAGCTATCCTGAGAAAATAGAGATGGCTAGATGGTAAATGATGTTATTGCAATGTTATTTACAAAGGAAAGCCAAGAGTATCTACAAAAGGGAAACAGTTGAATAAATTATGTTATGCTACCATCTTAGAATATTATAGACATATAAAAATATTTTAAGTGCCATATATAGTCACATAATAAAATATGTTAAATAAAAATCAAGAAATAGGACTAATACTTCAAATTCATTTTAAAATCATAAATATTATATATATACAACTATGTGTGTGTGTACAGAGACATGCATAATTTTATATAGATAAAAGACTAGAAGGAAATACAACAAAATTTTAACAGTAATTTTCTCTGGGTAGTAAGACTACAGATTACTTTTTTCTTCTTTATAATTTTCTGTAACAATCAAATTTTCTACAATAGCATTTATAAGTGGAAAATTTGTTTTAAAAAAGGAGCAGCTTTGTTTCGCCATTAAGTAGGCATTAAAAAAAAATGTAGGCTTGCTGGGCACGGTGGCTCATGCCTTTAATCCCAGCACTTTGGGAGGCCGAGGTGGAGGTGGATCACTTGAGGTCAGGCGTTCGAGACCAGCCTGGCCAACATGGTGAAATCCCATCTCTACTAAAAATACAAAAAGTTAGCTGGGTGTGGTGGTGCGTGCCTGTGGTCCTAGCTACTTGGGACGCTGAGGTGGGAGAATCACTGAAGCCTGGGAAGTCGAGGCTGCAGTTAGCCAAGATCATGCCACTGCACTCCAGTCTGGGCAACACAGTGAGACCCTGTCTCTAGAAATTTTAAAAATAAAAATAAAAAATAAAAAATGTGGCCAGGCGCGGTGGCTCACACCTGTAATCCCAGCACTTTGGGAAGCTGAGGTGGGTGGATCATGAGGTCAAGAGTTCAAGACCAGCCTGGCCAATATGGTGAAACCCCTTCTCTACTAAAAAAAAAAATACAAAAATTAGCGGGGTGTGGTGGTACACACCTGTAATCCCAGCTACTCAGGAGGCTGAGGCAGGAGAATCACTTGAATCTGGGAGGCAGAGGCTGCAGTGAGCCAAGATCGTGCCACTGCACTCCAGTCTGGGTGACAGAGCAAGACTCTGTCTTGGAAAAAAAAAAAATTAAATTAAAATAAAATTAAAAATGTGGGCTCTGATATATTTATGATCTATACACTCTACACTATGGTACTGGTGAAGCCTATAGACTTCTGAGTTTCCATTATAACCCCATGTTGAGTAAAGTTTTAAGGGCACAGGAAGGGTGCTGATTTGGACCTCATACAGAACAACTTTAGTGACACTAGAATGTGAGCTTTGTGAGGGCAGGATGTTGGTGTGTTTTGCTCACTGCTTCATCCTCAGCACCTAAAATAATGCTTTGTACACGGTAGGCACTCAACAAATATTTGTTAATAAATCTCCAACTAATTTTTTAAAAATTATAAATTACTTTCCTGTTTTCTACTATGCCTTTTGTCTCTAATCATAAGGAAAAACAGAGAGGAAGTGCTGACTTTTAGATGATGAGTGGGGAAGCTCATAAAGACAGAACTGGAGTTTTTTGGTTTTCATTGTGTTTTTTGTCCTACAAAGCAAATAATGCTTTCTCTCAGAAAGAAGCTCACTCAGGCTTACTCTGACATGTTCAACTTTACTACTGACTTTCCTAACAAGCAAAGAGCATTTATGCTGAACCACATCTTCTGGAAAGTCTTGCTTTTACCCCAACTGTCTCACTGTTCATGGATGGGGAGGTGCAACTAAACTGGGTTGTAGTGAGGACAGAACATGTCACTCTGTTACTGGCTTTAGAAAAAGTAGAGCCAGTGGCCTATGATTCCAAATAGAAGAACTATTGCCCTTCTACAGAATGTGCTTTCAAACCTTGCCCCTGACCCACAACAAAAAATACGGCTAACACAAAAACCCCAGTAACAAGCTAACATGTGTGCAAGTAAAGCAAAAGTTTCACAAAACAACTGCTCTTACCACATCTGATGCAGTCTGATATTGTCTATGCTATTCAATTTAATATTTTTAAACTGTGGATTACAGCTCAGCAAACTGATTTTATGACCTACTAGTGAGTGGAAAGCCACAGTTTGAACAATGCTGACAAGGAGACAGTGCTTTCTTCCCCTGGACCTGTAGGCACTATGTAACGGAGTATCTAGTCATGAAGAAAACTGGCTCTGGAGCCTCCTACCTGACTTCACGTACTGCCTCTGCAACTTACAAGGTGCCTGGACAAATTACTTAACCTCTCTGGGCCCCTATTTCCTCATATGTAAAATGGAAATAACATACCTATGTCATAGGATTATTATAAGGATTAAATGAATTAATGTATAAAGTACTCAGAATAGTGCCTGGTACACAGTGAGCACTGTATAAATATTAGCTAAGATTATTATTATTAATGTGCCTACTGAGGAGGAAAAACACACACTGAGAATTAGGTAAGATGTAAGAGAAGGTCAAGAGGTCCTACGTATCCTGATGCTCTTGTTAGAAGCAGAAAAAGAAAACTGATAATCTCAAAATCTTCTACATAGAACCAAGCAAATGTTAGTCTATAGTAATTTGGTGTTTCTCTTTGATGCCTAAATAGATATTTGAATTAGATCTCACAGTTTATGTTGGCATCTAAAATCTCACTGGCTCTTATCTGAACCCAATCCACTCCTGATTAAGATAATGGTTGGATAGTAATCCATTCCTGATTAGTGTTGAATAGTTAATTTTGAGATAGTGGGCACTTTATATTCCAATTTTTAAAATAGCCTTATTGAGATATCATTTACATACCACAAAATTTCATTATTTGAGTATACCAGCCAATGATTTTAGGGGATTGAGGAGAGTTGTGTAATCAACGCTGCAATTCAATTTCAGAACACTTCCTTTACTCCTATTTGTATCATCTGCCTACTTGCAGTCTGCCTATTTTAAATGAGGAAAACAATCATGCATTGCCAGGCCATCCAAAAACCCCAACTAATTCCCGCAAATATGACTAACATACCCAACTTAACTATTTAACACTACTGTACCAGATAGAAATTACATTTTCCTTCTACAGTGAAGCCAACATGTCCTGTAATGTAAATAAACAATAGAATAATATGTTAACGATATTAAAAATATTATCTAAATTGGACTCAGGCACCTGGCAGAAGCAAATAACAGAAGCAAATAACGGAAGCAAAAACCTTCAGGGAAAGGAAAGAGAAAATAACAATAAAATACACCTTTGGGAGCTTAAGAGGATGGGGATATTCTATCAGGGGAAGACTGAAATAAAACTGTAATAGCCTCTTATGTTTTCCCCAAGAAGTTTTCAGCAGTGCTTACAGGCAGAATTCTTATCCCATGTTTTCAATCCAGAAATTAAAATCTGAGTTAAAAAAAACCCTGCAAGTCATTATGCTAAATATTCAGAAAGTGAGAATACCCACTAGGGATGGCTATAATGAAAAAGACATACTAAGCACTGGCAAAAATGTAGAGAAACTGGAACTCTCAAACATTGCTGGTAAAAATGTAAAATGGAGCAGCTGCTTTAGAAGCAGGTCAATAGTTCCTCAGAAATTAAACACAGCCACCGTATGACCCAGCAATCCCACTCCTAGGTTTATATCCAAGAGAAATGAAAACATACACCCATACAAAAACTTATACATGAATGTTCAAAGCAGCATTATCCATAATACCCCAAAAGTAGAAAAAAAAATGTCCATTAACTGCTGAATGGATAAATGTGGTACATTCATAAAATGGAACATTATTTGGCAAAAAAAGGAATGAAGTCCTGATACATAATACAATATGGGTGAAAACACTATGCTAAGAAGCCAGTCTCAAAAGGTCACATATTGTATGATTCCATTCATATAAAATGTCCAGAATAGGCAAATCCAGAGACATAAAATAGGTTCATAGTTGTCTAGAGTTAGGAGGGTTGAGAGGAAAGGGGAAGTGACTGCTAAGGGTTACAGAGCTGCTTTGCAGGAAGATGAAAGGGTTCTAAAATAATTGTGAGGATAGTTACACAACTCTGTGAACATACTAAAAACTACTGACTTGTACACTTCAATGGGTGTTCTAGAATTCTAGGATACATTAATTCTATCTCAATAAAGCAAACACATTTTGTTTATTTATTTTTTTGAGACACAGTCTCGCTCTTGTCACCCAGGCTAAAGTGCAGTGGCATGATCTCAACTCACTGCAACCTTCCCCTCCTAGGTTCAAGCGATTCTTCTGCCTCCTGAGTAGCTGGGATTACAGGCATGTGCAACCATGCCCGGCTAATTGTAGTTTTAGTACAGCCCGGGGTTTCACCATGTTGGCCAGGCTGGTCTCAAACTCCTGACCTCAAGTGATCTACTCACCTAGACCTCCTAAAGTGCTGGAATTACAGACATGAGCCACCACGCCCAGCCAAGCAAACATATTTTAAAAGCATCATTTTGCCATGTGCTTTTTACTCTTTCACCTCATGTATATTTGAAAAGAACCTTATGTTTTTAATTAATTTACATTTTATTCATCAAAATGTTTTGTTTTTTGAGATGGAGTCTCACTCTGTTGCCCATGCTGGGTGCAGTGGTGCGATCTCGGCTCACTGCCACCTCTCCCTCCCAGGTTCAAGTGATTCTCTTGCCTCATCTTCCTGAGTAGCTGTGATTACAGGTGCATGCCACCATGCCTGGCTAATTTTTGTATTTTTAGTAGAGACGCAGTTTCACCATGTTAGCCAGGCTGGTCTCGAACTCCTGACCTCAAGTGATCCACCCGCCTCGGCCTCCCAAAGTGCTGGGATTACAGGCGTGAACCACCCTTAGTCATCAAAATATTTTCAAAGAACTATTCGATAAATATCAAGTCTTTCAAAAGTTCTTCAAAAGCTTATTTTCCTCCTTTGAATCATAAAGTTCTATTCCACTAAAAAATATGAAATTCCAGCCTGAGCAACATGGCAAAACCCTGTCTCTCAAAAAAATACAAAAATTAGCCACATGTGGTGGCATATGCCTGTAGTCCCAGCTGCTCAGAGGACTGAGGTGGGCGGACTGCTTGAGCCCGGGAGGTCAAGGCTGCAGTGAGTCAAGATCATACCACTGCACTGCAGCCTGGGCAACAGAGAGAAAAGAAACCCTGTCTCAAAAAATAGGAAGAAGAAGAAATGAAATTCAAAATGTAAAATTTCCAGTGCTTGAATCACAGTTTTCAAATTCAGCTTCAGTACTGTCAATTGGCAAAACAACAACAACAAAAACCCCAAACTTTATTATTTTAATCTATTTGGTTCATATTTTGCAAGAGATGGTGGATCTAGAAAACTTTAACCGGGATTTTATGACCTTCCCCTCCCCACCCCGCCAAATCTGAACAAAGAGCTCAAACTACTTTTTTTCCTTCTTTTATTCCATATCATATAGAAGAATGCCACAGTTGCAAAAGAGCAAGCTATCTCTAAAATCCAGGGCCAAGATCAGCAATCCCAGTACTTAAGTCAAAAGAATCAATAAACAGTAAATAGGATTAATTAAATTCATTCTATGTTTCAATTTGTCCAGGTTTTAAACACATTATTCAATCACAGCCATCATAAAATAAGAAATATTATATTAAACGCATTAACTTTAGATTAGAGGATGACAAGTTTAAGGAAGTTGCAGACATCCATTTAGATATCTGTGAAAGGACAATTATTTTAATATTCTTTAATGTACAAGATTTTATTAATATTTCTACAGCACTGTCAAGAAAAAAAGGAGGCCCCAATGAACTGACAAGTAGGCTAACATATAGATTTGTCTTGCCATATTTCTCTATGTAAGTAAATTCAGTTCTGAAAAATAATGCATAAATATACTTTAATGATACAACTTCATTTATCCTCACCTTGTTGACTTTTTCATCTTATGTTCCCAAATCTACTCCTCTGCTGGGTTATTAGCATTTTGCAGTTATAGTTATATATTTTATCAATGTATTAGAGACAGCTAATTGCCTTCCAATATCTGTTCTCCACTTCTTCCCTAACAAAACGCTGTTTATTTCATCACTTTGCCAAACAGTATAAAAGCTCAATTTTCCAGGCTGTCGCCTCAGCTTCCCAAGTAGCTGGAATGTCAGCTAAAGGAGTCAGTGTGACTTAGTCCTGGACAATAAAATGCAAGTAGGGGCTTCTGGGTAGACATATTTTTCTTTATTCTTCTAAGTAAAACCAAAAGCCATGTACATTATGTTTATTATATAAAATGTGTTTGCTTTATTGAGATAGAATTAATGTATCCTAGAATTCTAGAACACCCATTATTCTAACTTTATTAGAAATGCTAAGCATCAGTATTACTGTTGGAATTACGAGAATTTGAAAGATAGCTGCATATAAGGTCAAGAATCAGTAAGTAGAACTACAAAGCAGAAAAAAAATTATTACATTTAATATAACAGTAAATTCTAAGGGACTTAGAAATAAATTTAGCAAGCGAAGAACACATCTGCATGAAGAAAAAAATAATAATCATATCTAAGGGCAAAGAATAAGATCTGAACTAGTGAGCAAAATATCTGTACATTATATTTCAACTAAAACCAAAAGGATTCTGAAAGGTGGAGAGACGACAAACTGGCTAGGGACCTCAGGACCCAGGAGAAAACATGGTAATGATATCCTGAATTTTCTTATTTTTGCTTTCTATATCCCACTCTGGATACTGGTGAAGCCAGCAACCCAGGAACACCAAGTGCAAAGAAACTGCCTCCCCTCTCTGCCCGCCCCTGGAAAAAGACTGCTTTCTCTAGCCAAAGGAACATGAAAGGGGCAGCAAGACAGAAAACTTAAAGGCAATAAATAACTCCAGACAAACACCACAGAAAAAAGTGAAACTCCACCCGACCCCCACCAGCAAAAACCAAGTGGAAAGCCTAGACTTCCATCCCTGTCTGGCTGTAAGAGGAGGCACCCCAAGCTCTTTCCCTAAATGGGGAACAAGGGGAAAGTTGGGACATTCATCCCCCTTGAGCATGATCTAATATCCCCCTTCCCATCTGCGCTAGTGGAGACCACTTTAGGAGCCTGGACTTGCAGCCCACGCATCAGTCACAAGGTGCTCCTCCCCCGACTGCAGGAGTGGTGCCAGAGGAGACTTGTTGAGTGCTGGACTTTCACCACCACTTAGCAGTACCAAGGCCTCCCCTCCACATGGTGTCAGTGGAGGTCCATCAGAGAGCAGTAATAAGGCACTCCTCTACCTCCTAATGAGAGGGGTACCAGTGGAGGCCTAGTGGAGAGCCTGAACCTCCTCCTCTACCCAGCAGTAACAAGCAAACCCCCTCCCCTAGGTGGTCAACTGAGAACAGGGAGAGAACCAAGCCCCTCTGGTGGTAATGAGGCAACCCTGTCTACCCCCAGCAGTAGTGTTGGAGGGTGCCTGCTAAAACACAGATTTAAGTAAGACCCAGAGTCTTATAACATAATACACACAAAAAATAATAATAATACACAAATGTCCAAGTTTCAGTCAAAAATCACTTATTTAATCACAAAGAGATATACCATTTGTTTGATGGGGGCGGGGAGAGAGGGATAACTTATACCAAGAACCAATAAAGATCTCAAACTGAATGATTAAAGACAATCAAAAGATGTCAACACTGAGATGAAACAGCTTGACTGTGCAACAATTTTCTTTTCCTCTCAAAATCTTCTGGCCCTTCAGATTAACACTCCACTGACATTGCACTTATACAGTAAAAGCCTTTACTAATTTATAAATTATAAACTTTGTGATAAAGGAAAGAGTTAAGTATTTCCAAGGAATTTTAGCCCAAGGAAAAGTCGGCATTTAAAAATTTATTTCTGGCCGGGCGTGGTGGCTCACACCTATAATCCCAGCACTTTGGGAGGCCCAGGTGAGTGGATCACTTGAGGCTAGGAGTTCAAGACCAGCCTGGCCAACATGGCAAAACCTTATTTCTACTAAAAATACAAAAAGTTAGTTGGGCATAATGGCATTAGCCTGTCTTCCCAGCTACTCAGGAGGCTGAGGCAGAAGAATGGCTTGAACTGGGAGGTGGAGGTTACAGTGAGCTGAGATTGTGCCACTGCACTCCAGCCTGGGAGACAGAGCGAGACTCTGTCTCAAAATAAATAAATAAATATAATTTTAAAGTGTATTTCTCCCTTAATTTTTTTTTTTTTTGAGGGATGAGTCTCACTATGTCCCCCAGGCTGGTCTCAAACTCCCAGGTTCAGTGATCCTCCCACCTCAGCCTCCTGAATAGCTGGGACTATAAATGCACCCGGCTTCCCTTACTTTTTTATTTCTTAAACTTACCGTTGATTAGAAGCAACCGGAATGAATTCCTTGCACTTCTCAAATTTATTATTCTCTAATATTAGTTACCGTGCAATTCTTACAAGACCAAAAGCATTTTAAAAGTCAATCTTTAAGTATTAAAAAATATACTGGAAAGACTCACCAAAATAATTTATGAATGAGATGATACTAGGTCATTTTTAAGAACACTAGAAAATGTTATTTTTACATTCTCAGTGTACAGAATTTTTTCCAAGTTATACGTAAAAACTAGGAAAAAACAAAATCCACAGACCTAATGCAGAAATGTGATACAGCTTGGGTGAGGATAAAAAGAGGAAGAAACAGCTGTGCTACTCATGAAGGACTATACCATAGATCATTGATGCTCTATCATTAGTATCATCAGGATCACCTGGACGGCAGGTGAAACAGATTACTGGGTCCTTTCCGCAGAATTTCAGATTAAATAAATCTAGGGCAGGTGAGAATTGGCATATCAAACAAGTCCCCAGGGGACGTTGATTCTGCTGGTCCAATGACCACATTTTGAGAACCACTGCCTTAAAGAGATGATGCCTGTGCAGATCACAAAATATAATAATAAAGGTCAGCTACTGGAAGCCTAACTCTAGTGAAGCAAGCAGAACAGCTGTACCTAATTCTGAATTAAGAGTAAGAATTAGAGGCCAGGGACAGTGGCTCACATCTATAATCCCAACACTTTGGGAGGCCAAGGTGGGAGGATCACTTGAGGCCAGGAGTTCCAGAGCAGCCTGGGCAACAGAGAAACACTCCCATCCCTACAAAAAATAAAATAAATCATTTTTTAAAAAAAGAGTAAAAATTAGTAGGAGAGAAAGGGAAGTCAGACCCTAAGTTGCTGTAAAGGTAAAAGTTCATAAAAACCAGAAAATAAAAACAAGTAAGCAACTCTCTTCCCATACACGACAACCTTATTAATGCATTTATTCAACATTTATTGAACAAGAACTATATACCAGGTACAACACATGGAGAACACAAACATAAATAAGCATTAACTGCTAAAGAGCTCATCATCTATAAGGTGAAACAGAACAAAAAGTAATTGTAGACCTAGAAAAGTTAAGGAATTTAACTAAAATGACAAACACAGAAAAATCTGTTCGGCAAATTTCTAAGTTATAACTTCAATGGCATTCTTATTCTTTGGTGACAGGAAAGAAAAAGGGAGCAACTTCACTCTATTAACAATAAAAATCTCTAAAAATAGAATAACAAGTCCATACTGACATAAGCTATTGAATAATAAATAAACGGGAGAGAAGAGACAATCTCCTGTGCAGAAGAATTCCAAGTAATTAGCAGGTGGAACATAACTCCCCACTCCCTGAGTGTAAGTTATAGATCGTGACTTCTTTCCAGAGAGCAGCATGAAAAGAGGGGTAATGGAAACCTGACTGTGGAGAAACCTCACCAACACTACCTCACCCTAGTGATCAAGGTCAACATCAACAGTGATAAGTCACATTGACAGTATGTGATGAAAATGGCACTGCGCTTCTGCGATCTTCCTCAAAACTCGTAACCCCAGTCTAATAAAGAGAAAAACATCAGACAAGTTCAAATTGAGGAACACTTTTACAAAGCACTTAACCAACACTTCTGAACACTGTGAAGGTCATAAAAAACAAGGAACGTCTGAAAAACTGTCACAGCCAAAAGGAGCCTAAGGAGACATGATGACTACATGTAACGTGGCATCCTGGAACAGAAAAGGCTCATTAGGTAAAAACCAAGACAATTTGAACAAAGTATGGACTCTAATTAATGATAATGTAAAAATGTATCAGTATTAGTTCATTAATTGTAACATGTTAATATGTAACAGTTAATAAACTGGTTGTAGGATATATGGGAACCCTCTGCACCATCTTCGCAATTTTTCTGTAAATCTAGAATGGTTTTAAGAAATAAAACTTATTTTAAAACTTGAGAATTAACTTCTCAGAACACTAATTTAGTTTTTAAAAGTCAAAAAATTCCAATGATGGAAAATAAAGGAATACATGAATATATTATGGAATAAATAAGTATATGGAGATTTGCTCCTGACAGGAATTTCTAAATAAGTTTAATGTATATTTTATAATGAGAGGATGGGAATATCAAATTATATATTTTTAAGTTAATGGTACTGAGTTCATTTCACCAGAATTACACCATTATAAAGCTACGATTGACAAAATCCACAAGAATGCATTAAGCAGAAAACACGGCCAAAAACTTTTCAGTAGTAAAACTAATTTAAAATGTAACAAGCACAAAGCAATTCCAATTAAATAAATAATGAAATAGGATGTCAGTTTAGAAAAGAATGAATCTGAATTAATATTTCACAATGCACATGGTAATATATTTCAGGAGGTTAAAAAAGTAAACCTAAGAAAAGTCAAAAAATAACTAAACAGGAGAACATTTTTTTACTTTACCTTAGAAGAAAAATTTGAGTCCTGAAGAAAAAGACAATTTCAATATTGAAAACTTTTATTTTTACATGAAAAATAAAAACTTTTTATGCAATCAATAAAACAAAAATTATAGGAATAAATGTAACAGACTAGGAGAAATCATTACAAAGCTTGCTACCCAAAATATCCATATACAAAAATATAGGCATATGTAGAAAAATACATATGTCTATACACACGTATATAGAGATGAGTATAAAAGTTCAGTTGTGCATTGCCAAGGGAATAATTTCCAAGTAGGAATACAATAAATGAATCAAGACATAGCAAAATGCATAGCTCTGGTAGCAAAATTATTTGGTAAACTATGCAAAAACAGGCACAAAGCTAAAAATATTTACTATTTGGCTTTTTACAGAAAAGGTTTGCCAACCCCTGGGCTAAAGAAGCAAGTTAATTCACTGACCCACACAATTTTTAGTGAGGTTGAGATAGTCATTACAGACAATCCTTTTCAAAAAAGGAGGGAAATGCAAAGTACATAGAATCAGGTTACTAAAATACAGAGGGAAATGTTGGAAATCTGGAAATTCGTTAAGACTCAGTCCTATTTCCATCGGGAAATGATTCTCCATGGCTCTGGGATCCATCTTCCAGGTTCAGCCCTCTGAGACACTCTTTCTTTTTAATGAAAGGTAGCACTTGCTTTCTGCTAAGCAGTTTTCTCATCATGCTTCCTACTTGTAGAAGTTTGGGGGTCCAAAGGCATCTTTTCATTTTGTACTCTCTGACCCCTTTAATCCAAACTAGTAGTGATCCTTAAAATACATTCCTCTTAAAGCTTTGTGGGGGTCCTAGGAATCTCACTGGGGTTCTTTGCATTAAACAAAAGCCACACGCACAAATCTTTTTCAGATAAGCCCTCCTCTACCTTGAGATTCTGCTGAAATGGCTGCAGGATAAGGACCATCCCCTTAAGTTTCTTGGACGCGCTATTGTTTGATTGAATGGATTGGTCAGTCACACCATTAGTCTTTCTTTAGAGGCCCTTTTATGTGACTGAAAAGTACTCTGAGGCAGAAACTTAGATCTTTCTTAAATTTTAACAAAGGATTTTACAGCCACACTCTCAACTTTGTCCTTAGTTTTCCTGACAATGCCTTGGATCTATCTGATCCTTGTTCAAGAAGGAAACCAGAATATTTCACCCTAAAATATGCTTCTTTAAAATATTTTTTTTTTTGAGACGGAGTCTCGCTGTGTTGTCCAGGCTGGAGTGCAGTGGCATGATCTCAGCTCACTGCAAGCTCCGCCTCCCGGGTTCAAGCCATTCTCCTGCCTCAGCATCCTGAGTAGCTGGGACTACAGGCGCCTGCCACCACACCCGGCTAATTTTTATATTTTTAGTAGAGACGGGGTTTCACCGTGTTAGCCAGGATGGTCTCGTTCCCCTGACCTCGTGATCTGCCTGCCTCGGCCTCCCAAAGTGGTGGGATTACAGGAGTGAGCCACCGCGCCCAGCCAATTTATTGCTCTTTATTGAAGATTTTCTATGAGCTGGGATTCTAAACCACTCTAAGCCACTCTTGAGTTACTTTTCTCTCATGTGAACTGCACTGCAGCATTACTATACGTGTTTGTTTCTCTCTTGTTCATCTGTTTTTTGCTGCAGGAGTCTGTCCCAACTACGAACTTATGAAGGTTGAGGAAAATTATTATTTCTCCCTTTCACTTAGAAGAAGCCATTTCTTAATTTAGCATCATTTACTGTTTGGAGAGGCTGACATGGTCAAAACTATCAAGTCTCAGCACCTTCAGGTTTATCAATCCTTTCTTTAGCATACTTGCTCCTGTCACTCTTTAGGCACAAACCAGGTGGCACCTTCAAGTCTAGTTGGAAATCTTCTTAGCTACGGTACTCAGTTCATTATGTGCATTCTAGTTTCTACATTACTACAGGTGACAGTGTTGCATTATAAAGCTTATGCTACTATATTAGAAGGATCCCCTTTCCTCCAGTTTCTAAAAAGATTCTCCCATTTTCCTTTAAGCCCTTCCTGGCAACCTCACCAAAAAAACATGAGTCTACAGTTTCTCCAAGATACTTTAGATTTACACTGACAGTGTCTTCAATGTCCATTCACCTTTCATCCACTACGAAGTTCCAAAGCCATGCCCACTTAAAATATTTGTTGCTGGGCACCATGGCTCATATGGGATTGTTCCCAAAGCAATCCCAGCACTTTGGGAGGCCAAGCAGGAGGATCACTTAAGCCTAGGAGTTTGAGACCACCCTGGGCAACACAGTAAGACCATATCTCTACAAGAAATAAAAGAATTAGCTGGGCGTGGTGGTGCACACTTGTAATCCCAGCTACTTGGGAGACTGATATGGGAAGACTGCTTTAGCCCAGGAGGTCAAGTCTGCAGTGAGCTGTGATAGCATCACTGCACTCCAGCCTGGGCAACAGAGCAAGACCCTAGCTCAAAAAAAAATTGTTGACATCACTTATCTTACTTCATTTGAACTGCTATATCAGAATAACATAGATGGGTGGCTTATAAACAATATAAATTTATTTCTCACAGTTCAGGAGGTTGGGAAGCCCAAGATGAAGGTGTCAGCAGATTCAGGGTCCAGTGAGGGCCCACTTCCTGGTTCACAGATGGCCATCTTTTCGCTGTATCCTCACATAGTGGAAGGCGAAACAAGCTCTCTCAGGACTCTTACAAGGACACTAATCTTATTCATGACAGCTACACCCTAATGACTTGATCACCTCCTAAAGGCCCCATGTCCAAATACCATCTCATTAGGGATTAAGTTTCAACATAGGAATTTTGTGGGGACACAATCAGTCTACTGCATCAATCAACCTCTAGTGCCAGTATCAAATTAGTTGTCTACTGTGTAACAATTATCCAAAACTTGTAAGCTTAAAACACATAGCTTAAGATCTATTATTTCACATAGTTTCTGAGAGTCAGGAATCCAGGAGTAGTTAGCTCAATGGTTCTGACTCAAATGTCAGCCTCAGGCAGGAATGCAATCATCATGAAGTTTGACTGGAGCTGGAAGGACTACTGGCTACTGGCTAGAGGCTTTGGTTCTTTGCTGTTTGGGCCTCTCCATAGGGATGCTCACTTGACTAGCTTCTCCCAGAGCAAGTGATCAGCAAAAGCGTGATAAAGATGGAAACTGCAATGTCTTTAATAATCTAATCTTAAAATTAACATTCTGCTGTTTTTTATTGGTCACACAGACCAGTCTTGGCACAGTATGGAAGAAGAATGAATCCACAGGGCGCAAATACCAGCAGGTGGTGGGGGCCATCTTGGAGGCTGGCTGCTGCAGTGGCTTGGCAATTCCAGGCAGAGTCTCATTTACAACACCCAAATAAGGAAGGAAAGAAACAGGGAGGGAAAGGGGGAACTTCTTCACATAACTTCTCTTTTCTTAGGGGGAAAATATTGTTCAGGGAGCTCTCCAATAAACTTCTATATCTCTTTGGCCTGAAGAGAATAAAACAGTTACCCACTAAGTGCCAAGGAGCCTAGAAAAATAAGTATGTGGCATTTTTTGCCTCAATCATAAAAAGAAAGCAGGAAAGTAGGAGGTTGGTATGACTTTTGCATAGACAACGGTCTACCACAAAAGTTAAGTAAAAAGCATAGCAAAGATAAACAAGTCAATGATTACAATCACATATTTTGAATATATATTTCTAAATTCCAGAAATTAAATGGTTTACTTCAAAGATGTCTGAAAATTTGTTTTTAAGTTGATATAAATGTAAACAAAAAATGCTAAATTAATATTCCTCACTATAATTATATAGCATTTTATAATATCCAGACTGTTCATATGTATTCTTTACAATAGCCTTGAAAGAAAACTAAAGCAAATATTATTATGTTAGCCCCACTTTACAGATAAGAAACATGAATCAATGGTATGACCATAGCTCACTGCAGCCTTCAACTCCCAGACTAGAGTGATGCTCCTGCTTCAACCTTCCTAGTAGCTGGCCCTACAGGCATGCCACCATACTGGCTAATTTTTAAAATTTTTTTAGAGATGAGGTCTTATTATGTTGCCCAAGCTGCTCTTGAATTCCTGACCTCAAGCGGTCCTCCTGCCTCAGCCTCTCAAATAGCTGAAATTACAGGCATGAGTCACTGCACCCAGCAAAAAATTATCATTTTTGACAACACTAATACTACAGTAATTTGCTTAACCCTCTATCACTGACATTAGGTTATTTCCCATTTGTCACTCTCATAGTCAATCCTATCAAAATATTTTCATGCATTATTTTTCCCTCCTTACTTAGTTTATTTTATTAGGAAAAAATACCACAAATTGGCTGACTGGGTCAAAACATACATACATTTTTTAGAACCTTGCTATATGCTGATTTCTAAAAGCAATTTAATATAGTTTAGTTAACTAAAGATGCTACCAGCATGAGTATACCATGAGGTTCACCAAAACCTCACCATCCCCAAGTACCTCGTTGAATTCTTGCTTATTTAGAATGAAATAAAATGTTCTCTTATAGTTTTAATTTGCATTTATTTGATTACTTGTGGGATTGAACACTCCTTTTTGTGTTTTTCACTTTGTTCTTATGAGAACTATAAATTCATATCTGTATTTCATTTACTATAGTCTTGAGATTTTTCTTATAAAATTTAATAAGTTATTTCTCATAAACATGCTTTGTTATTTGGTTCAAATATTTCTTCTAATGTTACCTTTTTTATTTTGGTTTAACCAACATTCATTTGTACAAAAAAAGTTATATAATAATTCTATTCTATAAAATGCTCTTCAGTGTTTTGTTTTGTTTTTTCACTCCAAAATGGAAAAGTTACTAGCTGTCCAAAAAGTTGATAAACATGCTACCAGCTATAATACTTATTCTCCTTTTAATCAGCCTGGGGTTTATTTTGATCTATGATATTCAATTTAAATTTAGTTGCACAATTCAAAAATTGCACTTAACTAAAGATGCCCTTTTGCATGCTGCTAACTGCTATAGATAGTTGGGCGGATTAAGATAACCCAAATAATGTGGAACTACTATAAATAATATAAATGCTGTGAATTTAACTATAAAATTTGCCATAGGAAATCAGTAAGGCATACGTAAACATTACCTAAAAGAGACAAAACAGCTCCCAGACCCACACAAGGTGGCTATAACCTAATTGAAAGTGCTCTAACATTATCTATTTTAGAAGACAAATGGGTCATTCAGAAGGGGCACTGGTCAGCCACTGGCGTATAGGGCAGGGAAAAAAGTTACTGGGTTTTTCTCCTTTTTCAATTAATTCTTCCTACTAACTATACATTTCTTTTTTCACCAATCATTTTCAAGAGTTTTTTAGCTTCCTGTGCTTGTTATGTGGTACTCCCACTCTCCTTTATTTAGGAAGTTAATGATTTTAGTTATTTCTTATTTTATCCTAGAGACTAAACTTTTTCTCAAGTACACTCTAGGTGAGTTGTCTGGTCTCAGGGTCTGGATGTTTCTGATCTGGAGGTGAGACTGGTATCGACATGGCTGCCTAAGGCTATCTTTGCTGATGTTATCAAATCTTTGAAGCCTAATTCGTAATTCCTGTTAATACCGCAAGTGTCATACCTGTTCTCTTCCTATTTTCATAGAATTGCACTGAAAGGCTTAATAGTCATATAATCCAAATAGAAACTCAATCTGCAAGCCTTTCACATGAATTATTATCAAGACATGTTCCTCTATTCACTGTTTCTATTTTCTGGCTTTGTTTCTTTAAAAAGTGTTCTGTTAAGAAATAATTAACAATAAGCTGCACATATTTAAAGCGTACAACTCAAAAAGTTTGGACATATGTGTATTTACCTGTGAAACCATCATCACATCAAGATAGTGAACCTCCTAAATCTTTCCTGTCCCTTTGAATTCCTTTCCTCCCTTTCCTTGTTGTCTCCTCTGCATTTGATATGCTTCCATTGCAATACAGCACTTATATTTTTCAGAACTTTTAATAAGTGTAATATATTCTTTTTTGTCTGGCTTCTTTCACATAGCGTAATTGTTCTGGGGTTCATCCACTTTGTTACAAATATTGCTGAGGAGTATTCCATTGTATAGATATACCACAATTTTGTTATTCAATTACCTGTTAATAACTACTTTGGAAAACGGTTTTAGCAGCTTCTTAAAAAATAAAAAAAGGCTGGGCGTGGTGGCTCACGTCTGTAATCCCAGCACTTTGGGAGGTCAAGGCGGGTGGATCACTTGAGGTCAGGAGTTCCAGACCAGCCTGGCCACCATGGTGAAACCCCATTGCTACTAAAAATTAAAAAATTACCTGGGCTTGGTGGCACACTCCTGTAATCCCAGCTACTTATGAGGCTGTGGCAGGAGAATTGCTTGAACCTGGGAGGTGGAGGCTGCAGTGAGCCAAGATTGCACCACTGCACTCCAGCCTGGACAACAGAGTGAGACTCTGTCTTAAAAAAAAATAAAAAACAAAAAATAAAATAAAAAACAAAAAGTAAAAAAAATCTACCTACCATTCCATTCCCAGGAATTCACTCAAAAGAAAAGAATGCATATGTCCATATAAAAACTTATACATGAATATTCATAGTATCTTTATCTGTATTAGCTAAAAATTAGAAACAATTCATCTCCATCTACACAGCACAGATAAACAAATTGTGGTATATTCATAAAGTGACATACTACTTGGCAATAAAAAGGAATAAACTATTAATATACATTACAGACAATACAGATAAATCTCAGAATAACTAAGCTGAGTAAAAGCAGAACAAAAAAACGAGTATTTATTTCTTGCCAATTCTTTTTTTAATGTACCTGGTCACTTTATAGCCCCTTACTCTTTATTTATTTTATAATCCCTATTTTATTTATTGAACATATTAAACTATGTACATATATACATATTTAGACATACATACAAGCTCTTGATCTGTTGCCCAGGCTGGAGTGCAGTGGTGTGACCATGGCTCACTGCAGCCTTGACCCCCAGGCTCCAGCAATCCTCCCACCTCAGCCTCCTGAGGTACGCACCACCATACCCAGCTAATTCTATTTATTGTAGAGACAGGGTTTCACTATATTGCCCAGGCTGGTCTTGAACTCCCGGGCTCAAGCGATCCTCTTGCCTCAGTCTCCCAAAGTGCTGAGATTATAAGTGTGAGCTACTGCAACTGGCCATAAACATATTTATTTCATGTAATGTATATTTCTAATAATCGAAATCTCTATAGATCTCTTTCAGTTGTTTGCTGTTTCTGCTGACTCTTGCTCTTGGTGTTTTGATGTTTTCTCCCTTGTTACATTTTGTAATTTTAAAAAATGTGTATGAGCTTATTTGTTAGAATTTTAACTACAATTATTTGATGAATGCATTGATCGTACATTCCTCCATGGAGGATTTTTTTATTGTTCTTACAAGGTACCTGAGAGTATTACAGACTGAGGTCCAATTTAAATTAAAATCCTCCACTTGTGGAGTTTTAGAAACTGTAAAAATTGTGTAAATTAAGGCCCCAAATTCAAGTGAATGTGAGCTGATAACCAAGAATTATTAGGGAAGATTTTAAGTCTACCCAGAACTGAATATCTTTGCAAGATGGTCTCTGACCAGGCTTCTTACCTTTATATGGGACCCAGGGATCTTTTTCTCTAGTCCTCATCCTGCTCCTTACACAAAGCTTCAATGCCAACAGAAATCCATGGATGCCCCCAAAGTATTCAATGACTTCAGCACCTGCTTATCTCACAGGATATATTATACTTGTTTTGTTTCTAGCCCCAGAAAGTTTCCCTTATTTTCTTAATGGGCTCATCCATTCATGTTAAAGGATATTTTTTATACTGAATCTAGTACTTTACATGTTTGGTGGAGGGAGGAATTCAGGCTCTCTAGTCTATCATATTGCTACAAATCAGTCTACTATTTCTGCAACTGCTTTATAACATTTAAATACAATATTATATTTATTCCTGATACATTTTATTTTGGTATGTTGAGCATAGTCTACACGTCTGTCGAGAGCACTTAAAATCTTGATTGAGTCATCATACTAGCTTACCTTAGAAGTTGTATATCATTTGCAAATTTGTTTGAACCTTCTTAGCTTTCACCAAAGTCACTGATCACCACAGCTTCTGACAAAAAGAAAAGCTTTAAAATTAATTTTTAAAGTCTTTATAGTAAATCCAACATATTTTCTTATTGCTTTCAGGTATACAGAATTACAAATTAAATTTCCATCATAATCAAATACTAATACATCAAATTAAAACAGGTAAATTTTCATATCCCAATAACTCAAGTGGCAGACCTTTCAAACAGTAGTATTGAACTGAATGAAAAATATATTTATCATCAAGGGAAACCAGTGGAAACATAAAGCGTTAGTTTGGGTAAAGGGCGCTCTAGTACCTCTGAAATCTCCAACAGCCCCCATCTTCAAAAGGAAGAAACACAATTTATTTAAACTAGTATCTTAAAGGTCAGTGTTTACAAAAAGGCTGTGGGAAGGCTTTCCTGACTGAAGGATGCTTTCTTCCCCTTAGATGTTCAGTAAAATTTTAGCTCTTTCATATTTCTATTGTTTCCTAGCACAAAACATAGAAGAGCACTGAAGGGTCATAAAGGGAAGCTTTGAAGGGTTTCTTGCTTTTAACAACATCATGAAAACCCATGCCTGCTAGATTTTTTCTTTTCTACTCCACCACTTTTAGTTCGCACCTTTACTAATTTCAGTCACCAGCGACAATTTCTGTAAAATCTATCTCCATCACAAGAGTGTGTATGCGTGTGCTTGTTTCCCCATCAGAAATAAGAGAAAACTTACGCTTCTCTCCTTTAGTGCATTGCTCTTGCATGAAGAATGAACAAACCACTGATTTGGGGTTCGCATCTTTACGTTCTGAACAGCAACTTAGAACACTTTGCTCCTGATATTCTTTCTTCTCAATATTTGATGGATATCCTGCAATAATGTAGGAAAAACAGCACAGGCTTTGGAGTCACATCAATCTGGTTTTAAATCTCAATCTTCTACTTAGTAACTGGCTAATCTGAAGCAAATTTTTAATCTCTCTGAACCTAGTGGGAAAATAAGATGGGTCTCAATGTACAGCTGCAAGAAACAAATGATATAGCATATATATATAGTGTCAGCAAAGTGTCTACCATATAACACAAACTCTATTATGTTAGCTTTCCTGTGTAATTTTATGCTTCATTTTCACTTTACTCAGTCAAACGAATTTCCAGACTAAATTTTCTTACGTTATAGCCTTGATAAATTTTATGGTTTTGTCCAACAACTATCAACATTTTAGGCCAGGTGTACTGGCTCATCACTGTAATACCAGCACTTTGGGAGGCCGAGGCAGGAGGATTAGGCCTGGGAGTTTGGGACCAGCCTGAGCAATATGGTGACACCTTGTCTCTACAAAAATAAAATTAAAAAAAATAAAAAATAAAAACATTTTGCAACACTTAATGCCTTCAAAATAGCAGCACATCAATACTACTACTACTACTGAATATATCCCACCAAGAAAGTACATTTCAAAATCTATGTTCTAGAGCCACTAGAATTTGTTCCTTTTTGTGTGTGGTTATGTCACCAAAATGCGATATAGATGTGTAAACTTGTTTCATTTCCTTTTCAGATTTTTCTTTCATTCTACTTTTTTATTTAATCCCACTTTTGAATATGTAGACATACATGATGATTTAGGGTTAAAACTATAGAAACAACTTCCATTTAGAGAAATCTCTCTTCTGTTGTTGGCACCTTTACCCTGCTCCTTCCTTCTGCGGATACATTGCATACTTTTCCATGCCTTTGTTTTTTCCACTTCCTATTGTATTCTACAGATCATTCTCTATTGGTATATAGAGACTTTCTCCCTTCTTTTTTATGACCTCTATGGAAAGACGGTGACTTGGAAGGGGCACAATCTACCTGCAGACTGTTGTACTGTCTGGATGCACCTTAGTTTATGCAATCAGTTCTCTATTAATGGGCATTTTAGTTATTTCCAATCTTTTGCAAATGCAAGTAATATGCTGCTATGACTAACCTCCCTTTGACTATTCCCTCCCATGCAGTTTATGCTTATGTATCCTTACCAGCAATGTATCAAAGTGCCTATTTCCCCACAGTCTACAGGGCCTATTGTATAACTTTTGGATTTTGTTGAAAAATGCTTTAACATAGCTTTAATTTATATTTTTCTTTGTATGACTGAAGGTGGAACATCTTTTATTTTTGAGATGAAGTCTTGCTGTGTTGCCCAGGCTGGAGTGCAGCGGCATGATCTGGGCTCACTGCAGCCTCCGCCTCCCAGGTTCAAGCAATTCTCCTCCCTCAGCCTCCCCAGTAGCTGGGATTATAGGTGCTCACCATTACACCCAGCTAATTTTTGTATATTTAGTAGAGGTGGGGTTTCACCATGTTGGCCAGGATGGTCTCAAACTCCTGACCTCAAGCGATCTGCCCACCTTGGCCTCCCAAAGTGCTAGGGTTATAGGTGTGAGCCACCACGCCCAGTCTGGAACATCTTTTATATGTCTGTCATGTGCATTTCTTTTTCATATCTTTGGCCCATTTTCCTACTGGGTTGATGGTCTTACTTGCCTGGAATTTTACGAAGGTGTTTTCATCCAGGAGGTTAGCTCTTTGTGATATAAGTCCAAATATTTTTCCCCGCTTTGTCGCTTGCCTTTTGACTTTGCTCGTGGCATTTTTCACTATTTAAATACTTTTTTATTAATATAGTAGGATTTATCATGGTTTTTCTTTAAGAATGAGTCATAGTTATAAAATCTTTGGCTTATACTTTCGTAGACTTTAAACATGTTGTTCCATGGCTGTTTTGCTTTGTATGTTGCTGTTTAGAAGTCTGTTGCTAACCTCTCCTTTCTGTCTGGAAGCCCAGAGGAATTTTTCTTCATCATTTTGAAAGTCCAACTGTTTTACTAGGACATGACTTGGAACTGACCATTCTGGATCAATTTTCCCAGTACACAATGAGCCTTTTCAACATGTAGATTGGAGTCATCTCTTATTTCCAGAATGTTTTCATGGATTGAAACTTAACTATTAGCTTTGCTATTGTTTTTTTCTTCTTAGGAACTCTACTTTTACTTATTTTCTATATCAATCACTTTCTATTACTTTTTAACCTTTCTTCATTTAATTTTCATTATCTTGGTTGTTTTCATACCTTTTCTCAATGCTCCTTATATTCAGTCCAATCTTTTCTTATGTACCTTGGAATTTAGCTTCATTTCTTTCTTTATGACTTTTTTTTTTTTTTTTTTTTTTTTTTTGAGACAGGAGTCTCTCTATATTGCCCAGGCTGGCCTCAAACTCCTGGGCTCAAGCCTCTCAAATAGCTGGAACTACAGGCATGCACCACTGCATCTGGCTTTAACTTCATTTTAAAAGCTGATTTTTCTTTTGATTTATTTTATTTCCTGAGTTCAGTAAATTCACTTTTCATATCTTCCTCTTTTTGTCCATTTGTTTTGCAGTTTTGAATTTGGATTTGAGACTTTTTATCTCTACAAATGTTAGTTTAAGGATATTTTAAATTCTGGTAGGAGTACTGTGCTGTAGTTTTCTTTAGTGCTATAGTTGGATGTTTCGGGAAGACTTTTCATCAGCTAAAATTTTTTAAAAACTTTTTTCCTTATTTTTTGTAGAGACTAGGTCTCACTATAGTGCCCAGGCTGGGCTCGAACTCCTGGGCTCAAGTGATCCGCCCACCTTGGCCTCTCAAAGGGCTGGGATTACAGCTGTGAGCCACTGTGCCCAGCCCAGTTGAAATGTTTTGACTATCATTTTGTTTTCCAGCTAAAGTAACTTTATATGGATGTTGCCTGCCATCTTCTGTTCATCTTGAAATATTTTATTTTTCCTAAACCAGATATAGTTGTGTATAGGCAGAAGCAAGGAATTTAGATGACTTAACTGGATTTCTTAGTAAATAGTACCTAATAAAGTGTTTTTTTGTTTGTTTGTTTTTAATTAATGACTCCTTTTTGGGTGGGAGAAATGAGTATCTATTTTCTATTCTGGTTCACCAAGATCCTTAATTTCTACTACCCCTTCTCTCTATCACCAAGCCTCCAGGTAGATGGTGACCCTTCCAAGGCACCCTCTTTCCTTTCCCCAGAAGCAGTACTTTCATGAGACTGCGTCTTTGGTCTCATTTTCTTTCAAGTCTCTTATTTTGTCTAATGGATCTTACACCTCTTCTCACTTCTCTATCCAGGGTGGGGCTTTCTCTTTCTGGGAATTATCTGTATTCTGCTACCCCTAGGTCCTGCAACCTCTCCTCTTTTTTTACAGTCTCCACCTTGCTTGCCACTTCTCCATGGATTCTGCTAGACTGCAGTGTTGATTTCCCTGCATGCCCATAGACATTTTGCTAGCTATTAATGTATGCTTACATATCAATAAATTTGTATGGGTTTTCTCTTGTTAACCTACTGTTAGTTTAGTTCAGCCAACTCAGTTATCAAACCTTCAGAAGCGAAATTTAAGCTTCCCTGCAAATTGCTGGTTATTATTTAATATTATTTTGACACAGGGTCTCACTCTGTTGCCCAGGCTGGAGTGCAGTGGCGCAATCACAGCTCACTGTAGCCTTGACCTCCTGCGTTCAAGAGATCCTCCGACCTCTCTCAGCTTCCTAAGTACCTGGGACTACAGGTGTGTGCCACTACGCCCAGTTAATTTTTTTATTTTTTATTTTTTTTAAGAGACAAGCTTTCGCCATGTTGCCCAGGATGGCTGGTCTCAAACTTCTGGGCTCAAGCAATCTTCCTGCCTCAGCCCCGCAAAGTGCTGGGATTACAGGCATTAGCCACCGTGTCCAGCTGGTATTATTTTTATTAGTGTTCTATCTTGCACTTCTGAGTATGTTTAAGCTTCCACCTGTCAGCTTCAAGGGCTTTTTTCTCCCAGCTAATGCCTAAAAGGCAAACAACCTTATTCTACTTCTCATTCACCCTCCTCTTTTCCTCCCATTTTTTTGCGGGTTATATTATTTCTACAATGTCAGACCATGTAATATTTATATACTATTCTATCATCATTATCCTCATCTTTTAATCTTGATGCTACACACAAAATATATTTGATTTGCTCACCACCTGACCTTATGTTGAAGATTTTCCAATCATTTCTTGGTTGTCTGAAATTTGTTCTCTAGTATACGCTTCAGAAGGATTCATGGGAACAATTATAGCCATTTTCCTTGAATTATTTCATGTTTATAAATGTTTGTCAATGCCCTGAATTCTTGAAGGGTAGTTTGGTGAGATAGGAATTATTTTATTTCTTTGAATAAATACTTTCTTAATATCTGACATAAAATGTTGCCACCAAAAATCCAATCTGATTTTCTTTGCAAGTGACCTGCTCTTTTTATTTCCCCCATCAATGCAAGAAGGGTTTATTTTTAAAAATCCAACAATTTTACAGGACCACATCTCAGTGTTAACTGTTGTGGGTTGATTTCTCCAGGTTTACAGTATGCCTTTCAACATATGTTACATTTAAACCTACTTTAATGTTAAGCGTTCTTGAATTACAGTCCTAATAGTTGTTCTGGTCCATTGCTTTGGCTTGCTTTGTTTTACTGTAGTAAAATAAGGAACATAAAATTTACTGTTTTAAAGTATTCAATAAGTGGCATTAAGTATATTCAGTGTTACATAAACATCACCACTATCCTTGGGCTTACATTTGGGGAACTCCATTTATATTTATTCTGGCTCTCTTTGCCTGTCTTGTCACCTCTTGACTCCTTTTTAAAAATCTTTTTATTTTCTTCATTTTTCCATTTTTCTTATCGTACTTTCTGTGATGTATATTCACTCTTGGTTTCTAATGCAATCATCACTTTAAACTGTCTTTTTCTTAATCTTTTATTGAGTTTTGTCTGCTCTCATTGCACCTCCTTCTATGGTCTAGCCATCTCATTTCTTTTTTTCCCCTGAAAACATAGAAAGAGGTGAATTTTATTTACTTTTTTATAATTTCAAGTTCTCTTTTAGATTTGGGGGTACATGTGCAGATTTGTTACATGGGTATACTGTGTAACGCTGAAGTCTGGAGTATGACAGATCCTGTCATCCAGGTACTGGGCATTATACTCAACAGTTAGTTTTTCAACACTTATTGCATTCCTTCCCTGCATAGTATTCCACGGTTCATATGTAACCAATCTATCCCTGATGGACACATAGGTTGATTCCACATCTTTGCTATTGTGACTAGCACTATGATGAACATATGAGTGCATGTATCTTTTTGGTAGAACAATTTCTTTTGGATATACACCCAATAATGGGATTGCTGGTCAAATGGTAGTTCTGAGTTTTTTGAGAAACCTTCAAACTGATTTCCACAGTGGCTGAACTAATTTACACTCCCACCAACCGTGTGTAAGTGTTCCCTTTACTCTGCAGCCTTGCCCACATCTGTTGTTTTTTGACTTTTTAGTAAGAGCCATTCTGACTGGCGTGAGATGATGTCTCATTATGGTTTTGATTTGCATTTCTCTGATGATTAGTGATGTGGAACATTTTTTCATCTGTTTATTGGCCACTTGTTCTTTTGAGAAGTGTCTGTTGATGTCTTTTGACCACTTTTTAATGGGTTTTTTTTTTTTTTTTTTTTGCTTGTTGAATTAACTTCCTTATAGATTCTGGATATTAGACCTTTGTCAGATGCATAGTTTGCAAATATTTTCTCCTATTCTGCAGGTTATCTGTTTGCTCTGTTAATAGTTTCTCTTACTGTGCAGAAGCTCTTTAGTTTAATTAGGTCCTACTTGTCAACTTTTGTTTTTGTTGCAATTGCTTTTGAAGACTTAGTCATAAATTCTTTCCCAAGGCTGATGTCCAGAATGTTTCCTAGATTTTTTCCTAGGATTCTTACTGTTTGAGTTCTTACATTTAAATCTTTAATCCATCTTGAATTGATTTTTGTATGTGGTGTAAGGTAGAAGTCCAGTTTTGTATGTGGTGTAAGGTAGAAGCCCAGTCTTATACACATGGCTAGCCAGTTATCCCAGCACCATTTATTGAATAGGAAGTTCTTTCTCCATTGCTTCCTTTTGTCAATTTTGTTGACCAGATGGCTGTGGGTGTACAGCTTAATTTCTGGGCTCTCTATTCTGCTCCATTGGCCTATATGTCTGTTTTTGTACCAGTACCATGCTTTTTTGGTTACTGTAGCCTCAAAGTATAATTTGAAACAAGCTACACATTCAGTAGCACTGAATGTGTAGCTTGTTTTGGGCAGTATGGCGATTCTAATGATATTGATTCTTCCAATCCATGAGCATGGAGTGTTTTTCCATTTGTTTGTGTCATCAATGATTTCTTTCAGCAGTGTCTTGTAGTTCTTGTAGAGATCTTTCACTTCCTTGGTTAGAGGTATTCCTAGGCAGTGTGTGTGTGTGTGTGTGTGTGTGTGTGTGTGTGTGTGTGTGTATGGCTATCGTAAACAGGACTGCATTCTTGATTTGGCTCTCTGCTCCAACATTATTGGTATAGAAACGCTACTGATTTTTGTACAGAGTTTGTATCCTGAAACTTACTGAAGTTATCAGTTCCAAGAGCCTTTGGTGGAGTCTTTAGGGTTTTCTAGGTATACAATCAGATCATCAGCCAAGAGAGATAGTCTGACTTCTTTTCCTATGTGGATGCCTTTTGTTTCTCTTGCCTGATTGCTCTGGCTAGAACTTCCTACGTATCTCATGTCTGAGCTCTTATTTCTGAATTTATGTGGTTCTTTCAAAGATTTCATCTTTTCCTTAAATTCTCTTAGCTTACTCTGAAATATTTAGATTGTCATTTTCATCTGCTTTGTGGCCACATTTTTGGGGTATGTTTTCATAATCTCGTGCAATGTTTTATGGCTTATTTTGATGATTTTCTTATAATGATTTAGTGTATATATATATATATATATATATTCCCTTTTCCCATATATTTATATAACTATATACTAAAAGGAGGTTCCCGGCTAGGTACAGTGGCTTATGCCTATAATGCTAGCACTTCGGGAAGCCAAAGCAGGAGGATCACTGGAGTCCAGGAGTTTGAGACCAGCCTGGGCAACATAGCAAGATGCCATCTCTCCAAAAAATTAGCCAGGCATGGTGGCACATATCTATAGTCCCAGCTACTCTTGAGGCTGAGGAGGGAGGTTCACTTGAGCCTGGGGGGTCAAGGCTGCAGTAAGCTGTGATCATGCCACTGTATTCCAGCCTGGGCAACATAGCGAGATCCCATCTCTAAAGAAAATAAAAAGGAGGTTCCTATGTTACACTGTATGGACATGCTGGAGTTTAAAAAAATCTATTTCCTAGTGGAATCTGGTTGTTTCCAGTTTTGGCCATTACAAATAAAATCGCTATAAATATTTGCAGAGCAGCCAATATAGGTTTTCATTTCACTTTTCATCAGAGAAGCATACAATCATCAAAGGGGAAATTAAAACCACAATGAGATACCCCATCATACCTCATATAAAGGCTAAATATTTTAACTGATAATGCCAAGTGCTGACAAGGATGAAAAACTACTGGAACTCTCTTATCTTGGTGGTAAATTTCAATCTAGAGTGGGCTTGCCAGATCATGTGATAAGGATATGATTAATTTTATAATAAACTGTCAAATTGTCTTCTAGGTGGCTGTACTATTTGCAGTCTCACCAGCAAGACTAAGGTTTCTCCTTGTTTTGCATCCTTGCCAGGAAATGTATTGTTTGTTTTGACATTCTGAGTAAGAGGTTGTGTAGTATCTCACTGTGGTTTTAATTTGCATTTTTCCAATGACGGTGGTTTTAATTTGCATTTTCCCAATGACTATTCTATACTTCTTTCATTTAACACAAAATGGTAACCACTTTCCTATGTCATTCAACAGCCTATGCCACTACTCTTTGAAAACGTTCCTTTTAAAAGGCTGAAAAATATAATGATGGGATGTGTCATAATTTATAAAACCATTCTTCTACCATTAGATATTTGTTATTTCCAATTTTTCACAAGAACAAAATTACACTGTGATTATAAAGCTTTGATTCTATCTCTATTTCCTTACAAGTTTCTTAGAAAAGGTCAAAAGGTATATGAACTTTTGTTTCTCCATGCATTTTGACAAGCCAACTGGAAGATACAAGTCAAGTGGAAGATACAAGCATGGAATCAAGTAATTAAGAAAAATGATTCTCAGGCCAGGTGCCGTGGCTCACACCTGTAATCCCAGCACTTTGGGAGGTGGAGGCGGGCAGATCATCTAAAGTCAGGAGTTCAAGACCAGCCTGGCCAACATGGTGAAACCCCATCTCTACTAAAAATACAAAAATTAGCTGGGCGTGATGGCCGGTGTCTGTAGTCCCAGCTACTCAGGAGGCTGAGGCAGGAGAATCGCTTGAACCACGGAGGCAGAGTTGCAGTGAGCCGAGATTGCACCATTGCACTCCAGCATAGGCGACAAGAGACTCCATCTCAAAAAAAAAAAAAAAAAAAAAAAAAAAAAAAACATCAATTATTTTGCTGTTTGTTTTGTTTTTTGGTATTCCTGATGCGAGATGTCTTTATCATGTATTGTTGATTAGGTTGTTCATCAGTTAATCTTGAATAACTGAAATCTAAGCTGAAGGCAATAATACATCGGCTTTCTTTTCATGCAAGTCAAACTGCTAAAATCTACCACAAAATATTAGCCTTTCATCAGCTTGGTCTTCAGATCCAATACATTTTCCCCTCAAATGAAAGACAATGCAATGCCATCCACAACAATGCTAAAAAAAAAAAAAAAAAAGGAGGAGGGAAACAAGGTTAAGTCCTGTCTTCTTCCTCCTACCCCAAAAAGAGCTCAGAAATTAAGGTGCTTTCCCTAACAAAGCCTCCTCCTGCTCCATGAAGTGACCAAGCATGTCATGGCAGACCCAGAGATTTATAATCTTCAACATATCGTTATCGGGGAAATCAAGATTTGACAAAATTCTTCCTTCACGCCCCGTTTCTGCAAGACCACCACTTTCTAGCTTAAAATAAAGAAAAAAAAAAGACAGCTGCAGGAATGCTTGGCTGCCCGCTAATGTACAATTTTGCCCAAACGCAGAACTTGACGCCCACTATTACCAAAGGATGGCCTTAGTAAAGTAACCCCCGCGAAGAGCAAACTGTTTAGCAGCCGCTCCCTCGAAAAGGACGGAAGAGGAGGTCTCTTCTGAACCTGAGGATAGTAGAGAGGCACTCCCCTTCCACTACTAGCTTTGCTCCTTTCTCAATCAGGCAGTTCATCAGCTAGCCTCCTTTGTCAAAGGGGGTTGATGGTCAGAATCTTTGCGAGACAAAAATTACTAAAAGAGCTCCCAGGAACCAATGTTAAGGCATCAAAGGCCCCGCCCAGCCCCCACAATGATCAACAAACCAAAACCTGGGATCCCTACTATTACCACCACCACAACCATCACCACCACCACCACCACCATTCCTCGCTCTCTCTAGCCAGGGATGAGACTCAGGCCCAGGAAACCCATCCTTTCCGCAAGTAGGAAGGCGCTGGGTCTCCTCCCTTAGGCCTCTCCTTTACCCCATTGTTCTCTCCGGACCCCTCCACTACGGCCAGGCGCTATGTATGTTTTCAACCCCCAAGAAGCCCAGTCCCAGCCACACACAAGATGGCAGCCTCACACCTACCGGAGGAAACAGCTGCGCCACCACTCCAGTGATGCCGGCCTCTCGACTACGAGTAACTCCATTGGCTCAGCTACAGTGCGCGAGACAAGCCGAGAGCGCTAGCAGTCAATCGGGAGGCGGCGCGCTCGGGCGCCACTGCGGTGCCAGCGGTAAGTGCGCCGAGTCTCTGAGGCGTGAACCAGTGGGGAGTGCGACCAATCAATGGGCTCCTGGCTGGGTGGTGGGACGGCCGGCGTCCGACTCCTCCCATGTAGTGATCGGTTTAGGTAGGTCGGCCTGGTCCCCGGCGGAGGTTACGCCTTCCCTCATCCCCGGTAGAGGCAGGGCGGGACTGTTGTGGTTGAGATGAAGGCTAGTAAATGGTGAAGTACTTCCCGGCCAGAGGGCACCTGCGCTCGGGAGGTTTGGGCGGCTTGGCGTCGGAGGAGAGCCCCACCCGCGGAGGAACCCAGCCTTGCCAACGGAGCTGGCGGAGCTCACTCCTCAGGTCAGGCGGGCGGCGTAGAAAACGCAGCGGAGCCAGGTGAAACCAAGGCACCGCCGTGGCTGGCCCCCGACAGTTCCTCTAGCCGGGAGGTTGGAGGAGCTGAAAACGCCGCGGAGCCCTCGGCCGCCCGAGCAGGGGCTGGACCCCAGCCCTTGCAGCCTCCCTTCTCCTGGCACCCAAGTGCAGTCCTGGCTGCAGAAGGGGCCGCGGGCGCACTGAGTTTCCAACCTCCATTTCAGCCTGTCTGTCTCAGGGTGCAGCCTTAATGAGAGGTGATTCCTAAGCTGCTGGGAACCTGAGGTTGTCAAAGGGGCGGCAGGAAATGGACAGCAGTATAAAACCCAGAAGCAGAACTTGAAGGTTAAACCACTAGCCCATTTCACAGGTAAGATTACACGAGCCCTTAAATACAGCAAGTTCAGTCATTCATCCAAGATCATGGAGTTCAGATTAGATAGTAACACTTCTGACTCGCTATCAGCCACAGCCCAATAAGTAATTAAGTAAGGAAAGATATGTAATTAACTGTGCTCTTTGGCATGTGGAAACCTGCAGTGAGCTCTGTAAATACTAACACATGAGGCCAAGGAGAGGAGTAAATTTGAAGAGGTCAAATGGAGTAACCAAAGCATAGGCTCTGAAACCATGCTGCCTGGTTCCTTATTTCGTGTCTGCCACTTACGGTATGGCATTCCTTAGCTTCCTCATCAGCAAACGAGCTGCTAATTTAACCCACATGACTGTTAGGGGGATTAAATAAGAACACGTGAAGTAGTTAGAAGCGTGACTAACCCGTGGTTCTTAAGCGTGACTTAACCCGTGGTTCTGTCGTTACAATTAAAACGTAAGGAGCCGAGAGGAAATGGTAAACGTGTTTTTAAAGCCTGTTTTAGAAACGAAAAGGAACCATACATTGAAGCAAAGCAGACTGGCTTAATTATTTTTCTACCAAAATGAAAAAGTGAGAAGGGGAAAAAAGTTTTTTAAGCCCATTTACTCTCTGAAATATTAACACCAGTTGTCTCTGGATGATGGGATGGTGTTTAAATTTTCTCCTTTATGCTTTATTGTATTTTGCAGATTTTCTCCAGGAAACATGTTTTACTTGTGCACGTTCAGTTTTCAAATTTTCAGGTGTGAACGCTGGTGAGAGCTGCTTAAAAACAAAGCTATGGGCCGGGCGCGGTGGCTCACACCTGTAATCCCCACACTTTGGGAGGCTGAGGCGGGCGGATCACCTGAGGTCAGGAGTTCAAGACCAGCCTGGCCAACGTGGTGAAACCCCGTCTCCACTAAAAACACAAAAATTAGCCGGGCGTGTGGTGGCGGGCCCCTGTAATCCCAGCTTCTCGGGAGGCTGAGGCAGGAGAATCGCTTGAACCCGGGAGGCAGAGGCTGCAGTGAGCCGAGATCACGCCACTGCACCCTTCTCACTGCACTGGTGACAGAGCGAGACTCCGTCTCAAAAAAAAAAAAAAAATCTATGGCCGTGCGCGGTGGGTGGCTCACATCTATAATCCCAGCACTTTGGCAGATCACTTGAGCCCAGAGTTCAAGACCAACCTGGGCAACATAGACCTCATGTCTAAAAAAAAATAAAACTATTACTGAGTGTGCTTAGGTGGAAGTATAAATTGGTAGAACCTTTCTGGAAGAGAGTTTGACAATATGCTATAAAAAGCTTTAAAATGAATTCCTTTTTGAACATTTATATATACTTAATTTTTAAAAATTAAGTACACTTTTACATTCTTTTACAGAATTGGTACCTTGTAGATAAAGAGCACAATCCAGATTTTGACCTTGAGTTTTTTCTTGCGTGTCAAGGTTATACTTATAAAAACAGTTGAATAGCTTCCCGTATTTTTCCTTCTTGAAAGTTCGTATATGATAAAAATTCTCCGTTCTTTGAAAGTTTTGTACAAGGAATGTTCCCTCACTCCTCTCCCTCCCTACTCCCGCTGGAGACTTTGGTACAGAGCTTTCAAGTGTTTTTTAATACTTACACCTTTTAATACTGTTACATATTCTATATAGGTGAATATATACATTTGTAATTTTTTAGTGGAAAAATACTATACTACATCATTCTGTAGCTTTATTTCTTGACATTGTTTTTGCAGCCTGTACATGTTATTTATAGCTCATTATGTTATTTATGGATCATTTCTTTTACCTGCTGCATAGTGTTCCAGTGTATGACTGAATTGATCTGTTAATATAAAACATTTCTTTGTCTCTTTTATTGGTCTTGTTGTTAAATCCTATTTTGTTTGATGTGTGCTGTATAGCACATTTTATTGCCATTCTCTGAGAACATTAGGTTTCCAGTTTTTCACCATACAACAATGCTGCAAGGAAAATCTTTGTGTTTTCTTGTGCACATGTGCTATTTCTCTAGGATATATACCTAAAAGTGGAATTGCTTGGTTTTAAGTTGTGAGCATTTTTAGTTTTAATAGGTCATGCTAAATTTGCCTCCAAAAATACCTCTACTAATTTACATGTTCCACAGGTAGTTTATGAGAGTTAAGTTTCTCTACAGTTTAGACTAACATGAGATATTATCTTCTTCATTTTTGCCTAGTGATGGCTGCAAATTATATTTTTAATTTTAATTTTCATTCTGTGATCTAAGATTGAAGTGTCTATTATGTTTGTTAACCTATAATTTATATGCATTTCTATAGTTTTTTAAAAACATGTTTAAGTTCTTTATGTGTCCTCGATACTGTATTTTTAGAAGTCTCTTTGGTGTGTATGGTTAATTATGCCTCCTTTTTGTTGCTATTGTTAAAATATGTTAAAAACATTTTCTCTTAGCTTCTTGCTTGGCTTTTGACTTTTTGTTAACTTATTTGTTCTACAGATGGATTTTCCTCTGCCAATCTTTAGGCCTCTTTTTATCTTACTGAATTTCTCTAAGACTTCCAGTACAGTATTGAATAAAAACAGTGATAGCAACTGTCTTCATCTTGTGCCTAATAAAAATTCTCCGAATGTTTCATCATTGAGTATGATGTTTGCTGTCATTGAGTAGGATGTTTTGGTAGATAGCCTCGATCAGAATAAGAAAGTTCTCTTTTTTCCTAATTTGCTAAGGGGCCCCCCCACCTTCCATGGAATAATTTTATATTGAATTGTTTTGTTTTTCTGCATGAAGTGATAGTTTTCCTCCCTTTGCCTGTTAATATAAGCATTCACATTGATAAACTTTTCATGTTAAACTTTTTAGGTATTCTTGGGATAAACTATTTTGGTAATACATTCTTATTCTACTGCTGGATACCTTTATTCAGTATTTTTGTGTCTAAGACCCAGTAGTGATTTGGGCCTTGAGTTTTTTTCTTGCATGTCAAGGTTATACTTATCTCATAAAAAAAAGTTGAGTAGCTTCCCATATTTTTCCTGCTTCAGAACAGTTTGTATATGATAAAAATTAGCCGTTCTCTGAAAGTTTTGTACAATTCATCTGTAAAAGTTTATGGACCTAGTGTACTAGCAGTGAAAAAAATTTCATATCTCATAAAAAAAAATTGAGTAACTGCTTAAGAAAAAGTTGAGTAGCTTCCCATATTTTTCCTGCTTCAGAACAGGTTTGTGTTTGATAAAAATTATCTATTCTTTGAAAGTTTTGTACAATTCATCTGTAAAACTTAATGGACCTAGTGAACTAGCAGTGAGGGGTGGGGATGTGTGGCACACATCTCTAGTAATATCTTCAGTGTTTTGAGCCTATTTGGTAATTTATATTTTCCTAGAAAATTGTTCAGTTCGTCTGTGCTCAGGTTCATTGACATAAAACTGTCTGAATTTTAAAATGTTTAAAATCTCTTCAGTAGCTAGAGATCTATCTTCATTTGTTATTATTTATTTTGTTGCTTTTTTCCCAGCTTCTTTAATTGAATGTTTAAGTCAATATTTTCATTTTGCTAATAAAATTTATTTAAGGCCTAAATATCTCTTGGCATGCTGCTTTGGCAAAATCCTTCAGGCTTTGAAATGTATTACTTCAACCGATCACCATTTCTAAATGTTCTTAAATTTCTCCTTTGATTTCTTCTGTAAACCATATACATTATTTGGGAAATTTGATTTTTTAATTTCCGCAGGTAGTATGGGGTGGGGGGTTGATTTACTACATTCAGTGACTATGCTCTGTGTAAACAGTCTTTTGGAATTTGTTGATAATTCCTTTTGGTCTCATAATAGTTTTTGTAAATTTCATGCTTTTCCTCCCACAAGAAGTATTTTCTGTTGGGTGCAGGGTTCTATATATTTTTTGGATTAAGCTTGTTAATTTGTCATTTAAATCCTTTATACTCTGGTTTTTTACCCACTTTATCTCAGTTCCTTAGATTTGTTACTTCATCACCAAATTGTGGATCTGTGCATTTTCCTTTTAATTTTGCTTTATATATTTCAGAGTGATGTTATTTGTACATAAAGGGTCATGAATATTAAATCTGGTGAATTGTTCTGTCAGCATAAAATATTTGTGTCTTTTATTGATTTTCATATTCAACTCTTATTTGATACGTTTCTTCTTATAATTGCAGATGTCTTTTTCCAGTCTCTTCGTTTTCAGCCTTGCTGTGACATTTTGTGTAATTTAAGTGGGTCTCTTATTTTAAAATATCATATCTGGGTTTTGCTTGCCATCCAATCTGAGAGTCTGCCCTTTAATAGGTAATTCACCTTTATTGTGATTATTGACATATTTTGGCCTTATTCTTGTCATTATTTAACAAGCTTCTCTTTGTATCTTTTATATCTTATTTTTCCACCTGTTTTTTGGAACAGAGTCTTGCTCTGTTGCCCAGGCTGGAGTACAGTGGCGTGATCTCGGCTCACTGCAACCTCTGCCTCCCAGGTTCAAGCAATTTTCCTCCCTCAGCCTCCCAAGTAGCCCAGATTACAGGTACACACCACCACACCCAGCTAATTTTTGTATTTTTGGTAGAGATGGGATTTCGCCATGTTGGCCAGGCTGGTCTTGAACTCCTGACCTCAGGTGATCCACCCACCTCAGCCTCCCAAAGCGCTGGCATCACTTTTATTTTTAATTGAGGTTAGCCCCAAGTTTTCTTTGTTCATTTTTTTTTAAGTTGATTAACTTTACATTTCACAGTTCTTAAATTTATGTTTTCTTAACAAAGTGTACATTTAGTCAGTTTTGATAAGGCCCCTGTAAAGAAGAAGTTAGCATGCTTCTACTTTGCTTTCTCTCATCTTGAAACAATCCCTTCCATCTCTCCTCCAGAAAAGAACATAATCTCTCATGATATCTTTAAGAATTTTTCTTTCATTTGTTATTAAATTCAGTTTACATTTAACATTAATGTGTTTTACTCATTTATTTGCTCACTATTGCTACGTATACCTCAGTGCTTTCTTATAGGTTCATTTTTCATCATCAGATACTTATTTCTTTCACAGTCTCTGAGTGACTCTTTGAATGTCTGCAAATGTCTTTTTTTCATCTTTAGTATGGAAAGATAGCTTGGCTGGATATAGAGTTCTGGGTTCATACTGACTTTGCTTTAACATTTTGCATCTGACATTTCTGATGAGAAATCTCATTACTAGTCTAATACACCTTCCTTTTAGATAATCTACATTTTTCTGGAAACATCTAAGACTTTGTGTTTTTGATATTCTGAAGTTAGTCACGGTTTGTCTAGCGATGTGTGTTAAGAATTTTATCCTGGTTGGTACTCAGTGGATTCAGTTTGCTTATGTGTTTTCCAGTTCTGAGAAATTCTTGCTCATTATTGCCTCCTCTCCATTTTCTCAATTTTTTGCCTCCTCTTGTTTCCTTGCTCTGTGTTCTTGGTGAATTACTCAACTCAGTCTTCCAGCTTACTAACTGGCTCTTCATGTTAGTCTGTTCTGTCATTCAGTCATCTATTGAGTTTATTTCAACAACTGTTTTTATATCCAAGATAGCTAACTGGCTTTTTTTCAAAATTGTGTGTTATTTCATGGATGAGATTTCCTTCTTTAGCTCAGTCTCTTTCATAGTGTAGCCTTCTTCAGATATTTGAGGACTCTCAGTTGTGCATTAATCTCCTCTGAGAGGATTCCTGCCCATCGTTTTGCTGTTGTGATTGTGGTTGCCATCATCTCTATAGCTTCCCATCTGTTTCCTTTCCCCAGAAGGGCCTTACTGACTTGGCCCTTAGAGAGTTCCCTTTTTGTTTTCAGCATGGCTATATATATATATTTTAAATCTCCTAACATTTCCATGGTTTGGTGTGGAAGTGGCAGAAGAATTTACAGTATCTTGACTAACATCTTGAGAATTAAAATTGTTGATCTATTTTTGACCTATTATTCTACCTCCAGATATGTTATCCTAGGGAAATTGCCAGAGATATGTATAAAGTATATTTATTTTAGCATTATTTATTATACTAAAAATTAATCTATAAAGGAAAACAATCTAAATATCGAATATAGAGGTTTATATTATTAATTAATATTTTTATTAAAATTTAATTATTAAAATATTTAATGTACTATAATGTATGCGTTATTGACCAAAGTATGTTATACAGCCAGTTGTATTATACAAAAATATTAGTGATGGAGGAAAATGCAGGAAATGTTTTTAATGAAAGATTATAAAAAATTAAATATACTACAATCCAAATTTTTGTTTTAAAACTACATTCTGAAAGAATAACAATAATTGGTAGTATTCCTTGAATCTTTCGTATGTCAGGCACATTATATGTAATTAAGTCTTGTCCTCAGAACAACCTGTGAGATAGTTAGTATTATCCCCTTTTTAAAAGGTTTATAAAAGACTTATAAAATGGAGATAGTAATATAAATACAAATATATTAAATATGGGTGATAGGATTGGGTGGGCCTTCTCTATTATTTCTAATTTTGATACTTTACATATTTTTTCCAGATAACATAATGTTTTTTTGTAATGGTTCATGCTGTTTTAAAAGATCAAGCTGTTATAACAATATCTTATTTCCTTATATATACATATATATATATATATATATATATATATGTGGTCCTTTACAAATATGCACTATTCTTTATTGTTTTCCTTACAGAATGTTTCATCCATTTGTGGACCAAAAGATGGAGTTGGTTTTTATTTTTAAAAAGATAATGTTAATGATCTGATACCACTACAAATATTTACGTGAGAAGATTCATGGACTTGTCTTTTGGTTGGACTGTCACTCATTTCTGAAAGTTTCTTCAGCCACAATTTCTATTTGAAAATTCAAGTATCAAAGGATACCAGGTTTAGAATGGTATAATGATGTATTTTGTCTGAGGACTGCAAATTTTATAGAGACCACAGTTGGATTCCAGTGATATTCTGCAATCAAAGTGATTTGATAAACCTAATTTTGAAGCATTTTATATTTATAAGCGACATCAAAAGATGGGAGAAAAAAATGGTAGGTTGAAGAACACACTGTTACACTTTATATCTAAAAGTATAAAAGTATATAGACAATGTAAGCTGATGTGGAATTGTCAAGGTTTTGCATTGCGAGGAACTTTTCTGAATTAGAGGGAATTAAGGGTTTATTCTTGTATAGCCACCAATTTTGACTGTCTTTATCATTAGTTGTGAAAAAATTGACTTTTTTGTAAACTTTTTTTTTTTTCTTTTTTTTTGGTGATGGAGTCTCTGTCGCCCAGGCTGTAGTGCAGTAGCACAATCTTGGCTCACTGCAACCTCTGCCTCCTGGGATCAAGCGATTCTCCTGCCACAGCCTCCTGAGTAGCTGGGATTACAGGCATGTGCCACCATGCCCAGCTAATTTTTTGTATTTTTAGTAGAGATGGGGTTTCACCATGTTGGTCAGGCTGGTCTCAAACTCCTGACCTCATGATCTGTCCACCTTGGCCTCCCAAAGTGCTAGGATTACAGCACTTGCACCTGGCCAAAATAGGTGAGCCACTGCACCTGGCCAAAATACTTTTAGTGTTACAGAAAAATTGAGAGGATTGCAGAGTTCCAGTAAACCTGGTACTTAGCTTTATCTATGATTAACATTTTACATTTGGATGCTACATTTGTTACAATTAATGAACCAATATTGGCACATTATTATTAACTGAAGTCCATAGTATATTCACGTTAGTTTTTACCTGATGTCTTTTTCCATTCCAAGATCCCATCCAGGACACCACATTCCATTTACTTGTCATGTCTGCTTAGGCTCCTCCTAGCTGTGATAGTTTCTGAGACTTTTCTTGTTTTTTATTTTTTTGGGATTTTGTATCCAAATATTTTGTAAGATGCCCCTCTGTTGGAATTATTGTCTGATGTTTTTCCATAATTTGACTGGAGCGATGGGTTTTGGGGAGTGTGATCTCAGAGGTAAAATGTCATTTTCATCACATCATATCAAGGGTACATGCTGTCAGCATGATTTCTCAGAGTTGATATTGAACTTGATCAACAGAGCTTGAGCTGGCTAATGTAGGTGGTGGTATCAAATTTCTCCACTGTAAAGTTACTCTTTTTCTCCCATTCCCTGCTATACTCTTCGGAAATAAATCACTATAGGTAGCCCACAGTTAAGGAGTGGGGATTTATGCTCCCCCTCCTTAAATGTGGAATATCTACGTTAATTATATTTGGAATATTTCTGCAGGGGAGATTTATCTCTCTCTCTTCTTCCCTGTTTATTTATTCAGTTAATCATTTATATCAGCATGGACTCATGGCTATTTATTTTATACTTTTTGAGTTACAAGCCAGTACTACTTTATTTATTTTGTTTTTCAAATTGTCCCGGGTTTGGCTATTGGGAGCTCTTTCAGTTGGCTCTTTTTTTTCTTTTTTTTTTTAAGATGGCGTCTCACTCTGTTGCCCAGGTTCATGTGCAGCAGCGCAATCTTGGCTCACTGCAACCTCTGCCTCCTGGGTTCAAGCAATTCTCTTGCCTCAGCCTCCTGAGTAGCTAGGATTACAGGTGTGTGCCGCCACGCCCAGCTAATTTTTGTATTTTTAGTAGAGATGGGGGTTTCACCATATTGGCCAGGCTGGTCTCGAACTCCTGACCTCAAGTGATCCACCCGCCTTAGCCTCCCAAAGCGCTGGGATTACAGGCATGAACCACCATGTCCTGCTCAGTTGGCTCTTGTGTCCCTTTGATATACCGTCATCAGTGTAGGTATTTTTTATTTGTCTTTGTTTTATAGCACTTCCCTTTTGGCACTCGAAGATTGCTCTAGATTGCTCTCGTATATTTCTTACGCATCTTAGAGTGAGCCATTTCTTGAATAACCTGTCAATATTTTTATTGGAAAATGGTATTAGAAACCAAGGTCTGAATGATAGGTGTATTTGTTGTTACTGGAGTGTCCTTGTTTATAGGCCCTTTCAGCTGGCAGAGCAATGAAGTATATATATATATACTAACTTATATATACACAACTCATGGCTATAAATATTTCTATATGTAACTGTTTGTATCTGCCTTAAGCTAACCATGAAATTACGCTGATGTTTCCAACTCTAATCTATTACCACGTGGATCATTTTAGTCTCCTCACCTTATCTGTATGCTCCCACTCCAGTAGTAAAAAACTTAGTTCCCATCACCCACCATCCATTTACTTAATTGTTCAATTCCAGTATATATATGTAGCAGTATCAGAATTGTTAACCCTTGACTGGGCACCGTGGCTTATACCTATAATCCCAGCACTTTGAAAGGCCGAGGCCAGGAGTTAGACCAGCCTGGTAAACATGGCAAAATCCTGTCTCTACTTAAAAAAAAATAATAATAGTAATACAAAGTGGCACACGCCTATATGTAATCCCAGCTATTCCAGAGGCTGGGGCATGATAATTGCTTGAACCCAGGAGGCAGATGTTGCAGTGAGCTGAGATTGTGCCACTGTATTGCAGCCTGGGTGACAAAGCAAGACTATCTCAAAATAAATAAATAAATAAAAATAGAATTTTAACCCATCCCCAGGTAGGAAAATACTTTATCAACTAGAGTACAGTAAGTAAGTAAGTATATGCAGTTACTTTTGCCTTTATTTTTACAGACTCCACTCATTTCCAAAGTTACTTAGGTCAGTACCTTTTCCACCCAGCCCTTGGTGAAGTTGTTTATACATTTGTAATACAGTTAGATTCTCTTCATAGTCTGCATTCCTTACTGAGATCCCTGACGTCCTAAATGATTTTTAAAATTTGCATACGTTATTAGTTCATTGTTTACTCTTTAAATTCTGTGGGTTTTTACAACTGCATAATGTCATGCATCTATAATTATAGTATCATACACAATAGTTTCGGTGCCTTTAACATAGTTGTAATGTATGGATTGTTATACAGATCATAGTACTGATTTCACCAGGCTGTGATCTAAGCCAGTGGTTCTCAATTTTTTTTTTGGTCTCAGGATGACTTTATACTCTTTAGAGTATTTAAAACCGCAAAGAGCTTTTGTTTATGTGGGTAACATCTGTTGATACTTACTGTAATAGAAATTGAAACTAAGAAGTTTCAAAAAATATTAATTGGCTTATTTTTAAGAAAATAATAAATCCAACATGTTGAAAATATAAATAGAAACTATTTTCTAAAGCAAAAATATTAGTGAGAAGGATAACATTGTCTTACCTTGTTAGAAATATCTTTAATAACTGGCTTATTAGATTCTTATATCTGCTTCTACATTCAGTCTTCTGTGTTATATTACTTTGGTTGAACTGAATAAAAGACAAGCTTCACACAGACAGGAAGCTGAAGAAGGAAGAGTATTTCAATAGCCTTTCATCTAATTGTGGATATTTTTCTTTGTTGACTCCAAAACTCAACAGGTAGTCATTCCTTAAAGGTTAGTTGGAGTGTGGAGTCTGACATATCATTGAGTATTTTTACAATGTTACATTAAAATCCATTGGTCTATCTTGCACTTTGAGTAGATCTTTTACCATGTATGATTTTACATGTATTGACCACTTGTAAAATATTGGCTCAGTGAATTATGCAGATCTTCCAAATGTTGACACATTTAATCATATAATTTTAAAATCACATTTGTTAATATAGCTACTGATCTCATTTTAAAAGTGGTTAACTCTTCAGAAACTTTCAGGTTTGCCATGGCAGATACAAGGTTTTCAAAATTCTCATTTTCATTCTGTAGCTTGAATTTTGTCATTAGCAAGAAATATTGTTAGTTTTGTCCTTCAAGTGATAGGCTCACTTTGCTCATATGCCAAACACTCAAGTCTGGAAAACTACAGTTTTATCAGTGGTTCTTTTAAGTAAAAATGGTTTTCATTTAAAAAAAAACAAAAAAAAACTAGATAGTTTAGTTTACAAGTTGAACAATCCCACTAGTATTTTTTCTTGAGACAGCCATTGTACTATAATGGCTGTACAAATGATTGTAATAACTTATGTTGTTTCATTAAAGGTGTACTTAGATGAAATTGGTGGTGAAGATCACAATAGTAAGTGAACTATCACTTACTGATAGTTTGATGCCACTAACTTGATTCATGCTAAGTCACTAGCAGTTTTACTCACCAGTGCCTTTGTACTATCAGTTGTCAATATAATAAAAACAGCAAATGTCCTAATATTATTTTTTAAATAGTTTGTCCTTGTGTATTCTCTGAAATGATTTGGGGAGTCCTAGGGGTCCACAGACCACATTTTGCTAATTACAGGTTCAAAGATACCTTAGAGTTCCTCTAGACCAATACCCTATAAGCCCCTTACTACATATGTTTCTGTGTACTGAGGTCATTATTAATGTATTTGGTAAGTATTTCATAAATACTTGGCTAGCAAATGAATTCAGATCAGTATTATTCATGAGCATTGTCTGTTTACAAAGACTGTCTAGAGTGAGATTGGTAGACATAGTATAACTATACCATGTACTTGGCGTCCTTCATTACAAGGCTGCTACACTTCTTGCCTCATGGTTATAGTCTTGCAATGAATAGTCATAACTGGCTAAATAAAAAAGAGAGTTTGAACAGATAATAAAGTTACCAGATGGTATTCTTCATTTCTGGGGGCAAATAGCAGCAATATTAGTATGCTGAATTGATCTTCAATTCAGGTACCTGCTCCAGTATTCCTTGTAAATATCTTCTAGTAAAATATACCGAAATATTTAGTTTTAGGTTATAATGCTGAGCATGCATACAATGCCGAAAGAAGTGAAGATCAGGAGCAAGAAACTAAAATTGTTTGTATTGTAGTAACTATGTCTACAGTCGAAACCAAAGTCTCCCAGATGTTTCTTGTGATACTCATTTAGTCTCCTTGTGCACAGAAGTTGTTAACTGGATCTATTAGTTTCATTTATCAGAAAGTTTGGTTACCTCTTTTCTTATTACTGTGGTTAAGGGCTTCCATAGCAAGAAGACAAAGAAAAATGATCAAGAAGGAAGACATGAGGAACAAGTGCCATTTTAATGAAAATTAAACCTAGCAATATGAGATAATAAGGAAGTCATAAGGAACAACATATTTATTTAAAACCCAGAACAAATAAATATGAATTGCTTAGTTACATTCATTTATTGTAGAAGCAGATTCAGTATTTTCTTTGATTGGCTTTGTGTTTTTAAATTATATTACCAGTGTCCTTTTTTTTTTCAAAATCATTTCCAAGATTGATCATTTACTCTGTTTACTTTTTAAATAACTCATTTTAAGTAGTTCCTACCAGAATAATTTAGTAGCATGTATTGGCATTTCTAAGACTTTTTTTTTTTTTTTGAAAGAGTCTCGCTCTGTGTTTTATTAATCGGTTCCAAGATTGAGCATTTACTCTGTTTACTTTTTAAATGACTCATTTTAAGTATTTCCTACCAGAATAATTTAGTAGCATGTGTTGGCATTTCTAAGACTTTTTTTTTTTAATAACTCATTTTAAGTATTTCCTACCAAATAATTTAGTAGCATGTATTGGCATTTCTAAGACTTTTTTTTTTTTTTTTTTGAAAGAGTCTTGCTCTGTTACCCAGGCTGGAGTGCAGTGGCGCAATCTCAACCCACTGTAACCTCCGCCTCCTAGGTTCAAGCAATTCTCATGCCTCAGCCTCCCGAGTAGCTGGGACCACATGCGTGTGCCACCACGCCCAGCTAACTTTTTTGTGTTTTTGGTAGAGATGGGGTTTCACCGTGTTGGCCAGGCATGTCTCAAACTCCTGGCCTCAAGTGATCTGCCTGCCTCAGCCTCCCATGAGGTGTGGTGGCACCACACCTAGCCTCTAAAACAATTTTAAATGATAAAAAAAACAAAAATTCATTGAGTCTTGATTGTTGTCTTTCAGCATCACAGCTTTTTTTTCCTCAGTCCAGGACAAAATTTTATGTGATTCCAGAATACTTTAATGTTACCAAAAGCTATTTTTAAATACTTCCAAAATACTTGAAAATACTTCAAAATACATCTCAATGTCCACCTCTAATAAAGATAAATCCCTAGTAAGAGGTATTGACTCATATCTGTGAAGGGAAACTTAACAATAATCTATGAAGTGCTTTGAAAAATAATTTTGCCTAAAAGTGGTTTTTGTTGATTATCAGTGAAAAACCTAATGATTTCAGGCACCCTGAGAAAGCCCTGCTTCACAAAATATTTTCCTCATTAAGCTGATTGTTCTCTAAAATTCCACAGTGAAAGATGAATTCCTTTTGTTCACTGCAGCCTCGAACTCCTGGGCTCAAGCAATCCTCTCGCCTCAGCCTCCTGAGTAGCTCGGACTACAGGCATGTACCACCTCGCCTGGCTGATTTTTTTGTAGAGAGGAGGTCTTGCTATGTTACCCAGGCTGGTCTTGAACTTGGCCTCAAGTGATTCTCCTGTCTCGGTCTCCTAAAGTGCTGGGATTACAGGCCTGAGATACTGTGCCCAGTTTGTTATTTCCATTTTATAGATGTGGTCACACAGTTAATAAATGGGTCAGAACTAGTATTCAAACCCAACTACACTTGAACTCCAAAGCCTAGGTTGTTAATCACCACTCTTTTTCTTTCCTTGGCTTCTGAGATACTACTCTCCTGGGTTTCTCTTCCACCTCAGTCTCTATAGTTCCTTTTCCTTGTATTGTTGATGTTCTACATAAGACCCTTCTTATTCTGTATGTTCTCCCTATGGAATTACATCTACTCTATGGCATCAGCAAGTATTTGTACGTTAATGACTCCAATTTGTATTTCTGAACCAGATCTTACTCTAGAGCCTATGCATCCAGTTTGTTCGGAGAGCCTCTTACTACTTGAATTTGCCACCTGTCCCTCTACCTTTATTCATACCTTAATGAATAGCATTATTGTCCATATGATTGCCTGAGGCAAAAAAGTGGAGATCATTCATGACTCCTCCCACTGCTACCTGAGTGATCTTTCTGGAAAACATAACTAATCACATCATAAGATCCTTATACCTCTTGGGTAGCTTTCCATATAAAAGGTGCTTAGCATGGCACATAGGGCCTTCGATGTCATGCCCTACCTGCCTTTTAAGCACCAGTTCTCATCCATTTTGTCCTCTTACATTGCTCTTGTTTAAAATCTTGAAATTTTGTTTGAGCTGTGCTATGGGGAATTAAAAGTAAGCTTAGTCTTACATAGTATACATCAGTCCAGAGTATTAGTAGTAAAACAACACCCCTCCAGAGGCCACTATGTTGGCAGCAGCACTAACTAGCCAGAAGTCCCCTTTGGGAAAGGTGACTTTCCCAGCAGGAATTGAGACTTTGATACCTAAGCCCCTTATGCAGATTCTCCCTTCTTTGCCAAACTTGGAGGTTCTGGGTTTAATTTGTGTTAGGGAAAATGTATTTTTTGTAAGCCATCTGGACTGTCTACTCATTAATCCTCCCTGTGCCTACTCCAGTGACCTTTCTAAAATGCAATTATTACGATGTCTTTCCTTTGCTTATAGGCCCTATTAGTTAATTTTAAATAATTTTATACATTGTAACATTGTATAAATATGCTTAGCATTTTAGGTATTTTTGTTACTTTTAAACGCGAAGTGAGATTTAGCTTTTGACAACTTATAATTGTTTTTCTTATATTTTCAATTTTGAAAGGATTGTTTCTTTAGGAAAATTTTGAAGTATTAGCTTACTGGGCATCAGAAATGTTGGCTCATTTATGTAACTTTCTCTGTACAACTTTAAACATTAATTTGCTTCATGCAATTAAACATATAGAAGACTTTTTTAAAAAGCAGTATTGTTGGACATTTAGTTATTTCAGCAGCCATTGAGTTGTCTCATTCTGAAACCACACTCGGTGGAGATTATACCACTGAGACTTTTTAAAGTGCATGTATAATCTATACATATACCCCACAACCACTCTCCAGTGAAGTCTTCCTTCTGTTTTCTAGTCAAGAAAGTGTCACTAAAATTTTCAATATATATTTTAAAAATTAACAGAAATGGGTAAGATACTTAGATCATATTGTTTCTAGCTCTTTGTAAGGAAACATTACTAAAATATTTTCCTCAAGGAAAATGATAGACCAGATGAGTCTTGATCTTGTTTAGAAACCAAGTAGATTGTTCTATAACATGTTCTTAGATAAATTATAGTATTTTTCTATTAGCTCTTAGGCTAGTCACTTATTTTTATTTTAGGCGATGCAAAAACTTTCTGGATGGAGCTAGAAGATGATGGAAAAGTGGACTTCATTTTTGAACAAGTACAAAATGTGCTGCAGTCACTGAAACAAAAGATCAAAGATGGGTCTGCCACCAATAAAGGTATGAAGCAATAAAAACTTTGAATATGTTTAATACTAAATATTTCTCTCTGACAGTACAGTATCATTCTATTTCCAATATTGCTGTTTGTAAAAGTAGATGGATGTAATTACTTTTGAATAATACCTACTGAATTTCTTTTTATCTCAAGCTACTTTTTTCCCTCATTTATCTTTTTTTTTAGGGGAATGTTGCAAAAGTAACATCTGCTCATTATATAACATTTGGCACTTATAGAAAAATATAACAAGGAAAAATTATTCCACATTCAGAGACAACTAGTTTTTTCATATGTATGTGTAAAAGTACATATAACTTTATTTTGCCTGCTTTAAACAGAACTTACTCTACCAGTCTTCTGAAAGCAAAATTTGTGTTCTACATAGGCAGTTAGTTCAGTAATCCAAGTTTTTATTTTTTCTATTTGTTTGTTGTCAACCCTGGTTGGTTGTAGAACGTAAGACTTGAAGATGAAATCCTCCTTCAATCCATCAGGACATACGGTTTTGAAGCAAATTTTTCTCCAGATTATTTTTAGTACTTTCTGGATGGTCTTATGACATTATTATTATGTGTTTATCAAAAAAAATTGGCACTGTTTTTCATTTTAATCTTCCTTGTCAATCCTTCATGAGTCAGATAAATCTAGATTCTAATCCAGTTGTACTACTTCTTAGCTGAATGTCCTGGAATAAATAGCTTAACCTCTGAGCCTCAGTTTCTTTTGTCTCTAATGCAGATAGTCCTATTAACCTCTCAGAGGAATAGTGAAGATTAAATGAGATAAAATATGTAAATTGTTTAGCACAGTAGCTGGCACCATAAATAAAGGTAATGGTGATGCTGTTTTTCTGTCTTTAACAGAATACATCCAAGCAATGATTCTAGTGAATGAAGCAACTATAATTAACAGTTCAACATCAATAAAGGGTATGTACATCTCTATTCCCATTGTAGAGTATTCTCTGATATTTTCTTGCCATGAAGCAGGATAGCTTTAATATGTTGGGCTAATTAAAGATAATTTAAAATAAAATCTAACATCCACATTTCTAAGTTACATAAATCACAGTTTCCTCTGTTAAATGAAAAGTCCTACCCATCTAGAGATAGTAAATGCACATCCAACTAAGCAGCCTAGGGAAAGAATTAACAAATGTGTGTCGTCTTTGGGGGAAAAAAAGACTTTCTTATATAAAGAGGGCAAATAGAATTCTAACTTTAAAACACTATATATCCGCTTTCTGTGAAGAACAATACTTGAAAGATATATTCTTGTATAGATAAGTTGGTGGGTAAATCTTTTATTTCTAGATTGCTTTTAGACCATCAGTCTTCCAAGCTCTAAATCAGCTTAGAAGGATCAAAGATAATGTACTAAAGAAAAACTGTTTCTCTTCTCACAAAGCTTCTGACACCAAATGTGGGTTTTCCATGCCATGCAATTCTCCAGTATTCTGTGGACACCAATGGATGTTGTATTCTAAAATTTAATTCAGTTCTGACACTACTACCCAGAGTTAGCACAGATCCCACAGATTAAGGGCTCATTCCCACCAACTTGCTCCCACTTCAGACACTGGTCACAATGCCTGGGCCTCCTGTACTTCTGACTGACTGCTACAAATTAGAGGTTCCCACAACCCCCTCCTCAGATTCCATGATTTGCTATAATGGCTTATAGAACTCACAGAAGTATTTACTATTACCAGTTTATTATAAAGGATATTATAAAGGATACAAATGAATAGCCAGATGAAGAGGTACAAAGGGCAAAGTTGGGAAGGGCCTGAGAACAGGAGCTTCTGTCCCTGTGGAGTTTTGGGGTGTACCACCCTCCCAGTATGTAGATACATTCACCAGTCTGAAAGCTCTCTGAACCCTGTTGTTCAGGGGTTTTGTGGAGGTCTCATTACATAGGCATGATTCAGTCATCAGCCCATTGGTGATTTGCTTAATCTGCCTCTTTCTCTTCCCTGGATATGGGGGTGGAAAGAGTAGGGATGAAAGTGCGAACTCATTAACCATGCCTTTGTCAGAAGTGCCTTGGTCTTTCTGACAACCAGCCCCCATTCTGAAGCTGTCTAGGGATAGCTCACCTCTCAACAGTCATCTCATTAGCATACAAAAGACACTCTTATCACTACTGGAGATTCCAAGGGTCTCAGAAGTTCTTATGTCAGGAACTGGGGATTAAGACAAATATTATAACAGAAGGTGCTCCTCTCATACCTGTTACTTGAAATTAGAAGGGTTTTAGGAATTAGGTCAGGAGCCAGGGCAGAAACCAAATATGTATTTCTTATGATGTTACATGTACTAAGACTTTAAAAAGAAAAACTGAGAAGTTATTTTAACAGGATCAATCACCATTCCATAAATCTTAGTCTGTCACATTTGCTGAAGTTTTAAGGAAGTACAATATTTACTAGGTTTGTATTAATGCTGTTAGATGTTGTCAATAAATGTCAATAATTTTTGTCTTTTATAATTTGGAGCCTTAAGGCTTTTAAATCTCTGAAAATATAGTCTAGCATCACCAGTCTATTTTAAGTAAACCATTTGGTATTCAAAGTATCCTCAATTTCAGTGCTACAGTATAGCTTTAGAAGAGTAGTTTCTTGAAGAAAACAGTCTTCCTTTCACAGTATCCTTCAGTAACACTCGGAATTGTAGGGGAGGAAAAATTTTATCTCAGTGGCTGGGGGATGAGGGCTGTAACAAAAGATAGAAGACAGGTTAACAGGAGAAGAGACATAAACAAATGTGTTAATTTTTTTTTCTTTTTCTTGAGACGAAATCTTGCTCTCTCTCCCAGGCTGGAGTACAGTGGTGGTATCTCAGCTCACTGCAACCTCCCCCTCCCAGGTTCAAGCAATTCTCCTGCCCCAGCCTCCCGAGTAGCTGGGACTACGGGCGCATGCCGCCACACCCGGTGATTTTTTTTTTTTGTATTTTAGTAGAGAGAGGGTTTCACCATGTTGCCCAGACTGGTCACGAACTCCTGAGCTCAGGCAAACTGCCTGCCTCGGCCTCCCAAAGTGCTGGGATTACAGGCGTGAGCCACCGCGCCTGGTCAACTTTTAATTTTATATGCACAAGTGTTGCGGGAATTAGGAGGACCAGAGAGACCTTCGGGTGAATACAGGAGGATCTTTATTGAGTGCACTCAGACCCAGCAGACTTAACATCCAAAAACTTGGCCCAGAACAAAGACAGCACTTGACTTTTATACACAAGGGGGTGGGCTAGCCTGAAACAAGCTTACAGTGGCATGAAGCGTAGTGGCATGAAAGGGTACAGAGGCAGAACAAAGACAGTTAATCAAATTGTGACAGGTTCATAACTCAGCATTACACGTTTGCTATGCAGCCCAGATGTCTGTTATCTAGGTTTTTCTCTAGTGCCTAGCACAGCTTATTCCATGACCTTCACTGTGGTGCCCAGGTGGCCATAATTCAGGCCTGCTCAGATGGCTCATGACCTTCACTCCACCACTGCTTAGATAAAACAGAATACTTGAAGTTACTAGTTACAGAGAACAGGAATCTATACACTCATACCATAAGAGAAAGGAAAATTTGTTTTTCTCCTCTCTATGTTGAGGGAGTGCTGGGAGAGTCCCAGAGCACATTCCTTTGTGTCCTGGCTTCTTAGATAGTATTAACAAGACTTTTTCTGGGTCTGGGCTGTGCCTATTGCTGCCTCTGGGATAAGTCATCCTAATACAGGAAAGCTTATTTCTCTTTTTAATTTTATTTTTCTTTCTTTAATTCCCTGCCTCACAGGAGCATCACAGAAAGAAGTGAATGCCCAAAGCAGTGGTGAGATTTGAGAGCACATTATACCACCCTAATAGGTGAAAGGGAGGAGCAGAGGGGCACTTCTGGAAGAACACATGACTTCAAAGATAAATGGGTCCTATGAGAATAAGTGAAAGATTTGTAACAGTGTCTGTCTGAGTATAGTACTGACTTCCTCTGCTCTCCCTGATTAGATGAAATCATTCCTGGTTGATGAAACTTCTGGGAGGGGATTTATGACAATTGAGTTTCTTTTTGGGAGGATCGATTTTTAGACAGATAAGGGAACTCCAGAGACAACTTCTTCCTGTATTTGTTCATTCTCAGATGTCTTCAATTCAAAATAATCTTTATGTTACTATATCTCATCTGGACAATCCTTAAGGGATTATATTTAGTTTTGCAAGAGAGAGGCTTTTAACCTCACTTGTTACCAAGAAAAATGGTAACAACTAATTCTAAACATTTCTTTTCTTTCTGAAGAACCTTTTTTTCCGTAAAAAGTAAGTTGGTTTTTGTTTGGGGTCTTTTAAGGAAATAATTTTATCAATAGAAATGCCGAATATTATAATTTCATATTTTTATGTAGTTGGTCCATCTGAAATGTAACAAATGCATCAAGATAAGAGTATATTTATTTGCTAGCAGTGAAGTGTTTTTAAGTAAACAGTTGGGGAGAGTTATGTAACTGACACTGTTGGCAAATGTAAGGATTGAAAACCTTTGGTAATAAAGGTTCATGTGGGCTGAATACAGTGGCTCAGGCCTGTAATCCAAGCACTTTAGGAGGCTGAGGTGGGAGGATCACCTGAGCCCAGGAGTTTGAGACCAACCTGGGCAACACAGTGAGACCTCATCTCTACAGATAATAAAAAAAAAAATTAGTTGGCTGTGGTGGTGTGTGCCTGTGATTCCAGGTACTCAAGAGGCTGCAGTGGGAGGATCGCTCGAGCCCAGGAAATCAAGTCTGCAGTGAGCTGGGATCACACTACTGTACTCCAACCTTCCAGCCTAGGCAAGAGAGTGAGACCCTGTCTAAAAAAAAAAAAAAGTTTCACGCTAGCATTTATTTTAAAAAGAAGGTTGGGAATGAGAGAAACAAAAGAACTTTGTGTTGAGGTCAAAACAAGCTGTCCTGGATCCAACCTAGACTCCCCAGGCTGTCATCAAACCGCTAATTATGTTTATTTTTCTTGATGTTGTGTAACTCTCAGTATTTGCTCTGTCTCCATATGAAGGACTGGATAGTGTTTTCTTGAGAGAAATTATTTCCCTTTCCTCTTTTTTCTAATGACTAATGTTAAATCCTCATGTTTTTGAGTAAATCCTATTTCCAACTATGCTTGATATACATTTGTTTTGTTCATATTTGTTAATATAGATTTATATAACTCATGCAAATAAATTAGCTGGAGGAAAAGTCAGAAACTCTTATTATTTGTAAAATTAATTTCTAATCAGTTATAGCTGTGAACCAAAAATAATCAAAAGGGTCAGAATCTAATTTTTTTTTTTTTTGAGACGAAGTCTCACTCTTATCCCCCAGGCTGGAGTACAATGGCACGATCTTTGCTCACTACAACTTCCGCCTCCCGGGTTCAAGCGATTCTCCTGCCTCAGCCTCTCGAGTAGCTGGGATTATAGGCACCTGCCACCACACCTGGCTAATTTTTGTGTTTTTAGTGGAGACAGGGTTTCACTATGTTGGCCAGGATGGTCTCAAACTCCTAACCTCAGGTGATCCACCCGCCTTGGCCTCCCAAAGTGCTAGGATTACAGGTGTGAGCCACTGCGCCCCATCCAGAATCTAATTTAAAGAGAGTTTATTCAGGTGCAAAGTGTAAGGGTAGCCATCTGAGGACCAGTGCTACACCAAAGAATACTGATAAGTGCTTCTGGTGTGGGAGAAATGAGGATTATTTATATAGGCAAAACAGAGGTGTTGAACAGGATTACAGCATTTTTGTACAAAGGGTAACATACAGATATTTGATTGGCTACTGTTGATTACACTCTAAGTGGGTTGTCCAACATTCTGTTGTAAACAGGTAACAGTCACAAGGGTCTCTTTCTCCATATCATTTAGACTAGGTTTGAATAAAGAATAGGGAGTCTTGACTGGGCGTGGTGTCTCAGGCCTATAATCCCAGAACCTTGGAAGGCTGAGGTGGCAGGATCACTTGAGTCCAGGAGTTCAAGACCAGCCAGGCTTGAGGTAGAGATTCTACCTCTACAAAAGAATTTTAAAAATCAGTCAGGTGTGGAGTTGCACACCTGTAGTTCTAGCTACTCTGGAGGCTGAAGTGGAAGGGTAGCTTGAGCCTAGGAGTTCAAGGTCACAGTGAGCTTATGATCACATCAACGTACTCCAGCCTGGGTGACAGAGCAAGACCTTGTGTCTTTAAAAAAAAAAAAAAAATGTGGAGTCTAGTTAATGTGTAACATCTCAACACAGAAGTCAGAAAGCAATGGTCATGCACCAAAGAAAAAACAATCATGTTACATGAGTCCTCTTTCAGGGCTTAACTTTTCCCTTTGGCATAATAAATTTGGAAGGTCCTAAATTTTTATTTTCTTTTTACATAGCTCTCTTCAACTATCAGACTTTTATTTATTCATTTATTTTAGAGAGAGGGTCTTCCTCTGTCGCTCAGGCTGGAGTGCAGTGGTGCAAGTATAGCTCACTACAGCCTACGGTTCCTGGGCTTAAGCAGTGTTTCCACCTCAGTTCCTAAATAGCTAGAACTACAGGCATGCGCCACCATGCCTGGCTAACTTTTTTTTTTTTTTTTTTTTCTGTCGTAGAGACAGGGCCTTGTTCTGTTGCTCAGGGGGGCCTTAAACTCCTGGCCTCAAGTAATCTTCCCACTTTATCCTTCCAAAGTGATGGGATTACAGGGATGAACCTTGTGCTTGGCTCAGCTATCAGATTTTAAACCTTTCTTTACTTGGAAAATTAAAGACAGATATTTGTTTTTCAGTTAGCCAAGGAGCAACCTTGAAATACAATATCCTTTTATTAAACTTCTTTTGAGGGGGAAAGTAAGTTATAATTTTTTTATTAGAAAATAAATATACTGGGCCAGGCATGGTGGCTCATACCTGTAATCCCAGCCCTTTGGGAGGCCCAGGTGCACGGATCACTTGAGGTCAGGAGTTCGAGATCAGCCTGGCCAACATAAAATCCTGTCTCTACTAAAACTACAAAAATTAGCCCAGCATGGTTTTGCATGCCTGTAATCCCAACTACTGGAGAGGCTGCGGCAGGAGAATCGTTTGAACCTAGGAGGTAGAGGTTGCAGTGAGCCAAGATCATACCACTGCACTCCACCCTGGGCGACAGAGTGAATGAGACTCTGTCTCAAAAAAAAAGAAATGTGAACAACTAGATCAAAAGAGATACCCAGATACTTCATCCCCTCCCTAAAATAGTTGTAGAGCAATAGGAAAACAAAAGGTACATAAATTTTTCATTTTCTGACTTTTATAGAGCCTTTAAGAATTATGTGATTTCTCTATAAAATGCATGCAGAAGTAGGGATACTCAATGTCCACCTTAAAGATTGGTTAAGCTTCAAATCAAGTTCAGGCCAAACTAGAGTTTCTACAGTAGAAATCTTTTCTGTCCTCAGTATTTTATCCTAGTTTATTCATATTTTTGAAAATATTGACACTTAATCTTTTGCCTCAATCTTGAAACCTTACTATGTTTGCAAATTTTAGGGATCCATATGGGCAGACTCTAGTCAATGAACATATTACTTGGGTACTTATAGCAAATGGTTTTTAACTTGGTATATTTGTTGCTCACATTATTTTTTTGTGTAGATCCTATGCCTGTGACTCAGAAGGAACAGGAAAACAAATCCAATGCATTTCCCTCTACATCATGTGAAAACTCCTTTCCAGAAGACTGTACATTTCTGTATGTATATAAATTCTTTGTTATTAATGCTTTTGCTCCTACAGATTTCTTCTTTATAAATCACTTGACATTAGAATAGATGAAATATACAAAAAAATTTTTCCCATTAAAGCTTTAAAAGTTGTATATTTTAGTATTTTATGTAAGATAGAATTTCATGAGTCTCTGAATAGGTTATTGAATATTCCTAGTTAATCAAGTCTTTTTATAAAGTTTAGCTTAAGATGTCTTTGTGTATTTTATTAATACACTGAAATCTACCAAGTAGTGTGTTTTTGTTTTGTTTTGTTTTTTGTTTTACTGCTTAGATTATCTGGAGAATTTAAAAGTGTCAAAATGTTTCTTTCAGTATCAGTTGAGTTTTCAAAATGCGTAACAGCTCTTAAGTAGTGTCTAAAAGTTTATGGGAATAGACTAAATTTTTCTGACCTTCCCTTTCTCATTTTATCATTACTTTCCATAAAGATTCTTTGGCATAAAGGAGATGTGCGGAAGAGTGAATCTAGATACTCTGACACGTAGTCTTTATTTTTAGTAGGTAATACCTGGGCCTAACCCTTCAAGTACTAATTACAGGGAAGTTTCTGAAAGTTCTCTAGAGTAGAGAACATAGTTTCAAAAAACAAAGAAGTATCTTTAGAAAGAAACTTCTTTGTTACCCTAATTTCATTTGTTCTTTCAGCTTAATATTAAATTGACTAAGAAAAACTATATAATTATTTTTTTGATTTTCATGCCTGTGAGAGTTGTAGATAGACACTGTTTCATATAATTTGGATTTACAAATATTAGAGATGTCATTGCAGTTTGAGTGGGTCTCAAAAGGCCCATAAAATTACTTTAAAATGCTCACAGAGAAAGCTAAGTTCACACTTTAGCTCCTTAATTGGCCATTTCAGTGGCTCACAAAACATTTTTTTTTCTAGAAATTCTGACCTTTGAATATACAGTGTAAAATTTTGTAAGTTTTTAGGAACAAATTCACTCAGTCTAAATCTAAATTAAATTTTCATGTAAATTACCACCAAACAAGCTCTCTACCAAACAGTTATCTATATATTTAGATATTATATTTTAAACTTAAATGCAGGAGTGGTTTATTCCTGTGAAGTATCATTTTTTGCTTTAAGTTCATTATACCAGCTTATCAGAATCTTTTTGAATTTTGGAATATTTTTTGTCCCTTTTAGCTTATCATCTTGTACAAATAAATAAGCTTTCTAATCTTCATTATGGTCACTGAAAACAATATTGAACAGGACATGACCAAAGATAAAAACCTTGTGGCTGGCTCACTACTAGACATTCTTTTTATTACGCTTCAGAAAGAACGCTTTAAGCAACTGTGAATTTACTTCTACTGTTGTCCCGCCTACACTTCTCACTTACAAAGTGGTCATGAAAAATCAAGGTTCACTGCCATAGCATTCTGTGGCATTGCCAGACATTATTCAGACTTATTGAAAACGTTGTCAAAAAAGAAAATTCAGTTAATTTGGATTTTTCTCACCTACTTGTTAACTCAGCACCTAGTGTTGGTTGGCCTTTTAAATTCAAAATATTTAGAAGCCACACCCTTGATGCCTTCTTCTAGAGATTTTTAAGAGACCAGTGTTAAGCTAACCTTTCTATATTTTCTGTAGCCTGTCCTCCTTCCCTTTTTAAAAATCAGGGCAGCTAGAACTTGAGGATAAGTGGTCAAAGAAAAAATCAGGGCAGTATTATTTTATTTTTAATTTTTCTATATTTGAAGTTTTTTTTTCCAGACCTTGAGATTTAATTTGTAGAGTCTTCTATATGCTTAAATAAACTTGAGTTCTAGTACCCTCTCTTTAACTGTCACAGACTTCAGTTTCTTTTTATTTTTTTCCTCTTGTTTCCAACTTGAGAGCCATACTTAAAGATGGAAAAGACAAAGGCAGAATTGTTTTTGAGAAACTCTTCCTTCTCTTTGTTATCAGTTAACCTTATTTTTCTCCTAACAGATTATTTTCTTGTTCTAAGCATAGCTTTAGTTGTTTTTTGTTGTTGTTATTTTATTAGCACTTTTGGAAACCTCGGTTCTTACTAGGCTTTGTGATACTTTTCTTACAGTTTCGTACCAATGTTGCGTATTCATAATTAGCTGTCTTCTTTTGTATGTATACTTTTAAAAATCCGAGCTTCCAAGAAAAATTGAGTTGGTTTCTTTAACTGTTTTCCCATCTCTTTAGGACTGTTTATGATTATATAATCAGAATTTCATTTCCTTAATCTCCCATCTCTCTTGTACTGTGTTGACACTCAGAGGCTTTTTTTGAGATTATACCTAACTTTTGAGTTGAGCATTCTGAGATCTTTTCAGATGAAGGGACATGTCTTATTAGGCTTAGGATTTTCTTCCTTTGCCATTAAGAATTCCAAGGAAGCATTTCATTCTTGACTGGAATTATGTTTAAATAATTCCTTTTATATTTCCTCTGCAGGCCAGAAGTTTATTTGCTTATTTTATTTTCAGTACTTAAACCCTCTTAGCAGCCCAGTGGTCACATAGGTTGCCTAGTAAACTAAACATTCAATAACTTAAGCCAGGAATTCTTAGCCCCAGCTAAACTGCTCAAGATTAGGCTGAGCATGGTGGCTCACACCTGTAATCCCAGCACTTCGGGAGGTTGAGGCAGGAGGATCACTTGAGCCCAAAATTTCAAGACTAGCCTGGGCAACATGGCAAAACCCCATCTCTACAAAAAGTAACAAAAATTAGCCGGGCTTGGTGGCACATGCCTGTGGTCCCAGCTACTTGGGAGGCTGAGGTGTATCACCTAAGTCCAGAAGATCAAGGCTGCAGCAAGCCATGATCGCGCCTCCGCACTCTAGCTTGGGTGACAGAGTGAGACCCTATTTCAAAAAAAGATTATACAAACTATCAACGGCAAACCCCAGGATGAAATCTTGGGTCTAATAGGACACAGGCTTCAGGCTTTTGGTGTTTTTTTGTGGGGTTTTTTTGTTTTCTTTCTTTCTTTCTTTTTTTTTTTTTTTTTTGAGACAGCAGGGTCTCACTGTCTCGCTGGGTGGACTGCAGTGGCACATAGCCACAGCTCACTGTAGGCTTGACGCCCTAAGCTCAAGCGATCCTTCCTCCTCAGACTCTCAAGTAGCTAGGACTACAGGTGCATACCACCACACCTGGCTAATTTTTAACATTTTTTTTTTTTGTAGCGATGTGGTCTCACTATGTTGCCCAGGCAGGTCGTGAACTCCTAGTCTCAAGCAGTCCTCCCTCCTCAGCTTCCCAAAGTGCTGGGATTACAGGCATGAGCCACCACACCCAGCCAGTATTCTATTCTTGAGTTGAACTGAATTTCTACTCCACATAAGTGAGTTATGACATAGGTAAATGTAAAAACAAAAGTATTACTTCAGTGATAATTCTTTTAAAAGGATATTTACTTTTGTGATTTTAGAAGTCTGAATTCCCTTTTTTTTTTTTTTTTTGGTCAAGTATAAACTTTGGTTTGTCAGGAGTACATACCTATTCAAGCTAGCTTAAGTAGTGGAATTTATTAGAAGTGTACGAGGTGTGCAGCTTTGGTTAGCATACTGGGTGACACTGGGCTTGCACCACTGCTTAAAGACACAGGTGTAAATTTAAGCCATTAAATTTTTATGGCTTTTTACATGACATGCACACAAACCCAAAAGATTATTTTTAAAAACATGCACACACATGTACCTACACATACATACACACATATATAAATAAAATAGGTCTTGAAGAACAGAAAATGTAACACAGCAGGCCATGTAAACACTAAAATAGGAACTTAAAAGTCAATACCTAAGGTCAGGGTTGACACAGTCTCAACTCTACTTCTCTCTGTTACCAGTAGGTTTCTTCTCTTCCCACATGACCAAACATAGCTGCCCCAGCTAAACTCTAACCTTCTAGTGCAAGTGTTATCTCATGTGACATATATATATATATATATATATTTTTTTTTTTTTTTAAATAGAGACAGGGTCTAGTCATGTTGCCCAGGCTGATCTTGATCTCCTGGGCTCAATGAATCCTCCCACCTCGGCCTGCCACAGTGCTGGGATTACAGGCATGAGCCACCGCACCCAACCATTTTTTTTAATATCTTAATTTAAATTATTGAAAGAGACAGTATAAAAAGCCCAGTATGTATACAAGACCCAACATCTTTGAGTACACTGAAATTAATATACCTGCCTTTCAGAAGAGGATGACTAAAGAAGGGACTGAGCAAAATACCAGATTTACCTACTGCAGTCTTTAGATGAATACAGTATACATTCTTGTTTTAAAATATGCCCCCTTAATGGTCATAGAGGATAGAATGACTTCTTACTTTAGCCTTGCCAAAAGCTAGATAATCAGTTGGCAGCCTCTAAGCCATGCTCCACTTTGATGTTCAGAGTGACTAACAACACCCTGAACAATTGTCAAATCATATGCAAACTGAGAAATCCTTACCCAGAGGCTGGCAAGCAGGTCCAGACAGCCGTGGACTTCTCCTTCTCACTACTTACTCCTTATCCTGTGTTTACCTCTAGCACTTTTAATCAATGACTGGGTTTACAATACTGTGCATAGAATTGGTTTTATTTCTATTTTTTTTTTCAGTAATGTATCTTCACACCTAAATAAAGTTAACCCTCCTCTCCATAAAATTGGGATGAAATTAGGTTACTTTATACTTAAGACTTGTAAGTTGGGTTTTTTCCTTCTCTTTAGTAAAATGAAGCACAGATAAGAAATTAATCTTTTCTAAGGTTCACACTAGTGTTTTATTTTTATGCTTTTCTCCTCCTCTTCTGTTTTTTTCTCTTCTCCTCCCACTCCTCCCTAACTCTTCTTAAATGTAAAACATGTATTTCTCAGTGTTAATTGCTCAGTAACTAGAGTCTTGTATCTCCTAGTTTTTATTAGTCATAAGGAGAATACTTTTAATCTAGTTTGGCTTTCTTGAAATGTAAATTCCAAATTACAAGTTTTACCAGCATATTTACTATTACAAATTTTAGTCCTAAGTAGTTCTAATTGTATATTGTTCCAGTAGTGGCTAACTTGGAGTTGTATTTGTTGTGTCATATGAGGAAATTATGTAAAGGACATTAAACTACTATTCAAATATTAGTAGTTACTTAAGAACTAAGGATAACCCAGATACTTTCTCTCTCACATATATCCTGAATTAATCCCTTCATATTCCAAGAAAAATTTATTGAGTCATCTACATTAATATTTAATGTTCCCCTTCCTCCAAAGAGCAAAACAGGAACCAAAAAATTCATACCCGAGGCCAGGTGCGGTGGCTCATGCTTGTAATCCTAGTACTTTGGGAGGCCAAGGCAGGCAGATCACTTGAGCTCAGGAGTTTGAGGCTAGCCTGGGCAACATGGTGAGACCCCATCTCTACCAAAAAAGCAAAAAATTAGCTGGGCTTTGTGACGCATGCCTTTCGTCCCAGCTACTCGAGAGGCTGAGGTGGGAGGATTGCATGAGCCCAGGAGGCAGATGTTGTGGGGAACCAAGATTGCACCACTGCACTCCAGCCTGGGTGACAGAGTAAGACCCTGTCTCCAAAAAAAAAAAAAAAAAAAAAATTCATAGGCAAAATGTCAAATGACATTTACAGAATAATATACTACAGAATCCAGTTTGAAACATATTTATTTGGTTAAGTCAAGTTGAAAAGGACAACAGAACAGTTTACTATCTCTATAAATCTGTAAGTGTATAAGTAACTTGAGAGTGAGTAACCTATATCAAAACAAAGAACAAGGCCATGAGAACCTAAGGAATGTATTACAGTGAATTCTGAATGAAAGAAAATAGGGTGTTTTATCTCAGAGAGACAAATAAATAGAAAATCCAGAGTTCAGGTTATACCATAATTCCTTATAAGAAAAAGTGGTAAGAAGGAACTTGACACCTAATAATAGGGAACAAGTAGGTTCCAGGTACCACCTTTGAAAAACAGGAAGATACTGGATACTAAAATAAATCAAGGGCCAGGCATGGTGGCTCACACCTATAACCCCAGCACTTTGGGAGGCCGAGGTGGGTGGATCACTTGAGGTCAAGAGTTTGAGACCAGCCTGGCCCACATGGCAAAACCCTGTCTGTACTAAAAATACAAAAATTAGCTGGATGTGGTGGCACATGCCTGTAATCCCAGCTACTTGGGAGGCTAAGGCACAAGAATTGCTTGAAGCTGGGAAGCAGAGGTTGCAGTGAGCTGAGGTCATGCCACTGCACTCCAGCCTGGGCAATAGATTGAAACTCACTCTCTCTCAAAAAAAAAAGATTTCTAAATAAATTATAGTATATCCTTTTACCTGTTAGACTCTGAAATCCAAAAGCATCAAGATCCACCTGATTGATGAAACTCTGTGAAAACAGGCACTCTCATTTATTGCTGAAGAAACTGACACTATGGAGAACAATTTGGCAATATTAATGAAATAACTAACCCATTTGCCTTGTGACCTAGCACTCCCACTTCTGGGAATATGTTCTGCAACAGTATCTAACAGTATCTTTACGTGTATGAAATTGTTATTAATAGATTCATAATTTTATAGCAAAGATTATTACAATAAAATTACTTATTAAAAGATCACTGTATAAGTTTACTGTATACGTTCTAAAAGATCACTGTGTAAGTTAACTAGTCCATTATTGTGGTCTAGCCTATACTACATGTTATGGAAAATTGTCCATTATTGCAGGCTAGGTAATTAAATTGTGGACTTACGCAAAGGATTACTATACAGTCGGAGAAAGGATGAGGAAGCTCCATATCTGCACATCCAGTATGGTAGCCACTAGCTGCATGTGGCTGTTTAAATCTGAATTAATCAAAATTAGATAAAATGTAAAAATTCAGTTCTTTGGTCGTGCTAGCTACATTTAAAAGTGCTCAGTAACCACATGTGCCCACTGGCTACCATATCGGACAGCACAGGTATAGACCATTTCTATCAATGGAGGAAGTTTTTTTGGATGGCACTGCTTTATATAGTGTATTAGTCCGTTTTCACGCTGCTGATAAAGACATACCCAAGACCAGGCAATTTACAAAAGAAGGAGGTTTAATGGACTTACCAGTTCCACATGGCTGGAGAGGCCTCACACTCATGGCAGAAGGCAAGCAAGAGCAAGTCACATCTTACATAGATGGTGACAGGCAAAGAGCTTGTGCAGGGAAACTCCCCCTTACGTTACCATCAGATCTCGTGAGACTTATTCACTATCACGAGAACAGCACGGGAAAGACCTGCACCCATGATTCAATTACCTCCCACCAGGTCCCTCCCACAACACGTCGGAATTCAAGATGAGATTTGGGTAGGGACACAGCCAAACCATATCATAGAGCAAATACAACGCATCTCTAAAATACCTGTATTATAATACATAACAGACACCTAAAGATAGAAAATTCTATGTAAAACAAAACTCAGATTATTTGTGAAAGTTTAAAACTTGATTTCCAAACAAAAGGAAGCTTTTCACGGATTTTTTTTTTTTTAAGACAGGATCTCACTCTGTCACCCAGGCTGGAGTGCAATGGTGTGATCATGATTCACTGTAGCCTCAACCTCCCGAGTCCAAGTGATCATCCCACCTCAGCCCCCGAAGTAGCTGGAACTACAGGCATGCACCACCATACCTTACTAATTTTTTTTACTTTTTGTAGGGATGAGGTTTCACTGTGTTGCCCAGGCTGATCTTGAGCTCCTGAGCTCAAGCAGTCCTTCCGTCTTGGCCTCTCAAAGTGCTGGGATTACAGTTGTGAGCCATCACACCCTGCCGACTTTTTTTTTTATTTTATTAATAACCACCCCATTTTCTCCTATCAGTTTGCCATTTTTTCAGATGTATCAATATGATTGTGAGGTAGATTACATATTATGGAAAGAATTAAGTTGGTACTATTGTTGAAGGCAAACAGTATAAAGGATTCTTGATGAATTAATAAGTTTTCAGCCAGCCTTTGTTTTTTTGCATGCAAAGAGCTTGATCTCAGCATGCCTGAAGAAGTAACCTTCTTCAGTGCTTTATTGATTCATGCTCTAAATGAACTCTAAATTTGCTAGGTGCTATGAAATACCTAACAGAAAGTTACAGCTGTAATCACAACTTCCTGGAATATTCTGAAATTAGGTATAAGGCAGACCTGGTGCGTGCCTATACCAGCTATTTGGGAAGCTGAGGCAGGAGGATCACTTGGGGACAAGAGTTCAAGGCTGCTCTGTGCTGTGATCACACCTGTGAATGGCCACTGCACTCCAGCCTGGGCAACATAGGAAGACCCCATCTCCGAGAAAAGTTTTAAAAATAGATATAATCTTTGTATGGCTGTAGAACATCTTAAAATGTGTATCTTAGAGTCTGGCTTATTTTAATATTGTCTAAGAAGGTAGAAAATAATCATAGTTTTTTTAAAATGAGGAATTGAACTATAAATTTGAGATACTAATGAATAATTTATTTTAACAGAACAACAGAAAATAAGGAAATTCTCTCTCTTGAAGATAAAGTTGTAGACTTTAGAGAAAAAGACTCATCTTCGAATTTATCTTACCAAAGTCATGACTGCTCTGGTGCTTGTCTGATGAAAATGCCACTGAACTTGAAGGGAGAAAACCCTCTGCAGCTGCCAATCAAATGTCACTTCCAAAGACGACATGCAAAGACAAACTCTCATTCTTCAGCACTCCACGTGAGTTATAAAACCCCTTGTGGAAGGAGTCTACGAAACGTGGAGGAAGTTTTTCGTTACCTGCTTGAGACAGAGTGTAACTTTTTATTTACAGATAACTTTTCTTTCAATACCTATGTTCAGTTGGCTCGGAATTACCCAAAGCAAAAAGAAGTTGTTTCTGATGTGGATATTAGCAATGGAGTGGAATCAGTGCCCATTTCTTTCTGTAATGAAATTGACAGTAGAAAGCTCCCACAGTTTAAGTACAGAAAGACTGTGTGGCCTCGAGCATATAATCTAACCAACTTTTCCAGCATGTTTACTGATTCCTGTGACTGCTCTGAGGGCTGCATAGACATGTGAGTAGAAAAACATGGCGTTTCAAAAAAATCTTCTGAATGTAAGGACGCTTGTTAAGAAGTCTTGCTATGTATTAATTTGTCTATCTAAAACCTGTTCAAGAGTTACAGTAAGACTGGGCGTGGTGGCCCACGTGTGTAATCCCAGCACTTTTGGGAGACCGAGTGGGAGGCCAGCTTGAGCAAAGGAGTTTGAGAACAGCCTGGGCAACATGGCAAAACCCCATCTTAACAAAAAATTTAAAAATTAGCTGGGTATGGTGGTGTGCATCTATAGTCCCAGCTACTCTGGAGGCTGGGGTGGGAGATCTGCTTGAGCCCAGGAGGTCAAGGATGCAGTGAGCTGTGATCACACACTGTACCAGAGGCCTGGACAACAAAGCAAGACCCTGTCTCCAAAAAATAAAAATAAAAATAAAAGAGTCTACAATGGGAAAATGAACTCTGTCACTAGCAGTAGGAAAAAAAACCTCTAATTATTTGCCAAATATGGTAATTTGAAACATTTCTTCCAAGAATGCATATTTCCTTTAATCTAGTACTAATACATTAAAAGATAATCAATGGCATTACAACAAATGATATTTAACAGTGCCAGACACTGTGACAAGTACTTCACATTCATTCTCTTAATCTTCACAAAAACCCATGAGGTATAGGTAATATCTCAGTGTTATACATGAGGAAGTTGAGCCTCAGAGAAGTCAATTTGGAGAGGTCATAGAACAAATTGTAGAGACAGGATTTGAACCCATGTTCTTAACCATTGGGTTATATGTTGCATTTTACTTTTAAAAATCATTTGCTGGCTAATGTGATGCTTATAACTAGTATTTTCTTAATCATAGAATAGTATTAACATCCCATGAAAAAATGAAAACATGTTCTAATATATTAAGACTTTGAAAAACATTTTAAGGGTGTGTAGTACACATACATTCGTAGGTATACAGATGTAGAGTGGTGTTGCATTATATGTACTTTTAATTTAATGCAAATTTAGCTACCCATACTTGGCAAAAAAAGAATAAGAGAATGATAAATAATTTAAATAGTATAATAATAGTTTTCACCATCCTCTAAGTTAATTGGAGTGTAAAATGAGAGCTATATCTACTGTTACCTCAGTTTGGCTCAGTTCCTTGAGGCCTCTCATAGAGGAAACCTCTCACTGTGCTGTTTTATTCTGTTTAAAAATATGTATTTTATTTTGTAAAGATTACCTCTAAATGTAACCCAACTACCTCATCTGGGGACTTGGCTCTTCAAAGGAATAGAAACAGGTACCTGCACAAGACTAGGAACTAGGCCAGTATCTCACAGGGCCTGGAATTGTATTAATGAAAACCTTGTTAACAGCTGTAAAACCAATGGGGTCAGAGCCAAAGCGTTGGAGAAAGCACCCAATGTAGAGCAGCACACAGGACTAAACCCCACAGAAGGTATGATTTCAAACAAACATTTACAGCACACAAAGATGTTTAGGACCATGAAGGCAGCATGAGTCCCGACAAGTAGAGAGAATTAACACCTGAGGAATCAGAGGTAAATGTTGAATCTAATTGAAAGGGATTTTAAAACAGGTATAATTAAACTGTCCCAAGAGGCTGGGCACAGTGGCTCATACCTGTAATCCTAGCACTTTGGGAAGCTGAGGTAGGAACATCATTTGAGCCCAGGAGTTCGAGACCAGCCTGAGCAACCTAGCGAAACCCCATCTCTACAAAAATACAAAAGTTAGCGTGGCGTGGTGGGACGCCCTTGTAGTCCCAGCTAGTCGGGAGTCTGAGGTGGGAGGATCACCTGAGTGCAGGGAGGTCGAGGCTGCAGTGAGCCAAGATTGCGCCACTGCACTCCAGCCTGGGCAACAGAGTGAGACCCCTTCTCAAAAAAGAAAAACTATGAATTGTATATGAAGTGAGCAATACCTAATCCAGTAGAAAAGTTAAAAGGAATTAACTAGATTTGTATATAGCATGGATGGGTCTCAAAAACATTATATTGAACAACAAAAAAAGCAAGTTATAGAATAATACCTATAGTAAATTTTTTATAATGAAAAATACACAATATATTGTTTGTAGATACATGTGTATATAAAAGCATAAAGGATGCCACACTAAATCTCTTGAGAGTTTAGTTATATCTATGTTTTACTTTTTAACTTTTTTTAAGAAGACCATATATATGTGGTGTATATGTGGTGTGTATATTTTGAATTATATATACAGGGAAGAGAACTAGACAAAATGCTGACAACTAATTCTGGATGGTGGAAATATGGGTGTTTATTATTATCTGTATTTTTCTGTACTTTTTAAACTTTGCACACAAAATCACATGGGAAAGAACAATTATAGATTTTCATATCTGTAAACAGAATCCAAATTAATGAATTTGTTGATTGTTGTCGTTGTTCTTTTCTCTTGCAAACAGCAGCCACCATTCTGATGTGTATTAATTAATACAGAAAATACAGAAGAGAATCATAGAGGAAAAGACCTTAAAGTCACTTGTTCAGCAAAGGAGACTAAGATCCAGAGATTTTAACCAGCTCACCAGCAGTCATTTACCTAGTTACACAGCTAGAGTCCCCAAGTTCCTTACTTTGTATCAAATTATGGTTCCCTATCAAGTTAGTTAGTCATCTGAATAGAGGGGAAAGTACATGAAGTTTTATGGTTGCAAGCTTCCTGCCTCGCAACAGTATGAAAAAAGGATTCAATAATAGTAGGCAGATACCCGGCATCAATCTCCCCAGTCTGTTTCTGTCACTGGAGTGAGAGAGAACTTAAGACATCTGCAAAACTATGTCCTTACAAATTTGACATATTTAAGTTTATCCATTGTAAAAGAGCAGAACTAGCAGAATTCTCACAAACAAGCTTCTGTGCTGAACAGGGAAATTAAAGGAATTGATTTTGGAAAGCTAAACTCATATAGTTAAGTATTTCATGAGCAAATAGAGTTGCAGTGCAGTTTATAATTATTTATAAACTTTTGGGAGGTATTGTCTTTCAAAGAGATCTATTTAGGGAAAAAGCTGATAGTGTTCATGAGCCAAACTATTCTAAATGCTATTACATCTTTTATTACATCATTTACACATTTATCAAGACAGTCTCTTGACTTGACTTGCTGCTTTTTCATTCTTTCTCCATCCATTGCCTGCCTTTTAGAACAAAATGTGCATGTCTTCAACTGACAGCAAGGAATGCCAAAACTTCCCCCTTGTCAAGTGACAAAATAACCACTGGATATAAATATAAAAGACTACAGAGACAGATTCCTACTGGGTAAGGTACCTTGAGGATTTGTTGCAGGGTGTGTATATCTTTGAAGGTGGGTACTTTTTATTGTGGTCCAAAATCTTATAGATGTTAAATCTGGTTTAATTTGGTTCTAATACCAAAAATCTAAATTATTAAGGAATAAAAATCCTGTGTATTGTTCGTGGAAATGGTAGTCAGAGACCACACATACATCATGCAGAGTGTACTTGAACACTCATCTGCTTTGAGTCTGGCTCTTACCCCTCTAGTATCAGCCTACTTTGGGCAGCCATTTCTCCGTTTAAAAATAACTGTCTAGAACTCATTTGAGAATTGGGAATTTTCAACCTTTCAAGGTACTGACTCACTTAATCTTCACAAAGCAGCCCTATGAGGGAGGTATTGTCATATAATCCCCATTTTAAAAATGTGAAGATAAAGCACAGAAAAGTTAAATAACTCATCCAAGATAATACAGCTAGTAAATGTGGAAGCTGTGATGGGAACCCAGGCACTCTACCTCTAAGAGCTTTCACATTTAGCCTGCTTCCCTCAGTAGTTATCAGTGTCAGTGAAGTGTCAATAAACTGCTTTTTGAGATGTCTGATTTTCTCTTTTGCATATTTTGTTGACAGCATTTATGAATGCAGCCTTTTGTGCAAATGTAATCGACAATTGTGTCAAAACCGAGTTGTCCAACATGGTCCTCAAGTGAGGTTACAGGTGTTCAAAACTGAGCAGAAGGGATGGGGTGTACGCTGTCTAGATGACATTGACAGAGGGACATTTGTTTGCATTTATTCAGGTAAAGCAAAAGTTTATTTTCAAATTATTCTAGAGTAGAATCCACTTTTCTAAATATCCATTTTCCTAGCCAGGGCTGTTGAGAGCTTACAGCAAGGTAAAGAGTAACAGTATCTAAGAGGAACATCAGAGAAAGGCAGGTAAACTGGGAACTTGAGCACTAAAGAGATGAGATGCTTAGGAGGTACTTTCTTCAAGAAAAGAAAGGTTCAGAGATGACACTTGGGTTTTTGTGTGAGGGCCTGTTACGTACAAGGCACATTTGTTTTGTCTGCATGGCTACAGGTACTTTGGGGTAAGGGAATAAAACTTGTTAAAAGTAAAAAAAAAAACTAAATGACTGGCTTGCCAAGGTAAAGATGACCAGTCAAAAACTTTCTTATTCAATGTTTTGAGCTATTATTAGAATTTAACAAGTTAATTATGTAATATCTGCATGTTATAATTCAGTCAGTGACTTTAGGCAACTCACTCTATTTTGGGGACTGCAGAGAGTTGTCCATGCTGCAGAGCAAAACTTCCCGAGCAGTGTGTTACAGTCATGCAATTACTGATTCTTTAGGGCCACAGCCCCCAGGGCCAAACACATCAGTCTTCAGTAGTCTTACACATTTACCTCCAGCATGTCAGGCAAAATCCCTTATTTTCTGTGCACATCCTTCTGTGAGAAAGTTTGGGAAACACGGCTTTAGAGCCAGTCTAAAGGAATTGTCCTTGACTTATTTTAGCAGTTAGGCATCAGGGAAAAGAACAACCAGGTTCTGAAAATTACTCATCTGAAAAATCAGGTTTAATCTGTTTACATGACCATGTGCTTAGAAAAGAAATATCAGGTTCACATCAGGGAGGGCAAGAAGAAGCTTGCAGAGTTCAGAGTAGTCACACGTATGGATCCCTGCCACTCCCCATTTACAGATCCACATTCTACACATCCTGCCTAGACGTTCATCTCTCATACTTCTCAAAATAACTCTTGGATGAAAGCTACCTGTAAAATGCCAGGTGGTGTCCAGGAAGTATCATTGGTTTTATCGTTGTTGCTGGAAAATGTAACTAAGATATGTCTCCGATCTAACAATGGGTAAGAATATCCTGCTATTAATTTGGACTTGGCAACTATAATATTGAATCCCTTGAAAGAAAATGCATGAACTTTAGACCAAGATTTTAGTGTTATGCAGAACTTAATATGACAACACTAAGAACATATCACCACATATTTAAATAGGTACTTTTGTTAAAAATTTTAAGTTTCAGATGATAACGCCTTTTTAACTAGACATAAAAGCTACAATTTTATGGCTAGAGTCATCTCTCTAATTTTCTAGAGTACTTTCTCATCCATATCTTTTTGTATCATTCTAGCTAAATCTCTTCTCTTTTGTATTATACCAAAACAGACAAATGGTTTTTTTTTAGATACCCTGTTTTTTCATATACTGGAAGATAAGAAATATCACATTGGTCTTTGTCTTGCAACAGTTTTGTAGGATGAGTTAATGTGTTTATCTTCATTGTAGAATGTGTGGGTTCTTTAGTCATGGAGTAGAAATAGAGATGTCTGTTTATCATTAGCAATTATCTTCTGTGTTGTTCAAACTCTTTAACATTTTCCTTTTAGGAAGATTACTAAGCAGAGCTAACACTGAAAAATCTTATGGTATTGATGAAAACGGGAGAGATGAGAATACTATGAAAAATATATTTTCAAAAAAGAGGAAATTAGAAGTTGCATGTTCAGATTGTGAAGTTGAAGTTCTCCCATTAGGATTGGAAACACATCCTAGAACTGCTAAAACTGAGAAATGTCCACCAAAGTTCAGTAATAATCCCAAGGAGCTTACTGTGTAAGTAACAGCTGAGGAACCCAGAGTAAATCTAAATTATTATCAATCAATTGGTTCTTTTTCATTCCTTCCCCTCTTTCTTTTCTCCTCATTTGTATTTATCATTTTGCTTCAAAGTTGTTAAGTCTAACACTTTGAGAAATCCAGGACATGTAAAAATCTAGCCAATATACCATCCTCAGTGTTCCAGTTTTGGAATTTTACCTTATATGACTTTAGTCAGGTTTTTTATGGATGTCATAAGTTTTGCTGTTTTTTAAAATTTTCTATCATTTTATCTGCAAAGTTTTCATAGGTTCTCTTCCTTTTCCAAATGTACTTCAAAAATTATTTATGATTATATTTCCTTTCTCTAGGGAAAGGAATAAACATAGATGTTCTTACTTAGGTTAATTTATAATAATTAAGGATATTTATGTAATAATGGATATTATCTGTACTTGAGTAAAGAGAATGAAGAGAATTTTTAGTGATACAGAATAACTTTTTTTTCCTTTTTAGGGAAACGAAATATGATAATATTTCAAGAATTCAATATCATTCAGTTATTAGAGATCCTGAATCCAAGACAGCCATTTTTCAACACAATGGGAAAAAAATGGTAAAAAATGCAAAATGTAGTTGGGACCCTTCTTTTCTTTTTTAAATTTTTTTTTTTTTTTTTTTTTTTTTTTTTTTTTTTTTGACGCAGAGTCTCACTCTGTCACCCAGGCTGGAGTGTGGTGGCACAGTCACAGCTCACTGCAGCCACAATCTCCTGGGCTCGAGTATCCTCCTCCCTCAGCCTCCCGAATGGCTGGGACTACAGGTGCACACCACCATGCCCAGCTCTTATTTAGTAGAGATGGGGTCTCACTATATTGCCCAGGCTGGTCTCCAACTCCTGAGCTCTAGCAGCTGTTGTGCCTCAGCCTCCCAAAGTTCTGGGATTATAGGCATGAGCCACCGCACCCAGCTGCTGGGGCCCTTCTGAGATGTAAACTATTGCCTTCCTATCCTTTACTTAGCTCAAAATGTTTGTGTTACTTTATAGTGTGTAGAATTTCTTTTATTGTTTTGGAATGGTGGACGGTGGAAATGCTAGGACCATGTTCTGTTTACTTAGTATCATCCACGGCAGTTGACATGTTTCCAGCTTGGCTGTATGAGGAGAATGCTGGTCATGATCTGACAGTGTGCTCCACTGAGACCGAGAGGTATCCCATTCTGAGAGTTTGTGGGAGAAGCTAAAGTCTTCAGGAGTTAATAGTGATATATAAGAAAAGGGACAAAGTAATTTAGGTGAAGGAGAACAAGGTTTTTGTTTTTTGTTTTGTTTTGTTTTGAGATGGAGTTTCACTCTTGTTGCCCAGGCTGGAGTGCAATGGCACGATCTCAGCTTATTGCAACCTCTGCCTCCTGGGTTCAAGCGATTCCCCTGCTTCAGCCTCATGAGTAGCTGGGATTACAGGTGCCTGCCACCATGCCCAGCTACTTTTTTGTATTTTTAGTAGAGACGGGGTTTCATGATGTTGGCCAGCTGGTCTCAAACTCCTGACCTCAGGTGATCCACCCACTTTGGCCTCCCGAAGTGCTGGGATTAGAGGCGTGAGCCACTGCGCCTGGCTGAAGGTTTTAAGATGTATGAGAAAGAAGAGATGCAATTTTATGAAAGAATCATCCAGAAAACAGTATTTTATGTGGTAGCCTCTGAGGGTACCCTTTGCATTGTGAACTAAAGATTAGTCAGAGACTGAAACGTAGAAGCAGAGAAAGAGAAAAGAGAACAAAGAGAGACATAATGGTAGCTTACTTTAGGGCTTGTTGATGAAGAGTAAAAACTCTGCTTTAGGTGTTATGCAAATATTTGCCCTCTGCCTGGTAATGGTACAGTAGCTACCTCCTTAAGGTCAGAGAATTATGAAAAGATTGGCCATGGTGTCACACAGACCCAGGTGTAACCTCCAGCTCTGCTGCGTGCTAGCTGGGTGGTATCTCCATACATACATTTCTTTTATCTGTAAAAAGGTAATAGTATATGTTTCAGAATTATGAGGATTAAATGAGATAAGCATCAGCAACTTGCTTAGCATCCAACTAAGTGCTCAATACATGTTGACCATTCACATGCTGAGAACTTTCATAGTAATAATATGGTCAATGTGTATTGAATACTTAGTTGGTTGCCAAGCATTGTGCTGAGTATATACGCCTCTTTTAAAGTTATCATTACTACTTAAAGTGACTGCAGTGTCTACAATGTGTAAGCATTATCACATTCGTTAACCTTTCTTTGAAGTAGAAACTAGCCAATGAGTGTTTTTCATCTTTACACAACTTACAGTTGAAGGCAAATTTATAATCTAGTAATAACACTTTCTAAGTACTGAGATGATTAGAATTGGGGGATACAGACAGGGATGCATTAAGATTTTAATTCCCAAAGAATTTCTTGACAGTCTTTATAGCTGTGGCTTAATAAAGCACCTAGAAGTAGAACAGAGTCAAAGGGGATGACACTTGTTGACTCCATTAGTCTAAAGACTCCTTATGATATCAGCTTTGAGGCTTTTCAAAACGAATCTAGTACATATAGCCTATGATGATTGACACTTGATGAAAGAGGCCTAACTGCTAAATACTTTTGCCTGACCTGGAAAGTAAAGACATCTTCCTTGTTTTTTTAAGGAATTTGTTTCCTCGGAGTCTGTCACTCCAGAAGATAATGATGGATTTAAACCACCCCGAGAGCATCTGAACTCTAAAACCAAGGGAGCACAAAGTAGGCTTTGTTTCTTCTGTGAATGCCTACCTCTTCTGCCTGTTTCTCTGTCTCTTGCTCAATACCTGTAGCTCATTTTCTTAGATTCCATAATAAACATGCTGCATTTGTCAGAAAGGTTACAACTTGTCTACATAAGAGATCAGCAAAATATCGTGTGTGGGCCAAATCTGGCCCTCTACCTGTTCAGTATGGCATGTGAGCTAAGAATGATATTTATGTTTTTAAATAGTTGAAAAAAATCAGAAGGTGATAATATTTTGACACTTGAAAATTATATGAAATTACAATTTTAGTGTCCAGAAATAAAGTTTTGGCCAGGTGCAGTAGCTCACGCCCGTAATCTTAGCACTTTGGGAAGCCAAGGCAGGAGGGCTGCTTGAGGCTATGAGTCTGGGCAATGTAGCAAGATCTTGTCTCAACAACAACAAAATAGCCAGGTGTGGTGGTGCACACCTGAGGTCTTAGCTACTCAGGGGGCTGAGGTGGGAGGATTGTTGAGGTCAGGAGTTTGAGGTTACAGTGAACTATGATTGTGCCACGGTACTGCAGCCTGGGCGATAGAACAAGACCCTGTCTCAAAAAAAAAAATAAAATGTAAGTTTTATTGGAATACAGCCAATTTACATTATATATTGTCTGCTTCAACATTACAGCAAGAGTTGAATAATCACAACAGAGACCACCACATGGCCAGCAAAGCCTGAAATATTTGCTATTTTGCCTTCTGCAGGAGAACTTTGCTGACCTCTGGTCTAATTGCCAGTAGTGACTTGATGCATGACAAGAGGGGTGGGCTGGAAAACTCTTGAGTCTTTGTGGTGCACAGGTGTTGTCCGTGGCTTTGGAACCATTGTGCAAAGCAGCCACTTTCAAACTCTTTGTAGACGCCTTTAAAAATAAACACACATCACTTTCCTGCAATTGCCTAGCCAATACTGCCGCAGAGCATACTCAGCTTGACTCTGGCAAAAGGCTAAAATATTGCCACCCTGAGTCCTTGTGTTTCAGAGTTACTAGTCCTTGCCATAGTTAATATTACAACTGGACAAACATTGTTTTTGGTACTTTTGCATTTCACTGTGTCCTTCACAAGGAGACATTGCTGAGAGATATCCGTTTGTGAAGAATTGGTGAGCCACTGCTGTCTCTTCCCCCCTGCAACCGCAGCTCTCCACCTAATATTAAAGGATGGAGATTGGAGGAGACATGGCAGTTCCTTGATAGAAAAGGTCTATCAAAAAAGGGGATTTTGTGTATTATATTTATTTTATCATGCATGTGAGCCACAGTGCATACCGTTGCTTTTGGTTCTTTTGCCCTTTTCATTGACTGCTACAATATATATAGCGGGTACTCCAAAAGTCAAAAGCTACATACTTTTTGTATAAAAAAATCCAAAGTTGTATTATGGCTTACACGTAACCCATGATTAAAATATAAGTACATATAGGAACAGCAGCCAGCAACAACAGTGATGATTAAATCAAGAGCCTCAATTTTAGACAAGTATAATTTCTTTGCGCCATTGAATTAGGTGGTCCAAATAGCTTTGTGGCTCTTTTAAAGTAAGTAATTTATACTTACTCCATCTGACATGCATTCATATCTTTTCTTTTTTTTTTAAAGAGAGACAGCGACTCATTCTGTCACCCAAGCTGGAGTGCAGTGGTGGGATCATAGCTCACTGTACCTTCCAATTCCTGGGCTCAAACAGTCCTCCCACCTCAGTCTCCTGAGCAAACAGGACTACAGGCACACACCCCCTTGTTGGCTAATTTCTTTTTTTTAAAATTTTTTGTAGAGATGGGGTCTCACTTTGTTGCCCAGGCTGGTCTTGAATTCCTGGCCTCAAGCATCCTCCTGCCTTGGCCTCCCAAAGTGCTGGGATTACAGGCATGAGCCACCATGCCCAGCCATATTCATACTCTTGAATACTCTCAAAAAATTATTTTCCTTATTGGATAAGAAAAACGATTAAGCAGTGCATCTGCTTTTAAAGGATTATTGTTTACAAAGGTGTAATTATTGAATGGTCATCTAGTAAAACACCAAACACTAATATGTGCAAAACCCCTAGCAATACAGTTGTCACTGCTGGGACTTGTGGAAGGTGTCTCTGTCAGGGTTAGGCCTTTTATTGGCAGCATAAAGGCCTAGAGTGCCTCCAAAACACCCACTCTGTTACATTTGTTTAGAATATACTTAAGTGCAGATTCCAGAATTAAAGAGAAGAAAGTCAGTTTATTATGAGTAGAGATTAAATATAATAATGAAGAAGCAAGATGTAGATTCATAAAAAGGCATTGTTACGTAGTAGAAAGAAGGCAGACTTTGGGATTCAAACATTTCTAGGTTTGTTACCCCAGTTCTCGTTATTGTGGGTCAGATGAATTCCTTAATCCCTCAGAGAAAGTTTCCTTTATACAATTAAAATAATACTACCTGCCTAACACATTGTAAGGATCGATAATTAAAGCACCTAGCATCTAATTAGTGTTGTTAATTTCAGCACTATTGCTCAGCAAGTATATTTCCTGATGTTTCCTTCCAAAATGTCTATTAGAGGACTCAAGTTCAAACCATGTTGATGAGTTTGAAGATAATCTGCTGATTGAATCAGATGTGATAGATATAACTAAATATAGAGAAGAAACTCCACCAAGGAGCAGATGTAACCAGGCGACCACATTGGATAATCAGAATATTAAAAAGGCAATTGAGGTTCAAATTCAGAAACCCCAAGAGGGACGATCTACAGCATGTCAAAGACAGCAGGTATTTTGTGATGAAGAGTTGCTAAGTGAAACCAAGAATACTTCATCTGATTCTCTAACAAAGTTCAATAAAGGGAATGTGTTTTTATTGGATGCCACAAAAGAAGGAAATGTCGGCCGCTTCCTTAATGTGAGTATAAGGGCTGAGATTCCTATTTCTGAACAACTGTTTTTTTCTATGCTACTTAACAAAATTATGAGGAAAATAAACAGACTCTAAAGTCAGACCATCTGGTTAGAATTCCAGTCCTCCACTTGTATACAGTTGGATGTTTTACTTGACCTCTGATACCTCATTTTCTACCTCTGTAATACAGGGATAAATGATAACTGTCTCAGGATGTTATGAGAATCTAATGAATTAACATTAAGTGCTTAGAACAGTGCCTAGCACATAGTAAACATTTGCTTTTAAAAAACTGTAAGAAATGGTGTATAAGAAAAGTATTTAAATATATCAGATTTAAATAAGCTCACTTACCTGAGTTGAAAAAAATGTATGGCTAGGAAGTTATCAGTGAAGTTAAATGGTGGCAGATATGTCCAAAGAATACTGCAGGGATTTAATGGTGTATTAATATGGAAAGATTGCCACAATATACTGGTTTTTTGGTTTTTATTTTTTGTTTTTTTTGAGACAGAGTCTCACTTTGTCACCAGTGGCACAATCTCAGCTCACTGCAACCTCCGCTTCTGGGGTTCAAGCAATTCTCATGCCTCGGCCTCCTGAGTAGCTGAGATTACAGGCGTTAATGAATCACATGATGAATGTGTGGAGATGGCGGCTAGTGGGCAACAGAGCAATACTGGAATAGTGCTAATATGAGGAAATGGTATCATCTATTTAGAAGCCTCGGAACGACGATACATAATGGCTATCTTCAGCAAAGAAATTTGTTGCTTACAATATCTCCTCTCCAAAAGGCTTGTTTGTTACAGTGATGTAAAAATTAGGTTCTGTACATCTTCATATTAAACTTACTTTGTGAAAACTTTTTGTTTAAAAAAAAAAAAAAAAGCCATACCTTGAGAAGTACTGTGCTCCTGTTCCCATGCCCCGACTCCACCTTCTCTCTGTAGGTCATCATATTTATTCTTTTTTTTTTTTTTTTTTTGAGACCGAGTCTTGCTCTGTCACCAGGCTGGAGTGCAGTGGTGTGATCTCGGCCCACTGCGATCTCCGCCTCCTAGGTTCAAGCGATTCTCCTCATCAGCCTCCTGAGTAGCTGAGATTACAGGTGTGCACCACCATGCCTGGCTAATTTTTGCATTTTTAGTAGAGACACAATTTCACCATGTTGGTCAGGCTGGTCTTGAACTCCTGACCTCAAGTGATCTGCCTGCCTCGGCCTCCCAAAGTGCTGGGATTACAGGTGTGAGCCACCGCACCTGGCCTTATTTCTCCCGCCCCCCCCCCCTTTTTTTTTTACATAAAACATAGCATATTATATTCACTGTTCTATACTTTGTTTTTCAAATTAACAGTATATTGGGCCAGGCGTGATGTGACTCATGCCTGTAATCCCAGCACTTTGGGAAGCCAAGGCAGGCAGATCACTTGAGGTCAGGAGTTTGAGACCAGCCTGGCCAACACGGCAAAACCCCGTCACTACTAAAAATACAAAAAAAATTAGCCGTGTGTCATGGCACATGCCTATAATCCCAGCTACTTGGGAGGCTGAGGCATGAGAATCACTTGAACCCAGGAGGCGGAGGTTGCAGTGAGCCAGGATCATGCCACTGCACTCCAGCCTGGGCGACAGAGTGAGACTCCGTCTCAAAAAAAAAAAAAAAAAAAAAAATCTTGTGGCAATTCCATATTAATACCCAGAGCTTCTCAAATTGTTTTTATTTGTATGCTTTTGTTTATAGCTGCATAGAATTCTATTGTGTACCAAAGTTTATTTAACCAATCTGCTTTAGGCAAATATTTGGGTTATTTCCAAACCTTTAGCACTAAAAACAATGCTCAATGAATAATTACACATGGAAACATATACAGATGAATCTGTGGAATACAATTCTAGATATGAGATTGCAGAATCAAAAGACAAATGCATTTATAATAATGATAAATATTGACATATTTTATAGGGATTTGTCCCATTTTTGCATTTCTGCCAGCAACATAGAAGAGCGTCAGAACAGGGCTTTTCTGAATGGGTTCCCACTATTAACAGGAGCTGTGATAATTTATACATTGACAAAAAAAGAACAAAATCAGTGTGATATATTAAAAACAGAATGGTTTTCTAATGCAAAAGCACAAGGCATCAGACTTTATGCTATTTCTAACCTTTGTGTTTATTTTTATTTAACAGCATAGTTGTTGCCCAAATCTCTTGGTACAGAATGTTTTTGTAGAAACACACAACAGGAATTTTCCATTGGTGGCATTCTTCACCAACAGGTTTGAAATTGATTTCGCTTACTTAATTCTGAAATTGTGACTTTAAAAATAACAATAGAGGGCTGAGTGCTGTGGCTCATACCTGTAATCCCAGCACTTTGGGAGGCCAAGGTGGGGAGACTGCTTGAGCTCAGGAGTTTAAGACCAGCCAGAGCCACATGGCGAAACCCTGTCTTTACTAAAAAAAATAGAAAAAGTTCACCAGGTTTGGTGGCCAGCTACTCAGGAAGCTGGGGTAGGAGGATCACTTGAGCCCAAGAGGTAGAGTTTGCACCCTGTCTCAAAAAATGATAATTATAATAGAAAAATATTTTTTAAAGATATATACTATAGCCCCAAATATCTGGTACTGTAGAATATTCAATTATCCTAAACTGTTCCTATTCAATAAGATTTTGCACACCTGAAATTTTGACTCTTATTCCCATTTAGAATGAATGCCTGAAAGGGCTGAAGATATCAGGTATCACCCAGTTCCACTCGGGATAAATGATGCAGAGTGCTACATAATCTTTAATTCAGAGCTATTCCCCAGCTACTTCCACACTGCAGGCCTCAACACATGACTGGGTCCCACTGTTGGCAAAATACACTTCTTCCTCATATTGATAGGTTCCTTCTTACTTAACATTTTAGTAGATTTGAAATAAAACTCAAATGGTTATTCTTAATAAAAGGTCATTCCTAATTGGTGGATGTTGGGTGAGAGAACAGATCATATTTTTGAGGATGGTTAATGTTAATATGAAAATTGATATAATTTGGTTCATTGGTAGTTATTTAGGGTATTTTATGATTCTTTTCAAATTTCTACTTTCTAGGTATGTGAAAGCAAGAACAGAGCTAACATGGGATTATGGCTATGAAGCTGGGACTGTGCCTGAGAAGGAAATCTTCTGCCAATGTGGGGTTAATAAATGTAGAAAAAAAATATTATAAATATGTAACTAACGCCTGTTTGTGAAATTAGCTTATCAGGCTGAAATTAAAGCCATGCAAAAGAAGGTCTAGGTCCATCAAGGAAATTCCCCTCCGTTTTCCTTTGTCATGGGGTTTATGTTTTATTTCAGATTTTATTTGTGTGACTTAGAAATTCCAGGAACACAATTAGGATATTTTCATACACATAGGGTATCTTGTTCACTGCTGTGCTACTTTACATGAGTAGGATGGAAGTGTATATTTTATATGAAATACCACTGTACAATTTATAATTTATTTACAAATTATATATTAAGAGAAACAAATGTCATAACAGAACTCAGCTGTTTCTAATTGCTTTTGTGACTGTTACCTTTTAGTTCATGCCCCCCCAAAGAGCTAAATTTCACATTTTTACCTACAAAATTGATTTTTAATTCCTGGCAAATAATTTACCATTATGAGCTACAAGGTGGGCAACAGCGCCTGAGGATCTAATTTTATGCATATTACTCCCAAGTATTTTAACACTTGTTGGAGAAGCAATATCTGGATCGATAAAACACTGTCCCATCAACCATTTGAGTGGGGAGAGGGAGAAGCTCTTCTGTAAGTAAGATTCTGGCAAGCTCTTTGAAATGAGTCTTCTTTCCCACAGATTTTCTCTACTCTTTCTATACAAACAGATAGGAGAAGAGGGAATAGAAACCTGGAGGAACTTGAATATTTTTGTTCTAGATAGAGATACAGTTACTGAAAAGGAAACCTAGAAAGTAGTCACACGTTGCTTATTTAGGCCAGAAGTAATTGTACTGGGCAAAAATTTCACTTAAAAAACACAAGAAGTCCAGGTATGGTGGCTCAGACCTGTAATCCCAGCACTTTGAGAGGCCGAGGCAGGTGGATTACTTGAGCCTAGGGGTTCAAGACCAGCTTGGGCAACATGTCAAAACCCTGTCTCTACAAAAAATACAAAAATTAGCCTGGCATGATGGCATGTGCCCGTAGTCTCAGCTACTCAGGAGTGAGGTGGGAGGATCATTTGAGCTCAGAAGGTCAAGGCTGCAATGAGACATAATTTCACCATAGTACTTCCAGCCTGGGCAATAGAGCAAGACTCTCTCTCAAAAAAAACAGCACACACACACACACACGAAAACAATTCTGAACTATGAAATCTGAAACAGCCCCTTGGTATCTCCTGGGCATGATTTGCAAATCTTTTTTTTTTACAGAAAAAAGGCAAAGAGTAAGCACTTTGCCATAGGTTACTTGGCCGTGATCATCTATCTAGTGGAAAAGGGGACTGGGAAGCCCAAGCAGACTGGGAAACCAGACAGCTAGGAAAAGGAGCAAAACATAGCCCAGCAACCTACAGATGAAGAAAGTTGAGAAATCCATTTATTCACCATAGAGACGCAGGAATTTCAGGCAATGCACTAAAATGAAATGGGGGAAAAAAGCTTGATCAGTATGGGAACCATTTTTGTGCAAAAGGGAATATTATGGATCAGCCAGTATTTCTTTGAGCTCTGCCTGTGGAGTCCATTTGACCTTTAGAAATATGAGGTATTCTGTCAGTTTTATCTTCTTGGAGAAATTTCTCCTAAAATCTTGATTTGCTTTAGTCTGGACTGGTTCATAGCCATCATCTTCCATCAGTACCCCAGAGATTCACTTTGTCTCTTATGTGGGATCTGTTTCCAGTTAGATGCCATTATTTTCCTTTTCCTTGGTTTACTCTTCCACATATTGGTAAAGCTCTTCCAATAGCTTTTGGAAAGGAAAAATGAAAAGTAAATGTTTTGAATCTCTGTGTGTTTGACAATGTCTTTATTTTACCCTTATACCTGATTGCTGTTTTGGTTGGCAAGGTATAGGATTCTTTAGTGGTCTCCATGCCCAGTTTTGAAGACATCTGCTAGCTTTCAGTGCTGTTGCTGTGGAGTCTGAAAATCTGTCTTCTGGCTTCCAGGGTGACTACTGGAAATTGAATGCCATTCTGTTCCTTCTCTTTTGCATATATAATCCATTTTTATCTCTCTTGAAGCTTATAGGTTTATCTTTGTCTCAATGTTCTGTCCCTGTTAAGAGTCCATTTTCATCCTTTGTACTAGGTGCCTGGTGGGATCATTCCGTCTGAAACTAATGATTTCCCATCTCTTCACTGTTTCTGGAATTCCTGTTTTCCAGATGTTAGACCTCCAGAATTTGATCTCTAATTTTCCTATCTTTTCTCTTAACTTTCAGCTCTGTCTTCTTGCTAGGACCTTTTCCTAGGAGCATTTCTCAATTTAATCTTCCAGTTCATCTGTTGCATTTTATTTTTCTAGTCTCATATTGTCTCATATTTTTAATTTCTAAGAGCTCCCCTTCTCCGAATATTCTTTTTTTTTAATAGCATCCTATTTTGGCTCATGGTTGCAGTATTTTATCTCCTTGAAGATGTTTGTGTGTTTATGTATGTATATGCACACACGTATACATACACATACAGGCATGCATCTCTGTATTCTTTCGGCATAATCTGTGTCCTCCAGGGTTTGTTTCTTTGTTTCCCCTGTATGTTTGTTTTGGTCGTTCACATTATAGGCTTTCCTCAGAGTTAATGGTCTTGGTAGTCTACTCATATTTAAGTGTGGAACACCAAAAAGCTTACTATAAGCTGAGAGTGTGGTAAAGGGCTCTTTGTTTTACTATGACCTACCTGAGCTATCTTGCTGGGGAACACCCTAATGTCAGTCTCTTTATAAAGGGCCTTTCATTTTGGCCTGGCAAGAAATACTCTTTCATCCTCCTGCATGGAGGGCAAAAAAAAATTTAAAAATTGGCTGCTAGGGTCTGTCTGCTCACTTCCCTGTTTTGCAGACCCCACACTCTTCTGCAATTCATTTCATAGTTGTCAAGACTATACAAATTGTCCTTTTTAATGTTCTCTCTTCTGCTATCCCTAGTTGGCAGTCTTCCTCTTTACAACCTGCTGAAAGTGGAAGACCTCCAGTTTTCCTTTAATTCCTCAGCAAACCACCAACTATTATATGTCTTTTTTCCAGAACAACTTATTTTTTAACTATAATTATATGCATTTATGTTAGATTCACTGAAAACCTCATCTTGTATGGTGCTCTGTACCCTATGGGTGCTAAATAAAGGCTTGCTACTGGCAACTGGATTTAGGATCGGCTAATTCTGCGTCCTTTTAAGATATGCTTATTTAAGCCAAACTCGGTATGATAATTTTTTTTTTTTTTTTTTTTTTTTTGAGAGGGAGTCTGGCTCTGTCGCCTAGGCAGGAGTGCAGTGGCGCGATCTTGGCTCACTGCAACCCCCGCCTCCCGGGTTCAAGCGATTCTCCTGCCTCAGACTCCCGAGTAGCTGGGATTACAGGCGCCCGCCACCAAGCCCGGCTAATTTTTGTATTTTTAGTAGAGACGGGGTTTCACCATGTTGACCAGGCTGGTCTCGAACTCCTGACCTCGTGATTCGCCCACCTCGGCCTCCCAAAGTCCTGGAACTACAGGCGTGAGCCACCGCGCCCACCCGGCCAGTATGATAGTTTTTAGGAGGAACCCTCAGGAGAGTGATTGTTTCTCCCGCTGTGTTGTGGGGGGTGGAGTAGGGAAGCCTGGCGTTTGGGGTTTTTTTGTTTGTTTGTTTTTTGTGTGTGTTTGTTTGTTTGTTTGTTTTGAGACGGAGTCCCGCTCTGTAGCCCAGGCTGGAGTGTAGTGGCGCGATCTCGGCTCACTGCAAGCCCCGCCTCCCGATTCAAGCGATTCTCATGCCTCAGTGTCTGGAGTAGCTGGGATTACAGGCACCCGCCACCATGCCCAGCTAATTTTTGTATTTTTAGTAGAGACGGGGTTTCACCATGTTGGTTAGGCTGGTGTTGAACTCCTGACCTCGTGATCCGCCCTCCTCGGCCTCCCAAAGTGCTGGGATTACAGGCGTGAGCCACTGCTCCCGGCGTTTGGGTTTTTTAAGCTATTCAAATTAAGACTAGACTGGAATCTGGAGCAGTGTGTGTGACAACCCCTCTCTGCACACCCAACTTTCCCCGGGCCGGCTAGTGACTCAAAGCGACAGCCCAGATTTAAGAAAACGAAACCTAGTGCAGCTGGGGCACTTCCGGGATCTCGCTATCCGGCCGCCACCCGCAGCTGCAGCACAGTCATGGCCCAGGCGTCGCCGCCCCGGCCCGAGAGGGTGCTCGGCGCCAGCAGCCCGGAGGCCCGGCCCGCGCAGGAGGCGCTCCTCCTTCCCACCGGTGTGTACCGCGGGGGCGGGCGGGCGGGCGGGCGGGGCTGGGCAGCGACGGGCCCGGTCAAGGGGCCTGCCTTCCGGTCGTGGCCGCATGGGGGCCCGACCTGCCCCTACTCCGGGCCGGGGCCCTAGACGCCGGGGCGGCGCTGGACGAACTTGGCTCACCACTCGCGTGCCTGTTGGTGGGGGAGGGGGCCAGAGGACAGGGCGCGGCCCAGGCCAGTTCCACAGGTGGCTCTGACTGCCCATGGTTTCGCGCGAGTGGTGGGCACGCTTCGGTTTACCTCCCCCGCGGGTGACAGCCCAGTGCTTCCACCACAACCGATGTCAACTCTCCTAGCGCCCCTCCGCTCACCGGTAAACCAGGACAGTGGAGGGGCGCCCTGATGCGGTGAGGCAGGGGGCGGCCCTGAGGGAAGAGCTGGGTCTCACGTTCACGGAGGACGTGACTGGAACCCGTCTCCCCTTCTCCAGTCGTTCCAGTCCTCCCCGGCCCTCTACTTGAGTGGGTGGGTCTTCTGATGGGTTCCTGCCCTTGCGTGTGTGTATAGCTCCAAACGGTGTGCCAGGCTCAGGGCAAGGTCCTGAGCATACAAAGATGAGTTAGGCAGACCCTGCCCTAGAGACTCTACTAGGCAACTTTAATGAGGAGGTCAGAACCACAGAGGTACAGATGAGAGACTCCTGACTCCCAGTCTTCAGGGAAAGCTTTTTGAGGAGAGGATGGCTGGGCTTACCCTTTTTTTTTTTTTTTTTTTTTGAGAGGAGTTTCACTCTTGTTGCCCAGGCTGGAGTGCAAAGGCGCTATCTCGGCCCACTGCAACCTCTGCCTCCCGGGTTCAAGCGATTCTCCTGCCTCAGCCTCCCGAGTGGATGGGATTACAGGCATGTGCCACCACGCCCAGCTAATTTTGTATTTTTAGTAGAGAGGGTTTCTCCATGTTTCATGGGCTTACCTTTAAAGGGCAAGACTCAGCCAAAGGTGGAAAAGTTGAAGGGGTGTTCCCAGCAGAGAGGATGACACAAAGGCACCAAACCACAAAACGTCACACGTAAACATCATACGTGGCAACCACAAGCCAATCAGTTGGATATTTCATTCATTGGTATACATATGGACTGTAAGGTAAGTCACGGGAGATGCGCTTCCATCCTGACCTCTTCCTCAAACTCCAGACTGGTATAACCAACTTCTTCCATTTCTGAAATGATCTCAAACTGAGTATGTCCCAAAGAGAATTCTTGTTTCCTCCACTGTATTCAGGTACTCCAAACCTGCTCAACCACCAGCCCATTCCATTCGCCCAGGTGCTCCTTGCAAAAACCTTAGTGGCTCCTCAGGGCCTCTCTTTCCTCCGGACACCCCTTCTAATGCATCAGTCGGGCCAGCCAGTTCTGTGTTCAGCCTGACTGTATCTGGAGCCTGACTGCTTCTCACCACTTCCATTACTGCCACCCAAGCCTACGCCATCATGATCTTCTGTCTGGACTATTGCTTTCCTGGCTTCTATTCTAGCCTTTAATACAGGCAGGCCTGCAGAGCGGCCAAAATGCTTTTTGAAAAACAAAAAGCAAATGTGATTCTCCTACTCAAAACCCACCAATAGTCTCCCATGACTCTCAGAACAATCTATGAGCCTGGCCTGCAGTTTACCCCATGTCCTTATCTGATTTGACTCCTGCCCATCTTAATGACTCTGCTACCCTGCTACCTTGTAGGTCCTCTAAGCCACCAAAGCTGTCCCTGCCTCAGGATCTTTCCATTTGCTATTCTCTGCAAGGAAAACTCATTGCCACATTATCCCATTTTCAGTTCCCCATCATATTCAGGTGTCTGCTCATATACATCTTCCCTCAACCTTGCCTGCCCATCCTGTCTAAAAGAGCACCCCTTGCCCCTGCTCCTGTCACTCTCTACCTCCTTCTGCTCTATTCTTTCTCTATAGTACTTATCACTACCTGGAAAACAAAACAAAACTTGTTTAATGCCTGTCTCTACCACTGGCCACTGGCATGTAAATTCGTCTTACTCTCTTCTATCCTTAGTGCCTAGACTGGTTGGCCTAGTAGTAGTAGTAGGACATAGTAGGTACTCATTAAATATTAAATAATAGTAAGTCCTCATTAAATATTTGTTGAAGGAATGAATGTACTTGTATATAACACTACGGAGCTTGACTTCTGTAGGTGATGGGGAAATATGAGCAGATGTCCATTTCAGGTAGATCATTCTGACAGTAACATAGTACATTTCCGGTAGATCATTCTGACAGTAACCTAGCACATTTCTGGTAAATCATTCTGACAGTAACCTAGTACATTTCCGGTAGATCATTCTGACAGTAACCTAGTACATTTCCAGTAGATCATTCTGACAGTAACCTAGTACATTTCAGATAGATCATTCTGACTGTAACCTAGTACATTTCCGTTAGATCATTCTGACAGTGACCTGGTACATTTCAGGTAGATCATTCTGACAGTAACCTAGTACATTTCAGGTAGATCATTCTGACAGTAGCATAGTGCATTTCAGGTAGATCATTCTGACAGTAACGTAATACATTTCAGATAGATCATTCTGACAGTAATATAAAGAATGCAGTGGGATCATGACAGGGAAAATAGAGACAAGGACAAGAGATCACTGGAATAGACTAGGTGAAAGACCCTGAGGGTAAGGCAGTCCACCTTCCACACCGCTGCCAGCACTGTCTTTCTCTTAAACACACATGGGCACACACACATATAAACATGTGAGTGCACACACACAGATCAAGTAAGTCATGGTCCTTCCAGTGTTAATAAGCACGTACTGGCTGCAAGTACTACAAAAACAATTTGATGTAATTTAAGCATGAGGGATGCTTAGTAGTAGTAAGCAGGAAAACCAGACTCACAGACCCCCAGAGCATGGATACTTTAGCATCTTACAGAAAGGGCTGAGGACTAGGACCTGAGAAGCCATTATAAACTTTGACAACACTCTCCTTTATCTCTTATTTCTGCATCTCTCAGTGTATCTGCTTTGTTCTTCTCTTTCTCTGGTCCAGTTTTCCTGGTGATGGTATAGAAGATGGCTGCCCTTGCAGCCTCTCAGTTTTTACATCTTCTTTAAGAAACCAGCCCAATCTGAACTGAAATCTTCTATCCTGAATTCTGTATATCTGAGAGATGAGCAGGTCCTCTGGGACTATCAGCTATGTCTAGAGGAATGAAGTACAAACATGCCTGCTGGGGGTCATTGTGTACGCATCATTGTGAGCTGAACAGATACCCTAAAGGAGTCCATTGAATATCCTATCCTTAGGCTCCCCATGGTCCCTCCTCTATAACACACACATCCTTATTCCTATTTATACATTCTAAAGATATTCCCAGTGATGCATTCTGTTCCCAGTAATGAATTCTAGCTATACCAAAACCAAATTCAGTCACACTTAACTTCTGCCAAAGTCATATCTAGCCACTTCATCCTGAGATAATGTGATGGAACCATTCATTCTCCAAGGCCATTACCAAGTTCCTTGCCAAGCCTCTAGGTAATGTCTACTGTTTTGGTCTGTATCCAGTTCAGGTAGGCATTCACTGGACCAGTGATAAAATTGGCTTCTACACATCCAGCAAACAGTGGAAGAACTAAAATAGTAAATTGCAATAAACACTAATGATAAAAGGAGAAGAAAGGAGGAAATCTCCAAACCAGCACCATAAATTAGTTACCTACCAGTCCAGAACAAATCTATACTGGAAGGGGATTCTAAATGAAATGATAGGATTAGTGAATCCCATTCCAACTGTTTCACCCATTTCTTTAGTGGCAGAATGTGTTCCTTGACCACGCTTCCTGGCTACCCCAGATTCTGTGCCCTGGGTGGATTACCCTTGGCTGGAGGGCTTTAAGAGTAGAAGCTAGAGCCTCGGCAATCCATTTCCACATTGAAGAGGGCCTGCAGATTGCCGGAGAGATTAAGAATCACTGTGTTGTTTGAATTAGTCATAGTTCTTATATTCCAGGCTTGTGATCTTTCTGTGGTTTCATTCTGTATAAACTTTCTTGGCTCTCAGTTTCATTTGTGAGAATTCTAAAATTCTGCAATCTTGTCGGGTCAGGCTCTGTGAGTCCTCAGGGTTGCTAAACCCCCCTAGAAAGGAGCCTGGAAAGCCCTGCTGACTATTCTTGGTCCCAGCTACTGATGAAAACCAATGGGCTCTTCCCTAAAATACCTCAGCCTTCATGACACACCTTTAGGTATCCCTCCCTCTCTGAATCTGTACAGTTCCTGAGTTCAGATGGTGAGGGATACCAAACTGTCCAAATGTATGTGGTCCATGAGTTTCGGATAACACATAGCAAGAGTTCAGATAGTGAGAGATGCCTGTCTGTGTAAAAGTCCTCAGTGTGACTCCCATAGTGAGAGATGCCTGTGTAAAAGTCCTCAGTGTGACTCCTCCAACTGCAGAGAATTACACACTTCCTCCAGTCTAGAAGATCAAAAGAGCTAGAAGAGCCGAAATCCATTAAGACACTGTGATATGGGGGGATTTAGCAGGAAAAAGCCACTAGGGAGAACCTGTGGGTCCCACCCCATGTTTTTAATCCATCTGCACTGAAGACAAACTCTGGGTCTAGCACAGCAGTGTTGTCAGCATATCTGTCTTGTCTGTCTTGTTCTTCTCTGTATTCCCCGTTGTCAGAGAATACAAACCACCTCTGTATTCCCAGATGCCAAGACTCTTGGAACCCAAGTACTTGGGAGCTCAGCTCAGGTATCAGTGACTTGACAGCTCTGCCCAGTGCACAGAAACAAGCAATGTTGTACAAAAATGTTCAGCCCTTATACAACAAGAGGCAGCTGCATATCCTGTCAGATAGTATCGCTTTTAATTTGGGAGTCACCAACTTTTGTTTTTTTTTTTTTTTGGTTTTTTTTTTTCTGAAATGGAGTTTTGTTCTCATCGCCTAGGCTGGAGTGCAATGGTGCGATCTCGGCTCACCGCAACCTCCACCTCCCAGATTCAAGCGATTCTCCTGCCTCAGCCTCCCGAGTAGCGGGGATTACAGGCATGCACCACCACGCCTGGCTAATTTTGTATTTTTAGTAGAGACGGGGTTTCTCCATGTTTGTCAGGCTGCTCTTGAACTCCCGACCTCAGGTGATCCGCCTGCCTCGGCCTCCCAAAGTGCTGGGATTATAGGTGTGAGCCACTACGCCCAGCCCCACTGGCTTTTTTTAAGCCTGTACTTTACAAGTTTTAATGTCTGTTTTGAGTGTCCTTTAATAAGAACACAGTATTCTATCAAAGTAGATTTTGGGTCTGAGGTAATTAGAATATTGGGATGTTTTTCCCCCAGTTTCATCCTAGGGCAGGGGACTTTGTGTTGTCAAATATTAACATATATTCTAAAACATTGAAAATTTTAAGTGTAGCATTGTTCAATGGAATAAAACAGAAGCACAGGAGGAACAGATCCAACTATATGAAAAGGAGATTTTAAATTAGTGGCTAACCATTATGAATATAAGTTAGATTCCCATCTCATACATTACAAAACAATTTATTCTATGTTCATGAATAGTTTAATTCTTTTTTTGTTTCATTTTGTTTTGTTTTTTTGAGGAGTTTCGCCCTTGTCGCCCAGGCTAGCATGCAGTGGTGCAATCTCAGCTCACTGCAACCTCCTCCTCCCAGGTTCAAGTGATTCTCTTGCCTCAGCCTCCCGAGTAGCTGGGATTATAGGTGTCCGCCACCATGCCCGGCTAATTTTTGTAATTTTAGTAGAGACAGGGTTTCACCATGTTGGTCAGGCTGGTCTCGAACTCCTGACCTCAGGTGATCCACCCGCCTCGGCCTCCCAAAGTGCTGGGATTACAGGTGTGAGCCACCGCGCCCGGCCAATATTTTAATTCTAAAATTAAATTAAGGCAGGACATGGTGCCTCATGCCTGTAATCCCAGCACTTTGGGAGGCTCAGGAGGGAGGATCACTTGAGCCTAGGAGTTCGAAACCATCCTGGACAACATGGCAAGATCCCTCCTCTACACAAAAATTTAAAAATTAGCTAGATGTGGTTGCATGCACCTGTAATCCCAGCTACTTTGGAGGCTGAGGTGAGAGGATCACTTGAGCTGGGGAGGTTGAGGCTGCAGTGAGCCATGATCATGCCACTGCACTCCAAGCTTGGGTGACAGGGCAAGACCCTGTCTCAAAATAAATAAATTGATTAATTAAAATAAATTAAAATTCTAGAAGAAAACAGAGGTAAGTGTTTTCTATGTCCATCTCACCCAAGAGCAGAAATCATAAAATAAATGATTGTTGTAATTTCATCAAGTAAAACATTTAAATATTCTGTATATCAAAGAATATTATAAACAAAGTTAAAAGACCACATATATGACTAACAAAGGGTTAATACCCTGACTGTTATAAACCAATAAGAAAATAATAATTCAACAGAAAAATGGGCTAAGGACATGAGTGCCTTAGAGAAGAAATGGGATTGTGACCTTACTGCATGTTACATTCGTAAGTCCAGATTATGATCCACTTCTCTCTGCATTTCGTGTTCTTTCCTTTGACTTCATCATCTAACCTTCTGTCCTAACTGTACCTTGATAATACGTTTATTTGTTTGTTTGTTTTGAGACGGAGTTTCACTCTTGTTGCCCAGGCCACAGTGCAGTGGCACATTCTTGGCTCACTGCAACCTCTGCCTCCCAGGTCCAAGGGATTCTCCTGCCTCAGCCTCCCGAGTAGCTGGGATAACAGGCATGCACCACCACGCCTAGCTAATTTTTTTTTTTAATGTAGTAGAGATGGGGTTTCACCATGTTAGCCAGGATGGTCTCGATCTCCTGATCTTGTGATCCACCCACCTCGGCCTCCCAAAGTGCAGGGATTACAGGCGTGAGCACCGTGCCCGACCAAGATTGACCTTCTTAAACAACTTTGTCATCATGTGCTTCTCCTGCTCAGACATCCTCCTTGGCAGCCTTTCAACACGTTTCTCAAATCCTTTCCCAGCTTCCTGTGCAGCCTTTCCTCCTCAGCCTGGCTGCCTTACTGTCTCAGCTCCGATCTCTGGGCCTTTTCCCATATGGCTGCTTCCCTCTACAGTGTTCCTCCTAGCCCATACCCCAACCCACCCCACCTTTCCCTCCTCTCCAGGTTGTACCAGTTCCAGGCCCCTGCCCTTGACAATACTCCTTCCCACGAGGAGCACTTCCTCGGCTACCTCCTTAGCGTGTATTGGAATTCCCACTCACTTGGCAGTTGCACTTTGTGACACTTAATTCTGCCATTTTATTTTCCTAACTGCTATTTAGTCTCCCTGTTTATTTCGTAAGCTTCTTGCAGACACCAGTTCTATCTCACCACATTTCTTTACGTCCTCTGCTCTACTATTCACTAGAGGAGCCCCTCACCACAGATAGCTGTTGAGCACGTACAATGTGACTGGTCCTATTGAGACATGCTTTAAGCACAGAATACACACTGGACTTCAAAGACTCTGTACAAAAGAATGAATAACTTTTATATTGACTAAATGTTGAAAGGATGTAAGTTCTTTGACATATTTGGTTGCATAAAGCACATTATTAGCTTCACCTGTTTCTTTTTTGGGTTTTTTGTTTGTTTGTTTGTGTCGTTTTTGAGACAGAGCCTCATTCTGTTGCCCAGGCTGGAGTGCAGTGGCACAATTTCAGCTCACTGCAGCCTCTGCCTCCTGGGTGCAAGCAATTCTCGTGCCTCAGCCTCCCAAGTAGCTGGAATTACAGGTGTGTGCCACCATACTGGGCTAATTTTTTTGTATTTTTAGTAGTGACATGTTGGCCAAGCTGGTCTTGAACTCCTGACCTCAGGTGATCCACCCACCTCAGCCTCCCGAAGTTCTGGGATTATAGGCGTGAGCCACTAGGCCCAGCCTCCTTTTTGATTTTTTTAATGAGGCTCCTAGAAAGTTTTCAGTGATATCTGTGGCTCACATTTGTGTCTTGTTATATGTTTCTTGTTGGACAGCATCGGTCTAGAGTGCACAACATAGTGACTCAAACACAAGAAATGCTCTCAGGCTGGGTGCAGTGGCTCACACTTGTAATCTCAGCACTTTGGGAGGCCAAGCAGGCTGATCTTGAGCCTAGGAGTTTGAGACCAGCCTGGGCAACATAATGGGACCCCTGTCTCTAAAAAAAAAAATAACAAAAATTAGCCAGACATGGTGGCCTATATCTGTGGTCCCAGCTACTGAGGTGGGAGACTGAGGTGGGAGGATCACTTGAGCCCTGGAGGCAGAGGTTGCAGTGAGCCATCATTGCGCCACTGCACTCCAACCTGAGTGACAGAGCGAGACTCTGTCTAAAAAAAAAGATACTCCCCAGCCCCCCGCCCGGCCAGCCGCCCCGTCCGGGAGGTGAGGGGCGCCTCTGCCTGGCCGCCCCTACTGGGAAGTGAGGAGCCCCTCTGCCCGGCCAGCCGCCCCGTCCGGGAGGGAGGTGGGGGGTCAGCCCCCCGCCCGGCCAGCCGCCCCGTCCGGGAGGTGAGAGGCGCCTCTGCCCGGCCGCCCCTACTAGGAAGTGAGGAGCCCCTCTGCCCGGCCACCACCCCGTCTGGGAGGTGTACCCAACAGCTCATTGAGAACGGGCCAGGATGACAATCGCGGCTTTGTGGAATAGAAAGGGGGGAAAGGTGGGGAAAAGATTGAGAAATCGGATGGTTGCCGTGTCTGTGTAGAAAGAAGTAGACATGGGAGACTTTTCATTTTGTTCTGTACTAAGAAAAATTCTTCTGCCTTGGGATCCTGTTGATCTGTGACCTTACCCCCAACCCTGTGCTCTCTGAAACATGTGCTGTGTCCACTCAGGGTTAAATGGATTAAGGGCGGTGCAAGATGTGCTTTGTTAAACAGATGCTTGAAGGCAGCATGCTCGTTAAGAGTCATCACCACTCCCCAATCTCAAGTACCCAGGGACACAAACACTGTGAGAAACACCCAAGAATGATAAATAAAAAATAAATAAAAAAATAATAAAAAAATAAATAAATAAAAATGAAAAAAAAAAAAAAGATACTCCCAAATTTTTGGTTGTTAGACATGAATGAAAAAAACAGCTAGCTCATTCCGTCTGAGCAGTTTTCACTCTATCTTACCCTTTTTTCTTGCTTGGTGGGAAGCTGGGGACTGTTAATTTGTGTCCCCGGTAGGTGGGACCCAAATCCAAGAAACAGAAATTAAAGAAGAAACTGATCAGAATGTGAAATAAACGCTAGCTCCAAATGCAGCCTTCTGACTTGGTGAAATGAAAGACCTAACTTAAAGAGACAGAGAAGAGATCTGGATAACAGAAGAGACTTAGGGATCACTTAAGCAGTTAACCTCATCTAAATTGAAAACTTTTCCCATTAAATGGTAAAATAAATCTTTCTTTCAAAACTAAAATTTGAAAATTATAAATAAAAGCTGTTTTCTACTACAGAAAATCAAAGGAAGTAAGAGGATGAACATTGCAATGGGCAAAAAAATCTTAAACGAATTCTTGTGGCCAAATAGCAAATAACCAGTTCAAAAACTTTGCCTCTTACTGACACATGGGTGGAGATCTCAACAGCTGGCTTTCTTCTCCCTCTCTCTGCCTCTTGCCTTTTCTTCCTACCTCTTCTTCCCTTAGATTTCTTTCCTTTTTTCCATTCTTCGCCTTAAAAAAAAAATCTACTTCCTACCTTCATGTATCTTTCCTAATCATGATATTGAATTAAAGCACACTTAAAGTACATTGCTCATTTATGTCTTTAATTCTCATAGAATTTATTTTTGAATACAGTATGGCATTAGGATTCTAACTTTTTAAATAGATAATTAACCAGAGCACTATTTCTTAATATGCCATTGTTTTCTTCTTCATTTGTAGTGACAATAATGATTATTATTGAGAGCTTGCTATGGGCAAAGCAGTGTTTTGAGAGGTTTGCCTGTATTTAAATTCCTGGTTGTGTTTCTTGAATAAAGGTCTTCCTCATTTTGGCCAGGCACAGTAGCTCGTGCCTGTAATCCCAGCACTTTGAAAATGCCAAGGCAGAAGGATCACTTGAGGCCAGGAGCTTGAGAACAGCCTTGGCAAGGTAGCAAGACCCCGGTCTCTAAAAAAAAAAAAAAAAAAATTAGCTGGCTTTGGTGGCATGCACCTATAGTCCCAGTGACTTGAGAGGACCACTTGAGGTTGGGAGTTCAAGGCTGCAGTGAGCCACTGCACTCCAGCCTGGTCAACTGAACAAGCCTCTTGTCTCTACATTTTAAAAAGAAGAAGTTATCCTCATTATTAGGCATTTAGAAGTGAACTCATTAATTCTTTTCTTCTATTAGCATAGTAAAAAATAAAAAATAAATAGCTTTTTCACTTGGGTCCCCAATATTTTGTCTCTCTGGGAATTAAGACTCTCTCATAAAAACAAGTGCCCTGCCTTCCACTTGAAGACTGGAAGAGGAGTTAGTGAGACCAAGAAATTCCACTTTTCCATTTCTCACCAGGGATATTACTTATAGGTGTCTTTCAGGTTGCAGAAAAGATGGAAAAAAGGACATGTGCACTCTGCCCCAAAGATGTCGAATATAATGTCCTATACTTTGCACAATCAGAGAATATAGCTGCTCATGAGAATTGTTTGGTAAGTTACTTGAAAACATACTTCAAAGTACATGAGTACTTTTAGTGTAGGACACATAAGAATAGATAAACAACACTTTGGACACAAAGAATAACAAGTTGGCCATGGTTTGAGCTTTTAGGTGAAGATTGGGGAGCATTTCTTTTTTTTTTTTTTTTTTTTTTTGAGACGGAGTTTCACTCTGTCACCCAGGCTGGAGTGTGGTGGCGCAATCTTGAATCACTGCAAGCTCCGCTTCCCGGGTTCACGCCATTCTCCTGCCTCAGCCTCCCGAGTAGCTGGGACTACAGGTGCCCGCCACCATGCCAGGCTAATTTTTTTTGTATTTTTAGTAGAGATGGGGTTTCACCGTGTTAGCCAGGATGATCTCGATCTCCTGACCTCGTGATCTGCCCACCTCGGCCTCCCAAAGTGCTGGGATTACAGGTGTGAGCCACCACGCCCGGGCCTGGGGAGCATATTTTTCTGACTTTGAACTGTTTCAGATTTAAAATATAACAGACACTGATAGACCTTCTACCCAGGTATAATTTCTATCAAAGTCTACAGAATTCTGAGATTTATCCATGTTGGTAAACATAGCTCTAAGTCCTTCATTTTAAATATGATGTTCGATTTCATGACTATATTACCATTAACTGTTCTGTGAATGGGCATTTAGTTTTTCCAGTATTGTTTTCTATGACTAACAAGTCGTCATGAACATTCTTGTCTAGGTCTCCTTCTCATGTGAGAATTTCCCTAGTCTAGGCTATACAGCTAAGAGCAGAATTGTTAGGCACAGGAATGGGGTGTTTTGTACTTGACTAAATACACCAAATTGTTCTTCAAAGAGATTGTACCATTTAATACACCTAACTTACCAAACATCATAGCTTAGTCTAGCTCACCTTAAACATGTTCAGGACACTTACGTTAGCCCACAGTTGGGCACATCATCTAATGCAATGCCTGTTTTATAACAAAGTCTTGAATATCTCATAAAATTTATTGAATACTGTATAGAAAGTGAAAAACAGAATGGTTTATGGGTACTATACAGGAGGATGTGTGTAGGTTATATGAAAATGCTATGCCTTTTAGATAAGGGAACTGAGCATTCACGGATTTTGGTAGCCTTGGGGGTTCCTGGAACCAATCCCCTGCAGACACTGAGGGACGACTGCACTATGGCTTTATTACTAGCCTTGGCTTTTATTTTGGCACTTTGAATTTGTGGATCAGCTTTTCATGTTTGACCAAAATACCTTTTGGAATTTTGATTGGAATTGCATTGCATTTATAGATGAATTTGGGAAAAAAATAGACACATTCATATATTATAATATATTATAAATAATTAATATAAATAATTAGAGAGACAAAACCTGTTAATGGATGGGAAAAAGATGCATTCATATATTATATGTATTAATATATTATTAATGCAGTATGTATTAATATATTATTAATGTGTTATGTATTAATATATTATTGTGTTATGTATTAATATATTATTAATGTGTTATGTATTAATATATTAATTATATATTATATAAATATAAATAATATGCATTTTATATAATATATTACTATATTCATATATTACTATATTCATATATTCATATATAATATATTACTATATTATATATTATAATATATGAATGTGTCTTTTTTTTCCCATCCATTAACAGAGTCTGTCTCTCCAATTATTTAGGTCTTTTATAAATTTCAAAACTGTTAAATAATTTTTATCTGTAGTCATATAGAACTTGGGGTTGGGCATATTCCTGGGCAAGTTTTTTGTTTTGTTTTGTTTTGTTACTTTTTTCTAAAAGCTTTTTAAATGAACTATTATCAGTATATATAAACACTATTTATTTTTATTTATTGATCTCATCCAGCAACCTTACCAAAGTCTTATTAGTTCTAAAACTTCTCTAGATTTACCTGGATATATTGTATGTGGACAATCCTCATCTTTAAATAAGAACAATTTTATTTACTTACCTTTAATTCGGGGGACTCTTAATCTCTTTTTCTTGTGTTTTTCCAGAACATTCAATTATAGCGGTGATTACAAGCAATTAAATTTGGAAGCCCTGTCTTGCTTCTGATATTAATGGGATGCTCCAAAAATCTTATCATTAAATTTGTGTATGTTTTACATTCTTAATGATTTCATTTAATTAAAATAAGGAAGTTACCTTTATCTCTAATTTGCTAAAAATTATAGCGTATTGAATATTACTAAATGCTTGTTCTGCATCTATTGAAATGATCCGGGTTCTTTTTCTCTCTCTGGCCACAAACAGTGCTAAATGCTTTATTTTATTTCACTTTTTTATATACATAATTTGATGTTTATTTTAAATTACAAATTTATGGAAAAGTTGCATATACAGTACAAAGAACTTTTTTTGGTCAGAACCATTTTAAATTAAATGATATGCAATCTATCCTGAATACTTTAGTATGATTTTTTTTTTTTTTTGAGACAGAGTCTTGCTCTGTCGCCCCAGGCTGGAGTGCAATGGTGTGATCTTGGCTCACTGCAACCTCCACTTCCCAGGTTCAAGCGATTCTCCTGCCTCAGCCTCCCAAGTAGCTGGGATTACAGGCACATGCCACCACGCCCAGCTAATTTTTTGTATTTGTGGTAGAGATGGGGTTTCACGTGTTAGCCAAGATGGTCTTGATCTCTTGACCTCGTGATCCACCCACCTCAGCCTCCCAAAGTTCTGGGATTACAGGCATGAGTCACTGTGCCCAGCCTTTAGTATGTATTTTCTACAAATAAGGTGATATGCTTTGGCTGTGTCCCCACCCAAATCTCACCTTGAATTGTAATAATCCCCACGTGTCAAGGGTGGAGCCAGGTGGAGATAAGTGAATCATGGGAGCAGGTTTTTCCCAGGCCATTCACATGATAGTGATAGTGAATAAATCTCATGAAATCTGATGGTTTTATAAAGAGGAGTTCCCCAAAAATCTCTCTTGCCTGCTGCCATGTAAAACATGACTTTGCTCCCCCTTACCTTCTTCCGTGATTGTGAGGCCTCTCCAGCCATGTGGAATTGTGAGTCCATTAAACCTCTTTTTCTTTATAAATTACCCAGTCTTGCGTATGTCTTTATTAGCAGTGTGAGAACTGACTAATACACAAGGACATTCTCTCTCACACTATAACAATATAAACGTCAAAATCAGGAAATTTTGTTATACTACTACCGTCTATTCCTCAAACCACTGAGGTTTCACCTGTTGTACTAATAACGTGTGTGTGTGTGTGTGTGCTTTTTTTTTGAGACAAGGTCTCACTCTGTTGCCCAGGGCTAGAGTGCAGTGGCACCATCATGCCTCACTGCAACTTTGACCTCCTGGGCTCAAGTGATTCTCCCATCTCAGCCTCCAGAGTAGCTGGGACTATAGGCATGTGCCACTGTGCCCAGCTAATGTTTTGTACTTTTTGTAGAGATGGGGTTTTGCCATGTTGCCCAGGTTGGTATCCAACCCCTGGGCTCAAGCAATCCTCCCACCTCAGCCTCCCAAATGCTGGAATTACAGGTGTGAGCCACCATACCTGGCCTAATAACATTTTTTATAACAAAAGATTTTAGCTCATGGGTTGCATTTGGTTATCATGTCTTAAGTTTTTTCATTTTATTCTGTTAGTAATGTGTGTTTTACTTATATATTTTTTCTGCTGTGAAACCATTCTTAGATTAACACCATTTAATGGTGATGTTTTATTTTTACTTATTTATTTGAGACAAGGTCTCCCCAGGCTGGAATGGAGTGGCATAATCATAGCTCACTGCAGCCTTGAACTCCTGGGCTTAAGCAATTCTCCCACCTCAGCTTGGACTACAAGCACGTACCACCATACCCAGCTAATTTTTTATTTATCTTTTTGTAGAAATGGGGGTCCCACTATGTTGCTCAGGCTCATCTCGAACTCCTGGCCTCAAGTGATTCTCCTGTCTCAGCCTCCCAAAGTGTTGGGATTAGAGGCGTGAGCTACCGCTCCCAGCCCAATCGTGATGTTTTTATTCTAATATACTGTTGATGTTGATTTGCTACTATTTTTTAGTTAACTTTATTGGCATAATTTACATAAAATCAAATGTACCCATTTTAAGTGTCCAATTCAGAAAGTTTTGAGACATGTTGAGACCCATGCAACCACTACCACCATCAAGATATAAACATTTCCATTACCCCAAAGGGTTTCCTCAATGTTCTGTGCAATCAATTCCTTCCTACCCCAAGTCCCTGTAGATTTGTCTTATCTTTTCTCAGATTTCATATGAAAGGAATCCTATAGTTGTCCTCCTTTGTGTCACTTCCTTTGCTCAGCATACTGTTTTAGATGCATCTATGTTGCATGTATCTGTATCTTGTTCCTTTATCATTCTTCACAGTACTTAATTGGTATGCATGTATCACAATTTGCTTATTCATTCATCTGTTGGTAGACATGTGTTATTTCCAGTTTGGAGCTCTTATGATAAAAATCAGCTATAAGCATCTGTATATGAGTCTTTGTGTCTTTATTTAGGCCTTTCATAATTTCAAAATTGTTCAATGGCTTTTTTTTTTTTTTTTGAGACGGAGTTTCGCTTTTTTTGCCCAGGCTGGAGTGTGATGGCGCGATCTCGGCTCACTGCACCCTCCGCCTCACAGGTTCAAGCAGTTCTCCTGCCTCAGCCTCGCGAGTAGCTGGGATTACAGGCACCTGCCACCATGCCCAGCTAATTTTTTGTATTTTTAGTAGGGATGGGGTTTCACCATGTTGGCCTGACTGGTCTCGATCTCCTGACCTCAGGTGATCCACCTGCCTTGGTCTCCCAAAGTGTTGGGATTACAGGCGTGAGCCACCGCACCCGGCTATTCAGTAATTTTTATCTGTAGAGGTATAGAACTTGGGGTTAGGCATATTCTGGGCTTGTTTTTTGTTTTGTTTTGTTACTTTTTTCTAAAGTATTTTTAAATGAGCTATTATCAGTATATATGAACACTATTGATTTTTATTTATTGGTCTCATCCAGCAACCTTACCAAACTCTTATCAGTTCTAAAAAGTCTCTAGATTTACCTGGATATATTGTATGTGGACAATCCTCATCTTTAAATAAGGACAATTTTAATTTGGGGCACTCAGTCTCCTTTTCTTGTTTGGTTATGTTTGTCTTGGGTAAATAGCTAGAAGTAGAATTACTGAGTCATAAAGTTAGTGTATGTTTAACCTTAAAAGTGATTGCATTATTTTACATTTCTACCAATAATATGTAAGAATTTCATTTGCTCCACATCCTCATCAACACTGGGTCTTGTTATTTTAGGCAGTCTAGTAGATATATATTGCATCTCACTATGGCTTTAATATGCCTAAGGGTTAATGATATTGAGCATCTTCTCATGTGCTCATTTGCCATTCATAAACCTTCTTTCATGAAGTGTCTATTCAAATTTTGTGCCCACTTTTAATTGAATTGTCTTATTATTGAGTTGTAAGTGTTTTCTAAAATCTGGATACAAGTCTTTTGTCAGAGATATGTATTGTGAATATTTTCTCCCAGTCTCTGGCTTGCCTCTTTGTTTTCTTAGCAATGTCTTTCAAAGACAATTTTTATTTTGATGGAATCCAACTTACTTTTTCTTTATGCTTTCTGATTTTTATAAGAAATCTTCGCCTATGCCAATGTCACCAAAATTTACTCTTATGTTTCTCATGCCCTTTTGTTATTTGAGTGTAATATGTGAAACATTGATCTTCAATTCAGATTTGGAGTCTTCTGGTTTCAAGTAGCACATAGAGACTTGAGCCAGCCTAAACATAAAAGAGGGTTTATGATAAGGTTTTGGGGGCATTTCATGTTTCCTAAAGGCAGGCATGCAGGTGGGTGTAAGAAACAGCTAGAAAGCCATTGGGAACCTAGAATGTCCTCTTTCTAGCCCTTGTTTTTCTTTCTTTGCAGACTGACTTGCTCTAACCACGTGGCTTCAGCTATTGCTCAAAGCCCATTCCACACTTTTAGGATAGGGGATCAGACTGACCCAGCTTGGCATCAGGGTTCCACCCAGGTCAATGAGTTATTAGAGGTCAGGATTACAAAGTATAAAACATGCCCGGAAACCAGGGTCATTCCCAGAGAAATGGGATGGCTTATGGTCTGCTCATCCACCCCCAAAGTTGCCACTGTTTTACCCCCAGTCCATTTCCCACTCCTGGTTTGATTTTCCACTTTTGGTATGATTTTCTGACATGTAGCTTTCAATATTACTTTGTGCATACTCTGGATTTTTTTTTCCAATCTGCAGCTGTATTCTTCAGGACTTGTGGAATGTGAGGATCAGGATCCACTTAATCCTGATAGAAGTTTTGATGTGGAATCAGTAAAGAAAGAAATCCAGAGAGGAAGGAAGTTGGTAAGTGTAAATGATGTTATTTCTTATACTGGATGAACAGACCCTCAAGGAATGCATTCCAAAGGAGTCTATTTGACTGATACACCAGGGATAGAGAAGCATCTTGGAGAGCTGGAAGAAGTAGGAACTGTATTGGAAACCTCAATTCAACTTAACATTTAATTTTTTTTTTTTTTTTTTTGAGACGGAGTTTTGCTCTTGTTGCCCAGGCTAGAGTGCAGTGACACGGTCTCAGCTCACTGCAACCTCCGCCTCCTGGGTTCAAGCGATTCTCCTGCCTCAGCCTCCCGAGTAGCTAGGATTACAGGCACGGGCCACCATGCTCGGCAAATTTTTGTATTTTTAGTAGAGACAGGGTTTCACCATGTTGGCCAGGCTGGTCGCGAACTCCTGACCTCAGGTGATCTGCCTGCCTTGGCTTCCCAAAGTGCTGGGATTACAGGTGTGAGCCACCACGCCCGGCCAACATTTAATATTTTAAAATAAACTACCATATACTTCACCAGTAAAGTGATCTGAGTTAGAATGCTTTTGCTGTAAGTAGAAGAAAGCTCAAGTCAAACAGACTTTTACAAAGAGGATACTTACTTTTTCACTTGATCAGAGAAAACACCTGCTTTCCAAGTTGGTTGATTGAGTGGCTTGATAATGTCATCAGGGGCCCAGGTTCTTCCTCTCTGGCCTCCTGTCCCCAACATCAGCTGGTCCCATTGTGGTCATAGGGTGGCCGCAGGCAGCAACTGAAGCATCAGGCTTTCTTGTTCATACCCAGTGAAAGACAAAGGTCATCCATACACATGGAATAAGCCCCCTTCTGAAAGTTTCATTAGGTTGCACCCCTCTTTCTGCACCAACTGCTGGGGGTGGCCATAACTAATCAGGGGTCAGCTCCTCATGGGTCATAAGGGGGCTATTCAAGGAGGAAGAAATGCTGAGAAGTCATTCCACTGGGCTTATTGCAGCGACATCCTCTCAAGGACCCTTCACATCTTAGCAAGCAGGACAGCAAGTGTGAGCACCTCACATTCTGACTACAACCACAGGGTTAATAACCAGGGACAAATGTATAGTTAGTCTTTGCAAGGCATCAGCATCAGCAGCATCCTGTGGTAGGTGTGTTACATACATTGCTCTAGGTAAACTCCCAGCTATAGGTAAAATGATGCCCATTTTAATCGAAGAAATGGAAAGTGCAGGGTGAAAGGCAACAGTCCAGATGGAATTCTGCAAATTATGCTATCTTAGGCAGTGTACACAATACTGTAGTAGGTCCTGAAGCAAGCCATAAAAATGGACTGTGTGTGGCCCGGGCATGGTGCTGCATGCCTCTAATCCCAGCACTTTGGGAAGCCAAGGCAGTTGAGGACTGCTTGAGCCCAGGAATTTGAGACCAACCTGGGCAATATAGTGGGACCCTGTCTTTACCAAAAAAGAAAAAAAAATTAGCCCGACACAGTGGCATATACCTGTAGTCCCAGCTACTTGGGAGGCTGAGGTAGGAGGATTGGGTGAGCCTGGAAAGTCGAGGCTGCAGTGAGCTGTGATCACACCACTGTACTCCAGCCTGGGCAACAGAGTGAGACTCTGTCTCAAATTAAAAAAAAAAAAAAAGAGTGTGTGGATCCTGCTCTCAATGTCTATGCTATTACTAATTAATACTTGGCAAGACTGGCTGCTGACATCATTAGTGCTGACAATGCCACATCCCTAGGATTTTGGGTGTGATGAGATGGGTGAACTGATTAGAAAGTAGCAGACAGACCTCAACTGGAATATTTTTTTGCTCTTCACTAATTGGATTTGAGTGGGGAGACACAGAGTTAAAGAAATCTCTGTGAAATTCTAGTAGCCATCCAGTTATGAAGAGACCCAGGCTGAGAAATGAGGGCAGTTGATTGGAGGCATAATATTTGGGGGAAAGCAGGTACCTGAGGGTTTCTGCGGACCTTGGGATGCAGACTTCCCTACTGGGAAGGCTTTGGGATGGGTTGGAAGTGGAGGATAAAGGAGAGAAGAGAGGAAAGTCACCTGAGGTAATAGTTACCCTCTCACAGCATTTATGGAACTCTTGGACTATGTGGGCAGATACATGGCACACACCCAGGGTGGGGACAGGCCAGTGCTGTGGTATTTTCAGTAAGCTGGGCAAGTACCTTGAGGGTGAGCAGCAGGGGCCCTCAGCAAGCAGGCTCCTCCCTAGGATTCAGACTACCAATCTGACAGAGCCACATGGACATCCAATAGCATTTCAGAGTAAAGTGGCCAAAAAAGTACAGTTCCATCTCCTATACACACACACACACACACACACACACACACACACACACACACACACACATTCTCCATCTAAATCTGCTCATAAAAACAGCACTATCATTATCCATTTGCCCAAGCCAGAAGTCTAAGGACTCTCTTTTCCTCGTCAACCTCCCAGCCCAACACCAAGCCCATGGGCACGAACTCCTAGGTGCATCTTGCATTCATCCACCCACTTCTCTCAGCGTCAGTAATCCACCATAGCGGAGTCACCCATCTTGTTCTCTAAAGCGAGTACTGACACTCGCCCGACTGTCTCTCCTGCCATCCCTACCCCAGCCCGTAGTTCTCCACCCAGCAGCAGCCCAGCAGCCTGAGTGATCTTTCAATAATGTTAATCAGTTTATGTTCCCCGTGCAGAAAGATAAAACCCAACTCCTTACTCTGGCATGTAAGTCCTACGTGACCCAGCCCTTACTTACCCCTTTGATCATCCTGAGACTTCCCTGTGCCCACTTCGCTGCTCCAACAGCACTGGCCATCTGTCTTGTCCTCGCTGTAGCTTGCCAATGGGGAAGCTCATTCTTGCGGCCAAGACCCAAGGCCCTCTGCTTAGAATGTCTTTCCTCCTCCTTTTTGCATCTGGGAGCTCTTACTATTATTCAGATCTCAGCTTCCATATCACCTCCTTAGAGGTGACCCATTTTACTAACTGCCCAGTCTGAAGTAGGGACCCAGTGACACTGTCACTTCACCCTATTTTAATTCGATATAATGTGTATATAACTTTGTGAGACGTTTTAAACTTTGCTTTATTTGATCATTGTACCTTGTCTCCAATAGAATGTAAGCTTCACGTGGACAGGCATCTTTTCTGCTTTGTCCACTACTGTTTTCCCTTATCCTAAAACCATGCCTGCCACATCATAGCTACTGCATGCTAAATAAATACTATATACTCATGTATTTTTAAATGAATAAATGTTTATTAGCCATTTGTATTTTTTCTTCTGTAATTTGCCAGTTACCATTTTTCTGCAGGTTATCAGAATCTTAAAACTTTATCTAGTATGCTACAAACATTCTTCTTTCAATCTTTTCCTTGTCTTTTAAATATTTTGAATGCCCTCACTATAAAATGGAAGTTTAAAATTTTTGTATAGTAGGTTCTGTCAGTTTTTGTTTTTGAAACAGATTCTCCGTCTGTCGCCCAGGCTGGAGTGCAATCACAGCTCACCGCAGCCTTGATTTCCTGGCCCCAAGCCATCTTCTGGCTTCAGCCTCCCAAATAGCTGGGACTACAGGAGTGTGCCACTATGCCCCGCTGATTTTTAAAGTTTTTTGTAGAGATGAGGTCTCACTGTGTTGCTCAAGCTGGTCTCGAACTCCTGGGCTCAAGCAATCCTCCTGCCTCAGCCTCCCAAAGTACTAGGATTACAGGCATGGGCCACCATGCCCAGCCTGTCAGAGTTTTCATTTGTGGCTTCTGGGTTTTCTTCCTGCCTTAGACAGCCTTCCTTGCCTCCATACTACGCTTTTTTTCTTTCTCCTATATTTCCTAATCTTTAAGAGTTTTTTGTTTAACATTGTTATCTGGTTCGAGCTTTAATCCATGTACAACTTATTCAGGAGTATATTGTGAGGTAGGGATCTAACTTTATTTTTTTCCTATATACATAGCCAGTTACCCTCCTCCCAAATTAAATGATCGTTCTTGTATGCTCTGATTTGAATTTCCACCGTTATCATAACCTTATTTCTTGCCTATATTTGAATTTCCTTTAACTGTTTCTATGCTTGCTTGTGCCGACCCTGGGCTATGGTGTGAGTGACCTCCTGTTCTGCAAGGCAATTTCACTGTGCCCCCACGTCATTCAGCCAGAGTATCATGCTGATCAGCCTTGGTCCTGGCTGGATTCCCCTAAACCAGTTAGGCTGCTGTGGCCACACACTGCCTAGCCATCATGACACCACTGTCACATATAAAATACCAGATAGATAAATACAAGCCAGGGATCAAATAAATTGAACCAAGAAAAAACTGTTAATAGAGTTGTAGAATTTTTAAAAATTTTTGGCCCTACTACCTAGATTCCCTTACTTTATCTCACATTATCCTCAATGGCAACTCTGTAAGACAGATATTATCACCCACAGCAGGTTCTGAGTCCGAAAGAGAAATCACACCACTCTCCGTGGCACAGCCAGCGACCAATCTCGCCTGTCTCAAAGGGCCCCCTAGTGGGGCCCCTTGCCTGGAGCTGGACAAGTTTGCCCACTCTGCTTTTTAGAAAATTCTTTTTAAAAGACAGAGACTGTTTTTTTGAAACAAAAAGCATTTTTCTGCTTTTAATCAGATCATTACAAAACTGTCTGTCCAAGCATTCCGGTTAGCTGAGGTTTCGCTGAAATTCCCAAATGAGCAGCCAAATATAAGTACTGTACCCTAATGTTTGTAACGGGATGGAATCTTGCTGATGATGCCCAGGATAAAATGCAGGGCTTCTGGAACTTAAATAACATTTAATGATATCTTTGAATTTTAACAAATAACAACAAACAGGTACTTACTCAGTAAAATCTATTCTTCTGTAGAAATGCAAATTTTGTCATAAAAGAGGAGCCACCGTGGGATGTGATTTAAAAAACTGTAACAAGAATTACCACTTTTTCTGTGCCAAGAAGGACGACGCAGTTCCACAGTCTGATGGAGTTCGAGGAATTTATAAGTATTTAATAAAACATTTTTAAAACCACATTTGGGGGATTGGGATAAGGAATGGTTGGATTAAGACAAGGAGACTTTGAAGACTAATTTTATGTAAATGGTTTTCAAATGAGAACAAAGCCAGTTTGGGGGATGCACAGGGGTTATGTGAATTTTGAATTTCAGTGAAAAATCTATATATATATATATATTATTTTAGTCACAATATCTTGAATAATGAGATCAATGTTAGGACAGCATGTTTTTTTAAATATGATTTTTGTGAGCTATGTTACATTCGTAAGATGATTTTTAAAAATTCCATTCAGAGGCTGATGTTTTTCCTGCCAGTGGGCATATATTCCTAATTTTCCCATAGTGTTCCAGGCACTATTTTATTTATTTATTTAATAACCACTTGCTTTATGCCAGGCATAGTTCTAAGTGCTTTACAAATGTTAACTCATTTAATCCTCATAATAGTCAACTGAGGTAGATACTATTATCTCCATTTTCCAGAGGAGGAAACTGGGGCCTTGAGACACTCAGTGACTTGTCCCCAGGTTACACAGCTGGTCAGTGGCAGAGCTGGGCTGCAGGACTTCCAAGTCCTCGCTCTTTGCCACCTTGTTGTCTTCAGGTATGGGGACTATATATTCTAAAACAAGAGGGCAAGCCTACCATTGAAAGAAGCTTGCTAAATAATTTTTTTTTTTTTTTTTTTGAGACAGAGTCTCGCTCTGTCGCCCAGGCTGGAGTGCAGTGGCGCGATCTCGGCTCACTGCAAGCTCCGCCTCCCGGGTTCACGCCATTCTCCTGCCTCAGCCTCCCGAGTAGCTGGGACTACAGGCGCCCGCTACCACGCCCGGCTAATTTTTTGTATTTTTAGTAGAGACGGGGTTTCACCGTGTTAGCCAGGATGGTCTCAATCTCCTGACCTCGTGATCCGCCCGCCTCGGCCTCCCAAAGTGCTGGGATTACAGGCGTGAGCCACCGCGCCCGGGCTAAATAATTTTAAATCTGATTTCGAGCAAGTTCCGTAAGTATTTTGTTGCTAATCAGACATGAAATGTGTAAATATGTAAATTTCGTACTGCACTTCTTTTTATATTTGATTCACTAAGAAACTCACAGGTTGTTATAGTCTCAGAGTTTCATTTTTATTATTTACCTTACCAAAGAGCTCGTTTTAGTATGACCTTTACAATGACCTTAAACACAAGATCAAATGAAAAGGAATGTCCCTGCTATAGCTTAAAGTTTGAAAAAATATACTGATCACACCCATTAGAAGAACTAACAAATAGGGACTCAATAAAACAGTCTTCTTGCATTGTTTTATCAAGGAACAGGTGAATTTTTACGCATTTTTAAACTGAATTTAAACCTTCATGCCTATCATACATGAGGCACCTTGCTAGGTGCTACGAGATACAAAGAATAAAATATAGATTGAACCTCAGAGAAGTTATCACCTGGTGGGAAGGCCAGAAGAAGGGTCAATGCAAACAGAAGCACATGGGATAACGAGAGCAGGAGGGGTTACATGAAAGGAGCTTGGCCTTGAGAATTGTTGACACTGTGGAATGGATGGGGACATGGGGGTTCATCCTGATATTTTCAACACTGTTTTATATGTTTGAAAAAATTTAAGTACTTGGGAAGTGAAAGTGCTCAGAGATACCAGAATCAAAGTGGGATGAGATTAACTTTGTTTGGGTGTTGCTGGGAAGACTGCATGGAGGAGGTGGGAACTGGTATAAGATGGGAAGAAACGGTATTCCCCTAGGCAAGGAGGCCACTGCTTCCTGAGAGTCAGCGCCATCTGAAGAGGAAGGGAGATGAAGCTGGGTGCCGAGGAGGAGGAAAGGTTAGAAAGTGGCCTGAGCAGCTCTATAAAACGATTCACTTCATTTCTTTTGTTTTGTTTTGTTTTAAGACAGAGTCTTGCTCTGTGGCCCAGGCTGGACTGCAATGGTGCGATCTCAGCTCACTGCAACTTCCAGCCTCCTGGGTTCAAGCGATTCTCCTGCCTCAGCCTCCTGAGTAGCTGGGTCTACAGGCACGTGCCACCATGCCCAGCTAATTTTTGTATTTTTAGTAGAGGCGGGGTTTCACCATGTTGGCCAGGAGGGTCTCCATCTCTTGACCTCGTGATCTGCCCGCCTCGGCCTCCCAAAATGCTGGGATTACAGGCATGAGCCACCGTGCCCGGCCTCACTTCATTTCTTCATCATAGCCTGCTATGCTGCTGCTTTCTCTTGGAAGATACTAATCAGTTCTAGGCCCTTTGTAGGTCAAATCTAAGATCTGGGGCAAATACCTGTTTTCATCGAAAATGACTTTTTCCTTAAATTAATGCTTGCAATTTTGTGCTATTTATTGTTGAAAACCAGCAGAATCTTGTACAGTCAGATGGAAATCTGCATGTCTTAGATTGTGGATCTTTAGGTATCTTTATACAGTAAAATCTCACTGACCACTGTATATGAACTAGTATTGTTCATAATACTTCATCAGTACTCATTCCTTGAAAGAACATAATCATCTTCCTAAGTCCCTGAGGGCATAAAAGACATCTAACTGAGTCTCCATCTGCACTCAGTGTGGGTCACTAATTTTACACAGGGCTTCAAAAAAAAAAACTTTAGTGTGACGCCGTCATGAAAAGTAGGTTGGTACGTTTTTAATCACAAAAATAGACATAATATTTGAAACCTGTAAATAAAAATATTTTACAATTCTTTGAAATTAAATATTTCAGACTGCTTTGCCAGCAACATGCTCAATTCCCGATCATCGCTCAAAGTGGTAAGTTTCTAAAATTTAGCACTGTGGGTTTTAAAGAAAGGTAAACATTTATGTAACATAAGGAATAGTCTAATTTTCTAGCCTCGTTGAATTAAAATACAAATGTTTGAGTTAAAATTTTACACATCTAGAAAATTGACAACTTCTTTGTGTACTATGTGATATGACTGACTAATTTTTTCTTCTTTATGAACAAGACCTATTCTCTTTGAACCATTCCCTGGTATCTTTCATTCTCCCTACGCTCACAGAACCAAACTAAGACATGGGAAAAAGCCTTGACTTTTGGGACTGCTTCTCTTCCATAAGAATTTTCAGTAGATAAAATTTTAAAAGTGCTGCACCTTCCCTGAGTGAAAATTCCCTAAGGATGCATGGTTAGCATTTCAGTTCTAATTAAGGCAGACTGGATCCTGGCTAACTGGAGTCATGGGGTATACTTTCATTCATGAGTGGAACAGCAGTGTCTTAGCAGCACTACATCTGCAATGTTCATTGTGAAGTGGAGTCAGGACCTCGTTGGAAGACTTCGTTCTGCGTCATGCCAACTGCATTTTATGGTGATAACATTCTCCAAATAGCACCTCTACAATCATTTTTCAGTCGTTACCCTTTTAACTCAGCAGGAAAGGCTATTACAGATACTTCTTTAAATCAGTGTTTATTGACAGGGAAAAGCACCAGCAATACACACTTAACCAAATCCTTGCAAATGTCATCTATTAAATATCTTCATCCTTATTAGTCTGTTTTACTTTGAATATCTTCTGAGTGAAATTGAGTGCATTCCCATATCTTTTCACCAATTATATTTGTTTTCCTATGACCCAATTTGTTCATTTTTCTATTCAATGAACCCTCTCCCCAGAGAGTTCCCCATGTGCCAATTTTTCTACTCAATTATTTACCTGTTTTGCATTAAACTTATAATATCTTTTTTAAAAATTAACCCTTTATCATAAGTGCTGCAAACACTTAGTTGAAGTTTGCCATATCTTTTGACTTTGTAAAAACTTTTGGCATATGAGTTGTATATTTCATGTAGTCAAACAGTAATCTTTTCCTTTATGGATTCCAATTTTTAAATGGTTTATATTTTTAGCTAAATTTTCAGGAGTGAAAAGAAAAAGAGGAAGGAAGAAACCCCTCTCAGGCAATCATGTACAGGTAATTTGACTTAGTTTTTATAGCTTTGCATTTCTTCATACAGAGTCCTTATTTAAACCAGTCTGAATGTCAGGTGAAAGGTACTTTCCAAATCGTCCAAACAGAGAGCCTTTGAAGAACATTCTTCATTTGTGTTCTCAGCTAAGGCTGCTCCTGAGGTTGCCTTTTTAGGAAGAATCCCATAGTCGGGAAGCTCTTAGATAATTCCTAGATGATAGAATCATGATGAGATGAGCATGAAAATGAAGCTGGAAGTTCCAAGCACATAACCTTCAGGAGGTGACATTCTCCGAGCTCCTATAAATTCCCTGGCACCAAACTAGTGAGAGCATCTGACCCCACAGGTGCTTACAGTTAAAACGGGCAGAGGGTGCAGTCAAACATCCTTATGGAGCCAAGTATTTCCCAGCTGCATGACCCACACCTGACCAAATCTGTAGCTCTTATAAATTTCTGGATTATGTATAAAATGTATGAAAATATTTTGGGGATTTGAGTTTTTACACATCAGCACATATAAGCTAAATTCATATGCGCCAGCAACCTTCACCTCCTCCTGTTTATACAAGGGGTGCTTGTCAAACACCTCTTAATGTTTTATAATACAAAACAAAAATATATTTGATGTTTACATCTAAATATGAATATGGGGTTTTTTTGTTTTTTTTTTTTTTTGAGACAGAGTCTCTCTCTGTCACCCAGGATGGAGTGCAATGGTGTGATCTAAGCTCACTGCAACCTCTGCCTCCTGGATTCAAGTGATTCTCCTGCCCCAGCCTCCTGAGTAGCTGGGATTACAGGCATGCACCACCACGCCTGGCTAATTTTTGTATTTTTAGTAGCAACAAGGTTTCACCCTGTTGTCCAGGCTGGTCTCGAACTCCTGACCTTGTGATCTGCCCATCTTGCCCTCCCAAAGTGCTGAGATTACAGGCGTGAGACACCGCGCCCAGCCAGGGCATGATTTTTACTGTAGGCATATCATTTAGTTATGCACAGCAAAAGACTGGTTTTCATTTTATGCAATATTAAAATCAATGTAATGCAATCTTGATTTTCTCTCCTAGCCACCCGAAACAATGAAATGTAATACATTCATAAGACAAGTGAAAGAAGAGCATGGCAGACACACAGGTTTGCGCTAAGTGTTGTCTGTAACAAATATGGCCTACAATACTTATAAAAATGTCAACCCACCTGTTTCAAACTTGGTATCCCGCCTAAATCTTTATTCTTCTAGGCTTGTGGTAATTAATGAGTATAAATCTTTATCGCAACTGTCCACTCTATTGTAATCCCAGCATATCAAGATAACTTAGGTTGGAATGGTCCATTGCATTCAGTATTAAGAAAAGATAGACTTCTATTAATAAAGACACAGACAGGCTTGCCTGAGCTCAGAATCCAGCAATGTGTCACCCCTCACACTGTGACCCCTGTAACTGTAGTTCTCTGTTCTTTAAAGAAATAGACATTCCACTAACAACACATACAAACTGTGACAAGAAGTGACAGGGGCTGTTATGTCAAAGACTTAAGGGTAATTTTTAAAAATCCTCTTAATTCAACTACATATCGGGTACAGTGTACACTGCTCAGGTGACAGGTGCACCAACATCTCAGAAATCACCACTGAAGAACTTATCCATGTAACCTGAAACCACCTGTTCCCCAAAAGGTATTGAAATTTAAAAAGTTACAGTTTTATATGTTTAAAAAAGCCTCTTAATTCATATAGTTATTGTAAGCAGAGAAATTTTCATTTTTACTTTTTGTAACATTTTATTCATTGTTTCAGCTGGCCAAAAAAAATGAGGTATGATGAAATTATAATTAATAAAAAGGGTGAAGGTGCTGTATTATTTTACTAAGTATGTGCATCCACCACTAGGCAAGGTCTGAAGAAATAAGCATAAAGTAATTTATGATTAGCTGCCCTAAGACTATTTCCTTCTCAAATGTTTGTCTTATTCTTAGATGCAACTGTGAAAGTTCCTTTTCTTAAGAAATGCAAGGAAGCAGGACTTCTTAATTACTTACTTGAAGAAATATTAGACAAAGTTCATTCAATTCCAGAAAAACTCATGGATGAGACTACTTCAGAATCAGGTACTGATGAAGAGCAATATTTCGAAGTATAGAGACTTCTCCCAGATCTAGATTTAAAACAAAACAAACCCAAGAAAAAAAAAAAGGCCCATTTTCTTCCTATACTACTTTTTTCTTCTATCAGCTTTTGGAAATGCTTACTATTTATTTCACTTTTTGGTTTTGCCCTATAGAAAATAATCCCATTCAAATAAACATTTTTTATATTGTTGCCTACAATATAAGCTGTCCAGCTTGTCATTCTTTACCTTTACCTCATTCTTTTTTTTTTTTTTAAGACGGAGTTTCGCCCTTGTTGCCCAGGCTAGAGTGCAGTGGTGCGATCTTGCCTCACTGCAGCCTCTGCCTCCCAAGTTCAAGCGATTTTCCTGTCTCAGCCTCCTGAGTAGCTGGGATTTCAGGCACACGCCACTACGCCTGGCTAATTTTCTGTATTTTTAGTAGAGACAAGGTTTCACCATGTTGGCCAGGCTGGTCTTGAACTCCTGACCTCAGGTGATCCGTCCACCTCGGCCTCCCAAAGTGCTTGGATTACAGGCATGAGCCACCATGCCTGGCCCTTTACCTCATTCTTTAATAAAATAATTGGACCAGATCTACTATCCTTCATAAATCAACAGGATGTGGGTAATTTACAAACTCAGTAATTTAGTCAAAAGTAACCTCATGCCCTGAGAGTTGTGGTACATTTTCCAGAGGTGTCTAACAGGTTGGCCACTAAGAGAATGTGCCATTCAGAGATTGATTCGGTCACATATGCTCCCCTGCCACCGCCCTGCATTCCTGTTGCTAAGATCTGAGAACAGTGTTATGTTACAGTTTTGATTTTGGAATCCAATTCTATTCCTTAATAAGCCAAGTGTCCTTTTTTAAATAAGGTTAACTCAAACTTTAAAGTATAGAAGAAGGAATTTTAATGTTTTGACTGATGTTTGGTTTAAAGATGTACTTTGTTAAAGAAGTTTCTTTCTTAAGGGCTCTTTGGGAAGTCAAAGTTCCATTTGTATGTGCAGGTATATAGCTACTTAGCTTTTTGTTTGTTTGTTTTTGAGGCAGAGTCTCGCTCTCTCTCCCAGGCTGAAGTGCAGTGGCATGATCTCAGCTCATTGCAACCTCTGCCTCCAGGGTTTAAGTGATTCTCTTGCCTTAGTCTCCAGAGTAGCTAAGATTACAGACATGTGCCAACACACTCGGCTAATTTTTGTATTTTTAGTAGAGATGGAGTTTCACCATGTTGGCCAGGCTGGTCTTGAACTCCTGATCTCATGTGATCTGCCCGCCTTGGCCTCCCAAAGTGCGGGGATTACAGGTGTGAGTCACTGTGCCCAGCCTTACTTAGCTTTCTTATAACTTATATCCCATGAGTTTAAAACCTTTATTATAAATATAGTTATTTTACAAGGACAAGCTGGACAGCTTATATTGTAGGCAACAATATAAAAAATGTTTATTTGAATGGGATTATTTTCTATAGGGCAAAACCAAAAAGTGAAATAAATAGTAAGCATTTCCAAAAGCTCATTTATTATACTATTTTATTCATTTATTTCCTCTAGACCAAGCACTTCCCAAACAGTGTGCCTGAGAACCACCTGTAGGGCTGGTGAGGACACAGATAGCTGGGCCTATCCCACAGAGATTCTGATTCAGTACAAATACCAAGAATTGGGGGCCAGGCGCGGTGGCTCACGCCTGTAATCCCAGCACTTTGGGAGCCCGAGGTGAGTGGATCATCTGTGGTCAGCAGTTCGAGACCAGCCTGGCCAACATGGCAAAACCCTGTCTCTACTAAAAATACAAAAATTAGCCGGGCGTGGCGGTGCGCGCCTGCAATCCCAACTACTTGGGAGGCTGAGACATGAGAATCGCTTGAACCCAGGAGGCAGAGGTTGCAGTGAGCCAAGATCGCACCACTGCACTCCAGTCTGGGCAACAGGGTGAGATTCTGTCTCAAAAAAAAAAAAAAAAAAAAAAGAAAAAAGAGAAATGCCAAGAATTACATTTCTGACAGCTTCCCTGTAGTGCTGCTGCTGCTGTTGCCATCTAACATTAAAGTTCCATGGCACATGACTGCTCTCTTTCCTTTCCCCTGTTTTGGATTACATATATAAATGGAGGAGTTTCTGCCTATACAAACTGTTTAATATTGAAAATGTTTCTCTCCCTCCAGACTATGAAGAAATCGGGAGTGCACTTTTTGACTGTAGATTGTTCGAAGACACATTTGTAAATTTTCAAGCAGGTATATGAGTTATATAACATCTGAGCAGCATAGTTTTGAGAAATATTTATCACGATATTGAAACAATATACTGTACAGGTGATAAAAATATTTTAGAAGAATGTTCATTGTTTTCTTAAATGAGAAAAGCCAATTACAAAAACAGTATGACCCCGCCCACCTGCCCACACACACAGGAAAAAAATATCGAGGTACATGTGCACAGACAAAAGCTGCACCTGGTGGAGACAGTAGTTGGTTGTAGGTAGTTGGAATATAGTGATTTTTGTCTGTTCTTTTACTGCTATATTTTCCAGATTTTCTATATACACACAAATACTTTTATAATGAGAAAAACTCATTAAAAAAGTAGAGACAACAAAAAATTGATTCAAAAATTGGAGCATATTTTGGCCTGTGTGTGGCCCAGGCAGGAGCTGGTAAAGCTTCCTGCGGCTTCTCTGCTCTTGGGTGGCGAGGCTATGATAAACCATCCCTCCGCTTGCCTCCCTCTCGCTTGGTGAGATAGGTCAAAATTTTAATTCTCCCACTATTAATCCTCAAATCTAATTTAATTTCTTATCAGGGAGGGTTACGACTGATTTAAAGTTCATCAGAAAAAAAAAAAACAAAAACAAACAAACAAAAAATGAGCAAGTAAGAATAGCCAAGAAATGTTTGCAGTAGAAAATCTCGTTTGGTTTGGAGGAGGGAGATTTAACCTTCCTATTAAATATCAACCATTTATTGAGTGAGTCCTCCTTTCAGCATTAAGATGCCCTCAAGACAGGCTACACCTCCACTTGTTTATGAGTCTGGTCTGACTTCTCTATCAAGGCTGCCACACACAGCTGGGCAGGCCGGGCACAGAGTCAAACAGCATTGGTGGATGGCTCCCCCTGAAGTTGCACAACAGAGTGAGTGCCCTCCACACTCTGCATTTCCACAGATGCATCTGTCTCTCCAGCATATGGTAGGAAGACAATAAGATTTCCCTGTGAAGAAATCATTAGTTCATATCCCTGTCTCAACATACACAACCTTTCTCATTTTGGCTTCTATATTATACATTTCTATTTGAATTTTTTACTACATTTATAACCAGCAGGAAAAATACTTTGAAAAATCTACCAAAAAGAGTGTCTGTCTTAATAGTCTTTTGAGGATGTCTGCTAATATATAGCAGTATCCATATTTTTTTAAAGCAGCCTTAAAAATTTTTTTCTAAAAAGAGTTATTTTGTAGGGGACTTCCATGTGTGTTTTTCTTTCATGTAAGGGAACATGTCACACATCACTACTTGGATGGATTAGGTGGGAGTACATATATTATAGTGTAGTATGGCGGGGGTGCCACTACTTAGAACTGCATGAGATTCAACTTAAAAGGCTTAAGTTGGGTTTCACTACCCTGGTTGATAAAAACTTGCTTAATTTAGCCTTACTCATATTTTAAGTTAACTATACGTATGCAGTTATTCTGAATAAAGTTTGTATATGTGTGTAACTGTTCGATTTTGAGGCTTTTAAAAATTACATTGCCATTGACTACTATTTGTTATTTATAAAGCCTAAGTATCTTCCTCCTAAGCTTTTCTAAGTTTCCACAATTAAAAGCCTTCCTATTTCTAAATGAAACCAAAAGCCTTTATGTAACATTAAAAATTGGACACATTTTTAGGAAGGATTTGTCCTTAACCTTGGTATTCTAGCCACATTCTCCAATTATCATCTCTCAATAAATGGATATAGTATAGCATGAAGGTTATACAGTCACTGTTTTCAAGTTCTCAAAGATATACAAAGGGACTTGTTCTGCTATAAATGTGCACAAAATCTTAAGGGTTTACTGAACAGCTTTGTGTATGATAAATGTTAGAATTCTGTCCTGAATTAGAAGGAGGAAGTGAAGGCATAAAGAAACCAGCTCCTGCCCATAAGGCTCTGGATCCTTTTCACCAGAGGCACGAGGATTGTGTATCTGTACCTGCAAGTGAAAGGGGCTAGAAATGGTACATTATTTCTAATAAAACTACTGAATAAGCTGAAATAATTTTATTTCTTCTTTTCATAGCAATAGAGAAAAAAATTCATGCATCTCAACAAAGGTGGCAGCAGTTGAAGGAAGAGATTGAGCTACTTCAGGACTTAAAACAAACCTTGTGCTCTTTTCAAGAAAATAGAGATCTTATGTCAAGTTCTACATCAATATCATCCCTGTCTTATTAGGGATTACCGTTTCCTAAGCCAAGAGTCATGTCAAATTGCAATCAGGCTCAAAACCAGAGACCAGGCTGTGAAATCCACACATCTTTAGAACTAGTCGTCTCCTCTTGGCCTCAGCAGCTCTTCCCTGTTCTTACTGGTTGACATTTTGATCACTCTTTGCACACTCTTGTGTTTTTTGCTCACTGTCACATTCCCAGCACCTAGTATGCTCAGTAAATGTTTGTGGAATAAGTGCATAAAATGTTCTTAACCTTTGATTCTACTTACAGCCCATGATAGCCTCTTAGATATAATAAATTTGGATTATACTACTTTACTTGTACCAAATTTGCCTGTTTTCGTGTCACAAAGTCTGCTTTTGAAAAGTCTCTTTTCAGCCACAGTTATCACGTGGAGATTCATCATCTTCAAAACAGACACCTAAATTTTAAATTGGACTCTGAATAAGAACATTATCGGGAGTATGCAAGAATGAAAAAAAAAATTGACAGTTACATTTTTCTCAATCTAATATACGATTCTGGTTTTTATGCCCACACTATCACGTCTGACCCCTGAAAACTTAACATTCACAGTTCTCATTTTTTACCATGGTACTCTGATTTTCAATAATGCTGCGTCTCAAAATGGGTTTTAACTGAGTCTCCAAGCATGGTGTCTGACATGTAATAAATAAGTACTGGAAAAATATTTGCAGGAGATGAAAAAGAACAGTCCATTCCAGTTGTAATGGCAGCCCTAGCCTAAGTTCTTATATCTTAGGGACAAAATCTAAACCAGTGGATTTCAAATCCGGCCGCACATCAGAATCATGTGGGGCACTTTAAAAACTACAGAAGTGAAGACCCCATCCAACACCCTCTGAACAGATTTCCGCTAGTCTAGATGATTATTGATTACTGTAGCTTCAGCTTCCTATCCTGATATTAAGTCTTAGCAAAGTTTTTGGTTGTTGTTTTGTTTTGTTTAAGACGGAGTCTCACTTTGTTGCCAGGCTGGAGTGCAGTGGTGTGATCTCGGCTCACTGCAACCTCTGCCTCCTAGGTTCAAGCGATTCTCCTGCCTCAGCCTCCCAAGTAGCTGGGACTACAGGCGCGCACCACCATGCCCAGCTAATTTTTGTATTTTTAGTAGAGATGGGGTTTCACCATGTTGGCCAGGATGGTCTCGATCTCTTGACCTCGTGATCTGCCTGCCTCGGCCTCCCAAAGTGCTGGGATTACAGGCGTGAGCCACCACGCCCAGCCATCTTAGCAAAGTTTATCTGACTAATCATTCTGATGTCATGATCTTTATTTAAAAAAAAAAACCTTTGTCCCCCACTTTACTTTCACGTTTAACCTGTGACTCACACAGCATGTAACTGTGCACCATGGAGCACCATGTGTTTGGTGGCCATGAGGCTGGCTACTGGGCAAACCCGAGTATGGGTTCATAAGGCGGAGCCGAGTATGAACTTCAGCTATGTCACTACTGAAAAACTTGAATCCGATTATTTAATCTGAGAATGCTGCTGCCTACCTTATGGGACAAAATATGGACAAGTAAGTAAAATGTGAAGCAGAGAGCACAATGTCTGGCACTATGGGAAATAAATGTTAAAACACACCCATGCACGCACACACTCCCCTTGCTAACATTTCTGTCTTATTTTCTCCATTCTAACCAAACTTAATTATGATAAGCTCTGGAAGGCTCATTAGCCCCCATCTCTTGTGCCTCTTTTTGTTTTGGAGATGAGCTAAAAGGACACTTTATATTTTCCCCTATCCAACACAAGCGTTATCTTCAGAACAACTAACTGCTTGTCATGTTAACCCTATTAACTGTATTAGTCCGTTCTCACACTGGTATGAAGAAATACCAGAGACTGGGTAATTTATAAAGGAAACAGGTTTAATGGACTCAGTTCCGCATGGCTGGGGAGGTCTCAAGAAACTTACAATTGTGGCGGAAAGGGAAGAGGCCCGTCTTACGTAGTGGCAAGTAAGTGAGAGCACGCAAAGCCCAGGGGGAACTGCCATTTATAAAACCATCAGATCTCATAAGAACTCCCTCAATAGCATGAGAACAGCATGGGGAAACCGCCCCCATAATCCAATCACCTCCCAACAGGTCTCCCTCAACAACTGAGGATTACAATTCAAGATAAGTTGGGTGGGGACACAGAGCCAAACCACATCATCCTATTTGGTTTTCTCTCACTGACTGTTATGAAAAGCTCTTTATAAGTATCTCATTGTGTTGTTAATTCCTAAACCTATCTCCCTCTCTCCTAATAATTCATATGTTCTTTGAGGATAGGGAATATGCCTTTCCCTTCAAGTACCCCCAAAGGTACAGACACATTTTTCTACTGTGCCAGTTCAACTGTACTACCCTTCAGCAGGAATAAAATCCAAAGATTTCTATGATGTTTGTTTGTGTATAGTTGAGAATCAAGCAGTTGACATGTTCATGCTGGTACCTATTTTTAGCCTGATACCCATTAAGAATCACACCACTGATTTTTTTTATTATGGTAAAATATATATATAACCTAAAATTTGCCATCCCAATCATTTTTAAATGTATGGTTCAATGGCATTAAACATTCATTTTTGTGCAACCATCACCACCATGCACCTAAAGCAGCAGTCCCCAACCTTTTTGGCACCAGGGACTGGTTTCGTGGAAGACAATTTTTCCACGGACCATGGGGATGGGGCGGTTGGTCAGGGGTGGGGAGGATGGTTTTGGGATGAAATTGGTCCACCTCAGATCACCAGTCATTAGATTCTCATATGGAGCACACAACCTAGATCCCTTGCATACTCAGTTCACTGTAGGGTTTGCACTCCTATGAGAATCTAATGTTCTAATGTTGCCACTGATCTGACAGGAGGCAGAACTCAGGCAGTAATGCTCACTCATCCGCCACTCACCTCCCGCTGTGCGACCTCTTCCTAACACGCCAGGGATGAATATGGGTCTGTGGCCCGAGGGTTGGGGACCCCTGACCTAAAGGACTCTTCATCTTGGAAAACTGAAACTCTGTATCCATTAAACAAGTTCCCCATTCTCCTCTCCCCTCAGACCCTGGCAATGACCATTCTACTATGTCTCAATGAATTTGACTAAGTATATCACACAAATGGCATCACATAGTATTTTTCTGTGAGTGGCTTATTTCACCCAGCATAATATCCTCAAGTTCACCTCTGTGCACCATGTGTCAGAATTTCTTTCCTTTTTAAGGCTGCAGACTACTGATTTTGAAGGAAAAAAACAACTCTATGTGCCTGTTTTAATGTTACTTTGTTTATTAACATGTCGTTCTAAATATTACATAAATACAGCTTACATACTAGAGTATCAAACATTGTTCCAGTAAGAAGTTCAAGAGTACATTTAGGGCTATCTTAAGAAATATGAATACTTTGGCTTCCATTATTACATTAGATGAAAAAATCAATTCAAATAAGAGTTGTCATATCCTGCTATGATTAACAAAAAAACAAGTAGAAAAATAAGAGAGTGTATTTAAAAAAAATAATCAAATGCTTTTTGAAAGACCTGTTCTCTTCACTGCCACACATATTCATACAAATGACTTAGTAATCTAATATGAGAAGTGGTCCTTCACTTATATTAGGAACTTGGTAAATATTTGTTGAATGAATGAACTATCTATGGATATGAATTTACTACTTTAATTTGTGCTTTTTTTGAAAAAAAGTTTTCAAGTAAGAGCAATAGTAAACATACTGAAGTTCACATTTTGCTCAGATCATAAGCCTATAGAACAGTGATTGTTACAAACACCACCCATCATAGCACAAATCAATGTGCATTTCTGAAGCTAGTAAGAAAAGTTCTATCATGTTGTAGAACGAATTCTAACCGACTAATTCACTGGGCTTCAATCACTTGTGATATGGTCAAGAAAAGGGGGCTGGGGCTCCTAGGCTTGTATCTATTTCAGCTATCAGTGAATTCCTATCTTTAGGGCCTCACTCCCCTTCCCACCCCAATAGACACAAATTTAAAAACATTGCTAAAAATAGTAGTTGTAGCATGTCTTCACCCACTTGTAATTTGGCTCTGAAAATGTATTCAGGCTCCAGGTTCAGAAGAGAGACTTTCCAAGCAGGAGACAAAATTCACTAAGGGAACTCACTCAAATGGAAATGAGTTCATGGACCAGAGAGCAAAGCAAAACATTGCTCTTAAAAGCAAGCTCAACGGACACACATGATGAAACTCACAGTTGAACACTCTTACATCCCAAAGTCACCTTCCATAACCAGTTCAAATAAACTACTGTCTTTTAATAGGATCTTTTCAGGAACACCATAATTTTGGTGCTTTTTCAAGGTGAAATTGTGCTGTTATACCTAAGATGTTTAAAAACAGAGGAAAACCAAAAGTGAAAGATGATAAAGTTTCACATAAGCCAATGTGTGATGGATTTGGCCTAAAGTAGATAAAGCAAATTCCACTAAGTCTTGTAAGAGGGTTGACTTGAAGAACCACTTCTTCCAGTCATATATAGTAGATATGATGATTCAGCAGTCATAATTTAGGAAGGCAAGAGTATACTATACATGTCATTATTTTCCTCTTAAGTTTGCATTTATAGAAGAAGGTGGTGGGGGACAATTTAAACTTGAGTTCTCAAGTTCTACCTTAATGAAATAAAACACCATTGGATAAGTAGTGGAGATTCTAATTTATAAAATATTCACCTTCATCAAATTTCTTTCATTATCAACTTTTCACGGATACTTCTAAATTACTATTCTTTATGCACTTAAATCTTAAGAGAAATCTTGACTAACCTAGAATATTTATCTTTACATAATTATCATTTCAACAGGTTTAATATACGTTAAACTTATTACTTTGATTTATCTTGAAGTTAAAAAAGTCATCAACGCAAGCACACAAACAAAAGTCTGAAACAATCTTAATTATTCCTTCACAGTAAGGCTACTAAACTAGCAACTAAGGCAGCACTTAACAATCCCCAGGTCAGCATCTTTAATTCACGATGGGGCCTCTCCATTCATCTCACAATTCCCCAACTATCACTGCTCCTGCTGTCAGAAGATTGTTGATACGTGGCCCAGGAGAGTTGCTGCCAACTTCCCCTTTCCAAGTTCAGAAGTTCCTCTAATCAAAAATGAAAAGAAGACCAAAAACGACTAACTTTCACCCTTTTACATGTTCCAGCCCAAATTTACGAAAGGTCACATTTAAAATACACTTATCTGGAAACAAGGGTTGTTTAAAATGGGCTCAAGAAAAGCCGTACACCCTTGTTATGTTCCTACACAAACAACTGTGTCCCAGATGTGGAAAAAAACAACCTGATGGTCTTTTACCTGCAGAATCACATCACCCGTAGAGCACAAACTGGACACATCCTCAACAGTGCCCCAGAGCACTCACACAGAACCCAGCAGCCTTGCGCTTCAGTTCTTAAAGGCTCCACATTTACTGGCTTTAGCAATGAATTCCTTTAGCAGAGGGCCATCCATTTGCCAAAATGCTGCAGTCTGTGTAACTTCTGTCAAATGATTGATGCAAAACTTAAAGCAGAATTCTTCTAAATCCTGGACACACAACAAAAATAAAAACAAAAATGGCTTTTTTAGGCAACTTTGATTGAATTACTTCTCTCTGAGCCCTTTACCCCAAATCTCTCACCCTCCCCCAGAAAAGATATTTGAGAGGCCAGATACCTAAAACTAGGCAAAAAGGTGACCACAGGTAGGTGTGAGAAAAACACATACTATTTATTCAACGCAGTAAAAGCAATGGTCCTCTAACTCAAAGTACGACTCTTCAAAACACACACGCGCGCGCACACACACACACACGCAAGATCTACAAGGGAAAGAATTTCCTGCACGATTATCACATAATCTAGTTATGCTCAAAGACATTGTTGTAAAAGGCAGAATGCCACTTTAGTCTGCAGAATGTGTTTTGTCACGTTCAAGACATCAGAGAAAAGAATTAAGATGTGGGTTAGTTTAAGAAACAGAAAGGTAATGAAGAGATATGGTCAACCTAAAGTGGCACATTAAAAAGAAAATCCCAGCCGGGCACGGTGGCTCACGCCTGTAATCCCAGCACTTTGGGAGGCCGAGGCGGGCGGATCACTTGAGGTCAGGAGTTCGAGACCAGCCTGGCCAACATAGGGAAACCCCGTCTCTAGTAAAACTACAAAAATTAGCCGGGCGTGGTGGTGGATGCCTGTAATCCCAGCTACTCAGGAGACTGAGACAGGAGAATCGTTTGAGCCTGGGAGGCAGAGGTTGCGGTGAGCCGAGATCGCACCACTGCACTCTAGCCTGGGTGACAGAGCAGAGGCTCTGAAAGAAAATCCCAAAAAATTCACCTTAAATTCACTTTTATGCTCTCCTAATAATGACTTTATTTTTAAAGCCATAAAGAATAATAACACTACAACTTCCACCACACTAATATCTCAGAACATCACCCCCACAGAAGTATATTTACACAGGTTAGTTTTCAGTCAAACAGAAGTCACCAACTACCAACATTCAGGGGAGTAACATCCACAAGGGGTAAACCAGAACCATTTCAAAATCAATCCCTGCCTATGCTAATCCACCCTTTCATCCCCTGCCAAACTTTAATATAGTCTGTCCCTTAGGATGTTGGAATATATATTTATTAAATCGATTAGGCACCTGGAATGCATACAAAGACTCAATATATAAAAGGAAATCACACTAAAAGCTCTTATCACAAATAGCTTGACTTTATTACAACTTGGTTAGCTGGTACATTGAAGGTCAGCACTCCGGGTTCTATCGAACCAGAAGCTCAACATTTCAACTGCAGGTTTTGACCGCACATTTCCAGCTACCACGAGGTGGGAATGTTAGACAGAGTGGAAGGGGCCCACACAAACATGGAGAGACCCCTTTTCTGCTCTCAGCACAGACCTCTGCAAACAATGATTTCCTTGTTCTAAGGGTCCTCCTGTCCCTGGCTAAAAGATGCCCTAGAGTAAACTCCAGAAACCCATCCAGTCACATAACCATTAAGAGATAAACCACAGGCCAGGCGTGGTGGCTCACGCCTGTAATCTCAGCACTTTGGGAGGCTGATGCGGGCAGATCACGAGGTCAGGAGTTTGAGACCAGCTTGACCAACATGGTGAAACCCCGTCTCTACTAAAAATACAAAAATTAGCCAGGTGTGGTGGCAAGCACCTGTAATCCCAGCTACTCAGGAAGCTGAGGCAGGAGAATCGCTTGAACCCAGGAGGCGGAGGTTGCAGTGAGCCGAGATCATGCCACTGCACTCCAGCCTGGGAGACAGGAGTGAAACTCCATCTCAAAAAAAAAAAAAAAGAACTTTTATACACAATATAGGTATAAAAATGGTGCCACTAATCACAATTCACTTTATACACTCATGAAAATGGTTCTATCAAACTGCCTTCCCTTCCCCTCCAATTAGTTTGAACTACTGAGGTATCTGGGTATGCAATAAATATTCAAAAGTTCCAAACATTAAAAGCCAAACTAGAGAATTCTGAAAACAATCTAAATCTGGGTTGTGTAAGTAACTAATTAAACCTTGGTTGAGGCAGATCTATGTAAAAGGAAGCCCTGAACGCATGTGGTGAGGGACGTTTGAATTTGCAAGTTCACCAGAGAGTCGCACAGTCAAGCTGAACCACTTAGCAACCAGTGCCCAGGGTTGGTTTGCCTTTGATGAGCAAGTTAGACAAACGCCCTTCCGACTTGACCTCTCTTTAGTATTATAAGAATCTACATAATCTGTTCCTTTCATTCTGCAAAGGATCAAATCTTCAATAACAGGCAAGAAAATGCAACTCCTGTCCAAGTGAGAAGTCAACTATAACAGGGCTGGTTATAGTTGACTTCTTACTTCTAACTGGGCTTTAAATAAAACAGTTCCAAGGAGGACCAGAAGGATCATGTGACCAGGAGATGAACAAAGTTCCCGACAGAATGAAAGTCCTCTTATAGCCCATGGAATAGGGAAGTGGAGAGTATAAAAACAGAAGGGTCTAATACAGTCTTCTTGGTATTAGAAACTAAACTCTGTTTATGACGTTATGTGGCAGAACAATTATAAAGTGTTCTAAGGCAAATGAGATAAAATACCAGATTTATTGTCATTAGCAAAGAAGACAAAAATAAAAACTGCTCTTCTGAAGTAATTTATAAATCATTCCAAATCTTTCAACATTGAAACTATTCCAATTCAATATATATACTCTGAAAATAAGCTGTTTTTCCTTTCCACAAATTTTCTTTAGTAACAAAACAAAACACAGAGCATTGATGGTCTTAATATCCTCATTTTAAAAAATGCTAATGCCGCCTCTAAGGGAGTTCTTACCCTGTCCTAAAACTCCAAAGCTAAACTAGTTGAATGTTAATAATTTGAAGACCACCTAACCAGGGTGAGCAGGTGCCTCGGCATCACAGCTCCCCACAAGACACATTCCAGATGACACAAGATCACGAACCACACCTAACTCTGTCCAACCTGTTGTTAAAGTAACTGCAAGACAAAACCCCAAAACTGTCAGTCTATAATTCATGTTATAGCACATCAAGTACAAAATATTCCAAATCAAAGAAGTTTTGTTTTGTTCTCAAAATGTACTTAAACATTCTACCATATGGAGAAAACATAATTTATCCCATTACGCAAAAAACATTTGTCAGCCTACTGCTGATCAAAGACTTTTCATTTGGCCCACCAAAAGAAGAAAAAAACGCTGGCCACCAAGCCTTAACACCAAGCTGTCCAATACTCATACCCCAGACCAACTTCAGAATTAGATTCCTGGGCTCACGTTTATCGCTTCCCTCCAAAAGCAAGATCGTAAGATATAAGTTGCTTAGCACACAGGATTTCTGGAAAGTTCTCTACTCTGGTTAAACAAATAATACTTCCCAGCTGTTTCTCTTAACGTTCAAATACACATAAAAATAAAAAATTTCCTGAAAAGAATCAGTTTGCATTGTGCAACTGATCTATCTTGAAACAATGTTTTATCCACATTTTCTCCCTGATGTCAATATTTATTCAGGTCTGTACCAAAGGAGTATCTGGGTGCTCCTTTGTGAAGTCCTTCTTAATAAAACTTGTGGACAGTTTCATAACACGTTCATAGCAAGGGATCCACAATCATCAACTTACTTTTGAAACTCCCTGTAACTACTGAGTCCATACATTTTTGTTGCTTTAATGTGTGTACATTTGCTTCAAAGCTATCTTGTCAAAACGGGGCATGGAGGAACCTCAGGTACTTTCGTAGAAAGACAAGAAACATTGGAAGCAGGTAGTCTCCATCTTCCTAGCATTTTGGCCCACAGCACGAAGGCAAAGTCATCTAGCATCCCCAAGTTGAGCTCTAAAAATAATAGTTTTTGCAGTCAATTTCTAACCTGACTCATCAGTAGCCTCCAATCAACTAATAAACACAGTAAGAGGGCTTTCTTTTTAAGAGATGGCAGTCTCACTATGTTGTCCAGGCTGGTCTCAAACTCCTAGCCTCAAGCAATCCTCCCACTTCAGCATCCTGAGTAGCTAGAATACAGGCATGAGCCACTGTGCCCAGCTATGGATTTTAATTTTGTACTCCAGAACTTCATTCATGTACTCACTGTATCTTGTAGCATTCAGGAAATAAAATGTAAAAGCACATTAGTCAATTACGTAACTTGTATTGTAACCTAAGAAATACACCCTAGAAAGAGGCCTGGCGCAGTGGCTCATGCCTATAATCCCAGCACTTTGGAAGGCTGAGGTGGGAGGGACACTTGAGCCCAGAAGTTCAAGACCAGCCTGGGCAACATAATGAAACCCTGTCTCTACAACAAATAAAAAATAAGAAATTAGCTGGGTGTGGTGGCACACATCCGTAGTCCCAGTTCCTGGACTGGGAAGGAAGGAGGACTACTTGAGCCCAGGAAGTTGAGGCTACAGTGAGCTGTGATCACACCACTGTGCTTCAGCCTGGGCAACAGAACAAGACCCTGTATCACCAGGAAAAAAAAATACATACAAATTATGAATATATATATATACACACACACACACATATATATATATGCCCTAGAAATAAAGAGGTGAGTCTTTCTTTTTGTCTTCTTTCTATTCTCTAATTTTTCTACGTTGAATCTGTAATATTTGTAGGATTTTAAGTTTTTTTTAACTTTTTTTTTTTTTTTGAGACAGAGTCTTGCTCTGTTGCCCAGGCTGGAGTGCAGTGGTACAACTTCTCCCTCCCAGATTCAAGCAATTCTCCTGCCTCAGCCTCCCGAATAGCTGGGATTACAGGTACGCACCACCACACCCAGCTAATTTTTGTATTTTTAGTAGAGACAGGGTTTCACCATGTTGGCCAGGCTGGTCTCAAACTCCTGATCTCAAGTGGCCCACCTTGGCCTCCCAAAGTGCCGGGATTACAGGCGTGATCTCCAAGCCTGGCCATTTTTTTTTTTTTAAGCACACCTTCATGGTGAGGTATTTCAAATGTTTTCACTCATTTATTTAATTCAACATGCATTTTTGAGCGCCAGCTCCATGCCCACACTGTGACAGACTCTGGGGAATCACACTTATTTGGAGTCTTTCTAAAGGAAGTTTTTATCATGTTTATACTTAATATGAGAAAAATGAAAACTAGTAAAGGAAATGACCTGCTGGCACAGGAAGCAGCAGCAGAGGCTTTTTCTGTAAACTTCCTAGGACAGATCTTAGCTAAAAGTGAGGAAGAAGTTTCCAGCAACTTGAGCCGAGACATCTGCCTCTGCCCAGGTTGTTCTCACTGGTGTTAGTCAGCAAGGTCTGATCCTGAGTATGGAACTCGTTAACAAGGAGGAGGAGCGTGGAGAGGCCCAGAGAGGATTCTAACATCCGTCACCAAATGGACAGAAAAGGCACTAACCCAATTTAAAATTATATCACCGGGTGGAAATAAAATCTAAAGAAACAGCTTTTCTAATAAAGAGGTTCAGGGTGTCACAGGAAGGACAGGAAAAAAATCATACCCCATTTTCTATTAGAAATGATTTACTTTGATCATCATTCCATCTGTTGTCGGGCTGCAGACAAAGTCAGCTACATTTGACCTTATCAAATATTTATAATCAGAATATAGCCTCAAACAAAAATAAGATACATTTTGAAAACATCGTGGTCAACTTTGATCCCTATGTGTGATGAAGTGTGTCCTCTTATACCTCAAAGGACACAGCTGCAGATCTTTGCAGGTGTTTGATAAACTCCTTGATACCAGATATTCTGCTTTGTCAAATGACAAAGTATCTGCAAGGATAGGCTAATTGTAACATTCTACATGCACAACTTAGCTAGATATTTTGAAACTCCAAGGCTATTGCTCTCTACCTTTTATTCTCTCTGAATCTGTGAAACCAACCATACCCGCCTTCAGCTCACTGATCATCCTTAATGCTTCCTTTAAGGTACTATCTTCATCCAGTTCAACATTTATCAGGTGCCTAATATGTGCCAGGCACTATAGGGTATACAGACGAATGAGACAGTTCCTGCTCACGAGGAGCTTACAGTCTGATGCTTTGGTTCTTCAAAAAAATGCACACAAACTTTCAGACTCCCCAAAGCCCATTAATTCACAGGCTCAACAGATCTGTGAATCTCAGATTAAGAACTCAACCCAGTGCAAAAACAAAAGGAGTCCACAGCAAGTTCTTAACAGGTAAATAACTGTGAGCTGTAATTAGACACTAATAGAATTGCAGAGCGTACACAGATACAAATCATACACATCCCCAGCTTATGACAGGGCAGAGGTGGAAAGACAGCAAGGTAAGTCTCGAAATAAACACATATGCTGACATTAAGAAAGACTTGAAACTAAAATATGCTGTTTGTTAGTCCAATTAGTTGTGGCACCTTATGTTCCAACCTGCAGCACAGCTGCTAGGACCTTGGTTCGTTTCCTGTCTTACTTAGAAATGAAAGTAGAGGAACAACGACTTTTGAAACAATGAACAGGGAATTAAGAAGCAAGGGCAGATTTCAGTTTTCAATGGGTTCACTGATTCCCTAAACAGAAGTGGAGTGACTCATCGTTTTCCATGCCTCACGCAAGAAGCGGGGGAGACGAGCACAAAGGGAGTTAAAGGTGGTCTGGTTTCTGTTTGTTGTTTAAGTTACCTCTGCATCATATCTGACTGCAGCAGAGAATAGCGAAAAGGCATTCTCCACAGTAATTCCTCTCTTGATAATGTGCTGACAAAGTTTTTTCAGTCTGTTTTCACAGTAAGATGTCGCCAAATCCAGAAGACCTAAAAGTAAAATATGTGAAAGGTTTAATCAAATGTATAATAATTTCCAATACACAGAGATTTTGTTTTGGTGAACAGAGGTGTACAGGTAAATTAGAAGTTTCTTAGTGGATAAGATTCTGAATTTGAGTAAATAAATTCTCTTTTTTACTGTCTGCCTCCTCCACTTCCACACCTCTCCTATATTTACTTTATACAATTTCTTCAATAGTGCAAAGAAAGAGCAAAAAATGCAATTTCAATCCTCATTTTGTTTCTAAAACGCTAAATGCATTAGCAACTTATACTTCACTACTAGAAAATTAAAATAAGCCCATAGCTTAATACCTAGGTGATGGGTTGACAGGTACAGCAAACCACCATGGCACACGTTTACCTATGTAACAAGCCTACACATCCTGCACGTGTACCCCAGAACTTAAAAATAAATTAAAAAAAAAAAAGTCCTTCAGTAACATTAGAACAAAAAAGCCTATGGTCATAAACTAGGTCCAAAACTATTAACCATAATAACTACACAATACTACTTTTAAAGATACTTACTTCAAATCTTTTTTAAGCACCAAATTAAAGCCAATACACCTGAAGCTTTTTACATTTCAGGACTAAGAATATGAGGGGATATATTCTCCACCATGCGGCTCGTCCATCCCAATGCTACCACAGTACCTATAGCATCTTCTGGCGGCAGGTCGACTGTGTCTGTGTAGAGGTACTGGAGAAAGGCACGATACACTGGGTAAGAAAACTGATCGATTTCTATCACTTCCTTCATGTCTTCATTCCAATACGACTGGAACATGGATCGAAAATGCTCACACCTAAAACAGCAAAGCAAAAGTCTTATTTGTTCAGCAGCAATTTTTAAAAAAGAAAAAAAAATTACCTAATTAAGTTGATAAAATCAGATAAACAGAAGTATCCTTGGGCCGGGCGTGGTGGCTCATGCCTGTAATCCCAGCACTTTGGGAGGCCAAGCGGGTAGATCACCTGAGATCAGGAGTTCGAGACCAGCCTGACCAACATGGATAAACCCCGTCTCTACTAAAAATACAAAATTAGCTGGGCATGGTGGTGCATGCCTATAATCCCAGCTACTCAGGAGGCTGAGGCAGGAGAATCGCTTGAACCCGGGAGGTGGAGGTTGTGGCGAGCCGAGATTGCGCTTCTGCACTCTAGCCTGGCAACAAGAGCAAAACTCCGTCTCAAAAAAAAAAAAAAAGTAAGTATATTAACTACTATCTGGGCCTGAACACACCAGGATCACAGACCTTTAGTTAGCACCCAAAAAACATTCCACATGCAAGTGGTTTTTGTACATGCCTTTTACATACACTCACTTTCATTTTTTGTAACTCCTATTAAATACTAATAGGTATACATAGAGCCTGGAAGTACCTAGCACTTCCACTACTGTTTCCATTTGATGGTCCCCAAGATTTTTTTGCTCCTTTGTTTTTTTTAAAATGATGTACAGAAATGCATTTTAAACAATAAAGTGAAAGAAATTCAGAAACAAGAGTTCAAAACTTTTGACTATGTATCAACATTAAAATGATTCATTTGTTTTTTGTTTTACATAATAAGCATATTCTTAAAACTGTTTTATATGTTAACTGGATTACATCAAGCTGATTATTGTCTGATTATCCGACAATTTTTCTTCTTTTCTGACTTATCGTCAAAACAGCCATCACTCCTTTTTTTTTTTTGCATTGCCTGTTCCCCTTCCTCTCTTCCCAGGCCTGCTACAAGCTTATTTATAAAACACTCACATCCACTAGGATAGTCAGATATTTCAAGAAAACCTGAGCAGCTCCTACACTGTATTTACATGTACAAAGCCACCTGCACAAGAAACTGATTTCTGAATATTGGATTTTCTTATGTATAACACAGTTGTATCTTTCTAAAAATCATATTTTTAAATTATTTTAAAGTGAGATACGGCACAAAGAGAAAAAGTATTCTGAGGTGCAGTGGCTCAAGCCTGTAATTCCAGCACTTTGGGAGGCCGAGGCAGGTCAGCCTCAATCACCTGAGGTCAGGAGTTTGAGACCGGCCTGGCCAACATGGCGAAACTTTGTCTCTACTTAAAATACAAAAATTAGCTGGGCGTGGTTAGTGCACGATTGTAATCCCAGCTACTTGGGAGGCTGAAGCTGGAAGATCGCTTGAACACAGGAGGTGGAGGTTGCAGTGAGCTGGTATTACGCCACTGCACTCTAGCCTGGGTGACAGAATGAGTCTCTGTCTCAAAAAAAAAAGAAAAAGAATCCATTCAGAATACTAAAAAAATAGTTTCACTTACATAAAAAATTACCTGAGAAATAAAAAAGAAATAGTTGTCTAAGAAAGAATCATGGATTTCATGGTCAGAAAACTGTACATGAAAGGAATAGACTGGTTGACCACAGGTGCACAGACAGAAACAGTTCCAGTTCATCTTTTCAATTAATACTGTGGTTCAGATATTTACTCCCTTAGGTAAGGAATGACATAGGGCTTTTCTGTTCCTTTCAAATGTATTTCTTTGCCAATAGGTTTTTACCTAAATTTCCAAAAAGACTTGTAAATGGCCACTTTAATGGTCTTAGCTTATGTGCCTTTTTCTGCAATGGCAACCTTTGTGGCAAACAGTTACTAATAAACGCATAGGTCCCTCACATTTATACAAGGAACTATATCTTAAAAACTTTTTTTTTCATTTTTGAGATAAGATCTCACTCTGTCTCCCAGGATGATCACAGCTCACCACAGCCTTGATCTACTGGGCTCAAGCAATCCTTCCACCTCAGCCTCCAGAGCAGCTGGAACTACAGGAATGCACCACCACACCTGGCTAATTTTTTCTATTTTTTGTAGAGACAGTGTCTCGCTATATTGCCTAGGCTGGTCTCAGACTCCTAGGATCAAGTGATATTCCCGCCTTGGCCTCCCAAAGTCCTAGGATTACAGGCATGAGCCACCATGCTGAGCCTAGAACATTCTTCAATTGGTAATTGCATGTCCCTTAGAAACAGAAGCACAGCATTCCTATGAGAGTTTTCTGCTTAATCTATAATTAAAAGAGGGCATATACACTTTTCAATAACAACCTTTTGTATTTTCTTTAACCACGTAAATAAATTTTCTGATGGAAATGAGTATTCACCAGATTCTTAATTTAAAAAACAATATAAGCTGGGCGTGGTAGCTCACATCTGTAATGCCAGCACTTTGGGAGGCTGAGGCGGGCAGATCACCTGAGATCGGGAGTTCGAGACCAACCTGACCAACATGGAGAAACCCCATCTCTATTATAAATACAAAATTAGCCAGGCATGGTGGCGCCTGCCTGTAATCCCAGCTACTCAGGAGGCTGAGGCAGGAGAATCACTTAAACCCGGGAGGCAGAGGTTGCGGTGAGCTGAGATCGTGCCACTGCACTCCAGCCTGAGCAACAAGAGTGAAACTCTGTCTCAAAGAAACAAACAAACAAACAAACAAACAAACACAAAAAACCAATATGGACAAATACTTAAATTCCTACATTACACTTTTTCTAAAACGCTCCATGAGTGTACACAAAAAACTCTTTGACATGAAATGGACTGATACTATCTGCAAAAATATTAAGTAGTGACATTTCTCTCTACTACCAAGGCTATTTTTTATCAGTACTCATTTTGTGGAATAACAAAGAAAGAAAAGTCAAGTTATTGATGTCTCTGAGCTCATGCAAAAATACCTGATTTTCAAAACAGCTTTATGGACATGAATATATTTTCCATCAATTCGAAACTTCAGATCAGCAGTTTCTGGACTATCAAATTCTTTCTTCAGTGACTCTGCAACTGTTAAAAAGTCTTCATGCTCTGAAGGCAACAAACATATATTAATATGGCAAGTTCAAGGAACAGATTGAAGATTCAAAAGACTTCAAAAAGATCATCATGACCGTGATGGATAATTCCACTTGTTTTTTTTTCAAGAGTTCATACCTTGTTTGACAAATCAATTCTACGGTATTAAAGTAAGTATCCTGCATCTATAAACTACCAAAGAAAACCACCAAAAGATGGTATTTAGAAAGGCTAAATACCATCTTATATGCCTAGTTATACATTAGAAATGTATATTTTTAAAGAAAAAAATTATAGGTACTTCATGATAATATAATAACCCCCTCTCAAAACGAGTGGTTCTCTTCTAAGACTAAGAATTTGTTTCCCTTGACTGAAACACTAAGAATATCTTTTTTCTGCTTTGGGGTACTTTCAAGGGGTCAGCATACCCAACTCAAGGAGGTGCAAGAAACAAACTTACCACTTAAATGGTAATGCTAAGCGGTCATGTTCTCAAGCAGAGAAACTCTTTCCTAAGTATCTGGAATCTAAACATCTCTGTTAACCCTAAAAATCACTATATGCATAATCCTTACTCACTGTCTAAACACAGAGCAAATTCACTTAGAAACAACACCTACATGAAGGGAACAGTTTTATAAGAACACAGGATCACCTTACCTGATAAGAAGAATTGCTGTTGTGGTTATATGTTAAGTAGAACTGTGTTACTACAAGGAAAAGTAAAGGCACTTGTACAAATTCCCGGAATGCTTTCTTGTGTTTTATATGTATGAAAGAAGAAAAGAAGCAGAAAAGGGCTAATGGGGAAATTTTTTTAAATTCCAGAGATCCTGACCAGGCATCGAATCAAGCTGCTATGGATACACGAAGCAGGTTTCAACTGCCCACAGCTGAGTTAATAATCAGTGTCTTAATCAAAGACCTCGGCTTCCAAGCCTGGGATGAACCATTTTCCCTTGGTAGCGTGCTGTTACCAGAGCAACTCCTAGAGGAGGGACAACAGCTAAAACCTAGGCTGAAACTCAACAAATGAGCTTATCTGCAAGCTTTATCATCAGACTCTCCCCCAAGGCATTACCTTTCACCTAAGCCCTGTGACCTTAACTGACAGCCCTCCCTCCACCCCATGCAATGCAGAGCTCTCCTGGCTACAGAGGAAAGGTAGAAAACCTCTCAAAAGTCAGGCTTCCCCTGACCTTGCAACCTGGATCACTGGTGGGTAAAAGAATACAAATGACTAAGATGGGCCAAGAGTCCAGGAGTCTAGATTGCTACCCCCACCCATCCAAAAAAAAACCCACTTCTCATCAGTGCTTCAACTTCTGCATCCAGTCTTAGGCTGAAATGACTCTTTCTCCTCTTTGCTCCTGGCAACAAGTATAGTACATCCTTTCAGAGAAGAAATCCTCCTCAAAGGGGTGAATTCACCATGTGACTTTCCGTCTAACACTCAGATGAGATCACAAAGTGAGAGGGAAAAAACACTTTTGACTTTCAGTGGGTGGAAGGGAAAGAAGTTATCTAGGACAGCAGTCCCCAACCTTTTTGGTACCAGGGACCAGTTTTGTGGAAGACAATTTTTCCACGGACCGAGGCGGGGAGGAGGATGGTTTGGGGATGATTCAAGCACATTATGTTTATTGTGCACTTAATTTTTATTATTGTTACACTGTAATATGTAATGAAATAATTACACAACTCACCATAATGTAGAATCAGTGGGAGTCCTGAGCTTGTTTTCCTACAACTGGACGGCCCCATCTGGGGGTGATGGGAGACAGTGACAGATCATCTAGGCATTAGATTCTCATAAGGAGCTCGCAACCTGTATCCCTCGCATGTGCAGTTCACAATAGGGCTTACGCTTCTTTGAGAATCTAATACCGCTGCTGATCTGATGGGAGGTGGAGCTCAGGCGGTAATGTGAGTGATGGGGAGCAGCTGTAAATACAGATGAAGCTTCGCTCACTGCCACTCACCTCCTGCCGTGCAACCCAGTTAATAACAGGCCACGGACCAGTACAGGCATATGGCCTGGGGTGTGGGGACCCCTGATCTAGGAGGATATAGTCAATGACCATATTTTTTCCAAACTTAACATTTAAATTGTTAGGACATTTGTTCTGAAAAGAATGCCTGTGCCATTTTAAGATATAAGAACTGGGGGAAGCCTTTTATAACAAGTCCAGGTTAAGTAGTATATACAAATCTGAAGATGTGTACAGAAGTGCTTCAGCTGGGTATGCCATACATGTGCAATTCTGGCCAAATAGTCCCATTCAGTGAACCAATTATTTTCCAATCACAATACTCACTGCAAAAAAAAAAAAATACTGTATTATACCTAAAGAACATGGCAAAAATAAAGTGAAAGGGAGTATTCAATTGGTTTCACTTTAAGGCAAGCTTAACTCTTCCTAAGCACCCTTGCCTCCATGCCCATGACTGGTCACCTAATTGGGACAACTCCACCTGTCTGACACACCTAAGCATGACGTTTTAGAAAATTAACCTTCAATATCAATTGCTGAACAACCCAAACACCTTAACTGCCAAGAACTACATTAATTTTCAAGCACAGAGCATCATGACCCACTTATTCCCTCTGCTTATAAATAAAACAACTTAAAAGAAATATGCTAGCAAAAAGGCAAACATAAACAAGAAATAAAATAAAAAGATTAAAGTCACCTTGTAAATGGCTACTCAGTTTTAAGACATCCTAGCTTTTTCAGCCAATAATGGACTCTTAAAGAAGACAATATTCAGAAAAGGTACAGATTATGTAACCAAATATCACCCCAAATTCCACTACCCTTTATAATACCTCTGTTTTGATGCCCTTCTGAAATAAAAGAATTTGAAATCAGTTGAAAGACAAAGATAGAAAGAAAGAAGATGGGGTTAATGTGTCACCTTAAAAACCACAAGTTGTTTGCTTTTTTTATTGAGACAGGGTCTCGCTGTGTCACCCAGGCTGGAGTGCAGTGGTGCGACCACAGTTCACTGCAGCCTTGACCTCCCAGGCTCAAGCAATTCTCCACCTCAGCCTCCTGAGTAGCTGATACTACAGGCAGGCACCACCACTCCTGGTTATTTTTTGTAGAGATGGGGTTTCGCCATGTTGCCCAGGCTGGTCTAAAACTCCTGAGCTCAAGCAATCCACCCACCTTGGCCTCCCAAAGTGCTGAGATTACAGGTGTGAGCCACCACACCCAGCCGGTTCTTCACTTTTTTGAAAGTTCATTTTTGGACCAGGCGCAGTGGCTCACGCCTGTAATCCCAGCACTTTGGGAGGCTGAGGCGGGCGGATCACGAGGTCAGGAGTTCCTGACCAGCCTGATCAACATTGTGAAACTCTGTCTCTACTAAAAATATAAAAAAATTAGCCAGGCATGGTGGCACGCGCCTGTAATCCCAGCTACTCAGGAGGCTAAGGCAGGAGAACTTGAACCTGGGAGGCGGAGGCTGCAGTGAGCCGAGATCGCGCCATTGCACCCCAGCCTGGGTAACAGAGTGAGACTCCGTCTCAAAAAAAAAAAAAAAAAGAAAAGAAAGTTCATCTTTGATTGGTATTATATCAAGTTCTGTAAGAAATCTAGTATAACAGAAGTGCTTAAGAACAGGCTACCCAAAAACTTATACAAGAACAGTCATGACAGCACTACCCACGAGAGTCAAAGGTGGGAACAACCCACATGTCCATCAACAGTTAAGTGACAAACAAAATATGGTGTATATATATATAATGGAATATTATTCAGTCATAAAAGGGAATGAAATACAGAGACATATTACGTCAATGGGCCTCAAAAACATTAAGTAAAAGAAGCCAGACACATGGGTCACATATTGTATGCTTCCGCTTATATGAACTCTCCAGAGTCGGCAAATCCATAGAAACAAAAAGCAAACTAGTGGTTGCTAGGGGTTGGGGGGAGAGGAGAATGGAGTGTGACTAATTAACGTATAAGGGCTTTCTTCTGGGGTGATTAAAACAATTTAGAATTTGACATAAAGGGTGGATGTAGGCCAGGCACAGTGGCAGGTGGATCACCTGAGGTCAGGAGTTCGAGAACAGCCTGGCCAACATGGTGAAACCCCACCTCTACTAAAAATACAAAAATTAGCTGGGTGTGGTGGCTGGTGCCTGTAGTCTTACTACTTGGGAGGCTGAGGCAGGAAAATCTCTTGAACTCGGGAGGTGGAGGTTGCAGTGAGCCGAGATTGCACCACTGCACTCCAGCCTGGGCGACAGAGTGAGATTCTGTCTCAATAAAAAAAAAAAAAAAGGTGGATGTACAACATTATGAATGTTCTAAACGCAACTAAACTGTACCCTTTACAATGGTTAATTGCATGTTATGCGAATTTGATATCAATTGAAATGAAAGCACTTATGAGAGAAAATTTAAAGTTCATGGTAATATTTTATAATATATGAATACATTTGATTATGCACATCTATTTTGACGGAACGTATGAAAGCTAATAGAGAATAAAACATTCTGAGAGATCCCAAAACCAGCAAAGACACAGGAAAACTGGTCAGTTGGTAGTACCATTCTTCCTGGGTGGAGGTGGCCCTGCACTTTCTTACCCACAGACAGGAGGCGCCACGAGACGGCGGGAGTGGCAAAGCAGGCAAACACGTCGTCGGTGCAGGAGAAGTGGGTGAGGTGCGGGAGGATCACGGACTGACCCCGGCACTGGCCCCACATGTACACGTGCCCACCCTGCGTCTTGGCTGCAGACGTGTGGGCAGAGTGACAGGCTGCAATCTCTACCACCCTGAAAAGTTTTAAGAAAAATGCATGTTACTTCATGATCACAGAAGCCCACAGCACACCACACAAGGCAATTTAAAAGTTCATGCTTGCAATACCTCAGAAAACAGTCCAAGTTCCAGGGACACTAGCTGCCAAGTCACAGCAACAAAAGCAACAGATCAGGGCAAGAGCACTGTTCTCCTTTCCCAAATGCCCACTTCTCATCCTCAGCTCACTGTGAGTTAGGATAGATCACACAGACCGCCGAGGAAAACTTGGAAAACAGACCAGCAAATCCAAGCAAATGAGGAAAGTGGACACTGAGAAAATGCCCTAACAAATGTGATGGCTTAAATACCATTTCTTTTTTTTTTCTTTTTTGAGACAGGATCTCACTCCGTCACCCAGGCTAGAGCGCAGTGGCATGACCATGGCTCACTGCAGCCTCGACCTCCCAGGCTCAAGCAATCCTTCCACCTCAGCTTCCCAGACCACAGCTGCACCACCATACCCGGCTAAGTTTTGTATTTTTTATAGAGACAGAGTCTCGCTATATTGCCAGGGCCGGTCACCAACTCCTGGGCTCAAGTGATCCTCTGCCTTCGCCTCCCAAAGTGCTGGGGATTACAGGTGTAAGCCATCGTGCCTGGCCCATTTCTTTATAAATGTAACTTTTTCTCTCATCTCCTACCAGAGCTCAGAACACTCATTGGGCTGATAAGCATTGGCTGGGGGTCACGGACTCTGAACGTTCCAATCCAAAAGGAAAACAAGCCAAACTTACTATATTTCTCAGTAGTATGCTTCTTGGGTAAGGTCTCATAATCAGAAGTCAGCACTCCAGGACATAGGAGGTAAGACCTTACAATTAGGCTGAACAACATCAAGCATCTATTCCAGTAACACATATTATATCAAATCAATATTTAAACAGATAATGTCCTTTCAAGAGCAGATTTATTTAAAAGTTGTTTTACTTGGCTCAAAGTAAAAGTTTATATTACACCATAAACATCAACATGGCCATAGACCTTACTTGTCTTCCATACTAAAAGGGCAACAGCAAGACTGCAGTAATTATACCAAGATGCATTCACACCTATCAATCACAGGTGGTTATTTCAGAGAGCTACATAAGAATCATATCAACCTCATGTTCATTCTGGCTACTACTCAAAACACTTTTGCATAGGCCAGGCACGGTGGGGCTCATGCCTATAATCCCAGCACTTTGGGAGGCCGAGGTGGGTAGATCACTTGAGGCCAGGAGTTCAAGACCAGCCTGGCCAACATGGCGAAACCCTGTCTCTACTAAAAAATACAAAAATTAGCTGGGCATGGTGGTACACACCTGTAATCCCAGCTACTCAGGAGGCTGAGGCAGAAGAATCACTTGAACCCACGAAGTGAAGGTTGCAGTGAGCCGAGATCGTGCCATTGCACTCCAGTCTGGGTGACAGAGACTCTGTCTCAAAAAAGGGAAGGGAAGGGAAGGGAAGGGGGGAGGGAGAAGGGGGAAGGGGGAAGCAGGGAGGGAGAAGGAGGAAGGGGGAAGGGAGAAGGGAAGGTTATCTCTTTTGTCCAAAATGAGAATGTTAATAAACAGAAGAATCACAAAGCCAAACACCACAGCTCTGCCACACACAGCCCCAAGGCCACATCGCACACACAGTCCCAAGACGTGGCACAGCCAAGTTACCTTTCTTTCTCCACCATGATGTGTGCTGGGCTTAGCAGGTTATTTTTATTGCCAGTTCCCAGCTGCCCATATGTGTTAGCTCCCCAGGCATACAGCAAGCCCTCATCTGTTAGTGCTAGAGTATGTGCGTAACCGCAGACAATCTGCAAGTAAATTGAAACGGTTACCATTAGCAGGAAAACAGGAAGGGCAGGGAGAACATCTACTTAAAGGCTATAGCCAGCTTCTGCAGAATGCCAAATCATCATCAGGGGTGGACTGACATTTGCTGGAACATTAAAAAAGCATTAGAAGGCCGGGCGTGGTGGCTCATGCCTGTAATCCCAGCGCTTTGGGAGGCCGAGGCAGGCAGATCACAAGGTCAGGAGATTGAGACCATCCTGGCTAACACGGTGAAACCCCGTCTCTACTAAAAATACAAAAAATTAGCCAGGTGTGGTGGCGGCCATCTGTAGTCCCAGCTACTCGGGAGGATGAGGCAGGAGAATGGCGTGAACTCGGGAGGCGGAGCTTGCAGAGAGCTGAGATCGTGCCATTGCACTCCAGCCTGGGTGACAGAGGGAGACTCCGTCTCAAAAAAAAAAAAAAAAAAGCATTAGAAAAGCCTAAACCTTAGGCTACTGAATTTTTCCATTTTTTTTTTTTTTTTTAACTTGTCGAGCCTGTTTTGCCAACACCATAGTCTTGCTTCTCCTCGTGGGAAATTAGGGAAGATATAATATTAAATATGGAAGATGAAGGCACAGAGTATTGCCAGAAAAGACTGACTGAAGAGTAAACCTCCAATATTTCTCCAAGTTAGAGCAAGGAAGGTAGATGGGAAGCCACTAACTGAGAGTGCACCACACGTACCTGGTTCACACACACGCTGTGCAAAGCTGCCACTCTCACAGGGGTCAGCTGGTTGCCATTGTTTCCCAGGCCCAGCTGACCGTTGCCATTGTAACCCCAGCCATATACCTTAGAGAGGACAGAAGGGAGAGAGTGAGATTTTTAAACTGCTGGTAAGAAGGAAGAGACAAAAAAACCAGCCCATCTAAACAAATCAGATACTTCCAACACCTATATTCTACTCTATGCTCCTGCAACTGATCTCCAAACAGAAGCTATTTTGGAGAAGGGGATGACAGAATTGGCATCAGTTTCTACTCCATGACTTACTAGTTAGATAGTCTGGGGCAAGTCACTCTTTCCTGTTTAATACATGAGGAAGTTGAGCCTCACTAACAATTATTAAGTACCTACTGTATGTCAGAACACTCTGAAAGGTACTAGTTTTTGGTCACAGTTTAACAGGCGAAATAGATACATGCAAATTTTTTGCTGATGGGTAGCAAGTGCTACAATAGGTATAATCAAGGCGCTGCAGAACAGCAAGGAGGAAGGCTTTAGCTCTAGGAAGAAAGATTAAGGAAGACTTTTCAAAAAGTGGAGATTGGAGCAGAGCTGAAGGATGAAGGAGAGCAAAAACATTCCAAGCAGAAGGTATTGACTGTGTTAGAAGCTAGTTTAGAAGATAAGTAGGTGGGCTTGGCTGGACACAACTGCGGTAGTGGTAGTAGAAAGACTAGAAGAAGGCTGGGTGGGGTAGCTCACGCCTGTAATCCCAGCACTTTGGAAGGCCAGCGTGGGCAGATCACCAGGTCAGGAGATCGAGACCATCCTGGCCAACACAGTGAAACCCCATCTCTACTAAAAATACAAAAATTAGCTGGGCGTGGTGGCGCGTGCCTGTAACCCCAGCTACTCAGGAGGCTGAGACAGGAGAATCACTTGAACCTGGGAGGCAGAGGTTGCAGTGAGCCAAGATCGTGCTACCGTACTCCAGCCTGGCAACAACAACAACAAAAAGACTAGAAGGAAAGGCAAGAGCTCAGAGGGAAAGTGACAAAAAACCTACCAGGGAAAGTGCAATACATCTATAAATTTCTCATTGAAATATTAATTTAATTTGTATTTTTGAAAGATAATGCTGGCCACAGTATGAAAGATGATGGAGCATATAAGGCTAGAGGCAGGAAGAACCTTTAGGAGGTCATTTCTTCCCTCGTTAGCAAATAGGTGAGCTCTGATGAGGCTCTAAACTAAGGAGTGATAGGGGGATCATGAGAGGGAAAGCAGAGGAAAGAGGATTAAAAATAGAAGACTTCCCAGAACGTGACAGTCCCTTGGATATAGAGTGAGAGGAGGCCCATCTGCTGAAAGTAACAGAGCTAGGCATAGGTTTGACAGGAGTGTTAAAGGTTCCAAATAGCCATAGGAAAAAGTACTGACCAGGAACAAATAAAGGCCTTGCTCAAATTACAAACCCAAGATTTGTGGTGGCATCGAGCCCCACAGCAATGTAGGGCGGCAGACATAGACTGGGGCTTTTCAGGGTAACATGATGGAGCGGAAAGGGGGAATGGACTTTAAGGGCCTGGGGAGAGATGGTTAAAGGCACTTTCACCCAGTGCCAGAAGTGTAACAGACATGAACTTTCTGGAGAGAAATTTGGCAATGGCTATCAGTATTTCAAATGGCATACTTCTTGACCCAGAAATTCTTTGGAAATTTATTCTATAGAAATACTTGTATAAGTGTACAAAGATACACATACACAGAGTAACATAGAAAATCACCACAACTCTGTCTATAACAGCAAAAAATTAGAAAACTGACATGTTCATCAGTAGAGCTCTGTATGTGGGTCATTCACAGAAGCCAAAGTCAGCAGCCATAATGATGGAAAGCCGCATAAATGGTCTGATCACAGACACAGATAAACACAGGATGCTATACAGGGGAGCGGGAAGCAGGCTGAAGAATAGCAGAGAAAAGCTGCAGTAGGTATAATCATCCCATTTTTTTAAAAAAAGATAATTATACTCACCCATATATAATTGTTTAAGGGAAAAGTCCAAAAAGATATGCATGAAACTATTAACAAGATTGGGAAAAGGTATTCACTTTTTATTTTATCTGTTTCACTTGTCTTCCTTTACTTTGTTAAAATAACCATATAATAATAACCTAAAAATTAAACTTATTTTTAAAAATAAGAGAAGAATACTGGAATGGAGGATATTCAACGGCCATCCCAAGGAATTCTGAAGTCATTTCATGATACTGAGATTGATTTTTTAAAAAATAAGTTAACATAAGGTCTATGCATAAACTCTAAAGCACCCTAGCACAGGGGTCCCCAGTCCCCAGCTCATGAGCCGCAGGCCGGTACCAGTCCGTGCCCTGTTAGGAACCGGGCCGCACAGCAGGAGGTGAGCAGCGGGCAAGGGAGTATTACTGCCTGAGCGCCACCTCCTGTCAGATCAATGGCAGCATAAGATTCTCACAGGAGCACGAACCCCATTGTGAACTGCACAACAAGGCATCTAGGCTGTGCGCTCCATATGAGAATCTAACTCATGCTTGATGATCTGAGGTGGAACAGTTTCATCCCAAAACCATGCCCCCAACACCGCCATCTGTGGAAAAACTGTCTTCCATGAAACCAGTCCCTGGTGCCAAAAAGGTTGGGGACCACTGCCCAAGCACACCAATGCATGATGCCAAAACATCTGTGTCCAGGGTAATATCTTTGTATAATTTTCATGCACTAAAATATGCATAGGTAGTAAATAGCCTATTTAAGTGGAAGCTGCATCCAGAGACTAATTTCACAGAAATAACCATCAGCTCAAAAGTGACCACAGTAGGGGGTAACTAAAGGGACAGTTGTTAAAAGTAGCTAACAACAGTCAGGACCCCACAAAAAATCTGCTTTTGCAAGTTGCTTCCTCCTGTGAACATTCAAGATATAGGTAGGTAGTTCTACAAGGACTTCATCAGTTAATTTTAAAATGTACAGTTGACATTGTTTCATTGGAAGAGAAAGGTAGGATTAAATTCTTTAATCTATTACATTAAATATCACGAACAAATAGCTATAGGCATTAGGCTCTTTGGATCTTGCAAAAAATACAACTTAGACATATAGAATCTTTACTTTCAGGTAAATCCTGGAATTTAGAAAAGTCATACTGAGGAGCAAAAAACCTCCAGCTCCTCAGTCAGTAATCAGTTAACTTTCAATGGAGCTACCAAAACAAAGCACTCTTCCTTCTTCCATCTGATACATTCACCTTGTGAAGAAACTGACGTGTAATTGAAAAAGAAGGTAGAAAGGGAAATGGGAGTGGAGACACCTCACCTCGCCATTGTCCAGAACAGCCATGGATGAAGTCTGACCACAGGCAATGCCAACTACCCTCTTAATATGTAAACAGTTTGTAACTTTTCGAGGAGTTGGTTGATTTGCTGTAGAACCTGATCCCACTTGGCCACAGTTGTTATAACCCCAAGCAAACACCTACAAGAGAAAGAAAAAGGAAAAGGAAAGAATAGTCAGGGTGAAAATTCTACCCCAACACAAATAATCATAAAAATTAAAATTATCCTACTTAATGAGTACTTAAGATGTGCTAAACGGTTCTATATGCTTTACACACATTAACCTATTTAACCTGCCTAGTAATCCTGCAAAGTGACCCTAGAGTAGGTAGTACCCACTTTATACATCTCCGTTTTATACATGGAAACTGAAACATGAGAGGTTAAGTGACTTGCTTGAGGTACCAAAGCTGGTAAGTAGCGCTAAGAGAATTTAACCCCAAGCAGTCTAGCTATGCTCTTGACCACCATGCTACATTCCCTCTATAATTTGTGTGTGTGTGTATACACACACAACTACACATACACACATACGAATGTGGCATCAATAGGAAATGCGGTATATGCCACATAAGTATTAGTGATGTAAAACATTTGCTCAACTCTTTGGGCATAAATATTCATTGTTTTCCATGGAAACCATTCTTTTTGTTTTGCTTTGGTTTTTTTTTTTTTTTTTTGAGATAGAGTTTCACTCTGTCCCCCAGGCTGGAGTGCAGTGGTGCGATCTCAGCTCACTGCCAGCCCCGCCTCCCGGGTTCATGTCATTCTCCTACCTCCCAAGTAGCTGGGACGACAGGCGCCCGCCACCATGCCCGGCTAATTTTTTGTATTTTTAGTAGAGATGGGGTTTCACCGTGTTAGCCAGGATGGTCTCGATCTCCTGACCACGTGGTCCACCCATCTCGGCCTCCCAAAGTGCTGGGATTACAGGCGTGAGCCACCATGCCCAGCCTCATGGAAACCATTCTAAACAAGACTATAAACAGAGAGATGAATTAGGGAGGGAGGTGTTGGCAGTAGAGGAAATAATTTCCTCCAACATTAGGAAATGTCTAAGCCCCCGCTCCCCACCCTGCTTCACGTGGCTGCAGGAGGTGGTCCACGTATATACTGAGTGTGGCTTCCATGATTCTTGTCTGATGCTGGCCAAGGCAACAACAGTAGAGCCCTCTGGTATATGTGTTACAGGTTCATTTCACAGGTACAAAACAAATAACCTGCAACACCTCCTCAAAGTATATTCACATAAATATCTAGTTTAATTATGCAAATATTAATATTCAGTATAATTATTCAAAGTACCATATGCTTAAGATTAAAATAAATCAGGAACCCAGCCGGCATAAATTAGCAAGTTTGAGCTAATTTCAGCAATCATTCTTCTGGCACTTCTCAAATACATCACATTCCCTTGCAGTGCTGCTGACTCTTGTTTAAAAACTGGGGCTATAGTTCCACTAACCAAGAAATGGACTAGGAAACAGTGGATCTGGGGCATGAGGCCTGTGTGCTATGCCTGGCTCCAGCACATCCCAGTCATGAAATCTTGGTCTCCCTGAGCTTTTGGGTTTGTTCACTTATAAGTTGTCCTACTTAATAAAATCTCTGTAACATCACTGAGGGACTTCAAAGAGAGGAACAGTATGATCTAATCTGTGTTAGAAACCAGAGAGGACAGCAAAGCAAGACTGGACAGACGGATCAACTTAAAAGATAGGGAATAGAAGGGACTATGGCAGTAGTCTAGGCAGGAAATGACAAGACTTGACCAAAGGCAATGGAAATGGAGAGGAACAAAATGGAGGAACAAAAAGGCAAAGGAAATGGAGAGGAAATGGAGATGGTACAAAAGATTAGAAGACAGAATCAATAGGATGAGTGACCTTTAAGATAAGCACAACTTGGGGGCTTAACAAGTGTTACAGTACCTACTAGGAGGATAGTAAAGTTATTTTTTCCAAACTCATTACATATACTGAAAAATAAAATAGACCTTAAGGATGGGGTCACTAAAAAAAAAAGTACAGAACACTGTCACACATCTGAGCTATAGTCTTAGCAAAGAGCATGGGACTCAGCTGCCTTAAAAAATGAACTCTAGGTTGGGTGCGGTAGCTCACACCTATAATCCCAGCATTTTGGGAGGCTGAGACAGGAGGATCGCTTGAGCCCAGGAGTTCAAGACCAGCCTGGGCAACATAGCCAGATTCTTGTCTCTACAAAAAAAAATTTTTTTTTTAAAAGAATGAATTCTACTGCCATCAAAAGTGTAATCTTGATTATACAATACACGTTATGCTAGAGAGAGAGTGCACTCCCACAAGGTTTTTAGCTACATGCACAGGGCTACAATATTCACACCACATCAAGTACAAATATGGTCATTAAAATCAGAGGATTTTCACAATAGCCAAAAGTGGAAAAAATCCAAACATCCATGAACAGATGAATAGACAAACAAAGTGTGGCTTACAGCAGGTCCTTGAAAAACGTCATTTCATTCAACATCATTTTGTTATAACACTAATGAGAAAAAATGTCAATTCCCGGCCAGGGCCACTGTCTGTGGAGTCTGCATGTCCCATGTCTGTGTGGGTTTTCTCTGGGTACTCTGATTTCCTCCCACACCCCAAAGCTGTGCAGACTAGTTTGTGTCTAAGCTGTATACATGTCTCAATGATTCTAGTGAGAGTGAGTGTGGGGGTATACATGAGTGCACCCTGTATCCTGTCCAGGGCTGCTTCCCACCTGGTGTCCTGCGCTGCCAGAAGAGGCTGTGGCCACATGCAACCCTGAACTGGAACAAACGGGTTGGAAAATGAATGAATGAATAAATGAATACAAATTATTAGAAAATAAAAATTCACAAAGTAGGCTTGTCATGGTGGCTATGCCTGTATTCCCAGCACTTTGGGAGGCCGAGGCGGGAGGATCACCTGAGGTCAGGAGTTCGAGACCAGCCTGGCCAACATGGTGAAACCCCGTCTCTACTAAAAATACAAAAAAATTAGCCAGGCATGGTGGCAGGCGCCTGTAATCCCAGCTACTCAGGAGGCTGAGGCAGGAGAATCACTTGTACCCAGGAGGCAGAGGTTGCAGTGGGCCGAGATTGTACCATTGCACTCCAGCCTGGGCAAGAAGGGTGAAACTCTGTCTCCAAAAAAAAAAAAAAAAAAAAAATTCACAAAGTAGACAATAACCATACAAATGCATAACAATAAACAACACAGTCAAACACCCTCAGTGAGCTGTCACATTTGTGATCGTTTGCTTTTGAACTGTGTGGCAGTAGGAGGTGCCCCTTGTAATTTTTGCTTTGCAAACATTTATTCCTTGACTTAACCCACCACCACTATGATCACCCCAACTCAGTGATTCACCATAAATTGGGTAAATAATTCTCTTATTGCTTTTATTAATCTTTGTTAAATATATGTATTAGTTTGCATTTATTTAAATGTTTAAGAAGTGGTTTGGGTCTTCAGAAGTTTGGTGATGTCTTTGTGACCAGAAATATACCATAGGAACTTAACTCTTGTTTTTATCAATTAGCCAATGGTAAAACTGGTTTCATTACATGTCTTTTTGCTTAAAGTTGTAGTTTCCAAGAATCTATCAATGACATTATGTGGGCACTTACTATATGTATCCAATGGAATATTATTCAGCCCTGAAAAGGAATGAAGAGAATCCTATCATATGGTACAAAGTGGATGAACCTTGAGGATATTATGCTAAGTGAGATAAACCAGTTACAAAAGGACAAACATTGTATGATTCCACTTACGTGAGGTACCTAGAGTAATCAAACTCAAAGAAACAGAGTAGAAAGTTGTTGGCTGGGCACGGTGGCTCACGCCTGTAATCCCAGCACTTTTGGAGGCCAAGGCGGGCAGATCACGAGGTCAGGAGATCGAGACCATCCTGGCTAACACGGTGAAACCCTGTCTCTACTAAAAATACAAAAAATTAGGCGGGTGTGGTGGTGGGTGCCTGTAGTCCCAGCTACTTGGGAGGCTGAGGCAGGAAAATGGCGTAAACCCGGGAGGCGGAGCTTGCAGTGAGCAGAGATCGTGCCACTGTACTCCAGCCTGGGCGACAGAGCGAGACTCCATCTCAAAAAAAAAAAAAAAAAGAAAGTTGTTGTCAGGGGCTGGGGGAGGACAGAATGGGAGTGAATGTTTACCAGGGACAGCGTTTCAGTTTTGCAGGATGAAACAGTTCTGTGGGTGCATGCTGGTGACAGTTGTATGACAAGGTGAACATACTTAACACCACTGAACTATACACTTAAAACTGGTGAAGCTGGTAAATTTTATGTTAAGTGTATTTACTATGATGAAAAAAAAAAAGAATAAAGAATAAAAGCAGCATACTTACCTCTCCATCAGCTGCCAGAGCCATTGAATGATGTGAGCCACAAGCTACTTCCACCACTTGCTTGATCAAGAGATTGGTACAGACCTGGACGGGAGCAATGCCTTGGTTGGTCGTCCCATTCCCAAGCTGGCTATATCCATTGTGGCCCCAGGCATAAACCACTCCATCTGTGCACACAAAGCACACAAAAAATCAGCTCCAAAAAGAAATAGTAACCCTGTACTTTCTTCCCCAGAACTTCGTACAGCTCCTTCTCCAACCTTCATTTCTCTCCCATTGCCCCCTCCTCTCTATTAAGTAACCATGGACAGAGTAAAGGAGAGAGAGATGGGTGACAGAACGGGATAGACAGATGCAAAATCTTTAAAGAAAAAACTTGGTAATAACATAGAAAGATCAGTTTTGTGATCAAAAGCAAAGTTTACGTATGCAAGAATTAGGCTTTCTAAAAGCTTTGATTCATCTCAATAGTTTCTGTGTCAGATGCCAAGAAAAAGGCAGATGATAAGAAAGCTCGATGTTAATGTTTACCATTGCTTAACCAAATACCAAGTCACGGGGAACCCACAGGGGGCGTGTGGCTACTCGCTCACCAAGTATAGGGGAAAGAGATAGACTGTTTACAAAGGAAACAAAAGTCTCAGGGCTTCTTTGAAGCAGACTATTTTATTTTAGTGGCATGAAATCTGGCTGAATTTTTTTTTTTTTTTACATAAAGCAACCATTTTTTTACGCTCATTTATTCTGTGTCAGGAATTTGGACAGGGGACAATGAAGATGGCTTGTCTTTGCTTCACAGTGTGTGTGATCTCAGGAAGATTAAAAGGCTGGAGATGACTTGAGAGTTGAGGACTAGCAACACCTGGAGGCATTGTCACTCACACTGCTGTGACTATCTCTGGAAAGCATAATCAGCTTATTCTAACAGATTCAACTCAGGAACAGCCAAATGGGGGAGACACACAGGGTAAGGTATGCGGGGATGAGGGGTGCACGGAGCTCCCATGCCCTCCCTGGCATGCCACCCCCTCCCAGCACCTCGATGTGGTCACCAACCCGGAAGCTCCTCTGTCTGAATTTTTTTTATAATGACTTTATCTTTTCTGAGATTCTGATGAAGACAACTTTTCTTGTGTTATCTCTTGAAGTATCATCGTTTCAGGCATTTCTTTCCACAGCACCCCCGAGTGCCAAGGGCAGGTCTCCCAGAGTTACACATTCTCCTCTTATCTTTCCCATGGTAATAAAACATCCTGACCTATTAAGGACAGTCTGCCTGGCAACAACACTCAAGGGCAACAGCAGAAATCCAAGTATTACAGTTAGGCTGCTGGTCACTCACAGCAGTCCCCAGGCAACCAGGGGAAACAGACTTCTACTTGTCTACTGTAGAACGAAGACAGCCCACACAAACTCAGAGTCCTCTTCCAGGTGACATGTGGCTCACAAGAGCCATTCCCTCCTACAGAAATTATGACAGAAACCATAAATGGGAAATTTCATCCTGAGAAAGATGAGGCTTAAGACTGAAAGAAAGAGTATAAAACACAAAAAGTATGATCCATGATATTGTGTTAAAAGCTACGGCAGGTGAAAGAAATGTCCAAACTAATGAGTGTTTTAACCCCTGAAAACAGAAAAATAGACTTAAATAGAGAAATGCATACCTTGTTCTTAGATGGGAAAATTCAGTATCATAAAGATTCTAGTTTTTCCTACATAAACTTATAAAGTTTAAATAGCAATAAAAGCTTAAAGTTACTTTCTGGAGGTAGACAAATTGATTAGAAAGTTTAATGGGAAGAATAAACAAACAAGAATAAATAGGAAAACCCTACAAAAAAAAAAGCAAGAAGGTAGCTAATTCTACCAGTTACTAAAACCTATAACAAGTTTCTATGAGGCTGGGCTTGCCTGTAATCCCAGCACTTTGGGAGGCCGAGGCAAGTGGATTGCTTGAGGTCAGGAGTTCAAGACCAGACTGGCCAACACAGTGAAACCCCACATCTACTAAAAAAAAAAAAAAAATACAAAAATCAGCCAGGCATGGTAGCGCGCACCTGTAATCCCAGCTACTCAGGAGGCTGAGGCACAAGAATTGCTTGAACCCAGGAGGCGGAGGTTGCAGTGGGCTGAGATTGTGCCTTGCACTCCAGCCTGGGCAAAAAGGACTCTATCTCAAAGAAAAAAAAAAAAAGGTTAATTTTAAAATAACCTGTAATTCTAAATAATCTCAAATAGAAGACGCTGAATCCATGAAACAATAGCAACAAGTTCTGGAAAGAAACATTTAAAGATCAAGAAAGAACACTTGGAAATAAAACAATGGGAATGTTAAAAATTTGACATAAGCGTTGTAAGATAAAGTTGAAGAAATTTCCCAGAACACAGATGGGAGAGAACATTTTTAAAAAATCATGAAGATCAGGCCAGGCATGGTGGCTCACACCTGTAATCCCAGCACTTTTGGAAGCTGAGGTGGGAGGATTGCTTGAGCCCAGGAGGTTACAGGTGTGAACCACCTGCTCACACAGTGAGGCTGCAGTGAGCCAAGATTGCACCACTGCACTCTAGCCTGGACAGAGAGACCCTGTCTCAAAAAAAAAAAAAAAAAAAAATTTGGAAGATCACTCCAGAATCTCTAACTTTCTAAGAAAAATTCCATAAAGGAGAAAACAAAGAAGAAAATTTTTCTTTTTTTGAGATGGGGTCTCACTCTGACCCTCACTCTGTCACAAAGGCTGGAGTGCAGTGGCGCAATCATAGCTCACTGCAACCTCAAACTCCTGGGCTCAACTGATCCTCCTGCCTCAGCCTCCTGAGTAGCTGAGACTACAGGTGCGTGCCACCATCCCCGGCTTTTTTTTTTTTTTTTTTTTTTTTTTTTTTAAGAGACATGGCCTCGCTATGTTGACCAGGCTGGTCTTGAACTCCCGGCCTGGAGCAAACGTCCTGCCTTGGCTTCCCAAAGTGCTGGGATTACAGGCATGAGCCACCACACACAGCCAACAAGGGAAACTATTCATGAAATATTACAAGAAGAAATTTCCAGAAATGACCAATACAATAAATTAAAAATTACACCAGAGTACAGAATCATGATTATGTCACAATACTTAAAAAAATAAAAATAAAAATAAAAAAAAGATCCTTGAAGCTTCCAAAGAGGAAAAAACAGTCACATACAAAATAGCAAAAGTTGCCAGGCATAGTGGCTCACACCTGTAATCCCAACACTTTGGGAGGCCGAGCCACAAGGATCACTTGAGCCCAGGAGTTTGAGACCAGCCTAGGCAACATGGTGAGACCTCATCTCTACAAAAAAATTTAAAAATGAGGTGGGAAGATCGCTTGAGCCCAGGAGGTCAAGGTTGCAATGAGCCATAATCACTCCACTGTACTCCTGCCTGGGTGACAGAGAGAGAGAGACCCTGCCTCAAAAAAAAAAAAAAAAAAAAAAAAAGGCCAGGCACAGTGGCTTATGCTTATAATCCCAGCACTTTGGGAGGCTGAGATGGGTGGATCACCTGAGGTCGGGAGTTCAAGATCAGCCTGGTCAACATGGAGAAACCCTGTCTCTACTAAAAACACAAAAATTAGCCAGGCATGGTAGCATATGCCTCTAATTGTACTTCGGAGGCTGAGGCATGAGAATTGCTTGAACCCAGGAGGCTGATGTTACAGTGAGCTGAGATCGTGCCACTGCACTCCAGCCTAGGCGATAGAGCGAGACTGTCTCAAAAGAAAAAAAAGGAAAGAAAGAACCAGTGTGATGCCAGAAGGCATGATTACGCAAGGCAAAAGTGAGATAATCACCTCATTATGCTCAACTCCAGTTATATTCATACCACATGATGATGCTCAGATTTGGATTTCACAGCTCTCTTGAGAAAGATGCAGAGAACTTGAAGTAGATTCAGTTAGGAGTTACAGGCACTTAGAAGGCTAGATACTAAAACCTGTGACAGCATTCTAGGAAGCTGTGATTCCTCAGTCTAGACAAAGAAAGGCCGGGATGCAAATCATCTCCCAAATGCCACCCTAGACAATTATCCAACAAAAAGCTGAGGACCTCAGAGAAAGAGAGCAAGAGTTAATGTATCTAAAGTATAAAAGGAAGCATTTAAATAGATAATGAATTTTCAGAGAGTGTTGGGTGCCCACAGTACAGATCGATTACACACACATACAAAATGTCCACTCTCCCTTAGTGATCTTGAAGAGGCAGAGTAAAAAAGGACAAGAACCTATCAACCTGCATCCCCGGTTCTTTCAATATGGCAACTACATGAATGCCAGAGAACAGATGAAGATTTCCCGATTCAAGATGCAAGCAATGCACAAAGAAAGGAAAGCCAGGTAGCATCTATGTTTAGAAAAATGTACCGGCCGGGCACAGTGGCTCATGCCTGTAATCCCAGCACTTTGGGAAGCCAAGGTGGGCGGATCACGAGGTCAGGAGTTCCAGACCAACCTGGCCAATATGATGAAACCCAGTCTCTACTAAAAGTACAAAAATTAGCCGGGGCGTGGTGGCACGCGTCTGTGGTCTCAGCTACTCGGGAGGTTGAGGCAGAAGAATCGCTTGAACCCAGGAGATGGAGGTTGAGTGGGCCGAGATCATGCCACTGCACTCCAGCCTGGAGACAGAGCGAGACTCCTTCTCAAAAAAAAAAAAAAAAAAAAAAAAAATGCCGGGCGCGGTGGCTCACGCCTGTAATCCCAGCACTTTGGGAGGCTGAGGTGGGCGGATCACGAGGTCAGGAGATCGAGACCATCCTGGCTAACACGGTGAAACCCCATCTCTACTAAAAATACAAAAAATTAGCCGGGCATGGTGGCGGGCGCCAGTAGTCCCAGCTACTCGGGAGGCTGAGGCAGGAGAATGGCGTGAACCCAGGAGGTGGAGCATGCAGTGAGCCGAGATTGCACCACTGCACTCCAGCCTGGGCGACAGAGAGAGACTCCGTCTCAAAAAAAAAAAGAAAGAAAGAAAAGAAAAACGTACCAAAGGAACCCTGAAAGTTGCATTGCAGAACAAAGACCAGTGAGCTATTAAGGAATAGGATTGCAGCTGTCCCGCTCCCGCTCCCATTCCCACTCCCGCTCCCTCTCCCTCTCTTTCCACGGTCTCCCTCTGATGCCGAGCCGAAGCTGGACTGTACTGCTGCCATCTCGGCTCACTGCAACCTCCCTGCCTGATTCTCCTGCCTCAGCCTGCCGAGTGCCTGCGATTGCAGGGGCGCGCCGCCACACCTGACTGGTTTTCGTATTTTTTTGGTGGAGACGGGGTTTCGCTGTGTTGGCCGGGTTGGTCTCCAGCTCCTAACCGCGAGTGATCTGCCAGCCTCGGCCTCCCGAGGTGCCGAGATTGCAGACGGAGTCTCGTTCACTCAGTGCTCAATGTTGCCCAGGCTGGAGTGCAGTGGTGTGATCTCGGCTAGCTACGACCTCCACCTCCCAGCTGCCTGCCTTGGCCTCCCAAAGTGCCGAGATTGCAGCCTCTGCCCGGCCGCCACCCCGTCTGGGAAGTGAGGAGCGTCTCTGCCTGGCCGCCCATGGTCTGGGATGTGAGGAGCCCCTCTGCCCGGCTGCCCAGTCTGGGAAGTGAGGAGCGCCTCTTCCCGGCCGCCACCCCATCTAGGAAGTGAGGAGCGTCTCTGCCCGGCCGCCCATCGTCTGGGATGTGAGGAGCGCCTCTGCCCAGCCCCGACCCCGTCTGGGAGGTGAGGAGCGTCTCTGCCCGGCCGCCCCGTCTGAGAAGTGAGGAGCCCCTCCACCCGGCAGCCACCCCGTCTGAGAAGTGAGGAGCCCCTCTGCCCGGCCGCCACCCCGTCTGGGAGGTGTACCCAACAGCTCATTGAGAACAGGCCATGATGACGATGGCGGTTTCGTCGAATAGAAAAGGGGGAAATGTGGGGAAAAGATAGAGAAATCAGATTGTTGCTGTGTCTGTGTAGAAAGAAGTAGACATAGGAGACTCCATTTTGTTCTGTACTAAGAAAAATTCTTCTGCCTTGGGATGCTGTTGATCTATGACCTTACCCCCAACCTGGTGCTCTCTGAAACGTGCTGTGTCCACTCAGGGTTAAATGGATTAAGGGCGGTGCAAGATGTGCTTTGTTAAACAGATGCTTGAAGGCAGCATGCTCGTTAAGAGTCATCACCACTCCCTAATCTCAAGTACCCAGGGACACAAACACTGCAGTAGGCCGCAGGGTCCTCTGCCTAGGAAAACCAGAGACCTTTGTTCACTTGTTTATCTGCTGACCTTCCCTCCACTATTGTCCTATGACCCTGCCAAATCCCCCTATGCGAGAAACACCCAAGAATGATCAATAAAAAAATAAAATAAAATAAATAAATAAATAAATAAATAAATAAATAAAAAAGTTGCATTGCAACACAAATCCACTGAAAAATTAGGCTGGAAGGACCATCATTTGCTATATCTAATCATCCACAGCTTTATGGAGGCAGTCGAAAACCTCAGAAGTTTGCCTAATTTGCAAGACATCCTATAGCTTTTCCAGAGTTAGCCCGAAGTGTTTAACTTTCACCTGCTTTATGTACTTCCTCTCAGAAATTAAGAAGCAAACAATCCAAAATCAGTTATCTGGTATAGCCCTATCTCCCCTAAGCTTAGAATTAACCGGTCAATTTCTTACAAACTGAAAAGTTAGATGGGTTCCCTCCTTACCTTCGGTGCTGAGAAGAACATGTGGTCCACTCCCGTAACTGAGGCTTTTAATCTTCTTTCCACATAAGCCTTCTAGCTTTTTGGGTACAAGTGTACTCTGGTTATCTCCAGTTCCTAGACAGTTACTATAGTTCAGTCCAAATACAAAGACCTAGAAAATAGATAGTTTTTTTTCTGAGTCTTTTGACCGAAAGCTGTATTAAAAGCTCCCTTCTCTCCTCTGAAAATAAGACATTTCAACTACAGAGCTCAGGAGGTGAAAAGAGACTGATATGGTTGTTAAGAAAAATTCAACCTCTGTGGACATTGCTTACGTTTCAGAATGTTTGTCTATATTATGAAACTCAGAGTGCTATGGAGTAGACGGGTATTAAATCAAGAAACTGAAAAAAGAGAAACTATCAAAGCCATAGTCTTCCTGAACTTCAGGATCTCTTTATTTATACCCCGCCTTTTCTCCATCTTTGAACTGGACACTTTGAAGACCAATTGCCAAATAAGTCCTAAAACGAAACTAGGTTTCAAGAGACTCTTACCTCATCATTGTCAGTAACGTACAGTGCTTCACTGGCTGAGGTGCCGAAGACACACGCCTTCCGAATAGACGCGATCTCTTGAGGGGAGAGTAGAGTGAAGATGGGCCACTTTCCGACATCCACCATGACTCTGGCTTCAAGCAATTCCTATAAATAAGCCGACATCTCTGCTGGAACAGAAAGGATTCCAGAAAAAAATTAAATAGTCACTGAGCTAACTTTCAAAAAAAAGACCTGTTAATAAATACTAACAAAAGCTGATTCTAGAATAAATGAACTACCTTTGGTTACATGGATCACTCACTTTCCCCCAGCCATGTGTGCAATCCCTCCTCCACCTTCAAACCCCGGACTTTCCTACAAGAGAATAACGTGCAAGAACTAGCTGTTTGTCTTGCCCACTTCCTAGTCAGTGCTTATCTGTTCCACATGTGCTTCCAACTCACCCTCTTCTTAGACCTCTAAAAACAGCCAAAGCAGCAGGTCAAGACCAAGTTCTGGCTCCAGCACCTCCAACAGCACACACAGAGGGCGCCTGCAGCTGGAGCATGCTTAGCCAAAGCCTTGTCCCCACCCACCAGAGATATTCTTCCCACCAGCACCAACTTGGATGACAAGGATCAGCTTCAGCCCCAGGTATCATACCACAAATTCAATGAGGATTAAACGCCGTCAAATCAGGCTATTCATTGTCACTGCATAGCCAGACTACTGGAATAACATTTGGATGTCTTGACAAATGTGTGTGCAGGTGGAGGGGGAGGTATGGGTGAGGACAAGTAAAAGATTTGACAGGGGAGTAATACATGAAAATGGGAAAAAAACTTTGGTTTCAAATGGACAAAAGGGGATAAGAAAGAAAGTCTCCTTATCATCCCTCCCTGACCCTCTCCTCAAAGGCCACCACTGTTCCCAGTGATCTGTAATTCCTTCTGGAAACAGTGCTCATGGAAGCACTACATGTATGCATAGGTGTATGTGTATCTTTAAAAACAGAAGCACAAATGGAAGTTTTTTTTCCCTACTTAACAGTACATCGGGGAAATCATTCTATATTAGCACACATAGACCTGCTACATTTCTTTCCAATGGTACTATGGCATTCCATTACATCGATTTAGCAATTTACCTTATTTTCTACTGAGAGACATTTAAGTCAATTCCAGTCTTTTGCTAGAACAATAGTGCAATTGTTGCCTGCACATTATTGTATTGACATGTCTTGTTTTATACAGAAATTTCTAAAATAAATTCCTAAAAATGAAAATTGCTAGGTCAAAGTCTAATAGCTATTTTACTGTTACTAGCTATTAATATTTCAAACAGTCTTCTATTGAAGTAGTGGCCATATATAAAATCACCATGGATGTAGGATGGCACCTGTTTACACACACCCTTCCCACACAGCGTACTCTCACGGCATTTCAGTTTTGTTTAAACTGGCATTTCCCTGTGATGAGTGGAGTTGGATGTCACTTAAAAAAATAATCAGGCCGGGGGAGGGGGGTGGCTCACACCTGTAATCCCAGCACTTTGGGAGGCCAAGGTGGGCAGATCAGGAGGTCAAGAGATCGAGACCATCCTGACCAACATGGTGAAACCTTATCTCTACTAAAAATACAAAAATTAGCTGGGCATGGTGGTGTGTGCCTGCAGTCCCAGCTACTCAGGAGGCTGAGGCAGGAGAATCACTTGAACCCGGGAGGCGGAGGTTGCAGTGAACTGAGATTGTGCCACTGAACTCCAGCCTGGTGACAGAGCGAGACTCTGTCTCGAAAATAAAAAATAATGATCAGAATAATTGCAACAATAACAACTAACTTACTGGGCACTATGTGCCAAGCACTATTTTTAGAAAATTTATATTTATTCATTCATTTAATCCTCACTTTACCAATAAGGAAATGGAGAAAAAGAGATTTTAAGAAGTGGCAGAGTCGGGATCTGCACCCAGGCAACCTGAAGCCTGAGTCTGAACTCTTCACCTCTCACTCACATTTTAAGAGCCCACTGTCAGCCTTTTGTGCAAAGTGCCTATCTTTTTCTACTGGATCATTGTTCTTTTTCTTGTTCTTGATTTATAAGTATTCTTTGTATGGTAAGATGATCTTAAATGCTTTTAAAAGTTTAAAAATAAAGGCTGGGCGCAGTAGCTCACGCCTGTAATCCTAGCACTATGGGAGCCCAAGCCGGAAGGACTGCTTGAGCCCAGCAGTTTGAGACCAGCCTGGGCAACATGGCGAAACCCCATTTCTACAAAAAATACAAAAAAAAAAGGCCAGGCACGGTAGCTCACTCCTGTAATCCCAGCACTTTGGGAGACCAAGGTGGGTAGATCACTTGAGGTCAAGAGTTCGTGACCAGCCTGGCAAACATAGTGAAACCCCATCTTTACTGAAAATACAAAAAAAATTAGCCTGGCGGTAGTGGCGCATGCCTGTAATCCCAGCTACTTGGGAGGCTGAGGCAGGAGAATCACTTGAGCCCGGGAGGCAGAGGTGGCTGTGAGCCGAGACTGCATCACTGCACTCCTTGTCTGGGTGGCAGAGTGAGAGACCCTGTCTCAAAAAAAAAAAAGAAAGAAAGAAAGAAAAAGAAAAATTATTAGCCAGGCATGGTGGCGCATGCCTGCAGTCTCAGTTACTCAGGAGGCTGAGGTGAGAGGATTGCTTGAACCCAGGAAGTCAAGGCTGCAGTTGAGCCGAGATCACAACGCTGCACTCTAACCTGGGTGACAGAGGGAGACCCTGTCTCAAAAAGATTAATAAAATAAACAAAAAGGAACAAGATGCCCCTCAAACGACCTCTTGTGCCTCTTACAAAACAGATGGAGAAAGGAGTCATAAGAAGTCAAGCCATATAAAGCCATACAAGCAGGTAAGTAAATTTCAAGAAAATCCAGAAGCAGGTTTTCCTGGAATTATGAACCATATCAAGTTAGCCTTCAAAATGTTTAATTTTACATGACACAGAATTAGCCAAAAATATGACTCACCACCTTTAAAATTACAACACAAAAGGTAAGACATTCAAAACCACACAACTTCCTGACAGCAGCACAATTATTCTAAAATCATTAAACAAATATGGGCAACTCTGCCCTAAGGGTTTGGTAATCTACTGCAAGATCAAGCTAACCTTCATAATGATGGGGCATTATTATACGCACTGACTTCACCCAGTGCTAAATCACATGAAGCTTTATTTTACAAGGTATTTCTCCAAAGACTTGTCATTTAAGAGTCAATTCAAGAAATAGGTCATGTATCTTACATGTCCATACCCATCATAAAAGAAAAAGGCATCCCCAACAGGCTTGGTAGGGTGGTAACAACAGAGTGCTGAGGCCTGTGTCCCAGGTTTGCTTTTAAAATCAGTCAGTATGACAGCTGTTTGCTGTTTTGAGCCTGGGTTTCCCCCAAACCTAGAAATTTGTCATTTTATGTTCAAGATATAATGAAGAAGCTGGGGGATTTCTTGAACAGATAAGAACAACAGAGGCAGTAATATTGGCCAAGCAAGTAATTATCCCTAGCAAGACAATCAAGCAAAGCTAACAGCAGGAAAGAAGAAACGAATAACTATCCTGAACCTGCCTTGTCGTAGACACTGTTAATTAGGTAGCTTCCATACATTATTTCATTTAATCTTCGTAATACTCTTGTGAGGAGGAGACTGTAAACCATTTCTGACAGATGAGGACTGAGGCTCAAAGGTGAAATGACGCCAAGGTCACACAGCAGACCCCTCTAATTTTTCTTATGGAGAATATCAGTCCTGGCCCTTGAAGGGCTGAACTTCCTCAACAACTTCAGTGAACTTCCTAAAGTCACTTCTTTCTGACTTTATCTTGCCTTGTAAATGTACAGCAGCATCTGTCTTTAAACTGTTACCAATATAAAAAGTATCCAGGCCGGGCGGGGTAGCTCACACCTGTAATCCCAGCACTTTGAGAGGCCGAGGCGGGCGGACCACCTGAGGTGGGGAGTTCGAGACCAGCCTGACCAACATGGAGAAACCCTGTCTCTACTAAAAATACAAAATTAACCAAGCATGGTGGCACATGCCTGTAATCCCAGCTACTCAAGAGGCTGAGGCAGGAGAATCGCTTGAACCTGGGAGGTGGAGGTTGCAGTGAACCGAGATTGCACCACTGCACCCCAGCCTGGGGAAGAAGAGCGAAACCCCATCTCAAAAAAAAAAGAAGTATCCACTCTCCCAATAAAAAGCATTCCGCAAAATGCTTCTGCCTAGATTTGCCTGGTTAAACCTCATGAATGTCATTTATTCCTGCACTTTTGCATCAACCATTGAGAGGCAGGCCTAGAGAACACATGTGACCTCTGTCCTCGGAGCTCACAACATACAAGGTGCATCCTTGGGCTGGAGACTGCTAAGGCACAAAGTGTGTCTTCATTAGACCATGCATGCTCAACCTGGGCAGCTGAGAACATGAACTGGCATCCTTGGAATTCAGACAAGGTTCCCTGAGAGGTTTTGTGGGGCTATGTGCCAGGCAGAACAACAGAACAGGGTCCTTAACTTGGGCGCGTGGCATTTCCCTCCTAAGGCAGCAGAGCGTAACTGTAAATACCACCAAAACTTTCTAATTTACTCAAAATTACCACCATCCTCATTATAATTTGACTATTGTGGTGAGGTCTTTAATTATTCCATTTTCCTGGAGGCAGTGGCACCTTTTACTACTGTTAAGAAAACCACATTAAGGATCATAATTATATCAACCTTAAGAAGAATTAATGTGTATACACTATCAATCCAATAAACTAAAGCAGGTGCAATCTAAAAATTAATGAGTATTTCATCTGTGATAAAATCTACGTCAGACTTAAGAACTGTGCGGTTAACAATGACTCAAAAATACAGGATCTGCCAGGTGCAGTGGCTCACACTTGTAATTCCAGCACTTTGGGAGGTAGAGGCAGGCAGATCACTTGAGTCCAGAAGTTTGAGACCAGCCTAGATGACATGGTGAAACCCTGCCTCTACAAAAAATACAGAAATTATCCAGGAGTAGTGGCATGCACCTGGTGTCCCAGCTACTTGGGAGGCTGAGGTGGAAGGATCGTTTGAACCTGGGAGGTGGAGGTTGCAGTGAGCCGAGATCATGCCACTGCACTCCAGCCTAGGCGACAGAGCGAGACTCTGTCTCAGAAAAAAAAAAAAAAATGCAGGATCCATTGCAAGGAACAGCAACATTATTTAGGACAGCTCTGATATCATGACATCTATTAAATTTGCCTAAACATGAAAGAAAAGTATTAACAGACTTATTCTAACTATGGATTTCATTTCAAAGGAATATAAATGTAGTTCAACTAAATTTCATTTAAATAATCATTCCAGGCTGGGCACGGTGGCTGACACCTGTAATCCCAGCACTTTTGGGAGGCTGAGGCAGGCAGATCAGTTGAGGTCAGGAGTTTGAGACCAGACTGGCCAACATGGCAAAACCCTGTCTCCACTAAAAATACAAAAATTACCCCGGGTGTGGTGGCGCACGCTGGTAATCTCAGCTACTCAGGAGGCTGAGGTGGGAGGATCATCTGAGCCCAGGAGGCAGAGGTTGCAGTGAGCCAAGACTATGCAACTGTCCTGAGTGATAAGAGTGAGACTCTGTCTCAAAATAATAGTAATAATAATAATCACTCCAGAGGGTTGCACAATAATTTAGATGCTTCAAATAGGAAGATATGAAGTGATTCTATTTGTGTTCTATTCCTGTATGAAGGAGGCACTGCTAATGGAAAGAACCTTCAACTGGCCTATTCAGCCCAGGCCTTCCCTGACAGTCAAGTACCTTGGTAAGTACCCTGAGCAAGGTAGCCCAACTCTCTTCCTTCCCATGGTGCTATGGTTTGTCCAAATTATAAGCACCCCCCAAGGAAGCATCCCAACAGAAGCTGCCACCCAAACACGTCATACAGCTAAACTATGTGCACATCCCAAATTCAAAACAAAACCACAAAAATAAATGTACCCTGTAAGACTTAGTTAGCTTAGCTATGTTATAAAACAATATGTCCTGTATGATTACAATTTTTCTAAAGTATAATATATACAGAAATGTATACACCAAAATATATCTCCATGGAGAGATTACAGGTGGCATCATTTTCTTTCTTTGTATTTTTATTCTATTTTTTGGCCTGCCATCCCCACTTCTTTAGTTTGTTCGTTTGTTTGTTTTCGTCAGCAGGGTTGTGGCCAGAAAACAAGTCCTATCAGTCTCCTACCTCACTTCCCCTTTAGAAATTAGATACAATTCCTCATCTTTTTTTTTTTTTTTTTGAGATGGAGTTTCGCTCTTGTTGCCCAAGCTGGAGTGCTGTGGCACGATCTTGGCTCACTGCAATCTCCGCCTCCTGGGTTCAAGCAATTCTCCTGCCTCAGCCTCCCAAGTAGCTGGGATTACAGGCGCCCACCATCACGCCCGGCTAATTTTGCATTTTTTTAGTAGAGACGGGGTTTCACCATGTTTGCCAGGCTGGTCTCAAACTCCCGACCTCAAGTGATCCACCTACCTCGGCCTCCCAAAGTGCTGGGATTACAGGCGTGAGCCACCGCACCTGGCCTTCTTTGTATTTTTAAAATATAGTCCCAAATTTCTCTCTTTTTTTTTTTTTTGAGACAGAGCCTCGCTCTGTTGTCCAGTCTGGAGTACACTGGCACCATCTTGGCTCACTGCAAACTCCCCCTCATCAGTTCAAGCAATTCTTGTGCCTCAGCCTCCCGAGTAGCTGGAATTACAGGTGTACACCACCATGCCTAGCTAATCTTTGTATTTTTAGTAGAGAAGGGGTTTCACCATGTTGGCCAGGCTGGTCTCAAACTCCTGACCTCAAGTGATCCACCCACCTGGGCCTCCCAAAGTGCTGGGATTACAGGCGTGAGCCACCACACCTGGCCTTCTTTGTATTTTTAAAATATAGTCCCAAATTTCTTTTTTTGGGGGTGGGGGGTGGACAGAGTCTCACTCTGTTGCCCAGTCTGGAGTACACTGGCACCATCTTGGCTCACTGCAACCTCCACCTCCCCAGTTCAAGCAATTCTTGTGCCTCAGCCTTCTGAGTGGCTGAGATTACAGGTGTGCACCACCACGCCTGGCTAATTTTTGTATTTTTAGTAGAGACGGGGTTTCACCATGTTAGCCAGGCTGGTCTCAAACTCCTGACCTCAGGTGATCTGCCCACCTCAGCCTCCCAAAGTGCTGGGATTAGAGGCGTGAGCCACCATGCTCGGCCAGTCCCAAATTTCTATAACAAACACTTTGTGACCAATAAAATGAACAAATATTTCCAATGAAAATAAAAGTTCAATTATTTGAATTATGTTTTACCCCTAGGCTGTTAGAAGTTTTAAGATGTATTCTTGCTTTAGATTCATAACGTAGAGTGGCAGAATGTTTCAGGCAAAATCTGGAAAAATGAATTATTAATATAAAATTAAATGTAGATGGTAGAAATGTAAGATGATACAGCTGCTATAGAAAACCAGATGGTGATTCCTTAAAAAAAAAAAAAAACATTAGAATTATATTATCTAGATAAACTCCATTTCTAGCATATACCCCAAAGAACTGAAAGCAGAGACTTGAACAGATAGTTGTATACCAACGGTCAAAGCAGCATTATTCACAATAGCCAAAATGTGAAAATAATCCAAATATCCATGAACAGATGAATGGATAAACAAAATGTGGTCTACACATACGATAGAATATTATTCACCCTTAGGAGGAAATTCTGATACATACAACAACAGGGATGAACCCTGAAGACATTATGCTAATAAGTTAGACAAATATTGCATGATTCCACTTACATGAGGTACCTAGAACAGTCAAATTCATGGAGACAAAGTAGAATTGTGGGTGCCAGGAGCTGGGGGGAGGTAGGAATGGGGAGTTACTGTTTAATGGGTACAGAGTTTCACTTTGGGGTGATGAAAAAGTTCTAGGCAACAAATATGTGAAAAAATATTCAACATCACTAATCATCAGAGAAATCCAAATCAAAACCACAATGAGATACTATCTCACACCAGTCAGAATGGCCATTATCAAAAAGTCAAAAACAAAAGATATTGGCGAGGCTGTACAGCAGAGGCAACACTATACACTGTTAGTGGGAATGTAAATTAGTTCAGCCACTGTGGAAAGCAGTTTGGAGATTTCTCAAAGAACTTAAAACAGAACTACCATTCAACCCAGGAATCCCAAGACTGGGTATACATCCAAAGGAAAATAAATTGTTCTACCAAAAAAAAAAAAAATGCACCTGTATGTTCATCACAGCACTATTCACAATAGCAAAGACATGGAATCAACCTAGGTGCCCGTTGACAGTAGATTGGAAAAAGAAAATGTGGTATATATACACCATGGAATACTACATGGCCATAAAGAAGAACAAAATCATGGATGCAGCTACAGGCCATTATCCTATGTGAATTAACACAGGAACAGAAAACCAAATACCACATGTTGTCACTTAGAAATGGGAACTAAATATAGGGTACACGTGGATATAAAGACAGGAACAACAGACACTGGAGACTACTACAGGGGCAGGGAGGGAGGGGTACACAGGCTAAAAAACTACCTATTGGATACTATGCTCACTACCTGGGTGACGGAATTATTCGTACTCCAAAGCTCAGCATCACACGCTATACCCATGTAACAAACCTGCATATGTACTCCCTGAATCTAAAATAAAAGTTGAAATTGGGTCAGGTGTGGTGGCTCACGCCTGTAATCCCAGCATTCTGGGAGGCCAAGACGAGCAGATCACAAGGTCAGAGATCGAGACCATCCTGGCTAACACGGTGAAACCTCGTCTCTACTAAAAATACGAAAAAATTAGCCGGGTGTGGTGGCGGGCACCAGTAGTCCCAGCTACTCGGGAGGCTGAGGAAGGAGAATGGCATGAACCTGGGAGGCGGAGCTTGCAGTGAGCCAAGATTGCACCACTGCACTCCAGCCTGGGCGACAGGCGTCGCAAAAAAAAAAAAAAAAAAAAAAAAAAAAAGTTGAGATGATTTTTTTTAAGTAGTCTAGAGATTGATGGTGGTGATGATTGTACAACAATGTGAATGTACATAATGTGACTAAAATGTGTAATTAAAAATCATTAAAATGGTAAATTTTACACTATATACCTTTTACCCCAATTTTTTAAAATCAAATAATCATCCTGTGGGCTTTTATCAAGACTGCATTAATAAACTCAAAGATACATTTCTAAAATTAAATATAGAAAGGTTTCAGTCCTAAAAAATGTGTTTGGAAAAGTAAAATCATACTGTTTTAATCATGTCTTGAGAATATAAGTTCAGATTAGGGAAATTCTCAACGGAGCATTTATAAAAGAAATATAGCCTTCTTAGAATTTTCCAGTGCATACAGCAATTTAAACCAGACCAAACAAATTGCTAAGATGACAGGTCCTTCCAGGGCTTGTCATCTTGATAATTATAAAAATGATGAGCTGTAATTAGAATGTCAGTCATCTTTAAATAGTTACTTCTGAAGTACCTCACTAAGATAGTAATTTTTTTGCAAGCCTTCCATGTTTTATTTAGGAAATACTTTCTGAAAAACAATATTAATGTGTTGCAGCCTGAATTACCACTCTTTATGAGTTATTATTAGGTGAATCAATGACTTTTTTTTTTAACTGTATAAAGATAAAACAAGGGTGCAAGGAAAGAAAAGAGGAACGCAAAAATGCAAGCAGAGGTAGAAAGAGTGTAACGTCCTTAAAGATAATATGCCAACCCACTTGGCTCTTCGTATTTTCTCTGGCACTTGAAAATACATCCTGTATCCCCACTGCACTTATCCTACGTCCATTAGTCCTACAGATCAATATCCCATTCCCTGGGATGGCTTATCCTAGCTATTGGCACTGTCCCTCAGAGAACTTGTGGCATGAGGAAGAAAAGGTTATTTTACTTTATACTCTGAAAGCAAATTCAGTCAGGACAAACACAGGCCTTCCAATTTTAGAAATCTACATTTAGAACTGGAAGGCTGAAGGAGTAATGTAGCAACTAATCTTTTAATTCCCCTAAGAGCACATTTATTTTACTTTCCCCAAGGAACAAATATTAAGGAAAGGCTAATTTTATTTTAGTTTATTTTACTGATCTAGCAAAAATATATTTCAACATGCTTATGGAGATTTTAAAAACAACAGGAAATGGAGAGAAATGGTACAGGAAAACTGGTTTTGATGAAATAATGTTCTCAATATTAAACAACAGTGGAAATTTAGGGTTGATCTGTAAGCACATGGCTTCCACACAGACCTCAACTAACCAGAATGTATTTGTTTGGGCTAGTTTAAATTGCTGTTATGTACTGGCTTTTAAATGCCACCAATAGGGTATTCTACCTTTAGATCTGGCTTCTACTGACCTTAGAGCTAAGGAAAAGAGTGGGAAAAGAGTAAGCAATCCTTCAGCATTGGCGAGCACCAAGATTCTGACGCTTCTGGTGTCATTTTAGAAGCATGAAATGAGTTTGTGTCATTCTTTATTATGGAAGCCGATAGCCAGAGGAAACTGGAAGGGCTCTGAATGTTGGAACAATCATTTTAAGTAGCCTAAACATTCTTCAGCATACAAGCTACAGCAAGCTTTAAACTACTCAAAACAGCAACTTCTAATATGCAAAATGATATTTTTAATTGCAAAAACTTTGAATTAAAGCATTTACACATACACTGAAAATTCCTAATAGAGGTTTCTCTATTTTTGTAAACTGAATGGGTGATGATTTTATTTATCAGTTTAAGTTGCTAAGCTGTCTTACGAAAAAAATTTATTTATAGTTAATGAGCTAGTGATAAAATCTAAAGGGCCTTGGAAAAAAGTACTATTGTATGCTAATGTGAACAAAATCCAGTTGTCCCTCAGTATCTGTGGGGGACCGGTTCCAGGATCTCCTGCAGATACTAAAATCCACAGATGCTCAAGTCCCTGATAGAAAATGGCATAGTATTTGCACATAACCTACACACATCCTCCCATATACTTTAAATGATCTCCAGATTACTTATAATACCTAATACAATGTAAATGCTTGGTAAATAGTTGTTAACGTTTATTGCTTGGGGAATAATGACAAGAAAAAATACTCTACATGTTCAGTACAAATGCAATTTTTAATATTTGCAATTTGAGGCTGGTTGAATCCACAGATGTGGAATCCATGGATACAGAGAGCTGACTTTAATAGCATACATTAATTCTTCTTCTGCAATGACCCCAGATACCAACAATGCCAGGGACATCATAAAGAATACAATCATGGTCTCTGCCTCTGAGGAACTGAAGGTCTAATGGAAAGTCAGATCCTAAGTAAGTGGAAAACTAGAATGCAAATACAACTGGAATAATTAAGGAAATGAATGTATCATGCAAGTATATGGTCCATGTGACACATGTTAATATGTCAAATAGGAAATAATTATGTGCAAACTAGTGACAACTATATAAAAATTGTATATAACAGAAAACAATTACACGAAATCCCAGAAACCAAATTCTCCATATTCCAGCAGATGATAAAATGTGAGCCTTTCCTCAGTGAAGATCATCCAGTTTCCTAGAAGAACAAAGTGTTCTTCATAGCCTTCTTCCTTTTTTAGCAATAAATGTTCCATTTGAGCACAAAAGATTGAAGGGTATGACAATCTTTATTTCTGAATCCATTTAATTCCAGAAAAACATTCAAATAAGAGAGCTCTACGGTTTGGGGTAAACTTTGGTATACAACATTACAACTTAATGTCTTCCATCTATGCTACAGCAAAAGCAATTCAAAAACCCTCTCAAGGTACAAACAGCCAAATGTTACTCTTACCAATTTCTTACATATAATTCTGATGGGCTTTTTGAGACTGAGCAAATGCTGTCTCATTGAGATACCAAATGTATTTCCCAGGTCCAGATAAGCCTCTAAGAATCAGCCTCAAACATTTTTAAATAAAAATAAAACTTAAAACCATTTCACCCACTCTATGGTATAAGGGCTGCAAATCACAGGCAAAGTTTCGAAGATGTGCTGAGACACTAATATGTTATTGCCCCAGCTGCTAGAACAGCTGTCATCCACGTCTCTCTTCTGCAAACACACAGTACTACAAGAATGAAAGGGAGGCCGGGCGTGGTGGCTCACACCTGTAATCCCAGCACTTTGGGAGGCCGAGGCAGGCGGATCACGAGGTCAGGAGATCAAGACCATCCTGGCTAACACAGCGAAACCCCGTCTCTACTAAAAATACAAAAAAATTAGCCGGGCCTGGTAGTGGGCGCCTGTAGTCCCAGCTACTCTGGAGGCTGAGGCAGGAGAATGGCGTGAGCCCAGGAGGCACAGCTTGCAGTGAACCGAGATGGTGCCACTGCACTCCAGTTTGGGTGACAGATCGAGACTTGTCTCAGAAAAAAAAAAAAAAAGAATGAAAGGGAAAGGAAGAATGCCCTGAATGCTTGACTAAGGAGTCTGAGAATGTAGCCTTCTCCCAAAGTAGTTTGTCATCCTTCAAGCTGAAGCCACCTGTACAGGTGAGTGAAGATAATACCCCCACCTTCATTTAGAGAACAGTATGACTAGTGTTTTAGAATTCTCTGATTGTGCCTACCCTTTGTTTCATAAGTTTTGTTCAAATTCATCACTAATTTTAGAGGAAAATGTAAGTTCCTACAACTGTCATTTCCCAACCACTAATAAGTTATTTGACTTGAAGCACAATTTGCAATAATGGCCTCTGTAAGCATTTCTTTAGCCCCATCATCCAAGGGGCTGCTTTCATCTCATTCATTTCATCTCGTCTCACTTCTAACCTCAGCCATGTGCTCGAAAAGCAAACGAACCAAGTGGCAATAGCATTAGCAGTGAAAAAAATAACATATCTAGGGTTGTGCAGCTGACTGAGATCTTATAAAAGTATTGCTTTTATAGGATACTGTTGTTTTCAAAAGGAAACCAGAAAAGAAATATCGATGATTAGAAATAATGTTTTTTCTGTAAGTTTGTTCTTTGTTAAACCAAACAAACAGGTGTCACAAAACAGAACAAAAAAACCAATGATGGGTCAAAGTTTAAAGAAATGGATAGATGGCTGGGTGAAGTGGCTCACACCTGTAATCCCAGCATTTTAGGAGGCGAAGGCAGGAGGATCACTTGAACCCAGGAGTTCAAGACCAGCCTGGGCAACATGGCGAGACTCCATTTCCTTAAAAATAAAAAGATTAGCCAGTCATAATGGTGTGCGCCTGTAGTTAGTCCCAGCTACTCAAGAGGCTGAGGTGGGAGGATCACCTGAGTCCAGGAGGTTGAGGCTGCAGTGAGCCGTGTTCACACCACTGTATTCCAGTCTGGGCAAGAGAGCAAGATCCTGTCTGAAAAAGAAAAAAGAAATGGATAAAACATAATACTTCATTTTATTTTCCAAATGAATTCAAGGCTGGAATTGGTGGGTCAAATTCAAATCTAAATATGGTTTCATGAATCTTTCTCATGTGGATACCCCAAAAGTGATTTCATCTATTAGTCCCCAGTTGTATGAAAAGTATCAACTGTACCCTGCAATGACCTAAAGCCAAACTGAAATTCCAGCAATGGACTGGCAGAACCATACACTATTAATTCAATAAATTTTCTTAGGTAAACAGGACACAGAGCCAACACCAACAGAAATTACATGGGGTTGGGGGATCTAGACACATAAACAGATGCTCACAACAGTGTGGCTGGTCAGATGCTGTGGAGGCAACAGAATTGGGAAGTATGCTTCAGCTACCTAAAGAGAAGCAGGCGCCTGCAACAGTGAGCACTCATGCCAGGTAAGGCTCTGGTGGAGGAACTGAAAGAAAGTCAGCATGGCTGCAGCCAAACAACTCAGGCTTTATCCTAAGAGCACCAGGTAATCCCTGAAGGGTCTTAAGCAGGGAAGTGGCATAAACAGATGTAGGTCTATGAAAGATTACTTTGGCTGACCACAGAGACATGAGACGACAAAGGAGTGCTTAGAGGAAGTCCAGATGGCTATGGTAAGCCAGAAAAGAAGGGATTGAAGCCCACACTAGGGAAATGGAGAAAATTGAACAAGAAGGAAAATCAAGAAGATTCTGCAACTGGCTGAATGGGACAAGGAGCACTGGATAAGCAGAAAGGCAGAGCCGAAGATCACAGGCAGACGCTGAGCTTGAGTGAGAGAGAACTGTGCTGCCACTCACTACAGCAGAAAGCACAGCAGGCCTCAGGGGTGATGAGTCCTACTATGGACATTTGTGCCAGGTACCTGTGGGATATTAAAGTGGACAAGTCCCAACAGATGGATTTAGAAATCTGAAGCTCAAGAAAGGTCTGGATTGGAGATTTGGAAATCTGGCATGAAATCACCCAGGAAAAAAGCAAGTGAAATAAGGAGAGCAGAGTACCTTAAGAAGAACTCTAAGAAACTCCAACGGGAAAGGGACAGGGAGTACCCCCTAGAAGGGACTGTGAAGGAAGAGGTAGACCAGGAGGAAAACCAGGAGACAGAGTGTCACAGAGATCTGGGGACTTGAGCATCACAGGCAAGAGGCATGCTAGTGTCGAATGCTGCTGAGACACCAAACGAGGGAAGGGTGGAGAAACTTCCATTGGATTTAACAAGGAGAATTATCAGTGACCTTAACAAGAACAGTTTCACTGAGGTTGTGGGTGGAAGAGGCCAGGTTGCAGCAGGTTGAGGCGTATGTGAAAGGTGAAGAAAAGGAAACCATGAGTATAAACAACTTGTTCAAGAAATTTCACTCTGAAGGAAAAATGAGAAATCGCATAGTAATCACAGAATGTGATAGAGTTGCAGGACGTTTTCTGTTAACCTTTTTAATGTAAACATTGTTAGAGGCTTGAACATGTTTGAATTAATGGGAAGGAGCCAGTAGAAACATCAAAGAGGAGAGGATGTAACAACTCAATGGGCCTTAAGAAAGTAGCAGGGAATGGGATCTGAAGCAGAAGTGCAACAGAAGCGCCGGGCGCAGTGGCTCATGCCTGTAATCCCAGCACTTTGGGAGGCCGAGGCAGGTGGATCATCTGATGTCAGGAGTTCGAGACCGGCCTGGCCAACATGGTGAAACCCCATCTCTATTAAAAATACAAAAATTAGCTGGGCATAGTGGTGGGTGCCTGTAATCGCAGCTACTCAGGACCCTGAGGCAGGAGAATCGCTTGAACTCGGGAGACGGAGGTTGCAGTGAGCCAAGATCACACCACTGCACTCCAGCCTGGGCAACAAAAGCAAAATTCTGTCTCTAAATAAATAAATAAATAAATAAATGCAAGAGAAACTGTAGAAAGGAGCAAGTCTTCCTTTTCTTCCTTCCACAAGAGGAGGAGGAAAGGGTGAATGTGAATGAAAGCCAGTTTAAAGGTTAGGAATCCAGATGCTGGAGACATACTCATTCTCTCATTCTCATTCTCTCTCCCCGCTGAGTCTCCATTTTACATGCCCACCGGCAATGTACAACAGTGCTGCTTTCTCCAGTATTTACTGTCTTTTGTATTATACCCATCCTAGTGGATGGGAGGTGGTATCTCATGGTTTTGATTGGCATTTGGAGACCATTCTCTTCTGAGGTCACCTATTTTTCCCCTATGAAGAAAGAGTTAGGCTTTTTGCTAAGAGTAAGAGGGGAGGTAGCAATAAACAGTGGAGTGGAGGCCGGGTGTGGTTGCTCACGCCTGTAATCCCAACATTTTGGGAGGCCAAGGCGGGAGGACTGCTTGAGGCTAGGTGTTCAAGACCAGCCTGGGCAACATAGGGAGACCCTGTCTCTACAAAAAATAAAAAAATTAGTCGAATGTGGTGGTGCGCACCTGTGGTCCCAGCTACTTGGGAGTGGGGAGGATCACTTGAGCCTGGGAGTTTGAGGCTGCAGTGAGCTATGATCACATGGCACACTGTACTCCAGACTGGGCGACATAGTGAGACCCTGTCTCAAAAAGAAAAAAGTGGAGTGGAGCAATTGGGGGTAAAATGGTGAAGTCTGAAGCAGTCACCAGGGAGGATGGGAAAGAGCACTGAGCAGAGAAACCTAGCAGGATGGTAAGACCAAGCCCAGAGAAAGCTGGAGACCGTAAGTCTTTAGAGGTACCCATCTGGTCTCCTCTGTGAGCTTTTCTACCCCAGGAAAGAAGTGTGCTTTTGTGTATGTGTGTGTGTGTGTGTGTGTGTGTGTTTTAAATGTGATCTAACACACAGTTGACTTATATAATTATTTCATTAACTGATCTCCTCTACTAAGTCTATTCTGGCTAAATTCAGACAACACTCATCATACCCCTCTTGTGCATTCTTCAGCACGTACACAACATGTACTTTTTTTTTTTGAGATGGAGTCTCACTGTGTCGCCCAGGCTGGAGTGCAGTGGCACAATCTCGGCTCACTGCAACCTCTGCCTCCCCAGGTCAGGTAATTCTCGTACCTCAGCCTCCTGAGTAGCTGGGACTACAGGCGCACACCACCACGCCCAGCTAATTTTTTGTATTTTTAGTAGAGACGGGGTTTCACCATGTTGGCCAAGCTGGTCTTGAACTCCTGGCCTCGTGTAATCTGTCGCCTCAATCTCCCAAAATGCTGGGATTACAGATGTAAGCCACTGCGCCTGGCCAATATGTAACATTTTTAACTTTTTGTAAAACCAGAGAATATTTTGAAATGTGTCCGAATGCCCTGCCTAGATTCTAGACTCTGTGAGGCCCCAGCCTCCTTTCCTATGCATGACTTACTGTTTAATGTAGTACACACAGAAGGGATATCATCATCATAATAAAGGTCCTCACTTTCCTTCACAGTTTCATCTACCCCACAATGACTCCCAGGAAAAGGAGGGTACTGTTTCAGACTTCCCAGCTCCCGTATATTAGGTGGAGCCAAGTTCTTGCTGCAGCATACGGGCACGCTTTAAAATTTTCAAATCATTTTTTAAAAGCTACAAGCTTGACAGCTTTGGGTTTTTATGGCTACTTGTTTTCTGAAGTTCACAGAACTTTATCATTTGGATCACACACTTAAAAAAATCACTTGCAAAAATCTCTTTAAAGATGAATATGCTTCCTCTTCAAGAGAAACAGACTAGCGGGTAGAAGAAAAAGGACCCGTCTAGAGTATTAATAAATAGACTGATATTCACACAATGGATTAAATGGATTAAAGTCCATCCCACAGATGAACTGTTATATTAATAGAATCCAAATATACAGTTACATCCTCGACCCTGAAAGCAGTTTAAACGGGTGAAATTCACCCAGTGCTCACTTGAAATGAGTACTCTAAAGTTTAAAGCACCTATAAACTGCCCTCAGGATTCAATCATTTTTCCATTCCTTCCGGCATTATATACTTTGATGTTTTAATGTTATTAGCCCACAATACACACCAGTTTCAGAAACTCAGTTTTTGTCCTCTAAGGGCTTTTAGTCCTCCCAAAAAAAGAATAGGGCAAAAGCAAGGAAGATCATGAATCTGGTTTTCTAAAAGCATTATTACAAGACTGCTTTATAAAATTGTAATCCCCAGCTGCAGAGTTCCGCAGATGGCTTGAAAGTGTCTTACATGCAAATAAATAAAAACAAAAGGCCACTTATGCGAGCAGAACACAGCGTGCTCGATAGTCATCTTAAACCGAGCAGGTAGGTACTTTATCAGAGGCAGACAAGGGAAACGTCACTTATTTAGAGTTCACCGCACGCCTGGATAAAAGTCCTCACTAACAAAATCCCTGCCTTTGTGGATTCTGTGTCGGAAAGGGAAACGATAAAGAATACGGTTTGTGACAGCACTACTCTCAGGAGACGAAGGAGAGATGCTAAGATCTTGGAAAGGAGAGAGAATAGGAAGAGTCGGAGGGGAGATCTCCTCTCAGTAAAACGGCACCCACAGCAGTCAGACTTCAGCTACGAGCAAAATCGAGTCCGTGCACCTCAAAAAAGAGAGGGAGGCAGGGAAAACTTTCCCTCGCCTCTCCCCATCCTTCCCTCCTCCTCGCAGGAGAGCACATTAGCTGAGGTGCTGGCGGGGCCGGGCCGGGGACCCCATCCCTCGCCCCGGACGCAGCGCCCGCAGGGACTGCCCGGGAGCCCGAGCGAGGGAGGCGGGAGGTACAGGAGTAACGGGGCACTCCCGGCCCGGCCTGCGGGGAAGGGAAGCAGGGGCAGGGCCGAGGGGGAAGAGGCCTCCGCGAGCTCGACCCCGCGCCCACACGCTACCTGCGAGGTCAGCTGCTGCCGCGCCGTCCCGCGGGACCGCAGGGATCTCCGAAGCTCCAATGGGCGCAGAAGTGCGAGCGAGCGGCGGTGCCCACCGGCAGCGAAGAGGAGGAGCGCCAGGGCGCCGGGCCCGCCGGGTCACGTGGCCCCGGCCGCCTCACGTGACCCGGTGCAGCGCGCGCCCGGGACGCTACCCAGCCGAGCATCCCGCACCGCCCCGGCCCCGGCCCCGGCCGAAACCCTGCTCTTCGGGCCCTACAACCCGACTTCTTTAGAAGCCGATTGGCCGTCTCAGGCCCGCCCCGAGGCCCTGCCACTGGAGTGTCCCCATGAAATCCGGTGGCTGCTGCCGGGACTTAGAGGCTTTTGTGTCTGAGGAACCAGGAACGCGCGAGGCACGGGCTCCTGCTCTGCTCCCCGAGATGGCTTGGCTGTGGGGAGGGTCGGCCTACCACCCCAGAGACCTAGGACGGAAAAGCGACCGAGAAACTTGGCTCCCTGCCCACTCTAGAGCGCGTCTGGCCCCGGGGCACCACCCAGGTGGTGCTGCCTGGGAGGAAAGGCGGCGGAGCTGGGACTAGTTTGTTTTTACTGGAGACGCGCCTCCCTCCCTCCCCGCCCCTCACTTCCTGATTGAAAGTACCTGAGGCAGGCCAGGGACTAGGGAAGGTGGCAGCTGGACAAAGGTATGAAGGAAGGACGAGATGAGGCACAGGTCCTGGTATTGGAAAGAGGCAGAGGTACCTCGGAAGCATGCCATAGAGGTTAGACGGGACCTAAGAGGGCATCTGGTCCAACCGGATTCGTGTTACCAGCGAGTAAACTGAGGCCAGGAGAGGGACTGCTACGAGCTGCTCCAGCCTATCACCTATAAAGACTACAGTCCCTTTGTAAAATACCATACAGCTCTCGGAGAACTCCCAGTTGGCGCTGCAGGATAAAATCCAAACTTGTTGGCATAGCATTCCAGCCACTTGTTCACTTACCTTTCCCATTTGAGCTCCTAGGAATAAACAGAAAAACATTTCATTTTCTAAATATCACCAGATAACTTCACTTTTGGTAACTTGAATTATTAAAAAAGTCCTACCGTCCCTCATCTCTTGCCACTTCCCCAACATTACTGGAGGCTCTGGCTACAAATAATTTGTTTTCCTTGACTACTCAACTTTCTTTGGATTATTTACTTTTTCTCTAAGTTTCTTTACTCCTTTTTGCTTTGTTCATTCTTTTGTCTGTATCTGAAATGTCCTGAATCACCACCTCCCCCACTTAAAGAAAACCAGGGCCAATGATTAAAAAAAAAAAAAAAGGTATTAAGAAACTAATGCAATAAGAGAATTGAGCTTAGTTCTGTATCTATTCTGAGGTCTCGCTCCTGTTGCACTAGTTCCTGAATAAAATGTTTTTACCACTTCAACTACTGTTTGGCTCTGGTTTTCTTCAACAGCCTCCAAAGTACACATCAGTTTCCTACTCATCTTTCAAAATCCAGGTCAAATGCCGCCTACTCTTGTCTTCCCAGCATCCTCTTCCCTGATTTTTTAGCAATTGAAGTTCATCCAGACAGTGTCAGCTGCAACTTCTTCCCTGATTTCCAGAATACTATATATATTCTGATACACCTCACACTGCCCAGAAATAGACTGCGCATTTCCTGTAAAAGGTGAATTGTCTATTGCTGTCTTCTCCCTTAGATTATAAACTCTTTGAAACAGGATTCTTCTGGGTTTAGAACAGCGCCTGGCATGTGATAGACCCTTAATACTCACTGAATGAAGTGGCTTGCCCAAAGTAGTGGCAGTTGAGTGAATTTACTAGAAGAGGCCTGTTTTGCTCAAAGAAACTAAAATCAGTTTCTTTTGGTTGCAACCCGATCAAAAGAACTTGTGTAAACATGTCTGAGAGAAAAACGAGGGCATGGGGTGTGAGCAATCAAATATGTCCTGAGCCCTCACTGCTTATGTGTCAGATGCCATACTTGGAGCATCTTGGAGGATTAAAAGCTGAATGAGACATGGTTGCTGATAAGGAATGTGTAGTCTGGTTCATTATTCCAGTACAGGGTGAAAAGTATTATGATACAAGGTGCTAAGTGAACACAAACCAGGGACCACAAATCAGGGAGTCAGGGAGAAACTTCATGAGAAGGTCAGTTGGACAGGAAGTAGATAAGAAGAAAGAAAAAGACATTCCAGGAGAGAGCAATGTGTTCAAAAGTAGTGACACATGAAACAGTACTATTTGTTTAGGAAAAAACAAACAGGTAGGTGCAGTGGCTCATGCCTGTAATCCCAGGCCAAGGCAGGCAAATCACTTGAGGTCAAGAGTTCAAGACCAGCCTGGCCAACTTTGGAAAACCCTGTCTCTACTAGAAATACAAAAATTAGCCAGCTGTGGTGGCACGTGCCTGTAATCCCAGCTACTTGAGAGGCTGAGGCACAAAAATCACTTGAACCCAGGAGGCAGAGGTTGTAGTGAGCCAAGATCGCATCACTGCATTCCAGCCTGGGTGACAGAGTGAGACTCTGTCTCAAAAAAACAAAAACAAGTAACCCTATATTGATGCCTTGATGACTTCATTCACATCTAGGATAAAGGAAACCAAATTAGGTTAATTTTAATATACTTGAAAGAATGACATATTTACTGGTATTGGTGTTATTTATTGTATTGAATAACTTTCTATCAGGCACATCATAGGCTCTGCATCTAAAATTGGCCTAGGCCAGGCACAGTGGGTCACGCCTATAATCCCAATGCTTTGGGAGGCCAAGGTAGGTGGATTGCTTGAGCCCAGGAGTTCAAGACCAGCCTGGACAACATAGCAAGACGCTGTCCCTATAAATAAATAAGAATAAAACTGGCTTGGACTAACGCGAGGTGATTTTTTACCTTTTTTTCCAGCCTCAAAAGCTTTCTATGATTATTATGTAAAAATACCAAAATTACTTGTTCCAAAGAAGATGATTTTTTTTATTTTTTGAGACAGCGTCTTGCTCTGTTGCTCAAGCTGTACTGCAGTGGCATGATCATAACTCACTGCAGCTTCAACCTCCATGGGCTCAAGTGATCTTCCCACCTCAGCACCTCAGCCTCCTGAGTAGCTAGGACCACAGGTGAGGGCCATCAGGCTGGGCTAATTTATATTTTCTGTGGAGACGGGGTTTGCCATGTTGGCCAGCCTGGTCTCGAACTCCTGAGCTCAAGCAGTTTGCCTACCTCAGTCTCTCAAAGTGCCAAGATTACAGGTGTGAGCCACCATGCCTGGCCCCAAAGAAGATTATTTTAGAGCACTCCAAACCTTTCCTTTAGAGCAAAATAATTCAATTAACAGGTAGTACTTTAAGACAGAAACTGGGCTTAACCTCCAGCATGTGAAAAGGGAGAACCACTCCACTTAATGCTAACACATGATTACGTTGGGAAAAGTACCTGTCAAGAACCTAATAAAATATCATAAGGTTTGTCCGGACATGGTGGCTCACGCCTGTAATCCCAGCACTTTGGGAGGCCAAGGCAGGTAGATCACTTGAGGTCAGGAGTTTGAAACCAGCCTGGCCAACCTGGTGAAACCCTGTCTCTACTAAAAATACAAAAGTTAGCTGGGTGTGGTGGTGGGCACCTGTAATCCCAGCTACTCAGGAGGCTGAGGTGGGAGAATCACTTGAACCCTGGAAGCAGAGATTGCAGTGAGTCGAGATCATGCCACTGCACTCCAGCCTGGGCAACAGAGTAAGAGTCCATCTCAAAAATAAAATAAAAATAAAAAATGAATAAAATTGCTTCTTTGTCCTTTGGCAGGCAAAATAGCTTTTTTATTTTTTTATTTTTATTTTTTGACACAGGGTCTCGCCCTGTCACCCAGGCTGGAGTGCAGTGTCATGATCTCAGCTCACTGCAGTCTCCACGTCCTGGACTTAAGCGACCTTCCCACCTCAGCCGCCCGAGTAGCTAGGACTACAGATGCATACCACCACACCTGGCTACTTCTGTTTATTGTTTGTAGACACAGGATCTCACTATTTTGTCCAGGCTGGTCTTGAACTCCTGAACCCAACGGATCCTCCCACCTCAGCATCCCAAAGTGCTGGGATTACAGGTGTGAGCCACTGTACCCAGCCCAAGAGAGCTTCTTAATTATGGAATTTCTTCACTGTCCATGTCAGTTGATGGTGAAATGTTTATTTTTTATTCATTAGCAGTGGTCCTTGTTCCACCTGCATTTAGCTGTGGTAGCACCATGGCTTATTAGGAGGTCACCAACTTCTGGTGGGAGATACGCAGTCTCTAGTCTTCTGAGACATAGAAGTTCTGACTGCAATTGACTATGAAGCAGGACTGGTCCTCTGAATGTTAACATGCATCTTGAAGACTTCTTAGAGTGACCCTGGGATGATGATGGAGGTAGTAAGAATATTCTCAGATGGGGCTTGACTCACTCATTTGGAATATTAAAGGTGAAGTTACCTGGGACAAACTCAGTGACTTTATGAGGAAACAATCAGAGAAATACATAATAGCGGACAAGAACCTTTCTAGCCTTGGTTTCCTCAAAAAGTTAAATTTAGGGGGAAGGCCAGGCACGGTGGCTCACACCTGTAATCATAACACTTTGGGAGGCCAAGGTAGGCAGATCACTTGAGGTCAGGAGTTCGAAACTAGGCTGGCCAACATGGTGAAACTCCATCTCTACTAAAAATATTTTAAAACGTTAGCCCAGCGTGGTGGCAGGCACCTGTAATCCCAGCTACTTGGGCGGCTCAGTCAGGAGAATTTACTTGGGAGGCTCAGTCAGGAGAATCACTTGAACCCAGAGGCAAAGGTTGCAGTGAGCTGAGATCACGCCATTGCACTCAACCCTGGGCAACATGAGCAAAACTCCATATCAAAAAAAAATTAAAATTGAAAAATTAGGGGGTTAAAAAAAAGAGGGGGACTGTTCTAGATTAAAAGAGACTAAAGAAACATGAAATTCAAATGCAGTGCATGAACCTTAGGTAGAATCCTGGTTCCAATTTTATTTTTTAAGAGATGGGGGTCTCACTCTGTCACCCAGCCTGGAGTGCAGTGGCACCATCACAGCCCACTGCAGCCTCAAACTCCTGGGCTCAAAAGATCCTCTGGCCTTGGCCTCCTAAAAGGTTGGGATTACAGGTGTGAGTCACCACGCCCAGCCCCTTGGTTCCAATTTTTTTAAGCTATAAATAATATTTTGTAAAGAATCAGAAATTTAATATGGACTGGATATTAGATAGTATTAGGAGATTACTGGGTTTTTTAGATGTGGTAATAGTAATATTAAGAACATCCTGGCTGGGCATGGTGGCTTATGCCTGTAATCCCAGCCCTTTGGGAGGCTAAGGCGGGAGGATTGCTTGAGCCCAGGAGTCTGAGACTAGCCTGGGCAACATGACGAAACCCTATCTCTACCAAAAATTAGCCAGGCAAGATGGCACACAGCTGTGATCCCAGCTACTCGGGAAGCTGTGGTGGGAGGATTGCTTGAGTCCAGGAGGTCAAGGCTGCAGTGAGCTATGATTGCACCACTGCACTCCAGTCTGGGCAACAGAGCAAGACCTTGTCTCAAAAAACAAAAAAACAAACAAACAAAACAAAAAAACAAAGAAAGAATGTCCCTATTTTTATGAGATGTGTACCAGAATAATTAAGGACAGAGTGTAATGAGGTCTGCAAATGGTTCACACAAAAAATTAATACTGTATATATCCATGTCCATAAAGAAAGAGAAAATATGGCAAAATGTTTGCAATTGTTAAATCGAGGAGCTATTATTTATACTTTTATTTAAACTTTGAAATTTTCTTTCTTTTTTTTTTTTTTTTTTTGATATGGCGTCTCGCTCTCTTGCCCAGGTTGGACTGCAGTGGCGTGATCTCAGCTCACTGCAACCTCCACCTCTGAGGTTCAAGTGACTCTCATGCCTCAGCCTCCCCAGTAGCTAGGATTACAGGTGTGCACCATCACGTCTGGCTAATTTTTGTATTTTTAGTAGAGATGGGGTTTCACTATGTGTGATCCACCCACTTTGACCTCCCAAAGTGCTGGGATTACAGATGAGAGCCACCACGTCCGGCTAAACTTTGAAATTTTCATAGCAAAATGTTGTAAGGTGGGATGAGATGTGCCCTTTATATTTCAAACTAAGAAAGCAGGATATTTCAGTAATTTATTTATTCATAAAGATCTTTTGAATGCCTGCCATGTGCTAGGCACTGTAATAAGGTCTGGGTGTACCTTGGTGATTAAAACAGTAATGTTCTCTTTTATAAATGTTATGCTGCATTACCCAATCTCTCCTTTAAGACTGAAGGATTTATTCCCCCAGCTTTTGGGAAGCTTGTATGCTGACAGCCTTCTTCAGTGACTGTCTTGCTAAAGAAAGCTGCCTTATTCAAGGTCCAGTCACCTTATAGGGGCAGCCTGCAACAAATGACTAGTCGCGCCAGGCCTAATCTTTAATTTCAATGCAATTACCATTTTTTCTTGTTTTCAAAACTTAACAAAATTATTCTAATGTTTATATGTGAGAAGAGCCAGGAAATACCAAAAAAGAATTCTAGAAAAGAAGAGTGATGGCTATGAAGAGACAGAGTAGGAGCAATTTACTAATCCATCATAGTGATTTCAAGAGTTGAGTATTGACTGCTGCCTTCTAAGAACTTAAAAGGCCCTCTCCGCTCTCCCCTCTCCCCTCTCCCCTCTCCCCTCTCCCCACGGTCTCCCTCTCATGCGGAGCCGGAGCTGGACTGTACTGCTGCCATCTCGGCTCACTGCAACCTCCCTGCCTGATTCTCCTGCCTCAGTCTGCCGAATGCCTGCGATTGCAGGCACGCGCCGCCACGCCTGACTGGTTTTGGTGGAGACGGGGTTTCGCTGTGTTGGCCGGGCCGGTCTCCAGCCCCTAACCGCGAGTGATCCGCCAACCTCGGCCTCCCGAGGTGCCGGGATTGCAGACGGAGTCTCGTTCACTCAGTGCTCAATGGTGCCCAGGCTGGAGTGCAGTGGCGTGATCTCGGCTCACTACAACCTACACCTCCCAGCCGCCTGCCTTGGCCTCCCAAAGTGCCGAGATTGCAGCCTCTGCCCGGCCGCCACCCTGTCTGGGAAGTGAGGAGTGTCTCTGCCTGGCCGCCCATCGTCTGGGCTGTGAGGAGCCCCTCTGCCTGGCTGCCCAGTCTGGAAAGTGAGGAGCGTCTCCGCCCGGCCGCCATCCCATCTAGGAAGTGAGGAGCGCCTCTTCCCAGCCGCCATCACATCTAGGAAGTGAGGAGCGTCTCTGCCCGGCCGCCCATCGTCTGAGATGTGGGGAGCGCCTCTGCCCCGCCGCCCCATCTGGGATGTGAGGAGCGCCTCTGCCCGGCCGAGACCCCGTCTGGGAGGTGAGGAGCGTCTCTGCCCGGCCGCCCCGTCTGAGAAGTGAGGAGACCCTCTGCCTGGCAACCACCCCGTCTGAGAAGTGAGGAGCCCCTCCGCCCGGCAGCTGCCCCGTCTGAGAAGTGAGGAGCCTCTCCGCCCGGCAGCCACCCCATCTGGGAAGTGAGGAGCGTCTCCGCCCGGCAGCCACCCCGTCCGGAAGGGAGGTGGGGGGGGTCAGCCCCCCGCCCGGCCAGCCGCCCCATCTGGGAGGGAGGTGGGGGGTCAGCCCCCCCGCCCGGCCAGCCGTGCCGTCCGGGAGGGAGGTGGGGGGGTCAGCCCCCCGCCCGGCCAGCCGCCCCGTCCGGGAGGTGAGGGGCGCCTCTGCCCGGCCGCCCCTACTGGGAAGTGAGGAGCCCCTCAGCCCGGCCAGCCACCCCGTCCGGGAGGGAGATGGGGGGGTCAGCCCCCCCACCCGGCCAGCCGCCCCGTCCGGGAGGGAGGTGGGGGGGTCAGCCCCCCGCCTGGCCAGCCGCCCCATCCAGGAGGGAGGTGGGGGGGTCAGCCCTCCGCCCGGCCAGCCGCCCCGTCTGGGAGGTGAGGGGCGCCTCTGCCCGGCCGCCCCTACTGGGAAGTGAGGAGCCCCTCTGCCCGGCCAGCCGCCCCGTCCGGGAGGGAGGTGGGGGGGTCGGCCCCCCGACCGGCCAGCCGCCCCATCCGGGAGGGAGGTGGGGGTGTCAGCCCCCCGCCCGGCCAGCCGCCCCATCCGGGAGGGAGGTGGGGGGGTCAGCCCTCCGCCCGGCCAGCCGCCCCGTCTGGGAGGTGAGGGGCGCCTCTGCCCGGCCGCCCCTACTGGGAAGTGAGGAGCCCCTCTGCCCGGCCACCACCCCGTCTGGGAGGTGTGCCCAGCAGCTCATTGAGAACGGGCCAGGATGACAATGGCGGCTTTGTGGAATGGAAAGGCAGGAGAGGTGGGGAGAGGATTGAGAAATCGGATGGTTGCCGTGTCTGTGTAGATAGAAGTAGACATGGGAGACTTTTCATTTTGTTCTGCACTAAGAAAAATTCCTCTGCCTTGGGATCCTGTTGATCTGTGACCTTACCCCCAACCCTGTGCTCTCTGAAACATGTGCTGTGTCCACTCAGGGTTAAATGGATTAAGGGCGGTGCAAGATGTGCTTTGTTAAACAGATGCTTGAAGGCAGCATGCTCGTTAAGAGTCATCACCAATCCCTAATCTCAAGTAATCAGGGACACAAACATTGCGGAAGGCCGCAGGGTCCTCTGCCTAGGAAAACCAGAGACCTTTGTTCACTTGTTTATCTGCTGACCTTCCCTCCACTATTGTCCCATGACCCTGCCAAATCCCCCTCTGTGAGAAACACCCAAGAATTATCAATAAAAAAATAAATTAAAAAAAAAAAAAAATGACTAGTCAATGTCAGAATGTTAAGACCTGATCCACGGTGGTTCATGCCTGTAATCCCAGCACTTTGGGAGGCCAAAGCTGGTGATCACTTGAGGCCAAGAGTTCAAGACCAGCCTGGCCAACATGGTGAAAGCCCATCTCTACTAAAAATATGAAAAATTAGCTGGGTGTGGTGGCTGGTGCCTGTAATCCCAGCTACTTGGGAGGCTGAGGCAGGAGAATCGCTTGAACCCAGGAGGCAGAGGTTGCAGTGAGCCAAGACTGCACCACTGCACTCCAGCCTGGGCCACAGAGCAAGATTCCATCTCAAAAAAAAAAAAAAAAGAAAAGAAAAGAAAAAAAATACCTGTCCCTTTCACCTCCTCAGGGGACATCTCTGAAGAGTCATCCCAGCTTTAGAACTCCCCACAGGGTTGGCTGAGGGCTGGTTGTGACTACACTGCAGCCCACTTTCTCTTTCTGCCAGTTTTGCTTCCATCCTTTTCCTCCACAGGTCCCAAGAGCATCTACCATTGAAAAGGCATTAAATAACCAAGTGGAATGACTCAGCCAGTTGATGTCAGCCAGCTTTTTCATCAGCCACCCTAGTCCTGGCACAATGGATTCATAGAGGAGACATGGAAGCAAAGGAGGCTATCCATGGGCCCAACTGCATGATGTCCCACTTACCATTGTTAATCTAGCTACTGTCACAGCCAAATAATCACCCTGACACCAACAGAAACTGTTGCTGAAACTCAGTACAACAATATCCCTTGAAGATACCAACCAGCCACTTGATGGCAAGTTGACCCTATTGAACTCTTTCCATAATGAAAGGAGCAGCCATTCATTTTCACAGGAATAGGCAGGTATTCTGTGTATGGGTTTGCCTTTCCTGCCTGCAGTCTCATCAAACATGACCATCCAAGGGCTTAGCTGCATTTAATCCACCAAGGTGGCATTCCACATATCATTGCAGCAGACCAAGGGACCAGCTTTACAACAAAGGACATATAGCATTGGTCACATGACCATGGAATCCACTGGACCTATCATATGGCACACCACCCAAGCTACTGGCCTAATAAGCAATGGAACAGCCTGTTGAAAGCTTGGCTAAAGTGCCAGCTTGGAAATGATACCCTGTGAGGATAAAGCTTGGAATGCTTTTATACTGTTGGTGGGAGTGTAAGTTAGTTTGACCACTGTGGAAGACAGTGTGGTGATTCCTCAAAGATCTAGAACCAGAAATACCATTTGACCCAGCAATCCCATTACTGGGTATATACCCAAAAGATTATAAATCATTCTACTGTAAAGACACATGCACACATATGTTTACTGCAGCACTATTTACAATAGCAAGGACTTGGAACCAACCCAAATGTCCATCAATGATAGACTGGATAAAGAAAATGTGGCACATACACACCATGGAATACTATGCAGCCATAAAAAAGCATGGGATCATGTCCTTTGCAGGGTCATGGATGAAACTGGAAGCCATCATTCTCAGCAAACTAGCACAGGAACAGAAAACCAAATATCACAGTTCTCACTCATAAGTGGGAGTCGAACAATGAGAACACATGGACACAGGGAGGGGAACATCACACACCAGGGCCTGTCGGGGGGTGGGGGGCAAGGGGAGGGAGAGCATTAGGACAAATACCTAATACATGTGGGGCTTAAAACCTAGATGACAGGTTGATGGCTGCAGCAAACCACCATGGCACATGTTTACCTATGTCACAAACCTGCACATTCTGCACATGTATTCCAGAACTTAAAATTTAAAAAAAATTTTTTTTAAAAAGCACTACCCTCCAGGATGCAGTAATGCCTGAAGTCAGTCACCATTATATAGTGCAGTATCCCCAAGAGAATACCTGGGAGATGAATCCATGGTGTGGGAGCAGCAGTGTCCCCACTTGCTATCAGTCCCAGTGACCCAGTTAAAGAATTTATGTTTTCATCCTCACAAATGTAGCCCACAGGGTCGAAGGTCTTGGTTTCCAACAGGGAAACATTTCCACCAGGGAACACAGCAAGAGTCTTCATTGAACTTTAAGCTACCTCATCATGCAGGCACTTTGGGCCTTTCATGCCAAGGGCCAGCAGGCAAGGAAAGGATCCCAGTTGGGGTGATTGACTCTTATCATCAAGAAGCAGTCCAGCTGTTGTTACACAATGGAGGCAGGAAGCATATGTTTGATACCCAGATCATTGACTTGGACATCTGTTAGTACCAGCTTGGCCAATTTTGATGGCAAATGGACAAGTGCAGCAGCTACACCCTGAGAAGGTACGGCAAATGGGACAGAATGCCTCAGTTTTGAGAGTCTGAGTCACCTCACTAGAAAAGTCACCTAAACCTTCACAGGGACTTGTCGAGCAGAGGGTGGGGGGATGAATATCAGCTATAGCCTCAAGACCAGCTGCAGCTGCAGGGAGGCTGTAGTTCATCCTACCAACCCTCCTTTTACAAGTCATCCCCAGGAAGAGAGGCCCACCAGTGTCCCAAAGGAGCCACTCCCAGAATTCTTGTAAAGAAAGTAGATCTGAGTGACACTTGCTGTATTAGGCTGTTCTCACATTGCTATAAAGAAATATCTGAGACTTGCTAATTTATAAAGAAAAGAGGTTTTGTTGGTTCACGGTTCTGCAGGCTTTACAGGAAGCATAGCGCTGTTTTTCCGTTATGGTGGAAGGTGAAGGGGAAACAGGCAAGTCACATGGTGAAAGCAGGAGGAAGTGAAGGGAATGGGGTAGATGCCACACACTTTTAAAACTGCCAGATCTCATGTGAACTCAGAGCAAGAGCTCACTTATCACCAAGAGGATGGCGCAAGCCATTCATGAAGGACCCACCGCACCCTCCCCCGTGATCCCAACACCTCTCACCAGGCTCCACCTTCCAACATTGGGGATTACATTTCAACCTGAGATTTGGGTGGGGACAAATATCCCTATGCTATCACGTGCTGTGGACTGCCTTGCCTGGGTTGTAGCTGTCATCCCTCTGGGGATGGCTTCAGCTGAAGAGAGCTGCCTCAGCGTAAGGCCTGTGCCGAACAGCTAGTGTACGGCGACTGAGTGATGCCCAATCCTATTTCCTTTTGTTCAATGGGTGTTGATTAGAGTGCCCCCTCGTAAACTTCCTATGTGCTAATCTCCATCTCGCAGTTGGCTTCCGGGGAACATCTTATCTGTGACAGTCTGTCCAGTGTAGATTACAGTTTGCAGAAGACAGCAAACAAGCAAAGTAGATTTGTGATTTGTACACTGAAGGAAATGAACAAGATGCAATGATAGCAGATAACAGGGAGGTGTACCTGGAAGAGGTGACACTTAAGCCAAGAACTATAAACAGATAGATGCCAGCCATGTGAAAAGCAGGTAGGAGAGTGTGTCCCAGAAAGAGAAACAGTTCTGATAAAAGCCGATCGCAAAGAGTCAGGCATGTTTAAGTACCACCCAGAGCTTTGTAATCTTTTTAAAAGTTTTTCTGTGGCCAGGCGCGGTGGCTCACACCTGTAATCCCAGCGCCTTGGGAGGTCAAGGCGAGTAGATCACCTGAGGTCAGGAGTTTGAGACCAACATGGCAAAACCCTGTCTCTACTAAAAATTTAAAAATTAGCCGGGCATGATGGCGCATGCCTGTAATTCCAGCTACTCAGAAGTCTGAGGCACGAGAATTACCTGAACCTGGGAGGTGGAGGTTGGAGTGAGCCGAGATCACGCAACTGCACTCCAGTGGTGTGATCACATCTCACTGCCGCTTTGACCTCCCCAGGTTCAGGCGATCTCCCACCTCAGCCTCCCAAGTAACTGGGACTACAGGCATATGCCACCATGCCCCACTAGTTTTTTTTGTAGAGACGGTTTCACCATATTGTCCAGGTTGGTCTCAAACTTCTGGGCTCAAGCAATCCATCCACCCTGGCCTCCCAAAGTGCTAGGATTACAGATGTGAGCCACCATGCATAGCCTAAAAGGTTTTATTTCAAATGCAATGGAAAGCCTTCAAAAGGTTTTAAGACAAGAGAGTAACATGCTATGATTTACATTTTTAAAAAATTCTGTCTGGATACTGTGTGGAAAACAGATTGGATGGGGGGAACCATTAAGAAGGTTATTTGCAGGGTGGGGTGTGGTGGTTCACACCTGTAATCCCAGCACTTTCGGAGGCCAAGGTGGGTGGATCACGAGATCAGGAGATCGAGACCATCCTGACCAACATGGTGAAACCCTGTCTCTACTAAAAATACAAAAATCAGCCAGGCGTGGTTGTGTGTGCCTATAGTCCCAGCTATTCAGGAGGCTGAGGCAGGAGGCTCACTTGAATCCAGGAGGTGGAGGTTGCAGTGAGCCAAGATTGTGCCACTGCACTCCAGCCTGGGCGACAGAGCAGGACTCCATCTCGAAAAAGAAATAGAAATTAAAATAAAATAAAAATGTTATTGCAGTATCAAGGAAAGATGCCCACCCAAAGTCTGTCCCTTCGCACTAAACCATAGTCCAAATGCCCAAGACCTTGGAATTCCATGCCCAGACAACTCCAACCCACTTCCAAGATTTGCATGGGCCTCTTCCCTAGGTCCTTCTCCTCAACAGCAGACTCCACACACCTAGAGCCATGGGGTGGCCTGTCTGTTTGTGGGGAATGTGGACAGAGTTTGGAAGAGAAGTATCCACAAGCATGTGGGTGAAGCCCCTTGCAGTGCCAGATGAAGCCAAGATTGGAATGGAGGGAGATGAGGTGAGGGGAAAGGGGCCAGGGTGGTAATTGTGGGGAAAAGCAAGAGAGATCAGATTGTTACTGTGTCTGTGTAGAAAGAAGTAGACATAGGAGACTCCATTTTGTTCTGTACTAAGACAAATTCTTCTGCCTTGAGATTCTGTTAATCTATGACCTTACTCCCAACCCTGTGCTCTCTGAAACATGTGCTGTGTCAAACTCAGGGTTAAATGGATTAAGGGCGGTGCAAGATGTGCTTTGTTAAACAGATGCTTGAAGGCAGCATGCTCGTTAAGAGTCATCACCACTCCCTAATCTCAAGTATCCAGGGACACAAACACTGCGGAAGGCCACAGGGACCTCTGCCTAGGAAAGCCAGGTATTGTCCAAGGTTTCTCCCCATGTGATAGTCTGAAATATGGCCTCGTGGGAAGGGAAAGACCTGACCGTCCCCCAGCCCGACACCCGTAAAGGGTCTGTGCTGAGGAGGATTAGTATAAGAGGAAGGCATGCCTCTTGCAGTTGAGACAAGAGGAAGGCATCTGTCTCCTGCCCGTCCCTGGGCAATGGAATGTCTCGGTATAAAACCCGATTGTACGTTCTATCTACTGAGATAGGGAAAAACCGCCTTAGGGCTGGAGGTGGGACATGCGGGCAGCAATACTGCTTTGTAAAGCATTGAGATGTTTATGTGTATGCATATCTAAAAGTACAGCACTTAATCCTTTACCTTGTCTATGTTGCAAAGACCTTTGTTCACGTGTTTGTCTGCTGACCCTCTCCCCACAATTGTCTTGTGACCCTGACACGTCCCCCTCTTAGAGAAACACCCACGAATGATCAATAAATACTAAGGGAACTCAGAGGCTGGCGGGATCCTCCATATGCTGAACGCTGGTCCCCCGGGTCCCCTTATTTCTTTCTCTATACTTTGTCTCTGTGTCTTTTTCTTTTCCAAGTCTCTCGTTCCACCTTACGAGAAACACCCGCAGGTGTGGAGGGGCAACCCACCCCTTCAGTAATCACTCCCTACACTGCCAAGTTCCAATATGGAACCCCTAGGATTTCTAAATTCAAGGTATGGCCATCCAAGTCACTAAAAAGCTGTATCTGTCAAGATAGGAGGATAGGCTGGGTGTGGTAACTCACACGTGTAATTCCGATGCTCTGGGAGGCTGAGGCTGGAGGATCATTTGAGCCCAGGAGTTTAAGACCAGCCTGAGTTACATAGCGAGACCCCCATCTCTAAGAGAATAAAAAATATAATTCGCCAGGTGTAGTGGTGCATGCCTGTGGTCCCAGCTACTCAGGAGGCTGAGGCAAGAGGATTGCTTGAGCCTGGGAAGTTGAGGCTGCAGTGAACTGTGATTGTGCCACTGCACTCCAACCTGATGGATGACAGAATGAGACTGTGTCTTAAAAAAAAAAAAAAAGGAGGATAGAACATATTTTATTTAACAAGTTATTCGCTTGATTTCTGACTTAAAAATTTTTAGACATATGGTATCCCCCATTTGTAATTTTGCACTGGGTGCTACGGATGTTCAGGATAGCCCCGAAAGTCACGTCATCTATAAAGAAACAACAAGAGACCGAAAGCTGGTTTCTTATTTCAAACAGTAGATAATGCACAGAGGATAATGCAGTATCTTCAAAATGAAAGGGAAAATTTCTGTCGGTTTAGAATTCCCTGTCTAGTTAAACTGGTATTCAAAAGTGAGGATAAAATAAAGACATTATCAAACCAAGACTAAGAGAATTTCCCACTCACAGACCCTTGCTGAAAGAAGTCCTGAAAGATGTAGTTTATTTATTTATTTTGAGACAGAGTCTTGCTCTGTCACCCAGGCTGAAGTGCAGTGGTGCAGTCTTGGCTTACTGCAACCTCCGCCTCCTGGGTTCAAGCAATTCTTCTGCCTCAGCCTCCAGAGTAGCTGCGACTATGTATGCACCACCGTGCCTGGCTAATTTTTTCGTATTTTTAGTAGGGACGGGGTTTCACCATGTTGGCCAGGCTGGTCTTGAACTCCTGACCTCAAGTGATCTGCCCGCCTCGGCCTCCCAAAGTGCTAGGATTATAGGCATGAGCCACCACGCCTGGCCAGGATGTAGTTTAGAAAGAGGAAAAATAAACCCAGCAGAAAGGATCAGTATGTGAGGCTTAATGATGAGCAAAGAAATTACTGATTTTTAGAGGATAAGCACAGAGTGGAACTAGACTAGTACCTAGCAATCAAGTGAAAGGTGAGAGGCAAGATTCACAGTTAAAACAGTCTAAGATCTTTATGATGTAAGGTATACAATTTAAACTTTTTCAGCTATAACTTTTTAGTTTTTTTTTATCTCAGAAAAAAATATGGAATGCTTCACGAATTTTTTATTTTTTTGTGTGTGGAGATGACGGGGTCTCACTATGTTCACCAGGCTGGTCTTGAACTGCTGGCCTCAAGCAATCCTTCTGCCTTGGCCTCCCAAAGTGCTAGGACTACAGATGTGAGCCACCTTACTGGGTCTCAGCTATAAATTTTAATATTTTTAAAGTAACTATGTTAAGCAAATATGCAAAAAGAAAGAAAAAAAGTGAATAGTTAGGATGAAAGACCCCTTCCCCCAGAAAAGCAAAACAAGTTTAGTTGTTAGTACATATAAAATAGTCCTCATTTCAATATGAGAAAAGGCACTGATTTTTTTTTTTTTTTTTTGAGACGGAGTCTTGCTCTGTCGCCCAGGCTGGAGTGCAGTGGCATAATCTCGGCTCACTGCAAGCTCTGCCTCCCGGGTTCACACCATTCTCCTGTCTCAGCCTCCCGATAGCTGGGACTACAGGTGCCCGCCACCATGCCCGGCTAATTTTTTGTACTTTTAGTAGAGACGGGGGTTCACCATGTTAGCCAGGATGGTCTTGATCCCCTGACCTCGTGAACTGCCCGCCTCGGACTCCCAAAGTGCTGGGATTACAGGTGTGAGCCACCGCACCCGGCCTACTAATTTATTTTTTGTAAAACTCCTCTAACCCAAACCACTGGCTATAAAATACTACCACCTCTGCCATCATTGTCCCCCAAATACAAGTTATTTTTCATCTGTGAAGGAAGCTTTATGAGAGCTATTGCACTTTATTCTTATAAAACTCCATGAAAGATAGACATTAAAATGTTTGCAGAAATCTCATAAACTTGGCTTTTAAATGAATGAGTCAGTCATCAACAGCTATTTGCACAAAACTTTACTCTTTTCTCTGAGCAATACAAAGAAAACAGGACAGTCCCTCCCATGAAGGAGCTTAAAATCTGATTTGGCAGACGCAAGCTGTATAAACTCACCTGGAAATAAAACCTGGGATAGAAGACAGCAAATAGTAAAAGGCTGCAATTGGTATAACCCTTACATATCTTGGAAGGCTTTGACTCAATACATGAAATTTGAGCTTTAAGAGAGGTAGAATTTCGTTAGAGAAAACTGGGGACTGGCATAAGCATAAAGCACTAAAACAGAGAAAGGTGTTAGAGCCAAGACAGAAGATATTTTCAAAAAAGAAGGGTAGCTGGGTGTGGTGGCACATTTCTGTAGTCTTGTAACTGCCCAGTGGGTTCGTTTTCCTTGCTGCCCAGATAGAGCTGATTTATCCAGACAGGGGAGTCATGATACAGAGTTTAACTCACACAGAGCTGGCTGACAGGAGACCAGAGTTTTATTATTACTCAAATCAGTCTCTTCAAAGATTTAGAGACTAGGGTTTTTCAAAGACAGTTTGGTGGGTACAGGGCCAGTGAGTCGGGAGTGCTGATTGGTTGGATCAGAGATGAAATCATAGGGAGTCAAAGCTGTCCTGAGCTGAATTGGTTTCTGGGTGGGGCCCACAGGACTGGTTGATGAGTCCAGGTGGACCCATTGTTCATCAGAAATGCAAAAACCCAGGCCGGGCGCGGTCACTCACGCCTGTAATCCCAGCACTTTGGGAGGCCGATGTGGGTGGATCACAAGGTCAGGAGATCATGACCATCCTGGCCAACATGGTGAAACCCCGTTTCTACTGAAAATAAAAAAAAAAAATTAGCCGGGCATGGCGACGTGCACCTGTAGACCCAGCTACTCAGGAGGCTGAGACAGGAGAATGGCGTGAACCCGGGAGGCGGAGCTTGCAGTGAGCTGAGATCATGCCACTGCACTCCAGCCTGGGCGACAAAGCGAGACTCCGTTTCAAAAAAAAAAAAAAAAAAAAAAAAAAAAAAAGGCAAAAACCCGAAAAGACATCTCAAAAGGCCAGTCTTAGGTTCTACAATAGTGATGTTATCTGCAAGAATAATTGAGGAAGTTGCTAATCTTGTGGCCTCCACAATAATGGTTGGTAATATTTTAGCTAAGCCTGTATCTTAATAGAATCCAGGCCCCTCCCATCCTCCTAACTTGACCTTCCATTAGGTTTACAAGGGCAGTTTAGTTTTGGGGGAGGGCTATTATCGTTTAAACTATAAACTAAATTTGCCCCAAAGTTACCTTGGCCCACATCCAGGAATGAGTGAAGACAGCCAGCCTGTGAGACTGGAAGCAAGATGGAGTCAGCCATGTCAGATTTCTTTTACTGTTGTAATTTTGCAAAGGCAGTTTCAGCCCGAGCTACTCAGGAGGCTGAGGCTTCACTTGAGTCCAGGAATTCGGGCTGTAGTGCACTATCATGGTGGCTGTGAATAGCTGCTGTACTCCAGCCTGGGCAATGTAGCAGACCCAGTCTTTAATTTAAAAAAAAAAAAAAAAAGGACATATCCTAATCTGTCATGGGAGTAGAGTTAAAAAAAAAGGGGGGGGGGTAATCATTATGTGAAATACTGAGAGAAATCATTTAATGAATCATAATATGGACTGAAGTAAACACAAGGATGAAATAATTGAAAATACTGTTTTCAATATGACACCAACTTCAGTATTTTATCTCATTTCCCTTCTTGTATATGCCATTAAATTTTCAAAAAATGTAGCAAATATAAATACAAGATGTTGACTTTCTGTGAGTTACATATATGAATAGCTTACAGTTTTACTGCTTCTACATACAACTTTATTTCCTAGACTTTCTCTAGCTTAAAAAAATCCTGCAGACAAGATCACCATTATATTGCTTGTGTTTTAAGTTCAGGGCTGTAGGCTTCTGGTTTGTAATACTGAGAGAAACGCTATTAATAGTATTCCTAAAGGCATAAAGCTTTCCTCCAAACCATGACTCTCGGACCAAGGCTCCTTTCATTTTGTGGCCCTGCCATCTTCAACAAGTGGCTTCCAGGGTCTTTGCAGAAGGGGAAAGAACAAGGAGGACCACCGTGGGAGAGCTGCGTGTGAGCTTAGCCTGGAAATAGCACGCTTCTCTTCCTTTTGTTACAGTAGGTAGTAGGCAGACATGAGCAGGGCAGGAAAGCACCCCCCTACCACAACCAGGAATGTCAGGAAACCATCAGGTAATGGTCAGGCGGTTGTTAACTGTCTCTCTAAAATAATAATTGGTTGCAGCCAGCGCCAGAGAAAGGCAGGCTCTCAATAAATAGAAAACACCCGAAACTGGTGATCAGCAGCTTCCTGGTAAGATCTCAGGAGTTGGGTGAGTGGGCTCAAGCATGAAAACTAAGGCAAAATGGCAGAGTTTAACCAGTATATGACCTTCCTCTAGAACACTCAACTGGTAAGGGAAAAACGCCTCAAGTGAGCATGTGCACAGCTTCAGTAAACACACTGCACATGCGGCTCCTCCCAAGTGCTGGCAGGCCAGTGCGAATGCAGACAGCCCACCCCAAAGGAAGAACTGGGAGAAGAGATGTTACCCACTGGAAGCATGCCAGTGTATAAAGCCCCGAGTCAAAGGTCAAACTGTACACTTGAATCTTTCACGTTACCTGCTTGGCCCTCTTCCAAGTGTACTTTTTTAAAATTCCTGCTCTAAAACTTTTTAAAGACTTTCACTCCTGCTCTAAAACTTGCCTCAGTCTCTCCCTCTGCCTTATGCCCCTCAGTCAAGTTCTTTCTTCTGAGGTGGCAAGAATTGAGGCTGCTGCAGACCTGTACAGATTCACTGCTGCTAACACTTTCACATTCCACTGATCAGGACTCAGTTGCATGGCCACAGCTAACTTAAGTGAAGATGGAAAATGTGGTTTAACTGTTTGCTCAGGAAGAAAAAGAAACAGTTTAGTAAACAGTTGGCCAGTCTCTGCCATACATACGTTTTTCCCATTTAATCCTAACAACCCTATAAGATATGTGCAGTAACTTATCCCACTTTATGGATGAGGAAATTGAAATCTTTTTTACGTGTACAAATTTATGGGGTACATGTGAAATTTAGTTACATGTATATAATGTGGACTAATCAAGTCTCGTTTTTTTTGTTTTGCATTTTTTTTTGTTTGTTTTTTCTTTTTTTTGAGACAGGGTCTTGCTCATGGCTCATTGCAGCCTTGACCTCCCAGGCTTCAGCAATCCTCCTATCTCAGCTTCCCTGGTAGCTAGGACTATAAGTGCATGCCACTGTGCCTGGCTAATTTTTTTATTTTTTGTAAAGACGGAGTTTCACCATGTTGCATAGGCTGGTCTCTAACTCCTAAACTCAAACCATCTGCCCACCTGGGTCTCCCAAAGTGCTGAGATTACAGGTGTGAGCCACCATGCCTGGAAAGAAACTGAAATTTTGATAGGCTGAGTACCATACCTAATACCTCACAGTTAATAAATGGCAGAACTCAAACTCAAACCTAGGCAGTCCAACTCCAGAAACCATATTCTTTAAAAAGCTACTGTAACATGACTGATATTCCTTTTACTGAAGAAGAATATTTAAGCCTTTTTTAATTGTAAGAGGGGTATGATAATTATGGAACTTTAAGTAAATACAAACCCATCATTTTGGAGAAGATGATACTGAGATTTAGAGGCGGAATGTTCTACTGAAGGTTAAATCATTGCTGCCTATGTACCATACGATGTAAAGTAACATTTTTTTAAAGAGAATGCAATCTTGGCCGAGCGCAGTGGGCCTGTAATCCCAGCACTTTGAGAGGCCGAGGTGGGCGGACCACTTGAGGTCAGGAGTTCAAGACCAGCCTGGCCAATATGGTGAAACCCCGTCTCTACTAAAAATACAAAAATTAGGCCAGGCACGGTGGCTCACACCTGTAATCCCAGCACTTTGGAAGGTCAAGGCGGGTGGATCACCTGAGGTCAGGAGTTCAAGACCAGCCTGGCCAACATGGAGAAACCCCGTCTCTACTAAAAATACAAAAAAAAAATTAGCCAGGTGTGGTGGCACATGCCTGTAATCCCGGCTACTTGGGAGGCTGAGGCAGGAGAATCACTTGAACCTGGGAGGCGGAGGTTGCAGTGAGCCAAGATCATGCCATTGCACTCCAGCCTGGGCAACAAGAGTGAAACTCCGTCTCAAAAAAAAAAATTAGCCAGGCATGGTGGTGGGCGCCTGTAATCCCAGCTATTCGGGAGGCTGAGACAGGAAAATCACTTGAAACCAGGAGGTAGAGGCTTCAGTGAGCCAAGATCACACCACTGCACTCCAGCCTGGGGGACAGAGCAAGACTCTGTCTCAAAAATAAAAATAAAAATAAAAAAAAGAAAATACAATCTTCACAACTTAATAACTTATGTTATTCTTTCTAAAAATTAATTTCCTAAACCATGTAGTTTAATGTGATTTAATGTAGTTAAATACTAGCATTAAAACTTGTTTCTTGAAGGGCGCAGTGGCTCACACCTGTAATCCCAGCATTTTGGGAGGCTGAGGAGGGCAGATCGCCTGAAGTCAGGAGTTCGAGACCAGCCTGGCTAACATGGCGAAAACCCATCTTTAGTTAAAATACAAAAATTAGCTGGGTTTGGTGGTGCATGCCTGTAATCCCAGCTGCTCGGGAGGCTGAGGCACAAGAATTGCTTGAGCCCGGGAGATGGAGGTTGTAGTGAGCCGATATCGCACCACTGCACTCCAGCCTGGGCTACAGAGACTCTGTCAAAAAAAAAAGAAAAGAAAAGAAAAGCAGAAACTTGTTTCTTGATGAAGTTTGTTTTCCTGGGATCACACACAGATCTCCCACGGTGGTCCTTCTTGTTCTTTCTCCTTCTGCAAAGACCCTGGAAACCGCTTGTTGAAGATGGCGGGGCCACAGAATGAAAGGAGCCTTGGTCCCTGAGTCACGGCTTGGAGGAAAGCTTTATGGCGTTTAGGAACACTATTGTTTGTTGGTCCTGAAGAGGAAGTACTTCACAGAGCAAGCCTGCCACCATGTGGCGCGGGCCCAAACCTAGCATCAGTTAAAGGTTCATTCTCATTTACTTGGTTGCCTCTGGTTCACTTACTAACCAATCTAGATTTAATGCTGTCTAATAAGAAATTAATACCCAGGTGTATTCTATAGGTTTAAGTAGTTTTTAATTTCAAGATACATTTCTTCAATTCTGAAATTATTGCAATATTTCCAAACTGGCTACAGGAGTGACCACAACATTTATAATATGATCCAGGCACATTCACAAGAGGACTACTTCAGTGCATCACAAACATGGAAACAAACTCAGCAATTTGTAGGATTTATCTCAGTTCACTCAAAAGTTGGTCAATGAGCCAGATTAGAAGGCAGAATTCCGGCCAGGTGTGGTGGGTCATGCCTGTAATCACAGTGCTTTGGGAAGCTGAGGTGGGAGGATTGCTTGAGCCCAGGAATTTGAGACCAGCCTGGGCAACAGGGTGAGACCTTGTCGCTATAAAAAATAAAAAAATAAGAGGCAGAATTCCTTGGAATGGAAACAGGTAGTGTGAAGGACTGCCAAAAATGGATGAAAAACCCTCATGGAAGGAGAGTCAGAACTTAACAGTTTCCTAGAGTTTTAACACCGTATAAGCTCACTATGTTCTAGCATGCCAGGCTGACGTTTCCCAGAACTCTCTCTACATTTATCAAGACAGGAATGACATCGGAAGTTGTTTGCAAGACTATAGGTCTAGCAGGTGGCTAAGAGGAAGTCTGGTATTGCTGCTGCGTCTATTTTTATGTATTTATTCATTTATTTTTTAAGACGAAGTCTCACTCTGTTGCCCAGCCAGGAGTGCAGTGGTGCAATCTCAGCTCACTGCAACCTCCACCTCCTGGGTTCAAGCAATTCTCCCACCTCAGCCTCCTGACCACCTCCCAGGTTCAAGCAATTCTCCTGCCTCACCCTCCCGAGTAGCTGAGATTACAGGTGCGTGCCACCACACCTGGCTAATTTTGTATTTTTAATAGAGGGGTTTTACCATGTTGGCCAGGTTGGTGTCGAACTCTTGGCCTCAAGAGATCTGCCCACCTCAGCCTCCCAAAGAGCTGGGATTACAGGCATAAGCCACTGTGCCTGGCCTTGGTATAGCTGCTGCTTCTAACACTTGCTTCTAATGATTGGTGGGTGGAGGCAGCAGTACTCACATTCTGATACAGTTATTAAATGTTCCTTTTTTTCTTTGGTCCTATTACTACTTCTTTCTTTTTCTACCACTGCAAACTCTGAAATATCTATTACACATAAAATGTCAACTATAACTCACCTGATTTCACTGTAGAAAGCAATTAAAAGGGAAAAATTGTATTTACTTGAGGGTGAAAAAAAAAACCCACATCATCCTTTTCTTTATGTTCCTTTTTTACACTGATATATAAACTTGTTATTTCCACCTAACTAAATTGATTCATTTAATCCAGTGACTGTGGTTAAATTGAAAAAAGGTTTGAAAAGAGGGGGTGTCTATGGAAACCCAAACTTCTTCACACTCCAGCTTTTTCACTACCTTCTCACCTCCCCAGCTTCCACATTTTCGCAAGCATGGGTATATATGTCCCAAGGCTGTGGTTCCCAGGGGCCAAAAGTATATGAATAAGCCTATATTATGTAAACCTTTCATCTTTTAGGACATGCTGTGCCTTCCATTTAGAGCATTTATCATCTCCATTCTGATCACCATGTAACCAGATATGATGGGCCCAGTGATAGCTTCCCTAGAAGCCTCATCACTCCTTGTTCTAGAAAGGTCAGGTGCAGATGGCCTGACTCAGCCCAGCTCTAGAGACTGGGACACATCTCTGGTTCTTGTTCATTCTTCTCTTTGGCCTATGTGTTACAAATCAGCCTTCCTTATCATTGAAGTAGTATGTATGGGCTTAGGAAAGAGATCACTTCCTTTTTCTTAAAGAGCTCACCATATGGTCTAATCTAAACTAGCTCAGCAGGATTCTATAGTGGGATCTGAGGTTTTAGTGAAATTAAATGTGCTATTTAGATGAATATTGTCTAGATTCCCTATTTAAAGGAAAAATGGTTCCTTTCCATATAAAATAAATGTATTGTTTCTGTAAGAAATTTCTTACATTCTTTTCTCTAATCATCTCTTTGCAATATGTGATGGATATTGCTTTTTTTTTTTTAAGAGGCAAGGTCTTGCTCGCATGATCATAGCTCATGGTGGCCTCTACCTCCTGGGTTCAAGTGATCCTCCCACCTCAGCCTAGCTGAGACTACAGCCTACCTGGGACTACAGGTGTGTGCCACCATGCCTGACTAAAAAAAAAATTGTTTTTGTAGAGACAGGATCTCACTATGTTGCCCAGGCTGGTCTCAAACTCCTGGCTTCAAGCAATTCTCCTGTCTTGGCTTCCCAGAGTGCTGGGATTACAGGTGTGAGTCACTGTGCCTGGCCAAGTTATTGCTAAATATTAACTGAATTACAATTGATAAAAAATAATATCCCACTTATGTTCTAAAATATTCCAGACTAAAATATAACATCCTTAAATATTATTTGCTATTGTATACTAACCTTTACCTATGTAGCCAGATTTCACAAATCTTACAATATAAATTTTCCCCAAGTCTTCTCCATGAATTATATTCCTTTGTATATGAGGAAAAACAAATGGCAACTGCTGTTTCTTTGTATGTGCTCATAATTGAATTTAAGGGGTCCTCAAACTTATAAAGGATATCTGTCAAGAACCTAGAGAAAATATTACATTTAATGGTAAAACATTAGAAACATCACCACTGAAGTGATGTATGGATTTTTACAAAATATGGTCACAAATTCTTTGGCACCCCACCCATTGAGAGGTGGCATCTTTGTACCCTCCCTTTGAATTCGGATAGACTTAACGATTTGCTTGCAAACAATAAAATGCAGAATAAGTGGTACACACTGAGAAGTGTGGCTTCTCAGGCTAGGTCAGAAAAGGTGACACAGATTCCTACTTGTTCACTGGAATACTTGGTCTCAGATCCCTGAGCCTCCACATAAGTGGTCTGACTACCCTGAGAATGCCATGTTGGAAAGAGGCCAACTAACATGTAGAGGCCATCTGTAAGCACTCCAGTTGCTAGTCTCACTGAGCCCCCAGCTGACAGCAGCATCAACTGTCAGCCATGTGAGTGAGCCATTCTGGACATCCAGCCTAGGTGAACCGTCAGGTGACTTCATCCCCAGCTGACATCTGACTGCAGCTGCTTGAGATACCCTAAGTGAGAACAATGTGATCTAGCCCTTCTTGAAATCCTGACCCTCAAAATCATAAGCAAAACAAAATAATTGTTTTAAGCCACTAAATTTTGAGGTAATTTGCTTCACAGCAATAGTAACAAAAACAGACAAGGATTAGGAAAGTATGCCCTCTGTCACTGCTGTTATTTAATATTCAACTAGAACTTATGGACCAATAAGTAAATGAAACGGGAGGCCTAATGTTGGAAGGAATTAAACACGACCATCGTTTGCAGACAATGATTGTCTCCATAGACAAGTCAAGAGAATCCACTAAAAAAACAATTAGAACAAAGAAGAGTTCAGTATAAGTTTAATTTAATATAGGAAAGACATATAAAAATTAATAACTAATTAGAAAATGTATTTAGACAAAAGCGCCATTACCAATAACAGTAAAAACCCTAAAATACTTAGTAATAAAGTTTAAAAATACATAAAGGCTATATGGAGAAAATGTCTAAAGTTCACTAAAGGGCAGAATTTCTAGGAATAGTATCATAGAAGACATTGGGCAATTTCTTCCATAGATAATGATTATAAAAACTGGACAAATTTCTTAAAAACAACTATTTGTTGGTGTTTTTGTTAGATGACTCTTGAGAAGGGTTTACTCTTGAATGACGGATACTGCATCAGGTAAAAACTAAGAGTTTGTGACCCCTAAGCAGGGGGTCACTCCCCAACACCCTCCAGCTCTAGTGGCAGAAAACCACAGCCATACCAGCTTGAGGTGTCAGAGAATAAAGTTTAAGGCAGCAGACAACTGGATATTCAAGGGGGGAATCCTGTAAAAATGAGAGCCAGAGCCACAGAAGGACTGAATTGAAAAGCTGAGTATAAGCTCCGCTCAAATCCCTGCCTGCCTGCTAAACTGCTGAGACACACAAGAGACCCCAGGCAGCCCAGTGAAAAAGCAAGCAGAGACTAGAGAGGCATCTACCCTTGTGAGACAGAACTGCTCCTGGTGAGGTTTGTGAGTTTGCTGCACTGTTGACTTAACATGCACAAAGCTCAGGTCTTGCAGAAAGCAAAAACCTTATTGGCTTGAGGTGCCACTGGGCAGAACTTGGGGCTGGCAGAGCAACTGGATATTTAGGAAGAAAGCAAGGGAGCTGTACAGTAGGTAAGCTTCAATACCTGAATATAAATTCTTTCCAAATCTGTGGCTGACCCTAAACTACACAGGCTCAGGAAAGACTCCCAGGCACTAGGCCAAAAAAGAAGCAACTGGATCCTGAGAAAACTGTGCAGAAGAATACATCAACTACTATAAATTGCTGGGGACAGATTTTTCAGTTTAAATGCAGGCAGGTTAACTGCCTACTAGAACAATATGGCAACAACCCTCAGAAGAACAAAACAGAATCTTGAGTGGGTATAACATTACTACAATGTCCAGTGTTTTTTGTTTTTTGTTTTCTTGTTTTTTTTTTTTGAGACGGAGTCTCGTTCTGTCGCCCAGGCTGGTGTGCAGTGGCGTGATCTCGGCTCACTGCAAGCTCCGCCTCCTGGGTTCACGGCATTCTCCTGCCTCAGTCTCCCAGGTAGCTGGGACTACAGGTGCCCGGCTAATTTTTTGTATTTTTTTAGTAGAGACGGGGTTTTACCTTGTTAGCCAGGATGGTCTTGATCTCCTGACCTCATGATTCACCTGCCTCGGCCTTCCCAAAGTGCTGGGATTACAGGCATGAGCCACTGCACCCAGCCTACAATGTCCAGTTTTAAACCAAAAATTACTAGACATGCAAAGAATCAGGAAAGTGTTACTACTCTCAGGAAAAACAAAATCAGTCCATAGCAACTGAATCATAGTGGGCTCAAATGTTGGATTCAACAGACAAAGACTTCAGAGCAGCTATTGTAAATATGTTCAAGAGTTAGTAAGGCACATGTTTAAAGAACATAAGGAAAGTATGGCATTACTGAGTGAACATGTAGGAAATGTTAATAGAGAAATGAAAATTCTAAAAATGAATCAAGTAGAAATTCTCAAGCTGAAAAGTATAATAGCTGAAAGTTCCATGAAGAATACAAAGGAAGACTTGCATAAATGGAAAGGCAACACATATTTCTAGATGAGAAGTCTCAATTGTGTAATGATGTCAATTCTCCACAAATCAATCTATTAAAAGCTACCCCAATTACAATTCCAACATTATTTTTCCACCAAAGTGTTTAATGAAATTTGAAAACATGATCTTAATGTTCATATGAAAAAGAGAGTACAGACTGGGTGTGGTGGCTCACGCCTGTAATCCCAGCACTTTGGGAGGCCAAGGTGGAGGATCACCTAAGGTCAGGAGCTTGAGACCAGCCTGGCCAACATGGCAAAACTCCATCTCTACTAAAAATACAAAAATTAGCTCAGTGTGATGGTGTACACCTGTAATCCCAGCTACTAGGGAGGCTAAGGCAGGAGAATCACTTGAACCTGGGAGGTGGAGCTTGCAGTGAGCCGAGATTGTGCCACTGCACTCCAGCCTGGGCAACAGAGTGAGACTGTCTCAAAAAAAAAAAAGTACATTAAAATGACCACAAGATTTTGTAGGTAAAATATAGAGGGCAGGAGACTTTTCCTATCAAATACAATAACATTAAAGATATTCATTAAACTAATGTGATATTAGCAAAAGATCCACAGATAGAATTGTGGAATGGAATATAGAAGGCAGAAACATCTAAACCCACACATACATATAAATATATGAATTTAGTGTACAATAACAGCGATACTTCAAGCCAGAAAAAAAGATAGCTCATTTAATAAATAATGCTTATTAAATTCATCTAAGTTGTTTGTTATATCGGCATAAAGTTTTCTATAATATCCTCCTTGTCAGCTTTTCTCCAGCTTTACTGAGGTATAAACTGTACATGATTCATGTATACAATTTGGTGAGTTTGGACATATATATCCACTCATGTTACCATAACCACAATCCAGGTAATAAATATATCCATCACTTCATCACCTCCAAAAGTTTCCTTGTGTCCCTTTGTTTATGTTTTTTGTTTTTCTGTGGTAAGAACACTAAATTTGAGATCCACCCTTTTAACACAATCCTAAGTATGCAGTATCTTATTGTTAACTATAGGCAATATGTGTACAGCAGATATGTGGACTTACTCAGCTTGAATAAATGTAACTTTATACTTTTAAAGTACTTCCCATGTCCCTCTCCCCCGATCCTCTGGTAACCACCATTCTGTTGTCTACTTCTACACCTTCAACTATTTTCAATGTCTCACATAAGGGGAATGATGTAGTATTTGTTCTTCCGTGACAGACTTACTTCACTTAGTATAATGTCTTCCAAGTCCATTCATGTTATCACAAATGATAGGGTTTCCTTCTTTTTTTTTTTTTTTTTAGATGGAGTCTTGCTCTGTCACCCAAGCTGGAGTGTCTCAGCCTCCCAAGTAGCTGGGATTATAGGCATGCGCCACCACGCCTGGCTAATTTTTGTGCTTTTAGGAGAGACGGGGTTTCACCATATTAGGCTGGTCTCGAACTCCTGACCTCAGGTGATCCACCAGCCTCGGCCTCCCAAAGTGCTGGGATTACAAGCATAAGCCACCACGCCCAGCCCTGGGTTTTCTTCTTTTTTAAAGCTGAATATGCCAAGTGCAGTGGCTCGCACTTGTAATCCCAGCACTTTGGGAGGCCGAGGTGGGCAGATCACGAGGTTAAGAGTTCGAGACCAGCCTGGCCAACACAGTGAAACACTGTCTCTACCAAAAATGCAAAAATTAGCCAGATGTGGTAGCACGTGCCTATAATCCCAGCTACTCAGGAGGCTGAGGCCGGAAAATCACTTGAACCCAGGAGAACAAAAATGAGCCCTTGGACATTTAAAATATAACAGCAGAAGTAAATATTGTGATGGAAGGATTGGAAGATAATGTTGAAGAAATCCAGAAAGTAGAGTGAAAAGGCAAAGGTGTAAGAAAGGAAAGAAAATATTTTTAAAATTAGAGACTAAGCAGAATGCAACAATCAAATAATAGGAGTTCCAGAAAAAGAGAACATTAAAAATGGAGTGGAGGCCAGGTGTGATGGCTCACATCTATAATCCCAGCACTTTGGGAGGCCGAGGATGGTGGATCACCTGAGGTCAGAAGTTCGAGACCAGCCTGGGCAACATGGTGAAACCCCAACTGTACTAAAAATACAAAAATTAGCCCCGTGTGGTGGAGCATACCTGTAGTCCCAGCTACTCAGGACGCTGAGGCAGGAGAATTGCTTGAACCCAGGAGGCAGAGGTTGCAGTGAGCTTGATCATGCCACTGTACACCAGCCTGGGTGACAGAGCAAAAAAGCTATTACTGATTAAGCACATTATACATTATATCTACATTAATTTATTTACTCCTCCCAACACCTCTGAGAGGTAATTTTTTTGTCCCCATTTATAGATGTGGAAACTGAGGCTACATAAGATTAAGTGCCTTGCCTCAGACTAGTTTTGTTGTTTTTGTTTTTTTAATAAATAGACACAGAGTCTTGCTAAGTCACCAGGATTGGTCTCAAACTTCTGGCCTTAAGCGATCCTCCTGCCTCAGGCTCCCAAAGTGCCGAGACTATAGACATAAGTCACCACACCAACCAGCTTAGTTTTTTTCTTTTCACTTCTAAATATTATATCATTTTGTCAAGAACTACTTTTATATATGTGAAAAGGGATCAATACAAAAGCTAAGAAAGAAGCAAGCACAACTCTATTTTTATTTATTTATTTATTTATTTTGAGATGTAGTCTTGCTCTGTTGCCTAGGCTGGAGTACAGTGGCACGATCTCAGGTCACTGCAACCCCCGCCTCCCGGGTTCAAGTGATTCTCCTACCTCAGCCTCCTGAGTAGCTGGGATTACAGGCGCCTGCCACCACGCCCAACTAATTTTTGTATTTTTAGTACAGTTGGTGTTTCACTATGTTGCCCAGGCTGGTCTCGAACACCTGACCTCAAGTGATCTGCCCACCTTGGCCTCCTAAAGTGCTGCGATTACAGGTGTGAGCCACCACACCCAGCCAGCACAACTCTTTCTAGAAGGGAAGAATGACATTGCCACTATTGGATGAAGACTCCCAGGAGAAGATGATGAGGTGAAGAGAGTCTCTGGGTCAGAGTCTGAATTTCACTCCCTTGGGAGCCTTACAAGAGCCCCTTCTGGGGAGGACCGTGGACAAAGCCATATCTTAGGAAGGATAGGCCTCAGCATATTGGGGCAATATTGACAGACCTTTAGTGCAGGCCCAGCTCTATCGTCCAGCAGGAATATGGCCTTGGGAATGAACTACTGTGCGCGATCTACTTCAAGACACAGCTCCAGTCTCATGAGTGAGCAAATCAGAATACGTCTTGCGGGTTGAAGGGAGAATCCTTAGCTGGTCGTGGCTGTGGGGCCTGGATCCTGTGCTGATGAAGTTTCTCCCTTCCCCTTCATGCAAAATAAATACTTTGCTCATTGATGCACAGGGTAATGGTAAGTCATCTGGGAAATCCAGCCAAGTCACAAGCACTAATCTTAGTTTCTAACTATGAAGTGACCTTCCAACCTCCTTCCTAATCAAGTTAGGTTTTTTTGGTTTGTTTTTCTTTTTCCTGCAAAGTAAAAATATCCAGTTCAGGAAATGTGGCTGATTGAATAGCAGCTGCCATGGAGGACCTACTTTGGATATTGAAACAACCTTGGAAGAAGATCAGAAACTCACTCCCATCAGCTCCTGTTTTGAGGCAGGCCTGGAGCTCATCACCCAGATTAGTCTTGGCCTCCACATTGTCCTTCCTGTATATTTTTAGGAGAAAGTATCTGGCCACTGTTTCTTTTTCCTCTCAATGCTAGGAAACTTCCTGTAATATTGGAAAAGTAGAAGTTGAAGCGGCTTCAGTGCAAAACTAACATTCTCTGGATCTTTCTCACGCTGTTCGGAAAGTAGATCACCCACTGTTATTTCCTTTTCCTGGCTTTTTTTTTTTTCCTAACAGACAAAGAGAGGCACTGCCACGATACTATTTCTGTTCAGAGGGGGAGAGAGAGCAAAAAGAGACAGGCAGAAACATTTTCCCCAGCCTTGCCACATTCTTCACTCAGTTATAAAGAAACGCATTGCCAATAAAATAGAAAACAGAAATAGCAGGAAAATTCTGAAAGATGAGCTGTGCTGTAAATGTAAAACACAAGCCACTTAATGCATAATCATTCAAAGGACAGTTTGTAATGAAAATAAAGACATTTCAAAAGAGCCCATAATTTGCTTACATTACATTCTGTATCTAATTGTTATAGTATGTTTTATTCCTCTTATACAAGAAAAAATGTTGACCTCCCTCATTCATATGGCATGCAGATGCATTTGAGCAGGGTTTTTTGGGTTTAATAATGTGATAGACTGGCTGGGCACTCATGCCTGTAATCCCAACCCTTTGAGAGGCTGGCAGGCAGATCACTTGAGGCCAGGAGTTCGAGACCGGCCTGGCCAACATGGTGAAACACTATCTCTACTAAAAATACAAAAATTAGCTGGGCGTGGTGGCACATGCCTATAGTTCCAGCTACCCGGAAGGCTGAGGCAGGAGGCTGAGCTTGGGAGGCAGGAGGCTGAGCTTGGGAGGCAGGAGACTGAGTTTGGGAGGCAGAGGGCTGCAGTGAGCCGAGATCATGCCACTGCACTCCAGCCTGGGTGACAGAGTGAGACTCCATCTCAAAAAATATATATATGTATTATAGAATATTAGAGCTTTAGACATCACCTAGTGCAAACTTCTTGCTTTACAGATTAGAAAATTGAGGCTTAGAAAGTCTAAGTAATGGCCAAGCACAGTGGCAAATGTCTGTAATCCCAGCCCTCTGGGAGGCCAAGGCAGGAGGATTGTTTGAAGCCAGGAGTTCAAGACCAGCCTGAGCAAAACAGACAGACCCCCCCACCCCAATCTCTACAAAAAAAAAATTTTAATTAGCCAGGTGTGGTGGCATGTGCCTGTAGCCCTAGCCCTAGCTACTTGGGAGGCTGAGGCAGGAGGACTGTTTGAGCCCAGGAATTTGAGCCTGCAGTGAGCTATGATTGCACCACTGTACTCCAGCCTGGGCAACAGAGCCCGACCCTATATCTAATTAATAATAACAAAAAGATTAAATAACTTAACCCAGGCAACACAGATGGAAAGTAGCAGAGCTGGGGGCTAGAATCCAGATCTAAATCTTCAGCCTGCATTCTTCCTAATTTATGTGGAGCCTCACACTGTCTTGCCCTGTCCCATGTGCAAGATAGCAGCCGAGAATGACTACTGCAGCATTCCTTCTGATTTCCTTATTTCTGACTTGAATATGCTACACCAGTAACAAAACTATGAGCACCCAAGACACAACCACACGCATGTGCACACACAGAGACGCACACACATACTGTTAACAGATACTGAGACAAAGATCTTGGAAGACAGCATTGTCTTCTGAAAAGAGAATCTTCTGCTATGGAATGTCTGGGAAGGAAGTGTGACAGACGTTTTCACTCACCCAACACCTTTCCCACTTTCTTCTTGCTACAAGTAGCATAATTTTATTCAGATAGCATGGAGTGGGGGCAGACAGGGTGGGGGCAATGCGCTCAGAGAAGGTAGACCCAGCCTGGCCAAGCCAAGTAATTTTATTCTCCTGGTCAGGAAGATGTATGGAGAAATTGGCTGGTAGGCTTTAGGAAAACATTTCATTTTTTATTACACAAATGCACACACATGCACACAAGCAGCCAAAAACACTTACACCTTTCCCTTTCTTCCTGCCTTTTTTTTTTCTTTGAGATGGAGTTTTGCTTTTGTTGCCCAGGCTGGAGAGCAATGGTGCAATCTTGGCTTACTGCAACCTCTGCCTCCCGGGTTCAAGTAATTCTCCTGCCTTAGCCTCCCAAGTAGCTGGGATTACCGGTGTATACCACCATGGCCAGTTGATTTTTTTGTATTTTCACTAGAGACGTGGTTTCACCATGTTGGCCAGGCTGGTCTCGAACTCCTGACCTCAAGTGATCCACCCACTTTGGCCTCCCAAAGTGTTGGGATTACAGGCCTGAGCCACTGCACCTGGCCTCTTCCTGCCTTTCAATTCAGTTTTGTGAGAATAAGATATTTGATGTTGCTGCACAACATTGCTGGGGAGTCATCACACCTAAGTTGACAGTGCTGAAGCAGAAACATGGAAAGAGACCGGCTCTTTGATGACACTTGAGCTGCGAAACTGACCTGGAATGACCTCCTTCCAGATGTATTGTCATGAGAGAGAATAAGACAATCTCATTGTTTCAGCCACTTGCAGTGGGTGTTTTATAACTTGCAGCTGAAAGCATAGTTACCTCTCTGAGCCTCAGTTTTTTCCTTTAGAAAATGGCGATAACACTACTTACCCAGCAGGTCGTAGGAGGAAATGGTATAATACAATGCCTAACATAAAGGAACTCAGTAAATCGTAGCTAGTCATATCATAATCATGATAACCCTCATAGCAAAATCCTCAGTGGTGGGAATGTTTTCTCCACTCCGCCAGTGTCATGGCATCGGGTTGCTTCTCCCTACAGTGGTGGTCTGGAGACAGTTTGCCCCGCTGCCACCTCTTCTCCAAGTGCTGAGGAGCTCAGGCATGGGAGCTTTGGGCCTGGGAGCTTTGGGCCGGGGAGGTAGGGAGTCCAGTCTGTAAAGGAAAACAATAAAAATGAAAAGCAAGCATGTAAAATCATAATAACATATTGAATAATCTTAGCAAGCCACAAAGTGTTCTTTATTTTTTATTTATTTATTTTTTTGGGACGGAGTCTCTCTCTGTTGCCCAGGCTGGAATGCAGTGGCATGATCTCAGCTCACTGCAACCTCCCCCTCCCGGGTTCAAGCAATTCTCCTGCCTCAACCTCCTCAGGAACTGGGATTACAGGTGCCTGCCACTGCACCTAGCTAATTTTTTGTATTTTTAGTAGAGACGGGGTTTCACCATGTTGGCTAGGCTGGTCTTGAACTCCTGACCTCGTGATCTGCCCGCCTCAGCCTCCCAAAGTGCTGGGATTACAAGCATGAGCCACCGCGCCCAGCCAAGTGTTCATTTCTTATGTCCCAGAAGTCCCAACTCTGGCAATCTAGCCCATAGAAATAATCCAAATGAAGAGAGAAATTTTACTCACCAAATCTTTAATTCAGATTTTTTTGCAGCCTTTAGAAGTAAATAATAATATATCCCCTTGATATAATATAATTATGAAGCCAACACAGTAATGTTTATTAGAAACTATGTAGGGGTGGCCCGGCGCGGTGGCTCACGCTTCTAATCCCAGCACTTTGGGAGGCCGAGGCGGGCGGATCACGAGGTCAGGAGATCGAGACCATCCTGGCTAACACGGTGAAACCCTGCCTCTACTAAAAAAATACAAAAAATTAGCCGAGCATGGTAGCTGTAGTCCCAGCGACTCGGGAGGCTGAGGCAGGAGAATGGCATGAACCCGGGAGGCAGTGTTTGCAGTGAGCCTAGATTGCACCACTGCACTCCAGCCTGGACAACACAGCGAGACTCCGTCTCAAAAAAAAAAAAAAAAAAGAAACTATGTAGGAATAAGGCAATGTAATTCTTAATATAAATTAAATGAAAACAAAATCAGAATACAAAATTGTATGTGTGCTCTGCTTACAACCACGTGGAGCACAGCTATAATTAAAGCGGGCTATACTTGGCACACTGATTGTTAAATAAGTGCAGCGAACACAGGAAATAAGGGGGCTGCGGGTTGTTGAAGAAACTGGCCAGAAAACGGAACGAAGAGGAGAGAAGCTAACGGTGCTCATCGTGTGGCACGCAGGTGCGTTGTTTTCTCTCCACTAAGGCTGCTGGGTGGGGCCAAAATAGTCCAGGCAGCCAAGTGCAGAGGCGTTGGGGGCGGCAAAGATGCAAAGGATCCCCACTGTGGCTGCACCCCGAGGAGGAGTCCGTGGCAGGAGGCCCACACCCAGGACCCGGCGCCAACAGTGAGGAGACGAACCTGGAAGACATCCCGCTGTCCAGACACCGCGAGGGAGGCGAGTGGTGCTCGCAGCCTGGGACTTAGGAACACAGGGAAACAGCTTCCACATGCCATTTGCTGAATAAATATTTCTTGCAGGATGTTTCCTATGGATTCATTCTCTATCATGAAAGCTTTATTTGTGGTCAGCGTCCTAGGAAAGCAGAGGCAGACAGATTTCTGTTCTAGGGAGTTCTGTGGAGGGTTACAGATCAGCAATATTCCACTGAAACCAAATACCTAGGAAAAGCATGGAAGGACACACAGAAATCACAAATTATTATATTATATTATACTATACTATACTATACTAATATTATATTATATTATATTATATTATATTATATTATATTATATTATATTATATTATATATTTATTTTTTGAGACAGGGTCTTGCTCCGTCATCTAGGCTGGAGTGCAGTGGCGCAATCATGGCTTACTGCAGCCTCAACCTCCCAGGTGCAGGTAATCCTCCTGCCTCAGCCTCCTGAGTAGCTGGGACTACAGCTGCATGCCATCACACCCGACTAATTTTTAAATTATATAGTTGTAGACATGGGTTCTCTCTATGTTGCCCAAGCTGATCTTGAACTCCTGGGCTCAAGCAATCCTCCTGCCCTGGCCTCCCAAAGTGCTGAGATTACAGGCATGAACCACCGTGCCTGGCCAAAATGTATATTTTAAAAAACATATAAAAATAGAGTTGGCTGGGCGCGGTGGCTCACGCCTTTAATCCCACCACTTTGGGAGACCGAGGCTGGTGGATCACTAGGTCAGGAGATCGAGACCATCCTGGCTAACACGGTGAAACCCCGTCTCTACTAAAAATACAAAAATTAGCCAGGCGCGGTGGCGGGCACCTGTAGTCCCAGCTGCTGGGGAGGCTGAGGCAGGAGAATGGTGTGAACCCGGGAGGTGGAGCTTGCAGTGAGCCGAGATCACGCCACTGCACTCCAGCCTGGGCAACAGAGCGAGACTCTGTCTCAAAAAAAAAAAAAATAGAGTTAATAAATATATCTATGTGTTATAGATATAAATAAAATGTGTTTGCAATCATTATCTACTGTGTCCTATAACTAATTAAGATCTTCACCCATAAAAATCCCAACCCTATTATGAATTTGGAGTACTTTCTGGTGGTGGACTCACACTTTTTCATGCAAGCTCCTTTGCCCCCTATGCAACCACTGCCCACGTTGTGCTCCAGGGCAGACCATAGTTCACAGGCGGAAGCAGGTGCCATGTAGGAATGAGACCACATGTACCATGAAGCAACGGAGCTCACTGATTCAGAGGCAAGATGCTGGCCCCTCTGGCTGTCACCATGGATGACTGCTGATTTAAGGTCTTTCTTGGTCATCCCACCTGGCACCACCACTTCTGGTCCCTTCTCTTCAGTTTCCTCTACCCAGCTATGTCCTCCTCTACTGATAAGCCCTGAAACAGAGCAAGTGGCCTCTTTTTTAATGTAACAAATATTTTACAATATTCATTTGTAAAGTCTAGAAATGAAAATAATACACAATAGCATCTACCTAGCCACACAATCTTGAAAAACAATCAGTATAATGCTGTAACTATAACGTAAGAAATAAATGAAGGTATTTATTTATTTATTTATTTATTTATTTTTAGAGACAGAGTCTTGCTCTATAGCCCAGGCTGAAGTGCAGTGGTGCAAGTGGTGCAGCCTCGAACTCCTGGGCTCAAATGATCCTCCTGCCTCAGCCTTCTGAGTAGCTGGGACTAGAGGTGTGCACCACTATGCCTAGCTAATTTTTAACTTTTTTGTAGAGACTGGGTCTTGCTATGTTGCCCAGGCTGGTCTTGAACTCCTTGTTGAGGATCAGTGGGAGATGAAAGGGAGGAGAGACAGTGAGGACCCCTTGGCACTACCCACCTTCCCTACCCACCGGCAAGTCCCCAATGAGTGATGTCCAGTATGGGTCTGGGCGGGGCAAGTGATCCTCCTGCCTCAGCCTCCCAGAGTGCTTAAATTACAGATGTGAGCCACTCTACCCAACGGAAGGTAATTTGAAATAAAATAATACATGTTCCCATACATAAGTGCTCAGGACAATCACATTAATGAAGTTGTCACGTTCTTGCATCTAAATTTAGAATCCACATGAGCACCATGGCAGTGGATCGCCGTTTTGGTGCGTCTTATCAGCAACTTAAATGCCACGCTGTTATTCAAAGCGCTGCTGTCAGTGATGTGATTTTCCAAAATAATGAGCAGCTCTTGGAAAAGCTCCAAACAGAACAAAGTGCAAACTTTCCTCAATGCATACAGTAGTTGTGTTTCTGGAAAGTGTAGTGTATATGAAAACCACATGAAAATAGTCTGCGGTTACATATAAAACAAAATTAGGTTCTAGGATCAGATAGTTTTTATTTTATTTTATTTTATTTTATTTTATTTTATTTTATTTTATTTTATTTTATTTTTGAGACGGAGTCTCCCTCTGTTTCCCAGCCTGGAGTGCAGTGGCACAATCTTGGCTCACCACAACCTCTGCCTCCCAGGTTCAAGTGAATCTCCTGCCTCAGCCTCCCAAGTAGCTGGGACTACAGGCACGCTCCACTATGCCCGGCTAATTTTTGTATTTTTAGTAGAGACGGGGTTTCACTATATTGGCGAGGCTGGTCTTGAACTCCTGACCACGTGATCCACCCGCCTTGGCCTCCCAAAGTGCTGGGATTATAGGCTTGAGCCACCGAGCCCAGCCCAGATACTTTTTAAATGGTGTTTTTTTTCTTTAAACTACTACATAAATGTTTGGGACATTCAAAAGTGAAATTCAAATTTAAGAAACATTTTTTTCTTGCACAAAATATTCTTGGGTGTTATAGGATGTCTAGCATCTCTAGTCCCCACTCACTGAATGTCAGGCACATGCTCAAATCAAACTCTCCAAGAGTGGTCATTGAGAACTACTCTTTCCTGTATATGAGTAGACCTTGTACTCTCTGTCCACTTTTCTCCACATCTGGGGAAAGCTGAATCATGGGCATAAGTACCTGTAAACAGTCACTGATACACATGTTACATCTGTAGCAACCACCCCAAATTCAGATATATAGCTTAGGGCCCCATGGGTTGCCTAATACATGATGGTCATAGAGGGAGGAAATTTCTCGGAGAATTTCATTCAACCTTCAGCATGATTGGAGCATTGGTTCTCACCACAGTACCCACAAAGGTAACTTGTACCCCACCCAGCCCCATCTTGTACATCACTCACTGGGGACTTGGTGGTGGGTAGGAAAGGTGGATGGTTCCTAGGGTTCCTGGCTGTCTCTCCTCCCCTTTGTCTCCCACTGATCCTCAACACAGCTCATGGCTGAGAACTTCTGATTGAGAGATTTATACAAGAAATTGCATTCCTCAAAGTAAGTGATTATTGAGGGAAAAAAAAAGGAAAACCATGAAAAAAACCCCAATGCACCCTACTTGCTTATATGTGCGTAGAATATCTCTGGAAAAATGTCTAAGAAACCAATGGTGTGAGCTGTTTCCCAGGGAGGGTCTGGCATGGCTGGAGCACTGCGGTGAAAGGAGAACGTCCTTGATGCTCTACTCTTTTGTACCTTCAGAATTTTGTATGGATGGCTTGAAAATAGAAAGAAATAGAATTTGATTTTTAAAAGAGGCAGTCCCTGGAAAAAAGTTATTAATTTGCATATTGCAAGTTGAGAAAGTGAGAGACCAGAGCAAGAGGAGGTCACAACAAGATAAAAAGGTGGGGGCCGTTATGGAGCCCAGGGAAAGGAGGGCTGGACAAGAGACTCCGTCCATGTTTCTCTAGCACTTTCCAGGAGAATAAAGCTCTTGTTCTAGCACTCTCCTCCTTTGGACCTATCTGTAGAGAGCAGAAAAGTGACCACGAGGCTCTGTTGCATGATAAACAACCCCTTAAAAACCACCAACTTTCCATGGTCTTCCAGCAACCCATTTGGATGTCGTCCCTACAGTTGACTCCTTCAGTCCCTGTGTGTGTCCTCTGCGTGCCCCTGGCCCCCTGCCTTCCCTTAGCTGTGCTGCACAGAAAACCGCCCCAGCTCTTGGGTCAAACAGATCCCATAAGAAACATCAGAAGAAGCATCCTGGCTTACAAGTTATTTTTTGGTGAGTGCAATGGGCGTGCCGTGCTCCTCCAGGCCTGACCACCTGTATGAGAGTTGGCAGGAGGACATTTCTAAACTCACACTCTTAGGGCAGTAGAGATGGGGCCTAAGACCTTTGTCTCTCCTGGTATCAGTGAGCCCCGTGTAGCCCCTTTTCCTTATTCCAGGTCTGGAAGCTGCAGTCACAGACACACAAAGGTGCTGGGGCTTGCACATTCACCAGCGTCACTTTCTCCAGCCACACCACTACGTTTGAGGGCTCTCCTGTCCTTCTCTAACAGAACTAGTCTGGGACTAGACGCCAGGCTTTGGGCTAAGTACTTGATGTGTCTTCACTTATTAAATCCTTCCAATAACCCTTCAAGTTAGGTACCATTATTATCGTCATCAACCTCATTTTATAGAGAAGGAAACTGAGGTGCAGAGAAATTCAGGTTGAGGTTCACAGCAAATAAGCAGTGGAGGCCAAGTGTGCCCCCAGGTGGACCCAAATCAAAGCCACACTGTTACCTTCTGCTCTGCGCTGCCTCCCGGGGCAGTAGCCCTCGTGAGCCTCCCCACGTTGGGGTGTCTAATGAAAAGCTTCCCTGCTGGTTGAGCTGAAGGGGTCAGGGTCGGGGCTGTACAGAGAAACTCAGGCCACAAGGGCCTTTGGGCAGAACTGGGGTCACAAAGTAATCATGGTTTCCCAGCGAACACAAGACTTTGGCCCTCAGGCAAGGCTCCTTGATGTCTGGGGGAGCCTGTGCCCCCCAGCAGTGCTCACAGATCCACCCCTGACTGCCAGCCGGCCCCTTGATGGCGGTGCCTGTCTCAGATTCTGTGGTCAGTGCCACGCAGCTACCTCCAGAGGCAGCCTGCAGCCTGGCCATGTGGCCCCAAGCTCCAGGCTAGAGGCCAAGGGGAGTGTCCCTTCTCTCTCTGTGTCACCCAGGGCATAGGTCACCCAGGCAGCCTGGCATGGTGCCTCCAAGCCACTGTGCTAATGCTTCTACAGCTTCTGCTCCCTCCCTGCCTCCATGGGGCCCAAACCTAGCCCTGGTGCTGCTCTGGGAACTGGGTCAGAGCAGCACCCCAGCTCCCCCACCCCCAGGAGCCCCTCAACCTTGGCCTGCTGTCATCCTCGTCCGGCCCCAATCTTCCTGCAAATCGGGCCCTTGCAGGATTCCTGCTGACTCAGCAGCTGGGCCCGGACAGGACTTAGTCCCAGCGTGAGCCGATCCCGCTGCAGTTTGGGCGAGAATGACAAGCCCTCCACCAGACGATTCTTTATTGCTCTGAGACTTCCCTGGGATAATTCCACCCCCAGGAGCACTCTATCTGTTTCTGTCTCCTCCCCACACACCCCCTGGCCTTGAAAAAGGATGATCACTGACCACAGGCACTGAAAAGAGCAAACCAAGAGCAGCATCAATACCCTCACACAGTGGTGCACATAACACACTTTGAGTTTCTGACTTTTCCTAATCAGTTCTTCCTGCTAAAATACAGTAGCTTAACAAAAACAATGACAACAACAATCTGGTGTTTGCCATTTACAAGGCACTTTCTGTGTGAGTAGCATGACATGGTAAAAGAGAAAGAGATGAATTATAAAACGCAGCAAGATCATGAGTCAATGATTCACCCTGTCCCAGCCTGCTTCTTTTTTTTTTTTTTTGAGACAGAGTCTTGCTCTGTCACCAGGCTGGAGTGCAGTGGCGCGATCTCAGCTCACTGCAACCTCCGCCTTCCGGGTTCAAGCGATTCTCCTGCCTCAGCCACCCGAGTAGCTGGGACTACAAGTGTGCGCCACCATGCCCAGCTAATTTTTGTATTTTTAGTAGAGATGGGGTTTCACCATGTTGGCCAGGATGGTCTCGATTTCTTGACCTTGTGATCTGCCCGCCTCGGCCTTCCAACCGAGCCTGCTTCTTTTCTTGTAAAATGGAAGAGTCATAACATCCAACTTGAGTCTTGATATTTTAATGAAATAATGCATGGGAAAGCAGAAAACAGCACAAAGATTACTGGTTATAAGAGCTAAATCACTGTGACTCCATATCCAAATTCAATACCTACTGAATCAGTGGTTTCTGACTAGTCAATTTTTTTTCTTTTTTTCTTTTTTTTTTTGAGACAGAGTCTCGGCTGGGTGCAGTGGCTCACACCTGTAATCCCAGCTCTTTGGGAGGCCGAGGCGGGCAGATCACTCGAGATTAGAAGCTGGAGACCAGCCTGGCCAACATGGCAAAACCCTGTCTCTACTGAAAATAAAAAAATTATCCAGGCATGGTAGCACGTGCCTGTAATCCCAGGTACTCGGGAGGCTGAGGTGGGAGAATTGCTTGAACCTAGGAGGCGGAGGTTGCAGTGAGCCGAGATTGTGCCATTGCACTCCAGCCTGGGCGCCAGAGCGAGACTCCATCTCAATTAAAAAAAAAAAATAGGAGAGAGACAGAGTCTCACTCTGTCTTCTAGGCTGGAGTGCAGTGCTGTGATCTCAGCTCACTGCAGCCTCCACCTCCTGGGCTCATGCAGTTCTTGGGCCTCAATCTCCCAAGTACCTGGAACTACAGGCACACATCACCATGCCTGGTTAATTTATTATTTTTTGTAGAGACGTGGTTTCACCATATTGGCCAGGCTGGTCTTGAACTCCTGAGCTTGAGCGATCCTCCTGCCTTGGCCTCCCAAAGTGCTGGGATTACAGGCATGAGCCCCCATGCCCGGCGACTAGCCAATTTTTTAAAAATTACATTTTCTAGAGGTGTCATTTTTACTGGGAAAAACACAGTGACACCATTCAAGAAAAAATTGAACGGTAACTTTAATCACTACATTAACACAATTTTAAAGGTTGATCTGCATCATACATACCTTTTAAAGAATGTTTTCATCATATGTAGACAGCTTTTTTTGTTTTTTGTTTTTGTTTTTGTTTTGAGGCAGAGTCTCGCTCTGTCACCAAGGCTGGAGTGCAGTGGTGTGATCTGGGCTCACTGCAACCTCCGCCTCCCGGGTTCATGCCATTCTCCTGCCTCAGCCTCCCAAATAGCTGGGCCTACAGGTAGGTGCCACCACGCCCAGCTAATTTTTGTATTTTTAGTAGAGACGGGGTTTCACCATGTTAGCCAGGCTGGTCTCGAACTCCTGACCTCGTGATCCACCCACCTCAGCCCCCCAAAATGTTGGGATTACAGGCCTGAGCCACCACGCCTGGCCATAGGCAGCTTTTAAAAGAACACATGTGCAGCCTGGCCATCATGGTGAAACCTGTCTTTATGAAAAATACAAAAATCAGCTGGGCATGGTGGCACCTGCCTATAATCCCACTTGCTTAGGAGGTTGAGGAGGGAGGATCGCTTGAGCCCTGGAGGCGGAGGCTGCTGTCCAGCCTGGGCGACAGAGCAAGACTCGGTCTCAAATAGAAAACAAAACAAAACAACAACAACAACAACAACAAACCATGTGTGATTCCAAGCAAATCAGAGAATCTCTAGCCACCAGAAAAACCTTGAGGCATGTACTGAAAGGAAGAGGTCAGAATTCTCTGCGAGGAGCTCAGAGGATCCTGAGGGAAGAGAGAAGGCGGCTGCGCTTGGACACAGCTCCGAGCTCGTGCTCCCTCCTTCAGGCACCCAAGTCTGAGTTGCTAAAAAATGGAGCTGTCACTGGGCCTTGCTCTGCCAGGACCTGCAGAGCCGGGGACCTCTCTGTGGCAAGCCCAGCAAGATGACTGCTCTGAGGCGCCCTAGGGCTGAGGGAGGGGCCGTGACACCAGCCCCGCCCCCCAGCCACCTGGGAAAAGGAAGCACAAAAAGGAGAAGCAGCAACGGCTGCTCTGCTTCCTTCCCATCTCGCTCTTGGGTCATGCCTGGCCAGCAGAAAGCAGCTCCATAGGGGAGGAGAGCCACGCAGGATCTCACAGCTGCAGTCTAATAGTAACACAGAGGTAATTTTAACTTTTTACTTTTCTACCCTTGGGAGTAGGGATGAGTAGAGGCTTACCTCCTTCCAGAGGCAGCTCATATCCCCCCACCCCCATTCCCGGAAGTTGAGATGTCTCTTCTCTGTTCCACGCAGGCATCGTCTAAGTTGGGAACAGGTCTTATGTCTTAAAATTTGGGATTCTTTAAAAACATATGTGGCTGGGCACAGTGGCTCACGCCTGTAATCCCAGCACTTTGGGAGGCCGGGCAGGTGGATAATTTGAGGTCAGGAGTTCAATACCAGCCAGGCCAACATGGTGAAACCTCGTCTCTAATATAAATACAAAAAGTAGCTGGGTGGTAGTAGTAGCTGTAATCCCAGGTACTCGGGAGGCTGAGGCAGGAGAATCCCTTGAACCTAGGAGGCGGAGGTTGCAGGGAGGCAGAGGTTGTGATGAGCCAAGATTGCACCACTGCACTCCAGTCTGGGTGACACAGTGAGACCCTGTCTCAAAACAACAACAAAAATGTGTGATGGCACATGCCCATAGTCCCAGCTACTGGGGAGGCTGAGGTGGGAGGATGGCTTGAGCCTGGGAAGTCGAGGCTGCAGTGAGCTGTGATCATGCCACTGCAGTCCAGCCTGGGCGACAGAGTGAGACCCTGTCTCAAAACAAAACAAAACAAAACAAAACAAAAAAACCCAAAAACAAACAAAAAAGCACATGTGGAGTGTTGTAGAAGTCATTGACCTTGGTAAGACAGTGGAGGAAACTGCTTTGCTCTGACTCATAAATTTGCCCCCAGTAAACAGTATTTATAAATAGCCCCAGTCAGGCACTGCATGAAGACATTTCAGTCAACGACAGACCACATATACAACGGTGGTCCCATAAGATTATAACAGAGCTGAAAAATTCCTATTTTTCAGCTTAGTGTTGTGGTGCAACCACTACCTTTTCTATGTTTAGATACACGAATACTTAGCACTGTGTTACAATAGCCTACAGTACCCATTACAGGAATGCTGTACCGGTGTGTAGCCCAGGAGCAATGGGCCATACCATATAGCCTAGGTGTGGAGTAGACTAGACCATCCACGTTTGTGTAATTACAATCTATGATTTTGTAAAATGATGAAATTGCCTAATGAAGCATTTCTCAGAATGTGTCCCCGTCATTAAGTGACACCTCACTGTGTTTCCAAGACATAGTACTGGTCCTTGGGAAGCTCTAAAGAGAGGTCACCGTGAGCTGAACCATCCTTCTCACTCTGTGCATGGAACCCAGCTTAGCTTCCATTTCAGCATTTAGGCTTATAGGAGGAGAAGAGGTTAGAAGCCACAGACCAGCAAGAATTGAAGACATCGTTCTGTAATTTCTACTGAACCAGCTCTGTCTGACTGGAACTTCATTTTGCCTCTTTGCTTTAACTCCTCAGGAATGTCTTCCAGGAGGCCCCTGATCTTCTCTGCTCAGGGACCACTCTTATCTGACCCAGAGACAGGTTAGCTGATGGTGACTCACACATCCTCACTTCCTTCAAAGCCCAGGCATCTGTTTAAAATCTGACCCTGTGAAGACTTTTCCTGTTTTGGAAAAACTCTTCCGTTGTTTGCCTGCACAGATTTGTGCTCCATTTTTAATTTCAATTTTTGTAGAGAAGGCGGGTCCTTGCTTTGTTGCCTCGGCTTGTTTGAAACTCCTGGGCTCAAGTGATCCTCCTGCCTTGGCCTCCCACAGTGCTGGGATTACAGGTGTGAGCCACTGCACCAGGATGGATTTGTCTTCCTTCAGAAGACAGTAGCTGATGTGTGCCCTGGCCTTTCTCCCCTAGGATTCAGCAGTGGCCACCATGGGTTCTGTGAATTCCAGAGGTCACAAGGCGGAAGCCCAGGTGGTGATGATGGGCCTGGACTCGGCGGGCAAGACCACGCTCCTTTACAAGCTGAAGGGCCACCAGCTGGTGGAGACCCTGCCCACTGTTGGTTTCAACGTGGAGCCTCTGAAAGCTCCTGGGCACGTGTCACTGACTCTCTGGGACGTTGGGGGGCAGGCCCCGCTCAGAGCCAGCTGGAAGGACTATCTGGAAGGCACAGATATCCTCGTGTACGTGCTGGACAGCACAGATGAAGCCCGCTTACCCGAGTCGGCGGCTGAGCTCACAGAAGTCCTGAACGACCCCAACATGGCTGGCGTCCCCTTCTTGGTGCTGGCCAACAAGCAGGAGGCACCTGATGCACTTCCGCTGCTTAAGATCAGAAACAGGCTGAGTCTAGAGAGATTCCAGGACCACTGCTGGGAGCTCCGGGGCTGCAGTGCCCTCACTGGGGAGGGGCTGCCCGAGGCCCTGCAGAGCCTGTGGAGCCTCCTGAAATCTCGCAGCTGCATGTGTCTGCAGGCGAGAGCCCATGGGGCTGAGCGCGGAGACAGCAAGAGATCTTGATCCAGACAGAGCAGCATATCTTTGCTCATACAAACTAGAAGAACCAGCTGATCCTTGAGAAATTTACGCTTAGTCTATCAAACAAGAAATGCTGGCTTGGCCCGGTGGCTCATGCCTGTAATCCCAGCACTGTGGGAGACCACGGTGGGGGAATCCCTTGAGCCCAGGAGTTGGAGAGCAACATCACAACACCCCATTTCTACTAATAATCAAAAAATTGGCCGGGCATGGTGGCATGTGCCTGTAGTCCCAGCTACTTGGGAGGCTGAGGCAGGAGAATCGCTTGAGCCCAAGAGGTAGAGGTTGCAGTGAGCCAAGATCGCGCCACTGCACTCCAGTCTGGGCAACAGAGTGAGACCCTGTCTCAATAATAATAATAATAATAATGATGATACTCTAAGAAAAAAATCTCAACATACTTCATTTAATAGCTCGTTACCAAGTGTGAATGAAGCAATATGTCATAATAGAGTAGCCACTGGTTGCATAATAATAGAGACCTAAATTCTCAAATAGGGAAAGAGGTTTTAAAATCAAATTTGAGGCCAGGTGCAGTGGCTCATGGGCGGAGGAGGGCAGATTACTTGAGGCTAGGAGTTCAAGACCAGCCTGGCCAACATGGTGAAACCCCATCTCTACTGAAAATACAAAAATTAGGCATAGTGGTGCACGCCTGCAGTCCCAGCTACTCAGGAGGTTGAGGCAGAAGAATCGCTTGAACCCAGGAAGTGGAGGTTGCAGTGAGCCGAGATTGTGCTGCTGCACTCCAGCCTGGGTGAAAAAGACAGGCTGTGTCTCCAAAAAGAAAAAAAAAAGTCAAATTCAAATATCATCTGGACATGTCACAATGGATCGCGGATCCTTATGAGTGATTTTCCCCAGTGGCCCCTGGGGATGTGCCACTGTCACTCAGAAGGGCAAGCTAGGCAGGGCCCATACAACAGCAGGGGTCTGCAGGTTAGACGTTCCCTGCCCTGGGACGCTCACCCCTGGGCAAGAGGCTGGAAGTTCACACCATCCAAAATTTATCCTTGTTTTTTTTCTGATGCTAATTAGCCTCTCCCGATTTTATGACATCTTGTGTTGATCTTTTTCAAAAACTCATTTTCTTTTTTTTCCTTCTCTTTTCTCCTTCTTGTAGCACATATCTTTCGTTAAAGATCAGATCAATAAAATATTTTATTTATTCATTAATTTAACAAAAAAAACAGAGCATTTAGTTTGTGGCAAAAACACTGAGCTTTCGAATATGAATCATGTGCTTTAGGTGGGAATTGTGAATTCTGAAGATACAGATGACAGTGACGAATGCCTTCTGTCTCATGATTGACAGGGAAAAGGAAGGTTGACCATAGCATCCTAGAAGGCTCATCAGGTGATCATTACCTAGCATCCATGAAGCACCTGAAATTATTTGCAAAATGTTACGCTTTGGACCATTTTTCCGGGGAAGGAGATCCAGAACTTTTTACCAGATTTTCAAAGACATCTGTGACTCCCAAAAGTTAACAATCACTGATGTGGTTGTTGTATCCCTCATCCAACCCCAGAACACTTTCTGTAATCTGAGTTTTTTAATGGCAAGTGGCCTATATTTAGCACCTGTTCTCATGTTAAACAGCTCTGAATGTTAGATATTCTTTCTTATCCTGGACTGGTTCTCTCTATCTCTGGAGTAATGCAGTATAAATTGGCCATCAGTACCCTCCTAAAATCTGAGATCTGCCAGGCCCCTCTTCTAACACCAGGTTAGGCATGCTTGGTTATTTCCAGTACTTGTCAGTCAACATGTTTCAAGACGCTGTGTTAGACACTAGGGATGCAAAGATGAATGAGATAAGGCCTCAGGCCTCATGGAAGGTGAGACAGTAAAGACATTACTCCCATAAAAATGTGAGGAGAGAGACTCAGTTCAGCAACTGTTTATTCTGTTTATTGAGCACTTACTTGGACCAAGCACTGTGGTCTTGGTGTTTTACATAGACTGTCTCTAATTCTCACAACTCTGCAAAATATATATATTCCCATTTTATAAAACTACAAACTGAGGCTCAGAGAAGGTGTGACCTCTTGTTGCTTGAGGCACAGAGTTATAAAGTAACATATCTGGAATTTGAAATCAGATCTGTTTAGGGCTAATGCTGCATTTTTCTACAACATCATGCCTCTAGAAGGTTTAAGCTAGGTAGGCTTTCAGCCAGCAGACATGATGGGGAGAGCCTTCTAATAAGAGGGAAGAGACTGCTTGGAAGCATGAAGGGAGGTGTAAGAAAGATAAGTAAGTCAGTGTACTTGCAACAGAGGCTTGGGATGAAGGGTGGGTGAAGTTGACATCACGATAGAAAACAAAACTGGAATGGGAGTTTAGGTCCAATTTGGGCAAGGTTGTTTGAATTTCAATAATCAGGGGTTTGGGTCAAGGAAGAAAAATCATGGGACTTGCCATTTAGGAGGATAATTTTGTGGTAGTGTGGAGGTGAAATAAAGAGAAAAGGGAACCTTGGAGCTGGGAAGGCAGGAAACCGGCTAGATGACCATCACACAGCAAAGGAGGGAGTGGAAGAGAGATGAGAAAATTGAGAGCTATTATTAAGAAAAACAGTTGAGAGAGGAAGAATTTGAAGAGGGCTCAAGATTTTGAGTCCACATGACAGAAGGACTGGAATGCCATGAACTGGAGAAGGTGAGCGCTGAAGAACCAGGATGGGACGGGGCTGGAACAGCTGGGTTCAGCTTTTGCAGGGTGGGTACGTGTTTGGTTATAGCTGCTTTCAGATTGTTCCATTATCTGTACTCCCAACAACCCTGCCGGATATATTTGTTGGCTTTCACTCATGGAGGCTCATTTCCTTGCATGATTTGTCACTTTTGATTGTGAGCTCATCTGCAGTAGGAGTTGTTTATCCTGTGTGACTCCCATGTGCCCTGGTCTGTAACAACATTTCTACAGAGTGGTATCTACTAGGATCCTGGGGATTTCAATTATTTTAGACCAAATATTATGTCAGTTTCTCTGCCTGGGGCTACTGGACCTCAGAGGTAGTATACATCTGAACTGTGTACCCATTCAATGCACAGGCCTTAGGGATTCCATATGTGACAGGTGACTTTTTTTCCTTGCCTTTATGTTGTAAGACAGACAGCCTGCCTCCTCAGACTTCCCTGAGCTGGTGGGCAGCATTTTTTGAACCCTCTTTTAAGGAGGGGTCATCTCTCTGATGCTCTTCTTTTTTGCTGAGCTCAGATTAACATTTTCTACCTGGGTGCAGTGGCTCATGCCTGTAATCCCAGCACTTTGGGAGGCCGAGGCAGGCGGATCATGAGGTCAGGAGATCGAGACCAGCCTGACCAGCATAGTGAAACCCTGTCTCTACTGAAAATACAAAAAAATTAGCCGGGACTGGTGGCGGGCGCCTGTAATCTCAGCTACTTGGGAGGCTGAAGCAGGAGAATTGCTTGAACTTGGGAGGCGGAGGTTGCAGTGAGCCAAGATTGCACCACTGCACTCCAGCCTGGGCAACAGTGCGAGACTCCGTCTTAAAACAAACAAATGAAAAAACCATTTTCTCTCCTCCAAGCAAGCCTAAGGCCACATGTCCTATTCTCACACAGGTGCTTTAATTTCAGCCCAGTCTCTAGAGCCTAAATTTGGCTCCTCTGCAATTTCCATGGGCTCTAGGTTTCCAGCTTATACTTACTGCTTTGGCTGTGGTTTCTCTCTTCCATTTCTACCACGTGAGGATTTCCTTTTATTTTGTTTAAAGACAGCACACATTAAAAAAAACTTTTGTTGTTATCGTTTACCCAACATTTCTATGTTTTTTTTTCATGGGAAGGCCATCTGCCATAATGCTAGAAGTCCTGAACTTGTTTTGATATGTGACCCTGAGCCTTCCCGGGGTGCTGGCAGAATGGTGACATGATTAGATCTGTTCTTAGGAAGATATCAGGGGCAGCAGCATTTGGGTAGAGGTAGCATCCTGAAGGCAAGGAGACAGGTTAAAGAAAGACCAGAGGTGTCTTTTGACCCAGGTAGACACTACTGACACATTGGTCTGCGCAAACAGTTCACCACAGCTGCCCTTTCATGCCATAGGCTCGATTTTTCCTGTTCTCTTGGCAATCCCTCTGGTTCAGCCAGGACAGTAGCCTCCTCTCTGACACCAAGATGGACCATGCTCTTCCCCAGCTCCAAATGTGTGCTCCTTGATGGAATAGACACAGTGGACAAGAGGACCCTCAGGTGGCTTTGAGTATTTGCCTCAAGCCCATCATCCCTGAAGGCAGATGTGCTTGATCTTAACAGAGCCCAGGAAGTCTCCCCTCAGATACAATTTTGGAAAAAGGACAATGAAAACAAAAAGTCATAACTGTCTAGGTTCTTTGCATTTTGAACAAAGAATTGGACAAAAAGCACAAACAAAGCAACAAAAGAAAAGCACAGATTTATTGAAACAAAAGTACGCGACACAGAGTGGGAGGGGGCTCGAGCAAGCAGCTCAAGAGCTTTGGTTACAGAATTTTCTGGGGTTTAAATACCCTCTAGAGGTTTTCCATTGGTTACTTGGTTTACACCCTATGTAAATGAAATAGTGGCCCACGATCAGTCTGATTGATTGCAGAAAGCAACTAATCAGAGGCTGAAGTGAAGATACAAAGTTACACCCTATGCAAATGTCTGATTGATTGCAGAAAGTGACCAATCAGAGGCTGAAGTGAACTTACAAAGTTATACTCCTCTGCAAATGAAGACTTGGCCTGTGACCAGCCTGACTGGTTGCAGGAGGGGACCAATCAGAGGTACTTTCAGTTTTCATCTGCAATGCAGGGGAAGTTGGGGGGTTGCAAAGGGAGTAGCCTCTGATCCTTTTGTTATTTGGGTGTGGAGAGGTGGGCTTTTCTTTTTGATTCAGTTCTAGGAATTCGGCGCGAATCAGCCTTAGGTTCCCTGCCTCCAGACCCTACTCTCCTGCCTCAATAGCCATGCCCAGTTAGTGTTAACTGTAACTCCCTGCTGGTCTGCCTCCTGCTAGGAGGGACTGAACATCAAATCACTCGCATCGAATTACTCAGCAGGTGAGTTCTGGGGATGATAACCACACAATTCTCTCTGCACGAAAGATGGGTTTGAGAGCCTCAGAGTCTGGGGGAAGCTCTGCCAGCCATCCACTTACTGGCTTACTGTTTGCCTGAAGTAAGCATGGGAATCCCACAGGGTACAAGGTCCCGCATACCCTTCTGGGATTTCCGATGCCCTCTTTGCATGTGCTCTGGTCCATCAAGCTCCCATGCCAGATGCAGTGCTTGTAGTTGCAGCAGTGACCATAGCAGTGGCAACAGTTCTACAGGGTCACAGAACTTTAGGGAAGCCTCCTAACACCCCTGCTCTTCGTTAGGCTGCAGCTGCTTTCCTGTCCATGATTTAAGCATCCTTAGATCCCAGCTGTCCAGGAAGCTCTCCCCACGCACCTCAGCCTAAGTCCAGCCTCCCACTGAGCTCCCATGGCATGACTGTCCAGGCCCCAGCGCCCTTGTGCCCTAACCGGGGCTGTTCCATGTTGATATGTGGTCTCCTCAGGCATGGTGTACACTACTAGAGAGGAGGGGCCAAGTCTTCCATCCTTCTGACCCTCTTCAAAGCCTGGAACAAAATTAGATATTGAGAGTTGTTCATTAAGTACCTGAGTGAATAATGAATAATTGATTAAAGCCAGAGAATCGGGTATCACAGTAAGGAGTCCCTGGGTCCTCCGAACTTTCCAGAATAAAATTCCAAAATGAGAACACCAAGAGGTTCCCTGGCTTGAGAGCCAAAATGGCGGCACAGACCTATATCTCAGGCACACTTTGTGGTAAAAACAAGAAGCCAGACACACTCTTTCTAGACACACGTCACACCCAGAATGACTTAGCTTTTAGTCTGTGGAGGAAAAGGGGTGGAAAGTGGAGACCTGGAACCAGATGAGAAGTCAACGGGAGCAGTAAGTTCAGTGTGTGCCTCCTGTCCCAGCACCTGGGTCAACATGGGCAAGACCTGATGGGGTGGTGGAGATGCTGACCTTTGCTGCTGCCTCTTGGGCCTGTAAGAGCAAATACAATTTAAAAAAAAATTTTTTTTTAATTTTTTTTTGAGACAGGGTCTCTCTCTGTCACTCAGGCTGGAGTGCAGTGGTGCGATCTTGGCTCACTGCAGCATTCACCTCCTGGGCTCAAATGATCCTCCCACCTCAGCCTCCTGAGTAACTGAGACTACGTGGAGTAGCCACCCCACTCGGCTCATTTTTAATTTTTTGTAGAGACATGGTTTTGCCATGTTGCCCAGGCTGGTCTCAGACTCTTGGCCTCAATGAATCCTCCTGCCCTGGCCTCCCAAAGTGTGGGGATAACAGGCATGAGCCACTGCGCCTAGTCTGCAAATTCACATTGAAAGAAGAGGCCTGTTTGATAGATCAGTAGGGTGACTATAATTAACATTAATCTAATATGCATTTCAAAAAAGCTACAAGAGAATAATTTGAATGTTCCGCTGCATAAAGAAAGGATAAGTGTTTAAGGTGATGGATATTCCAGTTGCCGTGATTTGATTATATTAATGTTACCAAATTATTACATATACTTCAAAAGTATATACATCTATTATGTATCAACTAAAAAAATAAGAGTTTTAATTCTCCTTGTGGAAAATAAGGGAAGAGACTTCACCTCCCTCCCTTTTCTTAGAGATTTTACTTTAGGAAACTTCAACTTTTAAGTTCTTTCCTCTGTCTCTTTGAGATGTATGTAAATCTTTTAAAAAGCTAAATAAGGGCCAGGTGAGGGGGCTCACGCTTGTTATCCCCAGCGCTTTTGGAGGCTGAGGTAGGAGGACTGTTTGAGGCCAGGAGTTCAAAGTTACAGTGAGCCATGATTGCATCACTGCACTCCAGCTGGGCAGCAACAGGGGCCCTGTGCTTTAAAATAATAATAAATAATAAATTTAAGAAGCTAAATAAGCCTCTTGGCAGCTTTAGGACTTAGAAATATCTTTTTCAAGGACCAAGGAGCCAACCTTTTGAAACGTAGTCATCAAGAGTTTCAATGGGAGGGTAGGAGCCTGACCTGGCAGGTGCCTCGCTCTAAGTTGCAAAACTACCTCCTGTCCTAAAGCTATGAGAGGTTTGTTTTTCCTTTGAATAAAGCCAATTAGCTAACATAGATGGTGACATCAGTTACCAGGTGAATCTGTGGTAAACTCTGTGCAACAAATGGGGCTGTCAAGTCCTCTTACTTGAGGACTGACTAGCTATTGTCTATGTGGAGAACCTGTCTGGAATAGGTCACCTCTGCATGACTCTATAAAAGGGTGAGGTCTCTTTCTGTCTTTGTAGTCTCTTAGGGGATTGTGTGGGATGTGCATTACATTTTAGTTGAGTGCTTATTCACTAATGAAACAGTTTTCTTTCTCCACTCCCTTTGTGGAGAGATTTCCTGGGTTGGCAGAGGTTGACTTTTAATAATATTTTCTCCACAGGCCCATCGTCCCCTGACTCTGTGAGCTTTCAGCCACACCCAGGATCAGTCAGATCAACTGCTCAACTCAAAGGCATCCTAGTGAGCAAGGGAAAACTCAAGGTGGTTTTTGGAGGGTGCTTAGTTAGGAAATGATGAACACAGTTCAACATGACTTGCGGCCCTCCCCATGGGCAAGAGTATGAACACCTGTGACTGTTCCTGAACTCACTAAGGAAAGTCTTTTACAGTGTGTGAAGGGTGACCTGGAGTTTCCTTCCCACATGGCTCATAAGAGCAGCAGCTCAGGAAAAACAAAACAAGTATTTATTTATTTATTTATTTATTTATTTATTTATTTATTTATTTTTAGAGACGGGTTCTCACTCTGTCACCCAGGCTGGAGTGCAGTGGCACAATCATGGCTCACTGCAGCCTCAACTTCGTGGGCACCAGTGATCTTCCCATGTCAGCCTTCTGACTGGCTGGGACTACAGGCATGCCCCCCATGTCTGGTTATTTTTTAAAAATTTTTATTAGAAGGCCAGGCGTGGTGGCTCCCGCATGTAATCCCAGCACTTTGGGAGGCCAAGGTGGGAGGATCACCTGAGGTTGGGAGTTTGAGACCAGCCTGACCAACATGGAGACACCTCGTCTCTACTAAAGAAAAAAAAAATATTAGCTGGGCATGGTGGCGCATGCCTGTAATCCTAGCTACTCGGGAGGCTGAGGTAGGAGAATTGTTTGAACCTGGGAGGTGGAGGTTGTGGTGAGCCGAGATAGTGCCATTGCACTCTAGCCTGGGCAACAAGAACAGAACTCCATCTTAGAAAAAAAATGTTTTTATTAGAGACAAGTTCTTGCTTTTTGCCCAGGCTGCTTTTGAACTCCTGGGCTCAAGTGATCCTCCTGCCTTGGCCTCCCAAAGTGCTGGGATTACAGGGGTGAGCCACCATGCCTGGCCACAAAACAATTTTAGAAAAGAAAAAAGCCTTTTATTTTCACTTAATTGTCTTGATTTCCACTCCTCTGAGACATTCACCCCCAGGAAACTTGGCTGTGTAGCTATAGATGATAAGTATTTTTAAATTCTCCTTGAGAAATGGCATTATTCTGCCTTAGATCTCGAACTAGAACCTGACAATGAGTCCTCCTGCTTGCCCCTGATCTGGGGCACACTGATATTTTTGCAGGTTCCTTCAAGCATGAAATTGCAAACCTAAACAAACTGGTTCTCATAAAAGCACTTCCAATCCTTCAAATAAAAGGAGGCAGCCTAATTATAAATAATCTCTGGATTAGAAACATCACACACCACATCTCTTGCAATTTTTATTTTACCTCGTCTTTGAATTCCATGAACTTCAATTTCATGTGGTGTTAAGTGCTGGCTTAACCTGGAGAGAAAATATAAAGGATATAAAGAAATGTATATAAAGATTTCTCAGAGTTATAAAAATACTTCTGTGAGAGAATTGCTACAAAAAGGGAGATGCAAGACCACCCTTTGTCCAAACTGGCATTGTCTAAATGCAGTTGAGTGTCTTGCCTTAGAGTCTGGGCTTGAAGTCAGTCAGAACTGACTAGAACACCAGCCCTACCCCTCACCAATAGGGTACCCTTGGGCCAATTATTTAACCCTTCTAAGCCGTAACTACCTCATCCGCAGAATGGAAATGATGCTAGGAAGTACCTGACAAGGTTCTTGTGAGAATTAAGTGAGATCCTGTGTTCATCTAGTCAACTTGTATTTCTTTATTTTTAATTGTATTATACATTTTTAGAGATGGGGGTCTTGCTCTGTTGTCCTGGTTGGAGTGCAGTGGTGTGATCACAGTTCACTGTATTCTCAAACTCTTGGGCCCAAGGGATCCTCTGGCCTCAGCCTCCTGAGTAGCTGGGACAACAGGTATGGGCCACCATGCCTGGCTAATTAAGATTTTTAAAAAATAGAAATGGGGGTCTCACCATCTTGCCCAGGTTGGTCTCCACCTCCTGGGCTCAAGTGATCCTCCTGCATCGGCCTCCCAAAGTGCTAGGATTACAGGCATGAGCCACTGTGCCAGGCCTTGACTCGTGTTTCTTGAGCAAATCACTGAGCTATGTTTAAAAGATACACAGATGAAGGACATATAAACCCAGTCCCTGCCCTTAACTTACAGCCGAGCTTTCAATAAGGGAGAGCTATTAATATTAAGTCCCACTGATGGATGTTAAAATGTAAATGAAGCATAGAGTTCTTAGGGCCTAGGCTCTTCTTGATGTTCCCTTCCACCATCCTTGGAACTCTCCAGAACGAGACTTGTTTTGGGGGAAGGAGGGTGCCTTGGCTGATGGAAAGTGCGGGGGTGGGGGCCGAAGGAAGTGCAGGGCCTAAGACTGTTGTTCTTAAGCATTCTGGAGGCTGCTGGACATTTAGCTCCCAGCCTCCTCTCTACCACAATGAACACTTCTATCCCAGGACTTCTCCTCTCCCCCTCCTTAGACCAAAGCTCTTGCAGTCTGAGTACTGGAAAGCCCAGCATGAGCCTCTCCACGCACTTCGAATGCACCCTCCTCCAGCAAAGGCTGGTAAGTTGAAAAGACAGGAAGGATTTCAGAAGACTGGAAATTGAATCCCACACTCAGCTCCTCTTTGAAACTCTACAATGAGTGCTTCATTCCTTGGACTTCAGCTTTTCAAAGAAAACATCCCTAGAAGAAGGACAGCAGGGATAGTCATTTACCTTTTAATGAGAATGAATTATCCAGCCCTTTTCAGGACAGCGTTTGTGAGGCAGCAAAGCTAAATGTTGAGAAGGGCCTGAAAGAATGATGGACTGACGCTGCCAAAAAGAGAAAGGGCGGGACCTTCACAGCTTTGCCTAAGGCCATTATGAATTTGGACCAAATAGGTATTATCATCCACACAGGCAGGACCTCCTGGGTAGGGGGCTGCCACCTTTTCCAGGCACTTGGAAGGGTGGCCTCCAGCTGTGGAGCCACAGAACTAAATATTATAGCTGGCCCAGGAGCACCCGTTTAGGCTAGGGAAGGAATAATAATCCGGCTTCTCCTTCCTCTGACCCTGAGATTTCGGCCAAGTCTCCATTAGAGATTGGCCTCCTAGAGTGTAAAACAGGGTGGACAAGTTTGGAGAATGGATCTGGGATGGGGTGGGGAATGGCAAATGGAAAAAAGGCAGCACAAACTCTTTATTGTCATTCAGAGAATGCTGAGGTCCAAGGCACAACCAGCCAGAGGGTTGCTTCAGCCTTTCACTGGAAAAGCCACATTTTCCTCAGTTGTATCCTCACTTCGAGTGAGGCTTCTCCAAATGCAGAAGGACAGCATCATGACCCAGGCCGAGAAAGTATGATTGCAAAATTCCATGGGCCTAACCCTAGTGGGGGAGGGAATCCATTCTTTTAAGCCAGGGTTTAAAACTCTTCAAGCAAGTCATCTGCAAAGGTACCGCTTCTACCATTTTAAAGATAGGATTATGTTCCCTAGGACAACTGGATGAGCCCTAGGAACCAAGAACCCTGTGCAGCTGGGGCAGAAGCCTGAGGGTTCCTTTGTTCCCCCACAGCTGTAGGTCACAAGGTTCTTACACAAGCTTTGGGGTGGCCCCACCCCACACCCTTCCTTCCCCTCAGTCAGTGATGACTCAAGAGGTTTTGGGAAGGAGCTCAGGGAACACTCAAGCAGCAGGCTCAGCTTACGGCACTTCTGATGCATTTTCTAGATAACATTAGTTGCTGGTTCCAGACAGGACTCAGAAGTATGGACATTCACTCCCCAGGCTTGGTCATCAGTGCCCTGTGAGTTCAGGAATACACTACCTAAAGGAGATCTTTAGGAAGGAGAAGGAGAAAAGAGGAGAAGAGGGAAGGAAGGAAGGCAGGAAGGAAGGAAGGGAGGGAGGGAGGGAGGGAGGGAAAGAGAAAGAGGGAAGGAGAGAGTGAGGAAGGAAGGAAGGAGAGAGAAAGAAGAAAGAAAGAAATAGAGAAAGCAAGAAAAGGAAAGAAAAAGAGAAAGAAAGAAAGAGAGAATGGAAGGAAGGGAGGAAAGAAGGAAGGGAGGAAGGAAGGAAGGGAGGGAGGGAGGGAGCTGGCCGGACGTGGTGGCTCATGTCTGCAATCCCAGCACTTTGGGAGGCCGAGGCAGGTGGATCACCTGCAGTCAGGAATTCAAGACCAGCCTGGTCTACATGGCGAAACCCTGTGTCTACTAAAAAAATAAAATTAGCTGGACGTGGTGGCAGATGCCTATAATTCCACTTACTTGGGAAGCTGAGGCCAGAGAATGGCCTGAACCCGGGAGGCGGAGGTTGTGGTGAGCCAAGCTCGCGCTACTGCACTCCATCCTGGGCGACAGGGCGAGACTTCATCTCAAAAAAAAAAAAAAAGAAAAGAAAAGAAAGAAGAGAGAAAGAGGAAAAAGAAGAAAGAAAGAAAAAGAAAGGAAGAAAAAGAGAGTCATTGAGACTTGTGGCTTAATGTTGTGAATGTATATGTATGTTTAACTGTATATATAACCGTATGTATATGTATGTCTCACCAGAGAGAGAAAGGGATTAAAAAAAAAAAAAAGCCAAAACCTACAAAGGCAAAGCAGAAGAAAGAGTACCAGACTGGAGATAGCAATATAATTACAGAAAATGGGAAGTGACCGCACAGACCAGAGAAATCAGAAACCTACATCTGCCGGGGGTTGGGGTGTGTGTGTGTGTGTAGCCTCAAGGATTTACTCCGTGCCAGCCACTGATCTAAGGGTTGAAGGTATATTCACTTTCGCGATCCCCCAAAAATGCTAGCAGGATTTGTACCCTAATATTGGAGACTAGGCACAGAAAGGTTTAATTTGCCCCAGGTTACACAGCAGAATCTGAACCTCTCCGAGGTTCGGCTCTAGAGACCACGCTTGACACAGCCTCACAGTCATGAGTAAGCCCTTAGGGACCAAACCCCAGGAGACCTCAGGCTGGCAGATCAGGAGCACCGAAGTGGGCCTGGAAACAGGACTGGGGGAAAGTCTGGAGGAAAAGAGACCCTCGGAATCCTTCCCCATTTTACTTAGGCAGGCAGCTGCCCTCTGCTCCCGGGCAGAAGGCTGTGGGTTTCTTTAGGAGGCTTTCCCCAGTTGAGGATGGGGTGAGACACCTATTAAAACAAGAGAATTTAGGCCGGACGTGGTGGCTCATGCCTGTAATCCCAGCACTTTGGGAGGCTGAGGCGGGAGAATCATTTGAGCCCAGGAGTTTGTGACCAGTCTGGCAACATAGGGAGACCCTGTCTCTAAAAAAAAAATAAAATTAGCTGAGTGTGGTGGCGGGCACCTGTGGTCCCAGCTACTTGGGGCTGGGGCTTAGGTAGGGAGGATCACTTGAGCCTGGGAGGTTGAGGCTGCAGTGAGCCGAGATCACGCCACTGCACTCCAGCCTAGGTGACAGAGCCAGATACTGTCTAAAAAAAAAAAAGAAAGAAAACAAGAGAATTCAGTGAAAATCTGAATTCAGCTCCCATGTGTTGGCAGTGAGGCCCACACACCCCAGGCGGGGGCTGGGAGCTCCTCTCCAGGAGTGCTGATTGGCTGGGGAGAAGACTGACGGCACTAGCATCCGAAGGTCCCTGCTGGAATTGCTGGTTCACCAACTGACGAGTCCTGGCCACATACACGGGGCTCACACAACCTTCTGTCAGCTTTTTGTTACCTTCCCCTTTTTTCCTACACTTTTATTATGGAAAAATGTAAACATACAGAAAAACAACACAAAGAGTACAATGTGCCCACTCCCTCTGTTCTGCAGTTGTTAGCACCTTACCATATTTATCTTTAGATATGTGTGTGTTGTGTATGTTGTTTTTCTTTTCCTTTTTTTTTTTTTTTTGAGACACAGTCTCACTCTGTTGCCCAGGCTGGAGAGCAGTGGCACAATCTCGAGTCACCACAACCTGCACCTCCTGGGTTCAAGTGATTCTCCTGCCTCAGCCTCCTGAGTAGCTGGGATTACAGGCATGCACTACTAGGCCCGGCTGATTTTTGTATTTTTGGTAGAGATGGGGTTTTGCCATGTTGGCCAGGCTAGTCTCGAACTCCCAACCTCAGGTGATCCACCTGCCTTGGTCTCTCAAAGTGCTGGGATTATAGGCATGAGCCACCACGCGCAGCTGTGTATATTGTTTTTCTGAACCATTTGAAAATGAGCTGCAGCCATAATATTTTCCCATACATATTTCAGTATCTATCTTCACAGAATAAGGACATTATCACACATAACTAAATCCATGACACACCCAAGAAAATTTAACACAATTTTCTAATGTTGTCTCATGTTGAATCCGTATTCTAGCCTCCTGCATTGGCCCTAGAATGTCTTTTCCATGTGCACACATTGCATTTGGCTCTTATGTCTCTTTATTCTCCTTACTAGAATATTCCCAACCTCTTGTTTTCCCCACAATGCTGACTTTTTGAGTAGGCCAGGCCATTTAGTGGAAGGAGCATCTCATATCTGATTTGTCTGATTGTTTCCTTGTACCGTCATTTAACTTGTACCTCTATCTCTTGTAAATCCCATAAACTGGAAGTGAGATCTAAAGTCTTGACTAGATTCAGATCAGACACCTTTGACAAGACACAGAGCTCAAGTTTTTGTTTTTTTTTTGTTTTTTTTTGAGATGGAGTCTCCCTCTGTCACCTAGGCTGGAGTGCAGTGGTGCTATCTCAGCTCACTGCAAGCTCCGCCTCCCGGGTTCAAGCAATTCTTCTGCCTCAGCCTCCCAAGTAGCTGGGACTACAGGCGCGTGCCACCACGCCTGGTTAATTTTTTGTATTTTTAGTAGAGGCGGGGTTTCACCGTGTTAGCCAGGATGGTCTCGATCTCCTGACCTTGTGATCTGCCTGCCTCAGCCTCCCAAAGTGCTGGGATTACAGGCATGAGCCACTGCGCCCGGCTGACACAGAGCTGAAGTTCTATCCTTCATGTCGCATTGTATCTGGAGACAGCGTCTGCATAGGTCACTAGCAGTGAAGCGAAGTTTGATCACTTGGTGGAGGCAGTGACTGCTGGATCTTTCCACTGTAAAGGCACACGTTTCCCTTCGCCAATGACCTTCGGGTAACACACCCGGGCACAGTGTGAATATCCTGCGCAATGCCTTACTCAGATATGGACAATAAAGGATGACAGGAAACGGAGAAAAAGCTTTCAACATGAAAGAGTGAGACAGAAACAAACAGGAAAAAGCTTTCAACATGAAAGAGGGAGACAGAAACAAACAGGAAAAAGCCGACTCAGAGGAAAGAGAGACCATCGCAGGAAGCAAAAGAAAACTTCCCCTAAACAATAAATAGCCTTAAAAGTGAGAATATATATTACATTCATAATTGACAAGATTGCTATGAAAAAAATATTTATTTATTTATTTTGAGACAAGGTCTTGCTCTGTCACCCAGGGGAGTGCAGTGGCATGATCATGGCTCACTGCAGCCTCAAGTGCCTGGGCTCAAGCAATCCTCCTGCCTCGGCCTCCCAAGTAGCTGGAACTACAGGTGTGCATCACCACACCCAGCTAATTAAAAAACAATTTTTTTGTAGAGATGGGCTCTCGCTGTGTTGCCCAGGTTGGTCTTGAATTCCTGGCCTCAAGTGATTCTCCCACCTCAGTCTCTCAAAGTGCTGGAATTACAGGTATGAGCCACTGCACCTGGCCAAAAAAAAATTTCAAAAACAAGATAGTGCTCTTGGGCTCCACACTGAAAAATCCACTGCAAAATTGGAAGGTAAAGTACAAACAAAAATTTCTTATAAAGTAGAACAAAAAGATGAAAAATAGAAACTGAGGCCAGGTGCAGTGGCTCACACCTGTAATCCCAGCATTTTGGGAGGCCAAGGCAAGCGGATCATGAGGTCAGGAGTTCAAGACCAGCCTGGCCAACATGGTGAAACCTCATCTCTACTAAAAATACAAAAATTAGCTGGGCGTGGTGGCACGAGCCTGTAATCCCACCTACTTGGGAGGCTGAGGCATGAGAATTGCTTGAAACTGGAAGGCAGAGGTTGCGGTGAGCCGAGATCGTGCCACTGCACTCTAGCCTGGGTGAAAGAGCAAAACACCATCTAAAGAAAAAAAAAAAAAAAGAAAAGAAAGAAAAATAGAAACTGAAAACACAGGAAAACTAAACAATTAGTCCAAAAGTTTAGCATCAGAATCATGGCAGTTCCAGAAAGACAAAAGAGAAAAAGTAGAGGGCGTGAATTATCAGAGAAATAAAGCAAGAACAGGCCAGGTGCTGTGGCTCATGCCTGTAATTCCAGCACTTTGGGAAGCTGGCGGGGAGCGGATCACTTGATCCTAGGAGTTTGAGACTAGCCTGGGCAACATAGTGAGACCCCATTTCTACCAAAAATAAAAAAGCAAAATTAGCTGGGCATGGTGGCTTGTGCTTGTAGTCCCAGCAATTCAGGAGGCTAGGAGGTGGAGGCTGCAGTGAGCCAGCCATGTTCATGCCACTGCCCTCCAGCCTGGGCGACAGAGTGAGACTCTGTCTCACAAAAAAAAAAAAAAAAAAAAAAAAAGAGGAAGAAATAAAGAAAGAATGAAACTATAGTATATGAGATGATGGGTATGTTAATTTGCGTGACTCTAGTAATCAGTTCACTATATACATCAAGATAAGTATATCAAAATATTAGTTTGTGTACCTTGAATATATGATATATTTAAATATAAAATTACATACAATTTAAAAAATACCTTTTAAAAAACAAACACAAAAGCACAATATTGTGAACTTTCTGAACATCATAAAAGAGGAAAACAGTTCACATACAAAAGATCAGGAATCAGAATGGCATTAAACTTTTTAACAGCAACACTAAAATCTAAAGGATAATGGAGCCAGGGCCGGGCGCAGTGGCTCATGCCTGTAATTCCAGCACTTTGGGAGGCCGAGGTAGGTGGATCACCTGAGGTCAGGAGTTGGAGACTAGCCTGGCCAACATGGTAAAACCCCATTCTTACCCAAAATACAAAAATCAGCCGGGTGTGGTGGCACATGCTTGTAATCCCAGCTACTTGGGAGGCTGAGGCAGGAGAATCGGCTTGAACCCGAGAGGCAGAGGTCGCAGTGAGCTGAGATTGCACCATTGCACTCCAGCCTGGGCAACAGAGCAAGACTCCGCCTCAAAAAAGAAAAAAAAAAAAAAGAGGATAATGGAGCCAGGTGCCATGGCTCACGCCTGTAATCACAGCACTTTGGGAGGCTGAGGCAGAAGGAACACTCGAGGCCAGGAGTTTGAGACCAACTTGGGCAACAAAGCGAGACCTTGTCTCTACAAAAAATAAAATAATTAGCCAGGCCTGGTGTCATGCACCTACGTAGTCCCAGCTACTTGGGAGGCTGAGGCAGGAGGATGGCTTGAGCTCAGGAGTTTGAGGCTGCAGTGAACTATGATGGTGCCACTGCACTCCAAACTGGGTGACAGAGTGAGACCCTATCTCTAAAACAATAAATAAATGGGGCCGAGTGCAGTGGCTCACGCCTGTAATCCCAGCACTTTGGGAGGCCAAGGCGGGCGGATCACGAGGTCAGGAGATCGAGACCATCCTGGCTAACACAGTGAAACCCCGTCCCTACTAAAAATACAAAAAAGTAGCCGGGCGTGGTGGCAGGTGCCTGTAGTCCCAGCTACTCTGGAGGCTGAGGCAGGAGAATGGCGTGAACCTGGGAGGCGGAGCTTGCAGTGAGCCGAGATCGCACCACTGCACTCCAGCCTGGGCGACAGAGTGAGACTCTGTCTCAAAAAATAAAAAATAAAAAATAAAAATAAATAAATAAATAAATAAATAAATAAATGATAATGGAGCAAAGCCTTCTAATTTCCGAGGGCAATTTGAACAACAAAATTGTCCAGTGACCCATAGGATAAAATAAATGAGTCAGTGCTAATAAAAATAAATAATTGAATGACTAAATAAATGGAGAAGAAATAGCTCTACCCTACAAGAGAATTCCAATTAATAAATGTAAAAGAAATGAGGAAAAAAGAAAATCACTATTAGAACACTACAGTAATAATTGTTGCAGGCAAGATTCATCAATGAATGCTATAATTAGTTGGTAAAAGTTTGAGGATTAACAGGATATTTACATAGTCTCAAAGTATGTCCACTAATATATTTATTATCTGCAAAAGGAAAAAACTTTATGATGGAGAAACTAGCAGAAACCACTTTCACCACATGATCAAGGTTAGCATCACCAGTAATAAGTCTGATCAACATCAAGCACCCAACACGATGTACTGAGAAGGGCACGTTACCTCCATGGTATTCTTGCCCCAAACCCATAACTGTCTAATCATGAGGAAAACATCAAACAAATCCAAATTGAGGGACATTCCAAAAAAATAACTGACCAGTCTTTTTCAAAACTGTCAAAGTCATGAAAGACAAAGAAAGACTGCCTAGGACAGGAAGAGACTGAGAAGACTTAGCAACCAAAGCAAAGTGGAATCTCAGATTGGATCATGGAAAAATCAAACGACATTGGAAACATTGGTTATATCTGAAGTCTGTAGTTTAGTAAGTAGTAGCGTACCAAAGTTATTTTCTTAGTTTTGATCATTGTACTATGGCTATGTGAGCTGCATAAAGACATTACATAGAACTCTGCAGTGTCTTTGCAGCTTTTCTGTAAGTCCAAAATTATTTAAAAATAGAAAGTAAAAATTCAGAAGAGGAATTATTTCCAACCTAGAATTTTATACCTAAACTATAAATCAATTGTGAGCATAGCATAATGACATTTCTCAGACATGCAAGGGCTCATTCACTTTCTGTTAGGAAGCGACTATAGTTTTGCTCCCTTAAAAGAATGAACCAAGATGCAGACATGGCATCTAGGCAACGTGGAATTCAACACTAGAGGGAAGCAAAGGTATTTCCAGAACTGTGGCTAAGCAGAGGCTTCCAGAACAACCAGTATAGATGGGAGCAAGGGGACTAATTGTTCCTAGAGGAAGGATGTTGCAAACCAACCAGCTAACCAACCAATCACCACCAACAGTTTACCTATCTATTTGATTATATCGGGGAAGTTTTCCGTTTTGGCAGAGTGTGGGATTGAATTATTGATAAGTATGCAGAAAACTAAGCAAACAGAAAAAAAAAAAAGACAATGATCAGCTCTTGGGAAAACAAAATGTTGCCCTGAAAAGAAATGTAATCATAGTATCCTAAATGACTCACTTGTGGATAATTTTTCCATAGTCACGATAATGTAAATACTAAATACTCATTTAACTAAATATTTATATTGGGAGGAGGGAAGAAGGGAAATATGTGTGTGAGTGGAGTATAGGGATAAGAATTAAATTCTTGTTTTCAAAGGTGAGAAGCAAGAAAATCTCTGTCCAATGGGCTCCCAGCCCCAAGGCAAGCTGCACATTTTAGGTATCATCTGGGTGGGAATAGTGAGGGTGGTGTGGCAGATGTGAACACACAGGGGAATCCTCTCTTCTGCTGTCCTAGGCAAACTGGTGGCTAGTGGAAGGAAGCCAAGGCTGAGTGGGATTAGGGCTAGGAAGATGGGCCAGGCTGTGCTGGCTCGTGATGCAATGACCTCAGGTTCTATTTCAGCAGGGTTCAGCATCTAAGGAGATGCCATCTAGGGTGGAGTGCAGCCACAAGTCAAAGCAGCTGATAGCTGTCACGAGGTGGCTGTGGCCTGGTTTGGGCCTTGTTTTCAAGGTAGGTTCTGTGAAACACTACTTCTGAAGGATGTAAAGAACTGACCTGAAAAGAGGGTTCCTTGGTCCAACATGCTTGAGAAATGCTGGATTCAATGACACTAAACAAGTTTCTCCAATGCAGGACATCTCAAAACCCTTCATATGATTATGGGAATATCCAATCTCTAAGGCATGGCATGTGGGGGAGATGGTGACAGAGTGTTTGATCATGACCATGGAACCCTTTCTATGCAGAACTTAACACTGGACTAGAGAACTACTGACAACCCTTTCCAGAGTAGGGGTCGGCGTCAGTCAGGGCCGGCACTAACAGGAAAAGCACCTGGTTCCTTGTATCTTCACATCTTTACCATCACTGCCAACCCCTTTCCACTGGCTAGGGCTAATTAGGGTTTTGGGGCCAACAGGCAAATGAACTGAGGTTTGAGACAGGCTCTGCTCTCATGAAAAACTGAAGTGTTAACAAGACAGAAATGTAGGCAGAGGCCCAGTTATAAGGTACAGAGGCACCCAGCAGGGGTGGGACTCAGTGGCCCCCAGACCTGTAGCATGCTGACAGGCCCACGCAAAGCCAAGATCAAACCTACAGCAGCCCTTCTCCATCAGCCCAGCACCCTGAGTCGCATTCCTTGGTCAGGCTCTGGAAATGGTAGAGGCAGCTGCTGTGGGAAGGTGAACCCCGGGGGTTCTGGCCCAGCTTGTTTGGGGCAAATGCAGGAGCTGACAACTTACAATCACAGCCTGTCCCCACTCACCTGCTACAGAGGACTCAGTCATTTCATTTCCCTGATTTCTCCAGGTCTCTAGTGGGGGTTCCCTGGTGCCGACACCATTCCATCCAGGAGCTGATGAAAACCCCTCTTCTCTGAAGCACAGGCAGAATGTATCCTTAGAAAGGAAGCCAGGGGGCCGGGTATGGTGGCTCACGCCTGTAATCCCAGCACTTTGGGAGGCTGAGATGGGTGGATCACCTGAGATCGGGAGTCCAAGACCAGCCTGGCCAACATGGTGAAACCCCATCTCTACTAAAAATACAAAAATTAGCCAGGCATCATGGCGTGCACCTATAATCCCAGCTACTCGGGAGGCTGAGGCAGGAGAATCACTTGAACCCGGGAGGTGGGGATTGCAGTGAGCCGAGGTTGTGCCACTGTACTCCAGCCTGGGTGACACAGGGAGATTCCATCTCAAAAAAGAGAGAAAGAAAGAAAGAAAGAAAGAAAACACAGGGTTGCTAAGGCCAAGGCATCACACACTTAACACCACCAAGTCATTCCAGAGTGAAAGGAACGCAAATCCAGTCTCAGGCTGTCTGATTGACGAAGCTTCTGGATGCACAGCTTTTACATTTTTATATTTTATTCTCTGTGATGTGCCCAGCTCAGGAGCCGCAGGTTTCGGCCAGTTGTTCTGCTCTAGTCCTGAGCGCCCTGGCATGTTTTACAGTTCTGAGACTGTCCTATATTCAGGGCCTGTACCATGGACAGATGCAAAGCCACTAAATGTGTGAGCTGGAATAGACAAGAACAGTTATATTGAGTGTTTACTACATGCTCGTCCTCACAACGTTACGTGCTAAGCACTAGGAGTCGCAGTTTTTGGGGTGCAGAGGCTGAGGATGAGGGCAGTTACATATCTTGTCAAGTCTCCCCCTGGCAAGGGGCAGTTGTAACTCAGCACTTCCTGGTGGCACAGCCTGGGCTCTGGGCTCCCCCCCCAACGCTTCGCAGGTGGCCTGGCTGCCACTGTTCCCCATGGCACTGGGCAGGCCGCTCACCTTTTGTTGTTGCCAGGCTCTTCGATAATCCCTGTCCATGGGGTTCATGAGATTATAGCGAGGATCAGATAATGCAGTGAGCAGAAAAGTGCTTTGGAGTGGAGTGAATACACACATGGGGTGCCAATCACAGCCAGTCCTTTTCCTAGCTACCCAACAATTTGGCATCCCAAAGGGATCACCCTCTCTAGCGCGTGTTTATGAGCTGACTAGAAAAAGGCACGTAGACGCAAGAAGACAGAAGTGTGATTTTGAAAGTGGGTACCCCTTTACCCAGAGCTGGAAGGCATGAAGGAGGTAAGGGTGGAGACCCACCGTCTAGAGGCTTTGAACTGAAACCTTGGAAGAGTGAACTCTCTCAGACCTCATGGCTGCCCCCACCCCCTCCCAACCCTTCCCCTAAAGGCTTTAGACACTAAAAATACCCCAGCCACCTGCTGCCCTGGGAGGCAATAAATCATTGGCCATCTAGCACCAGAATCCGGGCCAACATGGCAGCGGACACAGACCCAAGGGATCAGTTCCCTTCCTCCCACCCAGGCCACCATCAAGAGCCTGCCTGCTGCTGGGGGTGGGGGGGGGGGGGCAGGGGGGTGGGGGGGGGCGGGGCAGGGGGGCGAGGGAGTGTGTTCAGAGGACACAGGACCTGCTTGGAGGCTTCTGGGGCCAGAAGTGCTAAGTGGGTGTGGGGTAAGCGGAAGGGAGTGAGTCACTGGAGGGGGTCCTGGGGAAAGGGCGGTGGCCCCTGTGCCGCGACAGCCACCTGCTTTATTATATAGAATAAGGTCATCTCATCAAAACCACAGCTGAGCCGCCCAACGACTGTCCTACTACTCCAGGGCCACCAGATGTCAGTGTTAAAGGGATCATGGATATTGGTGATCAGATGTCAGGACAGGGACTGAATGTATGGAGACTGTTCAAACCAGGGGCGCTCAGGGGCAAACCTGTGAAATCGGTTTCCTGCTTCCAGTTCTTAGCAATTAGATCCTACCCCCAGGGACTGAAATCAGTCCCACTCCCAAAAGGTAACCACAAAATGCCAAAGATCTGTTCATCTTCACTCTCAGCACAATACCATGTATCATAAATGAGAGGCAAAGGCAGAATTTCTAATTTACTTATTATTAAAATGCATCATCAACAAACACACCATAGTGGGGAACACGAAGCGATGTGTTGCAGTGTAGTGTTGCTCAAATGTGAAAAAGCAGCGACCCCTGAGAGTCTCCTTTGTTTTGTTACCTCTCTCTCTAGAAAAAGCACTGCATTGTAAGTGACTTGGTCCAACCAGTGAAAAATACAAACAGGACCATTCATAGACAAAAAAGTGAAGAATAAAATTCAGTGGTCACTCAAGTATAATAAATAGACCCAAATGATCAGAAATGTGTTTATGTTGATTGTTTTAGAGCATTAAAAAATCCAAAAATTTGGGAGGCTAAGGTGGGTGGATTGCTTGAGCCTAGGAGTTTGAGACCAGCTTACACAACATAGTGAGACCCCATCTCTACATAAAATTAAAAAATTAGCCAGGTATGGTGGCATATGTCTCAACTACTCAGGAGGCTGTGGTGGGAGGATCCCTTGAGCCTGGGATTGAGGCTGCAGTGAGCTGTGATTGCAACACTGCCCTTCAGCCTGGGCAACATAGTGAGATCCTGTCTCAAAAAAAATGCTATGTGGCCTTGGGGAGGTAATCTGACCCATGTGCCTCAGTTTCTATGTCTATAAACTGGACCTCTCCAAAGCCCCTTTAAGTAATGTAAGATTCTAGGATTCTAAGTGTGACTTTGAGAGGTTCCTGTGGAGTTGGGAAGGTGAATGTACAAAAATTCCAACGGAATGCCACCCAGGGCCACTTCAGCAACATAGACAAAGACTGAGAATTCAGAATGCCTCCCTCCCAACTCCTCAGGGACCCAGGGAAGGCTTCTGGAAGACAAGGGATTACACCCCTATGACCTAATGCTGTAGCATGATCAAAATACTTGATCTCTTTTTAAGAGCTGGGAGGTGGCCAGTCAGATATTTTAAGATGTCAACTTGATCTGTATCATTATCAGCATCTAAGGAAACATTTTGTTTCCAAAAACAAATGATCACTGCTATCTATAAACCTCTGTAAGCACATGAAATTCTCAAGAATGGGGCCTTTTCCGTAATACTCTTCACAGCTGGTTTTGTGTGTACACGTAGAACTGCTGCTTCCTGAACGATAAGTTTAGGCCAAGGAAGAAAGAGGGGAAGAAGGAAGGGGGAGAAAGTCTTTCTTCAGGAGTCTCCCCAAAATGTTAATATATGCACAGAAAAAAGTTTGAAAAATAGAAACAATGGCAAGGAGCAGTGGCTCACACCTGTCATCCCAGCACTTTGGGAGGCCTATTGCTTGAACCCAGGGGTTTGAGACCAGCTTGGGCAACATGATGAAGCCCTGTCTATATAAAAAAATACAAAAATTAGCCGGGCTTGATGGTGCTTGCCTGTCGTCCCAGGTACTTGGGAGGCTGAGGTGGGAGGGTCACTTGAGCCCAGGAGGTTGAGGTGGCAGTGAGCCGATACCATGCCACTGCACTCCAGCCTGGGTGACAGAGTGAGACCCTGTCTCAAAAAAAAAAAAAAAAAGAAAGAAAAGAAAAAAAAGAAACTAACTTTGTAACAGGTAACTGTGGTTCTGTCTGATGATACTGGAGGTAATCATTATTATTTTTTGCTTATCTGAATTTTTCATTTTTCAGCAAAGAACATGTCAATTTGCGTAATAATTTTTTTTAATGCAAATACATGCAGGAAGGGTAATACATCAAATCATTATCCGTTACTAACTCCTTGATGTTAGTGAATGGGTGTGATTTGTTTCCTACACTGGTAAGAAGTGGATTTTGTTAGGTCTGGGGTCTGCAGATCTCAAGGTGGCACTTAAGGCAGTAGAAAGGGAAGAGAGAAGGTGGAGAACCCTCAAAAGGGAAGTGGGTGGAGAAGGTTGGCTCACACCTTAGGCCCGCCAGCTGCTGCCTGTAACCTTGAGGGCATTTATTTATTTTTATTTAAAAAATTATTTATTTTTAGTTTTTGTAGCAATGGGGTCCCACTGTGTTGCCCAGGCTGGTCTTGAACTTCCAGCCTCATGTGATCCTCCTGCCTTGGCCTCCCAAAGTGCTGGGATAACAAGTGTGAACCACTGCTCCTGACCAGAGGGCATTTAATAACAATTAAGGATAATAACAGTTAACCTTTTCTCATGCAAGGCTTTGCCCAATTATTCTCTTTATAAATAACTTCTCTTTAGAGTCAAACTCAAGTGTTCATAACAAACAAGAAAAACAGCACATGGATTTTAATAACTTTAAAATAATGAAAAACAAATGATTCTTCTCCAAACTTTTTCATTTTGATTTCCATCAAAACTTTGAGAAGGTTTTCTTTTACAATTTCCGTATTGGAATCTATAGACTTTTCTTGAAGCTCCAGTGTAAATACTTCAGGAGTTATAGAGCTCGCATAATTAAATACAAGCAAACATCATCATTTAAACACTTTTAAATAGGTTATGCTGACTTTTGCCCCAATATTTTCTAGAAAGGAAGAGTTTGCAAAGGAAATTTACAGTATAAACAACACTGGGGAGGTATCTTAGTCCATTTTGTGCTGCTGTAACAGAAAATCTGGGTCTGGATAATTTATAAAACACAGATTTATCTGGCTCATGGTTCTCAAGGCTGGAAGTTCAAGATTGAGGGACTGTGTCTGGTGAGGGAGTTCTGCTGTGTCATCTCATGGCAGAAGGGTGGAAAGGCAAAAGGGCACAAGCATGAGAGAGAGAGAGAGAGAGAGACTGAAAGAGAGACAGAAAGAGGGAGCCAAACTCATCCTTTTATCAGGAAGTTGCTCTGCTGTGATAACTAACCCGCTCAGCATTAATGGCATTAATCCATTCATGAGAGCACAGCCCTCATGACCTAATCACCTCTTAAAGGTCCTACCTCTCAACACTGTTGCACCAGGGATTAAGTGTCTGATACATCTTTTTTGGGAGACACATTCAAACCACAGCAGGAAGGATGGATTCTTTGCATGAATCACTCCCTACAATATAAGCTATTCAAAACCCATTGCGAATCATTTTATATATTCATGAAAGCATGCCTTCTATGGCTGGCTCCCTGGCAACAAATGTGATGGGCAGAGGATAGAAGGTACCAGAGTAACAGATCTCTAAATGTCGAAGGCAAAATGTAGACTTTTAAAATAAACTCTACCAGGTGCAGTGGCTCATGCCTGTAATTCCAGCACTTTGGGAGGCCAAGGCGGGAAGACTGCCAGAACCCACAAGTTTGAGACCAGCTTGGGCAACATTAGACCCCATTTCTACCAAAAAAAAAAAAAAAAAAAAAAAAAAAAGCCAGGTGTGGTGGCTGTGCCTGTGGTTCCAGCTACTTGGGAAGCTGAGGTGGGAGGATTGCTTGAGCCTGGAAGTCGAAGCTGCAATGAGTTGTGATTGTGCCACTGCACTCCAGCCTGAGGTGACAGAGAGAGACCCTGTCTCAAAAGAAAAAAAAAAGAAGGAAAATAAATTCCAATTGTTTATCAAGTAGTTGGAGATATTGAGGCTTGAAGAGGGAAGCAATATTGAGGCAGTGCCTTGTTCATTGAATCTAAGAGGCCGTCAAGCGTAAGATGTACTGTACTTTGGACAGAAAAAACTGGCAGGGTGTGGTGGCTCACACCTGTAATCCCACACTTTGGGAGGCTGAGGCAGGCAGATTGCTTGCCCAGGAGTTCAAGACCAGCCTGGGCAACATGGCAAAACCCTGTCTCATCAAAACAAACAAACAAACAAAGAAAAACCCAAAATGACAAAAATTAGCTGGGCGTAGTGGTGCATACCTGTGGTCCCAGCAACTCTGGAGGCTGAGGAGGGAGGATCACTTGAGTCTGGGAGGCAAAGATTGCAGTTTAAGCCAAGATCAGGCCACGGCACTCCAGTGAGCCAAGATCAAGCCACTGCCCTCAAGCCTGGGCAACAGAGCGAGACCCTGTCTCAAAAGAAAAAAAAAAAAAAAAAGAACCACTGCCAACTAAATTATGACATATAAACTGCAAAATGCATCCCAATTTTAAAAATGTTAAAATGTGGGGGAAAGTACCACCTTGGATCAATGAACTACAGCATTCCCCCAGTCTGCTTGCTCCCACCTCCTTGTCAGGGTGTGACGGGATTCTACTCACAGTGCCTGTGGCTCCTTAACTGCTACACGGGGACACCAACCCTCCTCCCAGCTCACTTCACTGTGAAGGCATTTAGACGTGTCCTTACTTGGCAGTAGAGTGGGTCTGTACTCCAAGTTCCTGTCAGAGTATAATCCCCATTTCTCTCCCATTTGATACTCAGCAAAAACTCAATGGAGAGAAATCATGCTTGCAGTACTGCCGGCAGGATTGGCAGCCCATCCATTTTGCTCTACTCTGTTTACCCTTGGATTGAGCCAGATCAGCAGAGAGCAAAGCCCTGGAACCACGCTGGGTAATCCCTCATGGGAAGGCCTGCGCAGACGCTCCTGCTGGCGGGCTGTTGGCCCACGCCAGGGAGGCTGTTAGAAACAGGCCGAGTTGTCCTGAATTTGCTGTCAAGGACACAGCAATGGGTCTTCATGAGGACCACTGGAGACATTTTTCACGTCTTCATACCAGAAATTTAAAAAAATAAATAAAATTTTAAGAAATGGAGGATATGATCACTACGCATTACATACATGCAGCAAATTTTCTCATGTATCCCATAAATGTGCACAAATTAAATAAATATGAAGGTGTTTTTCTTAATGCAGTTGTTATAATCATAAAAAGTTGTGCATGGATGATGTATTAGTCCACTGTCACATTGCTACAAGTAACTACCCGAGACTGGGTAATTTATAAGAAAAGAGGTTTAATTGGCTCAGGGTTCTACAGGCTGTATAGGAGGCATGGCTGGGGGAAGCCTCAGGAAACTTACAATCATGGCGGAAGGCAAGGTGAAGCCGGCACTTCCTACATGGGCGGAGCAAGAGGAAGAGAGCGCGA